>NC_000005.10:73859807-75109807 GCF_000001405.40 Homo sapiens
GATGCATCCCTGGCCACACCCAAGACCTTTCCCTCCCCTGTTTTAAGACAGACTCAAGTTGGGTAATCTTCACCCACTGCTTTTAAGCCTGTCTCTGCCATTTCTTCATTAACCATCTGCATTTTGACCTCTGTGCATACTGCTTAACAGAAGTTCTGCTTTTGATGGAAACTGAGAGTCACTTTCTAGTCAAGTCTGAGTCTTTCCTCATTGTTCAGACTCACTGGTTTCCTGTTTCCAGGTCGACATCTCTCCTTTCAGGGATGTTTCCTTCTTTTCCGTGGCACACTACTCTTCTGTTTTACCATCTGGGTTGTCTCCTTTTCCCTAATACTGGGTACGCGCAGAAATTAGTTCTTGGGCACTTGTTCATTTTTCCTTGATTGTTTCTAAGTATAGTCATCCAATCTTATGTCCAAAATATCATATTTAGACCCGTTACTCCTGTATTAATATCTTCTTTCCTCGCTTTGTATTTCCATATTCAGTTGCCCAGAGGCTGAGTACCCATGTAATTTATGGCCACTTTGGAGAATTATGGTAAAAACTACAGGTATAAACTAAGACTGTGGCAGGCACAGGGGCTCGTAGGGAGACCATATGTGGGAATCATCACTCAGAGATTTCATCGTCTTCGAAACCCAGTGTGTCTAAAACCGACCTCAAAGTCCACGCCCAGCAGGACATACTTGGCCTGGCATCACAAGCTTCAACCCTGGCTGCTTTAATTCCACTGCCCTCTTGTCCCTCCTGTCAATGTCACTCAGTCACTCTTTTCTTTCCCTTCTCACTGTTGCCACTCTGGGAGATTCTCATCACCGCCTTCTAGAATACTGGGAGGGAATTGTGCTAGTTTCTTCCTTTCCAGGTATGTTCATCTACAAGTTATGATCAGTACTTTTCCCACAGTAATCTTTGTAAAACACCACTTTCATCAGCCCACATAAACTTAAGGACCTCTCTTGTGTTTACTGGGCTAAGTCCAAGCTCTTCCCATGGGCATTTGGTTCCCTCATCTGGAACTGCTCATTAGACCCCTAGGCCCCCCTTCAGCCTCAGTTTACAGTCTGAGGCCCCACCAGTTCCGTTGCCCTTTCCTCCCACTGCGTGTGATTTCCTGCCTCTGCTATTTTGCCTGTGATCATCTCCTTCCTCTCAGTTTCCCCCACTCCTCTGCATAGATCCTGGTTTTTTACCTGCTCTTTGGAGGTCTTCCCTGACCACTGTGGTCCAAACTCCTGCCTATCACTTTCATATCCATTTAAAATTGGATTATTTACAGTCTCCTTGAGTTTTAACTATTAAAAGAAACAAAGTTATTTTAGGGCCCTAATCACACGATGACTCCCGTGTAGGTCCCGAGTCACTCATGCAGAGCTGGCGACCAGTAAAGCCTAGGGAGCCAGGGCTCACTGAAAGGGAAACTTTTGTAGTAAAGAATATGTTGGTTCATTGAGTTGAGTGGATGTGATGGAAATTGCTGAAAATATCTAGGATACATTTAGCTTTAAAAACAGTCATTTCTTAAAAAAGGAATAGTATTTATAGAAGTTATAAGGTTTAAGCAGAAACTTTTTATAATATTACCACTTAGAGAAAAAGACTATTAATATTTTAATGGAGTTCCTTATAACCATAAAAAACTATGGGAGCCTTGCTCTGTTGCCCAGGCTGGAGTCCAGTGGTGCAATCTCAGCTTACTGCAACCACCGCCTCCCAGGCTCAAGCGATTCTCCTGCCTCAGCCTCCTGAGTCGCTGGGACTATAGGCACATGCCACAACACCCAGCTATATGTGAGATTTTAATGCTGTTTCATTTGATGCTGACATCAAATGTATTTAACTATTTGTTTTTGAACATTTAATTTTTTCCTAATTTTTTAAACAAATAATTTGGCAATGAGCATTCCTTTGCACATATCATTGTCCACATATTTGGTGATTGCCTAAGATTAAATTCTAGAATCAGTATGAGTAGGTCAAAGTGTGTATTTGATTTCCTCTTTTACCCACAACTTTTTTTAGAAGTAATTTCAAAATTTACAGTTACTTTTTGGCGGGGGGAGAGGGTGGTTTAAACTTTGCTTATTCATATTAAGGTTTTTACATGGAGCAATACCAATATGATACATACAGTCTCTGCTGTTTTGGTTAAATAATCTTTTTCCATGGGTGCATTTTTGTTTTTAATTGTGAAGGTTAATATTCCTAATCTTAAAAACAAGATATGATATAAAACAACACATAGTATTGTGTAAGTATTCAAAATTCTTGGGTAATTTTCTTCTTGTTAAAGCCTGAGTTGCTAATTTTCCACAAAATTATATTTCTATAAAATTACCCTTGCTTATAAATAAGTTTCTTGGCTATTATGTTGATGTTACATTATCTGTTACACATAAATTTATATATCATACCTTCATTGCAGATTTAACCTTAATCAACATAAAATTATCCTTTTAACTTCATTAGATGCCTTTTGCATTTAGTTTTACTTTGTCTAAACTTAATACTCCTCCTGCTTTCCATTTGTTTGTATTTCTTTCAACTATTTTTGTGTTTTCGATTTGAGGTGCATGTCTTTAATTTAGCTAGAAGTAATCTGTAATGTAGCTGAAGGATGTTGTTTTATAACAGGGTTTTTAACATTTTACATTTAATTTTACTGCTACCAACATATCTTTTATAGGTCCTTGCTCTTTTCCTTGATGTCTAGTTTAGCTATTTAGACCATGTGTTGTTTGCTTTTGTCTTCTCCAGGGATTTGGCAAGATACTCTCTTTTAATGTCAACTAATAGTAGCTTTAAGGCTGTGGAAGGCTAATAATTTAATATCTTTTTATTTCCCTTATGTTTACTCTCCCCCGGCCCAGCCTCTGTTAATACACTGAATTAATTATTATTCTTTTCCTAAGATTATTATGTTTAATCTTTCAAGTATAATTTTCTATTTCAAAAAAAAGTTGACACTTTTATTCAGCTCTATCTCTACCTACAGTTTTTTAGATGTGGTTCTTTGTTTAGCTTGTTTTACTGCTCACTTTTGTTTCTTTAAAAAAAAAAAAAACTACAGTGAATCCTTCTTGAACTCCTAATTTTGATTCTGTCCTCAAAAGGCTAAAATAGGAGTGATCTGTTGATCTGAAACTTCATGTACCAAGGGACCTATTTTTTTTTTTCACACAAGAAAAACAACTTAGTTAAATAAATTCTTGGACCAAAGTCTTTTCCCTTCATTGCTTTGCCAACATTGCTGCAACAGATGTGAGCATTTATTATTAAAGTGGAAAAGTCTAGGGCCAACCTGACCCTATTCCTTTGTTGATAACCCTTGTCTTCTGCCTTATGCTTGAGGACTTTTCATTTTTTAATCATATGGATATTATGAGAATATGTCTATAGAGTAGGTGTCATTTAATTATTTTTCTTAGGAAACAGTGAGAACTTTTGATGTGTCCTTTTGGGCGCTTTTTCAGCTTTATAGAATTCTTGTCTATGGTGGCTTTGACTGTCACTGCTTCTGATCTAATTTTTCTGATCTCTTCCTTGGGTAAGTATGATTTCTGCTATCTATGTTCGTTGTATGACATCTATTTTATAATTATACGCTTCCTCTTCTCCATATTCTGGAGGGAGTCTTTCAAGTGTAATTTCATAGCTCGGCTTTGATGTCTGTGCCACACAGATTCTTCTCATTGTCTCTTTTCCTTCCTTGCGGTCCTTGCCTGTCTCATGAAGCTCCATTTTCCTCTCCTCCTGCAGGCCAAGTCTCACATCCTATTCTCCCTCCATGCACTTTCATTCTATTTTACTGAGGCCCCCGTCTTCTGTCTCTTATCAAGAACAATTTTCAAGTATCTAAAGTTTCTTTCCTATTTCTGGATCTAGTATTCAGTGGTTGCTTCTTCTGGTGGGTTGTTGGTGTAACTTTGTTCTGTGGTATCTTAGGGTATCTACATTTTCCCTATTATTTACTCACTCTGCAATGAGGAGAGGGCTGTCTGAATCTGATGCTTATCAGCCGGGCCAATGCATAGATTAGCCTTGGGCCCTGCTTGCTGGCCACTGGCGTGTTGACTGAAATGCCTCTTCAGACCTGCAGCCTGAGGACAGTTGTAGGGCGCAGCTTCCTGCCCAGTTCTTGTTGGGTCACTGGCATTTATGCAGTGTGGCTTTGATGGACCAACATGGGATCTTCCACTCCCACAGAAGGATTCATTCTGCATACATTTCTGATGCACCCAGGCTCCTCGGTCTATGCTACAGTGTGTGTGGGATGGTGATGTACAGGTGGGAGGGGAAAGGACCCAAAGACAACAGCTTGGCAGCAACCAGTGCCCACATAGTGCAGCTTTCCATGAGGACAGCCTCAGTGTCTGTGTTCATGGGCAGAAAGGGGCAGGGAAAGTATTCCCTTACATTCTTCCAGTGAGATGACATTGTTTTATGACATGTGCCCATTGTTTATGATATAAAACAATGGGCACAGGGCTAACATTTCTCATTTAATTAGACTACCTGAAACTTGTGGTTAGTAGGAATTCTTGCCAAGACCTCACAATACATTTTTTTCAGCATTGTTAAGAGTTTGTTTTCTTTCTTCTGGTTGTGGTAGGCATTTTACCCAGTGTGGGAGTGGGGAGTTACTACCAGCCAGGTGTCAGAAATCCCATGCAATGTAATGCATGTAATAGGAAGTGAGTTCTCAGGGAGACACAGAAGCATTGCAGAAGTGTATATCATTCATAACTTCAGATTTAGTAATTGATAAGATCCTGTGTATAAGGGGAGAAATATCTCCAAAGAGATTAAAATAATAGCATTCTGCTTGTGCTTGAGTGGTGAGGATACATGTGATTTAAATATTTGTCTTTCCTTCTTTAGTTTTCCAGATATTTGTAATGTTTATGTGTTTTTTTATAATGACCAGTGAAAGCATGATGTAGTCTTATTAATTTCAGACTAATTAAGTAAGATGGATGCTTTTGTATCTTTTCCCTTTATTTCAGACTGTAATGCAAATGTGCACAAAGGTTGTAAAGATGCTGCGCCTGCATGCACCAAGGTAATTGCTCAGTGATCTGTGAATATATATGTGGCATGGTTGCTTCATAGTATCTATTTGAGCTTTTACTCTTTTTTATTACCATCTAGATTTATTTCTAAAGCGATCATGATAGCGATAACATAACATATGCTCAAAGTGTATAGTTATTTGCTTAACTGTACACTGTTAGAAATAGAAGGAAAGCTCAAGTCCAGATATTTGTGTTATATGCTGTGGCTAGGTTAGGCTTTCTGTTGAGACCTGCTTGGTTTACCAGTGCAAGCCCTGGGTACCTGCAAATGAAGATCAGAGTAGTAAGTCACAAATGTCTGCAAGCCTCACAGTCACTGGAAGACCTGTGACTACACAGATTTCTGGGCCCCAATTCCAGAATTTCTGATTCCATAGATCTGAGGTAGGGCCTGAGAATGTGCATTTCTAACAAGTTTGCAGGTGATGATATTGCTGCTGGTCCTGAGACCTCAGTTTGAGAACCACTGGACTAGAAGAATGTTCTCTGTAGTTGGGAATGGGCTGGAGTAGATGAAGGTGTCTGTGATTCTATTCCTTTCTTTTCCACTCAGTAGTCATGTCACAGATGCATGTGAGTGAACATGATGATCCTTCAGGGGGAAATTTGCAGTTGCAAACCTCTGTGTCAATAGGAACACATATTGCGTCAGATCACAGAGTTGAGGGCTGTTTTGAAGGTGACATTTCAGTGCTACAGGTGGTTGTCTCCTATAGTCAGGAGGGATAGCAGGAGGTAGAAAGAAACAAGAAGGAGAAAGGCAGCATTGATAGGAACTTTCAGCCTGGGTCTGGACACATGAGCTGGAGACCTCTGGTTTCTGTTCCCCTGAGGCTTTTAATGAAGCCAGGAGTGTTCAGGAGGCGCATGTTCACAAGGCCCCTTCATTATAACTTGCACATTTTATTGTCACATTTGACTCTTCATTGCATTTAATGTCTTTTGCTTTGAATTCCTCTTGGAAATAAAATAACAAAAATGATATAGATAAGAATTCTGTTCTGTGTAACTATGTGGATATTCTTATAGTCTAATGATACTTTGATCTTACTTTATGTGTTTCTAATATTCTTTACCAGAAATTCCAAGAGAAATATAACAAGAACAAACCACAGACCATCCTTGGAAGTAAGTGATGTAGAAAACGACAAGAACTTTTAAAAATTTAATACATACTATACATTTTTCCATTATAAAAATATCTCCTTTTGTTTTCTCATTTATCCAGTTATTTCTTCTTTCATAACATATGCTTGGCATGATTTTTAGTTCTATAAAGTCGTCAAGAAGGCTATCAACTTCTAGGTCAACCTAAGAACTTTTGTGTTGTGTGTACCATATGATCTTTTATATTAGAGAGGGCTATAAGGAGAAGGTATTAACGTGTTGCTTCAATTCTAAGATGCTGTCTAGTGGAATATGCTCTGCTGATGTATTAATAATCCTTCAAGGAAAAGAGAAATACTACATGAAATGTACCTTACTTTGTTTTCCTAGCAGTAGCGTAGTATAGCAATATTGCAGTAATATATTTGTCTATACAGATACACACCACATTCTTCTTAAGAATCGCCATGTTTGATGGAAAAAGTCTTCAAATTTGGAGTCTGTAGATTCTTATCAGTTTCTGTTGTCCATTATTATAATTACCTGGTGTTTAATTAGCTGTGCTTGAGGCTGTGATCTCATTAGCTCCTTTAGAATGACCGTGAAATTTCAAGGCATACTGGAGTTTGGTTTGCATATTTTAAAATTTGGTGGCTCTGTTTTTCCTGAAGTGTATATTGCTGAAATTTAAGCAGTTTCTCTTTAAAATAATTGGTGCCCTCTGACAGTTCTTTACATTGCATACAAGAACCAATCACGCCAATGTCTCCTAAATTTGAAAATCTCTTGCTTTATTGTGAGAGATTTTGTGACGCCTTCTGCCTAAAGTTGTGTTGCTTGACATGTGGCAGGAATTTTAAGTGCATGGTAACTTTTCATTTCCATGTAACAAAGTGTGACTGATATTTTAAAACCACTTTAATCGGGACAATTATGCATGCAAATTTGTGGCAACATGCTATTGGGTGTAATGTTATATTAGGTTAAGTTGGTGCAGGTAGTAACAACTGTCACATCACTCTCTTGCCTTGACCCCAAAAGTCTCTTTGATGATGTCAGTTATAAGGGGCTTCTCATTTTCATAGGGTTAAATGTGAAAATAAATAGTATCTTAGAATTGATGAAATACCACATATTACTCCTCTTCACATGGGAGTCATAAGAACAAATTTAACTTATGCACGTGTAAAATGCTTTGTAATGTCTGGGATCTTCCTTTTGCTTGAGAATGTATATGCTACACAGCTATAATATGGGACCGAAATGTCTTCTGAGTCATTTATAGTACACATCAAATGTAAATGCATCTGTGCCCAGAATATTTTAGAACTGACCAGAAAAACACAGAAGCCCTATTTAGTTTTCCATGTGTGAGAGAGAATAGCCCAGCTTGGCTTGCAGGCTTCATTTGCCTGAGATCCTTATACCATGAAGAATAGGCTCTCCAGCATCATTCCATTCCATTGACGTGTTCTCTGTGTGTGGATGCTTGTTTATACACACAATATGCATTCAGTAACAGTACTAATAACACCTTGCAACTATTTAAAGCTGGCTGTAAGGAGTACAAGCAGTGATTTATGGGAAACCTGGCGCAGTATTTCCCCATTCCATTGTCTTGTTTGTTTGTGCAATCCCAAACACCCACAGTCTCCAAGTGGAGATGCGGAAGCAGGCCTGCAGCATGGGTGTCAGGAGGGTGTAAAATGAAAGGGACACTAGGAGCAAGTGTCAGGATCTAGCAGGGAGACTGGTTTTAAGGCAGAGCATGCATCAGATTACAAGTAGTCATTGCAGGGTTTAGCTTTCTGGCTTTTAAGTGACTACTTTTACTTGTAATTACTGACCTGGAAACCACATGAAGCATCTGTTCTGATTTCCAGATTCTTCATTTAGAGACATCCCACAGCCTGGTCTCTCCTTGCACCCTTCTTCCTCCGTGCCTGTTGGATTGCCGACTGGAAGGAGGGAGACTGTGGGACAGGTCCATCCATTGTCCAGAAGTGTTCCAGGCACCACCTTGGAAAGGTAAGGCTGAGTGTGTTTTTACATATTAATGGCTCAGAGAGCTTCTGGGGCTAACTTTGCTCCCCTCCCTCTCTCCTAGCTTCAGGAGGTCAGCCACATCCTTGGAGTCTGAGAGTGACCATAACAGCTGCAGAAGCAGGTCTCATTCTGATGAGCTGCTACAGTCCATGGGCTCTTCTCCCTCTACAGAGTCTTTCATAATGGAAGGTGAGGAGAAGACACACTTCCATTTATTTGTGTTTTTGTTAGCATTTGCCAAAATGACACTGTCTGAAGGAAATAAGATTGAAGCATTTTTTTTTTCTTTTTCAAAGAAGTCTGTTTCAGGGTGTCTCTTTGGTATAGGTTCTACTTTTTAAACGAATGAAAATTTAGCCCCAGAGGAGAAAACCAGAGAGTGACCAAGGAAATATGACGTAAATTTTAAATAGACATATTACTAAAAGAATGTCACAAGCATAACGAAGAGAAATGAATGAAATATATTGTGTGCTTATTATTAAAAATGTTTTATAGCTATTGATGAATTATAATAGGATCCTATATCAAAAACATACTTTAGTTAGTTAAGACTGGTCTTCTTTGGATCTCTGAGATACTTACCCCATCTGTTGCCTCCTAGGGGAATAAAAACATTTTGTTTTGTGATGGAGTCTCACTCTGTTGCCCAGGCTGGAGTGCAGTGGTATGATCTCGGCTCATTGCAACCTCGAGCTCCCAGGTTCAAGCGATTCTCCTGCCACAGCCTCCCAAGTAGCTAGGAGTACAGGTGCGCATCACCACCCCCAGCTAATTTTTGTATTGTTCGTAGAGATGGGGTTTCACCACATTGGCCAGGCTGGTCTTGAACTCCTGACCTCAGGTGATCCAACTGCCTCGGCCTCCCAAAGTGCCGGGATTACAGGCATGAGCCACTGTGCCCAGCCATTAAAGCATTTTTTAAAGCATATTTTATAGAGCAGGACTTAATCTAGGGAATTAGTTTTTGTATACAAGCAGCACCAGTAAGAAGGAAAACCAAATGGAAGGAGAGTAGTGACAAAAGAGAGGAGTGGATTCTGCCCCAGGAACCTGTTTTATTTTAATCTTAAGTCTTTAAATTCATTGTCATCTCATTTGTACTGCTTTGAGCTGGAACCTCTCTAATGAGTGCCATTTGGGTAAATAGGGTTTAGTTTTCCTGAGGAGTGTGTGTGTGGGGTGGAGGGGGGTGGGGAAGGGCATGTATGTATGTGTGGTTTGTTTGTAATTTCATCAGAAAAATCTGCACTCATTTGTGACTCAAGTACTTAGACGCTGCTTTGTGTCTTAGCAAGTCAAGGGCAAATCAAATGGATGAGTACATAATTCAGATTTTAGTAAACAGTACAAAATAACGCGGGGCAGAAGAAATTGGTGTGTTCCAGATTCTGTAGACACATTATGGACTCTGTAGGTTACCAAAAATAAAACTAAAATAGAGCAGGCCAAAACAAGCAAAAGAATCTTCAAATGTCTTTTTTCCTCCATATGAACACTCTTTTTAAATATTTGATTCTTTGCTGTCATGAAAGCTGTCTTAATTTGGACCATTTCATCAGTCCAGTTTTAAGATGTTTCAGTCTGGCTGGGCACGGTGGCTCAGGCCTGTAATCCCAGCACTTTGGGAGGCTGAGGCGGGTGGATCACTTGAGGTCAGGAGTTCAAGACCAGCCTGGCCAACATGGTGAAACCCCATCTCTACCAAAAATATAAAAACTAAGCTAGGTGTGGTGGCACATGCCTGTAATTCTTGCTACTTGGGAGGCTGAGGCAGGAGAATTGCTTGAACCCGGGAGGCGGAGGTTGCAGTGAGACGAGATCGCGCCATTGCACTCCAGCCTGGGCGACAGAGAGAAACTGTCTCAAAAAAAAACAGATGTTTCACTCCATGTTAATATGTTTTGGTTTAGTAGTTTCCATGTTCATAGCAGATTTATTTAGGGTGAGGAATCCATAGACAAATATACGAAGGTATATTTGTGCTGCATTATTGTACTTCTGGCTTTTCTTTTCTAAACACACATTAGATGTTGTGGATTCTTCTCTGTGGAGTGACCTCAGCAGTGATGCCCAGGAGTTTGAAGCAGAATCTTGGAGTCTTGTGGTGGATCCCTCATTTTGTAATAGGCAGGAGAAGGATGTCATCAAAAGACAGGATGTCATTTTTGGTAAGCGTTTCAAATATGCTCTTTGGGTTGAAGCAGTGCGGTTCAGAGAAAAGAACATGGAATTTGCAACTGTGCAGAGTTGGGTAAAATCCCAGTTCTATCATTTTCTATTTACCTGATCGCAGACAAATTATTTAGATCACCTAGACCTTAGTTTCTCCATCTGTAAAATGAGGATAATATTAAAAGTAATAGCAAAAACCACAATCGGTTTTGCAATAACCTAATAATACTCAGGTTTTAAATATTGTTTTGAGACTGCAATGAGGCATAATATGTACCTGGCACAGAGCAAATGTTATTTCCCATATTCCTTTCAAGTTTACTTAGGTTTGGCCTATACTCTTACCTCTTCTGTGTAAGAATTGCAGTGAACCTTCACATATTTTAATGTAGGGCTATTGCATATGGCCTTCCAGTTTGGCTGCATACACCAGCCATTCACAGAGACCAGGTGCAGTGTGAGTAGCTGCACCTGGGTTAGGGCAGGGTTTGACTACGTGCTGCCATCCTGAGTACAGAATTCAGCTGTGGTGAGATTGTATTTTGTCATGCTATTTGGGATGAAGGCATTCTGGATTGGAGAAAGTTAAATTATAGACTTGGAAAAAATGAAACTTCAAAAAATTTCAACTACAAAGTAGATTCCAAAATGTGGTTCCAAAGATACCCTACTTTAAAGATAACACTGGGTCTTTTCACTAATCCTGTGTATGCAAACATGGGCCCCAAAGTCCACGGGCAGTGAGGATACCTTGTCATCTGCATCAGGTGGTGGTTATGGACATCAGATGAGATGGTGTATGAGTGTGCTTAGAACTCTGTCAAAAGCTGTGTAGGTGCAAGTTACTTTGGAAAGGAAGATGCTGTCCCTCTTAGTATTTCTTAAGCAATTTATATTCTACTGTCAATTTTCTTCATCTACCTCTCAATTCTCAATTTCATATTATTAAAAGTATTCTAACCCATTGGGTTGAATTATTACATGGTCTTTTGTGTCAGAAAGGCTTGCATTCCAGGGCAAATTCTTTACCTTCTCTTCCTCACTGTTTCTCTTTAAAAGATAAGGAAAATCATTCCTATTTTCTGGGTCATAATGTATTAATGGGTTAAAAGATTAAATGAAATGATACAGGTAAGTGCTTAGCATAGAGTAGGCACTAAAAACATAGGAAATAATAATTCAAAGTTGGTAGATTTCCAATTAAAGAAATTTTTATTTTTGACAAAATATTAAAGCTATATTTAGACTTGCTGACTCTCCATGGCTGATATTTAAGGTTCTTTCCCAAAACTTGCGGTAAGTTTGGAAATACTCATTAATGTACAACTAGTACGTTTGGTGCACCTGTAAATTGTGAGTTGTTATTTTCTCTCCTGATGCGTTTTAAAAATTGAGGTATAATTCACCTGCTCAAAATTCACTCCTTTACAAGTACACAATCTAGTAGTTTTTAGTATATTCACGAAGTTGTGTAGCCATCAGGTCCTGTCTAATTTCAGAACATCTTCATCACTTCAAAAATCCTGTACATGTTACTAGTCACTCCCCATTTACCCCTTCCGCCAGCCTCTGGCAAACACTAGTCTACTTTCTGTCTCTACAGATTTGTCTATTCTAGACATTTTATGTGAATAGTACAATATGTGGTCTTTTGCGGCTGGCTTTTGTCACCTAGCATACTGTTTTTAAGGTTCATCCTAGTTGTAATATGTATGGGTACACCATTCCTTTTTATGGATGATGAATATCCTATTTTGTTTTCCTAATCATCAATTGATGGACATTTTGGGTTTTTCCACTTTTGGGGTCATAGAGTAGTAGCTTTACGTTTAATCACTTGAGAAACTGCCAGACTGTTTTCCAAAGCAGCTATACCATTTTGCATTCCCACCAGCAATGTATGAGGGTTCCAGTTTCTCCACATCCTCACCAATACCTGTTTGTTGCTTTTTTATTATAACTAGCCTAATATGTGTGAAGTGATGTGTCATTTTGGTTTTGATTTTCATTTCCCCAATAGCTAATGGAGTTGAGCATCTTTTCATGTTCTTATTGGCCATTTGTATATCCTTTTGGAGAAACATCTGTTCAAATCCTTTGACCATTTTTGAATTGGTTATTTATTTATTTATATTGTTGAGTTATAAGATTTTTAAAAATATACTAGATACAAGTTCCTTATCAGATAAATTATTTACAAATATTTTCTCCCATTCTGTGCGTTTTCTTTTCACTTTCTTGATGATGTCCTTTGATTGATTGTGATGCATTGTTTTCCTCTGGAGAAAGTGGAATTTTGGAGACAGATTCTGCCATAGAAAGGACCTATGGTTATCTGCATTGAAGAACTTTCTTTAGTTCCATTCATTTCACCAAATTAATTGTGCTCCTGCTCAATGCAAAAATCAAATAAAGAAAGGAAGAAAGAAAGCCAACAAACTAAGTTGTATTTCATAGGGCATTCAGGGTGGAATAAGACCTAGTTCCTAGCTGAAGGTATCTAAAGATGCTAGCTAGTTATATTATTGAGTTTCAGATACGTTAGATTCTTGTATATTGGACTTGACATATATGTCCTCTTTAATATCTGGATAAAAGAAAATGGTTTAATATTTTAGAGTGAATGAAATGTTTAATGTTGACTTTTATATTGGAATATTCTTGATATTCCTAAACATTTCTTTTTTATTTGCGTAACATATAGTGTTGAGTTACTAATTTAGTTTAATAGCGAAACTTGCTTTTTAAAGCTTGTTTAAGGCTTATGTGTGCTCACACATTTCAGAGCTAATGCAAACAGAGATGCATCACATCCAGACCCTGTTCATCATGTCTGAGATCTTCAGGAAAGGCATGAAAGAGGAGCTGCAGCTGGACCACAGCACCGTGGATAAAATTTTCCCCTGTTTAGATGAGTTGCTTGAAATCCACAGGCATTTCTTCTACAGTATGAAGGAACGAAGGCAGGAATCCTGTGCTGGCAGCGACAGGAATTTTGTGATCGACCGAATTGGAGATATTTTGGTACAACAGGTAAGAAGAGCTTAAAGTCCTTGACCTTTATGACGTAAGTGGGATTTGAATCAAAATCTGCCCTTTCATCAACAAGAGTAAAAAAAATGATATTTTGAAACATTCATAGTGACATTCTGAGGATGTGTTTACCATCGTTAGATTGTAACTCCCAGTAAGGCAGGGATTCTTGGCTATTTGATTACTGCTATATTTCAGCACCTGGAACAGTGCATGATATTATAAATATTTATTGAATGAATGGGCCACTTAAGGAAAAAAAAATCAGGAATTCACCTGAATGTCACGTTTTACAGTGGTCTGCAACACTTGGAAAGGCAGGGAGCTCCATCTGCAGTTGCTTTAGCATGGCTTTCCCTGGGTAGATGCTAGAATGCCATCTTCTCCAAATGTACTGTTTTTTGAAGCTGTTTCATCCTATCATTTACAGCGATGGAGTTCAGCTGTTGGTCTGTATGCAGAAAATGGGGGAGTTATGCTGAGTGGTATTCCATGCTATTGATATATCACTGTTTACTCATTCACTTGTTGAAGGATATCTTCTTGTTTCCAGTTTTTAGCTCTTATAAATAAAGCTGCTATGAACACTCAGGTGCAGATTTTGGTGCAAACCTAAGCTTTCATTTTTCTGGGATAAATGCCCAGGAATGCAATTTCTGGGTTGTATGGGAGTTGTATGTTCAGTTTTGTAAGAAACTGCTAACTGTTTTCCAGAGTGGTTGTACCATTTTACATTCTCATCAACACTGTACAAGTAATCCAGTTTCTCTACATCCTCACCAGCATCTGATATTGACACTATTTTTAATTTTGGCTATTTTAAGAGGTATAAAGTAATATCTCATTATGGTTCAAGTTGCACTTCCCTCATGGCTAATGATATTAAATATCTTTTCATGTGCTTATTTGCCATCTATATATCCCTTTCAGTGAAATTTCTGTTTATGTCTTTTGCTGATTTTCTAATTGGATTGTTTGTTTTCTTATTGATGAATATTAAGGTTTGTTTACATATTCTAGACATTGGTTCTTGTCATATATGTGATTGACAAACTTTCTCTAAATCTGTAACTTGTCTTCTCATTTTCTAATTTTGATGAAGTCTAGTTTATTTTTCCTTTTAAGAATTGTGCTATTAGTTTCAAGTTTTTTTATTTATTTTTATTTTTTTGTTATTATTATACTTTAAGTTTTAGGGTACATGTGCACAATGTGCAGGTTAGTTACATATGTATACATGTGCCAAGCTGGTGTGCTGCACCCTTTAACTCGTCATTTAGCATTAGGTATATCTCCTAATGCTATCCCTCCCCCCTCCCCCCTCCCCCCACCCCACAACAGTCCCCAGAGTGTGATGATCCCCTTCCAGTGTCCATGTGTTCTTATTGTTCAATTCCCATCTATGAGTGAGAACATGCGGTGTTTGGTTTTTTGTCCTTGCGATAGTTTGCTGAGAATGATGATTTCCAATTTCATCCATGTCCCTACAAAGGACATGAACTCATCATTTTTTATGGCTGCATAGTATTCCATGGTGTATATGTGCCACATTTTCTTAATCCAGTCTATCATCGTTGGACATTTGGGTTGGTTCCAAGTCTTTGGTATTGTGAATAATGCCACAATAAACATACGTGTGCATGTGTCTTTATAGCAGCATGATTTATAGTCCTTTGGGTATATATCCAGTGATGGGATGGCTGGGTCAGATGGTATTTGTAGTTCTAGATCCCTGAGGAATCGCCACACTGACTTCCACAATGGTTGAACTAGTTTACAGTCCCACCAACAGTGTAAAAGTGTTCCCATTTCTCCACATCCTCTCCAGCACCTGTTGTTTCCTGACTTTTTAATGATTGCCATTCTAACTGGTGTGAGATGGTATCTCATTGTGGTTTTGATTTGCATTTCTCTGATGGCCAGTGATGATGAGCATTTTTTCATGTGTCTTTTGGCTGCATAAATATCTTCTTTTGAGAAGTGTCTGTTCATATCCTTCACCCACTTTTTGATGGGGTTGTTTGTTTTTTTCTTGTAAATTTGTTTGAGTTCATTGTAGATTCTGGATATTAGCCCTTTGTCAGATGAGTAGGTTGCAAAAATTTTCTCCCATTTTGTAGGTTGCCTGTTCACTCTGATGGTAGTTTCTTTTGCTGTGCGGAAGCTCTTTAGTTTAATTAGATCCCATTTGTCAATTTTGGCTTTTGTTGCCATTGCTTTTGGTGTTTTAGACATGAAGTCCTTGCCCATGCCTATGTCCTGAATGGTATTGCCTAGGTTTTCTTCTAGGGTTTTTATGGTTTTAGGTCTAACATGTAAGTCTTTAATCCATCTTGAATTAATTTTTGTATAAGGTGTAAGGAAGGAATCCAGTTTCAGCTTTCTACATATGGCTAGCCAGTTTTCCCAGCACCATTTATTAAATAGGGAATCCTTTCCCCATTGCTTGTTTTTCTCAGGTTTGTCAAAGATCAGATAGTTGTAGATATGCGGCGTTATTTCTGAGGGCTCTGTTCTATTCCATTGATCTATATCTCTGTTTTGGTACCAGTACCATGCTGTTTTGGTTACTGTAGCCTTGTAGTATAGTTTGCAGTCAGGTAGTGTGATGCCTCCACCTTTGTTCTTTTGGCTTAGGATTGACTTGGCGATGCGGGCTCTTTTTTGGTTCCATATGAACTTTCAAGTAGTTTTTTCCAATTCTGTGAAGAAAGTCATTGCTAGCTTGATGGGGATGGCATTGAATCTATAAATTACCTTGGGCAGTATGGCCATTTTCACGATATTGATTCTTCCTACCCATGAGCATAGAATGTTCTTCCATTTGTTTGTATCCTCTTTTATTTCATTGAGCAGTGGTTTGTAGTTCTCCTTGAAGAGGTGCTTCACGTCCCTTGTAAGTTGGATTCCTAAGTATTTTATTCTCTTTGAAGCAATTGTGAATGGGAGTTCACTCATGATTTGGCTCTCTGTTTGTCTGTTATTGGTGTATAAGAATGCTTGTGATTTTTGTACATTGATTTTGTATCCTGAGACTTTGCTGAAGTTGCTTATCAGCTTAAGGAGATTTTGGGCTGAGACAATGGGGTTTTCTAGATATACAATGATGTCATCTGCAAACAGGGACAATTTGACTTCCTCTTTTCCTAATTGAATACCCTTTATTTCCTTCTCCTGCCTAATTGCCCTGGCCAGAACTTCCAACACTATGTTGAATAGGAGTGGTGAGAGAGGGCATCCCTGTCTTGTGCCAGTTTTCAAAGGGAATGCTTCCAGTTTTTGCACATTCAGTATGATATTGGCTGTGGGTTTGTCATAGATAGCTCTTATTATTTTGAGATACGTCCCATCAATACCTAATTTATTGAGAGTTTTTAGCATGAAGGGTTGTTGAATTTTGTCAAAGGCCTTTTCTGCATCTATTGAGATAATCGTGTGGTTTTTGTCTTTGGTTCTGTTTATATGCTGGATTACATTTATTGATTTGCGTATATTGAACCAGCCTTGCATCCCAGGGATGAAGCCCACTTGATCATGGTGCATAAGCTTTTTGATGTGCTGCTGGATTCGGTTTGCCAGTATTTTATTGAGGATTTTTGCATCAGTGTTCATCATGGATATTGGTCTAAAATTCTCTTTTTTGGTTGTGTCTCTGCCAGGCTTTGGTATCAGGATGATGCTGGCCTCATAAAATGAGTTAGGGAGGATTCCCTCTTTTTCTATTGATTGGAATAGTTTCAGAAGGAATGGTACCAGTTCCTCCTTGTACCTCTGGTAGAATTTGGCTGTGAATCCATCTGGTCCTGGACTCTTTTTGGTTGGTAAGCTATTGATTATTGCCCCAATTTCAGCTCCTGTTATTGGTCTATTCAGAGATTCAACTTCTTCCTGGTTTAGTCTTGGAAGAGTGTATGTGTCGAGGAATTTATCCATTTCTCCTAGATTTTCTAGTTTATTTGCATAGAGGTGTTTGTAGTATTCTCTGGTGGTAGTTTGTATTTCTGTGGGATCGGTGGTGATATCCCCTTTATCATTTTTTATTGCGTCTATTTGATTCTTCTCTCTTTTCTTCTTTATTAGTCTTGCTAGCGGTCTATCAATTTTGTTGATCCTTTCAAAAAACCAGCTCCTGGATTCATTAATTTTTTGAAGGGTTTTTTGCGTCTCTATTTCCTTCAGTTCTGCTCTGATTTTAGTTATTTCTTGCCTTCTGCTAGCTTTTGAATGTGTTTGCTCTTGCTTTTCTAGTTCTTTTAATTGTGATGTTAGGGTGTCAATTTTAGATCTTTCCTGCTTTCTCTTGTGGGCATTTAGTGCTATAAATTTCCCTCTACACACTGCTTTGAATGTGTCCCAGAGATTCTGGTATGTTGTGTCTTTGTTCTTGTTGGTTTCAAAGAACATCTTTATTTCTGCCTTCATTTCGTTATGTACCCAGTAGTCATTCAGGAGCAGGTTGTTCAGTTTCCATGTAGTTGAGTGGTTTTGAGTGAGTTTCTTAATCCTGAGTTCTAGTTTGATTGCACTGTGGTCTGAGAGACAGTTTGTTATAATTTCTGTTCTTTTACATTTTCTGAGGAGAGCTTTACTTCCAACTGTGTGGCCAATTTTGGAATAGGTGTGGTGTGGTGTGCTGAAAAAAATATATATTCTGTTGATTTGGGGTGGAGAGTTCTGTAGATGTCTATTAGGTCCACTTGGTGCAGAGCTGAGTTCAATTCCTGGGTATCCTTGTTAACTTTCTGTCTGGTTGATCTGTCTAATGCTGACAGTGGGGTGTTAAAGTCTCCCATTATTATTGTGTGGGAGTCTAAGTCTCTTTGTAGGTCACTCAAGACTTGCTTTATGAATCTGGGTGCTCCTGTATTGGGTGCATGTATATTTAGGATAGTTAGCTCTTCTTGTTGAATTGATCCCTTTACCATTATGTAATGGCCTTCTTTGTCTCTTTTGATCTTTGTTGGTTTAAAGTCTGTTTTATCCGAGATTAGGATTGCAACCCCTGCCTTTTTTTGTTTTCCATTTGCTTGGTAGATCTTCCTCCATCCTTTTATTTTGAGCCTATGTGTGTCTCTGCACGTGAGATGGGTTTCCTGAATACAGCACACTGATGAGTCTTGACTCTTTATCCAATTTGCCAGTCTGTGTCTTTTAATTGGAGCATTTAGTCCATTTACATTTAAAGTTAATACTGTTATGTGTGAATTTGATCCTGTCATTATGATGTTAGCTGGTTATTTGCCTCGTTAGTTGATGCAGTCTCTTCCTAGTCTCGATGGTCTTTACATTTTGGCATGATTTTGCAGCGGCTGGTACCGGTTGTTCCTTTCCATGTTTAGTGCTTCCTTCAGGAGCTCTTTTAGGGCAGGCCTGGTGGTGACAAAATCTCTCAGCATTTGCTTGTCTGTAAAGTATTTTATTTCTCCTTCACTTATGAAGCTTAGTTTGGCTGGATATGAAATTCTAGGTTGAAAATTCTTTTCTTTAAGAATGTTGAATATTGGCCCCCAGTCTCTTCTGGCTTGTAGAGTTTCTGCCGAGAGATCCGCTGTTAGTCTGATGGGCTTCCCTTTGTGGGTAACCCGACCTTTCTCTCTGGCTGCCCTTAACATTTTTTCCTTCATTTCAACTTTGGTGAATCTGACAATTATGTGTCTTGGAGTTGGTCTTCTCGAGGAGTACCTTTGTGGCGTTCTCTGTATTTCCTGAATCTCAGTGTTGGCCTGCCTTGCTAGATTGGGGAAGTTCTCCTGGATAATATCCTGCAGAGTGTTTTCCAACTTGGTTCCATTCTCCCCGTCACTTTCAGGTACACCAAGCAGACGCAGATTTGGTCTTTTCACATAGTCCCATATTTCTTGGAGGCTTTGTTCGTTTCTTTTTATTCTTTTTTCTCTAAACTTCCCTTCTTGCTTCATTTCATTCATTTCATCTTCCATCACTGATACCCTTCCTTCCAGCTGATCGCATCGGCTCCTGAGGCTTCTGCATTCTTCATGTAGTTCTCGAGCCTTGGCTTTCAGCTCCATCAGCTCCTTTAAACACTTCTCTGTATTGGTTATTCTAGTTATACATTCGTCTAAATTTTTTTCAAAGTTTTCAACTTCTTTGCCTTTGGTTTGAATTTCCTCCTGTGGCTCAGAGTAGTTTGATCATCTGGAGCCTTCTTCTCTCAACTCGTCAAAGTCATTCTCCGTCCAGCTTTGTTCCGTTGCTGGTGAGGAACTGCATTCCTTTGGAGGAGGAGAGGCGCTCTGCTTTTTAGAGTTTCCAGTTTTTCTGCTCTGTTTTTTCTCCATCTTTGTGGTTTTATCTACTTTTGGTCTTTGATGATGGTGATGTACAGATGGGTTTTTGGTGTGGACGTCCTTTCTGTTTGTTAGTTTTCCTTCTAACGGACAGGACCTTCAGCTGCAGGTCTGTTGGAGTTTGCTAGAGGTCCACTCCAGACCCTGTTTGCCTGGGTATCAGCAGCGGTGTCTGCAGAAATGTGGATTTTTGTGAACCGCGAATGCTGCTGTCTGATAGTTCCTCTGGAAGTTTTGTCTCAGAGGAGTACCTGGCCATGTGAGGTGTCAGTCTGCCCCTACTGGGGGGTGCCTCCCAGTTAGGCTGCTCGGGGGTCAGGGGTCAGGGACCCACTTGAGGAGGCAGTCTGCCCGTTCTCAGATCTCCAGCTGTGTGCTGGGAGAACCACTGCTGTCTTCAAAGCTGTCAGACAAGGACATTTAAGTCTGCAGAGTTACTGCTGTCTTTTTGTTTGTCTGTGCCCTGCCCCCAGCGGTGGAGCCTACAGAGGCAGGCAGGCCTCCTTGAGCTGTGGTGGGCTCTACCCACTTGGAGCTTCCCCGCTGCTTTGTTTACCTAAGCGAGCCTGGGCAATGGCGGGCGCCCCTCCCCCAGCCTCGCTGCAGACTTGCAGTTTGTTCTCAGACTGCTGTGCTAGCAATCAGCGAGACTCCGTGGGTGTAGGACCCTCCGAGCCAGGTGTGGGATATAATATCCTGGTGCGCCGTTTCCTAAGCCCGTCGGAAAAGCGCAGTATTCTGGTGGGAGTGACCCAATTTTCCAGGTGCCGTCTGTCACCCCTTTCCTTGACCAGGAAAGGGAACTCCCTGACCCCTTGCACTTCCCAAGTGAGGCAATGCCTCGCCCTGCTTCAGCTCACGCATGGTGTGCTGCACCCACTGTCCTGCGCCCACTGTCTGGCACTCCCTAGTGAGATGAACCCGGTACCTCAGATGGAAATGCAGAAATCACCCGTCTTCTGCGTTGCTCACGCTAGGAGCTGTAGACCGGAGCTGTTCCTATTCGGCCATCTTGTAGTTTCAAGTTTAAGGATTCTTTGTCTAGCCCTAGGTCTCAAACATGTTCTCCTATTTTTAAAAAAGGATTTACAGTTTTTGCTGGGCATGGTGGCTCACGCCTGTAAGCCCAGCACTTTGGGAGGCCGAGGTGGATGGATCACTTGAGCTCAAGAGTTTGAGACCAGCCTGAGCATCATGATGAATCCCTGTCTCTACAAAAAATACAAAAATTAGCTTGGCGTGGTGGTATGCACTTGTAGTCCCAGCTATTTGTGGGCTGAGGTGGGCAGATCGCCTGAGCCTGGGAGGTTGAGGTTGCAGTGAGCCGAGATCCTTCTCCTGCACTCCAGCCTGGGTGGGCATCAGAAGTGGCACCCTGCCTCAAAAAAAAAAGTTGTACAGTTTGTTGTTTTACATTTAAGTGTGTGTTGTACTTTGAGTGTTTTTTTGTGCAGGTTATGAGACTTAGTAGGTTAAGTTCAGGTTTTTTTTTTTTTTGTCTATGGCTGTCCAATTGCTCCAGTGCCATTCGTTGAAAAGGCTATTTTTCCTCTAATTGCTTTTGCATTTTTGTCAAAAATCATGTGGGCATCTGGGTTACCATTTTGTTTCACTGATCTATGGATCTATCTTTCCATAGTCTTAGTAACTGTAGCTATATAATCTTAGAAGAATGAGTCCTTCCACTTTATTATTTTTTCCAAAATTGTTCTAGCTGTTCTAGTTCCTTTCCTTTTTCATATATATTCTAGAATAGTCTTATTTATATTTTTAAAAAGCATACTGGGATTTTGTTAAGAATTGTACTAAAACTGTATATCAGTTTGAAGAAAATTGACATCTTTACTATTTTGAGTCTTCTAATCCATGAACATCATATAGCACTTCATTTATTTAGATTTTTGTCATCTTTCACTGGCATTGTATAGTTTTTACTATGAGTCATATATGTGTTTTGTTAGATTTGTACCCAGGTGATTTTTTTGAATGATTGTAAGTGGTTTAAGAATTATCATTTGAGGCTTATTGGCCCCACACATTCATATAAGCAAAGATGAAAAGACCAGAGGTCGTGATGTAAATTTTAAGTACTTTTAAGAGGGTGGGTGTGTTCCGGTTTCCATTACAATGCTCTTCAAGGGGACGTGTGCATGTAAGGCCATCACAGTCTAAAAAAATGGCATTCAAGTCATTCAACTAGTTCTCTTCACAGCACCTTATGATTCTAAGTTGATTTCTATGTGGATTTTCTACAGATGTTTTTCTACAGGTAAGGCTTATTGAAACATCCAGCCCACATCTCTACTTTTCTTCATTAGCTAATAAACAGGCATTCTGGTTATTCACTGGTGTCTTTCATCTTGGCTAATGATAGCCTGCCCTTGATCTATTTGTAATGTGTGAACAAAAAATCAAATTCCCTACTAAGGACTCAGTCTATGGACATGGTCATTAGCCAGTGTAAATGCCAAATGGGTGATTTTTTTGGGGGGGAGGTTAGCCAAAGTAAATGTCAAATGAGTGATTTTTTTTGGGGGGCCAGACCTTCCTGAAGGCCCCTAAATGTTGCCATATACTTTTCTTTCAATCTATAAAAGTATTAAAACTATAAATTGAAATTATAAATTTGTATTATAACTAAGATGAGAATAAAATAGATCAAATGTTTTTCATTTGGCTATTTGATAATTATATTAGTTCAATATAATATCACATTATGTTGACCCTTACCACTCAACAACTTTCTTTTATTTTAATTTAAAAAATGTCTGAGGAGATAAGTGATTGTGTTCAGAAATTCCATGATATTTATTTTTTATTTGCAAATACTATTTTGAAATAGATGAAAATTGCATATTTTTTGTGTGTTTAGAACTTACTAAATTTACAAACCATTATTTAAATGTTATTCTTCCAGTTTTCAGAAGAAAATGCAAGTAAAATGAAGAAAATATATGGAGAATTCTGTTGCCATCATAAAGAAGCTGTTAACCTCTTTAAAGAACTCCAGCAGAATAAAAAGTTTCAGAATTTTATTAAGGCAAGTATTTTAAAACTTTATTACAAAGTGATAAATCAGCATGGAGAAATAGTTTATGCTTGTTTCTTAATGATTTAAACAAATTTCTTAGCTAATGATGCTTTTCAGGGGAAGAAGAAGGGAGGTGGAATGTTTGTGACAAAGGTGGAAAGTCTCTTTTTCTGTATTAGTAAAATATTGCCCCCAAATCATTTCCTTTTGTATATTTGTGAGGTCATGTCTTCCAACCTTCTGAGAATATTTGTAACATACTGGGAAGCTGTTTCATGCCAAGTTATATATCAGAAAAATCAAAGTGAAAATAAACACAGAATCTACTCCACTTCTGAATTAGCTTGAAGCAGATTCATGACATCATATAATTTCATCTGTAATAGTTTTCTCCAGATGAAAAAGTTAAAAATTATGACATTATTATACAAATAAAGTAACAATAGTTTTTGATATCTTAAAATTTCACTGATTATCTCATAAAATTGGATTACTTAAATCAGAATCTGACCAAGGTTCACTTATTGTATGAGGTGGTTATATCTCTTAAATCTCTTTTCATTTGAATGTTATCCCACCCCTTTTTTCTTCTTCTGATTTATTTGTTGAAGAAATTTGTCTTATAAAGTTTCCTGGATTCTAAATTTTTATCTGCCATGTTAAGAATGCTACCAGATTCTCTTCCCTTTTTTACCACATAAATGTGTGTTGAGGACTTGAATACTATGAGGAATACTTTGATATTTTTAGAAAAAAAGTTGTCCTGATTAGAGGGAACTCTAAGAGTTATAATGAATAATAACAAATGTGGAGGAAGACCTGTTGGGAAAACAAATGGTAAACTGCAAACTGATGTTCAAAGTTGACTTTGATTTATGATTATTTTTCAAAAATTTTGCTATTCATAAATCGAGGCACTTAGAAGTATTGGAACTTCTTTTGAAATTAACTACAAATACATCAGTAACTTGAAACTTCTTAAAATCATGGAGAGTTGGGGTACTGAAATTTATGACAAAGTATGCAATTTAAATTAGTGATAATGCATCGTTTTAATTGATAGCAATGAATGTTAAGTCTGCATAAAATTGTACTGTTGCAGATTCTTTGTATTGTTACATTCACACCTGAAAAGTAAATACAGGTAGAATTTGTGTACATAAAAGTATATATTTTTTAAGCTCCGAAATAGTAATCTTTTGGCTCGACGCCGAGGAATTCCAGAATGCATTCTGTTGGTCACTCAGCGTATTACAAAATACCCTGTCTTGGTGGAAAGGATATTGCAGTACACAAAGGGTAAGTTGTGACTTCTGGGATAAAAATTTGCCCCTCTTATTAGTTTTAAACACAGTTGAGGTGTTCTAAACAGCCATCAGTGTTTGTGGTCTCTGATTCATAAAGAGTTTCACGACGGAGAAACTGTTAAAGCCTTAGAATTTGGATTAGTTTTTAGAAATTATCTTTTATAATGCAGCATGGGTAAATAGTCTGAATTTCTACAGGTAGCCCAAACCAAGCTGGCTTCTTCTTACTTTGAACCTGCCTTTCTTCTCTTTATTTTCCCCACCACTGGGCTTTCTTAATACCTCCTCTTCCTCATTTTCCTATTACCTTCACAACAGTCTGATGAAACATGCTATTGATCCTATCACAAAATGTCAACTCTCCCAAGCAATCTGTTATTAAGTTGAGAGGGATTATAAGAAGGATCTATTTTTGACCCTGTCAATTCATCAAGTTCCAGGGAGTAACATATGGGCATCTTTTAAGAAGCTATGAATGCACATGGCTGGTCTGTAAGCTCCTTGTGGGATCTATAAGACCTGTGTCTGTCTGGTTTACAGCTGAATCTTCAATGTCTAGTGCAATGGCTGGTACAGAATAGATGATCAATAAATAAAAACATATCAATGCAATGAATGAATAAATAAAATGGTCTAATCCTCAAGCTAACATATTGATCTTGAGTAAAGATTATTATTAGGGTGGTAGTGTGTTATGTTAAAAAGGGCTTGGGTTTGGAATTTTGTACACTTGTGTTGCATTGTATATACTCAGCTCTGCCACTCATTCATTGGGCAAATTATTAACTGAGCCTCAGTTATCTCCACTACGAAATGACATGAAACATTACCTTTCAGTTCCAGTTGCCTTAATAAACATCAACTAGGTGGTCTTTATCACCAAATATCAATGCTGCTCCAGAAACTCCTTCAGAGTATTTTCATAAGATAATCTAGAGACAAGAGCAGGTAGCCAGTATTTTAAAGAATAACAACTGAAATCAATAATTATTTGCTCTTGGTATGAGCATGGCTGATTTGTCCGTTAGCACAGCACTTGGGTACCATGAAAATATTTTCTTTTCCCATCAGAAGAAGAAAATTCATTTTTTCTTCTGATGGTAAAAGAAATTAAAATATTTAATTTTAAATAAAATGGTCAAAGAAAATTGTTTAATTATAATAGTAATATATTCATATTTATGCTAATGCAGTTATAAAATATAATTTTGAATGTTAATTTTATGGAGGAAGGGATCAAGGAATATAAATGAATCTGAGGCTCATTCACATAACCCTGTGGCTCTGTTTCTGAAAGCATTGCTGGCTTTGCCCCACAGCTGGCTTAAGTTTTAAGAAACTTGGCATGGAGATTATTGATTACCTATGTCTAAGAAGGTGGAAGGAAGGCCTAAGTTAGTATATAACACATTTCCTGCCCTAGGGAGAAGGTCAGACCCATCCCTAGAACTCAGACATCTTACTGTCAGCGGAAGGACTATGTGTCAGCTGAAGCACATTTAATCATGCAAACCTTTCATAATAAAATATTTTAACATTTTTTTGGTGGGGGGGTGGTACAGAGTGGTATTATAGGATTTAATTTTTTTTTTTTTTTTCTTCGAGACAGAGTCTCACTCTGTCTCGTAGGCTGGAGTGGAGTGGTACAGTCTTGGTTCCCTGCAACCTCTACCTCCCAGGCTCAAACTCTCCTCCCACCTAAGCCTCTTGAGTAGCTGGGACAAAAGGCACATGCCACTATGCCTGGCTAATTTTTGTATCTTTTTTGGTAGAAACAGGGTTTTGCCATGTTGCCCAGGCTAGGAATTTAAGTTTAATCCAACATTTTTCTTATGGGATTTTTATTGTTTAGATGATACATTTAACTATATTTTAAAACTAAAGAAGAAGTTTTCTTCCTTAGTACTCTGGTTTATTGTATAGTATTTTTGTTTGTTTGTTTCTTTTTCCCACGCAGAAAGAACTGAGGAACATAAAGACTTACGCAAAGCGCTTTGCTTAATTAAAGACATGATTGCAACAGTGGATTTAAAAGTCAATGAATATGAGAAAAACCAAAAATGGCTTGAGATCCTAAATAAGATTGAAAACAAAACATACACGAAGCTCAAAAATGGACATGTGTTTAGGAAGCAGGCACTGATGAGTGAAGAAAGGACTCTGTTATATGATGGCCTTGTTTACTGGAAAACTGCTACAGGTCGTTTCAAAGGTACTGTGGCTCTACCAGACCAATTTCTCCCTTCATACACATTATTCATTTAACAGAGGACAGATTTTCAAAAGAAAAACAGTTCAGAATTGCAGGCACACATGCGCAAACCCTGGGTCAGTTGAAAGATTGATTTGTGAATTTCAATAGGCAAATTTGGCCAATGATACAAATCTTTGGTGGGAGTTTGCTGCCCAAGCTAAAACCTTTATACATGTTTTATGAATTTGCAAGTTTGTGATGTCTGAAATCAAATGAACTGAGAGTTCTGCTAATTGTTGACACAGAAAAATTATTCTGGTAACTGTGGTGTGTTGAAAGCAAGGCAGTACACCTACACACCTAGGGTCTGTTGCATGTCAACACAGCCTAGGGCTGTCAGACAATGGAGGGGAGAAATAAAAAGAACTCTGAATGTCATCTTTGTTACTGACTAATAGAATATATCCACACACCTGCTGACGTGGTTTAAGCTTTTCCTCAGTGCTACTGTTTGCTAACTGGCATGAACTTGACTCTGTTCAGGAGTCTAAAGCAGATAATTCCATTTTTTAAGGACTCATTATGTAGCTATCACACTGCCTAATCCAGGCTTTCTCACCCTGGCCACACACTAGAATCACCTCTGGAGCTGGAAAACATTACGAATGCTCATGTCTCCTCCCAGAGATTCTGATTTTTATCACTGTGAGGATGAAACCAAAGCCCATGGGATGTTTAAAGGCTCCCCAAGTGAGACTACTCTGCAGCCAGGGCTAAGAACCACTGTTTCTAACAGTTCATCTTAATAACATCCATAGGTAGGCAGTGAGAGGAAGAGGTTGTTAAATTCTAGCTACTCAAAAATTATTACCCATTGGAGGATGATCAAGTTTGGATGGAGGTTGCAACTAATATCTGAAATGGGATTTGTTGATCAACAACTAGCAATGTTGTATTGAAAAAAATATTAACCACAACCTGTAGATTCTATTGCTCGAAGTCATTTGCTGTTTATCCATTTAATAGAATCAGTTTGGTAACTTTGTGTTAGACTATTCAGTGGGTGCAATGAAGATGAGTTCTTGTGAACAATGTGTAAGGGAAGTATGGAATCTTAAACCTTGCTCAGATCTAGATGAAACAAAATAGCAGGCCTATATAATTTGAGGTAGAAGCTGCCCTTTTACATTTTTAATTCAGCACTTTTCCTGCCGAAGGTAAGAGTTTGCTCCATTTTATTAAAGCTTCCTTTTTTAATGGATATTTTTCTTCTGTTTTGAAAGTGACTACATTAAACTTTGCTGGAGATTTACCTATACCTACAGCCACACACAAACATGCACACTTAAAGACAGCTTTCTATTAAGTTATTAATAGCATATATCTTTGGCTATCATAATACAGGTATTTTTATAAAACTTTCATACTTAGACTAAATCTTAGTCTTTTGATTTTTATTCAGTTTATTTGAACTGTGGTTTGCTTCATTAATACTAGTAATGTTTTTTCTTTAAAGATATCCTAGCTCTACTTCTAACTGATGTGCTGCTCTTTTTACAAGAAAAAGACCAGAAATACATCTTTGCAGCCGTTGTAAGTATATGACTGTGTGATGTATTTAAAAAATAGGTTTAACCACACATTTTCTTGAAAAATACCTAAAATTCCTAGTGAAATATAATAGTCACAGGGAAGTATATGCTTCTGTTATGTTTCCATTATTACTTGTGATTGCAGTGTTTAGAGACAAGCATCTCATTAGGTTAAATTAGCATAGTAAGTGTTGCGTCATCACAACCAGGGCTGGTACTCAGCTGGTTCAGCAGTGTAGCCAACTGTGAGAATATTGCAGTCCTTCAGTAGTGGTTGGTGAACAGGCATTGCCCTGAGCCTCCCAAATGTCCCCACGCCATCTAGCTATCTTGGTCTTTCCTCCAGACTCCTCTCTTCCCCGCCCCTTCGGCCCCCAAACCCCTTCCCTTAGATCCAGCAACTAAAATGTGAATGCTGGGCACAGCCAATCTCTTCCAGCACCTGGCTTTCTCCATGCCCATTGGCCCTGCTCTCCCACTTACTAACCCCGTGACTGCCATCGTGTGCCTTCTGCCAGACAAGGGATACCATCCTGATGCCTAATGTTGACAGAAGATTCTTTCTTATTTTTACTATAGTAGCTTCTAAAGACAGTGTATGAAACTATTTTTGTAGTGTGTTAGAGTAATCTAATTGCTAGCATATAGATAATAAGAAGGCTTGAAGAAGTCTCTATGTTCCCAATCAATTTGAACTGTATTACAAATTTCATGAAAACCTATTGGTTTGTCCAGCAGCTTCTCAATGCTGTTACCTGAGATGCTTGAGATTCTCTTAAAGAACCTGAGAAATAAGTGGGAAGGTGGGGACCATTTTGTTTAACCTGTGGGATGGTGAGGGCCATGTAGGAACAGGAAACAAATTCACATCTTTATAGAAACCAATGCTTCTTTAAAACCAAAGACCTAAAAGAAAAGCAAATTCTGCTTCTTGGATGATATTACCGGACAGATGTCCTGCTGACTGATCATGAAGTAGATAATATAAATACAACTACCTTGTTTTTTAGGACGAGGTAGCATATGGATTCAGATCCTGTAATGCTCAACTTAGAGCGCGCCTGGAAATATGATTCTTTCCCTCTTGTCTCATATGACCTCCTGAGGCATTATCTGTGCTACCCATAGACAACATTTACCATTAAGTGAGGTATTAGGAATGCAATCCACCAAATGGCAGAATGAAGACAGTTACAACCTAGCTCTTCTTGGTGGAATGTGTTTGGCTATACTGATACTATTTCTTAAATGTGTTAACCTGACATGTAACTGCATTCATAAATGACAGCTAAGCCCTTGGTGGTATCAGAGAGCAAAAGAGAAAGCATCATTTTATCCTTGAAGAGTCAGGTGCACCCTACTGTTCATACACTCCTGAGTTACATCTATCTGACAATAGCCCATGTGTCACAAATATCTTATAGTTAACACTGTAGGAAATTGAAGCATTTGGCTAGGGATATACAGATATCTGGATTTCCTAGCTCCCATCCTAGAATTTTAGAAAGTTTTCCTCAAGCTAGTACAAGTGAGATTCTCCACTCCTTGTGCCCTTTAGAAAACACTTCTTCCCTAGGTGCTTGTCTTGCTGCATGTTACAGAAAACGTGATGAATTTGGAAGTAGCCAGAAGATAAGCAGTTAAAGTAGCAAGAGGATGGAGTAGTGGGTCCCTACAAGACAGTTTTGCTTTGTTTTTGTTTTTATAAAGGACTCAGCTGGAAATTGGGGCAGAGCCCAAACCTACAAAATGTGTTAAGAAAAAGTAGATGTGTTCACTAAGTCTTAGAATACTGAGTCTAGGAGGAATCTCTTGAACATCAAAGAAGGCAAATTCAAAAGGAGCAAACAACCAAGACAGTGAACATGTGGACCTGCAGGCTGAAGTTCCAAATAGGAAGCAGCTTTAAAATCTCTTTATCACAATGCAATCCCTGGATAATAGAATCAGCACAAAATGGATACGGTGTAACAATACAGCTAAGCATGGCAGCTCCTTTCATCTTCTCCTACATTAGAGGTCTTCAACTCCTAATGCCTGTAGGCATTGGGCAGAAATGTGATTGAGTGAATGTGATAGGGTCAGAAGCAATGAGACAATAGAAAGTTGTAGGGACTGTAGTGAAAAGTGAGTCTGTGCCCTGTCTCAAAGATGTCAGGGATTACTTGGCTATAGCCAGTGTTTTAAAATGAGAATATGGGCCCAGGATTGCTCATCTTCTGCTTTCCCCAAGAACCCAGAAATGTAAAGTTTTTAAAAAGTGAAATCCTCTAGTATTTAAATGCTGAGAACTGATTTTTAAACTTTGTTTGTTAAATGCCGTGGCACAAATAAAACATCTCTGCAAGCTGGGTTAGCCCTTTGCATTACTAGTGTTTGACATCTACCTCCAAGGCAGACATGGTACTTCCATTCCTGGAGAGTTAATTTGAATGTTTGTTCATCTCCAGTGTTTGTGCGTGGTTAGTATGAATACCGATGGACAGGTTCCCATGCCCCCTGGTCTGATGGTGATCGAATGAATGCTACTTTCCTTGCACTTACCTGTTCTTCACTTTGAAAAGATCTTACCCTGCCACCTCCCCTCCCCTGCAACACTAACCAACTGGTTCAAATAATTGCACTCTTGCTCATGTCTTAAGCAAGTAAACCTACTCTGCCTTTTTACATACAGAGGCTGTTTACCTTGTCAGCTGAGGAAGCTATAAAGTACATTGCACATTGCATCAGGGAAACAGATAAGGGAGTAGGTCCATAATAGAATAAGCCAGATTAACAATGCTCCAAGGATCTCCCTAATTAGAGAGGGCAGTATTCCAACAACTCTGCCATGGGGCTGCTTTTGCTTCCATTTTCAGAGGCTGAGCACAGGCTGTATAGACTAGTGGTCTTGTCCCATTATATTTTTACTCTCATGCTACTCTGAGAAGCGTGGGGTGAGGAGGTACTCTGGGTCACCATGGCACACAGCCTCTGATATGGCCAAGCTGTATGATGCTGGGAAAGCCGACAAGCCAGCACCAAGGAGTCAGCAGTGAGGGAACAGTGGCATGTTCTGGATAAAGGCGTCGCTCAGTCCATGATGGTGAAGCAAAACCACACACTGCAACCAGCTCTGTAAACACTGGTGGAAGCCACAGACCAAAGAAGAATTCTTCATATTATCCCCCAAACTGTTCATCTTGAAGTCATTCTTTTGGCCATTCTTTCAACTACATCTACCTACCAAGCATCATCAGTGTGCTGTTCCTCTTTGAATCCCCAGTGTTTAGAAAAAGACATTGGAGGATCACAGTAGATGTTGGTAGAAGAGGTGGTTTAATCATGGCGTACATGCCAAATTTTAGACTTTCTTCCTATTACCCTGTGGTGGACTTATGTGAAACTAGTCCTACCAACATTTATTGAGTGCCTACTCTATGCTTGGCTATGTGCTAGGTGCATGAAGATGAATGAGACCCATTCCCACCCACCAAGGGCTCATCTGCTTGGTGAGAAGAGGCAAGAACTTGTAGACCATTTTGTTGCTGTGACCCACATGACAGTAGCAAAAAGGATTGGTTACGCCTGGGGAATCAAAGGTCTTGCCACTTATTCGTATCTTTTGTAGTCACTTTTATAGTCCATGGGCTGGGCTTCTGAGTTTCTGGGCTTCTGTTCCGTCACCTTATTGAAAGAGTATTGCAAGTCTAATGGACTTTTTAGGGCCTCCCTCCTTCTCAGTCTCTTTGACATTTGACATAGTTTCCTATCTCATGCTCTCTTAGAAAAACTTCTCCTGCCTTGACTATGGCATTTTGATATTTTTCTTCTCTGATTGTTCTGTCTTTTAAAAAGTTCAGTTTTTAAACAACCAATTCCTTTTTTTTTTCTTTTTTTGAGATGGAGTCTTGCTCTGTTGCCCAGGCTGGAGTGCGCTCACTGCAACCTCTGCCTCCCAGGTTCAAGCAATTCTCATGCCTCAGCCTCCCAAGCAGCTGAGACTACAGGCGCACACCAGCACATCTGGCTAATTTTTGTGTTTTTAGTATAGATGGGGTTTCACCACATTGGCCAGGCTGGTCTTGAACTGCTGACCTCAAGTGATTCACCTGCCTCGGCCTCCCAAAGTGCTGGGATTACAGGAGGGAGCCGTTGGGCCCGGCCTAAACCACCAATTCTTAAGGATGAGCATGCCTATAATTCCTCTTTTTCCATCCTCTCTTTTCCATACCGTCTCCATTGGAGATTGTATCAACTTCTACAGCTCTTTTGAAAAGATTGGAAGTGGAGAAAGGTTTACCTAGTACTCTTGCTTCCTTTAGCTCATGTTTTACGGAGCCTTACTTTAGCTAGGATGCTGTTTCATCTGCTCACCTTCCTATTTTATGTAGGATCAGAAGCCATCAGTTATTTCCCTTCAAAAGCTTATTGCTAGAGAAGTTGCTAATGAGGAGAGAGGAATGTTTCTGATCAGTGCTTCATCTGCTGGTCCTGAGATGTATGAAATTCACACCAATTCCAAGGAGGAACGCAATAACTGGATGAGACGGATCCAGCAGGCTGTAGAAAGGTAACATTTCCTTCCGTCCATAATCTATGGAACAGAGTTGTTCAACTGGGGAAAATATTCTAACCATGTCTTCCTGCATGAAAACTTTGCCTCTGCCAGAATGGTCTGCCCCCTGCCCCCTGCACCTGCCTGCGATAGCCCCCCATCTGCAGCTTTCTCCTCCACGCCTCCCTGCATGTAATGCCTGCACCTCCCTCTGCCTGTGTGCACCCTGCCGGGCGTTGATGCAGCTCGGGCCTCCCCTCCTCCATGAGGACCCCTTCAGTCCTGGTGATCTCTTTCTTGCCTGAAATTCTTTAACACCTGCTCACTAAAGCATTTACTTGATGCTTCTTATATACTGCCTTGTAGCTATTATCTTTTTTATGTACATATGTGTGTGTTTATTTAATTAGATTGGAAGCTCCTCGAGGGCAGGGTTCATGTCTTATGTTTCTCTGTGTGCCTAGTGCTGAGAAATCATTCAATAAATGTTTCTGAATTGGTGGATCTAAGTATTCTAAGTCAATTTATTCCTCATTACTTGTGCAAGGACAGTTTTTATAATTGGGAGCACAAGGGTGGGGGTGATCATTCTCAACAGTAGTTTGATTAGTTAGATCCTGAAGTTATATAAAATTTCTCTACCTCTACTGCACCCCATCTGCCCTGGCACCCCACTTCTATCCTTTACAATTCTTATACTTTATTCCCATTATGGGTGTGTGTGGTGAGTGTATGTTTGTGTTCACTGGAATATTTGAGTCATCCCACACCACCGATTTTGAGAGCCATGTAATGTTATGCAAGATTCTTTGTATTCTCAAGAAAACCAAGTCTCTGGCCAGGGGGGATGATGCATTCCCTTTATGCTGAAATTTTCTCCTTTATGAATAAATCTATTGCCAAGTTCCCATGTTTTTCTAATGAATCTACAGATACTTGCATTTGGTTTCAGTTGTGTCTCTTGACTATTGTCTTTTAAAGTTGTCCTGAAGAAAAAGGGGGAAGGACAAGTGAATCTGATGAAGACAAGAGGAAAGCTGAAGCCAGAGTGGCCAAAATTCAGCAATGTCAAGGTACAGTGCAGGCACTTCTGGCTCCCTGGTCGTGGTGTTCTCCTGGGTGTTGGGAAAGCCTGAGTGTCATGAACAGGAGGTTATAACTACATGATTCATCCTGTGCACCTGAGGCCCACCTGGACCACCCTCCCGAGAAACTTACACTAGAAATGCTCAAATAAGATGACATTCTCTTCACTTCCACCTTAGTGATTAAAATGGATGTAAAAAATGCACATAACATATATGAAACAACAGCTGTGGGCAGTGTGGTGCAGATGAATGTTGGAATTATTTGTCTCATGGTTTAATTTTAGGTCTCAGCACTGTCATGTCAATGACTTTGGACAAGGAACCCAACAGATCTTGTCCCCAGTTTGCAAGTGTGTGAAAGAAGGAGATTAGACTAGCTCAGTGATTCTCTACTCTGGTTGGACACTGGAATCAGTTGAGAGGTCTTTAAAAATACGGATGCCTGGGCCTCACCCTCCACCGATTGAATCCGAATCTGTGGCAGGTGGGATGTAGACTTTGGGGTTTTCAGCTCTCCCAAGGTGACTTTGAAGCACAGAGGGGACTGAGAATTCCTGGATTCAATGCTAGTTAAGGTCCCTTTGAGCTTTAAGAATTCTGTAACATGTTGAAATCTGAGGACAATGATGCATGCAAAGATGGGCAAAGAAATTGGATGTTTAGAAACAAAAACTTAAACCAGTATGTTTGGTTTAGCCTGTGCCGTTCCAGGCATTTGTATTGTTCACTCATCATGGACAGGGCCGCCTCAATTTTCATTCCTAAGCTTAATGTTTAGTCTTAATAGAAAACAGCCTGAACAAACAAAGAATAGCTTTGCAAATTTTCTGGAAGTAGGGGACTGAGAAAGGAACCTTATTTACAGAAAAGACAATGGAAGCTGAGAAAGTTGTTAAGTCACTTGCTGGAGGCCACAGTCACTAAGTGGCATGGTCAGGACTGAGACCTGCATCTGCCCCACTCATCAACCTGGGTTTTCTCTTGGAGGTCTTACTGCTTGCTAATTAGCAACATCTTTTTCGTGGACTTTCACATTAGTGGTTGTATTCATGTTAGTGATAATCTTCTATGGTAAATACTATTTCATAGAAATACTCACTAACCAAGACCAACAAATTTGTGCGTATTTGGAGGAGAAGCTGCATATCTATGCTGAACTTGGAGAACTGAGCGGATTTGAGGACGTCCATCTAGAGCCCCACCTCCTTATTAAACCTGACCCAGGCGAGCCTCCCCAGGCAGCCTCATTACTGGCAGCAGCACTGAAAGAAGGTAAACTGCTGTGAGAAGGGTTTGGGTCGACACGTTCAGAAAATGTTTATTGAACACCTGCTAAGTGCCATGCACTGTGGTCTTGGTGCTGAGGATACAGCAGAACAAGACAAGGTCCTTACTCGGCTGGAACTTATATTTCTAGAAATAGCCAAATATAAAGAAAGAAATATGTCAGGTTGTATCAAGTGCTATGAAGAAAAATAAGCAGGATAAGGGAGAGAGAGGGTGATGGAGTTGGGATCGCTCTGTTTTAGATAGGGTGGCCAGGGAAGGCCTCTTTGATATAATGATATGTAAGTGGACATGAAGGAAGAAAGCTAAGTGGTATCTTGAGGGAGAGTCTTCCAGGCGTAGGGAATGGCCGGCACAAAGGTCCTGGTGCATGGAAGTGCCAGGCTCGCCTGAGGAGCAGGCAGGGGGACAGCACAGGCTGAGGGAAGGGAGGGTGGGGTGAGCAGTGCAGGCGATGAGTCCAGGGTTCACTAGGTCTCAGGTTGCATGGCGGGAGAGAAGGACTTGGAATTTCATCCTGAGTGGGATGGGAAGCATTAGAGAATTTTGAGTGGAGGAGGGACTTGACTTGTGGTTTGAAAGGTACCTCCTGACTGCTGTGTGGAGAATAGACTTAAGAGGGTGAAGTGCAGATGTTGGTAATAACAATGGGAGATGGTGGCCGAGGTTGGGTGAAGGGCAAGGTCATTGGAGATGAGAAAGTCCAGAGGATGAGAGGCCAGGGTGGTGGAAGGACTAAGTTTATAGAATTGAAAATACTGAGAATTTTGACAGGATTAGCGCTAGTGGGAGGGGGAGAACTTGTGCTGTGTGCTAACTCATTCAGGGAAGGCAAACGAGTGGCTGAAGGTCTATAGAGGAAAGGCAACAATGAGCGGTAGTGAGTGGTTGTAACCTGAGGGCAGCGGCTTCAAGGCAGAAAGGAGTTGAAGGGAGAGATGGAGATAATGGTCTGAAGTGACAGTGGGACAAAGGGCTTGGGAGATAAACCAGCCACCTCCTGAGAGAGTAGCAGGAAATGCTGTTGTACAGAAGAAGGGCTGGTAAATTACAGACCACGGACTACACACATCCCACAACCTGCTTTCGTAAGTTTAGTTTTACCGGAACTTAGCCACATCTGCTTGTTTATGTGTTGCCTCTGGCTACTTTTTCCTACAGTGGCAGAGATGAGCAGTTTTGACAGACTGTTTAGTCCACAAAACCTAAACTATTAACTGGCTCTTTGCAGAAAATGTTTGCCAGCCTCTGGTTTAGAATTTCAGAATATTAGCTCTGGAAGAGAATTTAGAAATCTTAGAATCAGCCATCTTTATTTCCCAGTTGAGGAAACTGAGGTCTTGAGAAGGGCATAGAGGTCTGAAGTAGGGTTCACTGATAGAACCCCTCATCCATCTGTTTATCAGATATCCATTGAGCATCTATCTTGTACTGTTGCTGGTGCTAGGGAGGCAGTAATGCTTTTGTAAAACTTTTAGTGAGGAAAGACAGACAATACTTACGGAAAAAAGAGAACTTTGGATAGTTATCTATCCCAAAGATAATGGGATTGTGGTAAGATGAAGGCTTTACTTCAGAGAGATTAGCCTAAAGACCTCTTTTTGAGATGAGGATTGAGAAATGAGAAGCCAGCTGTCTCAAAAGCTTGGGGAGGATCATCTTGGGCAGAGAGAAGGAAGTGCAAAGCCCCTGAGGCTGCAGTGAGCTTCACGTGTTTAAGGAAAGAAGGGAGGCCAGAGTAGCAGATGTCAGCGGGGGTCACCGTTAGATGAGGTGGTGTGGGCCAGGCAGACTGGGATCAGATCATTGTAGGCTGTGTTTAAATAATTTTAGAAGAGGATGTTATTCCAAATATGATGGAAAGCACTGGAAGCTTTTAATCATGGGTGTGGCATGATCTTATTTATGTCTTAAAACACTGGCTGCTGAATGGACAAGAGATTAGGAGACAAATCTGCCTGGAGACCTGTTAGGATGTGATCACAGAAGTTAAGATGAGCCTTGGTCTAGACCAGTGCCATTGACAATGGGAGCAGAGAGAAGAGGCCGAGGCAAGATATATTTTAGAAATAAAGTCAAGAAGAAACTTCCAAGTGGGTTGACAAGAAGCAGTGACCTCCCTCATTGTCTTTGATAAAGGCTTGATGAAATAAATCGCCCACTCTCAGTATCAGCCAGTGGCTTTAACTTTCTCCCCCACCAAAACTTTCACTAACGCTGGGTTGTACGCCCATCTGCTTCCATTCCCCTGGCACACCGTGACAGAGGTGCCGGGGCAGCGGCGGACCCAGCTGCTTAGAACCCAGAGCAATGGAGGTGCTGCGTGAGCCGCAGTTGGATAATCCACCCTGGGTCACTGACCATCCAGCCCCATTTGCAGCCGAAAGATGGAGCAGGAGTTCTTATCAGAGTGAGGGAGTTATCTTCCGACAAAAAGCCAGTTCAGTAGTGCACCTTGAATCGTCTTCCTGGGACTTCACTCTGCTGGACAGCTTTTCCTCCTTCCTTTCTTTTCTTCTGTCTCTTCCTCTTGAAACCCATCCATCCTTCCAGGTCCTGCTCAGTTTTCACCTCCTGTAAAAACATATTCCGAATCCTAATAGATAATAGAATGCTCTTCCTCCTCCATGCTGCAGTAGCATTTATAATGCTCTAATAATGCTGATGGAGATGAGTGCTGATCACATGCTTCTGTATGGTCTAGTGGGTTGTGTATGTCTCTTTCCTCCTCCAATCTGTAAACTCCCCTCTTAGTTGTCAAATGCCCAATATCCCCTAGAACAGGTGCTTATTTAAAATACAGATCCTGTTTTCTCCTCCAGAGAATCAAATCCAGTAAGTCTGGAGCCAAAGACTGGGAATCTGTATTTCTAAAGATAAGTGTAGGGAAATACTCTTTTGAGGAATAGCTAATATTTCTGGGCAACAGGTTTTAAAATTTTAATGCCTGGTATATTTATACTAACTGAATGACAGGAAGTTTTTAGGCATACCAGTTTACTGAAAGTTGCATTTGAGATATTTTAATATAATGGTTTATAGTTTTCTATTGAGTTAATTCTCTGTCGTAAAATGATGCTAAAAGTATTGGTCTAGATTGAAGATCTGCAAACTTTTCCTATAAAGGGCCAGATACTAAGTATTTTGGGTTTTGTAAATCACACAGTCTCTGGGGTGTGTGTGTGTGGTGTGCGCGCGTGCGTAGGCACATGCCCATGTTTTGACAACCTTTAAAAATGTAAAAATCATTTTTAGCCCCTGGGTCCTATAAAAACAGGGACAGGCCAAATGCGATTTGCCAATTCCTGGTCTAGATTAAATATATACCTATCTTTGTTTTTTAGATTTATTTTTGTTTTTCTCCATCTTAGCTGAGAGCCTACAAGTTGCAGTGAAGGCCTCACAGATGGGCGCCGTGAGTCAATCATGTGAGGACAGTTGTGGAGACTCTGTCTTGGCGGACACACTCAGTTCTCATGATGTACCAGGATCACCGACTGCCTGTAAGTGAAAATGCAGGCCTTGGCAATGAGCCTGAGCACAGTCCCTGGAGCTTACAGTGGTCACGTAAAGTAAAGGCAATGACTGTCTCTGGTTGAAGGGGACTTGATATATTTTTTTAAATTAGAAAAAAACTGAGAATAAATATGCTAGCCTAAATGAATATCATAGGCATATAATAATGACACTGGGGTTTCAAGTATGAGGATCTAAAGAGTAGTTGGTGGGTTATACTGCTCTGTTTGCCGGCCAAATATCGGACCTTCCCCAACCCCTACCCTGCCTCATTTTTGATATGATTTATTCATTACAGTTTTGAAAGAACTTTTTAACTTTTCAGGTTTTTTAAAAAAGGAGTCCCTGCGGTCAATTACAGAACAAGCCCTTAAACCTAATCTCATGTGCATCAACTGAGAAAACAACTCAGAAAACCAGAAATATACACACGGCTCCCTCCGTCTCCCTCCTTTCTCTCTCCCTCTCTCTTTCTCTCTCTCTCACACACACGAAGTTTGGTGGTATGGTTAAAGCAGAAGTGCCAGAAAATTCTTGATCTGTGCCATCCTACACTTTAGTTCATGTCAGAATTCATTTATGAAAACATTGTTTCAAAACATTTTAAATATAAAAAAAAATAGAATGTAGAGATTTGGTTTAGGTAATTTCCCCGAACCTAGCTATCCTGTTATATGTATAGTTGTAGGCTACTTAGTTCCATAAAGGTTTCTAAGATAAGAGCATAAAGAGTATACTTTTCATCCTGTGCAGGTGGTAACAACCTTACTTCCACAAGGTCTTATGTGCGTAAGATAAAATGGATAAAATGTCTTCAGTAGTTAGAGATCAGAAGATTAAATTGAACTCAAGATTGGAAGATTAAATTGAACTCAGAACTTCTTTAACAACATCCCTTGATTAATTAAGATATATAGATGCAGTATAGCTTTTTAATTCTATACTTCTTTTTTTTTTCTTTTTTAAACATCAGCACCACTAATTATCTTCCTCTCTCAAGTTCTGCTTTATCTAATCCTGAGTTTCTAGTTTCAGAATGCGCACGTATGTTTTTCATTTTGACACAGCCCAGATTCATCAGGGGAGTTGTACTGCCCTGGGTGATTTCCTTTTAAAAGAAGAACCTCATTATGCCATTGAGGAGTCTCTGTCTAAAAATACGTGCAGGGATCTGCTGAGGGATCTGCTGCTCTCAGCCTCGCCCCAGGGACAGCTGGAGAGGCTCCCCTCTGCAGCTGCCCGAGCCCGCGGTCGTGCCTTCCCTCCCTTCAGGCCAGGCAGTGAAGGTCTCCTTGTCTGTATCCACATCTCTCATGACTGGGGAGAGTTTCAAAGGGACACCCGTGGCATTTGCCAGAACCATTGAGAGGCTCTTTAGAGGGGTCTGATGTCGGGATTCAGGTAGAGGAAGTACCGAAGCTGGCTGGTGGGGTCCTGTACCCCAAGGCCTCTTCAGTTCTGGGTCAGACTGGAACATGGTGCTATGAGAGTTTGATTCTCTTTATAAAGTTGTTCAAGGCACAAGGCTAGTTCTAAATGAAGGTCTACAACTGTGACTGAATGGGTCGGTTCTGCAAATGACTTGGAGAACTGGGCTCTTCTTCATCAGGCTTATGTCAGCCTGAGGTTATAAGCCAAGCAGACAGCTCTATTTTCAGTCTTCAGTATACATGATGAGTATCTTCTACTTCTAGGAAAGTTCTGTTCACTGGAGACCCTCTGGCCCACCCTGAAATTGGATACAGGGACAGGGACCTGATCTGTGTTTTATTCTTCTGCCTTGTCATCAGCTTCTTTCCCATTTGATTTTCCTAATTTCTATGAGGGAGTGAGAAACAGAGTGGTGAATTCTTTAGTGATGCCTTTGGCCACTCTTTAAGAGTTAGGAATAGCACCCAATAGTAGAACCATTTTTCAAATGACAGAGAAACCTATAAAATGTCCCTCATTGTAAGTGAATAAGTGCTGATCAGCTTGAACAAAATGGACTTGTTTTTAGCTGATCTCATCTGAAGCCGTTTCCGTTTAGACAAAAACTTCTTTGTATTAGAAGAGGTCTTTGAAATCCTAGAGGACTCTCATTTTCCAAAGACATAAGTATTTTTATTAAAGAAAAAAGCATTTCCTATATTGGAAATAAAGTTTTAAAAAGACACAATAAAAATTATACAAACAAACAGTGTCATAAAGTGAATATCGATTTTGTCAGGGTCTGGATTGGACATGGTTCTAATAAAACACTGTTTTGGGCTTTGAAAATTCTAGTTTTAATCAGTGCAAGGTGGGCACAGTTTAAGTTTTAACTGAGTTCACATGGGTAAAGAAATAAAATCCTGCCAACAGAGATTTAATGGATGAAGTGAAATCTGTATTTGGTACTTAAAAATATTTCGGGACTAGTTTCTATGTTTTCATAGTTTAAATACATAGTATTTGTAAATCTAAAGCATAACAAGAAATGTGAGAAAAACAACACATTTAGAAATTGTTAAAAAATAAGTTATTCAGAGATAGGGACAGGTTCTTGGTTTGTATGACTATGAGACCGTGAAGTATTAGCCATCTCCGCCTTCCTAGAAAGATGTCTCCCTCCTGCTTCGGACTCCTCCTTCCTCCTAAACCTTGTTTATCGTCTGCTGCTCTTGCACTGGCCACAAGAGAGACTTTTTACAGACTTAAGTCTGCCAAGAGACCTTGCTTTTGTTCTACAGCACCTGTTTTAAATTTCACCCTTCCCAGGAGGCATTTTCCTATTAAGTGAGAGTGAGATGTAGATTCTACCCTCTGTAACACAAACGACACACGAACACTTCAGTGCAAGAAAGAAAAGTACAAAGATGGTGATACTTTGTGCGGTTCGTCAGTTGCTGTCTGTTAGCGTGTAAGCCCCATGTGGGCAGGGACCACATGCATTGCTCTGCGCTCATCCAAGCACCTCATCTAAGAATACTCAATATGTATTATTTTGTGGTGTTTCCTATTTTGAAATATGTGTTGGCCGTGTACAGAAGAACCCGGTGGGCTGGCCGATGTTTGACGCTGTCCTTTTTGTTTCTGTCTCGATGGCGTGCTTCCAGCATTAGTCACAGGAGGGAGAGAAGGAAGAGGCTGTTCGGATGTGGATCCCGGGATCCAGGGTGTGGTAACCGACTTGGCCGTCTCTGATGCAGGGGAGAAGGTATTGTGAACTGATTTGTTAGTAAACGGCAGCGGTTACTGTGTATAATAAAATAGCCTCAGGTTCTGGTCTGTCACGGCAGTCAGTGGGGCAAAGGTGCTTTTCTGAATTGTTCTCAATTGATTTAAATATTCATATTTAAACTTTCTAACTTATTTCTTCTTCAAATGTGCTTGCACTGCCTGTGTCATGTAGGTGTAAACAAAGCAACGATTGAAAAGTTATTAAAAAGATTAAAAACTCTCCTGTGTATATGTGTGTCTGTGCTCTCTGACTTCTGGTCTTTCTGCCCTGCAAACCTTTGCTTCTCACCCACTATGTCTGGCAGCTCTGGCACCCGGGGGCCCTTTTGCAACCAGATGGCGCCAAAGTAATTGAAACACCTTTTACTTTGGAATATTCTTGCTTCTTTCACCTTCCTTGACCCTCCTCTCCTTGCAGAGTTGATTTCCTGTCACCACCCACATTTCACCTACTTTTTTTGTGGTTAATTTTTAATTAATCTGACCAGTTTTTGCTTGGGGCACAGCGATTCCCAAAGGGAATCCTCTTTTTTGACTTACTGCTATAGACATAGATATTAACTCTCTCTTTAAGAATTAAATACATAAAACTTCCTATTAATGTCTACTGAAAGTGAGATGTCAGAAATAGGGAAGGAATAAAATATGATTCTGGGAGGTGGCTAGTTGGCCTCTTCCTGCTTGTCAGGGCTCCAGAGTTTAGCTTTATCTAAAATTGAATTAGGTACATTAATAGGTGCCAATATGTGTCAATGTGAAAAAATGGCAAATGTCAGATCTTCTCACATATACAACATATTTTACATATTATATACTTTTTGTGTATATTACATAAGACTGAGAAATCAAGTCAAGGACTTTTAAAATCCAGAGAAAAGACAGCTGTGACTGAGTGTTCTTTTTTAAACTTCAGAGGCCAAAATGAGCATAGGAATGTAATATTTTACTCCTTCTGATTGTAAGCTTTCTAATGTATTGCTTCTTAAAATGTTCCTGCTTTTCATCACTTTTAAGTGTGAAGTTTGTGGTGTCCAACTGTGTTAATAGAAAAGAGAGAGTGAATTGGACAGTAATAATTTAATCTTGAACGCAAAGTTGGGTGGCTCCTACCCCTAAAGTCTCCCTCTTCCACTCCAATTCAGCTACAGGTAGATAATTGAGGTTAAGTGTCTGGGTTCTTCTTTGGATTAAGCTATCTGCAAAATTTTTTGCTTAATAAGGCATTTTGAAAGATTAATACATTAATAAACCCAGGTAAAGGGCAGGATCACTTGAAATCAAACTTTTAAAAGGTGTATAATGGATATTTTGTCATTAGCTTCCTCTACAAGGTAAGGTTAGAACAAATTTCTGAAAGAATATTAAAAAATGAAATCTGACTCAAATGCAGAAATAATGGATAAATCGCCAACTGCAGTTTTAAACATTTACCACAAGGTGGCAGAACAACTCCATTAAAAACGCGAAATTTCCTGTCTTGTGTCAAACCTAGTGGCTTTTGGGCATAAGTAACCGCGGGTAGCACAGTCCAACTCATTTCTATGGTTCTAATTTTTATAGACTATAAAAACTCTGTGCCATATGGTCTTACTACAGAAGCAGTGGAGTGTGGATGGGCCACGACAGAGCCAGAAGAGCAGCGAGAACGCCAACCATCCCTCTAGGGCGGGGGTTCTTAGAGCCTGTTCTCTCCCATAGGGTTTGGCACAGATCTAATGTCTTTAAGCTTCATCTCCATTTTCAGCCTCTGTCTTTTCTCTATCAGAGGGGCTGCTTACGAGTGAAATCTTTAATTGGCAGTCCAAGGGAAGCGGAGGTCTGGCTAGCTCATCCTGGCATCATCAGCCTAAACTAATTGAATTTAACAAGTTCAAAATTACCCGAGGACATGACCATGGCTGGCTGCTTTTTATGGCTTAAAATTAGATGAGACAGTAGGCCCTTGAGGACAGGGCATCTGATGGTCTCCCATAGCGTAAGGTGTGAAGTTTACAGTGGGTGATCGATATTTATTTATTGAATGGCGTGCCATCGAGTTCAACTGGGAGTCATTCACTTGTTGAGTGTCCGTGCTATGTCAAGCATCATTCTTATAATATGGAGCACATGGACAAAGTCTCGCTACTCACTGGTTTGCATCCTAGGGAGAGAAGGCCGACAATAAATGAATAAACAAGTGTTCAATTATGGAGGCTGCAAACCATCACTATCCACGTGTGCCCTTAATGTGTGCTGTGGAAGAGACAAAGAACAAGGCATAGACCCTCTCCCTAAAGAACAGACGGTCTCCTGTGGCTGGTTCGTGGCCTCTGCTGCTAGTACTTCTACTATGGCAGTCACTGGTCTGGTGATCTCTGACTGTGGTGGGATCTAGAGCAGCCCAGCTACGCGCGCCACTATGGCCACCGTCTGAGTCTGGTTTCTTTTCCCAACTGCTGTATATGTTGATATCGTGAATCTCAAACATTGAGAAAAGGAGTTAAGGCCAGACATGATATTCTTTCTTTAACTTTCAATCTGTCCTCTAGAATATAAGAGGTCAGCCTGACCCAAAAGACAACTTCAGTCTGGGCACAGAGAACTCAATTCACATTGTGGTTTGCACAAGGTAAATGTTGTTACTTGAGTTTTCAGGGTGTCCTTACTGTCATCCCTTGTTGTTTTAAGGGGTGATTGGGTGAAAATTGCCATCCATCTCAAACATCGACTTTGCGTGAAGGACGCTCTTGTTGTCAAGTGTTTGTTTGATTCTATAGGCTTTTATTTCTGGGAGGAAACTGAGTCAGTATAGATAAGGTAATCAAGTTTAGAGATAGCAAAGTGATTTACCCAAGGTCATACATTTTGGGACACTGCAGGGCAGCTTTTCAGAAGTAGAATGGTTATTCATTTTCTTGTTTTTTATGTATTTTAGGTGGAATGTAGAAATTTTCCAGGTTCTTCACAATCAGAGGTGAGCTGCTGCACATACCTTAAATGTATCACCAGCCTTTATTTGTGGATAATGAAAGCTTTTTCAAGAATTTGACACTTACAATTTTGTTTTTCAGATTATACAAGCCATACAGAATTTAACCCGTCTCTTATACAGCCTTCAGGTAACTATCCTCCTCTAATCTTTGACCTTGTGAATGGTTCTCTTAATGCAATTCTCTTTGATGATTCCCAGACTTTAAAAATGAGAACAAGTGAGAGGTAGGGAATGATCTTAAAAGAATGACAACCTTCTAAGTGTGATGTGTTGGACTCACATGGTTTTGTAATCAGAGGCAACACCATGACTACATTTTATACCATTCTTCTCTGAAATCATAAAACAGTTCATATCTTTAAAAAATATTGATGAATATGATCTGGCTTGACATTTACAATGAAACTCTTAGGTGAGTGTAGCATGACTTCACATTTTCTGATGAAAACCTAAATTCACACCTAAAATTCTTTGACTTCTCCATGTGGCCATCAGCCTTTAGAGCAGTTAAGTAATCCATATGTTGCTTTACTCTTTTGTTTGTTCATCCACTCAACATTTATTAATTTATTAATGTTGAGGGGATGAACACACAGTGCCTGTCTCTGTGCTGACTGTGCTGAGGGCTGAGCACACAAAGGCAAATTAGCCACACAGCCTGCTCTCAAATAGCTTACTGCCTTTCAAGGAAGAGCAGACATAAAAAAGAAATCATGCTTGCATTTAGGATTAAATGGTTGGATGATCCCTTAGGCTGGGGTCCCCAAACCCCAGGGTGCAGAGTGTTACCTGTCTGGGCTGCACAGCAGGAGGTGAGCTGGGGGCAAGCGAGCAGTACCACCTGAACTCCGCCTCCTGTGAGATCAGTGGCAGCATTAGATTCTTATAGGAGCGTGAACCCTATTGTGAACTGTGCATGCAATCTAGGGATCTAGGTTGCCCCCTCCTTATGAGAATCTAATGCTTGATGATCTGAGGTGGTACGCTTTCATCCTGAAACCATTCTCACCACATCCCAGCCCATCCATTAAAAAAAAAAAAAAAACTGTCTTCCACAAAACAGGTCCCTGATGTCAAAAAGGTTGGAGACCACTACCTTAGACCATGCAAAGAAAGAGGCTCAGTGTGTCCGATGGCTTAATTTACTCATTAAAATGTATCTCGAAAGGATATACATGCAATGTTTGGATTGTTGAAAAATTTGTAGAAAAATTTGAGAATACAAGTAAATGAAAGAAAATGATTTCTGATTCTACAAAGAGAATTAAAATTATCATGTTGGTGTATAAGGCTCCAGATTTTAGAATTGTTCTCTGTGCACTCTTCTGTAACATGTAACTTTCTCTGTCATCAACTATTATTCTATTGCATACTTTTTAATGATTATATATTAAATTCAACTCTGTGGGGTTTATTCAATCCCTTATTGTTTACACTTTTGTATTATTAACAACACTGTAGAGGACATCCTTGTGTACTCATCTCTTTGAATACATCTGACTATTTCCTTAGGGTAAATGAGAAGAATTATTTTGTTTAGGTTTTCAATAGACTTTGCCAAAATAATCAAATCAACCACCATTCTCTCTTTTTCTTCCATTTGAAGATGGATTAGGGTATCTGATTATTTTATTTGTACTTCTTTGATTACTACTGAGACAAAACATTTTTCCCTCACTGGTTTATTATTCATTCATGCTTCATATCTTGTTGAATTTAAAAGAAAATAAAATGAAGCCTAAGTTTTCAGCAGAAAATATAAAGGCATGCTGCATTCGATGTTTTGTTATTTAGACTTCGACTCTATCAAGACTTCTTTCTCTTATGACCTTTTATTCTTGCTCTAGGACCAACATCTGAATTGTTAAAGCCTTGGATTACATTTGAGTATATGACAGTGCTCATCTTATTTATTTTTCTATGCATATTTATATATCCTTCCACAAGAGCTTTTATTTTTTTATTTATTTATTTTTTTGAGACAGGGTCTGGCTCTGTTACCCAGGCTGGAGTGCAGTGGCACGATCTCAACTCACTGCAACCTCTGTCTCCCAGGCTGAAGCCATTCTGCCACCTCAGCCTCCCAAGGAGCTGAGACTATAGGCGTGTGCCACCAAGCCTGGCTAGTTTTTCTATTTCACCATGTTGCCCAGGCTGCAGTCTAACTCCTGGGCTCAAAGTGATCTACCTGCCTTGGCCTCCCAAAGTTCTGGGATTACAGGCATGAGTCACTGCACCCAGCCCCACAAGAGCTCTTAAACAAGTTTCTTATCTCTTGCCAACATCATTAAGTTAAAATTTCATTATATTTTTGAAATAAATTGGAGAGAATCAACACCTTTACCATAATCACTTACTTGTCTTATAAAAGAACATCGGTCAGTCATCTCTTATTCTATGATTTGCTGGAGAGCTTTGTAATTGTCTTCATATGGTATGATATGCGTGTATATGTATTTTTTTCACTAAGTTTATTCATATGTCTCTTTGCTGCTATTGTGAATAATTTTTTTTTTCATTTTGTGTCCCCAGTGGTTGTTGCTAATATAAATAAAGGTATTGATTTTGGGGTACTTATATTGTAACTGGTAAACTCATTGAACTTTATTTTTCATTTTAATAGTTTTTCCATTGATATTTTGAAGTATTCCAGGTAGAAAATAAAAATTAGAAAATAATGATATTATGGCTATTTGTCAATAATTACATGAATTTCATTTTCTTGGCTTACTGCTTAGGCTAGGACTTTTGAAAATGTGTTAAATCACAGTGGTAATAGCAAGCTCTTTGTCTTGTTCAAGATTTAGTGAGAATGCTTTTAGTGTCTTAGGTTAGATGTGAGGTTCTGGAGTTGATGTTCTTAGCAATCAATGTATCATGTAAGACAACTAATCTTTCTTTTAAATGTCAGCTGGGAAGGGATACAGTTTGAGCACCAGCCATTAACTTGGGGGATGAAAACATTGAGCATCCTGGCTAGTGTTGCCGGATGAAAACACTCACAAGGTCATGTGTCTTCTTTTCAACCCTGAATGCAGCCCTGTGTAGATTCAAGGTTCGGAAAAGCTGGATCACCTGAATGACCTAATTTTTGCAACACATTAGGTTAAACCAACATGGGAAATATCAAAGTCTACAGTGAATTATTTTAATCTGAGCTGGTCCAAGGCCATGGGCTTTGAAAGATTTCTGTTCATGGCACAGTCGTCTTTTTTGAAGCTGAATGTCTTATATGTGACTGAAGTTTTTACATAAACAATTTTGAATCAGGTGGAATGAAATTTGATCCCTATATCAGGAAAATAGAGTTAGAAATGAGGCATAGACAGGGCTAAAAGGAAAAGACACAGATATTCTAGCAAAGTAAAGTTAAGAGAGTGAATTGGGAATTTCCCTAAACTTGAAAAGCAAGTGCTGTTCTCTGTCCTAAATATAAATGTAAACTTTAAGTGTGAAGATTATTCATTTAGCTTTAAATGAATATTTAAATTTAGATGAATATCCGATCTTCAGATTCCAGCTCTATGCAAGGGAAAAGAATGGCCTTATCCCAAATGTTAGATAGACATGAAGAATACCTCACAGAAGCACTTAATTACTGTAGCTGTAACTCTTACGTGAGAGTTATTGTCTGTGGTAGTTTTGACATATAAAGTATGGGATTTTTGTTTGTCTTACCATACTGGTCCCTAAAGATTTATTAGAATTAAGTGGTGATGTATAGTCTACAATTTTCTTTAGCCAGATCAACAGAGTCCTGAGTGGCTTATTGTGTGCTAATTATTTCATATTTAAAGATCATAGTAATTAATACCTATTCTGGATGATAATCATTGTTTTATTTATAACAACTCCCAAAAGCCACTAAATATTCATGTGTCTGAAATTTTAAAGATTAGTTTCCAAATTTAAAAATATGAATTTTTGTTCAAAAGGCCCCAGTGAATACATTTTTGAGTCGTATTCCAAGACAAGTATGAATTTAAAATATACCTTAGTTCTTTAACTTTCAAAAGTATAGGAAACTGCTGAGCTGACAAAGAACATATGGTCAAATCCCCATCTTCCCAACATCTGTTATATGGACAGTTTAAAAAATTCTTAGGAAGGAAAAATGTGAATTTATCCCTAGGAGAGAAATGATTTCTCATATGGGGTCAAAACATACACACATACTCAGTATGTGTCCATTTTCAATTTGTCCCTTCTGTACTGCTTTGCACTCTAAATGGGAACTTTTAAAATTAAAAGCTTCCAAGGGCATTCACAGAGATCTCTTTGGTTTTGTGGAATCCTTCCAAATCTTGGTAATTATTTCCTGTGATGTTGCCAAACTTTTCATAGGCAGATACCGTAACTCAAAATGTTTTTTTAATCTGGTTGGTAATGTCCTCTGGGCTTTAGAGTATCTATTTTCCCTTAATCATTTCAGCCTCCTGTTAGCGATCTATTAAACAAATAAATTTCAGCTTAGTTTTTTGTGCATGACCTTCCTGCTATAATACAAAGATATAACAGTAATGAGACTAGCTTTAGCCACTTACATATCTCCTAAAAATGGTATTAACTGCTATTCTTAGGCATTATGTTATAAAAACATTATTTACCTAAAGTCTCCAAATAGTTGTTTTTTATTTTTATGTCTTCATAATGCAATGTAGCTCAAGTAATTTCTGGTTTGGGACTCAAAGGAAGGATACTACTAGGTTTATGTGGATTCTTAAGTTCTCATGAATGATTGACTAGGGAGAGACCTCAGCAAGAGAGTGAGATGTAGGACAGGAATGCACAGCCTTGTGAATTTATGTGCCGAGTTCGTATTCAGAAGACTCGCTTAACTATCACCCAACCACCAGCAGCAAACTACCTTCCCACAGGAGAGGATGATATTGCTTTTGGGCTTTGTTTCTTTTCTCTATAAATTCACAGGTCCTACCCCTAGGACAGATGTAGACACACCTCTCTGGAACGCCAAAAACCTTGCCTTTGGAGGTAACTTAGAAAAAGGCCAGAAATATTAAGAGAAGTGAATTCGGGCCTGCGTTTTGTGTTTCGAGGTAGTTCCAACCGAAAGGGTAAACAATAACCATGGAACCTTGTGTTCAGTGATTTTTCCTCTGTCTGCTCTGACAGGCCGCCTTGACCATTCAGGACAGCCACATTGAGATCCACAGGCTGGTTCTCCAGCAGCAGGAGGGCCTGTCTCTCGGCCACTCTATCCTCCGAGGCGGCCCCTTGCAGGACCAGAAGTCTCGCGACGCGGACAGGCAGCATGAGGAGCTGGCCAATGTGCACCAGCTTCAGCACCAGCTCCAGCAGGAGCAGCGGCGCTGGCTGCGCAGGTGTGAGCAGCAGCAGCGGGCGCAGGCGACCAGGGAGAGCTGGCTGCAGGAGCGGGAGCGGGAGTGCCAGTCGCAGGAGGAGCTGCTGCTGCGGAGCCGGGGCGAGCTGGACCTCCAGCTCCAGGAGTACCAGCACAGCCTGGAGCGGCTGAGGGAGGGCCAGCGCCTGGTGGAGAGGGAGCAGGCGAGGATGCGGGCCCAGCAGAGCCTGCTGGGCCACTGGAAGCACGGCCGGCAGAGGAGCCTGCCCGCGGTGCTCCTTCCGGGTGGCCCCGAGGTATGGACCTTCTGCGGTGCTGTGAGGCAGCCTCTCAAAGACAGGGGTGGGCCTGGGGGCTCCTAGGACACTAACCAAACATCTGTCATTTTGGATTTGTGTAAGAAGACCTCATGAGGATTTTTCAATTTGTAGGTAGCCAAAGCTGGAAGCTTTCAGAGATAACGCATATCCATTTTGACTTAAAATATGGACAGTGCGGGCCAGGCGCGGTGGCTCATGCCTGTAATCCCAGAACTTTGGGAGGCCGAGGCGGGAAGATCACCTGAGGTTGGGAGTTCGAGACCAGCCTGGCCAACATGGTGAAACCCCGTGTCTACTAAAAATACAAAAATTAGCTGGGCTTGGTGGCGGGCCTCTGTAATCCCAGCTACTCAGGAGGCTGAGGCAGGAGAATCACTTGAACCCATGAGGCGGAGGTTGCAGTGAGCCGAGATCACGCCATTGCACTCCAGCCTGGGTGACAAAAGTAAAACACCATCTCAAAAAAAAAAAAAAAAAAAAAAAAAGGACAATGTGAGGGCCCAAGTCCTATGGGATCACTGCACTCTGCCTGAGATGCCCTTACCCTAAGGAACAAACACAGAATCAAGTTGTCCTAGAAAGGCCAGGGTGGGTTTGTCCTGGAGGCACACTCACTGCGAGCGTGCTCTTTTTCCAGTATTTGAAGGACTCTCTTTATATGATCTGTCTTAAGAGTTCTATTAGATGTAGCTTTTAGAAGATCAATTAACTATGAATATATACTATAGGCACTGAATTTAGCAAGTATAGTACTATTCTGTTATGCTGAGCTTCTTCTCTCTTTGTAAATTTGATATAGTAAATTCAAAATCCATTTCACTAATAAGAGTTATTTATTTGTGTCTTTTCTAATCATGCTTGAGAATCCTATTCGTCCCAGAAATTTATTTTCCTGTGTTATGTGCATGTATGTTTTTTTACTGATAGTGCCTAAAGTTGTAGAAGTTGATAAGCTTACAAGATCTCTGTTGCAATCTGTTTTTCCTTTTAAGTTGGCTAAATTATGTTTATTGCAAACTCCTCATGTATATATGGATATGTTTTCAACTTTTTTATTTAGCAAAAGTAAAAACTGCTGCTTTCTCTGATTAAAATAAAGTGGAAACACTTTAATGTCATAGAGTGCCACTTTTTTTGTTGTTGTTGTTAAAGATATGCCATGCATAGCAAATTGAAGTTTTTGGTACTAGCTCATTAAAAGAGTATGGGAGAGGGGAGGGAGAAAAGAAGTGGTAATCTTGACCTCACTTTTACTGAAATCTTGATTCCTAAGATTCTCTCAGGAATAAATACTTTATGAAACTTGTATAAGTTAGAAAAATTATTGTACTTTTCCTCTGTTTCTTTACACAGGTAATGGAACTTAATCGATCTGAGAGTTTATGTCATGAAAACTCATTCTTCATCAATGAAGCTTTAGTACAAATGTCATTTAACACTTTCAACAAACTGAATCCATCAGTTATCCATCAGGATGCCACTTACCCTACAACTCAATCTCATTCTGACTTGGTGAGGACTAGTGAACATCAAGTAGACCTCAAGGTGGACCCTTCTCAGCCTTCGAATGTCAGTCACAAACTGTGGACAGCCGCTGGTTCCGGCCATCAGATACTTCCTTTCCATGAAAGCAGCAAGGATTCTTGTAAAAATGGTAATTAACACTTTAAACATCATCTGTATAGTTTGAACAAGAAGTTGTCCCTCTGAATGGTTGGCTCTTGTGTAGAGTGAATCAAAGTCCTCCCTAGCATGGGAATAAATCGGTACTGATGAGCTGGAGTTTGTGGCATTCACTTTTCTTTGGGGAAGTCTGGGGACAGCCTTTGCTTGTAAGTTACCTAGACAAGTGAGACCATGGTCATAGGGCTTAGAGAATGCTCACAACATGTGAGAACCAGACAGGATTTTTAGATGTGTGGGTTAAAATAATAATGTCCTCTTAAAAGTAAAGCAACTTGATATTTACTCCCCACTATTGTGGACCCCACTACATCCTGAAACACCTATGTTGACACTCAGAAATAATAACAGATACCAACAGGGTTGGTAGTGGGACTTTATCAGGGCAATTTCCTGTAACGTTAGTGAAATCTTCTGTACTGCTATTAAACACCCAAAATGAAACTGTTAACATCATTTGTCATTGTAAAAAAAAAAAAAAGTGTTGTCTCTCCATAAGTACCTCATAATAACACAATTTGCTAATCCCATTAAAGCATTTGCCAAGTATAAATGAAAGGCAGCTCGTGTTACCAGCTCCACATGAATCCGAATGATTTAAATCTATGTCTATTATAAATTGTTTTCTGGGGGATATGAGGTAGGGAATGAGAAGAACTTGAAACCTCTCTACCGAAAAACAGATGGCATGCAATAGAATAAACAAATGGCTGGCCACATGGATGTGAAATAAATCACCCACAGCAAAATGTTTCAGAAACATAAAACAAGCAGTAGTATAGAAGTCTTCAGAACTGGATACAGATTTGTTTCTATGCTTAATATATATTCTTAGTTTGTCAGTTGGAGGATAATTTTTCAGCAACAAAAAGGTTTGAAGGTATTTGGCTTCTCCCAATTCAAGAGTAATAATTCTGATACTGCTTATAAGTTGATTTATTACTGATCCAAAAGATGTTGATTCTTAATAGTGGCTAATTCTTTACATTACTTAAGTCACCGTGGTAACATTCTTCTTTCTTGTCAGCATATAGGAGAGAATGAAATAGTTTTTTAAAGTATTATTTCAGATATTCTTTAGGTAAAGAAAAAATATGATGGAATCGTTCAGATTAAATAAAAGGTCAAGCCAAATTTTGAAAAATGTAACTTCTTTAATATATTATCTTACAACTTTACTACAATAGAGAGCAGATTGCAGAATTCTTTTTCTAAGCACATGTTGCTTTGCTGTGTTGGTTCATTAATCTGCTATTTACAGTGCTTCATGTGGTTTTGTCAGCATGGTTTTACATACTGGCTTTGGTATAATTCCGAAACTCAGTTTGAGTTAAACCACATTCAGCTTTTGTTTAAAAGAAGCATGTCTCTTACTTTTTGTGTATCTCCCATCTTTTTCTATTGACTTGTGCTTCAAAGTAAAACTTTTTAAACCATTTGGCAGCATACTTGCAGTAGATAGAAAATGTACTAAGGAAATAAACAGTGATTATATACAAAACCAGTCTATCCACATGTAAGGAATTAGAGCCAAAGGAAATGCTGAGAAATGTACTTACGCTTAAGAAATTGTATGTCCAGAGTAGGCCAAGGACGCTCAGGACATTGACAGGAGAGAAGAAAGTCAACTGTGGCTTAAATCTCTCAGGAACATCCTGGTTTATATAAGTAGGGATTACATCAGAAATGCTGTGTGTACTGTTCACCACTGGAGTTTTGCAGCTAGTCAAAAAACCTTATTTATGTTTACTTCATGATAAGCAATTTCTACAGGGGAGAAAAGAAAGTCAGAGAATAGGCGGTGATAAGAAAGTGGATTGAGAATAGGATATATACACTTAAAAGAGTGGTCAAGGCTAGATAAAATTATTCAAACCCTCCAGAGCTTTCACAGCTTTTATCATTGACAGTAACACAACATCAGCCACTGGTGATGGCCTTAGCTAGGCTCCGTGGGCGCTTGCCACACATGATCTTGGGGGACAGTGACTGCGGGGGGCCGGACAGGAAGAAGCAGGCTCCAGGGTGTGCTGGGTGGTAACAGCTGATGTGCCAGAACCAAGGACCAGGCAGTGTTGTTGTCCCCTCTTCTGTGTTTTGCTGCTGAATCTGGGTGAGTGGCCATCAGTGACCACTACTGAGGATCTCCATAGTTCACTGTAATCTGGCTAACATAATTTGCCTATAATGTTGTGGGCTGGTATTTTAGCTAAATGTGTACTTAACCATGATTTCATTCAGGCTTCAGTCACTCTTTCATTGTTAGGCCATAACGTCTGCCGTTCCAGGTAACATCTTAAAGAATGGTTTGCCCTTTTGCCTAGTCTGGTACTGTGGATAGATGATCAGCTCAGATCAGTGAAAATGTGAATTTCTGGAACAGTAAGGCTGATGGGAAAAATTGTATATAAAAACAATTCTCCAATGTGTTTAGATACCACCTAGATAGGAATTTCTGTTGGTTTTTTCAGTACAGCCTCAGCAGACATTTTTGTGCTCTAATTGTGATTGGTTTCTGAATTGCTCTACCCCCACCCCTGCCACCAGTAATTATATGACACATCAAATTTCAGGCACTGTGCTAAGGTTTTACATGGGGAAACTCATTTAATACTCACAACAACCCACTGAGATGGTTCTGTCCTTTGAGAGGGGCAGCTGGGATACAGAAAGGTCAAGTAACTTGTCCAGATCACATAGCTAGTAAATTGAACCTGGGAATTGAACCTGGGAAGATTGGCTTTAGAGCCCATGCTGTCAATCATTACACTATACATTCTGAATTGCTTTTTTTTTTTTTTTTTTTTTTTGAGAAGGAGTCTCTCTTTGTCGCCCAGGCTGGAGTGCAGTGGTAATATCTTGGCTCACTGCAACCTCCACCTCCCGAGTTCAGGTGATTCTCCTGCCTCAGCCTCCTGAGTAGCTGGGATTACAGGTGCCCGCCATCACACCTGGCTGATTTTTGTATTTTCAGTAGAGACGGAGTTTCGCCAAGTTGTCCAGGCTGGTCTCGAACTCCTGACCTCAAGTAATCCACTGGCCTTGGCCTCCCAAAGTGTTGGGATTACAGGCTTAAGGCACCACACCCGGGCTAAATTATTAATTTCTAGAAAGCTGTTTTGAGCTGTACTTTTTTTGAGATTGAGAGTCTCACTCTGTCGCCCAGGTTGGAGTTCAGTGGCGTGATTTTCAATCACTGCAACCTCCACCTCCTGGGCTCCATCCACCTCCTGGACTCACTGCAACCTCCCACTTCAGCCTCCTGAGTAGATGGGACTACAGACTTGCACTATGCCCAGCTAATTTTTGGCTTTTTTGTAGAGACGGGGTTTCCCCATATTGCCCAGGCGGGTCTTGAACTCCTGGACTGAAGCGATTGGCTGTTTCAGCCTCCCAAAGTGCTGGGATTATAGGCATGAGCCACAGTGCCCAGCCATGAGTTGTACTTTTTAAAGAAGTTGGTTTAGATATAGAACTAATCTAATCCTTTTGTAATGCCTAGTGGGATGTTCATGATTAAGGACCAGGTTTTTGTTTTTATTGGTTTTTTTTTCTCCCCTCCTTCCCTTTTTAATAGTAACATTTGGAAAATATTTCTAAATGTTTTGGATTACTGTGGCCAACTCTTGCATGGGGCCTGAACATTTTCAGTATCATAAATACTCTTTAGCTTTACTTTTTTCTCATAAGGGATATTTTCTTAAAAATATTTTGTTTCTCCAATGTTGCCTAATAATAAACCCATGTTATCTGTAAATATTTTTTAAGATAGAACTTTAAAGAACTTTACTTTCCAGTTTTGGAAGTTATTTCATGAACAAAATTCTTGGATGTTCAAACATTAAATCCAAATTGATATTTTATTTGTAGTGGAAGAGATGGTTGGCTTAAGAACTTTTTCTGTACTCCTCTATGGGACACCAGCCAAGACTACAGAATATTTGAATTTCCTTAAACAATAGTCTCTGTGGGACAATTGCTATGTAATCGGCCCTATGAGATGCTCAACAGCATTACTCTGAAAGGCAAAAACAAAGAAACAACAATAAAAAAACCCAACATTTTATTCTTGTGGCTTTTTTTCTCCTAGCTTTAACATTTTAGAACTATATATTGAATGCATCTATATGTTATTTGCCTTTTTCATTAACAGAGGAAACATCTTATGGTATAAAAATCTGAAATCCTAATCTCCCTTTTCAGTTGTATTTTTCTGTATGCCTCAATATTTGCAGGTTTCCCAAAAGTTCTCTTCAGTTCAGTTAAAGCATTATGATTTTGTTATGCATAGGCTAAAATGTAAGTCAAGCCAAATTTTATGTTAATAATATAGATACTGGGAAAAAAGTAACTTGATTAAGTTTGAGTTCTCTTTCCTTTTACTACATATTAGAATTTGGTGCCAAGGAAACTATTTTCAAAATTCAAAGCATTGTATTTAGAATACCTCATCTTGATAATTTTTTTTTAAAAGACAGCTGTGTTAAACTTTGACAAGTTTTTTATGTAAGGGAAGAAAATAGAAAATTTCCAAATGAAAACCTATGCCATACTTAGTATTTAAATAAGTCTTAAGAAGTGAGAGGATGATAATTTCTCATGTTTTAAAATATTTCATAATTCAGAAATTGACACCTTACTTGTGTAATCTATATGGAAAGAAGCTTTGCCCAAAGAACTTTAGGCAATTTTCCTGGAAATTGAAACTGGTATTAGACACCATAAACTTCTATGATGTGAGTGTATTTGAAGAGGGGGAATGTATTTGTTGACTAGGGCTGCCATAACAAAGTACCACAGGCTAGGGGGCTTAGACAACAGAAATTTATTTCTTCAGTTCTGGAGGCTAGAATTAGGGATCAAGGTGTTGGCAGCGTTGGTTTCTTCCGAGGCCTCTCTCCTTGACTTGCGGATGAGATGGCCACCTTCTTCCTGCGTCTTCACCTGGTCTTCCCCCTGTGCCTGTCTGTGCCCCAATCTCTCTTTATATCAGTGATATTGGATTAGGGCCCACCATAATGACCTCAATTAACTTTATTCTTTAAAGCTGTATCTACAAATACATTCTGAGCTACTGGGGGTTAGGACCTTAACATGTGAATTTTGGGGGGACACAGTTCAGCTCTTAACAGGGGACAAAATGATGATTTTTCTCCCTACCATAGTTTTAGGTGTCATGAAAGCCTTAATTTAATATTAAAAAGCCTGAATTTTATATATACCAAAGTTGAACTATAACAACATTGTTAGTTTTTTGACTTGGTAAGGGAAGTGAATTGAACTTTGTAAAGAAAATAATAATTACATAATAATAAAATTGTGATGAATATTTATATCTGTATATTGATAGATATTGAAGTCTGTTATCAAGCCTAGTTCAACACATAGAAATTAAGGCAGGAATATTGAATCCATTTCCTATTTAGTGAAACTAGAGCAGAAAATATTGAGTCTATAGGTTTATTTCCTACTTATAGTTTTATTTCCATGCCTAGGCCTTAACTAAGGGGCTTTGGGAATTGTGAGTGCTCTGATTGGGAGGGACATTACGTGCCTTTATTTGGGATTGATTAAATGAAAACAAAGCTGAAGGGCTGAAGACATTAATTACAATATCAAATTATTATTCAGAGATATATATAGGAGTCTGAGGAAATCATCTGGCAACTCTTTCTTCTAGAATCGTGACTATCACATTAGGTTATGTTTTAAAGGAAACTATAATATTGCTTGCTCTTGGTAATCTATATCATGACAAAAATATAAAGTACTGGGCTCAAGGGCTTAATTTTCATCTTTCTCATCGACAAGTGGAGATGATTGACTTTAGCCTTTTGCAGATTTTATACAAGGAAAAGGAAAGATGACATTCGCTTGTAGAGCCTGGTGAGCCAGGAGTGCTTACTGCCAACTTCCTGATTGCATATTTCTCTGGGGGCAGGTTGGCTATGTGAGCCAACTGGGCCAGGGCCATCCCGCCTCAGCACACAGAGCCTAAGACACAGCAGGAGAGCAAAACCAGCAGGTGGGTGGATTCAGAGGCAGCCAGCCAGCCATGCGGGTGTCTGTTCATCTCTACCCTGGGTTCCAGTTTAATTTGGACAAGCTGCTGAAGTGTGGGAGTCCACATGGTGTGAATGCTCCAGAGAGCATCAGAGGTTAGGCCTGGCCCTGGCCATCCTGAGCTTTAAAAATGAAAAAAATAATACATGCACACATATACACACACACACATGGTCTATGGGCTACATGTTTGACCTCTCTAGTATGATGTGGCTTTACTCTCAAAGAGACTAAGGCTTGGGTTTGGAGGGGAAATTTGTATACCAAACATAACTGAAGGATGAGGCTTGCTGCCTTCAGTCACAGTGACTGATGGGGTAATGATCCGGCTTCAGCAAAGGAAAGGAAGCATCACTCTCTCCATGTATCAGAATCTGGGGACTGTCTTCTCCCCATCCAGCTATGCAGATTTTGTTTTTAAGGTTTGCTTAAAATGTGGAATGTTCGGCTGAGTACCATTGATTTATGTTTGCCTAAGAAGAATGTGACCATCTGTCTTAGGGGGTGGCACGCTTTTCCTTAAAGGGTCCTATAGTAAATATTTTAGTTTTTGCAAGCCATCGGATCTTTGTTACAACTAGTCAACTCTGTCATTGTAGCTTGCAAAGCAGCCATAGACAATATGTAAATAATAAGTTTAGCTGTGTTCCAGTGAACTTTCTAAAAACAGGTGGCTGTAGTTTGCCTACCCCAGAGGCTGGTTTCCAAACTTTCTTTTCCTCCACTTAAGTGAGGAGTGACAATTACACTCCTCCTTGTTTGGAATGTTCACCTTTGGGTGAATTAATAGTGCAATATTATATGGCATTTCATGCCATTCAAAAGCAGATTTGAATTCATGATCTCATTTGCTCTTTATAATGATTTTGTGAAATGATGGTTACTGTCTCTGTAAAGAGACAACTTTTCTCTTTCGCTTTTTGTTCAGTCTCTGAAAACATAAATTCAGGAAGAGATAGCTGAATATACTAGATGGAGTTTAAGGCCAGAGGCTTAAAACTTGGAGAAACCCTTCTCCCCAACTCCAGCTCCCCAAATTCTGTGATGGTATTGAGGAGGGCCACCCTCTGACTGTGCAGCTAATGAGAAGTAAGATACATGGATAGGAATTTGTTGCTAGAATCATGCTTCCCTTAGCTGGCTATGCATCAGAGTTTGCTGTGGTGAACAAAAAAAAATACAGGTTCCTCTATTCAGAGATTGTGATTTGAATCAGGGCTTGGCTGGAGCCTGCAAACTTGTGTATCTAACATTCTTCTTAGTTGATTCTGAAGCAGCCAGCCTGACGCATGTCCCCGGATTGCTGGCCTGGGATACTGGACTTGATATAAGAGAACTTTGCTTCAAACCCTGGACTCTGGCTCCTACTGCCGTGGGATCCCTAAGTCTTAGTTTCCCCATCTGTACAAATGGGAAGGAAGTGTTAACATAATTATTTTAAAAAATGCCTGGCCTGTCCCGGGGATCCAGTGAGCATCAGCTTCCTTCCTACATTCTGGAAATAATGTATTCCGATTGTGATTCAGGGGTCGCCTGCCAACAAAGTGAAAGTGTTTCCTAAACGTTGTTAGAAAGCCAATAGTTTAAAATATAAAATAATTAGCTGTAAATTGGGAAATTTTTCACTCAGATTGGAAATACATTAGAATAAAAAGGGTAACTATCTTTCCATATCAATCTCAGAGGAGGTGTTTGTCAGTGGATCACCAGAATTGTTTTGGGGATGAAGCTCTGATAGCACAGCGTTTTGCTTCTTCCTTTTGTTCCTCTGTCTACTGGAACAAGTTACGTAAGTCAACCACATTTTTAGAACCAGATATAAACACCCAAATGTCAGATACTCTGACAACATGACTGAACATCACCTCCATTTGGGATGGAAAGCTTCCTATCTACAGACCATCCAACACTTGTTGGTTACATTATGCAAATATACCCCCAGGAAGACTTCTAATTGTACTTTGGTTTCTGGAGTGGGCTCTCCTACTAGAAAGAAAATGTCAAAAGCAGCCTACAGGAATATTCTAGTGTAAACTATTTGTCATTTTAAGTCTAAAGATTCTGTTCTAGTTTATCACCTTAATCTCTTTTTGAGTTTGGTTATCCTGAATCAATTTGTACTTGTTAGTTCTGGAGAAACTGATAAAAGTCATGGTTCAGCATCGCCAGAAAGCATCTCTTGTTAGCACTTATAATTTGAATTATATGGGGTAATAATTTATGTAATGTCTGTCCCACTAGAGAGGAAGCTTCATGTGGGTAGAGCATTACATATTTCTCTCTTGTTAACTGCTCTATCACCAGCAGCAAGTAGTGTTTGATATATGATGAAGATTTGATAAACATTTATGAAATGAATGGAGGAGTCCAGGTCCACACTCATTAGCAGAAATGAAAGCAACCATGAGCTGAAGCCACACAGTTGACTCTTTTACTGAGGCACTGAAAGAAGTTGAGGTATCAGAGAAATGGGGTGTGTGATGGTGGTTATCACAGGCAGGATAGATGAGTGTCTCCGGCTAGCTAACTGGATCAAGTGTTTGTTTTAAACTTTTTGTAATATGGTGCATGTTAGATAGCATTCTTAAAATGTTGGGGTAACTGTAAGATTGTTTGCCTTTAATATCTTACTGGATTCCTAGTAGTAGACTTAAAAAATTACAAACTTTTCTTCTGCCTCATTAGTATTGGAGTAAATTTATCAATGTATAGTACTATATGTATCAGTTTGGCATAGGTACTTTTTGTTCAGTTCTAGAGATCATCTTTTTTTTATTTTACTTTAAGTTCTTGGATACGTGTGCAGAACATGCAGGTTTGTTGCATAGGTATACATGTGCCATGGTAATTTGCTGTACCTATCAACCCGTCATCTAGGTTTTTTTTTTTTTTTTTTTTTTGAGACGGAGTCTCACTCTTTCGCCCAAGCTGGACTGCAGTGGCGCTATCCCGGCTCACTGCAAGCTCCGCCTCTTGGGTTCATGCCATTCTCCTGCCTCAGCCGTCATCTAGGTTTTAAGCCCCTCATGCATCAGGTATTTGCCCTAATGGAGAGCATCTCTTTACATGAGTTATTTTTCCGTTAGAATATTGTATACATATAGCCCCCATATGGCCATGCATAGGAGATGAGAACTTAAAAAGTTAAAATGTGTTTCCCATAAAATGCTTTATGGTACCCTGAGCTTTAGAAATGAATCCAGTGCTGTCGCTGTAGGAAGATGACACATTTACGATTTAATTGTTATATCAATAACAATTAGTCAGCTTATCTGTTCACTGGGGTATTTCTTTTTTAACCATAAAGTAGCTTGAATACCATGACATCAAGCATGGGTGGCCAGTTCAACATCAATGAAACACTTTCTTAAACTCTTTTTTTCTTCTGCTAAATCCTACTTAACAGTTCAGTGCATCTCCCCAGGCAAAAACAATTAGTATTTGTTTAGTTAAATATGCTCCTAGAATGTGAACCAATTTCCCTGGCATGGCCTTCTAGGTATCAGCCTTAAAATGTTGCCTGAAACATCAAATATTTATTATAGCAAACTTAAAATGAAGTGTGGTTGAATCTTAAGAAATAGATCCCTTTGCTTTACCCCATACTGACTGAAACATACTTGTGTTCTTAGTGGGTCACTTTTCAGACACAGCTAAGGAGGAAGAGTTGTTCTGCTCAGACCTTTGACCAGATGATAAATAAGCCTGGGCCTTAGTTTTGATCTGTGGAGATGTTAATTTGCCACGATAAATCACTGTTGAGTTTCCTTGAATAAGGGGCCACAGTATCCATTCTCTTTCTGGATAAGATATTAATTCAGTTTAATTTGAAATGTTAATGCTTGGTTTGAAGATTTACCTAAGGAAAAATGTAGGCTTCCAAAGGGTGTAGTTATGCAGGATAGGTTTCTGAGCCTTTTGCTGAACAATTTCATAGTAAGGCTGTTCAAATTTAATTATTTTCACAGTGACTCTTTTCCATACTCTTTTTGTACAAGTTTTATTACACTATGGCTTTTTCTTTCTAAAACATAACATGGTGAATGTTTGTATTAAATACAGAATATTTGGATCATCCACTAGAAATTCGGGAGACTCTGCTTCTCTGATGAATTGAGGCTGTTTTTAAGGAATGGTGCTGTAAGGCTTTGGAAGAACCGTTTACAAGCAAAACATTGGCAGAGTTTTAATTTTATTTAATGACCTGCTTCCTACCAGTGATCTCGGCACCCTGTGCAATGATTTGCAATCAATTAATCATACAGAATGAATGTTGTAACACTGCAATAAGGGCATTGCACTCTAAGAGTCTCATAAATCCACCAGAAACAAAAAAACAGGAATTGCATGCTCAAAGACTTCCTCATGCAAAACCCCAGATGAAAAGGTGATTTTATGTTCTGTTTTCTAAAGTGTCCTCAGAAGCCTTAAGACTTTCTTGTGGATTCTGAGTTTTGAAGTTTCCATTTCTCAAAGACTGTTTGGCCCTTTACTGGGCTGTCATCATAGGATTCTATAAGTTTTCGCCTCATTCGGTTTAGTCACTGATCATTTAGATGGGGAATTCTTGATTCTGAATTACCAAGAGAAGCCCATGGCTTTGTGTTTTCCTCTGAATTTAGGGCAGTCACTTTCAACTGCAAGAGGCCATATTTTGGGGAGCCTTTGTAGAAATGATTCAGAAAGGAGACATGTTTCCATCCTGGGAATACACTGACATTTGCTAGAGGCAGATGGCAGAAGATAGGATAGCGTGACATCAGAAGTCAAGGAGCCTTCACATACTTGGCTTTGCCGAAAGCTTCTGGAATCTGCGTGTTCAGGATCTTAAGCTTGTGTGCTTGTCATTTCAGATGTGCCCTTGCAGTTAACTGTTTAACTATGATGGATTTTTTTTTCTAATTTTAGCATAGTAAATATAGAGCTATTAAACATTCTTAAAATTATATAAGCCTAAACCCTTGGATGTGTGTATATTGTGTTGTCTTTATTCATTTTCATATGGTTCTGTTTTTGGAATGTTCTTATAACAAGAACATGGAAGTTTAATATATATTCCATCTGACTAAAACTGAACCCTCTTTAAAGAAACTAAAGGTTTTCAAAGCTGTTTTACTTCCAATGAGTAGTTTAAACTTCTAGTTCATGATGGATTTATTCCTATCAAAAAGTTGTACTATTTTTGATTACTTGTTAATGTATCCAGATTGGCATGTTAGACACAAGTAGAGCACATCCTGTATTTTTAGATGCTTGATGCTTCTGTTCAGCATAAGCCCTGAAAAATACCAAGTTTTGCAAATGCAAAGTACTTTTCATTGGCATGGAAATTGGAGGGAAAAAACACAATGAATATTTTGGCCAAAATGTGATGGTCTGTTAGTCAGCATCTGGTAATGCGGCCATATTTTGCATTCAGGCTCCAGTATGACAAAGTGCAGTTGTACGTTGACATCTCCCCCGGGACTGTGGACTGGAACCACATCTACTTTGAAAGGTAATACTGCAAGGGGGGTGCTTAGCCTTCTTTTAGGGTACTCCACTCAACTACCTACATAATTTGGTTTTTAAAATGTTTTGGTTTATGCTAAACAAGCAGTCTGAGATAAAGCATGGTAAAAAAAAATCAAATACTAAATTTGTCTTTATGAGCTCCCTTTCTCTGATGAGCTGGCTATGAGTCCGTTACCTTCATGAATATGGAGCAAAAAGCCTAAATCTGAACTCTGTCGGCTGGAAGCGAACAAAGTACTGGGAAAAATTACATCAAAGTATGCTACTGGTAGAAGTTATCGTTGGTCTTGGCAAGACTACAGAGGGTTTTTTTCAAATGCTGCTGCCCAGTAAATTAAAATATTTTCTCTTTGTATTTGTCAGGTAAGAGATACAGATATATAGGTAAGATGAATATATTTGTCAGGTTCAATCTCTTGCCTACTATGATAGCCAGTCCCTTCACCCCCTCTACCATAGGATAGACACACAATTGAATTCTTCTTTGTCTAAAACAAGGTGGGCTTAAGGTAAAACATTGATCTTCTCAAACAAACTTACAGGACTTCTGGTGGTGACTATTTTCAGTTTCTTTAGAGAGACTGTTGGCTAACTTTGAGGATGTATGGTTCAGGAAAGTTTCAGAAAATATGTTGCATGAAGGGATAATTAAATGACTGAGTTAACACTAACCCAGAAAAAAACACTAGGGTTGAAACAAACCCTAGCTTCTTCTGGTCAAAAATGATGTTGCTTAGCAATAGACTCTAAAATGCTTTATCCAATTTATTTTATTTATTGAGACATAATTTACATAGAGTGAAATGCTTAGCAATATCATTTTTGACCAGAATGACCAAGAACTGAATCAGACCAGACATGTTCCTGTGAGGAACTGCCATTCAGGATGAAAAAATAATGAATCCAACCCCCATTGCCTGCAGCCAAGTTTCGGTAAATGTTGACTGAAAACACACTTTTCCAATGTAATGAGCCTTATGTACATTTATTGATACTTCACTATTAAGTGAGGGACCTGAGTGAAGAAAAGAATGGATGAACACATCAAGTGCACTTTATTTATACTGAACAATGGAGATGACAGGCTGGCATAGTGATTAAGATGGAAGGCTTGGGAATTATGCCTAGGTTCAGATTCCAGCTCAGTCATTTATTATCTATGAAATTTTAAGCAGGTGTTTAAACTTACTTGGTGTCTCAGTTTCCTCATCTCTACAGTTGGATTTCTGATAGTATCTACTTTGGAGGTGGTATGATGATTACATAAAACAATGTGTGTACAACTCTTAGACCTTTGTGAGCACTTAATAAACACTACTGTTATCACTGTTACTATTATATCTTGTGGTGAGAAAGGAGTACATGATTAGGAAGTGCATTTGGTGCATTCGAGCCACTGGGCTGCTTCTAAAGTGGTTGCTCTGGGGACCAGAGAGACTTGTTATGCCTCATTTGGGTATCACATGAATCAGCACACCTCAAAAATTATTCCACAGTTTGGATGTTAGTATTAGGTATTATATAAGAATTTCCCATAATCAAATAATATTGAGAAATGCTGATTTTTGGGAAGGCACAACTTTTCCCAAACTTCTACTGTGCTCCTGTGCACTGTGAATCTGCAGAATTGGCCCTTCCCAAACCCTTTCAACCACAGCATCCTCCTTTGGAGGCCAGCATCTTGCAAGACTACTTATTCCTTGAAATACACTGTGGAAAAAACACTGATGTCAGGGGATATTGAAATAAACTCACTGCATGCGGCATACCCTTCAAAGACATTTTTCCTCCCTTTGGAACAGTTGAAATTCAAATGACATATCCTAGCATGATTTGCCACATGGGTTGTGTTTTGAAACCCAAATCTAACACAACAAATTTCAGATAGAGCTTTGTTTAGCCCCCAGGCCAGTTTTTGGTCCCGTGGATAAGGGTTGGTATCCAGACCTCTTAGAGCTTTTCTGCATCAGCTTTCCAGGGCTTATTCAAACCCTCCATGTGCTGGAAGTCCCTCACCCTTTATGAGGCACAGGAGGCGATACGCTTGCATCTCGATCTCTCAGCCTCGGCTCATGCTGTTCTCTCCTTTCTCATCCTGTGTTCCAGCCATAGGAATTCTGTTCATTGTGTGGAAGGCTACGCACCCCCACATCCCCAACCTTTTGTACATGTGTTTCCTCTATCGAGAATATTCTCTCCTCCACCTTTTACTCTCAACCTGATGACCCCATACTTAATCTTTCAGGACTTGGCTCCAGGGCCACGTGCTTCCACAGTATTTTCTCACTTGTTTGCTTTATGCAGTTTATTTATTGAGACATAATTTACATAGGGGGAAATGCTCAGATACTGTCTACTGTCCAGTCAGTTTTGTGGGAAGAATATCAAGGCACAGAGCACTCTGTCACCCTAGAAAGTTCCCATATGCCCCTTTCCAGTCAACCCCTCCCCTTCAAAGCAGCGACTCCTCTGCAATCCATCACCATGGGTGAATTTCGCTGATTCTAGAATGGAATGGAATGGAACACTTTGTGCCTTTTGGGGCCTAGCTTTTTTCACTCAGCATATTATTTTTGAGAGGCAACCATGTTGTTGCATGAGCCCATAGTTGGTTCCCTTGTATTATGTTTCATTGATGAATATTCCAAAGTTTACTTATCCCTTCCTTGTTGATGGACATCTGGCTTATTTCTAATTTTTGGCCAGTCTGAATAAAGCTGCTATAAACATTCTTGTACAGGATTTTGTGAATTATGTTTATATTTCTCTTGGATTAATACTTAGGAGAATTGCTGCTAGGATAGGTGTCTGTTTAACTTTCAAGAAACTGTGCAACAGCTTTATACTGTGAAATAGTGATTGTCCTGACTACAAACCTCCATGGTGCTGAGACCAGGTTTTGTTCAACGTGATTTTCCTGGTGTCCAGCCCAGGGCAGGGCACATGCTAGACATTCAGTGTTTATTGAAGAATGAATGAATAAGAAGTTCAAATCAGTTTTCATTCTGACATCTCTACTACTAACTGAGAAAAAATGAATGCTCTGTCCATCAAGGAGATGGAAATTTTATTGGCTAAATGTGGGCTGATTATAGGCAGGCAAAAACAAGAGAGACATAGCTTCCTTCTTACTGTGCTCTTGGACTTGCCTCTCTCGTTTCAGGGTGGCAGCATGTGCAGGTAAAATCAGGTGTGCAAGTTGACACAGGCCATAGAAGGGTCCTGATCACCAGTATAGCTGAGCTCACCTCCTGCAGTTAAATCTCCCAACACTCCCATTCAAGACCCTCCCAAACCTCCTTTTTCATCCCCCCCTACCCTTTGGTTCACCTGCACAAATACATGTTTCAGCCAAACTTGACAACTCTCCCTACTTTGTGACATCTTGCATTCTCTCCCCTTTGCAATGGCCACAGACTCCACCCAGAAGGCCTGCCACATGCAGCCACAGCCATCTCTTTCTGTGGACACCCTGGGCAGCTTTCAAGGCTCAGTTCATGTGCTTTCTCCTCTCTGAAGTGTTCCTTGGCCACCACATCTGGAAGCTTGCTCTCTTTGGAGAGTCTTTGAGATGGTGTCCACCTGTGGACAATGTTCATTAGCCACTTAGCAGGATATTCTGCTTTTATTCTACTTGTCTGTGTATTTCTGCTCTGTGAGGTAATAGGCTTCTTAAGGGACACGTATGTAGTGGCCCTCAGCAGTCTGATAGGAGCTGAGGCTGCTGGCCACTAAGTAGCTGATGCTAGTCTTCATGATCCTTGCTCTTGATGGCCGATTCCATTAAAGAGGAGTTAATTACATGGTAATGCCATAGCTCCTTCTTAAGAGGAGGCTTTAGTACAAACTTGGGAATTCATGTCACCTGGTGGACAATTGAAAGGCAGCTGCTTTCTTGGCCAGGTGCAGTGGCTCATGCCTATAACCTCAACACTTTGGGAGGCTGATGTGGAAGGATTGCTTGAGCCCAGGAGTTCAAGACCAGCTTGGGCAACATAGCGAGAGCCCATCACTAAAAAAAAAAATAAAAATAAAAAATAAAAAACTTAGCCAGGCATGGCGGAGTGCACCTATAGTCTTAGCTACTTGGGGGGCTGAGGCAGGAGGATCACATGAGCCTGGGAGGCTGCAGTAAGCTGTGGTCATACCACTGCACTCCAGTTTTTGTGACAAAACAAGACTGTCTTAAAAAAACCTTTCTTTAGGATCCAGTGCTAGTCACAGGTCAGATGTTGTCAGGAAGCACAGATATCAAAAGCTAGATTATTGCTATATATCATTTGTATGCACTAAACAATTTAAAGTCATCTCCCATAGGGAAAGATGGCTCCAAGGAGTAAAGGAATAGAGCAATTTATCATGAGACTGGGTCTTAGTAGGTTGCCCAGGCTGGCCTGAGACTCCTGGGTTCAAGTGATCCCCCTGCCTCAGCCTCCTCAGTAGCTGGGACTATAGGCACGAGCCACAACATCTGGCTTTATGTTCTCTTTTGATTGCTGTTTTGGTACTTTAAGGGCCTAATTTTTCTTCTGTTTTACAAACTGCCTAATTTTATAATTGTATAATTCCTAAAAATGTTTAAGTTTAATTTCTAGAAATATGGAAGAGGGACCTTTATTCTTATAACAAACTTAAATGTAAAAAGAACACCTGAGGGTATTCATATCTGCACTAAACGAAACACAGTCTATATGTTAGGTTGTACTTTTAAGATTATAATCATTTACGAGTGACAAACGCAAGGCTGTGGCTGTGGTTCGGAAAGATGTTTCAGGGTTTGGTTTCTTAGCAGATGTCATTTCAAACAAATAAGAATTAAAAAAATAATGTTTTTCATTTTTAAAAGGAAAAAAGTTTTATGTTTTCCTGAATACTGTGAATATCAATTTCTCAAACCAGAATAGGTATGTAAGTTCTTTGACATCTCATAATTTTGTAGTTGATAAAGAGGAAAAAACAATCATTTGTAGACCTTAGAAGTACCCCCAGCACTTCGGGAGGCCGAGGCCAGCAGCTCATTTGAGGTCAGGCTTTCGAGAGCCTGACCAACATGGTAAAACCCCGTCTCTACTAAAAATACAAAAATTAGCCAGGCATGGTGGCAGGTGCCTTTAATCCCAGCTACGTGGGAGGCTGAGGCAGGAGAATGGCTTGAACCCGGGAGGTGGAGGTTGCAGTGAGCTGAGATCGCGCCACTGCACTCCAGCCTGGGTGACATAGTCCTACTCTTTCTCAAAAAACAACAACAGCAAAAAAATTAAAAATTAAAAAGAATTGGTTGCCAATTTTTAAGAAGTCTGGTAATAACATAATTATTAAGAAGCAGGTAGAACTAATTAGCTTGGGTGTGTTAGGTTTAATTGCTTGCCTTCTTCTCTGGCTCAAAGAAAAACATTGCATCTTGTATGCTTAAGAATTTTAACAGCTGTTTTTCCCTCTACTGAACCAGTAAGAAGTAAATGCAGCATTAAAATTCCTAGGTTGATTTCCTGCCTTACTCAGCTGGCAGAGAAATGAATTTGATTTTTCTTCTCTCAGCAAAATGAGAGGCATAACTCTTTTAGTGTGGGTAGGGTTGTGAGGCAGGCCGCTCCCCAGAAAGTTGGCTTTTTTGCCAAGGTACTTAGAAGTCCCTGGTCTCTAGAGCCTTAAGAGGAATTCAGAGTCATGAGAATACTACCCCATTCTTGAGGTTGATGACCTGTATGTCATTTAATTCAGCGCGCTCAGAAAAAGTTCTGACTTCTTTTTATTTATTTATTTATTTATTTTGAGACGGAGTCTCGCTCTGTCACCCATGCTGGAGTGTAGCGGTGTGATCTCAGCTCACTGCAAGATCCGCCTCCCAGGTTCATGCCATTCTCCTGCCTCAGCCTCCTGAGAAAAGTTCCTACTTCTTAACAGAGACTCCAAGATTGACTATCTTAATTTGTTTTGATTATTTACAAATTGACTTTGACATATTTCTTGTCTACCTGATTGTATTATGGACAATTTTAAACATATACAAAATTATAATATAATAGCCACTCATGTTCTGATCACTCAACTTCAGAAAATCAGGAACTTATGCCTAATTGTGTTTCTTCTAGACTCCTACCCCCAATACATACTGTATTATTTTGAAGCGGATCTTAAACAGTATCTATAAGTATTTATTCATCCATAAGCATTTCAGTATTTGTCTCTAAAAGATAAGGCTCTCTTTTTAAAATCATTATCACACCTAAGAAAAAGTTAATAATTCCATAATATCAACATATAGTCATATGTTTAGATTGCCAGTTGTTTCACAAATGTTATGTGTGTGTATACTTTTCACAGTTTATTTTTGACTCAGGATCCAAATAAAACCACACAATTGTGTGCAGTAGTTTAATACATTCTTTAATATGAAAGTTTTAATCGTGAATATTTTTAAAGTATAGAAATTATGTATTAGGCATGCAATTAACAAATGTTTCCATTTTGCCATATTTATTTCAGATCTTCGCCTTTTTGCTTTTTTAGAGAAATAAAATGTTACAGATATTGCTAAAGGCCCTTACCCATATCTTTTCCTTTGTTTTTCCTACTTAGGGTTAGCAAATATCTTAAAGTTGGTGGATATGATTTCCACAGTATGTGTCTGTGTTACCGCTACATTTTTATAATGCTACATATTTATATCTAAAAACAAAATATCATAATTTTTTGTTTTTAACGCTTATATAGCTATTTAAATATATATGTACTTTCTGCAACTTGGTTTTTTTCATATTCATACATGCGACACAAATTGCTCATTTTAAACTGCTATATTTCACTTTAATGAAAAAATTTTAGTATATTTATTACTAAGGAGCATTTACGGGATCTTACCAATTTTTTCCTATTAGAAGTGGAGAGCAGTAAACATCTTTTTATGCACATCTCCTTAGTCACATGAATGAGAGTTTATTTCAAGTATAACACCTAGAAGTGGTAAGGATGTCTTCACTGTTGCCAGCGATGATTGATTTTGCTCCAAAGTTGTTGTACAATATAACTATCAGCAGCAAGATATGAGAACTCCAGTTCCCCCAGATCTTACCCAGCTCATAGCATTGTTAGGCTTCTAAAATTTGCCCATATGCTGGGCATGAAATGGTAACTTGTTCTTTCATACTTTTCTGATTACCAATGAGATTTAATATCATTTCATTTTTATTGGCTGTTTAGGTTCCTCCTTCTGTGAATTTCCTGTTCATAAAAGTTTTTTCTGACTCACAGCAGATTTTGGAGTTTCAAATGTGTTCACTCTTAATTATATAGACAAGTTAATTCTTTTGGGATAGCTTTAATAGATTTTGTACTTTGAGTGGTTTTCAGAGAAATCATGTTTACAATGACACGTGAACACTTTAAGATTCGAAAAGGACATTCGTGAGAACTAAGCTCTTTCTAGGTGGAGAAAACTCAACTGCAAGTGCAGAAACTACTCAAAATGTGATTGACTATGCTGTTCCATCCTACTGAGACTAACCATCTGCCTTGTTTTTTATTTGCATACCTTCTCCCTTACTCCTTGCTATGTTTTCCTCCAAAGCTCCTATGCCTCTCTCAACTTATCAGTGTTATTTTACACATACTCAATATAGTCAACATCTATCCGCTTCATTTTCTTTCCTGGAAGTTTTGCCTTTAGGGTCCTCTGTACTTCTGTTCCAATATGGACTTGTTGCTCTCCAGGCCTGCTCTGCGTGGTCACCCAGGGCCATCCCTTCTCTCTCCTGTGTTGAAACCTCTGTGCCCTCAGTCTCATGCTTCCCCTTTATAGTATTTTCCTTTATTTGGTTGGACATATCTCCAGGCCCTCCCTAAGAAAAAGTCTGATTAAAGGAAATTTTTTCCAGATTAGCTGAAATGTCCTTCTCATTTTATTTTTGCTACTCTGACACTTGTTTTTTAAATAATTTGTCTGGGCTTAGAATTCTAGAATACAAAACTATTTTCCTCCAGCCTGTTGCCAAGGGTTTGACTCCACTTTCCAGGGTTGCTATTGAGAAGTCTGATGCCTTTCCGATTCTGGGTTCTTTGTTTGTAACCTGTTCTTACTTTCTGGATAATTTTAGAATTGTCTTTTTTGTCCCCTTATCTGAATTTTATCACATGTTTCAGTGAGGTCTTTCGTTAAAGTCATTTTTACTGGTTATTTATTAGACTCTTTCACTTTAGAGGTATATTTCCCTCAGTTCTGGGAGATATTCTATTTTTTAAAAAAATAATTGCTTCTCTTCAGTTTTTTCTTACTGTAACTGTTGCTGGTTGGAAATTGGACCTTTTATATCCTCTGATTTTTCTGTTTGTTTCATTTTCCATCCATTTCCATTTCTTCACATTTTTGTTCTATTTTCTGGGGGCTTTTTTGTTGTTCTTTAACTCCTACTATTCCATTGATTGTTTAAAAAATACTAGCTAGCATACTGAAAATTTTCAAGATATTTTTCCTGTTACAGCTGCTATTTTATGGAATCTTGTTTTGTGGCTGAAATGTCTCTTAAATAGTTCTTTGAAGATAGTAACTATGGTTTTTGGAAGTTTTCTTCAGCTTTCTGTGTTCCTGAGTTGTGTTGTTTTCTCCAAGTTAGATTTGTCTCTATTTTAGACTCCTGCTTTCCTATTTCATAGTTTACCTACCATTTTGGATTGGCGTGGGATTGAATCAAATAAGAGATGTATACAAAATATGTAGAACAATGCCTGGCATTTAGTAAGTACTCCATACATTATGTTGTTTTTGTAATTTTAAAGGTTTTCCACAGCCTGGCTGTTTACATTTATAGATCACCTTGAAATACCTTAAAAACAAACGTAAATGGTGAAGCTTTTGGTGTTAAAATGTAAAAGGTTAGTGTTCTAAGAAACTTGAAATATTTCAGTTCAAGCATATGTGTACCTTCATCTATTTTTATCAGTATTGAGAAGTGGCCCAAGTATTATGTTGGAAATAACAGAGAAACTACTAAAGTTTGTAAACTACTAAAGTTTGATATGTATCATGATAAATTAGAGAAAATTCTAGTTTTTCTCATAATAACAGTTCTGTCCCTCACTTCATTCTGACATACTTTTTCATGGCGTAAAGAGCTTGAAGTTACCGCGTTAGCCTAGGAATTGCTAATAATTTACAGCCTGTTTCATCTGTGACACAGCCTATAATTTGGGTAAATCTATGGGAGTGAATGTCATTCTGAGTGTCATGGTGGGAAAAAGTCGAGGGCTGACTGCTATCTAGTTCAAGTGCCCAAGTTTACAAATAAGGAAATGGAAGTTCCAGGTAAAGTTATTACCCAAGGTCAAATAATGCTAGTGGCCAACCAGGAGAAGCCCTGCAATGTAATCCTATCTTGACTACATTTTCAGTTTGTTTTTGCTAAGAAGACAAGGATTAGGCTAAATTTAATTTTAATATCCTTTCTAAACATAAGAATTCCAAATTAGTGATTTCTCATGACTCTAATTATATTAGAATTTTCAAATTAAGTATTCACTAATTCATTTATTCATTTGACAATATATGTTGAAACCTACTACTATTATGACCTGACATTTACTTCGGTAGTTTTGGACTAGTTATACTACTTTTATTTCCTATTTCTTTTTTTTTTTTTTTTTTTTTTTTTTGAGACAGAGTTTCGCTCTGTCGCCCAGGCTGGAGTGCAGTGGCGCGATCTCGGCTCACTGCAAGCTGCGCCTCCCGGGTTCACGCCATTCTCCTGCCTCAGCCTCCCGTGTAGCTGGGACTACAGGCGCGCGCCACCATGCCCGGCTAATTTTTTTTGTATTTTTAGTAGAGACGGGGTTTCACCGTGTTAGCCCGGATGGTCTCGATCTCCTGACCTCGTGATCCGCCCGTCTCGGCCTCCCAAAGTGCTGGGATTACAGGCGTGAGCCACCGTGCCCGGCCTATTTCCTATTTCTTACATATTACTTTTTAAGCTTTAAATGAACTCAAATTTAAAAGACTGGAGAATAGAAATCCAAATTCCAAGAAAACGTTAACTCATTTCAAAGGACAGATACACTGAAGCTATAAAATGAAATATTTCCTGAATTCTGTTTTACATAGGAGATGTTATTAGATTTTCTAGGCAAGAGCAAAGCCCATACCTGAATCTATCTTCTTTTTAATGGGTAGCTATAAGCTCAAATGAACCTTATCCATTTTATAGCGTAGGTTCACACAATTTGTGTATCTTTCTAAATAGATATAAATCCATACATGCCCTAGCCAATGACTTGTCATACAGTTGCATTAAAATTGATCTAAACATAGTTGGCATCCAGAAGAGGCTTCTAATTTATTGCCCCAGTGTTCCATTTATATCAGATATATAGAAGCTAGACTGTTGGAATAACAGAACCCTTTATAATATTGTAGTCCAAATATATGGAAGCCTATAGACTTTTAAAATGTTATAGAACTTTTCAAACCTATTCAAAAGTAGAGAGAATTGTTTAGTGAACCCCATCTGCCCACAGCCAGTCTTAATTCAGTGCCTTTTCTCTCTTCTCTTGCATTGGGCTCTCTTAAAGCAAATCCGGGACATCCTATCATTTCATCCAGAAATACTTCAATACCTTTGTCTAAAAGATAAGGACTCTTTTTTTTCTGTAACATAACCACAATATGATCATCACATCTAAAAAAAAATTAACAGTTGTTACTTAAAATCATGCTGTCAGTATTTGAATTTCTCTGGATTGTCTCATAAATGTTTTTTTTTTTTTCCCCCTCAGTTTGTTTGAATTGGAATCCAAATAATTTCATATATTGCATTTGGTTGGTGTGTCTCTTAAGTCTCTTTTAATCTAAAGTTCTGTTGCCGCCTTTAAAAAATTTTACAATTGTTAAAAAGTCTGGGTTGTGTTTTTTGTTTGTTTTTATTTTATTAAATGCCTCTTGAGTCATAAGAACTGTGTTGTTTATCTGTGGAAAAGACAGGTTCAATTATTTTCTGAAATATTCCCCACATTCTGGATTTTCCTGATTGCATTCCCATCGCGTCATTTGAAATATTCTTCTGCCCCTATATTTCCTGTAAATTGGTAACTGGGAATACAGATTTGATTAGATGCAGGCTTTATTTTTTGACATGAAAATAATATACATAGATGGTGTTGTAAATTGCATCTCATCACGTGGCACACAATGTCTGTTTCTCTTTTTGTGTTATTAAAATTGATCCTTGGGTCCAGATGTTGTCAGCTTGATCTGTTGTAAAGTTTCACATCAGCTTTTTTCCTAATGATTTTAATAGCCATTGATAATTATTGCCTGGGTGTAATATAGATGTTACATGCAGAATTTAGAAGCTTCTGAATTTGGAAAAGCTCACCTATTTCCACCTTCTCACTCCTGATTTGTTCTGGCATCTTGACCATTTATTGTCTCTTTCTTAATCTTTAATAGACTTCTAATTCTTGAATGAACTATTCTCCAGCTATGTTACATGGAACACAACGCTGTCGGGTACACTGTGAGAAAAGGCTCCCTGAGTTTGGGGGATGCTGCATACTGGTTTTTGCTCTGAGAGATTTATAATACACATGAGCCTATTAAAGTTCTGAGGGATCTGTTGATTAACAAACTTGATTTACCCGGAATTTCATCAGTTTATTTGACCACTACATTCTTTTATCGTCAATATCTATTGGCATCCTGTTTAGAGAAACATACTTTGAAATGCATCTCAAGGAAGAGGGAAATGTAGAATTGTTTGCCCCATACTCCCACGGGGCTTGTGATGTGAAGGCCATGGCTCCCTAACAGTGGCCTTCTTCTTGAGGGAAGGAAGAGCATGAGAGTGAATCAAAGTTCAGACAGCAGAGAGGACTGATGTACTGTATCATATCTCCTGTTAATATAATCTCATCTTCATTGTATGGATTGTTTTCATTTCTGTTTCTTCTCAGCATTGCTTATATAGCCCATATTGACTATTCCAAATATGTTAAGTACTGATTAAAGTTCAACTCCCACAATCACAACTTAAAAAATTGTAACACAATTTGCTCTTACTTCACAAATTTGTACATGTGTTATACATGCCACATACATACACAAACACATGCCCACCCCACAGCACACTTCAGTTGTTTTATTTCAGGTGCAGTATTGGCATATGAAGAATAGAAAAGGGAATTATAATACTAATTTAGAGTGTTTGCTTCAGATATAAACTCCAGACTGGTTGTCATGCCAGGGGCTCACATCCTATTTGTGGCTCACTATGGAAAAAAATTGAGTTGCACAAAATTATTAGGGACACAGACCAATTTTTATTTGCTCTGAAGATACCTCAAGCTCTGTATGATAAATGTTTTCCATTAGAAGAAAAAATGTTGTGCATTAATGCTCCTGAGAAACCATAGGGATTGCCAGTAATGCCATCAGGAAATGATTTTTTAAATGTTTCAGAGGGTAAATATGAATCAACCACTAAACAGGGAATATAACTTATATTACAGAGTTGGAACAGTAATGATAAAGCCCCCCGCCTTTTTTTAAGTAGAGTTATTCTAGGAAAGTGTGAATTTTTGATTTAGGAACATGCACAAGGGATATAGTAATAAGAAGTACAAGTCAGACACATGATTAAAATAAACAAGAATAGAGCCAAGGCTCAGAAGATACGCAGTTCTGTTTTGTGACCTTTGATGGGGAGGATGGAATGGGATAAGACAGGGAGAGAACTGAACAGCGCGTCATCAGTGCTCTCAATGGCAGACTAAACATGCTTTGTGCAGCCCTGGGCTTCTGGGTGCCTGGCCATGGGGTGCACTGGTGAGCTAAATTCAGACCTTGACAGTGGATGTTTATGAGGAAAGAGATACTGGTGCATTTAGATTTAAATAAAACTTTCATTTAACAATGATCACGATCATGATGCTTTTCTATTCAGCAGGAAATTCAGAAAAAGGCAAAGCCTACATTAATTACTTTTAAACTGTAAGACAACGCTTTTCTACTTGTCACAGACCTATTCTTTATGACAAGTTACTCTTAAGTTTGCTGTTCGTAGGAGGGCAGATCAACTGCGGAGTTTGATTATGGACAATGTCTTCTGCTCATTAGTTAACTTTGCAAATACTATCTTTTGAGGATTGTGTGTGGGCTCACTTCAAATATATGTTCTTAGGAAGACTGAAGATATAGTGCTGGGACAAGTGTGGCAATTACCTTAAAAACATGATTTTGAAATGCTGCATACTGCATTTCAACGCTTCATACCTGCGTCAGATAATGAACTTGGTTGTGTTTCTCAAGTATAAAGCAATTGAAAAATGCATTTTTTGTACCTCAGGAATATTATTTGGTGAATCACTGAGCCCAAATACAACTGTAAAATTTCACACATAACATGAGAAGTGTAAGAGGCCTTAATGATGATTTCAGTTCAATCCTTCATGAGCTGAAGCCCAGAGAGGGGCAATGACTTGCCTGAGATTACATTTTACCTTGTGATGTAAAAGATTTTATTCACATCACAGTTTAGGAGGCACTTGGTTCATTTTATTATTTTTACTTTTATTTTTATTTTTTGTAGAGACAGGGTCTCACTATGTTGCCCAGGCTGGTCTCAAACTCCTGGCCTGAAGTGATCCTCCTGCCTTGGCTCCGCAAAGTGCTGAGATTACAGGCGTGAACTACCATGCCCAGCCACTTTGTTCATTTTAAATATGACACATAGTTGCATTTTATGCACTGAGATGATAGTCTGGTCTTGAAAATAGCCAACTAGTCAGTTGGCTCAAAAGAATGATGATAATGGTGAGCCAATGGAGGGAAGGCTGATTTCTCTTCACTGTTAGAAATGTCAGTATTGGGTAAACAGAGAAAAGTGTGAAAAATGATAAATGCAAGTTCCAACCAGCAGGTTGCACCTAAGGGCTAAATATTGGGAGATTTAGGAAACTTTCTCTGGATATCAGTGCTGTCTGCAGGTGTGTCTCTTGACAGTCTATTTCCTGTCCCACATGCCCACAAAGAAAAGGAATGGTGCCAGCCAAAATGTGGATACCTGTAATTTTTTGAAACCATGTTAGGAGACTAACTTAGACCCCCCACGGTGGTCCTCATAATGTGAGTATCGAAGTTTCCTGCAGAGGCTGAAATTTTAGTTTGTGAACAAAAGCTCAGTAATGTAGCAGAAAAAACTCTCAATCAAGATCCCACTTTTCTACTTGGTTTAGTCAGGCTTTGGGGCTTTTATGTGTTTTAGCTTATTTGCTCTAAAGGTTAATAATGCTCGCTCTGTTTAGTTTCCAGAGATAATGTTAGGGATCAAATTATTTCTTTTATGTCAAGAGGCAAAATTGTGTTGAGATACTTGGCTGAAATGTTTTTTTGTAGTTTGAGTTTTGTTTCATTATAATAATATTCGTTTTTAGTTGACCAAATTATGATTGTATTGCTATTTCCTTGCTTATTAGAAATATGTTATTACATTTTTATGTCCATCGATTTACAGGCAATTCGATCACAAATGAAACTGGGTGATTACTTTTATATAGCAAGAATTCTGCTTTCTGAGTCAGTGAGGTTTAATATTAACAAATGTTTTTTCAGTTTAGGGTTCTATATGATGATCATATTCTCTAGGGTAAAAAGTGTGGAAAAAGGTGGCTGGCCTTGAGAAATATACAATTGCTGTGCTGGTTCTTTCAGAGTTGAAATGGAGTAACAAAATCAGAAATCACCAAACGGTTTCTAATTTCAAAGACAGACTGTCTGACCTTGCCTACATAGTTCAGGTAGAAACCAAGAAGGAACATGGAGAAGGAAATTGAGTTCCCGTCCAGGTGACATACAACCACAACCACCTCCAGTAATACATCTGGAATTACAACATGGGCTGTTCACCTTAGGGCACAACAAGCTCTCACCTAGGAATGTGTTTCTCCTGTATTTTTATTCTTATTTGAAAAAGTTCTGATTAAACTTCTACACTACACCACACACACACACACACACACACACACACACACACACACAACTCCCCATCCCCATCCCCGTTCATTCTTGGTTCTGTATCTTCTTGAAGTAGAGCATACAATGTAACTTAAAAAAGAGTTATTTCTGATATATATTCAATTTGGCTGTTTTGAACAAGTCTTCTCTTGAAGCCATTAAGGGGATTTTCCATGTACCTCAAAATATCACTATTTTGAATTTTTTGCTCCATGTTTCACACCCCAGATGAAGAAAACCTACATAGATTAAGGGCTTCCAGTGTGTCCGGCATTGTCAGATGTGTCAGCAATGACCTCCCAGCTGCCTCATTCACTGGATGATTTTTCATCCTCAATGTAGTAATTTTTGTGCTCTGGCTGGCCCTTCTGTTGGTAAGGAGGCAGGACTGTTGTGGCTTTGGTGACCTGTTCAGTCTGCCAGTGTCTGCTCGATGGAAATTTGGGGGCATTTTTTTGAAGTTGTATAAAATTAAACATCAGCAATTTAGCTGTGCATATTTGTATTTAGAGGTGAAATAGCTTCAGTCTATGGCTGGGAAAAGGAATTGGAAGTGTGACTGCGTGTTGTGACCACAGGCATGCTTTGTCTCCCAGTGTGGTAAAATAGGATTCAGAGCATTCCAGGTTGATTTGTAATGTTGCCCTGACAAGGAAATCATTGCCTGGGAATATTTTTGTTCGCCCGATTAAGGGAGGTTCCTAGTTCTATAACAATTGCTGTGTCAGTTTTGAGAAGCTTAACATTAATATGTCTTTTTTTTTTTTTTTTGCCTTTGCTTTCTTCTTTTTTTTGGCAAGTGACTCTTCAAAATGTAGTATGTAAGGGAGGGAAAGTATTAAACATTGAGGATCTCTTAATTCAGAAAAGATGGCCAAGCCATTTTCAGCACAAAGAGAAATGAGAAGCACGAGAGTCTTGATCATTAGAGCAAGGAGTCATCACGTGGCTGCCATCCTCTGAGCGTAGATCCAGATCACTTCCTAGCTGCATGATGTGGGTCAGAATTTCACTAGCCTGAGCCTCGGTTTCCCAGCCTGTAAATTGTGGGTTTTAGCATTTTGAGACTTAGAGAGAGATGACGAATGTAAAAGACCTGGGACAACTCCTGTGCTCTGTAAATGGTGGCAGTTAGAGGCACCTTCTGCAGGTATGCTTTCAGTTGTTAGTGAGTTCCTGGAATTTGAGGTACAGCATTTAGGATCAGGGGCAGTAGAATCAAGCTTTGTGCCTATTGGCATCTAAAGGGTCAGGGATGGGCTAAGCCTTTGAGCAGAGCTGTGGTTGCAGCCTCACCCCCATGCCTCCCTACCTCTCTTCCTCCCCTCCCCTGCCTTGAGGGTCCTCCTTTGCTTCAGAGGCACAGTCCAGCCTTGGTGCAGCTCCTCCAGGGACCTTCATCGGCTCCTGTGGCCCTGGCTGCTCCTCCTCCATTGACCCACCTCCTACTGGAAGATGGGATGAAATGAGGTGTGGCAAGGCCACCATGTCCCCAAAGATGGAGCCTTCTGGGAAGAGTTTTCCTTTCATTCCTGCCAAGCCTTGCTTACTGCCTTCTCTAGCAACCAAAGATCCTTGTCAGGAGGGCAAAGGCCACAAGCATTTGTGTCATTGGAATGTCTGCACGTGTGTATATCCATCTAAATAATAGAGGCTTTGAAGAAAATGTGGCGAGGGTTACAATGGCCTCTTTTTTTTCTTTATGTTCTTTAAATTTTTTTTTAATTTTAATTTTTATAAGTTTGTAGTAGGTGTATGTGGCCTCTTCTTAATGACTGAAAAATAAGCAGGTGGGCCTCAGAGCTATTTGCCCTCCTTTCCCACCTGGACTTCCATTCCTACTCAGGTTTTTGTTCTAACACAAGCTGGTTATTTGTAATTTTGCCATATGGCTGAGCCTGAGGGTGAGTGGTCAGTGGAACAAGTGCAGGGAAAATGGTTTGCAGCAAGTGTCTTTCTTCAAATCAAGCCTCCCTTTTGTCTCTCCTTGAAAATATAATATTAGAGGATTTTATCAGAAAAAGGGAGAATACACAGTGTCCTGCTGTTGCTAGGTAACCAGAAAACATCAAACCCAGTCAGAGCTGAAACTGGCTTGATTTTCCCTAGGAACCTGGCTGCTCTTGCTGAGTACTTTGTGTAGTATTAACAGATCTGTGATTAACAGCATAATGGTGAGGCTGGAGGGTCTCCTTCATTCTTTCACTTTTTACCCCCACCCCTTGACCACATCAGTAAAGTGCCAAATATGTTATTTGAGCCTTGAAGTCAATTCTTGACTGACAGATATTCTGAGGGAAGGTGCTCTGCAGATGCAAATATAGTTGATTTACACATAGCTGGAGTATATACTGTATTTCCATGACTTTCACCCATTTTAAAAAATAAATGGGCATCCCTTTTTCAGCAATAGCAGCGGTTTAAGATCCCATGAACAGTAACCCATATTTAGTCACAGGAGACATTTGTGCACACAATCGAACATATCTTAATGATATTGATGAATGATTTTGACACCTATTATGTTCCTTTCTCATTGGGCTTGGCCATTCTGTGGCTGACTATATGGGCACTGCATTTCCTAATCTTAGAGAGCTCTAACGCCAAGACATCTGCCTTGTACATCTCAGGTGGCCTCCTGTAACCTGTGCTGTCTGTTTCTTGCAGATTTGGACACCTCCCACACTGAGTCCCCAACCCCCCATGACTCAAATTCACACCGCCCTCAACTGCAGGCGTTTATAACAGAAGCAAAGCTAAATCTACCGACAAGGACAATGACCAGACAAGATGGGGAAACTGGAGATGGAGCCAAAGAAAATATTGTTTACCTCTAATTGTGTTGTCATTTTTCCAAACAAAACAAAACACTGGCACTTTTGGGAGAAACTTTTTGTCTCCATTCCTTATGTATGTGTGATTGTCTGTGTCCAAATTGCTTTAAGAATAATATTTAATATTTCCTGGAAGCTCATTTTTTTGGCATGAGTCTAATTAAATTATTGAAAGCCACCCTGTTTGTATAATCTTTAACTTATCAAATCTAATTTCAGATTTCTGGAGGAGAAACTAACTTGAATAAGCAGGACTATTTTAAAAGTTGTTTTGACGCTAGAGTAAAATTCCATGTCACATTTTCTACCCAATCATCTGGATTTCAAGATTCCTTTTAAGATCTCAATGAAGCAATTTGGATTTAAAGAGTGGTATTCACAAGGGGTGAACTTTCACAGTCAGGGCAGTTGCCTCAGTGCCCACATAGGCAGAGGAGGATGTGGGAAAGGGTTTTTCTCAGCTAGTTTTTGTGTGCTCATTTCTTCTGGGAGCATTAAAAGTGGTGATCTGTTACAGTCACTATTCAACTGGGCACGTGTTGTGATTGGTCAGTCACTGAGCCAGGGATACAGTCCGGACTTGCTTAGTACCTAAGCCTAATGCTGGTGGGGTTTCAAGACATGGTTCAGCATCATCTTTTAACAAGGCCCAGAGGCCCAGAGCCCCCATCAAGTCATTTTGATGTAAATAGTGAACTTTGTTAGAGCCCTCACTTCTATCAATCAGCTGTCCTGTCCCTGCCAGCACCTGGAGCACCAACTACCACTCCCTGGAAAGAACCCTTCCCTGCAGTTTTTTAAGGACAAAACTGCCCACTCCTCATTAAGTTTGCTGCCTGGATACACTTTTCCACAAAGGAAAACTGGCATATCCTGCCTTCCGAGTAGTATGGGTCTCTGTGTGAGAAACCAGGAGATATTTTCATCTTGTTCGGAAATACTTGTATGTATTTTGGTGTCAATAAATATCTTGTACCTCATTATTTTACTTTGTAATTTTAACATTATGTGTAGGACCATAGTAAAACATTCATTTCACACAGACATCTAATCTCACCTCGTGAAAAGTGAAAATAAAGGAAAACTATTAGATTCATCCAAAAATGCAACACCTACTGGGAGTGAGATGTGATAGGAACAGAAAAAAAAAAAAAAAAATCACCCGGATCTCAATAGTTTTTTCTCCCTACTTAAAGTTGTTAAGTTGGATATCTACATTGTGTTTTTACTTAGGCAAGTCCAATCCTAATTTTTTTAAAAGCCCCTTTTGGGGGCAGTCTTTTTCTGACTTTAGCTGGCTATTTTTGTAACAATTACATTAAAAATTCGGTGACTGATCTTTTCACAGAATGGATATAACTTATTAAACTTCTATTCAATCACTTCACCTCTAAGCTGAACTCTTCAATTACAACATGTATCTCCCATTCCTAAAGACATCTAGAAATATCTGTCTTTCCTCTTTCTTCAATAAAGTCTAGTCCAGGATCCTATATCTCTTGAATGAAAAGCATGCAGATATTTCAGTCTAAATCCTTTCTCCAATAACTATAAATATCTTTCCTTTCTTCATGAAATTATATATAGAAATAGTGAAAATATGTTAAGATGTTCAAAATCCTCATGGGGTTCTTTCTTTCTTTAAAAATGTGTGAGCTCTGGATTTTCAAGACCTGCAAAACAGGTCTGCATGCAGTTCCTCTGGGAAAGCCAGAGCATTTTTTAAGTACCTATATTCATAGGTTCCTCTGGGCAATTCTCTTATTTAATATGATGACTTTTCAATGGCATATAACTACATTTCAAAGCTTTCTTGATGATAAGTTCTTCCTTTTCACCATGTCCCCACTATGTAATGAGCTCAGATCCTGCTATGGTCTGAATGTCTTAATGTTTATATCCCCCCCAGGTTTGTATGTTGAAAACCTAATCACCAATGCATTGATTATTAGGTGGACCTTTAGGGGGTGAGTAGAGCATAAGGATGGGGCCCTCATGAATGGGATTAGTGCCCTTATAAAAGCGGCACTAGAGAGCTCTCTTGCCCCTTTGCCATGTGGAGGATGCAGCAAGAGGACACCTTCTATGAACCAGGAAGTTGGCCCTCACCAGACATGGAATCTGCTGGTGCCTTGACCTTGGACTTCCTGGCCTCCAAACTGTGAGAAATAATAAGTTTCTATTGTGTGTAATACACCAAGTTTATGGTCTTTTGTTATAGTAGCCCAAACAGACTAAGGTCTCAAGACAGAGTCACAGAGTGACTCTAGCACAAATTTACTAATCTTAAGAGATGACCACCCTATTTTTCAGGATCATAAATGGGTTTCCCCAAAAGGACCTATTTTTCTCACCAAGTTAAGAGCTTAAAGGAAACACTCATTCCTTTAGAGATCTGTCCTAGAAAGAAAAGCAATATTTTTGCTCTGTCCCTTCCAGGCTGCATGAATTTATTCATCATTTCATTTAGAGTCCAAGCTACTCTGCATTTCATCAGGACTACATAATTCCTGGAATCGTGCAACACTTCCCAGCCCACTCACAGTTGAAGCCCTATTCATTAAGAAAAGGGTAACAGCCCTTGGCACAGAGGACTTGCTGTGTGTGTGAGTTATGTAAGGTGAAGAATGTGAGCATAATTACATCATGGGGTGACAAAGAAGTGGAGAGGAATATGTATTTCTTCCTGTGACCTAGGAATACATGAGCTACTTTCAAACTGAGAACCAACCTGAGATTGTTAATGTCCAACCTCTGTATCTCTCTCATTGAGAGGCAGCAGAGCATAGAAATTGAAAGTATGGATTCTGGATCCACATCTGCCACTAACTCGTTGTGTGTCCTTGGCATGTTACTTCACCTCGCTCTGTTTCCATTTCCTTATTTATAAAACAGGGATGACTACCTTATGGAATCGTTGCAAGAATTAAATTATTAATATATGCAATATGCTTAGAATAGAGCTTGGGATATACTAATCACTTAATATATGCTAGCCATTATTATCATATTATTTTAAAAATCTGTTAATAATTGCTCAGCCTAGTCCCAGTCTTTAGGCAGATTTCTTCCGCATAGCCAGAAAAAGTGAATAGAAAATTCAAGTGTCTGGAGATTGCTAGACGTAAGACTGGGGAAAGTTAGGTAAGTTGAAAGTTAGCTTTCAACTTATTTGCATTTCTAAATCTCCTCTTAACTCATGTATTCAGTAAACATTTATTGACGGTCCGCTAAAGGCCAAGCAATCTGTGTGGGACAAAATAAAGATTAATAAGTATGCAAGCTATTGGAGAAGACTAACACATGAACAGATGATCCTAAAGTAGAGAGGTGCCAATAATTATATAGAGAAGTACAAGTTGCTATAGGAGCTCACAGGAAGAGCACATTGGGGCCTAGTAATACGTGAAATGGAGGGAGTTGTTCTAAAGAAGAAGATGCTTGAGGCTGGAAGGATAAAGAGCAGGAGTAGGGAAAGACATTCTAAGCAAGGAAAATGCTATGGTTTGAATATGTCCTCAAATTTCATTTGTTGGAAACTTAATCCCAGAATTTTTAATTGATTGAAGGTGAGGTCTTTGGGAGGTAATTAGGATTAGATAAGGTCAGAGTGAGGCCCCCATGATGGGATTGGTTACTTTCTAAGAAGAGGAAGAGAGACCTGAGCTGACATGCATGCTCTTGCCCTCTTGCCATATGATACATTCTGCCATGTTATGACAAAGCAAAGAAGGCCCCAGATGCCAACACCATGCTCTTGGACTTCCCAGCCTCTAGAACTGTAAGATTGTAACATTTTGAAATAAATTACCCAGTCTCAGATATTCAGTTATCATAACAGAAAATGGACTAAGACAGAGGGAAACCTGAGCCAAAGTCTGGAGGTTTGAAACAAAAGACATGAGAGACTGTGGCATACGTTTGGAGATACCCAGAATGATTTCCTCCCCTCTAGATTAAGGTGTCCAATGAGAATGTCCATCTATCTCTGCCTCTTTCAAGCACTCTATATAAGAAGTGGGGAAATGTGGAAGTCCACCCCTGCCCTCGTTGGAACTGATCAGGTTCCAGGCTATGGAGCAATAGCGGACTCCTTCCTGGGATGCTATGCTCTTAAAGTGTAACCAAATGCCCTCTCATCCCCTCACCTTTCCACATCCACCTCTTCCATAAAGCAATGTAGGTTCTGGTCAAATGGGGAATTGGATATCTTCCTATTTGATCCCACGCCACAAGAAACTAAGAGTAAAAGGGGTCCTGGGATCACCTGAAGATGCTTATTGGAACAGAGGGGACCAAGAGGATGCCTAAGTGTACCGCTAAGGGGTGGATTGATGACTTGCATGATAACCCACAAGGCAAGATTGTAAGTGGAGAAAAAAAGAGACAGGCTCATGTACCTCTTCTGCTTTATTTTTTACCCAACCCTGATGCTACCCATAGCTCCCTGTTTTAATCTACCACCTAGGGCTGAGTGGAGCATGGAAAAGAAAAAAAGGAGGGGAACACATGGAAGATTCCAGAATTATCTTGATTGACATGCAGAGTTTGCTCTTTTCTTTCCTGACTGCCTCTCATGCACAGATGTCCCTCTACCAATGTGAGACAGGCAGCAAAAAAATATGGAAAAGCCAAACAGACTTGGGCCCTACTTACTGGATCTCCCCCAGGGCCACAGGGTTGCACACCACCAGGGGGCACTATTCATGCTCTGGAGCACACATACGCGTAGATTCCAACGTGAGTGGAAACTTATGGAGTTGTACAATCCTGCAACCTTGCTTCTGAGCTAGGTTTGCTTACCTATGAAATGAGGATAATAATAGCTATGTCCGGATCACCTGAAGTCAGGAGTTCGAGACCAGCCTGGCCAACATGGCGAAACCCCGTCTCTACTAAAAATACAAAAATTAGCCAGGCATGGTGGCAGGTGCCTGTAGTCCCAGCTACTCGAGAGGCTGAGGCAGGAGAATTGCTTGAACCTGGGAGGCGGAGGTTACAGTGGGCCGAGATCGTGTCACTGCACTCCAGCCTGGGGGACAAGAGCGAGACTTCGTCTCAAAATAAATAAATAAATAAATAAATAAAAAATAATAACAATAGCCATGTCTTGCAGGGCTGTTGTGAACTACTTGAAGAAGCCCAGTGCAGTAAACGGCATACAGTCAGCACTCTAAAAATGAGAGCAGTTGTTATATGCTGGGGATAGGGGTAGAAAGAAGGCAGGCTTGGGCATGCTCAAGAATCGAAGTAGCTAGGGCATCGCTACTTTGGTTTTGTCCAGCTCATTTTCCCGTGCTGAGAGATGTCGAAGATCAAAGCCTGTTAGGATGCTGGGCTCAGAGTAAGAGCTTCATGCTACTTATTGGATGAGAGGATGAACAAGAGTCTTTGGAAATCAGAGATCAAAGGGTCGTCAGAACTAGAACTAGAACTCTGATCCATTACATTTCTTTGCCTCTGGCTGGTGAGTTCAAAGCAGTCAGCTCGAGTTGATGATTGAACATCGTTTTGGGTGAAGTAACAAGGGACCATGGTTCAGTGGTTCTGTAGAAGCTTCATGGCTGAGAAACTTCAACATGCCATTATTTGAATCCTAGTTGTCTACTCTTTGAATGGCAGAAAGTCAAAGGTTTTAGATACTACCAGCAGCTATGGGTCTCATAACAATTGCCCAAGGAGAAAGAATGAACTTGGTACGAACACAGGATTATATTTTCTTTGCTAATTTCACTAGATTCTATAGTTACATTAGAGAACTGTTCCTTATTTCTGGAAGAGCCCCAATTTCCACCTTCCCCTTTTTTATGCATAGGTCTGGCAATAAATTTAACTTGGCTCTGTCTCCAGGCAATCCAGGGTTAAACTGTCTCCTAGGGCACACAATTTCAGTCCCTAGGGAAAGTATGAAAAACCTTCTCTTCTTGTTCAGAAGCTCAATTGAGTGTCTCCATTTTATTTCATAAATGAGATCTGATTTGTCTCCTAACATGTATTTTTACTTACTCAAGAGTGTGTCTAAGTTCTTTTCTTTCTCTCCTGAGCTGGTTTTGGGTTGTTTGCCTATTCATAGAAGGAAACAGTGAGGGAGAAAGCAGCTAGAACTCTGATGAATGGTTTACTTCTTGTTAGCAACCCAAGTTAAACATTTAATGATGGAAGCGGGTATGGGCTGAAATGCCATTTGGGGGTAAATGCCTGGCTTCATTTTTTCATGCTCTCTTTACCACTACTCGCCCCAGCCCCTCACACCCTGTATAATGTCTGAGCAGGTTTTCTGCATAGTTGCCAGTGCTTATTTTTACAATCTCTAACATAACAGCTTCAAATATAAACACAAACATAGCCAGCATGAACGACAGCATCTGCATTGGCCACGGAGCTAAAACAGGCTCTTAGAAATGTGCTTGACATTTCCCGTGGCAGCTTCACAGCCTCCTTGGAAAGCCTTGGTCCACCTCTCTGCTGCTGACAAGCTCTGATTTGGGTAAGATGCTGGCAGGTGCCAGCAAAGGACAATAGGCTTTTAATTAAGGTCTGTAGAGCCATAGCTCAGGAAACACACCTCCTGAAGAGTTTTTTTTTTTTTTTTTTTTTTTTTTAAAAACACTTGCGTTTCTTCTTGCTACCCTACGAACAGTAACTGTGTGCTCCATCGAGGCAACTGTGGTCGTTAATCTTCCGTAGCACAGGAATTGCTAGTAACATAAAGGTAGTAATGGGATTATGTTTTCTTTTCTTTTTTTTTTTTGCAATAGCTTAGAAAATTAATGTTAACTTCTGTTCCTAGTTTGGGGCAGTTTTTACTATGATGAAGCTGAATGTGATCATACAACTCCATCTTTCCATCCAAACTCCCTCCATGCAAATTTCTTATTATATCTGACACAGAATTAATGTAAACATTTTTGTAATGGCCATATTTTGAGTCACTCACTTAGAGGAAGGTTTTCTAATGTGGAATCTGAGCCTGTTAAGCATCGTTGCTATGGAGACTATGAGAGTTGGATTAATTAAGGCTTGAACAGATGTGAAGTGTGCAGAATGCACTATTTTCTGTTAGTAATTAAAGAGGGTATGTGTGTACGTGAGAGAGAAAGAAAAATAGAGACAATCCGAGACAAAGCAGTCAGACGTGCTTGGCACCGGACATGTGACATTTTCTTCAGTAGAACTAACTGCTGATAACTCTGCTGACACTACTCTATTTTCTCCTCCACCCATGCCAGACAGAATAATTGCTTGAAATGGCCAAGCAGTCCAACCTTTCTTTCTTTTTTGGTCTGATTTATGATAGGCCCAGGAATATACAAAAACATGTTCTTGGATCAGTGAGTTCAAACGACCCATCTCTCTGAACACTCGAAAGTCAAACTGGACTGTGTAAATGGTTTTTAAGCTGCCTGGCAGGAAGGCCAAGTTTGCAGACTGGAGCTCTATTAGTTGTCCAGCCCCCTGGTAGTATTGTCATCAGCGAATTGATAGCCAAGAGAGACACTGGCTGCGCAACTGCCAAGGAGAAATTGTCATGGGAATGCCTTTAAGACTGGAAAGTGAATGAAACATCAGTCTGGTTTGAGTTTAATTTGGAGAATATTTGTTTCAGTTTGAACTAAATCTTTTGCTTTTTAAAACACTGTATTTCTATTTTCTCTTAAGTAATATAGTAACATGAGGTTTAGGTCTGAATTCAGCAGATTAGGTTCCATTGGAATCCTGCTTAGTGGCCCCAGTGAGTGGTGTCCCCATATAGCCTCCTGGTTGGCAGGAAGTAGTTAATGGCTTAAAAATGTCTAAAGGCTTTTCTGCTGGGTTGGCAGCAGTTTTGCTTGAACTGGTAGCTTTTGAAGCATGATCATTTTTTGTTTGTCTCGCAGCTGTGGAGGTGGGGTTGTCTGAATCAAAAAGCATCACAGAGGTACTTTGTTTCCTGGTGGACTGTGTCCTGGTGGCCCAAATTTGGCCTCTTCCCACCCACAGACTATGCAGGATGAGTTAGAAAGTAATGATGCAATGGGGAATTGCGTGGCCTGGGAGGTCAAGTGTTTGTGTATGTGTGTGTGTGGTGGTGTGTGCAAGAGCACACTCTCAACTAAAGCATGTGTCTCGTCAAACTCCTACACCTCTAAGGAGTCAGGCACATCCACAGACATAAGTTTTCCCAGTCTTGCCATGTCTCTACATGTCACTAATTACAGCCTGATTCTGTGAGGGTTTCAGTCTATGAATGGGGCAGTTTAAAACAAAACAAAACAAACAAACAAACAAAAAACAACTAGGTGAAGGCTGCAGGCAGCACTCTTCCATCTTAGAAATCAGACATCTTTTGGTTGTGCTATTAAGAGCCATAGAGACAGGGAAACAGGGACAAATTGGATCAATGTGAATTTATCACTATCTGGGGAGAAAACTTAAGTCTGCATCTTCATTTCCGCATTGTCCTCTACAACTGCGACCTAAAGTTCACTCACCCTTAAACATGACTGTTAAATCTGTTGTATATTCCATGTTTCTTGTCATTTGAGGATTATGTCCATTTATCTCATCGGAGAAAGCATTTAGTGAGGCTACAGAAAGTAGTATTTGCCATTTGAATCAACTGTGATTGATTTTTACATCTCTGGGTATTAATAAGAAAAGTGACTTATTAAATATAATTCTGTTTGCCTTTTCTTTCTCCCCACCACATATAGATACAGGAGAAAGTATATTCTGGGTACTTTGTGAACTGAAAAGGAAATTGGGGTGAGAGAAAAAACAACAGCAGTGGTTCAATGCCTTTGAAGGGACATCTGTTAAATGCTTTAGGAAAAGAGCAACAATGGAAAGCTTGAAACCAATAAAACCAGAGCCAGCACAGGGAGTTAATTCAAGAAGAAAATCCACTTTCCCTCTAAATCATCAAATTTCGAGAAGTGTTTTATATTTGGCAGACATTAGTATGTATTCTCTGTGTGTGTGTGCCTTCATCCATACTTGTTTGTATACGCACACTGTTTGAAGTCACTTCAGTATACTTAAACAAACTACCATTTTCCTTCCATTTTGTCCTTCCATATGTTAGTATGAGGCCAAAAGTACCCAATTGCCCAGTTGCTATCATGCTGTAGACATGATCCACCATTTCGCTGTCTTAGTCTTTTGGCTGTTAAAACAAAATACCATAGACTGGGTAGCTTATAGAGGACAGAATTTATTGTTCATAGTTCTGGAGGCTGAGAAGCCCAAGCTAAAGGCTCTGGCAGATTCAGTGTCTGGTGAGGGCTCCTCTTCTGGTTTATAGATGGCTCCTTCTAGCTGAGTCCTTACGTGGTGGAAGAAGCAAGGCAGCTCTCTGAGGCTTCTTTTATAAGGGCACTAATCCCAGTCCCTTCTCTGTGTAGCATTTCTTCTTCCCAGGTTTGGAGCAGGACCTCTCTAGAATAAGGGTCTTCAAAGGAGAAGAGAAAAGGAAGACAGTGGCCTTTCTAGGTTTTATGGCTTGCTTTGGGAGAGAGGGACTCGAGTTTCTATGACTCACCTTTGGGGAAGAGGAATTCTGGTTTCTATGATTTGCTTGGGGAAGAAAGAGCGACAGGAGACAGGAGGGTGGGGGAAGGTCAGAAGATCTTGCTTTTGAGGCCCTTCCAGTCTCTTTCAGTTCAAAGTACTCAACACACCAAGGTGTCATACTTTGGGGTATCATGTTCTGCACTCCAAGATCACAATAACTGGGAAGAATTACTAGCATTAAGTGAACAGGAGAAGCAGGAAAGCTAAAGGTCCTGTGGTGAGTAGGACAGTCCTGTCCAAGATCAGTTGCCAAACCGCAAAAGCCCATTGAAAAACATGGATCAAATTTCAGCTTTTAGAATATTTTTCACAGTGTGAATTCAAAAGTGAGAAGTCATTTAGAAATCCTTATACATTCTGAAAAGTGGCTATTTGTAGATGCCAGTAATATGGAACATCTTGATTTTGAACCAGAGCAAGACTTTTAGGAAGAGTATCATTGAAATTCAAAGAGGAGCCTTAGTTCAAGAATTCTTAGAAAAATAATTTCCTTAACATTGCCAACCTCATTGTGATAGACAGGGCAACACAAAGCCAAAGTTAACGAGGCTCTGACATTTTTAAAGAACATATTCTAACTTTAGCTGACATTTAAATTAGAAAGCCCAGCAGTGTAGCGGGGAGCTGATTGATTTGGAAAGCATGGATCCAAGATAATGAGGGCTCTGCCATGCTCTTCCTAGTGATGGGTAATAAATGAGCTCTTCCTGGCCAAAAGCAAAGGAGATGAGGCAGTTCCTGCATTTGAACTGCAGGCATTTGCACTGCATTGAGACGAAAAGTCATTCAGATACTGCTTTTCTTCTGCTCACTATAGCAATATTTTCATATTAGCCTTCATAATGAGCAGGAAAAAGACCCTGGTAGAAAAGACCCTGGTAGGCATTTCATGTGTCAGAAACACTAATGGTTGTTTTCTTTAATTTCCCAATGTGCTTGAGACATACTAGCCTTATAGACAGCCAACAAAAATGGATTCTAGAAGTAGATTGGTCCTGCCTTGACCTGCCAAACGTGGGAGGTTTGAAAAACTCAGATCAGAAAACTAAACCACCCACCCTCCTTTGGAAATCGATCACCTGTTTTGGGAAGAGGCTGACTCTACTTTGCTGTGAGGCATGATAGAGGCAGAAGGCTGTGAGTGGGAAGAAGCCATCACTGAGAGCCAGCCTCAGGCCCTTCTCAGTTGCCATAAAACCCTTGTGCTTCAGCTTTCCTCATCCATAAAATGGTCTCATCGTAAAGTTCACCCTCTCACTGAAGATTAATGAAGTGACACTTGTAAAGGATTTTAACTCAAAGGATCAACTCCAAGTACTTTAAATTCTTTGGAATGAAATTATTCCAGGGAATATTTATCTGGAAGCCAGATTGACAGGGGCCTTCTGGAAGCCCAGTCAACATCAACACGACAAAAGAACCGTTAGTTTCGGGCCGAGCACGGTGGCTCACGCCTGTAATCCCAGCACTTTGGGAGGCCGAGGCGGGTGGATCACGAGGTCAGGAGATCGAGACCATCCTGGCTAACACAGTGAAACCCCGTCTCTACTAAAAATACAAAAAATTAGCCGGGCGTGGTGGCGGGTGCCTGTAATCCCAGCTACTGGGGAGGCTGAGGCAGGAGAATGGCGTGAACCCGGGAGGCGGAGCTTGCAGTGAGCAGAGATTGCGCCACTGCACTCCAGCATGGGCGACAGAGCGAAACTCCGTCTCAAAACAAAAAACAAACAAACAAAAAAAACCAGTTTCCTTTCAGGAAAAGTAGATGCTCATTTTATTTGTTAAAGGGAGAGAAAAGCACAAGTCTGCCCTAGAAGTCATATCAATAGGCACAAAATTTGATTGACAATGAGGTTAGTCCTCTTAATCAGGCTCCATTCATTGGTCTAAATTCACTTCAGTTCGGACTCTTGTTAAGAAGGCATTGACTCACAAAGTCGAGGGTGGAATAAGATACTGTGCCGCCATATTGTATCCCAGTACTTCCCTTGAGAGGGTATGCTACTCTTGAACTTGTAAAACAATCATTCCCTTAGAAACCTAAAATATCAACAATGGCAAAAAGGAGTGAAGCAAAACAGTCCCTTTGGTCCTTAAATGTGGTTTATATTATCCTAATCGGACATTTTCTAAACAGATCTATGTGAAATAACTCTTAGGGTATTTATCTTAATTTGCTCCTTGGAGAAATATTTAATAATCATTTTTTAGGTACTTCTTAAGTTGATTGCTATTAAACTGCTGAAAATAAACTCTCCTTTTTGATTTTTCCTCTGGGATCCATCAGGAGATTGACTTTCAGGCAGCTTAATGAAAGACAAGGGTCCATCAGCATTGTTTAAGGAACTGTAGGAACTGTGCTAATTGCCAGAGGCTCTGAGCACTGGCTGCCAGCCTTGTGTAGCCCACTGGGCACAGCCATCCCACCCTTGGCTCCAACCCTGACTGCAAAGCAAGAAAGGGCTTTAGTGGGCTGGGTAATTCTAACAACTGCCAGTGACAAGTCTGCTGATGGACTCATCTGGGCAACATCACATTACGAATTAGCATCTAGAAATGGCTGGCATAATTCCAGCGGGCAGAGCTTCATTGCTGGCCTTGCTCATGAACAGGGTTAGGGTTTATGCTGCCAATGTAGATATTTTGCCTCCAAAACGTTCAACAGGGTTTGTATTGAAGCTCCAAAGTACTCCTCCAGGAGGAGCAGTCTGAAGGTGTTCACTAAGCATGGGAGTGGTGCAGGGAGTGCATAGGGGGCAAAAGTGATTTAAGGTTAACTCATCCAGAATTCATTAGATAGGTGTTCATCCACTGGAATCTGCCAGAGAGAATCCTAGCCTCTGAAAAAGAAATTTGTCCACATCATTTTCTCTACTTCACAGAAATAGCTTAAATAGAATGCCGTAGAGCCAGGAGCCTCAACAGACCTAAAGTGAATATAGAAGGCAACACAAAGTAGTGGTTATGAGCCCAGATTCTAGAGCCTGACCGCCTGGATTTCAGGCCCAGTGCTACTACTTACTACCTGTAAGTCCTTAAGTTGGAATCTAGCCTTTCTGTGCCTCCATTTTTCATCTGTTAGCTGGGAATAATAATATTATCTTCCTCAGTTATGGGCTGAAGGTTTGTGTCCCCCTCGCCCACTCATATGTTGAAACCCTAACCCCCAGCCCCAGTGTGATGGTATTTGGAGGTAGGGCCTTTGGGAGGAAATTAAGTTAAATAAGGTTATGCGAGTGGGGCCCTCAGGATAGGATTAATGCCCTTATAAAAAAGGAGGAGACGCAGGCTGTCTCTCTGTGCTCCACGCCATGTGAGGATACAACAAGAAGTCGGCAGTCTGCAATCAGAAAGAAAGCCCTCATCACAGCCCGACTAGCCTGGCACCCTGATCTCAGATTTCCAGCCTCCAGAACTGTGAGAAAATAAATTTCTGTTGTTTATAAGCCACACAGTCTATGGTGCTTTGTTATGGCAGCCCAGACGGACTGACACCACCTCGTAAGGCTATTTTGAGGTACATGTAAAGCTCTTGGAGAATGCATAGCAAGCCCTCAGGACCCTTCCATCATTTTATCAATAGCTGTTATTTGGAGCTGACTTCCTGATACTTCATTTGAACAAAGGCATTCACCATCCCCACTACTCCCTTGATATAACTTATTTATATAAGTTCTTTTATCTGAGAAATTAAAAGTAGATTTCAGACCCTTTGTTCATTCTCACAATATCATCCAGAAGTAGATAAGCAAACAGGTATAAGCCACTTTCCCACAGTAGAAAAAGAAGGTTTTTCTAATTAATCATTGTCAAAGATAGGAAAATGATGCTGCATGTTCTTAGATCATCATTAGCTGGTTGGTTCTCTGGTCTTTCACCATCTGTCTGTCTTCGCCAGAACACCAGGAACTTCGTGACTTCCCCTGGGAACTGCTGATGGTGAATTTGCCACCCCTCCAGAAGGGATGGTAAAGGGAAGGAGGAATGAAAAGGTCCTCAAGTTGTCATCACTTGAGTGATGCATAAGTATAATGGTTTTTGTTTTTCTACTCAGGAACTTCTGCTACAGTCACCACAAAACCCAAAGAACAAAAAGGAATGGAATTTGCTGTTGTTTTGGTGAAAGCTACCTCTCAGGCAAGATGCTAATTTTAGGAGAAATGATCTGACTGTTCCAGTGTAGTACATGTAATCAAGAAGGGTGAGACACTGGCTATTAGTATAAGACACAACAAAACCAATTTGGTTTCAATCCATTTCCCTGGGCCAAGATTAATTATATTCCCTAGACTAGACTTGGAGAGAAAGGAGTCATTTCCCAGGAGTGGAGGCTTCTGGCTGTCTCTATTTGGGTATCGTAGGAATTCCTATCGGTTCTGTCTTCTGACCCAGTGGATTCTCAGTTACAATTTGTTGAACCCAGTGTGATATGTTATTGCATAAGGCAGAAAAATCCCCTGAATCTCTGCAGGTAGATTAGAGACTAAATGGGTCCAGCTCTAATTTTCTTCCCACGCTTGAACTTGTTCCCACAGATTCCACAAAGACCACTCTGAATCCATAGATTATTTCATATCAAAAGATAAAAGGATATCAGAATCTTGATTGACTCATTAATTGACCCCCAATACCTTTTCTTAAGCCAGTGATTCCAATAGAATGATCCCCTTTTGTTATAGGGTCCAAATATCTCATTCCCTTTGCCCAAAATGCAATTGCCCCGTGGCCCTTGTTAGTTCCCCACACTATGCCCATGTTCTGATGGTGTTTACTTAGCTACTTTCGCAGCTTCCATGTTACCACTGTGGTTTGTTTTTGCAGTGTGGCTTACTCTACTCTAGCTGAGCTGATAAACTCTGGTGATCTCAATGCAAAGAATGAGCCACACATGGCAACTTGGGGGCCTGGAAGACACAGAGCCAGAAAGATGAAAGAGGAGTGGGCCTTTGATTTGAGCTGAAGAAAGTTGGCATGTTAGTGCAGTTTTTTCTATGAGATGATATAACCTGTTTCCCAGTAGCGACATGCCATCTGGCTGCAGTGCGGTTGGTATCACTCAGCTTCCCACTGGGAAAAGCAGCAGGCAGACCAGGCTCAGCCAGACGCCTCCAGACATTTCAGCCTCAACTGCACCCAATGTGTGCCTTGCTGGCTCTTTGCACCAAGTTCTGAAAACCATCTGCATGTAGAAGAAATGTACTCTCTCTGCTTCTGTGTGATACTTCTGCTGAAGCCAATTTACATTCTCCTTCAGAAGAGCCATTTTATGTCCCAGAAACTTAATGAGCTTTTTTTTTTTAAAAAAAATTAAGAACAAGCTGTTTTATTTTGAATGAGAAACTCTCCTTCTGCCAAGAATTCTTTATCAACCTAAAACTCAGAAACCACAAGCAAAGTAAGAGTTGTTCCAAGACCAAGCCAAACTGCCTTCCAGATTTACCTGAAATGAAACATTTGGCCACCCAACAAAACAAGCCAATGGCAGGGTAAATCCAGGACCACCAGAATGGAGGGTAGGAGCATGTGCTTAACGTTCTCCTTCCTACATAAGGGTTGGTGTGTCTTCATACTGGAGCTGGAATTAGTGGACGGATCTAGGTTGGAATTGAGATCTGGCCAGCATGCAGGGACCACCATTCATCAGGCACTCATGATCTACCATGCACTATGCTAGCACTTCACAGGCAATATGTCTCTGCAGGTACTATTTGTATCCCAAATTTACAGATAAGCAGGCTGAGGTTCAGAGAAGTTGAGTAATTTGCTGAAGGTCATTCAGTGGTGAAGCTAGGATTCAACCAATGACTGGTAGACTCCAAAGCCCATGCATGGTTTTAAGCATATGCTCCACTGTACTTAGAGGCAGATAAAACAACTATGATGGGCCTTGTACTACAGAATACCAAATGTGTTATGTATGTCAAAGATTACCTGCTAAGGGAGAATTCAGAGTGTTTTACTGTCAAATTCAGTTCTAAGATGTTTATTATTCCTGCAAATCCAGGATAACAATACCTAGTATTTATTGAGCATTTACCAGGTATAAGACATTATACCAAGCACTGTAAAATACATTAATTCATCTAATCACCAATGAATGGTAGGTATTATTATTATTATTATTATTATTTTTGAGACGGAGTCTCGCTCTGTTGCCCAGGCTGGAGTGCAGTGGCGCGATCTCGGCTCACTGCAAGCTCCACCTCCTGGGTTCATGCCATTCTCCTGCCTCAGCCTCCCAAGTAGCTGGGACTACAGGTGCCCGCCACCACGCCCAGCTAATTTTTTGTATTTTTTAGAGATGGGGTTTCACTGTGTTAGCCAGGATGGTCTAGATCTCCTGACCTCGTGATCCACCCACCTCGGCCTCCCAAAGTGCTGGGATTACAGGCGTAAGCCACCGTACCTGGCCAATGGTGGGTATTATTTTCTTCATGTTACAGGAAAGAAAACCGAGGCTTGGAGAAGTGATGTAACCTGTCCAAGGTCAGGTAAAATTAGGTTGAACCATGTGAAATTGCCATTTTGTAGATCAAAACCAATCAAGTTAATCAATAGTACCTAGCAATATTGGAAGTTGAGTCAAGGTCTGACCCCTAACTAGCAAAGGAATAGTCTTTAGAGTGCAAAATTGGATTCAAGTGTCCTGAATGTTGATTGGAAAACAATGCCCCAGATCAGAGAGGAATGACAGACTGTCAGAAGCCATTCATGGTGGCTTTACAGCATGTGGACTGTCACATGCTTCTAGAATGAACAGACGTGGAAGATGGTGGGAATGCTGTCTCAGCGGTAGATGCTAGACTCAGCCCTTGGAGAATGCACCACACACCCCTTCTCCTGTCTTCTTGTTGCTTTGCACATGACCCCTACTTCCCTTTAGCTCCTGTTCCCTTCAGGACTCCCTGATTCCTGCCCTTGGATTCACCTCACACTCATGCATCTCCTGTCCTGACTTGTTTGGACGGAGCTCTTCCTTTGGATAGGCCCCCAGCATTCTGTTGCTCCGTGTGACTCATCTCCTCTTCTGGTTCCCACCTCTCACATCACTCTGGGTCTACGTACTTTTGCTCTTGATTTAACCTTCTGGGGCTTCTGGCTCCTGCTCCCAGGCTCAGCCCTGCCTGGGCCCAGCCCTTGATGTTCCCTCAGTTCCCAGTTTTCCACACCAGCCACTCTTCTGTGCTAGGCTCCAGCTGATCTGACTTCCCTCCCTTTCCCCCAATCAACTGTGTGGGCTGGGACACAACAAGCTTTGAAGGTTTTGGTGATAAGTTTGGAGGAGGTGGGAAACTTAGCTAGTTCTGTTTGGTTCCCACAAGTAGGGAGGAGTCTTCAGAGAGTGGGCAACTCTGGCAAAGGCCATGAGAAGCTGATGGCTATTTATGATTTCAGGAGAAGGATAGCTGTGATAAAAGGGTCTGATAGTAAATGGGAAGGGAGAGAGAAAAAAGGCAGGGATTAAGTGTTGTTGGCTACCCAAGTATGCAAATCACCTAACAGCTTAGTTCTGTCAACCTAAATAACAGGGAGTGGCTCTCTAATAGAAAAAGATATTTATTTGGGAATAGAGCAGTTTCATGGGAATATGTGTGGTACAGCAAATGACATGCATATTCAGGCAGGTAAAGGAAGACAAAGGTTTTTAAAGGAAAAAAATAAGGAGGGTTGCGCAATTGTTTTAAAATAATTATCTTTGGCTGCAAAGATCAATAACAAGGGTGACACCAGTCTGAGGCTGGACGGGCAGTTGATGAGCAGATGTCCTTGCAGAAGTATTTTTTTTTGTGTGTGTAAGGTTGTGATGGCTGTTGGTCAAGGCTGTGGTTTGTGCAGTCTTTTTGTGATAATTTTTGTTATCAGGCATAAAAGCATGAGAACCCTCTTTTCATGACCTTCCCCAGCTCTATTTGTCAGTGTTTTTTTCCCTTCTCACATTAGTGACTCCATTTTGATTTTGATAACTTTCACAGTTCCCAGAGGAAACTATCAACCAGGCAAAAGAAACAAGCATGTTATGTACCTAAAGACAGAGATGAAAGAAAGAGGAAGCTGATGCCCACGGTTCAACTAAAAAGGAAAATGTATTAGGTGTTCCTCTTTCCCTAAGCAAAAGAGGTGACTGGGGATGGAACAGATGGGATGCAGAAAGAGAGATCAACTGTTTTGTCACCTCTTTCCTTATGGCACATTTTTCCTCCTGGCCAGCCAAAGAATTTGGCTTCATCTGCATGGGCCACCTAATTAAAAAGATGGACATTTTAAAGAAGATTTGGTAATGGGAACTCAAGGGAAGGTGATGCTGAAGGATTTTAATTGCAAGAAACCAATCAACTTTATGGGAAAATAAAAATGATTACGATAGACACATTTGAGATGATTGGCAGGTGGATAAGAAGAAACCACTAATTGGTGTTTTAACCTACCTAGGACTTATTTAAGACCTGGCAGCTCTCGGACTAGGCAATTGATCTTATGTATGTTTAAAGGCAACTGCAATGAGGAAAGTCCTTTCCCTAGAGTTCAATCATTCTTTCCCTCTCTAAGGTATAACTACATGGATGGGTTGTAGTCACACTACTTGGGCATGGCAGTGAAAGCAGACTTAGGGTATAATGAGACACTAGACATTTTGATTGGGAGGTATAGGGGGCCAGAGGGCAGCAAAGACAGGAATCTGAGTGTGGCCTTGCAAGTCTCAGAGAGTTGGAGCCCTTTCACTCCTAAACTGAAACCCTTTTTGGACGGGACCACTTCCTCCAACCAGGACTTAGAGGGTTTTCTTGAGCCCGACACCATGGAAGAGGTTGTAGGGGTGACGTGGTTACTTTGATGGGTGTAAGAATGTCCATTAGTGAATGGGTTTTGGAGTCAGATGCCTGGATTCAAATCCCAATTCTACCACTTTGTATCACTTAAGCAAGTCTCTTTAGCTACTTTTTTGTTTCCTTAACAATAAAAATAGGAAGGTCATAGCTACCTCATAGGATTAGGTAAGAGCATGTGTGTATGTAAAATGCTTGGCATAGGGCTTCATTTATACAAAATACTGAAAAAATAAGTGATGTAATAATGATGATGATGAAAATGATGATAATGATGCTAATTCTGAGTTTGAGAGTCAGAGTTGACAGGGAAAAAAGGTGCTTCAGTTTTCAACTTCAGAAATTGTCTTACTTTTTTTTTTTTTTTTTTTTTTTTTTTTTTGAGATGGAGTCTTGTTCTGTCACCCAGGCTGGAGTGCGGTGGTGCGATCTCAGCTCACTGCAACCTCTGCCTCAGCCTCCGGAGTAGCTGGGATTACAGGCGTGCACCACCACGCCTGGCTAATTTTTGTATTTTTAGTAGAGATGGGGTTTCACCACCTTGGCCAGGCTGGTCTTGAACTCCTGACCTCGTGATCCACCCGCCTCAGCCTCCCAAAGTGCTGGGATTACAGGCGTGAGCCACCATGCACGGCCGATTTCTTTTTTATGTTTAACTTTGCTCTCCAGATGCTTTCCGAAAACCTTAGTTTTCCTGCAGACATTGGACCTGAGTGTGGACTCATACATGCGAACAAGATGTTCATTTCCTCTTTTTTTCATACTGCCTCCAGCCTCCAGAGAAGTGTTCTTTCCCTTGCTATCTGTCCCACTTCCGGTGCAGGTGGTCCTGCCTGACCTAACCACAAACACCTGAGAGAAGACACATGCTAAAGGCCAAACCCTTTTTCCATTTGACTTGGAGGAGAAAGCACCCTCTCTATCAAAGTGACATGAGAAGAATTGACTGCAGAGTAGCTCTGTATTACTTCCGGCTGGGGTATCAAGCACCACATAATGCATACCCTTATAGATGACAGGGTTATTGAACAGAAGAGTAATTTAGAAGGGCCTGATTTTGAGACTGCTACTTGATACTTCTTTAATGGAAAATAATTAGTGTCCATTTACTGGAAGTGATGTACCTCGGTACTGTGGTTCAATTGGACCACACTGATTAAAACATGCTTGAGTGTTCCATATGCTTGTGGTTAATGAGCAATATGTTTTGGTTGTTCTGTTTTCTGTCTTGTAATGTCCAGCCTTGCCTCTGTTGCATGTGAGAGGAAGGGGGTTTGGAGTGCTTTGGAGGCAGTTCATTTTGAAATCAAATTGACTCACAGAGTTAGTGTGGGTCAGTAAATATCCTTGAGCATGTTTATTTCATTTTGTGTTCAGGTATGGCAATATTTACAGTTTGACTCAAATGGATTATAATTAAAAAGAATGGTTATCTCTCTGAACACTGATTGTTTCCTCATGTTTTTACAAATTGAACATATACACATAACTTTACGAGATACAATACAGTCACACCTCTCCAGCATTATTGGGGAATTAAGCCATGCATGATAAGAATATTCCAGATAACTGAAACTTATTCCCTTTGAGTAAATATGTATTTATTTTAGTCATTTAAATGAAAATCTTTTTTGAAATGTGTAACATAGTTCTCTGACATCCTGAACAACAATTTTCAACACAAGTTAGCCTTTTTTTTGATAAGTCAGAGCGAGCGTTAAACCGTCATCCTTATACCGGTCCAGGTTTGGCCAACGTGTTACCAAGGTTTTGTCGCTAGATGGCTCTGGGTAGTGAGGCCTTTGGAATTCTTGGTTCTGATTTTTAGAATATTTTTTCTATCCTTCATTGCTGTCATTCTGTTGGTGTAACTTCTTGCTGCTATCAGTAGGCCTACTTCTACGATTTCTCCTTAAACTAGTCATTTCTACTCAACTTTGAATGAAGAGACCAGTACCCAATCTTAGTGGACTTTAAGTAAGGTGAGAGTAAAGAGTCTCTGAATGAGATTTTCTTAGGAATAAAATAGGCACATTTCAGTATGTGGATGTTGTGAGACCCATTTTGAATATTGTAGTGTCCTTTTGATGTTTCCCCAAAGTTTTTTAGATAGGGAAATTTACAAGACATCTGAATTCTGGGTAATTGAGAGATGTTGCTGTGATCTTAAAAAACTAACCTATCTCTTTAGATTAGTTTGCCTGTGTGTCCATAAGCTCCAGTAGTGAATGGTGAAAGTCTTCCTAATCATTCTAACCCACATGAATCCCTTCCCTGATTCCTTAAGGTTAGCATTTTGATCTCTCCCACACAGTTAGTGGCTTATTATATGCAGTAGACCCCTGAAATTCACCAGAGATACATTCTAAAGCCTTAGCAAATCTGCAAAATTGCAAAAATTCTGACAACATAATAGTATCCTTCATGCAATGCAATAAAGTGTTGTAGAAAAATTTAAGTGCTCCTTCAGTCTCTTAATGACGTGTATAAATATAGGACTTAAGTTACTTATAAAGCTGGTTGACTGTCTTTTTAGGGCCACTTCTTACAAAGAAATGCAATTTTATAATTTCTCCAACATTACTGCATGGAACCTGAAAAAGGGGAGCAAAATCCAGTTTTGAGGTGGACGTCACAGATTGCACAAGGAATTTTTCAAGAGAAGACAGAAATATGGACATTGGTGATAGGTCCTATCTTTATAAATTTATTGGCAACCAATTTTTAAATTTTTAAATACTCTGAGTTGACAATGTATAAGATAATCTATACATGTATGCCTGGACAATTTGGCTGGTTGTAAGTCTATATCTTCAATCATGATTCATGAGAACTCATTCAAAGTGTGCACTGGAGAACACTAAGGATGTATCATACTAATGTATGTTATTAGTTTATCTATGAAATCTTACCTCTACAAGTCAATTGTAGGCAACATGAAAGAAACAGGCTACATTTTTCAACTTCCTTTGGATGTCCTCTGTGTGGTTGAATACATAGCAGATTTGTCGTGTCTGTTGGGTCTTTGTAGGAGATTTTCGAAGAAATATAATATCATGGTACCCAACGCTGATACACATTTATTACAGAGGGCATAACACCATGAGAAACACAAAAGAGTGTAGGAGAAACAAAAAGGAATTAGAAGAAACTGCAGCAATCCCTGTAGTCTCATGGAAGGGAGCACACTCACATGACCTCGCAACCTGAGGGAAGCGGCAACCACAGCCTGTAAACACGGGAAAGAGTGATGCACAAACTGCACGCTTACAACCTGGGGGAATGGGAAGATGTGTTATTACTCAGGGAAACCTTCATGCAGGGGGTGAATCTTAAACCAGGTCTTAAATGGAAGGAGGGCCCACCAAGTTAGAGGAAAACTACTACTCAGAGTCAAAATGTAGCGACTTTTGAGGACTGAGAATCCTCTCTCCGAAGAGAACCTGAAACTTGACTGTCTTTCCTTAGACACAGTGAAAAATCATCTCTGCGTAAATTGTTTATTTGTATACACAAAGCATGTTTCATGACAGGTTAGGTGACAGTGGAAAATGTGAACGCTGAGAATATGCCAGATATGTTTGTTAAGCATGAAAGTGATTTCTATGATAATGAATGCATGCTTACCGAGCTGAGAAAATTTCAAGTGAGATGAATTACCAAGTACCTCGGTGCATTTAACAACCCTGGGATGTTATCAGGGCTGGGAAGTTAATTTAATGCTGCACATCAAACATCCAGCCAAGCACCCAAAGAATGTGGAACGAAAGCTAAGGGAGCCACACATCTTTAAAAAAATCCCGAAACTTGACCAACAACATGTGCTTGCTCAATTCCTCAAGTTTCAGCAGGCTGGGAGCCAAATTTTCTGAATTCATTTCATACCTGTGATAGCTTCCCAAACTAATAGTTTTTGTTTTTGTTTGGTACACAGTAGTCATGGATGATATTATGACAAGAATAATAAGGTGGGGTGAAAGCCAGAAATGGACATGGCAGCTGTTGGAAGGCAGAAGTGGAGTTCAGCCGACTTCATAGGCCTTAGCTCAGAATGATGGGCTGGTAGGAGAACAGCAAATGAGGTTCTAGGAGGTGCACAGCTCTGTGCTGGGTGCTATGAAAAGGCCCAAAGAAATGCAGGTTGTCTGTGTTTGCCCCCAAGGAGCCTACAACGTGGGCACTTTAAACATTAAGAGGATTAGGTAGAGAGGCAGACCCCTACTTTCATCTCCCAATCCCATCACTGACATGTATGACATTGGGGATGGTACTTAACTTCTTTGAACTTCAGCGCCTTCATACATAGAATGGGGTTAGCACATCTTAACTGAAAGGTTCTGCAGGGCTCAATGAGATAAGGTGAGCAAAAGAGCTTAGTAGAGTTTCCTGGCACAGTCCACATACGTTGTGTTGGCTCACGTCTTTGTGGCTGTGACAACTCGGCATCATACAAAAGACTGAATTAGAAATAGTTCCCACATGATGGCCTTATTGTCCAGGCAGGCAGATATAAATCACAATATCTGGCCTAAATTGTACCCTTGAATTGTATTGTGAGGGTGGTCCCGAAGAAGACGCTCTGGTAGGTACAAAGTAGGGTATGGCCTCATGTGGCTTTGTGTTCTTGGAGCTTAGTGCTGTGTAAAATGCATTAACAGATGGCTTCCCTGGGAATTTAGAATAGAATTTAGTAGGAGGGACATCACCAGAGCCCCCAAATCTGAGCCCTAAAAGTTTGAAGCTGCACTTTATTGTAAAAGTCATTCAGTCTAAACAGCTTATTTTATGGAAGAAGAAATCTGCTTGCCTCTATCCATGCTACTCAGAGAAGCGACTGCTAGGAGGAATGGAGCTTGGGGAGGGGTTGGCTTGTGTTGTTGCTCTTGTTCCTGCCACTGCTCGGTCAATGCAGTTCCTGTTCCCACTGAAGGCAGAGCAGAGGAATTAGTAGAAAGTGTGCTTCTTGCAGGAGCTGAGCTGTTCCCCAGGGGGTAGTATGGTTGTCCCTCTAGCCTGCGATGATTTTGATATAATTCTGCCTAGAGGTGGAGGGATGAACCAAGATGACTTTCCTAGGATGCTGCTGGTAATACTGAGGCCCAGGATTTTAAACACACACACACACACAGAGAGAGAGAGAGAGAGAGAGAGAGAGACAGAGAGAGAGAGAGAGAGAGAGAACCCTCTTTAAGAGGGATGGGGGAGAATGAGCAAGCTTGGCATTTCCCTTGGGATAGAGAAGCACATGAAACGAGTTATCTTATTTGAGTCTATGCCTAGCTACCTTGTGCTTTCTAGAAAACAATTATGCCAGTAAATTTCATTAATTTTATGTCTTTGGGTAATTCGCTGACTGTAATTGGCTTTGAGAGTGTAGTGATTGCACAGCCTCTGTGGGTAACACACAAATAAAAACAATGTGATGAAATGTAATTGAATGATGACTCCAATTTTTAATAACCCCCAGAACATGAGTGCTCTGGGAGTGCAGATATTGATGATAGTTACAAGATCAAATATCACCCCAAAATGAATGAAGCACCATGGTGATGACAAATGGAGGCCATCACATTTGCCCAGAAATAACAATAAAAACAACAATAACAGAGGCTTATATCTGCCAAGAGCCAGGTACCATTCTAAAATTTTTGTGAACTAACTCATTGAAACTTCATAACCATCGTGTGAAGTAGGTGGTGTTGTAATCTCCATTTGGTAAATTTGGAATCTAAGGCAGAGACAGATTTAAAAAAAAAAAAAAAACTTATCCAAGTTCACACAGCTAGTGCACAGTGAAGCCAGCCAGAGAAGAATTCCTTCCCCCACAACCCCACGATGCTCACTCATTGGATATGTTCGCTTCCTTCCTGCTCTCTTAATCATCTGGGTTTTCATTTAGTTTTTATCATTTTGCATACACATCTCATGTATTAGGTTGAATCATATGAAATCAATGTTTTCACAGATCAAAAATCATTGACTATTAGTAGTAGTCTCATACGGTTTGACCTAATATTCCACGATTCAGGGATTATTTCTATTAATTAAGACAATCGGCATTTTATTCCCCTGAACAGTCTATTGAGGAGAAATGCATGTGACCAAAGTAATCCACGCAGGATGAATCTCAGGCCTCATGCCTGGAATGTTAGGATGGAAGTTGTTATGCAGAGACATAAGGTCCAGAACTCCTGGAGCTGCATCAATAATAGCTTAAAAATGAAACCTGTCCACGAAGTTTCCATATCTACCCATAGCCTTGAGAGTCACAAATGTAGAGTCAGGACTGCGGATAAGCCACACCTGGTCACTGGTCTCTCTACATTTTCACTTAGATGAGCCAATCAGTCTTCTTCATTTAAGGCCATTGAGTTGGTTTTTTTCTTATTCCCAATCACATATCAGCCATTCTTGAGTGAAGAGAGACAAAAGGGGATTTTAACTTTGCAATGGACATGAATGATAGAGATGGCAGAAACATCTGGTGACATTTACATCCAGGTCCTCTGACTCTTCAGCCAACAAGCCACATAATGCTGTGACAAGGACAAGCCTGTCTTCACCACACAACCTGCTTTCCTCTTTTTCCTGCAACTCTTTCAACTTCATCTTCACCATCTCTAAAGGAACAACTGCATGGCAAGGAAGCACAGTGAAGTGGAGTATGCCTTCTTACTGGTATCAAGTTCCTTCTCAAGTAAGAGAGAAGAGTGTAGGCAAAAAATCTGGAAGGCTATATAAGACAGTGAAGTTTTACCCCTGAAGAGGGCTTATCCAAGAGAAGTAGGAAGTGGGGAGTACAAGGTAGTATCCTGGTCTTTGTTACGAGCTTACCTTGAAATTTATATAGTAGGCTATTTCTGAGTAGTATTTTTCCATATGGAATTAGCAACCACCCATATTTTTCTCCAATAAATGGGGATGTTCTGAGGATTGAGGATAACATCAGTGCTCTATTTGCTCCATAAAAGGATAATGAGTAGGATATTGGTTGCCTACCCAATATTTATCCCATCCTTTCTATACTTTCCTAACAGAATCTGAATTTTGTACAGAAATCAATAGCAGCCATGAGTAAGAATGCTCAGAGTGTACCCTGGGTAGGGCCTTTATATGAGCTAAAGGAAACCAAAGCCAATTTCTAAGATGGAAATGATTGTCCCAATTGCCTAAGGGCATTGCTTTGGTGGTAACTCATGATTGCTCTGTCTAGGAATATAGAGATTGTGTATTTCAGTGGTAATATGAGTAATGTTCTTTGATCATAAGTGATTTAATTATAGTCTCAGGGACCTCAGAATATAAAGGAGAGCCTTTCAATGTTATTCCACTGAAAGAGCGTTAGCAACCACATGCCATTCAAAATGGGACTCGTTCCCGGAGAGATGTTATTTCTGGTCATGAGTGGGGATGGCAAATTAGGGAAAAAAATATCCTGGAATTTATTGACCTAAATTCATTTACAACCAATCAGATCCCAGAAGGCTAAGGGTTTAAGCCAGGAAACAAAAGGGCTGAGCCTCTTGAAATGCTGGTTTCCACTCTTCCTTTGCAACAGGACCCCCCACAGTGGCAAATACATGTTTCTTTCCTGTGAGGTAGGCAGCACCAATGTTTGACTTCAGGTTACTAAACTCACTGGCTTTCCTATCTATTCACCCTTTGGAAATCTCCTCCCAGGACTCAACAGAGGCTGAAGACATTGTCATCAGTTGTGGATCTGGGGGTGAAGGAAGTGAGATCTGAGCAGGTCAAGGATGGTCTGTGGAGCAAGTGGCAAACACTGGTCATGGCTCTTGGCATTGGGGAATGCTCTAGATCCCTTGAGATGCATGCAGGGCCATGAGGCACTGGTCCTTGTGGTAAGGTGGGACAGCCTGGAGGTAAGGATGGAGGAGAGAGAGTACATGGTGTGCAGGAGCCTTCTTGGGGGATGCAGGCTGCCTCCTGCAGTACACATGGGAGTTTTTGCAGGCAGTTCATGTAGAAATGAACTTCAAGGGAAGCCTTTCAAGGTAAAAAGAAATTCAGTTTGCTGTCTGTTATGGTTTGGGTCTGTGTTCCTGCCCAAATCTCATGTCAAATTGTAATCCCCAATATTGGAGGTGGAGCCTGGTGGGAGGTGATTGGATCACGGAGGCAGAAATCCCCTTTGGTGCTGTTCTCATGACAGTGAGTCAGTTATCATGAGATCTGATTGTTTAAAAGTATGTAGCACCTCCCCCTTCTCTCTCTTCCTCCTACTCTAGCCATGTAAGACGTGCCTGCTTCTCCTTCATCTTCTGCCATAATTGTAAGTTTCCTGAGGCCTCCCCAGCCATGCTTCCTGCAGAGCCTGCGGAACCATGAGCCAATTAAACCTCTTTTCTTTATAAGTTACCCAGTGTCAGGTATTTCTTTATAGCAGTGCAAGAACAGATGAATACACCATCTGGGAAGATAGTAATGGAGCCCGGGAAGCCTCATCCACTTGGCCTTAGAGACAGTGGGAAGTGGTTATACATCTCAGAAATTTTGAAAGCATTATCTGACTTTCATCATCTCTTGAAATTTTTCCAGAATCAGGAAAATAGTCTCCATAAACACTGATTCTATGTTCTGGAGAACTAGGAAAATGAGAAAATAAAATGAAACTTACAGTTTAATTGTGTGAAAGTCAGATCAGTTACAGTCATGTATGTGAGCTGCTCACCACTGAGGTCTCACGACAAGGATTCATGAAGAGGGTCATGAATAGTACTTGACGGCATAAGACTGTGATACTTGATTCCAGCCAAAATGCTGATATTTATGTGCTCAACATGTGTTACTTATATGTCAGGGAGATTTGTCTGTAATGTAAATTCTTTTTAGAGAGCACTGATGGGGAGGCTTTGGTGCCTTACATGTCAAGGTGGGCTAAATTTCCTAACAAGACATTGGGCCCATCCTTGGGTCTGGGCCAGGCACCAGAAGCAGGCTCTGCAGTAAGCATTTACTCTCTCAGCCTCTGCTAGGATTGAAATCACCAAGAACCCAGAGGTGGCTGGGAAACCATCACATCACCATTTCACCAATGACAGCGACAACTGGCTTTTCCCTAGGGATTACTCTGTCCCTGATACTGTGCAAGAGATTTATGCGTGTTGTCTTATTTAGTTCTCACAATTACTATATGAAATAAATTTCTTATTTCTATTTTACAGATGAAGAAAAGGAGGCTCAGAGAGTTTAAGAAACTTACCCTCCTCACACCATGGATAACAGGCAGAGCCAAAAGCAAATGCAGGTCAGTGTGACCCTACACTCAAAGCCTGGGACTCACCCTGCAACAGGCTGGGTGAGGAGCCTTAGGGGCACCTGAGCTTTTGAAGCCACTCTGATGGTAAGTCTTGTCTGAATGCCGAACTGGATTCTTCATGTGACATTTAGAACCCAGCTTGAATCAGATGAAAGGGAGTCTCCTAAAATTCACACACAAGACAAAGGAGGCCTTGCAGCTGAATTTCCACAAAGCCCTGGATGGGGCTGCATCCAAATGTTCTGCATTCCAAATATTCCCTTCTTGCCACGGTGCGGTTTTGGAGTGGGCGGCCTCTTTTCCTGGAGGCTTGTAGGCACATCTTCCTGCAGAATGAGGTGTCACTATCTCCAAAACAGGGTGAAGCATCTTTGAGCTATCTCCAGTTTCTGTTGGGAGGCTTTGAACCTCTCTACAGGAATTGTGTTTCCCCAGTCAGCGATCGGTCACCCGATCGAGAGTTGCCAATAAGATAAGAAACTGCTATCAAGTTTCACCCTTGAAAGTTCTTCCTTCCTTTTCTCACTCTAGGATTAATTCATCTTGAATTTCAAGATAGGGAAAGGTGGGGGTCTTGAAATTTATAGGGATGCATCCCAGAGCAATTTCCAGTGTTTAGCCATAAATATTTTCAAGAGAGATAAAAGCAGTTACTCTAACACTAACTCCCCTGTACAGACTGGCCCCTGGGAGCAGAGAAGTGCAGCCAGCAAGGGAGTGTGGGAAGACTAACCCAACGGGACAGCCACTTATCTTTCCTGTTTGCCCCAGGGAGGGAGGTTGGTGGTGGGGGCTGGCTGCTGTTAGAAGTGCTGAGCATCCCCCACCCCTCCCAATTTGTATTTAATCTCCCTAGCCCTGTATGTTTTTTTCATTGCCAGACCCAGATCTACGACAACAGTTTCCATTTCTTCCCATCTCCCAAGCAGTGAGCAACAAAGGAAAGACATTCTAAGAGCCCATGAAACGTTTTTTTTTTTTATTGAAACCCTGTTCTCCAGAGAGAGATTGAGGAGGCGATTTAAGCAACCTTATTACAAAATAAAAATGTATCCTCCTACTCCATGGCAGGAAATGTGAGAAAGAGAGACAAGCCCATAAAAAAGCACCAAAAAAAAAAAAAAAAAAGTTTGCACAAGGACTAGAACAAAGGAGAGACATTAAATAATTATGTGCAGAAGAAACAAAAACAACATGAGACTCAAAAAGGATCGTTAAAAAAAACAATTTACACAATATTGCCTTAGGCAGGAACTTCTTTGAGATATTATGCATTATATTTCAAATTTTCTAATTAAAAAGATTAATCAAGCTGTGCATAATAGCTGGGATGGGAATCCCTTATCTTTAACAGTATAGTTTATAAGAGCATTCCTGATTTTGTACGGTTGACAGTATTATGAAGGCATTTGACAATACTATCAGAAAGATTTCAGGTGCCTCAAGTTTTGTTTGCAGCTTCATAATTTATCATTATTTAATGGCACCCAAATAAATCTGCTCATTAATGAAGCAGATTAGAAAATAGACACAATTCCGCTTGGTGGCACACACTTGTAGGCCCTGCTACTTGGGAGGCTGAGGCGAGAAGATGGCTTGAGGCCAGCCTGGTCAACACAGTGAGTCTACTATCTCTATTAAAAAAGAAAAAGAAAGAGCAAACAGACACAACATAATACAGCTACATTTCTAGACTATCTAATTCTTCTCACCCACGGCCCCAGTTGGATTGAATAGTCTGCTAAAATTAAAGTGAACAGCAAACACCGAGCTCTGTTTTAGGAAACCTTTTTTGTGTTTTGCTCAGCATTGACATTGGTTATTGATGCCTAATCTTCAATAGATCTTGTAGGCATTCTAGAACTCATGGAGTTAGTGGTTTTTTCCATAGAATAACCATCTCTGTATTTTCACATACAGATGGTTGGGGATTCTGCCCTAGAGTGGGCTAGGACAGGAGGAAATACTTGGAATATCAGGTGCAGCCATGTAAGCAGCTCATTAGAAGGGCTCATTTACTTTCCAGTAGACATTTCTCTCACTGGGGCTGGTTTCCTTCTTTGGCTCTGGGAGTACTGCCAAGTCACTTTTCCCTCCTGGGAGGAGAGGGGGTCAAGGGTGGATTGGGGAGACAGCCTCTCCTTCCTCTTGTGTGCCCACCTGCTGGAAATAGAAATTGTGTCTCTTAGTTTCAAATGGTGTTGCCCACGAGAAGCAGTCATGGGGCAGGCAGAGTACAAAGCTTTCCCCCTTGCTCTGTTGTTGGGGATTGGCAGGGAGTGGGGAGGGAGGAAGGATTAGTAGGCTGGGGTTGGGAAGGGGTAGATGTCTGAGGGTTTCCTCTGTGGAAAGAGGTGAGCAGGGTGGACCTTAGGGAGGGCGACAGGTCTCATCTACTTAATATCTTGTCTCATCTCCTCCTCCTAACCTCTGCAAGGGGCAGGGGGTGGGGAAGGGGAGTCCCAGTTGATTCCCTGCAAAATATGCCTGCAAATGAGGCAGCTGACTGGGAGCATCCATACTATTTAGATACAGAACCCACATGGCTGTGAATTCCCCAAATCTCAAGCACATTGTAGAATAGTCACAGAATCTGAGCAATACCTGACTATCTAAATGGCCCAATTTCTCTCTTAAGAAGCTTTTAGGAGAAATAAGGTCACATAAAAATCAAGGTAGCAAGCAGTATTATTCCTCCAGGCATCTTTGAGTCAGAAAGAGCCTGAATTTTAAAAATAAAAACTGCTGTCTTGCTTAATATATTCTCTCCTCTAATAAGCCACCAAGCAGCCATTGTACTCTCCCAAGCCAGTGGACATATATCTTGCTAAGACACATGTGTCCACAGTCAGGATATTGTCTAGGAAACCTGAGCCTGCAGCCTGCGCAGGAGCCGCCATCACTGCATTAATTCCTTCCAGAAGAATAGAAACCCAGGCTCAAGGCAGCAGCACAGGGTCCCCGAAGGACACATTGCCATTTATTTTCGGTGTGATTATTTTCCATTACACACTTGCAAGGGGTGTTTTTGAATGCTATCTTACTTTCTTTTCATGTCCCTTCATTTACTGCACCCCTAGAGACAGTCAAAATCTCCAGGCCACACTCTGCAATAAAAACTCAGCAAGTTTAGAGGATACAGCATGAAGCTTCCCAGACGGCCAGAAGTTCTGCTGACGGTACTAAAATTCAGGAGCCTCATCTAGCATCCCAGGCAGGTGTGTCTATTCAGTGAATAGGAAGCTGGAAATGTTTCCTTCGAGGATGGCTTCTCTTCTTCCCGTGGGCTAAGAGTTGGTGTATTTTCCTTCTGGACTGCCTTGATCCCTGACTTGGTCAATTCTGAATGTCAGACCAGTTTCTGGGGGCTCTGTTTGCATTCTGGAGGTTACGGTCCTCAGGTTCTTTTGTACTATGATGGGCTGGGGATAAGTCCCTTCAGCAGGGGTGGAAGGCCCTTTATGAACTGTGGTCTATGATCAGAATCTTGTTCCACTCAGAGCTTTTCTCAACTGCCCCTGAGTGCATGATGACAGAAAACAGTCATAATCAGTCCTTGGTCTCTAAGTGCAAGGAACCCTCTAAATGTATTCATAGCAAAACAGTATGTTTCACCACCGAAATATACTCATAGAGCTGATTTCAGATGAAGTGGCCCAGAAGTTTACTCCTTGTAGCCTCGTGTGTTGCTGAGGAGTCTCCCCTATTTCTTCAGAGTCTTGCTCTGTCGCCCAGGCTGGAGTGCAATGGCAGGATCTCGGCTCACTGCAACTTCCGCCTCCCAGGTTTAAGTGATTCTCCTGCCTCAGCCTCCCGAGTAGCTGGGGCTACAGGTGTGCATCACCACGTCCAGCTAATTTTTGTAGTTTTAGTAGAGACGGGGTTTCACCATGTTGGTCAGGATGGTCTTGAACTCCTGACCTCATGATCCGCCCACCTCAGCCTCCCAAAGTGCTGGGATTACAGGCATGAGCCACTGCACCCGGCCTCTCCCCTATTTCTATACATTTCTGAACTGTGTCAAGATCACTTTGGTGCATTTTGGGAAATGCCTCAGTTGCATCAAAATCAATGGTTCTCCAAAGCATCAGAATCACCTGGAGGGCTTGTTAAACATGGCTCACTTGGCCCCTCCCCCGGAGCTTCTGATTAAGTAGGTCTTAGGTGGGACTCAAGAATTTGCATTTATGACTAGTTCCTGGATATGCTGGGTCAGAGTGTGTGTCCTCTGTCTTAATCCGTTTTGGGCTGCCATTAAAAAAATACTGTAGCCTGGGTAGCTTATAAACAACAGAGATTGGTTTTTCACAGTTCTACAGTCTGGGAAGTCTAAAATCAAGGTGCTAAAAGATTTGATGTCTGGTGAGGGCTTGCTTCCTCAAAAATTTCTGTCTTCTTATTATAACCTCACATGGCAGAAGGGGCAAGGGATCTCTCTTGGAATCTCTTTTATAAGGGCACTAATCGAGTTCATGAGGGCTCCACACTCATGACCTAATCACCTCCCAAAGGCCCCACCTCCTAATACCATCACCTTGAGGGTTAGGATTTCAACATATAAGTTTTGGAGTGATGCAAACAGTCAGCCCATAGCAAGCCCCAAATTCATGTCCTTCCCGGGACCTCATAATAAAAACTTATTTGGGAATAGAATTGTTGCTGATGTAATTAGTTAAGATGAGGTCATACTAGAATAGGGTGGGCCCTTAATCCAATTTGCCTGGCATCCTAATAAGGAGAGACCCACAGACAGGGACACAGAGGAGAATGCCATGTGACAACAAAAGCAGAGAGGGGAGTGATGTGTCTACAAACCAAGTAGGCCAACGATTTCTGGCAATGGCACAAACTAAGCGGAAGGCATGGCACAGATCCTTCCTTGGTGCCTTCAGAGAGAATGTGCCCCTGCTGACATCTTGGTCTTGGACTTTTAGCCTCCAGAACTGTTAGAGAATACACCTTTGTTGTTTTAAGCCGCCAGCTTGTGGTAATTTGTTATGGGCAGCCCTAGGACATGAGTACAGGAGATGCTGATATTGGTGGTCCTGATAAAGCACTTTAAGAACCACTCATGGAAATTAATTAGATTATTTCCTTCTTCTTCAACTCCTCTCTCTCCTTACAGTGTCCATGATGAATTTTCTTTCCAAAATAATTTCTACTTGCATCTGCCAGCGCCTTCTTAATTCCCTAAGAAGAATTTTCACCAGCTCCTGGTTCCTTAATACTTCCCTGATTCTTGTTCCTGATCTTTTTAACCCCATGTAATCCATGGGGGCCCTTTCCAGCTATGTTGTGGTAAAATGAGATCTCTGATTCCTCTATCCTGATAGGGAATTGTTACTTCATGTGGTTGGATTTCACACACTCTAGGAAGAGAAAGACACAGGTAGCAGGAAACCGTTGTAAGAGCCATCAGGGAACTGGAGAGACAGGGTGGGAGTGAGGGGATTTTGGCTTCAGGAAGACAAGCATTAAGAGGGATTTATCTGCCTTCAAATATATGAAGTGTTACTGTGCATAAGATGCAGACAGCATGCTTTCCATCTCCTCTGAGAATGAGCCAAAGGCAGGCAGGCTTAGGGAGAAGAACTTTGAGTGGACAGAAAGAATTTTCTGAGGTTGAAGGTTTTAAGTCACTGGAATGTCAAGGGAGAATTTTAAGTAAGAGTAGACACCTCTTTATTAAATTTGATTTAGATGGGGCCCTTTGTGGAGCCAGGCAAATGAACAAGATAGACTTTGGAGGTACTGTCTGCTTTCTGAGTCTGCAAACTTGCAAAAGCAGGAAAAATGTCCATTTGGGAAAAAAATTAGCTCAAAGGAAAGAAACACTTCTCTGTTGATATATTTGTGATCTTAGATAGGGAATCAGCCTGCATTTTTTCTTTTATATTTTTAATTGAATACCTATAAAGACACCCTTTTGTGTTAAGGAGTGAGATTGGTTAGAAGCTTTGGTTTTTAATCCCTCTGGTATTATCTAGGCTTTATTTTTATTTTTATTTTTGAGACAGAGTCTTGCACTGCTGCCCAGGCTGGAGTGCAGTGGCGCAATCTTGGCTCACTGCAACCTCTGCCTCCCGGGTTCAAGTGATTCCCCTGCTTCAGCCTCCTGAGTAGCTAGGATTACAGGCGCCCGCCACCACGCCCAGCTAATTTTTTGTATTTTTAATAGAGACAGGGTTTCACCATGTTGGCCAGACTGGTCTCAAACTCCTGACCTCATGATCTGACCACCTCGGCCTTCCAAAGTGCTGGGACTACAGGCATGAGCCACTGCACCTGGCCTTATCTAGGCTTTTCAAATACAATTTTTTTCACCTGCAGGATGACAAAAGTAGTACATATTTGTTTTCTATTGCAACATAACCAATCACAAACTTAGCAGCTTAAAATAGCATAGTTATTCTCTCACAGTTTGCATAGGCCAAGAGTCTAGACATGACTTCTGGATCCTGTCCTCAGGATCTCACAAGGCTGCCATCAGAGTGCCCGTGGCCTGTGTTTCTTTCTGGAGTTTGGGATCGTTTTCCAAGCTTTCATGATTATCAGCTGACTTCAGTTCCTTTCAGCTGGAGGACTGAGGTCCCTACTCAGTTGCTGGCTGCCAGCTGGGGAATGCTGTCAGCATCTGGATTCCTCGCAATTCCTGGGCCTTCTCACAACATAGCTGCTCATTTCTTCAAGGCCAGTGGGAGAATCTCTCCCTCTGTAATAAGACCATGAGAGTGACCTCCCACCACCTTCTTCATACTCCCTGTTGGCTAGAAGCCAGTTACAGTTTCTGCCTGCGCTGAAGGGGAGGGGCTGATAGATGGCTGTCACTCGTTGGGGCCATCCTAGAATGCTGCCTGGCATGGGTGGTTGGGAAGGATGCCCAGCTGCCAGGGAGGGCTGCATCCAAAGGCTTCTACTTTATCTGGGATTCATCTGCTTAAATAAATTTAAATGCAGAAATGGAATTCCAAATGGAATACAGAAAGTGTGAATGATCCCAGCTTTACACTCTAGTTGTGCCCTAAAGCTCCATTAGGCAGTCAATTGTTGGAAGTTAAGTACTTTAATGAAGGACTTTCTTTTTCTAGGTAATATAGTATAGAAGGTAGACCTTAGAGCCAGACTGCCTGGGTTCAAATCCTGGCTGATACTTGCCCTGTGCAGTTTTGGGCAAGTCATTCAGCATCTCTGTGCCGTTTTCCTCATGTATTAACATAAATGGTGTTCATAACAGCACTTACTTCATGGAGTGGTAGTGAGGATGAAATTAGTTAATATGCATGAAGAGCTTAGAATAATGCCTGGCTCCTCATAAACACTGTCTATGCGCTATGATCTGGGTTAGGACAGCAGGCATCACATGCCATCCTTATGCACGACATTCCCATGGGCATGCTTAGGATTCTGGGCATTTCTTGGCTTGTAGCTATGGCTCTGTTCCTTTCTCTTCCACTCAGGGAAGCATTTCAGAATGCTAAAAAAGAAAGTGACATTACTCTAGGGGTAAGTCTGAACGAGGACTGATTTTTTAAAATTAAATGATCTATAAATTTCAGTTCTCCTAAGTAGTAATAATAATGACAGCTGAATTTGAGCATTTACTGTATGTTTTCCAACATACATACATTCATAGACTTTCCAGTCTATGAAATGCTGTGATGTGAGCATCTCATTTGGTCTTCACGACACCTCATAAGTAGGTACTATTATCCCCTTTTTATAGAGTTGGAGCCTGAGGCTTATTTCCTTAACCCAGCTGGTCAGTGGTGAAGCCTTAGATGGAAAAACGTGAAGCAGCTATACTCTGGAACCCTCTGTCTTATGAGCTATTCTGTAACATTTTCCCATCTTACTACTGGCAACTCACCTTTCAACTCATGTGCTGTAAAATTACAGTCAACAAATGCTGACATAAATGACACAAAAGGGGAGAAAAACTGTGGGTTCTTATTTGTTTGCTTAGTTGAGGGGGGCATGGTAATTGTAGACAGAGGGAAACAATTCAGGGTATATACATACTAGAGGAGCACCCACTAGGTTTCAGGCACTGTGCAGTGTTTCTCACTCACCATTGTCTCACTGGATCCTCAGAAATACTGTGGAAGCCTATTATTTTATTACCTTCTTTCTGCAGATGAAGACGTTGATGCTCAAAAGTCGCTAATGAGAAGCTGAGCCAAGAGTCAGATCCAAAGTCCTTCCAGCTCTGAAGCCTGCATTGTTTCCAACGCATGATGTTGTCTGAATGGTGAGCAATGGAAGACAGAAGATACTAACATGGTAGAAATTATCCTGAGTGGGGAGAGAGAAGGCCCTGGGGTGCTGCGAGTGTCCTGGGCAGGCAGCAGGGAGCCCCTTTAGCCCTGACTAGCTTGGTTGCATTTCTGATGGGTTTGACATCAACAGGCTCTGCTGAGTCCCAATTTGGCTAGGTACCACCACTTGTAGCACAGGGCAGATCACTCCAATGCCTGCAGCATTCATTTCTCAATTTTCAAATAAAACTAGCTTTGTTTGAAGGACAAAGTGAGATGATTTTTGACAGCACTGGGTAGATGCAATAACACTTTGCACTTTTCATTTAAACAGATACTTTAAATGTGAAGGTAGAAAGGAGAGAAAAAAGATTAGCTGTGGGTGGAGAGGGGGAGATGCTGTTGATGAGAAGCAAGCACTATCCATGAGATATTATTATGAGCCTTTGCAGAAGAACACAATCCAATCCTGGAGCCTTAGACGTCACTCCAGAATGCCATTGGAACATTTTCTCAGTTCACTTTTAGAACTTAGACAATAAGTGAGTAAACAGAAAACTTCCTGATAAACAGAAGTATTTTAAACACTTAATGGAGAAAAGAGCTCAGTGATTGGCAATGAGAGGGTCACATTGTTAGTTTCCAAGGGCAAAAGCTGAACAAAATGGATTAGGAATCATGCCTGATTCAATTTCTGGCTCAACAACTTAGCTATAAAATTGGGCAGAGTCTCCTCGAGCCTCTGTTTTCTCAGTTCTAAGGTGGAGATAACAACAATCTTGTAAGGTATTTGAAGTGATTAAATTAGGCAGTGCTATGGTTTTGCTCTTTGCCCCTTCCAAAACGCATGTTGAAACTTAATCCCAATGTGGCAGTAGTGAGAGGTAGGGCCTTTAGGAGGTGACTGGGCTATGAGAGCTCTGCCCTCATTTGTGGATCAATGTATTCCCGGGTTAATGGGTTATCATGAGAGTGGGACTTGTGGCTTTGTAAGAAGAAGAAGAGACACCTGAGCAAAGATGCTTAGCCCCCTTGCCATGTGATGTCCTGCACCTCCTCGGGACTCTGCAGAGAGCCCCCGCCAGCAAGAAGGCTCTCACCAGATGAAGTCATTCAACCTTGAACTTCTCAACCTCCATAACTCTAAGAAATACATTTCTTTTTCTTTTTAAATAAATTATCCAGTTTCAAGTATTCCGTTACAAGCAACAGAAAACAGACTAAGACAGGAAGTGATTCAATTAGCACAGTGCATGGCACCTATAAAACGCTCATTAGTGATACCTGCTGCCGCTGTTTCTACTCTTCTGCTGAATTACTATTAAAATAAGAATGAAGCCCGAAACAAAAACATGGTCACTTTAGAGTAATACTATTTAGAGAAGTTTTTCTGATTTGAGTCCCATCCTTGGATTCCAACATGCAGGAGACTAAGGAGTGGTGGGACCAGGCAGAAAGAAACATGCCCCAGATGTTTTGCTCAGATATTCTGGCATTGGAAACAGTGTGGTATGAAAAGATAATTTTGAGCTTCAGGAATAACTGGGTAATGACTTTAGAAGAGAATCTATGTGCCATCTCTCAGGTGCAATGGAGGTTAACAACGACAACAGCAGCCGTGGAAGTGGGGTGGAGATGGAGGTGGAGGGTATCCTTTTCTCTACATATGTCAACGGGCCTGCAAGAGGATTTGGCAGTGTGCTCAGGGGTTTAGGGCACAGATTCTGGAAGCAGGTTTGGTATATAGGGCCTTAGATAACTCATGTAGGATTTCTTTTGCCTTAACTTTCTCCTCTCTAAAATGAGGAGAAGAGGGTTGTACTACTGCTAACCACACAGACTTCTGTAGTGATTCAACAAGGCAGCACACATATGAAGGCCTTAGCAATGCTAGACACACAGGAAGGCCTCAAAAATATTAACTCATATTATAGCTAACCCTATTATTCAAAGGTAACAGATTCAGCAAAACTAAAATAGGAAAATAAAAAACTAGAGGGTATTAAATCTAGGTCTAGAATTGTGATTCCACTTCTTGAGTGTCCCTGCCAACCTGTCTTTCTTGGAGCTAAGAATTCTCTTCACATTCAGTCATGCATATCTGTCCATATTGTCATTGAAACACATATTATTGTAAAAGTATATCCAGAAAAGGTATTTTTAAGGTGCCCACATTTTCTATCTCCTGGCAGTGGAAGGACTTTGACTTCAGGGAAAATTTTAGGACACTGGGAAGGTCAATTACTCTTTTAAGATCATAATATCCTTACAAAAGGGTCCCATATGACCAACCAAGAATCACAGTATATGAAGCACATTCACCTAGAGATGAAAACTATTCATTTCTGACTCTTGTAGACTCCTAAGTGTTCTAAATATGATGTATAGCTGAAAACAAAGTTTAAAAGCTGATTTCAGAAGAAACCATTAAGCATATCCTGAAAGAAATCAGTTGATTTTACCTATTTGGGAAAACCTTTCAGCACAGAGAAGCGTAAAACAGAATGGTTGTCCTTTTGCAAAAAGCTCGTTTTGCAGGAGTCAGAAGGAGAAGCAGAAAGGCGGGTCTGCCAATGGCTTGAGATAAGTCTTTGGGAAAACTGCAGGCAGCCTGAACCTCATAAAGAGCTTATCCAGAAAGAGACATGAATATGATTATCCCTGGCTTTCAAGAGAGTGCAATAAACCAAGCTGGAAGATTGGTTTCTTTCTCTTCAGGCATGAGAGTGAAAGGCATTACCCCTTCCCCATGTCTCCCCACCTTTCCACTGCCCACCCCAATTTGAGCAGGCACAAGATTGCCTATGAAAAGTGCCATCAAAGCTTCAAAGACTCACTAGAGACCACCAGTTTCTGACCTCTGGTCAAACAACTCCAATGTGTGATGTGCCTGTTTCCCACGGACTATCCACGTTCCCAGCTGGGTTTGTGGATAGTGGAATTGGGTTTGTCTCAACTCCACACTCGTCAGATGGTTGTCTCATAGGAAAAACCAGCCAAGGGATATATATTTTGGGAGGCTGTTCTCCCAGAGGGTTAAGGCCATACAACCAGGCTCCCAAAACAGTTTAAGAAGAAAGTCACCCTGGAGTGGTACTGTTGGATTACTAATACATCTACTGCTACCCAATGGCACTCTTTTTTTTTTTTTTTTTTGAGATGGAGTCCCGCTCTGTCTCCATACAACCAGGCTCCCAAAACAGTTTAAGAAGAAAGTCACCCTAGAGTGGTATTGTTGGATTACTAATACATCTACTGCTACCCAATGGCACTCTTTTTTTTTTTTTTTTTTTTTTTGAGATGGAGTCCTGCTCTGTCTCCCAGGCTGGAGTGCAGTGGCATGATCTCGGCTCACTGTAGCCTCCATTTCCCAGGTTCAAGCAATTCTCCTGCCTCAGCCTCCCGAGTAGCTAGGACTACACACCCGGCTATTTTTTTTTTTTTTTTTTTTGTATTTTTAGTAGAGATGGGGTTTCGCCATGTTGGCCAAGCTGTTCTTGATCTCCTGATCTCGTGATCTGCCTGCCTTGGCCTCCCAAAGTGTTGGGATTACAGGCATGAGCCACTGCACTCAGCCTTTTTTTTTTTTTTAAATTTAAAGCCATAGTAGTCCTTAAGAAACCTCCCATTTAGAAAAAATGTTGAAAAGGTGGAGAGGGACTAGAACACAAAGGACTCATGGAGGGACTGGGAAGGACACATCTGAAACAGTAATTCACAGCATGAAGGTGCCAGGCCAGGTCTGGAAAAGATGCCCAGTCCAGAGTGAGAGAGCAGCACACAGCAGGCCCCCAAATAGTTCAGCTCCAGTGGCCATGCCCTCCACCAGCAGCCAGCTCATAAGGCTTTCTCTGTCCCTTCTCTTCCTCCTTTTATCCCTGGCTCCCATCCTACCCAACCCTACTGGAAAGATGAATAAAAAAAGTTAAAAAGGAAAAAGAAAAGGTATATTTATTAGAAATGTGTTCGGCTGTGAGTAACTAAAAGCCCACTTTATGGTGGCTTAAAGAGGGGTCCATTTTTCTCAAAGCATAACAAGTTTGGATATTTCCTGACTTTTGTCAGTGGCTTGGTCCTGGCTAAGGTCTTTGTGATTCCCTTGGCTTTCCTGACATGTCTCATGGTCACAAAGTGGCTGCTGTAGTTCTAGCTATCAAGTCTGTCTTCAAGGCACAGGAAATGGGAAGGGGATAGGGAGGGACCTGTCCCTACTTGCAACATAGCAAAACTTTCCATAAGTGGCCAGATTTCTGCTTATGTCACACAGTTCAGTACAAAATCCCATCACTTTCTCGGCCACCAGCAAGGCTGGGAAAATGGTGGCAAGGTAGAAGAGAATGGATATTGGATTCAATCAGTCAGTAATGTTTACCAAAAGAGGCAATGCAGAATCTATTAAAAATGAGAGATCTCCCCCAAGAGATTTCTGGGCTGCACCCTGGTTGATTCTGATAATCATCCAGACTAGGGAGCCACTGGCCTATGTAAAAATCTCTGCATCCCCAACAACCTAGTTGGGGATTAATCCTATAGACAGTGAGTACTTGAAAATTAGAACATCTGACCTTCTTAATCTTTCCTGGAAGGAAGGAGACTAAAATGAAGTGAGCCAGTGGTGTGCATACGCTGTTCTGCAAGGTGATAACATCTAGGGACCGGAGAAAGAGCCTTTATCCTTTTACAGGAGGCTGTAAGATAATAGAAACCAAGCTTGTTAACCAATAAATAGACGAGAAGCCTTGGGACAAAGGCCTTCTTTTTGGTAAAAATCAGAAGTGAGCAGGAAGGACTCACCCTGAAATTCTCAAACGTGGAGAATTGGAGAGTGAGTTGTCTCAGGGTGCACATAGCTGGACGGTAGTCTCCATCTTAGGGCAGATGGTAACAGTCCTTCTCTCTTCATGCGGCTCCTATATGCCGAGTGCAGGCACTTCACTTGGTTATAAGAAGCTTTAAGCTGCAACCAGATGCTTCCCTTTTCCCTTCCCTACCACTGGAACAGATGGAGTTAAGCTCTAGGCTGATTTCTTGCCCAGAGCACATGGTCCTCTCCTTCTTGTTTCTGCTGATGAGAGCTTAGTTACCAAAGATCTGAGCTCTAAGCCCTCCTCAAAAGCAACAGCTCAGGGAGGTGCTGACCAAAGCCTGTGGTTCAAATTTTAATACAGTGTCTTCGGGGGAGCTGGGAGGACCTATATTCAAATGAACTGAGGACTTCAGTTGCCTCTTGTTCAAGATGAAGAATCCCGTTGGCTCAGAAGGGGAACCCCAACTTTCAAAGCCATTTTTCCCCACGTATATTGATTTTTCCATAGTGTCAACTGTCATTTACCAGGTAGGCACCCGCCTGCTTCATTGTCCCTTGGGTGAGTGAAGACATCACCACTTGTTAATTGCTCACCAGGCACTGGACCAAACTCAACACATTAATTTTCTTACTAGGCTCAGTGATGGCTTGGCTGAAGAAGACTTCATGATCACTCCCATTTTGAAGATCAGCACATTGAGGTTCAGAGTGGTGAAATGACTTGAAGTTCCTGTGGAGAGTAAATGGGAAACATCAGAGGAATGATTTGAACCCTGGTCTGTCCACCTTCAGTGCCCATATTTTGTCCTCCATGCTTTGAAGCACAAATCATGATTCAGGTGAAGAAAGATATTTTAAGAGCTATGAAGATTGCTGGTATTCTCAACAACAAGAGCTCTGTGGTCACATGTGAGTCTAGTTTGGGTTGTTGCTTTTCAAACTTATTTGATTACAAAACTATAGATGTCAATTATTTTGCAAAATGCTTAGTGCTGGAGATGATGAGTGCCTAGATGTAAGCATCTGCTGCTGGGTTTTGCTTTCAGAAGACACAGAGAAAAATACAAATTTATCAAACCTATTAGCCTAAGATTATTGTTATCATGAAGCATTTTTGTTTATAAAAGTATTTCCTTTAATAAGCATAAGCATTAGCAGCCCCATTCACCAACTGTCAACTTGGTGCCTACTCAGAGCAGTGCTTCTACACCCCGCCACCTCCTGCCAGCTGCTGGGGTCCCTGCTCCCTGCTCAGGAGCTCACTGTGGAATGGATCTGAAGGTGCAGCCTGGGCATTGAGAGTTTCAAAAGCTCCCCACATGGTCCTAACATGCAGCCAGAATTCAGAACTATTGATTTAGATTGGTAGGGAGACTAGGAGAGTAGGGAAGAAGAAATCCATAGTCTAAAGGGTTAAGGAAGCTCTTAGAGTGACCAACCCATTCCAGTTTGCCAGGGATTGTTCTGAATTGAAAACTGAAAATCCTGTGTTTTGTGAAACCCCTCAGTCCCAGGCAAACCAGGGTGGCTGGTGACCCATGGTACATTTCCGGGTGTTAGGTAAAGACAAAGGCTCTCAAATGACAATCTTTGTCTATGGGAAATAGACAAAACCTCTCTTTACACAACACTTTAAAACCACATGGTTCTTACATGGAAATAAACAATCTCATTCCATTTGAATTCTAGCGAAACAAATGTATACCTCTGCTCTTGTGATCTGTGTCCCCTTCACATTGCACTGTGGTGCAGGGCATAGCTAACATCCATACAGATTCTAGCACCAATCTGATTGGTGGATTTATTACAGGGCCCTGTTATTTGAGAAAAGACTTGGCTGATAGCACTGTTGTTTTTCTTCTGTTGCCTTTTGCTAAATCCCAACACCTGAAGATTATCAGGCCTCTTTGAAGCGTCCTGTGATTCCAATTCCAATCAATTTACAAGGGATGTGAGATAAATCTGAACTTACCCAAATTAATGTGTAACTTTGAGAAGCACCCCACCCCCTTGCAAGCATCTTGACTGGATTTCATGGAATCTCATTTGATTCTGACTTCCCACGGGCTCCTGAATCCAGCCATGGAAAGAGGGAGGCAGTCATTCCTGCTCACTGAGCATGTTTGGCAGCTTTGTAGTAAACACCAAGGAGACTGGCCTCTGCTCTGACATGTCTCAGGTACTGAATCCATCAAACTACAGGTTTCTGGTAGGCTCTGCCTGCCCAGTCTAGGGCTGGTTTTTGGAAAGCCTGGATATTGGAAAGTAACCTGCATTTACAGATCAGAATGGCTCCCCTGGACATCAACATGATGCCCTGCAAAAAATTCCACGTTTGGAAACACGTGACAGAGGAATTCCAGGGTGCTCCCTGGTGAGCCACCCCATGCATTGAGGGCTCTCTCTAGGCTAGCCATCATGCCAGGCCAGCACAGACATGACCGCTCTTCACCCTCACAAGAAAGGTGAGAAGTAGATAGTACTACCCTTGTTTTCCAGATGAGGAAGCAGGCTTGATGAGTATAACCTAGTAAGTGACAGAGATGAGAGACAAGAGGATCAGATCTGCCTGTCACCAGGGCTACCGCCATGGACCCCAGGGTCACACCCTCTGAAAGCATCAGGGAGAAAAGGCAGGAAATGCAGCACATATAACAGATAACATTGAGATAGGAAAAGAATTTTAAAATGTCAAGAGTATAGCATAACGATTAAATGCCTGGGCTTGGAACCAAACTTCTTACATTGGACTCTTGTTTCCACTTATCTGTAAAATGGGTTTAAGTGAGTTGATATAGTTAGAAGAGTATTAAGACCAGTAAGCACTCTCTGTGGTAGTTGCATTCTTCTTATTCTTATTGCCCTCGTTGTTATTATTATGATGGCTTTCTTAAGTGTCTTTGATGAGGACACACCTTGAGCTCCTTGGGCTATGATACCACCAGGATTCGGAGGATCTTGGAAGAAGAAGCAGGGCACACTGTGTTTCCCAACACATCATGGCACACTTGCTTTTTTTTTTTTTGAAAAAGGGAAAAAGATCCCAGAGTCCCCAAGTCCCAAGCTCTGCTAATTCTCATTCAAGAAACATTGACGACAGGGCTGTGTTCAATGCTCACAGTTGATGCTGAATAATTTGCAACTGGACAACGTTTTCCACCCCATTCCTGGGTCCAGGTTCACTTTCTATTCAGCAGAGCCATGGTGGATTATGAAGAAACACACTGATTACAGACTTAAATAGGCCACCTTGAGCCATCTGGGTCTATTTTCTCCGTTTCAGGAATCCCTCCACCAGAGATTCTCTACTAGCATTTGAATAACCCCAGTGCTGGGGCACTCCCTATCTTGAGACAAAGTCTGTGTGACTCCCCACTAGCTGTGTTACAAATTCTTTCTCTGAGCTCATCTGAAATTTGCTTCCTTCTAACAACATCTACAAATGGACACTCATCCTACCTTCTTGTCAACGTGGAGTACCACCCCACCCTCTCCCACAAGAGGGAGATATCACCTAAACACACAGTTTAGGTAGTTGGCAATTTATTCCTTTCCAAAATCTGTTTTCTGAGAGAAAATGCTCCAATCCTTGAAGACTAGTCTTAGTATTATGCTGGAAACAATGTACTTTCTGTGTGGATTGTTTTTTGGACCCAAACAATCAGCATTGCTTAACAGTTTTGTGCAAACATGTTCTAGTGGGCTTAAGTATGAGATTTGGTCATTTCAGCCCAAGGCCAGACTGGCCAAGTTTCAGGCTTACAATTGAATCACTAGTTCTTAATCAACTTTATCACCTGCCTTGTTTTGTTTCCTATATATGGAATATTTTCTCTCTTCTGATATCAGTGGACCTGATCAGCTTTGACTATTTCTATTTTCAGGGTAGAATGTTTATTTCCAGTCCAATGCCTGTGTCTGAAACATAGAGAAGATTCTCTGTGTAGGAATCTGCAGGGCCACTGCTTTCTAGGGCTGGAATTAGTTATGAGAAGACATTTGCTATGTTTTTAAAAACGGGCTATCCCACGTTCACACTAATAACAACCTTCCACTCTAGTCAGTTCCGTTTTGGAGTTCAAAGTGCTCTATAGTCATAGCCTAATTATATCATTTTTATTATGCAGGTTAAGTATGAGTGCTGTGCTATATTATTATCCGCACTTTATGGAGAGGAAACTGCAGGGAAGCCCTCAGCATGGGAAAGAAAGAGGAGCTGGAAATCTGGACCCATACTCTTGCTCTGGCTGCTCCTCACCTTGGCCGTGTCCTCCTCCCATTCCCTACCATGTCACCCATTCTTCAAGTCCACTTCATGGGATCTGAAGTCACCAATCTGCCTGTCACCACGGCTACCGCCATGGACCCCAAGGGCACACCCTCTGAAAGCATCAGGGAGAAAAGGCTGGAAATGCAGCACATATAACACATAACATTGAGATAGAAAAAGAATTTTAAAATGTCAGGAGTATAATGTCAAGTCCCACTTCATGGGACTTGAAGAATGGCTCTAGAAGAGACTATTTAGAAGAAAAGAAAAGTCACAGATCTTAAAATCCTATACATGTGTACAGTTATATTTGTATATACATATTAATACACAAAAAAAGTCTGGAAGAAGACAAATCAAACATCTTCCTCAACTTTATAGAGATTTTTCTCTTCCAACCGCTTGCATTCCATATGACTGAAGATTCGGTTCAGGCCTTTGCTTTCTAGGTAGGTGTTTTGGGGCATTTTGATTCATCACAATTTATTTCAGTTGTTTATATTTTATCCCTCAGATATGGAAAAGAAGTTCCTTAAGCCAAAGGGCTATGTAATTTATTTCTTTTGTGGCCCAAATAGCTCTTGTAATATAGTGGGGAGAGGGTACATAGTGTTGGTTCAACAAAATCTTAGATCTCTTCCTATGATGTAGATGACAGGATATGCCACACAGGAATGATGGATGATTCATGCCTAGAATGTGGGCCTGGAAAGAAAAAGACTCAACCATTCAACCAAATAACACAATAATTGAGTATTCACCATATGCAGGACATTGAGTTGTGATGTGAGGAGGATGCAAAGAAAGGCAGGATTCTGCCTCTGCCTTCAGGAATTTCCAGTCTCTTAGTCTGTTTGGGCTGCTATAACAAAATATCATAAAGTGGGTGGCTTGTAAACAACAGGCATTTGTTGCTTACAGTTCTAGAGGCTGGGAAGTCCAAGATCAAGGCATCAGCAGATTGAATGTCTGGTGAGGGCCTGTTCCTATCTTCTTGCTATCTCTTCACATGGTAGAAGAGACAAACAAGCTCCCTTGAGCTTTACACAAAGGCACTAATCTCATTCATGAGGCTGCACTCTCATGACCATGTCACCTCCTAAAAGCTCCACCTCTTAATACGCTTAATGCTATTGCATGGGTAATTAGGTTTCAACGTATGAGGTTGAGGGGGACACAAACACTCAGACCATAGCACTCACTGAAGGGGTAAGAACCATATTGTGGAGTGATTGATAGCATAGGATTCGCAGCATGGAGATGTGGCTTTGAATTCCTGCTCTGCCACTTATATGTGGCCTTGAGCAGGTTGTCTAAACTGTTTGAGCTTGTGAATTTTCTTTTGTACATTGAGGATAATAATAATGTACGGATGACAAATGAGTTGTCTACAAAAGCATTTGGCACAGTGGCTCCTACAGGGTTATGAATCAATAAATAGTAGCTATTTTAACATTATTATTAGATAGCTGGTGATTCTAGGTAAAGTCAAAAAATGGCTCAGAAAAAAGATATGTGGGAGTTCAAAAGAATGGCCAGGGAGCCACATGATGAAGGAAGAAACTCTAATTAACCTTGAAAGATAACAGTTGGGTTTTGAAAAATAGGAAGGGGAGAAGGTCTAGGGAAATGTGTGATTCAAGCTCGGAGTGGCAAAAAGGATGGGCTTGGATGGATGAAATAGAAGGTTCTCATGGAGAAATTCTGGTAGACAATAGTAAGAAAAATGATAGCCATGCTACTGCTATGAATCATGGTAAGTTCTTTCCTTTAATAACATGATGACATAAGAATTATCATGGCCATTTTAAAGATTAGGAAGCTGAAGTTTTGAGACAAGCTGCAAAGTTAGTTGGAAACAAATACAGAGGACTTGGTTAGTGTTGGTGAGGATGGGTCCTCTCATACGCTGTTGGTAGAGGATAAATTGGACACAGGCTTTTGAGAGCGCTTAGACAGCATTTAGTAAAATTGCTAATTTTACATCAAAGTATTGATCCTGGAGAAATACTTGCATATGTAATCAAAAAGGCATAAAGAAGGATGTTCACTGAACACTCCAAAAACTTGGATATGACTCATATGTCTACAAATGATAGAGCACTTAAGTACTAAGTACTGGCATGTCCATATTGTGGTAGGTTACTTAATACTTTAGTGTAACATGACTGACATATAACAAGCCATATACATACACACACACACACACACACACTCACACTTTTTTTTTTTTTTTTTAGACAGAGTTTCGCTCTTTCACCCAGGCTGGAGTGAAGTGGTGCAATCTCGGCTCACTGCAACCTCTGCCCCCTGGGTTCAAGCGATCCTCCAGCCTCAGCCTCCCAAATAGCTGTGATTATATGCACCCACCACCATGCCTAGCTAATTTTTGTATTTTTAGTAGAGACAGGGGTTTCACCATGTTGGTCAGGCTGTTCTTGAACTCCTGACCTCAGGTGACCTGTACATACATATTAATACACAAAAAAAGTCTGGAACAAGACAAATCAAACATTTAACAGTTATTATCTTTGAGGAGGGAGGCATATATTAGGGAGAGCATATATTAAGGAGGATTTGAATTTTAGTCTACATACTTTTGTATTGTTTACAAAGAAAATACATTTAGCTACTACTCAAATTCAGTAACTAAGATTAAAAAATATATATGCTACATCAGTATTGTAACACACTATATGGTCATTAATATGTTAAGATATGTTGTAAGATACACTTTTTGATTTGGAAATTTTCCCATTAAGTAGAAAAAAACCCACCAAATTTCAGAGAAATATGAACAGTATGTATATTGCTTTATAAAAGTTATCACATGTATAGCACACACATACAGATGTTAGGGAAAAACACACACTAAATGGTATTTTTGAATGGCGAGATGATAGTGCCTTTTCTTTTCCTCTTTATACTTGTGACAGTTAACTTTTTCCATAGTAATGACGTGTAACAAACCACTCCAAAACCCAGTGCCTTAAAACAACAGTCATTTTTTTTCTCATTCACGACCATATGTCTATGGGGTCAGCTGTTTTAAGTTGAGCTCAGCTCAGCTAAGATTGGCTTCCAACTGTAGTTTGGGTCCAGGTCTGCTCTCTGTATCCCATCTTCCTTAGACCAGAGGGCTAAGCAGGGTATGTTCTTTTGGCAATAACAGAAGTGCAAAGGGGCGAGTGGGAACCTGTGTTATCTCTTAAGGTTTGATTAGAGGTTATTACGCTGCCCTTTCTGTTCCCATGTCCTAAATCAGTGGGGGAGAAAAATAGACTATTTCTAGTGGAAGGGTCTGCAAAGCCACATGGCAAAGGGCATGGATATAGGAAGTGGTGAAATTTGGAAACTATCATGTAATCTACCACAACTTAAATGTGTTTTCTAATTTACCTCACTGTGCATGTATGTTACTTGTGGAATAATAATCTTATTATTTAATGTGTGGTTCCTCATGTTACCAAAAAGCGGTCCTGATCCAGACCCCCAGAGTGTTCTTGGATCTTGTGCAAGAAAGAATTCAGGTCAAGTCCATAGAATAAAGTGAAAGCAAGTTTATTAGAAAAGTAAAAGAATAAAAAAAATGGCTACTCCATAGACAGAGGAGCCCAGAGGGCTGCTGGTTGCCCATATTTACGGTTATTTCTTGATAATATGCTAAACAAGGAGTGGATTATTCATGCCTCCCCTTTTTAGACCATATAGGGTAACTTCCTGACTTTGCCGTGGCATTTGTAAACTGTCATGGTGCCGGTAGGAGTGTAGCAGTGAGGGTCACCCATCTTGGTTTTGGTGGGTTTTAGCCAGCTTCTTTACTGCAAGCTGTTTTATCAGCAAGGTCTTTATGACCTACATTTTGTGCTGACCTCCTATCTCATCCTGTGACTTAGAATGCCTAACTGTCTGTGAATGTAACCCAGTAGGTCTCAGCCTTATTTTACCCAGCCCCTACTCAAGATGGAGTTGCTCTGGTTCAAATGCCTCTGACTCTCATAAAGATGAGTAGTAAAATAAAGAGTCAGGAGCAGTGGTGCTTTGCTTAGTCCTTCTCTGGCTTAGATCTACAGGATATTTACTGGCTATGTGGATTATCTCTAATCTCATCCTGCCAGTTTCTACCAGTATCCTCAGGACACTCCCAGGAAGAACTTGCCTTCTGATTTGAGCAATCTTGCGGGCCTTATCTTTCTTATCAAATTTCCCGAGTAAGGAGAGTTCCTGTACCTTGAGAGAATGACATGGAATGCTGCATGATTTTACAAGGAATATAAAACTAAGAGCAAGAGAGGCTGCCAGTCACGGTATTCTAAGATGTGCAGACACCAAAGTCACCAGAAGCCCTTTTGTACTGTTCTACAAATCTCAAATGGGGCAATGAAGCGTACATCCAACTGGGTTAGCAATGGTAAGCAAGCAAGGCAGCCAATATGTCCTTATCTCAAGGAACCCAGCAGTGGCAATAATTCACTACCTTAGGACCTTTCTTCTGACTTTTCCCAACCAAAGTCTTATCACAACCAAAGCATCAAATCACAGTCATGAGAGATTATTTCAATGCTGCCCACCTTGCATGACTGTGTACCCTGACAACAAAAAGACAATGATACTTCTGGAGAATGTGCTTGGGAAGGAAATCACTCCCTTCTCCCTGCTGACTCCCCTCTGTCTTCCCCAAGCTAAACTTCTGGTTTCAATACTGTGGTTCGTTCTCCTGAGAAAAGCTAATAGACCTTTTCAGGTATGCAGTAAATCTTCCAATAGTGTATTTTAAAGCCCTTAAAGGAAAGACATTTAACCCTTTCTCTGGGCTGCTGGAGTGTGTGTGTGTGTGTGTGTGTGTGTGTTTGTGTGTGTCAAAATTTTTCCTGATGCAAATATTTATGGACTTTTTAACCTTCATTCTCATCTTAGTTATGCCTTGCCCAAACTCTTTTAACTGCTTTAATCTTTCTCATAAATCACTCTATGCCTCTTCCTTTTTCACTGTAATCTATCAACCTCCTTCTTGTTTCTCAGGTGCCCAGAGTGGAAGTCACAATTGTCCAGATCTGCCCCCAGATTCTGTCTGGGTCTCACATAGTTTAGTCTGAATTAGATATAAATCTGAAAGCTTAAGGAACACAGGATTTTTTGCTACTACTTTAAACACATTCAAGTGCCCACTTAACTCAAAATGGACAACATTTCCATTGCAGTGGTCAAGCAGCAAAGAAAATACCCTCCAGGCTTTTCCAAACAGAAGCTTCACTAGGTTTTAACATCTGGGGAACTTGACTGCAGTGGGCTGGACTATGAGGGGATTTGTCCCTGTGGTGAGTGGGGGAGAGGGCAAATGACAAACGTACCACATTTTTCAGTTTGTCCCATGAGCTGCCCATTGGTGATTTAATCACACATTTCATGCAAGTTCACATCTCATTAACTGCATGTCAATAGCTTAAAATCTTTATGAGAGGGTACCATTTACCCCTTCCCTTTACCCCGCATCCTTTCTGCCTCCCATAGCTAAGCTTCTGGTTCAGTTCCCCTCAGAGGAGTTCCTAGGTCCTTTCGGAGTGCAAGCCATGCCTGTCCTAACTACCCCTCATCCCTTTACGGGTGGTATAAGCCATGACCTGGGGGTGTTTTTCTAAGCTGGGGATGAGGTCCTCAGACTCCGTCTGCGGCCCTGCTCAGTTCTGAGTAATATACCTTTCAGAGCAGTTCAAGATGGCGGAAGAGAGCGAGAGGAAGCAATGGGCTATCGCAGCCTTACTGCTAGCCTGACAAGAAGCCATTAGGGGACCTTCCAAAGTGGGAAGTGATTCTGAATGAAGTGACAAGAATGAATGAGCCACACCTGAGCCAATGTTTCTTAACAAAACACAGAGAGCTAAAATGATGTCTGGAATTTGAAAAAAGAATTGAGAAATAATATCTAGGAGAGGCTAATATTTTAGCAAGTACATTCTGAACTCTGAAATGGGTCACCTAGAGAAAGTTCTTTGATTCTCTGATATTGGAAGACAACATTTTGGGGGGTTTCAACTTCTTTCTCATGATAGATCATGTCAATGAAGTGACCTTGGAAAGCTATTTAATTATTTATATTTTAGTTAAAGCTAAGGCAAAGTTCTATAATGAGAAAAATGCAAACATTTGTTCTTATTATTTGAAGAGGAAGCATTTTTTTTTTAAACAACCAAGTGGTAATTTTACTAAGAAGGGCCATCTTTCTGGGCAGAAATTATGGAAGTAGGCATACCACGCAGGCTGGAGAGTGGAACACATCAGTATTATTGAAATGGGAGAGCTCCCTGACCCCCTCGCAAGACGTGAGACAGGGATGTGGCTCGTTTATTTGAGCTGTGCTCAAACCCCTTATGGGAGGGGGAGCACACAGATGGGCAGGTGCAGGAGCTGGGGTGAGTGTTTTGGGGCTCCAGCCCTACGGTAGTGTCTAGGGATGTGTTACAATTAATGCTCTTTTAGCAGTTGTTGTCCACAGATAGGTAAGTGTTAAACCAGCTCAGTGGAGAGTCAGGGTGACAGCTATTTACACCCTGCCCTCTTGGTACCCGGCTCCTTGTCTGGCATCCAGGAAGTATCAGGTCACTCGAACTTGAAGGATGGTGAATGCAGGGATTTTATTGAGTGATGGAGGTGGCTCTCAGCAGGATGGATAAGGAGCTGGAAAGAGGATGGTGTGGGAAGATGATCTTCCCCTGGAGTTTGGCCATCCCACAGTCGAACTCCTCTCAACGTTCAGACACCCTTTCTCTTCTTTTTCTCTGCCATGCCGCTCTGCGGCTCTTCTGATCTTCTGTTTGTGGAGCCTGGGGTTTGGGGTTGATATGGGTACAGGATAGGGGAGTATGAAAACAGGAATGCCTGTTCCCATTTAGGGCCAAGGGTTTCCAGGCTTGAGGGGAGTGGGGGCCTTTGCTGGGGAACTGCCCTCTTCTACCCAGTATTTCTCTGCCTCCTGTCTATATCATTGTTGGAGATGCCATAACTAAAAGGCTGGCAAAATTGAGATTTCAGAGGGACAAGAAATAGACAGGGTTTACAATATCGTTGAAGGATTGAGGTCTTATGGATAAATAGAGGGGAAAGTCTGCTGATCCCTTCCAATGTTCCATACCAGATTTCCTGGAGGAGCGATATATATTTATTTCTGAGTCCCATCTTTAGTCCTGCAATAATTTTTAGCATTTGTGTGAGGTTGATTTCAGGCAAGGGAAGACTTGGGCAAGTTATAGTACAGCATCTCTGAAAGTGTGTTTTGAGGAATGCAAATACTATAGAATATCATTAAATATAATAGAGTCTGTGGTCAAATGAACTTCAAAACATTGATTTAAACTGTGTTAAAAAGCTTTCCTTGCTGCATGTCTTCTCAGAGCCTTTGAAATGCTGAGGTTCATTGTAAATCTCCAGGTAGAAGTGGAGCTGGGAGGAGGAGCTTGAGTAAATAGAGTATAGTGCATGTATGATTCCAACATTTCTCTTACCATAAAACCTCCTTCTGCTCTTCTTCCCTGGAAAATCTTTTAGAAGTTGTGTTTCATGTAATACTCTGTTGTCTACATGGTCAAAGTGGAAAAAGCCCATGACTGGGTATTAGATTTTCAGGGCTCCAGTTCTGGTTGTTTAATTTTGGGCATTTATTTAACCTCTCTGGGCCTTGGGTTTCTCATCTGCAATATGCGAAAATTAGTCCTAATAGTTCCAGAATCCTGTGCTTCCTGTATGAGTGCTTCACCACTTTCTGCCGTATCAGGGAACCTGCCCCAATAATCATGTAGGTTCTTTTCTATTTTTCCTAAGTGTCAGCCAGCTTGAGAAATAAAGGGACAGAGTACAAAAGAGAGAAATTTTAAAGCTGGGCATCTGGGGGAGACATCACACATTGGTAGGATCTGTGATGCCCCACAAGCCACAAAACCCAGCAAGTTTTTATTAGGGATTTTTAAGAGGGGAGGGAGTGTGTGAATAGGTGTGGGTGACAGACATCAAGTACTTAACAGGGTAATAGAATATCACAAGGCAAGTGGAGGCAGGGCAAGATCACAGGACCACAGGACCACAGGACTGAGGCAAAATTAAAATTGCTAATGAAGTTTCGGGCACCATTGTCATTGATAACATCTTATCAGGAGACAGGGTTTTGAGATCAACTGGTCTGACCAAAATTTATTAGGCGGGAATTTCCTCTTCCTAATAAGCCTGGGAGTGCTATGGGAGACTGGAGTTTATTTCATCTCTGCAGCCTCGACCATAAGAGACGACCCACGCCCTCGGGGGGCCAGTTCAGAGACCCACCCCCAGGTGCACATTCTCTTTCTCAGGGATGTTCCATGCTGAGAAAAAGAATTCAGCGATATTTCTCCCATTTGGTTTTGAAAGAAGAGAAATATGGCTCTGTTCCGCCCGGCTCACCGGCAGTCAGAGTTTAAGGTTATCTCTCTTATTCCCTGAACAATTGCTGTTATCCTGTTCTTTTTTCAAGGTGCTCAGATTTCATATTGCTCAAACACACATGCTGTACAATTTGTGCAGTTAATGCAATTATCACATGGTCCTGAGGCAACATACACCCTCCTTGGCTGACAGGATTAAGAGATTAAAGACAGGCATAAGAAATCACAAGGGTATTGACTGGGGAAGTGATAACTGTCCATGAAATCTTCAAAACTTATGTTTAGAGATTGTAGTAAAGACAGGCATAAGAAATTATAAAAGTATTAATTTAGGGAACTAATAAGTGTCCATAAAATCTTCACAATCCACATTCTTCTGCCATGGCTTCAGCTGGTCCCTCCGTTTGGGGTCCCTGACTTCCCGCAACACTGCCCCAAAATGTGTCCTGAGGACTCCTTTTTGAGTGTCAACCCACCACTAGTGCAGGACCTGCCCAAGATGAACAAATGATAACTCACTCCCATTTCTATGGCTCACCTATGTCTTGATAGAAAGAACCAAGTGCTTTTGTATATAACCATTACACCACTAGCCAAACCTTCCCAGAAGGGAAATTTCTACTGTTGAATGTTCTCTGCACAGATTACTGTCAGAGAACATGAATCACACCTTGAACTTCAAGTCCATGGCAAAATTCATTATATTTTCCACTGCGGCAAAGAGAATTGTATGTGGAGGAAGACACAGTCATTTGCCCTGGAGTCATTTGTTGGAATGATAAAGAAACTCTTTCAGAGCAGACAGAGCCTCATACCATACTCTCCTGTAGGAGGCTTTGCAGTGTCCTTGCTGTCCTGCAGGGAGAAACCATTACCAGCATGAGTGAGCCAAGCTAAGTCCAAGGTGAACTGAAAGACAAAATTTCTCGAATTTCTTATTCATTCACTCAACTCTTTATTAAGCACTGATTAGGTTCCAGGTCTCTAACATACTATCCTCCTCCTCCTCTTCATCATGATGAAAGGGCTCCTTTAATGTATTCTTACCAGAAACAGGTATCACATTATAAAACTCTTTGCTAATTTTGGAAGTGAAAAATGCTAGTTTACTATGGTTTTAATTTGAACTTCTGATACTTGACATTTTATAATTTTAAACTTATTATATTTTCTATGATTTTTCCACTTATATGTTAGGATCTTAGAATGTTTTGAATAAACAAATGCCAGGAAAATAATAATCCATGAGTATGCAGCATAGAAAATATCTAATAATGCATGAGTAGTGTAAAAACTGACACAGATAAGGCATGCAGTGTATGTAAGCAACACTAAGTGCCCTACGATGCCAGGCCCAGCCCCTGGTCTTCTCTCTGCCTGGCCATTGTTCTGGCTGTAACATCTTTACCTCGTGCCAGCTGCCCTTCCACTTCTATGAGCCCCTCATGACCTCTCAGAGTGGTTGGTCTTCCAGAGTCTGCTGGGGTACAAGACTCATTTTTATTTATAAATTTTTGTAGAGATGGGGGTCTTCCTATGTTGCACAGCCTGGTCTCGAACTCCTGGGCTCAAGCAATCTTCCTGCCTCACCCTCCCAAAGTGCTGGGATTTCAGGTGTGAGGCACTGTGCCTGGCCCAAGACTCCTGTTGAACAAAATATTTTGTTTCTGTAAGGGCGAGAGACACCTATTACCCAACACCTTTATTTAGGTATTAAGGATTTTTTTTTTAACTTATTTGTCTTCTTTTCCTCTTGTTTTCACATGAATTTGGAATCCTTATGGGAGAGGAGCAACATAAACAGCCCATCTGTTGGGCAGAGCAGGAGCTCATGCTTGAATGACTGCTTCCCAAAGAAACCAAAATCCTCAGCAAACTTTGAAGCCAACCTCTTGGCATCAGTTTATTTTTTCCACATCCTTTGTGTCCCATGCGGCCTACACTCCAGGGAGGTGGCACAAGGCTTACACAGCAGCAGGCAATGTGGAGAATCTCTGTGGTTCTGTGGCTCAGGGGATCTGGGCGAATGGCTACTTTCATAATAGTGACATTCTCACCTGCTTGAGCCTTCTCCCATCAGCCTAGTTTTTTCTCCTGCTTGAAAATGATTTGGGTTTTAATGAGCCCCCAGCTGGCCTAAAGGCAAACAGGCCTCCCAGTTTCTTTCTCTCCCTGCTCTCAGCATTAACCAGTTAATCATTAGGCAGGGACCTTTTTCAAGGCAAGTCTTTTACTTAGAGGTTTGATTTTTCCAAGTAAGAACATGATGTTTTTCTGCCTCAAGAGTCTTAAGAAGCTCTTCTCAGAGTAGCCTTATTTCACAAATGTGTGTCAGGTTTTAGGGTTTGGTAATGACTCTAGATTTTATTTAGCTTTTAACCTGTGACTATCAATGAAATAGAACCATTCTCCTTTCCCTCTCTCACCTTAGCATGAATTTATTGAAGGCTTGACTGCCTCCTAATGATGGAACAGCAATACTTATAATGATTTCTGTGCAACTCTATGATAGCTGACACATCCATTTGATAACGGATACAGAAAATTCTAATATTAAATGTGTGATGAAAGTCTGGTTTGTTAGAGATGCAACATGCAGTCTGCATTAGATTGAACAGCTGGTCCCCAAGTTGTTGTCCTTTTATTATTCAAGTTGACCCAGCTTTGTTTATGCTCCTTCATCTTTCTTCTAATCACTCATGACTACAGATAAGAAATGGCAGAAGTTTGATAAAAGAAGTTGAGGTTTGGGCCTATGGCCCATACTTTTTTTTTTCCTTTAAAATTTATTTCATTTAAAGCTGTGTTAGTCAACTCATGGACCCAGAAGTAGTTGCCTTTGGAACAACGTCATGATCTTAGTTCACAGTGGCAGGGGGCCATGGATGAAAAGGTGGATGAATGGAAAGAGGCAGAGGGTCCAGAGAGCTGCTCATCAGGGTCATCTTTGCCAGTCCCATGCCCTTGGCTGCCATGCTATATACCAGTTATGTGTCCCCTAACAAGTACAGCAAGTCCCCCCTGCTAATGTCTTTGATAGGTTCTTGGAAGCTGTGATGTTAAGCAAAATGACAGATAAGGAAACCAATTTTACCATAGATGAATTGATATAAATAAGAATTAAGTTACTGCGGCATATTTATGTTCACAAAAACGACCAAATTTCAAAAGGAAAACCAAAACACTTCTAATGCTAAATATTGAAATAAATGTGAGCCATACATACATTTAAGAAAGATGAATGCAAACAGGTAAGATCATCATTTACTCGATTTTTCCAGTTCAGAGTCACGGGTGGCTCTGAGCTTATCCCAGAAGCTTAGAGCACAGGGTAGGAACCAGCCCTCCCTCCCCTCAACATAAGCACACACGCATACTCAGACTGGGACCCGTAGACACGCCAACAGCTTTAGGGTGTGGGAGGAAACTGGAGTACCTGGAGAAAACCCACACAGACAGCGGCCCCAGCTGGGAAGCGGTGTTTGTTTCCTCTTTTTTACTTTCTCCTCAAGGTTATAATAAAATGACATTTGAGGATCTGCTGTACCACATTTTCCTCTTCATTATAATGGAAATAATTATACCTACTTCATATGGTTGTGGAAGGATTCAATGAGTGAAATGAGTGAATACCTGTGAAAAACTCAGAACATCTGGTATATAGGGATTCAGTGATGTTAGTCATTGTTATTATGGCTGCTGTTGTTACAACAATGATGATGATCAGAAGCAGCTCCAGTAAACTGTGAATGGAAGCCTCTGGTTGCCCCAAAGGAATGGAGGAGATTAAATGAAATGGTGATTAATGGTGCCATGAACTACTGGTTTCTGAATAGCTGACCAGCTGCAGAAGAAAACATATTGCTTATCCTCCTTTTGGCCTTCATCTCCTAGCTGATAAAATACATTTAAAGTATGTGTACCTCTGATCCTCTCCCTGGTTTTCTATAAAAACAAAATAAAATACTTTTTGCGAAGCACTCTGGAAAGGGAAATGCAAGGTATTATTATTGTGGTTTTCTTTTCAGCCATGAGGATGCTCAGACTTTTATTCCCTACCACTAACACGGGTGAAATAGTCTCTTTTCTTTCTCTTACTGCGATTTTACAAAAAAGTGGCTTTAAAACGTTTGGAAGTGAAAGAACTACTTTTAGAGCTTATTGTGTTAAGCTAGATCATTCAGCCATTAGCTCATCAACACAGTTTGTGTCCAGAGATGTGTCAACATAGGGGAACACTAAGCAGCAGTGAGAGCACAGCACAAAGGAACGTATGAGATCTTTGTCCAAACAATAGCAGAAAACACAGTGAGCAATGAAAATGACCTGCCTAGAAAAAAAGTAACCCATGGACACAAAATATTGCAACAGCTGCCTGGGGAACTCAGATAACCTCTCTGGAATAGGTAAAAGAAAATTGCAATTCACTGTAAACCTATGCAGCAGCCCCGTTTTTTTATCTCCTTAATCACACTTGTGAAAATTTGTTGGATATTATCTATGCTCTAAGCACTCTCATAAGGAGTCTACAATAATATCTTATGTCTTTTAATCCTGATTAAAAACCCAAGGGATAGCTATCATTATTATTTTCATTTTACAGTTGAGCAAAGAGAAGCCCCGAAAGGTTAAGTAACTTTCTGAAGATGATAGCCAGTAAGTGGCAGAGCCAGAATTTAATCAGGATCTGTGTGACTCTAAAGCTCACTTTTGTAACCATGATGCCATAATACCTCCCACATTAATGTGTGGCGAGTCCCATTGTCCTCTAGGATACCTGTCTGAGAAAGATAATAAAAAATGTGTTCCTTCAAAAAGAGGTCATTGACCATAAGAGAGATAGGGAAACATCACATCTTATCCTACATTTGTTCCAGATTTGTTTGGTTTTGAGTTTGTGAATTGATGCCTTTAAGGAATAGATATTTATAAAGGAAAAATATACCCTGGGTTCAGTATTGCCATGGTAAGTGAGCTAAGACACGAGTCTGCAAAGAGCTATGCATCAGTGCTCCTCAGCAAACCATAAATAATAATGGCAACTAATAAAATCCAATTCATGTGCACCAATGTGATTACTTGAGCGTTAGCCTTTCCAGGGAGAGACCAGCACATCTGTTGCTGTAACTCAAAAGAAATTGGACTCCTGGTATTTCTAGTGAGCAGTTCTGGATGGATACTTCTTAAGAAGTCTGGACTAATCTTACATATTTTGGCGAATATGCAATTGACAGATAATTTACTTCCCATTCATCAATACCCTCAATGAAGGAAAATGTTGGAGTGATTAATATAATGACTTAATGGGGGAGAGGAGAATAAAAGTCAATCTGGAAACTTGGTATTTGGATAATTTATGGGCAGTATGGCATGAAAAAGCCTGCATCAGTGTGAGCAAGTACAAGTTATGTGCTTCAATAAGGAACTTTTAAATAAACATGAAGTCCTAGCAATCTTGAACTTCAGAATTAATCTCATCTGAACCAATAAGGGACTCAGTTTGAAAAAAGAAAATCTAGGGCAGAATGCCTAGCTCAGTAGGCAGTATGAGGAGGGAAGAGCTTTTGGAGAAATTAAAAACCTCTCTTAGTAGCATTTTTATTTTTAAGCTTAAACATAAGAGAACCAGAGTTTTTCACATGTAATCACTGAAAATTTCAAGTGATAGTAAATTTTATAGTAAAAAGGGCTTTAAAATGTATCTAGTTCAAACTTCTCATTCAGCAAGTAGAAGAAGTAAGATCACAGAGAGTCAGATAGACTTGTATATAGTTACATATCCAGCCAGCCTTCATCTCTCTTTACAAGATTTAAAAAACATTTGTTATAACTTTATAATCTTTCTGACTATAAAAGTGACAAATGTTCGCTGGAGCAAAATGAGGAAAATAGAACCCAAAATAGCAAAATGGAAAAAAAAGTACTCATAATTCTACCATTCAAATCCTCATTCCATTAATATTTTGGTATATTTCCTCTCATGCTTCTTTTCTATACATTTATAATGAATTTGTATTTCACAATAACGGGGCCATATACTATAAAACTTTTAAAAACTGATTTTGCTTCAGAGATTTTTAATAAATTAAAAATGGCTGTATTGCTTTTTATGACTATCAAGGTAATTACATATTTAGTGTAAAACATCCACATAATACAGAAATTATAAAGAAAATGAAAATGACCTGGAACTCCACCATCCAAAGATAGCAACTGAAAATGATTTATTTTCTTCCAGAGTTTTTTCTGTGGTGCACTTGTAACCCAAAGTCCCTCTGCCTAATCCATTTGTAGGATCACATGAGGTCTCTTAAAAATTAGTGTCTTTGCTCACACTTCCCTGCTAGTTGAAGACTGTGGGATGGATCTCCAGTGCTGCCTCAACTTCTCCAACAGTCATCTGGGAGAATCTGAGGTAGCCCAGGATCCCACATACTCACCCTCTCCTGTTCTGCACTGTGGATGTGCCCTGGCCACAGCTACTTGAGAGAGTCGTGTGATCATCCCTCCAGGGAGCATGAGTGCTCTGTGAGAGGAGCCCTGCTTCCCTGCCCAGTAGGCTGTCTCCTGGGATCTTGAGTCTGCAAAATATTCTTGGTGTCAAGAGCCTCCTTAGCCCTCCATGTAGCCTGCTCAGAAGGGAGTGTGATGCCTCCCATTCTGCCCCATGCCTCTGTAGGTTATGCCTTCCCATCTTTTTGTGGGGTTAGGTGCTTAAGAACAGCTTCTCCTATCCCTCCTGTCCCAAAGCAAATAACCTCAGGCAAAGTAATAACTGAGAATATACCTGCCTTAATTTAGCTTGGACTGTGATCCATCTTGAATTTTTAGATATTTTGGGTAAATTTTTGGATGTGCTTGAGTTTCAAGTTTTTGCATATGTATATCCAATGATTTCAGCATATTTATTGAAAATGCAATTCTTTCTTCACTGAATTGCCTTTGCACCTTTGTCAGAAATCATTGCCTGTTTTGTGGGTGTCTATTTCTGAACTCTGTATCTACCCCCTTGATAGTTTATCTATCTGGACCCCAATCCCACATTGCCATGATTGGTATAACTTTATAATAAAGCCTTGAAATCAGGTAGTGTTTGTTCTCCAACTTCATTCTTTCTCAAAGTTGTTTAGGTTATTTTAAGTCCTTTGTATTTCTATGCAAATTTGAGAGTCAGTTTGTTAATTTTTATTAAAAATAGTACTGGGATTTTGATTTGGATTATGTTGAATCTATAGACCAATTTGGGGAGCACTGATATGCTAATATTAGGTTGGTGGAAAAGCAACTGCACCTTTTGCTATTACTTTTAATGATATGTCTTTTCATTTATTTAGATCCTTTAAAATTTACCTTAGCAATATTTTGTAGTTTTTTGTGTTTAGGTTATTCACATCTTTTGTTGGATTTATTTCCAAGTATTTCATATTTTTGATGCTATTTTAAGTGGTAAAGTTTTTAAATTTTGATGTCTGATTTTTCATTTTTAATATAAAGAAATACAATTGCTTTTTTGTATGTTGTTCTTATCTCTAACCTTGTTAAATGCACTTGTTAGTTCAAGTAGGTCTTGTGCAGATCCACTGGATATTCTATGCGGACAATTATTTCATCCATGAATAAAGACAGCATTGCTTCCCTTTTAATACATATGTCTTTTTTTTTTTTTTTACTTGACTTATTGCACTGGCTCGGGTCTCCAGTACAATGTGTACTTGAAGTGATGAGGGCAAAACCACTGTCTTATTTCTGATCTTAGGGGGATCTTCTTTCACTATTAAATATGATATTAGTTGTAGGGTTTCTGTAGATGTCCCTTATCAGTTTGAGGAAATTTCCTTCGATTCCTACTTTGCTAAGAGGTTTTTTTTGTTTGTTTGTTTGTTTGTTTTTAAATCAGGAATGGATGTTGGATTTTGTCAAATGCTTTTCATTTCTTTATTAAGATGATCAAATTTATTCTTATTTTTTAGTTTGTTAATATGATGAATTAGTCAGGGTTCTCCAGAGAAATAGAATGAACCAGATACATACGTCTAGATTAATGTGAGGGGATTCGATATGGGAATTGGCTTATGCAATTATGGAGGCTGAGAAGTCCCTCAACTGGCCATCTGCAAGGTGGAGAACCATGGAAGTCAGTGGTATAGCTCAGTCCAAGTCTGAAGGCCTGAGAAACAGGAAAGCCCATGCTATAACTCTCAGAATGAGGCCAAATGCCTGAGGAACAGAGGGTTCCAAATCCTGGAGTCTAAGGCCGGAGTACCTGAGTTCTGATGTCCAAGGAAGAAGAAACTCCAGAAGAATGAATTTGCTTTTCCTCTGCCTTTTTGTCCTATCTGGGCCCTCAACATACTGGATGGTGCCTGCTCACAATGCGTGAGGGTGGATTTTCCTCAGTCAGTCTACTGATTCTAACGTCGGTCTCTTCTGGAAACACCCTCTCAGACACACCCAGCTATAACGCTTTCCCAGCTATCTGAGTATGAATATCCCTTAACACAATCAAGTTGATACCTACAATAAACTACCACATAGGGCAAATTATTGATTTTTGAATGTTAAACCTATCATGCATTCCTGGATAAATCTTACTTGGTCATGATGTATTCTCCTTTATATATATTCTTGGAATAACTTACTAAAATTTTGTTTAGAATTTTTTGTATCTATGTTCACAAGAGATACTGTTCTTTAGTTTTCTTGCCATACCTCTGTGTGATTTTAGTATTAGGATAATGCTGGTTTTGAAGAATGAGTTCCTTTCTCTTCGGCTTTCTGGAGCAGTTTATGCAGGGTGGATATTTCTTCATAAATGTTTGCTCTAGTACCAGTGAAACCACTTGGGCATAGAAATTTTCTCGGTGGGAAAAATTTTAAAGTACAAATTAAATTTCTTTAATGGATATAGGGCTATTCAGGTTATCTATTTCCTCTTGAATGAGTTTTGGTCATTTGTGTCTTTCAAGAAATTTTTACATTTTATCCAAGTTGTCAGATTTGTAGACATAAAGTTGTAATATTTCCTTATCCTTTCAATATTTATATAATCTGTGGTGATATCACCTCCCTCATTCCTGATATTGGTAATATGTGTCTTCTCTCCTTTTTTCCTATTCCATCTGGCTAGAAGTTTATCAATTTTATAAATCTCAAAGAACCAGTTTTTGGTTTTATTGACTTAATTTTTTTCCTGTTTTCTATTTTATTGATTTCTACTGTAATCTTTATTATTTCCATTCTTTTGGTTACTTTGGGTTTCATTTTCTCTTCTATTTCTAACTTCTTAAAGGGAGAGCTAAGATAATAGATTTATGAACTTTCTTCTTGGGCCTGGCCTATGTTGCTCAGGCTGGTCTTGAAGTCCTGAGCTCAAGGGATCCTCCCATCTCAGCCTCCCAAGTAGCTGGAACTACAGGCGTGTGCCGCTACAGCTTAACTTTCTTCGTTTCAGATAAAGGCACTTAGTGCAATACATTTCTCTCAAGTACTGCTTTAGCAATATCCTCCAAATTTTTATATTTTTAAAATCATTCAATTCAAAATAATTTCTAATTTCTTTAAAATTGTATTATGTAAAACATACAGCTTACTTGTACATCTGTTATGAACCTCAACTTCATGTTTAAAATATGTTATTTACTTTCTAAATATTTGAGAACTTTTCAGAGCTCTTTCTGCGATTGATATCCAATTTAACTCCATTGTAGTCAGAGTACATATTTTGTATAACTTAAGTCATTTTAAATTTATTGAGGCTTATTTTATGACTTAGAATATATTGTCTATCTTGATAAATGTTCTGTGTATAAATAACTAGGCAAAGCATAAGTCAAAGTGTTCTATAAATGTCAATAAGTTGGTTAATATTGTTAAAATATTCTGTATTTTTATCGAATTTTTAATGCACTTGTCCCATCAATTATTAAGAGGATGTTAAAACCTCTGACCATAATTGTGGACTTGTTTAATTCTCCTTGTAGTTCTATCAGTTTTTTTCTTCATGTCATTTAAAGCTCTGTTATTAGGTGCATAAACTTTTGGGATTATTTCTTTTCATGAAATGATCTCTTTATAATCATACAATGACTTTCTTGATCCTTGGTGATATTCTTTGCTCTGAAATCTACTTCATAAATATAATATAGCCCACCCCAGCTTTCTTTTTATTAGTGTTATGACACGTCTTTTTTTCCCATGTTTTTAGTCTTAACCTCTTTGTGCTTTTATATTTGAAGTGTGTTTCCTATAGGCAGTGCAGAGTTGGGTCTTGCTCTTTTATTCTAATCTAACACTCTGCCTTGTAATTGTAATATTCAGACCACTTACATTTAAAATGGTTACTTATATTTTTGTGTTTAAATTGATCATCATGCTATTGCTTTTCATTTCTTCAATCTGTTCTTCATTCCCCTTTTCCTCATTGTTATATCTTATTTTATATTATTTATTTTGTATTAAATATCATAAATGATTCTATTTTGTATCCCCTGTTGACTTAGTAGTTATACATTTTTTTAAAAATTTAAGTGGTTGCTTTAAAATCCAGTGGTTGCTTTAGGGTGTATAGCATACATCTTTAATTTATCACACTCTACTTTCAAATGATATCATATGACTTCACATACAGTATGAGAACCTAACAATGGCATACTTCCATTTCTTCACTCTCAACTACTGTGGTATTCTTCTCATACCATGTGCTTGTACATACATTATAAACACCACACTTTATTGTTATTTTTGTTTAAGCAATGAGTTATCAAAGACACTTAATTCATAATAAAACGGTTTATATATTTGCCCAAGTAGTTTTGGTTCTCTTGTTTGTGGGATATCTGATATAATTTTTCTTCTAATATAAAAGGATTGACATCCTTTAATATTTCTCCCAGTTGGGGTTTGATGGTGATGAATGATTTTGGCTTTTGTACATCTAAAAAAGTATTTATTTTAACTCAGCAATTAAAAATTTTTTTACTGGGTGTGGAATTCATTTTGGCAACTTTGTTTGTTTTAGTACTTAAAGACATTGCTCCACTGTTCTGTTTTCCTATAAGAAATCTGATGTCATCTTTACTTTTGTTGCTCTGTATATAATGTGTCCTTTTTCTCTTGCTGATTTGAAGTTTTTTTTCAAGATTTTCATTATTTGTGCTTGATTCTTGCCCTTGGTGTTTGTTGGGCTTCTTGAAATTTGGGGGTTATAATGTTCATTAGATTCGGTAAAATTTTGGCCATTATTTCTATGAACATTTTTTGTCATTTCCCTCCCTCCTGACTCCCACTTTGGGGACTCTGATTATACATATATTAGGTTACTTGAAGTTGTCACACAGCTTTCTGATGCTTTGTTAATTTTTTAAAAAACCATTTTCTCTTACTATTTTATCTTGCTATATCTTCAAATTCACTAATTTTTTCTTCTGCAGTATCAAATCTGTCACAATACCATCTGCTGTATTTTTTCAAATCAGATATTGAAAATTTTATCTTTAGAAGTATGATTTAGATCTTTAAAAAATCTTCTATGTCCCTACTTGAATATATGGAATACAGTTATAAATGCTTTCATGTCCTTGTCTGATAATTCTAACATCTGTGTCCATTCTGGGTCAGTTTTGATTGATCATTCTCATTATGGATCACATTTTCTTGCTTCTTTGCATGACTTTTTTATGATATTCTGGACATTTTAAATTGTCTTGCTGGATACTATATATTTTTGTATTCCTATCAATATTCATGGACTTTGTTCTGTGATGCAGTTAACTTAGTAGGAAACAATTGGATCCTTTTTAGTCTTAATTTTAAGATTTGTTATGCAAGACCTGAGTAGTGCTTAGTCTAGGGCTTATTTTCGATTGCTGAGGCAAGATCCTTCTGTGTATCTATTTAATCAATTGTGAAGTTTTAAAAATCTGTCTGTGGGAACATGCTCTATATCCAGCCCTGTGCAGTGTTTGTTTTTTTTTAAAAAAAATGTCAACATTTATTTTAGGTTCAGGGGGTACATGTGCAGCTCTGTTACATGAGTATATTGTGTGATGCTGAGGTTTGGGGTATAAATGATCCCATCACCTAGGTAGTGAGCATGGTACCCAGTAGGTAGTTTTTCAGCCTTTGCCCCCATTTCTCCCTCCTCCCTCCAGTAGTCCTCAGTGTCTATTGTTCCCATCTTTATGTCCATGCGTACCCAATGTTTAGCTCCCACATATAAGTGAGAACCTGTGGTGTCTGGGTTTCTGTTCCTGCATTTCTGTTCACTTAGGATAATGGCCTCCAGCTGCATCTGTGTTGCTGTAAAGGACATAATTTAATTTTGTATGGCTGTGTAGTATTCCATGGTGCATATGTACCACATCTTCTTTATCCAAATCACCGTTGATAAGCATTAGGTTGGCTCCATGTCTTTGCTATCGTGAATAGTGTGTGGCAGGAGTTCTAACCTCTAATCCTATTAGGTGGTTCTTTCTCCAGCCTTTGGTGGTTTCCTCACATGTATTTTCTGATCAATACTCAGCTGAATACTCAAGGAAGACTTTCTGCAGATCTCTCTGTGAAGCTCTTACCTTTCCCGTACTTTGTTCAGAGAACTCTAGTTTAATTTGAATTTCTGACACTCTCAGCTCCACATCCTAAACTCTAGGAAGCCTCTGGACTCCACTTGAGTTTCCCCTCCCTGTATTGTGGTCTGGAAATTCTCAAGGCAATAAAGCTAAGCAATTGTAAGGTTCACCTCACTTGTTTCCTGTCTTTTAGCGGTAATTATATTTCATTCCTTGCAGTCTATTGTCTTGAAAATCACTATTTAACATATTTTTTCTTTTTCTTTTTTGTAATTTCAGGCAGGCAGGAGAGTAAATCTAGTACCTTTTACTTCATCTTGGCTGGAAAGCAGAAGGCACACGAACACTTTAAAGGTTTTTAATACATAGAGCAAAATTGATGTTCAGTAACATCAGATAATAAATGACAGATGTTGAACCCAAGGTTATTTATCTTAATGGCTATCATTTTATTAAATATGTGTCAATTTGATAAGTAGCAAACATTATTTTTTAATATGCCATTCTTTTAATGACCAGTGAAATATAATGTACTTTCACCTCTTTATCTGCCATTTCTATTTCCTCTTTGGTGGTATTGACTGTTCATCATCTTTGCCATATTTTCATTAAGTTTCAAGGAGTAGTATCAGAGTCAGCACCAAGGGCAGAGAGGCCAGTCAAACCCTTCAGATTCCTGTTCCTGCTCTGTGTGCAGATAGAGGCTGTGGAACAGGAGGAGGGATGAAGTAGGATGGAGAAGATAATCTAAGGTGCTCTGAAAGCCAGAGAGAGCCTATTACCTAACCCAGAACATCAACTAACTAGTTCTTTGTTAGCAGCAAGGGAGATGTAATTAAAGTCTAGGAACTAAACTCTTTACAGTTTCTTCCAACAATGCGCTGCCTGTGTGTGTTTGCAGGTGGTACCAGTGATCTGGATTTACTGGCAACCTTGTGGAAGTGACTGGGGGGGTTTGGCAAATAGAACTGTGTTGGTGTGCTTGGGCCAAATAAAACTCTATTTCAAATAAAGTTATGTTCATTCTTTGGCCCATTTCATTTGGAAAAAACGGCAGTTTAGTAAATTGCCCTCATCATCCTGCTTGAGAAACATACAGATAAAGGTAAGTAGAGACAGGGTTATCTGAAATTCCAGGTTCACTTCAGCAAACTGAAAGGTTGTTTGTTTTTTAAATGGACTACATATCTTTGATTATATGACTCTAATATAGTATGTGCAAGAATATTTTATATTATGTCAATTTCCAAAATGAATAAATATTTTAAAATGAAACTGACACTTTAACTTGGCAGACCAAGTTATAATAATTTGCAGACTGTCCAATGTCAATCTTCTCAAAAATCCTTAAATAAGAAACCTACATACCAAATTACAGGGTTGGAATAATACAAAATATATGTATGTAAGCATATTCACACATATACCAGGGCCATTGTTAGTTTGTGCATTTACTGTAAAGAATTAGGAGCTGGTCACGGGTATTCCAGTGATTCATTTGTATATTAGTCTGCTCAGGCTGCTGTAGCAAAATACCACAGATAGGGTGGCTTAAACAACAGAAATTGATTTTCTCACATTTCTGCATCCTAGAAGTCCAAGATCAAGGTGCCATCAGGGTCGGTTCTCCAAAGGCCTCTCTCCCTGGCTGGTAGATGGCCGCCTTCTTGGTGCACATGGCCTTTTCCCTGTGTGCACACCTGCTGGGTGCCTCTTCCTCTTCTAAGGACACTAGTCTTGTTGGATTAGTGCCCCACCCATATGACCTTACTTAACCTTAATTGTCTCTTAAAAGGCCCTATCTCAAATACAGTCACACTGGGGGTTAGAGCTTCAACATATAAATTTTGGGAGGAAACAACGCAGTCCATAACAATCTGCAAGGGTGTTCCTGTGCTTCAAGGGGAGGAAGGGAAATATAGAATTTAGGCTTAGTTTCAGTTTCCTGATGGTTTTAGGAAGAACATTGTTAAGAAGGTATGAACGTCTTGCTATTATAGACCCTGAATTTAGCAGTGGTGGTCAGTCTGGGAAGAGTATCATATTTGGGAACAAGATAATTCACCAAGGCACAGGAAACATCACTGAACCAGGGTCTACCTCTAGAGATACTACAGAATATTACCAAGGTTTTATTTCCTTTTTAAAGGCAAATAGGAAGCTTTAAATGATGTACACGGGTTTCCTAATTTTTGAATCCTTTTGGTTTGAAGGCTTACTTGAAAAACAAAAGTCAGGCCAGGCACAGAGGCTCACACCTGTAATCCTAGCATTTGGGAAGCCAAAGTCAGCGGACTGCTTGAGCTCAGGAGTTCAAGACCAGCCTGGACAACATGGTGAAACCCCATCTCTACAAAAAAAGAAAAAAAATACAAAAGTTACGCAGGTGTGGTAGTGTGTGCCTGTAGTCCCAGCTACTTGGGAGCCTGAGGTGGGAGGATCACTTTAGCTCAGGAGACAGAGATTGCAGTGAGCCGAGATTGTGCCACTGCACTCCAGCCTGGGCAACAGAGCCAGACCCTGTCTCAAAAAAAAAAAAAAAAAAAAGACAAAAGTCATCATAGCATAGACATATCCACCAGAAAATGAACAACTTAAGAATTAGTGACCACTCAAACATCACTTCCTGCTGAACATTAGTACCTAGCCAATGGTGTGCTCAAGCTGGCTCAGAGGGATTTTCAGAGTCAACATACAGATCTTTTCCCAACTCCCAATTCAGTGACATCACACTGGAAGCTTGACGTTGGCCACAGTGGAGTATTTACACTATGGCAGTTGGCCAACAGTATAAGTCAGAGCTTTTGACTTTCTGATAATTTTTTTTTAATTACCAGAAAATCACTGGATTTCTTCATGCCCATTGGCTCATTATTATTGCTGGACCACTTACTATTGATTGTTGAAAACACCTAAAATAAAATAAAAATTCAGTGTAAAAAAGGCAAAGTGAAACTATATACTCTATAAAATTTTGTAAAAGATTGAAAATTGTAAGACATTGATGAAAGTGATATTGAGCTGCTGTTCAAAACACACATAGCCATTGACAAATAAAGATACCAGAGAATTTTGTAAGTTACCAACTAAAGAAGGAAAATTGGCCAAATACACACTTGAATGTAATGTATTACATATAAAAATATGAAGAGGCCCTACTGAAAACTTGTGAAACTGTCAATATTTTTTCAAAAGTATTCCTTTTACTTATAGCACAATAATCCAACCTGAAATTACAATGTCCTCATTGATGCTATTAGAGATTTTTTTGAAAAATTTTCACCCTCCATTTCTAAAAATAGTACCTAATTATATATATTATCTAAATTTGTATTATAAAAGAACTTACTTTAATAATTTTAATTTCCTTTTAACATAAAAGTTAGGTTAATGTTTTCTTTGTCATGTAGATTTTAAGTGATTTAAAGGATTCTTTCCAAGTTTCAATTTTGCTCAGATAACAAAACACTGGAAATGTTTATTAAGCATCCATCCATCCAACCATCCATCTATCCATCCATCCATCCATCCAAAGGCAGAGTGAAACTCTATCCATTTATTCATCAAACGTTAACCGAGTATCTGCTACGTTTTAGGTACTGTAACAGTGTTTGGGAATACTGAGATGAGTAAGATAGTGTTCTTGCCGTTAAAAGTTCATTCTAGTAGGAAGACATATGTATAATTAAATTACAGTATAACTAGAGAGGAGGTGACAGTAAGAGCACATACACAGTCAGAGAAGTTTGATAGTGAGGAGAGTGATGAACTTTATGTGATAGAGCTAGGAAGGACCTGAGATAATGGAAGGCTGAATTCCAGCACCACCCCCGTGGAAAGCCCTTCTTTAATCCTTAGTCTGGTTTAGCTGTCCCTCATCTATGCTGTGATGGCAACCTATTGCAGTTGTAGCCTTATGTATCTGTCTATCTAAACTAAGTACACCTTGAGGACAGAGACAGTTTTTATATCCCTTGAATGTAGCAAAACTCTGCTACATGCTTGGTGCTCAGTTAAGATATAAAAAAATGAATGAATAAATGAAGGAAGAAGGGCATTGGAGACAATGTTACTTAGGAGGAGTGTCTTAGTCTTGGCTGCTATAACAAAATACCATAGACTGGATGGCTTAAACAACAAATATTTATTTCTCACAGTTCTGGAGGCTGGGGAGTCTAAAACCAAGGTGCTGACAGATTTGATGTCTGGCAAAGGCCTTATTCCTGGGTTGCAGATGGCTACCTTCTTGTTGTTTCCTCACATGGCAGAGAGAGAGAGAGAGAGAGAGAGAGAGAGAGAGAGAGATCTTGGCTCTTCCTGTAAGGGTACTAGTCCCTCATAACTGCATCTAAACCTAATTACCTTCCAAAGGCCCCAGCTCCAAATACCATCACTTTAGAGATAAGGGCTTCAACGTATGAATTTGGGGAGGACACACATATTCAGTCCATAGCAAGGAGTTTGAAGAATAAATTGAATTTACCCAGAAGGTCTCGGAATTCAGGGTGGAGAATGAAGGCAGAGAGATTAGCATTCAAATATAAGGAACCATAAAACCAGCATACAGTGTGGCAAGTTTAGGAAACTGAGTTGTTTTTGCTATTTTTGAAGTTTGGGGCAACAGAACTGTTAGGGAGAGGCAGGACCCGTGTTCCTTAGCTTTCATGTTTTACATAATTTTTTTCTTTGCAGGGAATGAAAGTTATTCAAGGCTTTCAAGCAGAGACCTTGAATATGTCTCTATGTTTTGGAAACATCATTCTCTGGGCAAAGCAGAGAATGGTTTGGAAATAGAGAATCTAGTCCAAGAGGCAGGAACACCACTTTGGAAACTATTGCAATAGTCCAAGGGAAGGATAATGAAAATTTGAACGAAGGGATTTTTTTTGGTGGGGGTAGGGGGAGTTGAATTATTGCTTGTAGATCAGCACAGAGTGGAAAAAGGGAAGCTGGGGGTAAACATTGCCCCCCTGTGAGAGAGAGGAATCATTTCTTAATGCATGTTTGGCCTGGACTCAAATCTTTGAAACAATAGCAACAACAGTGGCTGCCACTTACTGAAGACTTACTAAGGGCCAGGGACTGTTGAAGATCTTTATACACATTAGCACATTTGATACTCATAAGTAAGGACAGGGCTGAGATTTCAAGCATCCCCCTTTCCTCTGAACGCAGTCGTATTGTGAAGGTTTGTCCAAGTACGTGCAGCTTGTGGAGCTCTCTGGTTGTTTCCCATGAGTTTCTTTTTCTCCCCTGTCTAGACTGATGTTTCTTAATAACAGGAGCTGTGTCCTAATCTTCTTATGATAGCTCCTAAACTGAAGTAGATACTTATATTTTGTCAGTTAGGATGTAACAATGCAAACATGTAATTTAGATGCCCCCGAGACTGATTTATTCCCACAGGAAGGAAGCAAGGATGACCATAAATTTTCTGAAGCTAGGGCACTCCAGATTTCTCCTCAAATCCATCCTGTTTGGATTCCAACATTTGGCTCCATCATTCTATCAATACTTATTAAATCAGGGATCTGTGGCAGGAGGCCAGAGAACACCTGATGGCTGAGATCCTCTCTTTCAAATTTTTATGCTTTATTGAATAGAAGATCCCTATAAACTGTCTCTCGAGGGAAGCACTTTCTCATCCTCTTTCCCCATGTACACAAGCAAGAATCTGTCCTCCTGAACACGAGTCTAACTTATGGGAGCTGAGAGATCCAGGGCTGGATCCACAACAGGCCGACCACGCCTGGCCCCCAGCAACATGGCACTGCCCAAATCACCTACGTGCCTGTCAGGAGCAGTCAGGGGTGCATGGCTGTGGTGGGTAGGAAGGAGCAGAAGTTCCAGGTATGTAAAAGCCTAACTAGTAATATCCATGTCTCATCAACATTGTAGTAATAATACCAATTATATTTTTTAAAGAATAAATTAGTGTCCAAGAGAAATTGCCCCACATCCAGCCACATTATGCTGGAGGATGGTGAGAGATGCTTTTCACCACGTGTCTTGGTGTGGGCATTCCTGCCCCTTACTCCTCTTTACAGTAACTCAAACATCTCTGCACCTCCTATAGGCTTTTATACACAACCTCCTTCCAAAGGTGAAAGCCCCAGTTTCCCACTCCTCCACACACAGACCTGGAGACCTGGAGTTTCCATCCCTCCTGTTGTCCCCTCTGCCCCCAACTGGCCTGTCTGAAAATGCCCAGGGACTACTTTAGTTCCCAGGCAAGACGGGGCAATTCTAGTTTCCCTAAATCATTTTGTGATTTCTATTTTGCCTAGTGATATTTTATACAGGAGTACTTCTTTAAAAGGCATTTTGAGGTCTTTAAAGACTAATTATGAGTGCATTGGGAAGTGCACTGTGATGAAAGGAAGTCTTACAGGCTGAGGGTAAAACGTTTTGCATGACTCAGTGGGGCCCTTGGGCATATTTCAGTGGGTTTCATGGGCTTCTCACAATACATAGTTGTCTGAAAAGGGGAGGCTTTGCCCAGGTGATAATTACATAGACGGCAAGTGTGGTAAAAACCAGCTCTGGAAAAGCCTCTCATGGGAGATTCTGGCTAGGACAGCTATAATTTTGTGCCTATTCTCTCTGACCCTGGGGACTTTCAACTGGATTAGCCAAAGGCATTCCCTGTTGATTCCAGCCTTTGAGGGCCCTCATCACACACCTCCACTCCCCTGCCCTCTCTGCCCCACTGCAGTCCTGGCTGGGCCTCCTTGATTCAGCAAGCCCCACAAATTGCTAATGGGATCAGGGCTGGAAGACCCAGATTTTGAACAAAGCTAGGTCAAGCCCTGGCATGTGTGTTTTGGTATATGGCATTTGTTCCTGAAATGGCCAGCTATCTAAGCAGGAGAGGCATGGATCTGGAGCTGGGGAAACTTGGTCCTGGCTCTTCAATCATGACCTATGGGACCTTCAGCCCATCACTTCTCCTCCCTGGGTTATGGTTTCTTCAGCTTTAAAGTGAGAGAATTTTACCAGGACTCTGCGATCTCTTTCAGCTTTTAAAATGTGTAATGTTTTCAACTCTGGGCACACATCAAATTCAAACCCAGGCAGCTTTCCAAACACGCCGAGGGCCGGGCCACATCTCCAGAGACTCTGAATTGGGCTGGTGTAGCACCTAGGTCCAGGGACAGATCCAGGTCCATGGGGCCTAAGGAGCATACAGTTTGAGGGCCTGGTTAAGAAGAACAAAATAATATCTTACTTTTACAACTTTTACAAAAGTATGACTTTGTGAACACATCACTGTGGTCCCTTCTATCCTGGAGCCTTGGGAATAGTTTGTGCAAATGAGTGACCCTGAAGGTTCACTTCATTGTTTGAGAGTAAGTCTAGGGATGCCCCGGCATCAGTATGTTGTAAACGTTCCCCACATGATTTCACCACGCACAGTTGCCATGTGAGAACCACTGGGGTAGACAGGTTTTCAATCCAAAGGTTGGTACTCCAGAGTATGAAAGTACATGGTAACCTGTGCATCTCTGCCTAGAATGTCTTTGTTTGGAAATTTCTCTTCCAGGCATCTCTCTCCTAATTGATTCCCACTCACCACTAAGGCTCACATTGGAGATCACCTCCTCTGGGCAGCCTTTCCTAATTCTCTATAGTTAGTTACTCCCTTGTATTTGTCTCAGATTCATGCATATCTCTGACCTAGCTCTTCCTATGCTCTAATTATTTCTTTGTACTTCTTCCTCCCCGACTAACCTGTAAGCTCCTTAGGCATCTTGGCATCCCCAGGACCTAGCACAGTAACCAGCACATGAGACCTTTATGAAAAATATGAAAAAAACAAATTGGAAAGTATTCTTATTTTTACATAGAAGACTCTCTTCATCCCCCACTCCACCTACATGATATTTTCCAGCCTCTTCTTTCAATAACAAATAAAGATGCCACCCTTAACATCCATTCAGATTCTCCTTGTTTACAAAGGTAAGCTCTCAAACTCCCTACCAATGCCATCCACCAGTTTATTGGGCACAACTAGATGAATTGTTGGATGACTTTGTTGCTGGGCAGGAGGACATCAGCACAGAATGTGGTGTGTCACACAGGGTCCTGGCAAGAACCAGGGGGACCAGAAGGCACATTGAGCTGAGATTTTTGTTTTGTTTTGTTTGTTTTTTTGAGAAAGAGTGTCGCTCTATCATCTAGGCTGGAGTGCGGTGGCATGATCTTGGCTTACTGCAACCTCTGCCTCCCACGTTCAAGTGATTCTCCTGCCTCAGCTTCCTGAGTAGCTGGGACTATGGGCGCATGCCACCATACCCGGATAACTTTTGTATTTCTAGTAGAGACAGGGTTTCACCATGTTGGCTAGGTTGGTCTTGAACTCCTGACCCCAGGTAATCCACCTGTTTTTCCCTCCTAAAGTGCTGGGATTACAGGGGTGAGCCACTGTGCCTGGCCTCAGCTGAGATTTTTAAGACAACTTAAGGTAAGAACCATTTCCCCTCCACCTTCCTGCTGGTGCCTCCCTCTGACCAAAACCAACTGGCAGCCAGAAGAGGAATGAGGCCCAGTAATACACAAACATAAGGATCAGATACCCCGACCCCAGCTCAGAGTTGGGTTGATATAGGTGGATAATGGATCTGGGGAGGGAAGATTAGACAGAAAAACCAGCAGAAAATGGATGATGTTATATTGCCAGAAGCAGGGGAAGTAATTGGATGTTGTCTATATCTGCAATTAGTAGATGTCATTTAAAGTGGCTCTGCTGTACTTTTTACTTTAAGTGAAAAACTTACCAAACCTTAGGTGGGAAACTTGCCAAACTAGCTTAAAAGTAAAGATAGATAGCAAAAATATTTCTATGTAATCAGCTGCTATGTTCTAGAAAAGAAAAGAACCAGCCTGTAGGAGTTTTGACTCCCACCTTCCTGTTCTTGCCCTTCATTTTTGAAAGGCAATTATTCTTGTTTCTACTGGAATCTCATTTTCTCCCCAGGCCCCACAGCTGTTGGCACTGACTTCTTTCCCTACCACCTCCCATGTCATACCAGAGATGTCTAAGGTATTCTCCTTCCCAACGTAAAAGGCAGAGCTTGCTTATCTGGACATAACTTATACCTTAGCTCTCTGGTCCTGTGCATGGCTATTTACCCCCATGGACCATAAAATTAGGATCCATTGGTCCCCTCCTCAGTCTGAAACTCCACTGCTTTTTTTTTTTTTTTTTTTTTTTTGAGATGGAGTCTCACTCTGTTGCCCAGACTGGAATGCAATGGCGTGATCTCAGCTCACTGCAACCTCTGCCTTCCAGGTTCAAGTAATTCTCCTGCCTCAGCCTCCCGAGTAGCTGGGAGTAGACACCTGCCACCATGCCCACCTAATTTTTGTATTTTAGTAGATATATGGTTTCCCCATATTGGCCAGCCTGGTCTTGAACTCCTGACCTCAAATGATCCTCCTGTCTCGGCCTCCCAATCCTTGTTGGGATTACAGGCATGAGCCACCATGCCTGGCCCCCATTGCCAATCTTGAAGGAAAAGAGGAACAGCACCTGCCGGTGTTGTGCACCCCAGAGAGGTGGGGCTAAAGGATGACTCACTCTTGGCCCCTGGTACTGAGGACTGCAGGTGTCTGCAATCCTGGAGGAGGCCAGTAGGGGCGTCCCACCTCACACTCCCATTTTATCCTCATCTGCTCCTACTTAACAGGTCCTCTGCCTGCTCCTGCTCACCCTACTGACCTGTCTCCCTCACACAGGGAGTCCCCAGAAGCAGAGAGAGGAGCGTCCTCTCAGAGGACTTGCCAGGAAGCTTTCTTCTGCCTGGAGTCCACCGTTTTCCCTCAATCTGGCTGCCCACCACCTTTCTTTCTCTGCTTCTCTCACTCTCATATTCCCGCAGATGGGAGATGACAGTGTAAGGGGGAGGTGAATGGGATTCTTTTGTTTCTCTGGTCCTTAAAGTCTATAGGGGAGAGTTTCAGAATAAGGATGTGACTGATCCTAATCACTTTTGAATTTTCTAGTCTCTTAGGCTTGTGGTTAAGACTGGGATCTGGGATGGGGAACCACATTTGTCAAGGACGTAATAGTTTTCTCCTCAGCTTTCTAGAAAGAATGAGGGATTTTAATGGAGCTAGAGCAAGAGCTCAGCAGAGCTAGGGAGAAACAAAGAATTATCTTGGCTAAGACTGAGGGTAGCTTCAGGAAGGGCTGAGGTACCTGGGCATGTAAGGCTGTGTCTGCCTGGAGAGGTCATCAGAGGGGCTCCTGTGGGAGGAGTCAGAGGGGGCCAGGTGTTGTTCCGTGCCTGAGCCTGCAGGTGTGGGAGTGGAGCCAGGAGCCTTTGGGCCTGAGGCTGCAAAGACGTTTCCTTCCTACTTCTTCTGGGGATTATGAGTCACTGAGTTGCAGATAGGGGATGACTCCAAAGGACTAGGGAGTCACTAATACAAGTGTCCTGTTAGGTTGGGATTTCCTTGAGGGCAGGGTTCATGGTGTCTTCCTTGTAACTTAGCCCCCAGAACAACACCTGATACTCAGTAGGTGCTGAAAGGATGGTTGCTGAGTGAATGAATGAATGAAGACAGTTGATATTTCTGTTAACTTTCTCTTTAAGCATGGTGGTAAAAGCACTCACCAGCTGGAACTTTTCTTTCTAGATTATGTGTGGGAGTAACTGCCAAGTAGAGTAATCCCCTTGTCCCCTCCTCATCTTCAGTGCCTTCTCCTCTTCCCCCAGACAATAGAAAGGTAACTTGGGACTAGGTTTGGGGCCCAAGCCAGCTTTCTGAGCTCCCAGTTCCAAACACGTGTCTATTCCCTGGTGCCCTGGAACACCTGTGCCTGAGAAAAGCCCATGGGAGAACCGTGAGTCTGACTTTTCTTTTTATTCAGCTCTCAAGTCCAAGGCTGTAAAACCTGGGCCAGAGCTCTAGACAGGGGTGTGCCCTTGGTGCTTTGGGATCCAGCAAGGAGAGCCTTCCAGACCACAGGCTTTGTCCAAAATCAATCACTCTTTATCTGGGGCACAATTGTGAATAGCCATCCCCATGCCAAAACTGGAGATTGCCAGGGCTTAAAAGGCCAATTAACATAACCCCAGGAGTTCTGAGTGCATTGCCATAAAAACCAACGGCCCTGCTGCCTACTCCAATTCAGAGGCATCTTGACTCACAGGGCGCATGACTCAGACTGCTCCAGGCAGATTTTAATAGGTTCTAGGAACATCTCCTCTCACTACTGTCTGAGGACAGGAGGCTCTGCTCAGGTGATAATTGCCTTGAACTCGAGTCTACTGAAAACTGGCAAGAAAATGCTGTTGTAGCCAGGGAGTTTTTAGTGCTTGAGAAGGCCAAAAGCAAAGCCAGGGATCATAGAGACACAGTAAAACCTGGTTTAACCACTGGGCTGGGAAATTGCATGGTCTCAGGAGACCACAGAGACTCCGCAGTCTTCCATGAAAAGTCCAGACGTACTTAGTAGGCAGGAAACCATAGACGGGATTTAGTGTGATAGTTCCAAGTGGGACCTATAGTCTCAGACTTCTGGCTGCACCATCATAGGGAAGCTCCTAGCTTCTATGAGCCTCAGTTTACTCATCTTTAAAATGGAAGTAATCGTAGGTTGTTGGGAGGGTTAAACAAAAACAGCATAGTGTCTGGTAGGCAATAAATGTCTGATACATTAACTTTCTTCCTCTGCACTCAGTAGGGAGCCAAGATGAAGTCAAAGGTTGGTCAGGACACTCTTCCTGGACATTTATATTAGATAAAATATTGTCCTCTCTTCCCACCACTGACATCGAATCTAACAAAGAAAGAGAAATAAAATATATAAACTGCAATTGGAGGGTTGATTCTTTTATTGATGAGTAGCAAATTCTCTGCAGAACCCACAATACTTAAGCAGTACTCCAGGGCCACATGAAGATACTGTTGGTGACTACTCAACAAGCTTGCATTAAGCGCCTATGAAAAACAACCATATGGCTTAGACCTGCCCTCGGGAAGTTCACAGTCTAGGTGGGAAGACACATTCAAACACATAATGTGGCTCTAGGGCAAAGGCTTGAATGCAGTCATGGTTAGTTAAACAAGCCTGTCTCAGAATCATCTGGCAAACTTGTTAAAACACAAGTCCTAGACTCCATCCCCACTGATACTGGGTCAGGGATCATGCCCATGATCTTACATTTCTAGCAAACTCCAGTGATGCTGTTCTGCTATTTTATGGCTGTTTGAGTAGCATCGTTATATTAGAAGTCAAAGTAATGGGATTATTTATAGAGGAGGGAAAGAGTAATTTCTTGCAGTAGGGAGGATGTTATCTGGAGTGACTTTATGGAGGAAGTACTGTAGTTTTTAATCAAAGCCTAGAAGTCTGGGTAGGATTTCAGCAGGCAGCAACTATAAGTGTCTTCACATAAATAAAATACTAACAAGTCAGGAAACAATGCAGAAATGCAGAATATATTCAGCAAGCAGAATAGCAGGGTGCATAAGTTGTGGAAGGCAGAGTGACAGAAAGCAATGCTGGTCACTGGTTTCTAGAAGACCTTGAGTCTACTGACTGGGTGCTGAGGCAGAGGAGGTCAAGCTTATTTTGTAACTGACAGGGATCATGAAATATTTTTGAACATGGGAAGAATGTCATCAGTTCAATGACCTAATGCTTCATGTCTGAGTGTGAGATGGATTGGAGGAAGTGATGAGGAATGGGAAGACGATTTGGTCCACAGACTTATTAAAGTCTTTAAGTGATAAAGAGGTCATCTGGAAGCCTAACCTAGGCCAGTGGGAGTAGTAAGAAGGCATTAGACAGGAAGAGAAAGTGGAAGACATATCATCAGAATTTTAAAATTAAATTACACATGGTAGATGAGAGAGAGGAACAAGTCAAAAATGACCCTAAGGAGCAGAGACTGAGTACTGATGCCAGCAGAAGAGAAAGGAATTTTAGGGAAAGAAAGGATTCAACAAGGAAGATAGTGAGCTTGGTTTTGTACCTATCGAATTTGAGGTGCCTACAAGTTATCTAGTAGCTTGCATTGCAAGCCGAGGTTCAGTAGAGAGGCTGAGGCTGTGCAGACATTAAATATTTTTCATTATCTGAGTGTGTCATGCGGAAGTGATTATGGAACCCAGGAGAGTAGATGACTTCATCAGGGAGTACACACAGAGTGAGGAGAAGATGAAGGCAACTGAACCTTAGGGAGTGTCTACATGTAACTGGTTGGTGGAAGAGCCTGCAGAGAAGACTCAGCAAGAATGGTCTGGGAGGCCCTGGGGAGGCAGCTGAATGCTGTGTTCAGAACAACAAGGGAGAAGACTTTGGCAGGGAGTGATTCGAAGAGTTAACTGCGACAGAAGCTGAGAAGGAGGAAAGAGAAGCCATTGGATGTGTGGCTCGGGACGTTCAGGGGTGCACTTTCCATGGCGGGGCAGGATCCAGGCTTCAGGGAGTCAGTAAGTAAACTGGGGTGAGGAAGTAGAGGAAGCGAGTGGTCAGTGGTGACAGAAAGAAAATGGGACAGTAACTCGAGAGGGAGACAAGGTCATGGGAGGATTTGGTTGTTTTTTCAGGGTCTGGAGATGTGCATGTGTGTAGGCCAAGGGGAAGGAGCCCGTGGGAAGGGAAGGATTAAAGAGGTAGTAAGAAAGAGAGGAGGGGAGTGAGGCTGCGAGTCTGGGAAGGGTGGAGAGGCTGGGACGGAAAGCTCTGGGGCTGAAGGGCCACTTCAGTATGAGGTCCTTTGGGTGTTCTGGCAACGAAACTGACTTGGACAAGGTCCAAGCAAGACTCTCCTTTCACTAAAGCAAACAGCATGGTGGCACTAACACTTCTCTGAGAAGCTCAAATACAGAGATGTCTCTTTTTCCCCCCAAGACCGGTCTTTCCACTTTCAAGCATTCAAAAAGGTCCAAAAGTTAAATTAGAGTTTCAATATTCTAATTTTCCAACAAATTTATTTCCTTCATGGGTTAGCCAAATCAAGGAGTCTTTTCCCTCACCTGGGTCCCCAAATTTAATTAGCCAACTTCCTCCTTCCCTTCTGAGAGTCAGAAAATAGACTTTTTTTCTCTCCTTCCCCTCCTGGCTTTTGCTTATCTAAGCTAGGGTCCCCATGAGAGCTTTCAGCTGCTTTATTTCAGCTGGTCCCTCATAGCCACACTGACTCTGGTTAACCTTCTCTAGCTTCTCTGGGACCACTTTTAGGAAAGTTTGCTAGGTATTCTGACCTACTAATAGGTCCCTTAAGGGGAAGTCCACACCATCACAGTAGATCTTACTACCTAACACCTAGTGAAATCCTAGGCTTTGCTGAGCTCAGCCAAGACACCACAGGAAACACATGGTCTGGGGTTCCCAGAGAGATTGTCTATATCTCAAAGAATAATGCTAAACAGACAGAATACAAAACTGTCTGGAATAGAAGGCTTTGGGGTTTTAAAGAGCCCACTTTTTGTTTTTTCTAAAAATTTGTTTGGGAGGGATTAGCTTTGTGACTAAGCATAGGAAATAGATGAAATGTGTTTCCTAGATTTCATCTTATTCTTAGGTAGTATTATGGCATTATTAATCTCACCATGGCATTGTTCCACATGCTAATGCTTTTTAAAAAGCATGTCATTAGTTTGAGTGACAGAAACATGTTCTGCACCCTTCATAGATATTCAATATCTCTGTTCTTAAAACATTTTCTTAAACATCAAGTTCTGTTCCATAACATTTACAGAAACACAGCACTGAAAATTGTAACTGTCTCATCTTTCATGGTAAATTGAAGATTTCAGGAGAAAGAAAATGACCAAACACGATTATAAAAATGGCAAGTGGGACATAAACTTCTGCTCTAAGGCATAGTTTCAAATTTTTTTTTATTATACTTTAAGTTCTGGGATACATGTGCAGAACGTGTAGGTTTGTTACATAGGTATACACATGCCATGGTGGTTTGCTGCACCCATCACCCTGTCATCTACATTAGGTATTTCTCCTAATGTTATCCCTCCCCTAGCCCCCCACCCCACTGACAGGCCCCTGTGTGTGATGTTCCCCTCCCCAGATCCATGTGTTCTCATTGTTCAACTCTCACCTATGAGTGAGAACATGCGGTGTTTGGTTTTCTGTTCTTGTGTTAGTTTGCTGAGAATGATGGTTTCCAGCTTCACCCATGTCCCTGCAAAGGACATGAACTCATCCTTTTAATGGCTGCATAGTATTCCATGATGTATATGTGCCACATTTTCTTTATCCAGGCTATCATTGATAGGCAGTTGGGCTGGTTCCAAGTCTTTGCTATTGTGAACAGTGCCACAATAAATGTACATGTGCATGTATCTTTATAGAATGATTTATAATCCTTTGGGTATATAGCCAGTAATGGGATTGCTGGGTCAAACGGTATTGCTGGTTCTAGATCCCTGAGGAATCGCCACACTGTCCTCCACAATGGTTGAACTAATTTACACTGCCACCAACAGTGTAAAAGGGTTCCTATTTCTCCACATCTTCTCCAGCACCTGTTGTTTCCTGACTTTTTAATGAGGGGCATTCTAACTGGTGTGAGATGGTATCTCATTGTGGTTTTGATTTGCATTTCTCTAATGACCAGCGATTATGAGGTTTTTTTTCATGTGTTTATTGGCCACATAAATGTCTTCTTTTGAGAAGTGTCTGTTCATATATCCTTCGCTTACTTTTTGATGGGGTTGTTTTTTTCTTGTAAATTTGTATAAGTTCTTTGTAGATTCTGGATATTAGCCCTTTGTCAGATGGATAGATTGCAAAAATTTTCTCCCATTCTGTAGGTTGCCTGATCACTCTGATGATAGTTTCTTTTGCTGTGCAGAAGCTCTTTAGTTTAATTAGATCCTATTTTTCAAGTTTGGCTTTTGTTGCCATTTCTTTTTGTGTTTTAGTCATGAAGTCTTTGCTCATGCCTATGTCCTGGATGGTATTGCCTAGGTTTTCTTCTAGGATTTTTATGGTTTTATGTTTTATGTTTAAGTCTTTAATCCATCTTAATTTTTGTATAAGGTGTAAGGAAGGGGTCCAGTTTCAGTTTTCTGCATATGGCTAGCCAGTTTTCCCAACACCACTTATTAAATAGGGAATCCTTTCCCCATTGTTTGCTTTTGTCAGGTTTGTCAAAGATCAGATGGTTGTAGATGTGTGGTGTTATTTCTGAGGCTTCCGTTCTGTTCCATTTGTCTATATATCTATTTTGGTACCAGTACCATGCTGTTTTTTGTTACCATAGCCTTGTAGTATAGTTTGAAGTCAAGTAGTGTGATGCCTCCAGCTTTGTTCTTTTTGCTTAGGATTGCCTTGACTATACAGGCTCCTTTTTGGTTCCATATGAATGTTAAAGTAGTTTTTTCTAATTCTGTGAAGAAAGTCAATGGTAGCTTGTTGGGGATAGCATTGAATCTATAAATTACTTTGGGCAGCATGGCCATTTTCATGATATTGATTCTTCCTATCCATGAGCATGGAATGTTTTTCCATTTGTTTGTGTCCTCTTTTATTTCATTGAGCAGTGGTTTGTAGTTCTCCTTGAAGAGGTTCTTCACATCTCTTGTAATTTGTATTCCTAGGTATTTTATTCTCTTAGCAATTGTGAATTGGAGTTCACTCATGATTTGGCTGTTTGTCTATTATTGGTATATAGGAATGCTTCTGATTTTTGCACATTGATTTTGTATCCTGAGACTTTGCTGAAGTTGCTTATCAGCTTAAGGAGTTTTTGGGCTGAGACGATGAGGTTTTCCAAATATACAATCATATCATCTGCAAACAGAGACAATTTGACTTCCTCTCTTCCTATCTGAATATGCTTTCTTTCTTTCTCTTGCCTGATTGCCCTCACCAGAACTTTCAATACTATGTTGAATGGAGTGGTGAGAGAGGGCATCCTTGTCTTGTGCTGGTCTTCAAAGGGAATGCTTCCAGCTTTTGCCCATTCAGTGTGATATTGGCTGTGGGTTTGTCATAAATAGCTCTTATCATTTTGAGATACATTCCATGAATACCTAGTTTGAGAGTTTTTAACATGAAGGGTTATTGAATTTCATCAAACGCCTTTTCTGCATCTATTGAGATAATCATGTGATTTTTGTCCGTGGTTCTGTTTATGTGATGGATTTACGTTTATTGATTTGTGCCTGTTAAACCAGCCTTGCATCCCAGGGATGAAGCCGATTCGATAGTAGCGGATAAGCTTTTTGATGTGCTGCTGGATTCAAACTGAAGCCGGCAAACCGAATCAAAACATTTTTATAACACGAATATGAAGAGTTTATTTCCTACTGTCTTTAATTTTTGTTTCAGCCTTTAAAATAATATTCATGGAAATTTGTGAGAATATGGATTTAATAAAATATAGAGAATAAACTGTGCTTTAAAATTAGAAATGGAGTAATATATATTATTGCATTTTTTGGTGTAATTGTGTTGCTATCAAGTCTTTATTCTATTTTCAAAAGTATTCGTCTGTCAATCCTTATGTTGCAGTAATAAAAAAATTTAATATCTGCTCGTGAAATATAATAATCATTTTGCCTGAGTGGATGTAACCACTAACCAAAGTGACCCGGTGAGCATGTAAGGAAAAGAGTTTGCCCGTTTATGCTGCTTCACATCTTCCAGTGTGAAGAGCAGGTTCATATGGAGGCTACACACAGATGCTAGAGTCAGACTGGTTTAAATCACAGCTCTGTGTGACCTTCATCAATATACTTGCTAACCCGCTGTCTCGGATTCCTCTTCTGTAATATGGGGATTATAAAATAGTAATCTACCTGAAACGGTGTGGCGACTAAATAATTTAATGTTGGCAGAGTGCTGCAACAGACGCTGAGGCTACTCCATGCAAATACCCATCCCTACCTGCTGAGGGTTTGGGCCACTAAAGACTCAGACCTGACCAGGCATGGTGGCTCACACCTGCAATCCCAGCACTTTGGGAGGCTGAAGTGGGCAGATCACTTGAGGTCAGGAGTTTGAGACTAGCCTGGGCAACATGGAGAAGCCCCGTCTCTGCTAAAAATACAAAAATTAGCCAGTTGTGGTGGCGCACACCTGTAGTCCCAGCTACTCAGGAGGCTGAGGCAGGAGAATCACTTGAACCCAGGAGGTGGAGGTTGCAGTGAGCCAAGATCACGCCACTGCACTCCAGCCTGGGCAACAGAGCAAGACTTCATGTCAAAAAAAAAAAAAAAAAGAAAAAGAAAAAGAAAAAGAAAAAGAAAAGAAAAGAAAAGAAAAGAAAAGAAAAGAAAAGAAAAGAAAAGAAAAGAAATATTCACACCTGCACCCTTCTCAAGAGGCTTGCCCCTGGCTGACAGGTACTCTCTTGAGGGGGTGCTTGTTATGCACTCTCCCAGCACCCACTACTGCAAGTGGCCCATAACTAATGACCTACTGGTTCAGGGTTATAAGAGCCAGCACCCCTGCTTCTGGAGGACTAAACGCTGTGGTACAATCCACTAGTCAGAACTCCCATAGGATCAGGCTGGGGCTAGACTTCTAAAGCCATTCTTTGTTTATCTTCTTTCCCTGCCCTGCTCTCACGCCTTTCCTGGTTTTCCCTCCATAAATTATTCCTTCCTTTGCACAGAATCCCTGGCTCAGGCTCTGCTGGGGAACTGGACCTGAGACCAGTACTTCAAATAGTGCTTGGCACTATGTTAGCAATTATTAAGGATTAAAACAATCAAATTATTTGGTCTAAGTCAGATGTATAAATTGGAGACTTTATTGTTTAGAATGGAGTGACTTGCACGTTCGTCATCAGAGCTGATAAATAACTGCTTCCACATCAGCTTGTCTTTATAATTATTTTTCTTTCAATGGGAATGCTTAAAGAAAGCCCATTTCAGAGTTGTCAGGGAACAGTTTGAACAAGGACAGAGGGTGTCCAGCACAACTGGGGAATGCGAGGCCTGACTCCATAGCCGATGAGCAGGCAGGGTTACAGGTGTCCTAGGTTTCAGAGTCTTGGAACAGAGCAGGAGAAGGGGCAAAGCAGCAGGTACTGGGAGGAGCTATGGTTCAGCTCTCCCTCATTTCTTGACAGACAGGAAGAGGTTTGTACCCTGGGGTACTTTAGCTGCTTGAAGTAACCAGGTCTTAGGCATTGTTTTGTTCAAATCAAGATACAGGAAACTTCTCTCAATATTGAAAAAAGAGAGAAAAGGCAACGGGGAAAAAAAAGGAGGGAAAGGATGGGAGCTTTAGCTATCAGAAAGAGAAGACTCTTCCTGTGTAGCACGGGAGAGAAGGGAATTATCTAGATTTAGGAGAGTGGACAGAGGCAGAACTCAGACAAATTTAACTGCTAAAATGCTCATGTGTGCTACAAGGGCAGGAAGTATCCCCCTGGGAATGTGTTACTGTTGAGGAGAAAGGCCATCAGCAAACCTAAAGGGGCCATGTTGCAGGAGCAAAGCCCCCACAAAGGAACTAAGCTGCAAGCCCTTAGGTGGCAGTATATGCCAGAAGGGACAGCCAAAACAGGCAGCTGGGCCTAGGAATTTTATCTTCAAAAATCCAAATGCAGTCTTGAAGAAGTTATCTCCCATCTCCTATCTCAAGATGGAAAATCAAAGCCACCATGCATCAGTTTGCAGCTGTGTAACGCCCATTTGGTCAATAGCCACCTCTGGCTTTGTTTCCTGGAAGCTGTGCAATCATCACCGCTATCATTTAGGGCTGATAATTTTGAGACACCTGTGTCCAGATAAAAATCTGGTCTCCTGGGATTTAGAACCAGACATTGATTTTCTTTACTACCAGGATCACTCACAGGATAAAGTAAGACAATGGCCAGGAGGGAAGATGGGTTCATCTGGATATTAGGCACTAAGGTTGGCTGCATCACTGCGATGGAAGATACAGGAGAGGCACTTCTAAGGGTCTCAAGTCCATTCTGACAAGCCTTCTTGGTAAAATTCCAGGCCAAAAGAGGAGGCAGGAGGATTCTCTGGAGCTCTGGCTAGTATTTAGCAAGGCCCATCTTCCTAGGCCTTGAGTTCACTGCCTTGGAGTGACACACCATGTTTTGGAAGAGGTTTTAAGGTTAACCGTGCACTTTTTCACATTATTTTGGTCAGCCCTCAAAATAATGATGTTATTTCTTCTTTTTTATTTAAAATGAGAAAACTGAGACTCAGAAAATTTAACACCGTTAGGAAGTGGCAAAGTAAGCATTTCGACCCTGGCCATTGGCTTAAGAGTCTGGTGTTCTTCATCAGAGAAAAAAAGCACAGCCCTATTGTGAATATGTTCTCAGAGAATGTATCTTTTAGCATAGGACTTGTCATTTTCATCTTTTGATTTATTCCTTGAATACTATTTGCATGTTTGAAAATCCAAAACGGGTAAAACACTCCATACCATCCTTGTCCCTCATCTGCCATGCTCTTTCTTTCCAGCGCCATGGTAACCACTATTCTTAGTTTCTTCCATAGTCTCTTTATGTTCTATCAGGAAGCATGAGCTTCTTTTCTTCTTACTTCTTTTACACAAAAGTTACCATGTTATAAACAATGTTTAATACCTTCCTTTTTTCAATTAACTATATATCCTAGAGCTCTTTCTGTATCATTTTATAGGAAGCTTTCTCATTCTTCTTTATAGTTTATAGTATTCTCTTGTATGGATGTTCTATAATTTATTGAATCAGTTCTCTATTGATAAAAACTTGGGTTGTTTCCTATTTTTTACTACAAAACGCTCCAAGGAACAACCTTGTACATTCATCCTTTAGTACATATACAAGTATATCTGTAGGTTACTTTTCTGAAAGAAGAATCGCTGTAGAAAAATGTTTATGTATTTATAATTTTTGTGGATAGTCATCAGAAATTGATAAAGCCAAAAACTAAACACAAAGCCATTTCATCCCTCATACCAGGGTTTAATAATTGGTTTACCAAGGACACACCCAACTAATGAGGACTCCAGCTCAGTTCCTTTATGAATTGAGTAAATACTGAGTTGGCCCCAAGGCCATTCTTCAGAGCAGATTCTTCCAGGGCTCTTATCTTTGACTTTGGGTTCTCTCTCATTTTTTTTTTTCTTTCGGTAGATGCTCTAAGGCAAGAAAATTGGAGACTTTTTTGAAATTCTTCCTCTTGTCCTTCAGATACATCATACTGGAAAACAGCTGAGACAAGCATATCTCTGCAACTGGCCTTAGTGAAACAGAAAAATCACAGGCTCTGGGGTCAGAAAGACCTAAATTTGAATATTGGTTTTCTCACTTTTTAAATGCATGATCTTGGGTGGGAATTTTAACCTCTCCAAGTCATGCTTCTTTCATGTGGGGAAGAGAAAAAAAATACTTGAACCTATCAAAAATGGTGTGGTGAGGTTAAAGATAATGTGTGAAAAACACACTAAGGACTCAATGGATATTTTCTGTTATTTTGTAAAATTGTCCTAAAATACATGCTTATAAATTCTTTTATATCAGTGTCGCTGGGGGCCTAGGACCAGCCTCTACCTGCATCTACATGAATGACTCATAACCTCAGCTTCCAAACCATCTCATTATTGACGGTTTGCCTCTTGGTAAGCAGTTGAGGAGTGGTTTTCCACATCCCGCTGATGACACAGTGTTCCTCATGATATGGCTGCATTAGGCTCCAACCACACTTGTAACATCAAAGCACCCTGGCTCATCAATTAGTCAGGAAGCAATTTTTCACCATTTGGTCCAGCACCTAAGCTGGCTCTTAAAAAGCACCAAGGTTTATCTAGGGTCAGATGGCTTAGAAATCCTACAAATAGGGCCACCCACAGCCACATAGTTTTGTGACAGGTGTCTGGACTCACAAGAAGCAAAGACCCACAGAACACAGAGCAGACATTTTCAGCTCTGATCTGAGAGCTGCTGTTTCCAAGTCTGCAGATTTATCATTTTATTATTTCTTGACACCCAAATGAGCACACGAAGCTCTGTGTCCTCCTGGTGAAGGAAAGAGGCTCTTTGAAACAGACAACTCTGGTGATGGCAGTAATGCGATGATGGATTATCTTTATGTTTCCTCATTCCCTGAATCCATTAAAAGAGGGGAGTTGAATTCTATCTTATCAAGATCCTCTTTCCTTAATTACTTTTTAAATGACTGAAATGAAAATTTGCAAACAAGGCACGTGTTAGGTATTCCTCTCATCTTCAGCCTATCCCTGACACCGTCCCAACTTCTGCCTTTCAAAGTAATCCAGCAGCAAAGATGTTCTAAAGTGTGAGTCACTCACAGATTGTTCAGGGGGCTGAAGGAAAATCTGCTAATGGGATTTGCAGTTCTACACCAGAAAATAATGAGATAGGAAATGGGCAATGTGTACGTGATTCTTCCATGTCATTCAGAATAATGAGATCTTGGAGCAGCTTCTTCCTGAATTGAAATCATTGACAATGTATTTGCATATTCATTTTTGGATACTTTGATTTAAAAGTCAGTTATGGAAGAAGTCAGTCTAACATCTGAGAATTGTAGGTACTTGAAAAGAAAAGAAAAATTCTATCCTACGATTATCTCTTTCCTCAATGTTTCTTAGGACCTTGAAGAAGAGGTTGAGGGAACACAAACATTTGGGTTATATTTTTAAAACTTAAAAATAAAGATTTGTGGAGAGAATATTGACCTATAACATTTGCAGCTTTTGCCTTTTATTATCAAGGGTTTGTTAAAGCCCATCGTATCATCATGAAGATTTGAGTAGAAATGTTCTTATGCCTGTACTGTGCAATACAGTAGCCACTAGCCACATGTGCTATTTGAATTTAAATTAATTAAAATTAAACCAGATTAAAACATTAGGTCCTTGGTAGCACTAACCACATTTCTAGTGTGCCTGGTGGATGATACAACTCCTGGGTGTAGAAAGTGGCAGGCGTTTGTGTGAATGAATGAAATCTCCCAGGCTGAATGTGATGGAGGCTTCTACAATGATTAATCAACTAAGCAGCCTCTTTTTCCTCCTTAATAACTTGGAGTTTTACTCGTCCTTCCTCCATAACATCTCTCTCTAACCATGGCTAGCTGTGGAGAAAGAGGCTTGCAAATTAAAGTTCATGCATTCATGGTTCAAGACCTAGTTAAGCATAAGTGGGTTATCTGTAGTAATCAATCCTTCTGAATCACCAAGTTTATCCAAATTTCTTGATTCAGAAAAAAATCAAGTCACATCACCAATGGAGTGGCTTTGGGAGATTATGTTCTCCCTAAAAAGAAAAATGCATCAGTTTTGCATATTGATGTTATTCAATTTACAAGCATAGGCAAATATAGCACCATTTGAAATAACACAAGATTTGGGTTAGATATATGCAAAAACAAGCAAGCAAACAAAACTTAATAGTCCACGTTTTCTGATTATGAGTTCATTCTCAAGTCTTGATGATTTAAGTCAACCTCACCCTTGATGCAAAGCAATAATTATGGGTTTTGTTGGTAAAATCAAGTCATCATTCAATATTCATGTGCTCTTTCAGAGAAATCTCTTAGGCAGTTAATGTTATTTCTCCCTCCCTCTCTATCCTTCCTCCCAACCCCACCAACCATCAGCATTGTTATTCCAGCAGATACAATCAAAATGTACACCACCAAAGGAAGTCTTAGAAGAACAAAAAAGGCTTAAGGCTTAAACATGAATATCAATGTGAATCATTCTATGAGCTTCGTCTGGGGGGACAAAAGAGGTAGAACAGACTTATTTGATGTATATAAAATGATTAACTTTTACGGGACTTATTCCCTACCAGGCACTGTTCCATATACTCCGTACGTACCAACTATCACAGCAGCCCCCTTTCTCTGATGAAGAAACTGAGATAGGGAGAGGTTAAACAATTGCACTCAAGTTACCATAACCAAGCTACAAAAAAGGCAGTTTAGGACCACTGACTGTACTCTTAACCTTGAGGCCAAATGCTGTGTCTACTTAAGTACCTGGGCTGGGGCTGCCTCCTTTGTCCCGAGTACAGCCTGATAGAATGGGCTGGCTTCTGGAGCTATGGGAGGGCCTCAAAATACAGTCAGCCCTGTGGCATGTATCACTGACTTATCTGGAAGGTATAAGGTAAGCTGAGGAACCACTGCGATACTCACTTCCAGTCTCCCCCCACCGGGGCTGCTTTTGTTGGTCAGATGTGGAAGGGAAAGCTACCTTCTCTACCGCCTTTGATCAGACCTAGGCCACAGTGTGAAGAGGAGAGTGTGCCTGCTTCTTAGAGAAAGCTAGGAGACGAATGTTCCCAGTCCTGCTAGCACACTCTTTGCAGGCTCTTTGGTGGGCTTGGGATAACCCAGCACTCCTGAAGGCTACAGGGTGTGCTTTGTCTCCTAGACACAGAAAACTCTTTGGCAGCGTCTTAGCCTGGGTCCACAGTGCCCCTTGGGTAAGATGAGGGTAAACAGGCTCCAAGGTCCAAAACATGTCTGCTATTAAGCCCCATATTAATTTAATTAATTAAAACCTAAGATATAGTTGAGAAAGAAAAGCAAAAGACTTTCCTTTGTAGGAGCACCAAGTTAACCTATTGCTAGTCGCCTCTTGGGCACACAAATGAAAGCACAATGCCATAAACAGCAGTCCAGTCAGGACGCTTGGTCAGCTCATCATCCAGCTTCTTTATGGTGGGGAGCTGCTATGAATGGCAGAGCAGCCCTGGGGTGGTATGTGGCTGGGAATTGACTCCCCTACCCTTTATCTGCAGCAGAGTAACTGACAGAAGGTAGGGTTACGGGGCCAGATAGAAGGGGAGATTCCTTTCCCTGTGCTGCCTGGGTGGTCTTTTTGTCCCTATCTTCCTGGAAAAGATGATTAGATACAGTTCTGGGGTGGGAAGGAACCCACCCGCATTGTTGCTTTGCAGATAAGAAAACTGAAACTTGAAGTGGTAAAATGACATGCCCAAGGTCAGTTAAATGTCAGAGATTATGATCATTGATGTCATCCAAAGAAAACTCCAATTTTCTTCCAAGCTATGAAGTGGAACCAATTTGTAATACAGCTTTCTCAAAGGGCTGAAATCCTATTTCTTAAAGCCTCAGTTTATGTTGTTCATGCATTGAGCACTTGGGACAGAGGGAATTGAGGCAGAGGAAATTTTTTTATTATTATTTATAATAGAAACTCCACTGTCTAAAGGGATTTGAGGTGGCTTGTAATGAAAGGCAGACATATCATAAAGCTGTAAAAATATTTTAAAAGGAGAAAAAAAGTTGAAGGTTAGGAAAAAAATCTGTATCAAACCCCTAAGTTAAAGGCAGCCAAGGGGAACAGTATGAGTAACTCAATTCTCACTGCCTGTTGAAAGGAAGCGTAGTAATGCTTAGCTACAACATTCTTGGAGAAAAGTTAGTTGGTTAGCTTACTATTATTCTCTACTAATTCTGGAGGGTCTTTTTAAAAATTTTAATTTATTCAGGGATAGGGCTCTGGGCCAGATTGATGCTCTGATTCTTAATGACATAATGGATAGCCCCAGAAGCAGGTGCCAGAAGGCATTACTATCATGGCTTCACTATTACTCTGAGACACTATTTTTATTGTGCACTATTTTAACCCCATATTAATGACTGTAGATTTTACCTGGGCACATGTATTGTCACCTAATTATTTAGTTGTCTTTTTACAGACTGTCAAGGTCTTTACTTCTTAACACAAGGACATGCCAAGGCAGTACTGCAAGACAGGGAGACCTCGTCAGAATTCATTCATCTGAGTTCAACAGCATGTATTGAGTACCCACTGCATGCCCCAACCTTGCTAAGGAGCAAGGGATAAAAATGTGAGCTGAGCCTGATTTACAGGCAAAGATTCAATGATTTATAATACAATATGATGACATCATATGATAACAGTGATCAGAATGATGTGTTTTAGGAATGCAATAGAAAAAGGACAGATTCTGCCCAGAGACATTGGAGGTAGGTTACCAGGGGAGGTAATGTTTTATTCATTCTTTTAACAAATATTGAGTATATATTTTCTTCCAGATACTATGTTGGGTGCTGAGATTATCAAAGCAGTCATGTTCTCTATTTTCATGGAACTTGAAGTAATAGCCTATTTATACATGGAGAAAAAGACTCATAGTGTATTGCAGAGAAAAAAGTATTGCAGAGAAAAAAAGAGCTCTATGAGCAAAGATGAGAGGGACATGCAAGCTAAAGGGTGACCAGATAATGTGTGGGGCATGAGGACACTTGAACTGTATCACATACACAATGGGGAGACGGCAAAGGTCTTAGGGAGTGGCATGATCATATTTGTACTTTAAGAGTTAGCCACAAAGATTTAATTACATAAAAAATAAAACCATAAAAGTACTAGAAAAAAACATAGGTAAGTATATACTTTTAACTTGGGGAAAAGCTTTCAACATATGGCATCGAAAAGTTAAAACCACACAGAAAAGAGGGATAGATTTGAATATATAAAGATTTAAAAGTAAACCACAAAACCACTAAAGTTAAAAGGATAAAAGTTTTAAAAAAAGTAAAAAGGACAAATTGGGGGATATTCAATAGCCTTGATATAGAAATGACTCATACATACAAACAAGAAAAAGAAAATGCCTTATAGAACAAAAATAAGATATTTGCAAAAGGAGATATTCAAAAGTTTCCCCCAAAAAACAACAGATGAAAAATGTTCAAACTCACTAGTAATCTAAACAAATTAAAATAGGTAGCTATCATTCTTTACTTACCAGATTAAACAAAGATTTAAAAAGAATACAGTAATGCCAGCGTTAGTGAAGGACTAGAAGAACAGACTCTTAAGTACTACCTGTATATGAGTGGTTTAGAAGACCAATTTGTAACAAATGTCAGAATTCTTAAAAATTAATAGATATACTGATTTAACAAATTTACTTTTAGGAATATATCCTAAGGAAGTTGGCCAACTCACAAAAAAATTTTTTTCCAAATGGCTCATTTCAATGTTGTTTGTAATAGCTAAACAAAATACAAAAAAACACAACAACACAAACAACAACAAAAACCCACAAAACAATGTAGATGCCTAACCCTGAAACAAAGGATTGGTTAAAAAATACAAAGGCACTGCCACCCACTCAGACGCTATGTAGCCATTAAAAATAATATGAATCTATACTTACTGACATGGAAATTTACCCATAATATATTGTTAACAAAGAATAGAAGGTTACAGAGAATTATAGCAGGATATCATTTTTGAAAATAGTTATTTTATGTACATAAAAAATCCAGTAGGAAAGACAAAATATTGTATCATTTTTCTGATTGTAGTTTTTTTCATTCTGCTTTTTATTTTCTCATTTTTCTACATCAAACATGGATTAATACAAAAATAATTCAATCATTATAACACATTAAAGGTGATTAGCCTCAGGCACAAAAGATGAAGGGCATTCAGGAGGCATTTGCCATAAACCAGGAAAGAAATGAGAAAGGCTTGTGCTGGACTCCAGTGGTTTCCAGTCCTAGCTGTACTTTAGAAATACCTAGGGAGGTATTAAAAAGTACTCATTTCAGGCACAACACAGACTAATTAATTTAGAGTCTCTGGGATGGTACCTTGACACTGGTATGTTTTAACGTCTGCCCCCTGCCTTGCCCCAAGTGACTCTAAAATGTGCAGGTGGAGATAAGTCCACTACTCTAAGGCAGTGGCAGTTGGAAAGGAGAAGAAGAGGATTTGGACCTGAATTACGTTCCAGGGGTGGGATCCCTAAAAAGGATATAAATCTTAGGACATGAATTTGGCTTTAGTGGGTTTCCTTCCATTCTATATAGCTCTCAAGGTCAAGTGCATTGCTGAGGAATGGACAATAGCCTCTGCTGATCCCTCTGATCTAAGCTGCTGCTGGCACGGCAGCATTGGAGGCTACATCCATTCTCAGCACATTTGGAGTGCAATGATGCTGCAGGAACAAATCGCCCACCTTCCAAATGCCCTGTGAGTGAGTCAGTGCTCAGCAGCATTGGCAAGGCGGAGCGCTGTAACGGCAAAGAAAGGATGACATCTCATATACATGTGTGAACAGGACTGTTTACTCATAGGATGATTATTTTAAAGGAGACGTTTGGTTTTTTAAGGTCCGTAGAAGTTTGTTTCATCGCTAATCGCAGCGGGTGTAGGTGTTAGCTAACATACCGGTAACTGAATGTTCTTAGCAATACTGCAATAGCTTCCCTTAAGGTTTAAAAATTACAATTTGATTTTAATTGCCACCTCTCTTAATAGGTGTTACTCAAACAGGAAGGAAAATGCCACATACTCTTACCAGTTCTTGATGCCAGAGATTACTAAAGCAATTTGGAAAGATATCGAAAAGGTGTTGAGAAAATACAGGTGAATTTTAATACATGATGTGTATTGACATTTTTACTCTAGGTAGCAACAGAGAGACTTCTGTATTGCTGGGGAGGAATTATATGAGATTTTGGCTACGGAGACAGGATTTCTCACTTCTTATTGGCTGAAAAAAAAATAAATGAAGCCATTAGAAGCAGTATTGAAATATTAATCATACCTTCCAAAATTAAACACTCTTTTAAAAATAAAAGTTACACAATCTGTCTTTCACTTCATCTTTGACTTTCATCCCAACACTGGTGGGAGGAAATAAGCTCTGGTTAAAATCAAGACTGAAAGTGACTTTGACTTTGCAGAGAACAGTGTCAAGGCGAAGAACTTGACTGTATCTTCTCTCCCACTTGGGGTCAGTGTTTAGGCACATGAGAGAAGATGAGGAACCAGGACAGGAAATGGCAGCGTTTCCACCAAAGGTCAAGGGGAACATTAATGGGCTACATTCCAGACCCAAGGCTGACGATCTTCTTCAAAGGAGTCAGTGGTGGAAACACAGACTCAGAGCCACTCCCAAAAGGTACGATGAGGTCAGGATCATTGAAGAGAGGCAGTGCACAGGGGGCGTTCGGGTGAGCATCTCTAAAGTTACCTTTCTGGTTGGTCTTTGACATCAAAGTGCGTAAGTCTGCCTTTCATGGGCAGGTAGAAATGCTGTGCAGGTGAAAACAGGCCTCTGGCAAGATAAGAACAGAAATCTTTGAGCTTCAAATTACAGATCTTTATGTTTCACTGAAACTTGTCTTTACAGGGGTGTCAGTCTCCACTGTGACTGACCACAAAACCCTGCAGGAAAGAGGCTGTGGGTTTTCCTGCGTGGTCCCCAGACCCTAATATGCCCATGTGGCTGCCTAATACACATCTCTATTTAAAATGTTCAGAATCTGTGTACTTGGTAAGTAAATTTCAAACAATACCCTTCCTCTCTTCCGCTCCCTGTCTCCAGACCCCCATTTTCCCTCCCTGAAGATAACCACTGCTAGTGCATTTTTAGACTTCCTACCGGAGATAGATATTCTTCTTGCTCCGTTTCTCTCTCTCTCTCCACACGCACACACACTCACACACACACACACATAAATACATATACACACGTAAACATAACATATACATATTTTTACATAGATAGAACTTCACACACTGCTCTGTACCTTGTCTTGTTCCCTCATGTTCACTTATCAATAAATTCTGGAGATCATTCCACGCCATTCCATACAGGACTGATTCAATCTGTGCATGAATGCATAGCACTCCACTGCAGAGGTGAACCACAATCTGTTCAACCAGGCCTCTCTAACTGATGGAATTTAGAGTTTTTCCAGTCTTTGTCAATGCTGCACTAAATGTCTTTGTATAACTATTTTTATGTCTGTGGAAGTATTTCTGAAAGATTAATTCCTGGATATAAAATTTCTGAGTACATGTACTTTAAGTTCTGATTGATATTGACATATTTTCCTTCAAATATCGAGCCAATTCATACTCTATCAAGAATATATGAGGCCTTGAGAATATTAAGTGAAAGAAGGCCACAAAAGACCACAGAATATATGATTCCTATATCATGAAATATCTAGCATAGGCAAATCCATACAGAAATCGATTAATGGTCACCAGGGGTTGGGGGAAGGAAGGAGCTAAAGAGTAAGTGGTATTGGGTGCAGGATTTCATTTCGGTGTGACGAAAATGTTCTGAATTCAGATAGTGGTGATGCTCCTACATCTATAAATATGCTAAACCCCACTGAATTTTATACTTTAAACGGATGAATTTATGATATGTGAATTCTATCTCGATAAAGCTCTTATTTTAAAAAATGCATGAGAGTACCTGTGCCTTCCACTCCCCTATTGACAGTGTATGTTCACACTTTTTCATCACCATTCTAATTACAACATCTTGCTTCATTCCTTCTAAAGGAGGACTAAGCAGGAAAGAAATAGATTGAACGGGCCAACCAGGTATTTTAGGATTTGGGCTGTCAACTTTATAGTCTAACAGCAATGGAAATGTCTAAGATGGAAACAATCAAAACAGTCAAGTTGTCAACAATTGCCAATGAATTCAGCAGCCTAAATGAAACAAGCAAGGAATGAGACTTAAGAATTTAAAAAAGGGATGAAGGACCCAGTTCTTCCAGCCTAAAGGATTTTGAAATCTCCGTTTGCTTAACCAAGGACATGAATGCCACAACTCCTGAATGCAGAACTTAATCCAGCAGCGTGCCTCCAGTAGAAAATAAGCTGAAGTTCAATGTATTCTCTATGAAGAAGGTATGGGAGCTGAGTAAAACATTTTTGTACACCATTCTAGAGCTACTGATAGGCTGAAAAAATTAACCATTGCTTGCCCCTCTTAAAACTCATATTTTCATTGAGATGGGTTTCCTTTGGATTCCATTTCGCCCCTTTTCACCTCTCACCTCCAAGATTAACCCTGCTAAATACTTCTTTTTCTATGATGTCTTATATTTCAAACTGCTTGTGCCTTGTGGGATTAAAAGCTAAATACTCTTTAACAAGAGTAATCCCCTAAGTGGACATGTTTCTGAGATTGTTAGGCATTTGATCACAAGTGAAAGATGAGAATGCAGCGGGAAGGTATGAAAGCACAGAGAGTAGAGAGGTTCAGGATTTTCACCTTAGTAATAATTGATTGCAAAGGGGCTCTCCAAGCCAATATTTGCATGAAAATAGGCCCATTCTTAATTCTCAAGAATAAGCTCATTTTTCTCCCTTCCATTGAGAAGCAATATGACCCCAAGGAAATACATCCCAGCAAGTGAGGCCTTGACACACTTGACCTTTCCCAGTTTTTGACTCAGCTTATGTGGCTTTAATAATAACAGCTAGCACTTACAAATAATGCATTTAATATGTGGCAGCCACTGTTCTAGGCACTCTATATATACTGGCTCATTTAAGACCCAACAATCTTGTGAGGAAAACACTATTTGTCCTGCTGCTATGGACTGAATTGTGCCTCCCCACCCCTGCAGAAATCATATGTTGATGCCTTAACCCCCAGTGTAGTGGTATTTGTGGATGGGCCTTTGGGGAGGCAACTGGGTTTAGATAAAGCCATGAGGGTGGGGTCCTCATAATGGGATTAGGGCCCCCCTAAGAAGCGGCTCCAGACAACTTGCTTCCCTCTCCTGTCACTGCCATGTGAGGACACAGGGAAAAGGCAGAAGAATTTCTGAAAGTCAGAAGAATTTCTCACCGGGGAACCAAGTTGGCTATCACCTTGATTTTGGACTTCCCAGTCTCCAGAACAGTGAGATATAATTATTCACTGTTTAAGGCACTCAGTCTATGGTATATTGTTGTGGTAGCCCAAGCTGACTAATGTAAACCAAAATTAAAATTCTAAGGCCCCTCAACCATCTGAATGAACCCTTCCTCCTGGCCAAGGACATTCCAAAATTAACCTGAAGAACAAGTTCAGGCTATGATGGGAAGGGGGAGCTGGACATGCCTCATTATACCCTCCTCCCTTTTGGAATTACTGGTAGAACGGACTCTAAGTTTGATAAGAAACATTTACAATTTATTCTCTCTGAAGTCTGCTACCTGGAGGCTTCATCTGTATGACAAAACCCTGGTCTCTATGACCTCTTATTGTACCCAGACATTCCTTTCTATTGATAATAACTCTTTCAACCAATTGCCAATTGGAAAATCTAATCTACCTATGACCTGGAAGCTCCCACTTCAAGTCATGCTGCCTTTCTGGACTGAACCAATGTACATCTTACATGTATGGATTGATGTCTCATATCTCCTTAAAATGTATAAAGCTGAGCTGTACCCCACCACCTTGGGCACATGTCAGGATCTCCTGAGGATGTGTCATGAGTGTGTCCTTAACCTTGGCAAAAATCAACTTTCTAAACTGATTCAGACCTGTCTCAGGTACTTTTGGTTTACATTAATATGAGTGCTACCTCATAGAGGAGCAAATCGAGACCCAGGGAGGCTATGTCATAGCTTACCTAGGGAGAACTAGAAGATGATGAAGGCAGGAGTCAAACTCACATAGTCTCACTCCAGAGTCTGTATTGCTCATTACTATGGTCAAATGCCTGCAATGAAGGCAATAGCTTGTGTATTCTGGCCTCCTCTTCTGCCATCCTGAAACTCCAAATTATGCCATCATGTGGACTCACAAAAGATTGTGTTCAGGCTTCCACTGTATGTCTCATGTGTTTTGGAGTTTGTGCCCTCTACTCATCTGGGAGCCTGGTAATGGCTGGGACTTTTTTTCATTTCCACTCCCTCAGTTCTTAGTGCAGTGCCTGGGTAGGTGTTTACTAAATCTTGTTAAGTGAATATGTGTAAAGACGAAACAGCCTAATCTCACAAAGTTTTACAAATAAGAATAAATCATGTGAGTTCTTTGCAAAGAAGAATATTGCAGTATGACAGGCTGATTTGGTAATAACTCAGCTAGCAGAGACCTGCTTAAACAGTTACCCAAGCCCGAGAAGGAGCAATTTTGTGCTGTCTTATGATAGTCTGAATGGACTTAGGGGGATACCAGTTTTCTGTTTTGCTCTTGGCCCCTTGCTCATAAAAAGTACTACTGCAGGTTGGGCTGCTGCAGAAGCAGGCTCTGAGATAGAATCTAGTGTGCAGGATATTTATAAGGAGGGTCCTTGGGATCTATGCATTCCACAGGAAGAGACTAAGGCAGAACTGGGTAGAGGAAGAAGTTGAAATGTGGTGCAGGCCCAGTGACGGCCTGGCTGAGCTCATGAGAGCTCTTGAGCTAGAATGGTCTTGCTAGAGTTGAGCCAGATGGCAAGGTCTTCTTACTCCAAAGCTATTAGTCACTAGATATGGGCTGCCCAGGAGGGGCTTGATCATGAGCAAGGCAGCTTGCCTGAAGGGATGGCAGCTGAAGGCTGTCTGTTGACAGACTTCCAGCAGCTGGGACAACAAGCTCTTATTTCAGGGAGGTCTGGGTGGTGTATCTCAGTGTCCCACACATGAACATTACTTTGGAATGAGTGTTTCCACAGCACAGGAGCCCAGCATGGTGAGTATTCTCATTATTACAGAATATTACTTTCATCTCTTGAGCCGGATTTTCTTTTATGACTCTTGGCAGATGCCCAAAGATCCTATGTCTGTGTAGCATCTTTTTGAAAGGTTTTTTCATACATAATATCTCTTATATGAGATTCCTTTCTAAGAACACTCTACCTCCCAGAGTCTGGCTTTAAATTTGTTTTCTCATGTTTCCTTCATATCTCAGAAGAAAAAGTTCCCTCCCCCTTTCTCAGGTTAATTTTTCTTCTATTACTTTGACTTGCCCCTTCTTGATCTCCTACAAAACCTAGTTCTTTCAGTGAGTCTCAAGTCCCCTCAATGTCTTTCCTCCCCTATGCAGGGTAAGCCCTAGAATATTATTGTATGGGAAATCGGGTCTTAGTAAGAGAGTAAACACAATGATGTGTGGGCATAGAAGCAGGGAGGCCAGGAATGAGATGCAGCTCTGCTAATGAAATACAATTTAACACACTATAAGCAGGGATTCTTCTAGGAAGTTTTGATGAATAATTCTTAGTTGCTTATTCCTCTGACGAGCCCCTGAGGGTTGTATCAGTGGAAGGTCTCATGGTGAAGTAGGAGGAATGTGGTTTTTGGAGTTATTCAGGACTGATTTTGACTTATAGCCAAGTCAACTTGCTAGCTGTGTAACCCCTCAGTTTAATCAGTTTAGTTACCTTCTCTTAGCTTTAGTTTCCTCATCTGGAACACATGGCTTATGAAGTCCTCCCTCAAAGGGTTGCTGTGAAGGGGACACTCAATGAGATGACACAGGTGAAGACTTGCATAGCATCTGGCACGTGGTATACTCTGTCACGCACACGCTGCTTCCCCACTGAGGCAGTTGCACTGGGAGTCCAGCTGGCCAGGTGCCACCTCTCCTCTGGCTCATTCACGCATGTGGGCCCCACTACTTTTTGATTTTACATTTAAACCCAGTGCTCTGAATTCCTGTCTTGCCTTTATTGGTGAGATATCTCCATCTCAGTTACAGCTGAGCAGGTGTATTATGAGCTGAGTGAATGCAAGATTGAACAAATAAAAAATACAACATGTAAGTGAACTCAAAAAAGGCTTTTGGAGTACCCTGTAGTTCAAATGGTTTGTGCTTATTCCATTCACAGATGGCACATTCTATCTGCAATGACTACCAAGCTAAGTATGGCAAGATGGTTTCTTAGTATGATAAGAGACTAATAGGACCCTACTTCTCATTTGTTAACCCCTCACAGTGTACCAATATTAAACAAGGTATTTTAAAAAGATCTGTTCCTGTCTTTGTGGTTAATTTTTAAGAGTTAAAATTCTTCTTGTTCTATGAGCCCCTGAAAATTCATTTTAAATCAACAGGCAAAGAGCCAGCTACGAGGAAGGGCAGAGCAAAAATAAACTTTATCCAGCAGTCATGTCTTAGGGAAAGAATTGGACAAACCTCTTCCTTGTTTCAGTAGAAACTTCAATACGTGTAACAGAATTAAGGAACAGCTAGATTGATGCTTGTAGAGGCAAAAAGATATAGAGAGTATATATATTTAATCAGACTAATCAAGCACACATCTGTAAGTGAATTTAAAAAATGACTTTGCTTTGAGGAAGTTGACTCTCATTTTGGTTTGTTTCATGATTGACTGAATTATTCTCTGTCTTGCATGTCACCTTATTTGACTTGACACTAATCTGACAGAGGGATGTACAGGAAAATCTGCAGGCCTGGGTGTCAGCCCTGAGTCAGGACTCTGACTCTGTTGCTTCTTAGCTGTGGGACCATGGGTAAGTTACTCAATCCTCTGACCTTCAGTTCCTTCAATAGTAAAATGAGGTTTTAATACTTACTTCTACTATAGTGTGTATAAAATGTAATACATATAAAGTGCCAGGAGTGAAGTAGGTATTAAAAATGCTATAGTTCCTCTCTCCTTGCCTGCTAATTTCCAAAATATCCTATGGCTTTTAGTCATATGATAAATTTTGGTTGCTACCATTTTTCCCTATTAGGCACTATTTACTGATACAGAATACTCTATACTTAGTGCTGTTGTCATAAGCAAGTCTCTAGACAAAGAGAGGAAATTGCTGAGGCAGTTTAGCTTGACAGGTTGACAGAGCCAGGCTCTGACACTTATCAAATGTTTGACCTTGGGCAATTAGTTAAACATTCTGTGCCTCAGTTTCCTCCTCTCTAATATGTGGATATTAAACCTCATTCCTAGGTTTGTGTTGAGGATTAAACGAGTTAATCTATTTGAAGCCATTAGCATGGTGCCTAGCAATCGTAGGAACAATGTTGATGTCAGCTATTGAAACTGCTGCCCCTCGTTGCTATGTTTGTGGCTGCCTTCCTACTCACAGCTCTCATCTTCAGGAACTGCTTCCACCCACTAATCGCCTCCCCCAGCGATGTTTGCATTACATAAATGGTGTATCCATCCAAGCCCCAACTGTTTAGATCAGGAGTGGACGTCTCATCTGAGCTGGAAAAATCAGAACCCTCTCTTTGGTTTGGGAACAGCGAGTAATTGAGAGCAGCCAGCTGTGGGCTGTGGAGCTGGAAGGTTGCATAGACTCAGGTCTGAGGCTATTATCTGGTCCTTGATGGATGAATGGAGAAAGCTTTCTGCTAAGAGAATCAGGAAAGTGGGGACAGATATAAGAGAAAACCAGAGAGGAGAAAGTTTATGGCCCGTAAGAAATGATGAGAGGTCCTGGGAAGATGAATTTTCCAGTTCCTGAGACCAGGCTGTGCTGAGCACTCTGCACTTACACTCTTGAGATGCCCACATTCTTACATGATGACGCTCCAATTCCCAACCCCTTCCCGACCGGCTTAGGCAACTCTCTCTTCTGTGCAGGCAAAGAAGCTGTGATGAAAACACTGAACTTCAGCAGGAAGTGATCTACATCCTTGGTCTACAAATGTTTTTGCTCACATAGTTGCAGAATTTTTAGGAACTATGTACCCCTACACATTTTCAAGTCGATATCTAAAATTTTTATCTTAAGTTTAAATGTCATAGCCCATAGAATCTAATAGTCCATTGATTGCAAGATATATTTCTTTCACAGTATTATGAACAGATAAGAAAAAATAAATGCTTACCATTTTTATAAGATACACCCCAATTTAACAGATGTTAAAATGAAAAATATGTCCCTTGGAATCACTGAAATGTGAACATTAAGGATATAATCCTTATACATTATAAATATTGACATTAAAAAAAGCCTGCTACATTATTCTTTTAACTGTGTCCAAAGAATCTAAATACTATAAAGATTTAATATTCACATGATCCAGTTAGAAAATATACTAGATGAGCATGATGTACTCTGACATTTGGAAAATTTAAATCTTTTTCCCCCTTGAATCTAGATTTTCAACCTATTACCACACAAGATTTAATCTAAATGTATATAAGGTATTTATGTAAAAATATAGTAGTCTTTAAACCTTTTACTTATTCCCCTATCATACATTTTTTGTATACATACAAGAAAAATATGCATATGAACTGGAAATTTGCTTTATTCTCTGTATTCATAAGGCTGTAAATCTGCACTATCCCAATATGGTAGCCACTAGCACCTGTTGCTATCTAAATCTAAATGAACAAAAATGAAAAAGTTAAAAACTTAGTTTCCCCATATTAGTCACAAGAGCCCGATAGCCACAGTGGCTAGTCAGTAGTTGATGCGTGGATACAGATAGAAAACGTTAGTATTGATGCAGGACATTCTATTGAACAGAGCTGCTCTAAAGGTTAAAAATTTCTTTCAGATACACTTATTATTTTACTTCTTATAGGCATTCAATTGATCAAAACAACCTAAACATATAACATAATTTTATAAATAATGTAATTGACACAAAGAGAAAACATTTTAAGGATTTGTGGCTTCTCATCAAATAAATGGAGCAGAATTTTTGTTTTGTTTTTTAAGTAGTTTCATGTGTTGTGTGACTTATTTCTAGAATAAGATAGAGGCCAACATCAATTTTATTTCTATTTTTTAGTTTTATAAATGGAAACACTGAGAAATTTTCTTTCTTTCTTTTTTTTTGGAGATGGGAGTCTCGCTCTGTCACCCAGGCTGGAGTGCAATGGCACCATCTTGGCTCACTGCACCCTCCATCTCCCAGGTTCAAGCGATTCTCCTGCCTCAGTCTCCCAAGTAGCTGGGATTACAGGCTTGCACCATCATGCCCGGCTAATTTTTGTATTTTCAGTAGAGACGAGGTTTCACCATGTTGGCCAGGCTGGTCTTGAACTCCTTACCTCAGGTGATCTGTCTGCCTTGGCCTCCCAAAGTGCTGGGATTACAGGCATGAGCCACTGCACCTGAGAAGTTTTCTTCATACAAATAAGGAGATAATGAAGAACTTTATCACATTTCACTTCTTTGAACTTTTCCTGAGCCAAAAAAAAAAAAAATCACATAATGATCTATCATCAAAATTTATATTTAAGGATAATTTAGCTGACAACTTTATTAGGTACTTCAGTTCTGTTCAAATCAAGGATTGGAAACCACTTTGCTTGCAAAATAATTTGGCATTATAGCCATCTGCTGTCTCAATTTCTGGTAAGTCCCGTATATCAAAAACATACCAAGATTTATTAAATGATCATCAGTTGAACTTTTTGAGACAGGTCCTCCCTTTGTTGCCTAGGCTGAAGTGCAGTGGCATAGTTATAATTCATTACAGCCTTGAATTCCTGTGGTCAAGTGATCCTTTCCCCTCAGCCTTCCAAGTAGCTAGGGCTACAGGCGCATGCCACCACACCCAGCCAATTGTTTTAAATTTATATTTTATTTTTAGTAGAGATGAGGTCTCACGATGTTGCCCGGCTGGTCTCTTGAACTCCTGGGCTCAAGCTATCCTTTTTTTGGCCTCCCAAAGTGCTGGGATTACAGATGTGAGCCATCGAGTCATCATACCTGGCCTAAACTTTTATTCTTTCACTTAGAGGCACTCTATTTCACTATATATATCTATATATATATTTTAAGTTAGGAATATATTACTGGTTTTATTATATTTTTGCCAATACTACCTTTTTGTGCTAAATGTTCTTTTCTTATGCTTTAAATACATATTTTTTTTTCCAGAAGCCGAAGCTACAAACTCATTTAATTATGGGAAATGTTGGTCATGAACTCTAATTGGCAAAGTCCAAATTAACATTCCAACAAATTAGCCAAATTAGAATTACTTCCTGTCAAAAAAAGTATGACTTCAATTTTCAACAAACATGTTAATATGTTTTATCAAATATTATAAGATCTAAAGAGAAATTATGAAATGCATCTTGTAAGACAAGTCAGGTCAAGATTAAAATGATGACAAATATAATTAGCTCATTTTTATAATGTAAATACAGAATTATAAATATGTCTTTTAAAAAAAAAAAAAAAAAAGAATCTCGCTTTGTTGCCCAGGCTGGAGTGCAGTGGCATGATCTCGGCTCACTGCAACCTCCACCTCCTGGGTTCAAGCGATTCTTCTGCCTCAGTCTCCTGAGTAGCTGGGATTACAGGGGCCTGCCACCACACACAGCTAATTTTTGTATTTTTAGTAGAGATGGGGTTTCACTATATTGGCCAGGCTGGTCTTGAACTCCTGACCTCATGATCCGCCCACCTTGGCCTCCCAAAGTGCTGGGATTACAGGCCATGAGCCACCACGCCCAGCTTTATGCTGTTCTAATTGATAATAATGCAAGGTAATTTGTAGGTAAGATAATAAGTTATATATGACACAAGGAGTTCCAAAAATTTATTGGTAATTGTCATAACTTTTGGTAAACTTATGTGCATGTGTGTCTCAAACTCTGACTTTTAGGAGAAAAGGTAGAATCATGTATCAAAAAATAGCTGTATTAATTTCATTAGACATTCACCCTTATATTTAATGAGAGAGAAAAGTATATACCAGTAAAAGCTAATTATTTGGCAGCTAGCATATAATTAATTTTTTGGAAATATGAGATAGAAAATATTTAACATTAGATGAAATAAGACAAAAATTGACCATAGTTGGGATATATAGCTCATGATATAATTTGATAAAATACATTTTAGATATCTTACTAAGCATATACATCCAATGTAAAAAAATTATTAAAATTATCCAAGAGTTTTCTAGTGTATTTTGAAGATCATAGTAATGCAGAAAATACTCCATTTACATTTGAAAGAATAAACACAGAAGTCTATACTATTTTGACTATTTGTGTTTTTCTTTTTAGGGTCGTGACATTCCAGGGAAGACTTTGAGAATAGCTGATTATTATAACTTTTATTTAAATATGGGATGGGGGAAAAGCTCTTTCTGGAGTTCAGTATTTTTCTGTGCTCTTTGGTTTGGGGCCCTGGGACTCTTCCTTGGAAATAAGGTATTCTGACCATAGCTGGGGGACAGAAGAAGAAAAGTAATAAAAAGTCATTATTCTATCAAACTGTTCCACCATAGATCTGAGTTTAGAACATCCAGGTGTGGGCCAAAATGCCCCTAGAGCTGGGGAAGACTGGAGTCCTAGGGGTTTCTGGTGCCCAAAGAATGTATCCCCTTTGTTTGGTGCTCTGGGAAAGCCTTATCACTGCTACTAGGATCCAGAGTAAGATTCGAGATGTGTGAGCAGTTGGCCTCTCTTTTATACAGACCAAAGGGCTTTGGGAGATACAGGCATGTTCTCATTCTTGGAGCAAGTTAAATTTTAGGAAAAAGTACAGGCAGAAGTTGAAGATCTGGAAAAAAAATATTCTCTAAGAACTACATGTGATCATGTAGCTTTTGGGAAGTGTATCTGTCTGAAAATACTAGTCCACATGTGCATTTCCAAAAAAATGAGATTTTTCTTTTTTTTACAAACTATATTATTAAAACTGTTAGGACAGCATTGAAGGGACTTTCAAAAAAGGAAAAAATTACAACTTCACAGGCCTTAAACAACTATTCACATTGTCTCCTGGGCTTCCATCATTCATGTACACACTTCTGAATAATGATGGTCTTAGAAATCTGAGATTTTGTATTCTGATTTTCCTATTGTCTTTTTGACATAATGCTGAGAAATATTCCAAGTTGTACTCAGAGCACATAAAACCACTATCAATGATAGTCCATGTGTCTATGCTAATAAGACCTTGTATTTGTTTTGTATCATAGCTGTAACAAATTATCACAAAATTAGTGGTTTAAAACACCACACATTTTTTATCTTATAGTTCTGAAGATCAGAAGTCCGAAAATCAAGGTGTCAGCAGGACTGTGTTCCTTCTGGAGGCTCTAGGGGAGAATCGTTTTTCAGCTTCTAGAAGCCACTTGCATTCCTTAGCTCATGGCACCTCCTTTCATTGTCAAAGCCAGTAGGGCACCATTTTCAAATCTCTCTTCGATCCATCTGATTCTTCTATCTGCCTCTTTTTTATTCATAAGAACCCTTGTGACTGCATTGATTTCACCTGGATAGTCCAGGCTCCTCTCCCCATCTCAAAGCCAGCTGATTAGCAACCTTAATTCCATCTACAGTCCTGTAGCCTAACATACTGAAAGGTTCCAAGGATTAGAACACAGACATCTTTGGGAAGCCATTATCTACCTCCTACAAACCCTAAAATCAGCTTAAGTGTCACTAAATTCCCCTTTTATTTCTGGGAAAATAAAAGAGGACCATTTGGTGTTGTTATCATTCCATGTTGTTTGCCTGCCAACAATGCACTGAGCTGTACACAGAAACATAATTTAGGAGCAGTCTTTGCTCAATGTGCTAAAAAAATATGATTATTGTTAGTATTTTCATTATTTAACATTTATTGAGCACCAACCATGCACTAAGTACTCTTCAAAACATACAATTAGTCATGGTTGATGCCCAAAGGGCTTACTATTTCAAATTAGAAAGACACATCTAAAATTAGATGCTAACATTTACAAATAACAATGCTTTGTGAAAGAACTGAATATCCCAGACAATTCAAATATAGTGCTTCATATTATGTGTTCTCCAAACTCATCTGTATTCCCATGAGACCTAGAAACGTATACTCACCAGAAACTTTATGTAGACAGGAAAGAAATTATTGTATACATGCTACTTATAAGCAATGTTTTAAAAGTTTGGGACAGCTGCATTGTGCTCTTATTTCAGATCTTGTGAGGGATTAGATCTTGTGAGCGATAGTCTTTTTGTGTTCTATGGTTAATAGGACTCAGCTAGAAGCAGAAAATATCTCATAAACGATGCACAGTATAAAATTTAATTGCTACTGGAGAAAGAAATTTTCAAAAACTGCTGTTATGAATGACAAGCCAAGCTCCTACAGACCCATGATCATTTGGGAGACCGTTTCACATTGTACCTCAAGAGCCAGGAAGCCATTTCTACAGTTTAGAAAATTGACCCAACCTTCATGTTAATGCCTTATGTTGGCTGGTTGAAGTATAAACATGTATGTACTACTTGCTCTGAGTTTACACTGCTTCTAATGAGTTTCCCTGGCAGTAACATGTTCCATGTACTATTTACAGGGAAGAGGATTGGCAGGGGGGAATTCAGTTTATGCACTTGCCCTTTTTTTGGAAAATGGAAATATATTTACAATAGCATTTAATATGCTGTTGTAGTTTCTTTGATGAATTCTAGGGACAAAATCACCTCATTAATTTAATGATGAACAACTGAGACTCTGGTAAGGTGAATTAAGGTCATAAAACTAATTGACATCAGAGCCAGAACTAGAATCATATCACCTGTGACCCTCAGTGGACGTTTTACCATTTCACCTGATGCTCACTGTCTGCCTCTTACCCTGACTCTCCCTAGGTCTCCTCCTCCCTCCACCGCTATATACCCTTTGCCTATAACTCTTTAGGAGAAGAGAGTTTCAGTAATGCCATGTGTCTGTTATCATTGTTTTTTTCCCAGATGTTTTGTTCTAAGTTGTCAAGTAGACTGTGGAAACATCAACCCACAGCTGCAAGAAATAGCCCAAGTCATAATGTTCCCCAAGAACAATGAGTGACATGACTGTCCCCAGTCACAATGGTTGATGAAGATTTGAGCTTGCCCGGATGAGCCAGCCAGTTAGCACTCTGGGCACAGGCATGGGTGGAGGCCTCAGCCTGTTCTCACTCCAGAGGATGGGGCTGCCATGTTAAGCAGCTCCACCAGAACAGGCCATCAACGTGTATTTTTGGTGTGTGGATGTGTGGGACAGATTGTTATCTAAATTAAATAACTTAGTGTTCATCCAACCATCTTTCCAGAATGAGAGTAGCAGATGGAAAGGCTGGAATGTGGCTCTTTGTTTCTAGGGACCAGTGCCCTTGTTGAAAGGACTCTCCAGAACCAGTTTCAATCTTTCTATGCTTTCACCACAGGCTGAGCATGAACTCCACCTTATCAAGTCAACCTTTAATTTCCTCAAATGTAAAATATAGGTGATTTTGTATCTACCTAATAGTTCCATGAGAGAATACAGGAAAAGCATCTATAAAAAAGATCAGACATATATTAGTGTTCAATAAATGATCCTATTCTTATTATTATTCCTGTGATATATATCAAATAGAGCAACTCATTAAGTGCCTGGTCCGTAGAGGGAGCAATACAGGGCAATGACTAAGATATAGGCTTTGTCTTCAAGAAGCTCTCAGTCAAGCTGCAGAGGCTCTATTATAAAAGATAAAGATCATTTGGAAACACATTAGAAGAAGCTGTCAAAGTAGGTGGTAAATATCTGGGGAGGTAGGAGGAAAGAAAGGATCAAGCAAGGAAAAGAACCAATGGCCTACAGAGAGATGGTATCTCGTATGCATCTCCAATGCCTAAAACAGCTCATGATCCTCTAAGAGTTTAGTGGCATGTAGATTCTCAATTGCATAATTTTTTTTTTTACTGTGAGCCAAGTGGAACAACTAGGTCTAGTTTTATTAACTTACTATGTCATGGAGAATGAAGGAAAATCACTTTGTACCATGTCCCCACTGCCTATAAGTCAGGTCTAAAATAGGTTTTTGAAGAAGGTAGGTAGTTCCAGGCAGTCACTAAACATATTTTGCTGGATCCTCTAAGGAAATTTTGTTAACTGACAAAAATATAATTTGGGTCACATAGGCAATTCCAAATTTTCTACTAGCCACATCAAAAAAAGGAAAAACAAGCAGGTGAAATAAAATCTAATAATACATTTTATTTAACTCAATACATTTTAAGAATATTATAATTTTAACATGTAATCAATACAAAAACTATCAATGAGATTTTGCTTTTTTTGTACTAAGTCTTTGAAATCCAGTGAGCAAACTACACTTACAGCATCTCTCAATTTATACTAGCCACATTTTAAGGGTTCAATAACCGTATGTAACTAGTGGCTACCATATTGGACAAGTGCAAATCTAAAAGTCTTAGTGAAATTAGAGATTAAAAGAAAAACATACTTGAAAATATTTCAGAAAATAAATTCAGATACATAGGTTGGAGGATGCTGTACAGCACACGGTTTTCTGATGGCAGAGTGCACTGAGTTTGTTTCAGTAACCGCTGCTCCGACAACTTTTAAAGAATAAGGGCAAACACAAATCCAGTCTGAGGACTTGCTTGACATGGTGATTAATTAAGACATATGGGTGAGCATAAAGCAAGATTTCCTCCTACAATCCGTCTTCTACTGACCTTCATTAAGGACAAAGAACATTTTAATGGATGAAGCCTTCACCTTTAATAAGCCTTTACTCTGTTATTTCCTATGGAACCATGCATTAGATTAACAAAACAATGGTAGCTGGCTAATGACAGAGCTGTGGTCAGAACCCCAGGGATAGCCTATGTCACTATTAGCGCCTCAAGGCAAAATGTCACTTGGGCCACCTCTTCCAATCCAATCAAGAAGACTTTGACCTATAATTGCATTCAGAGAGTTCAAGAGCTCAAGAGGTTACAGATGGGGTGAGCGGGCCCATGCTTTGCATCATCAGATCAGCTTGAGGAAAGAATGTATGAGAGCATAAACAGGGACCAATATGGGCAAGGGGAAGGCATATTTGTTTCCTGTTTGCAAATGATATTTGGAAACAAAACAAATATTCCTGTTTATCATTGACTACTTAGGAGAGGTATATTTGTTTATTGTTTATATACATTTTTATTTTGGAATAATTTTAGATTTACAAAAAAGTTCCAAAGATAATGCAGAGAAACACTGTACCTTTCATCCAATTTCCCTTTACATAGGAAGTGTCATACATATGTCAAAACCAAGAAATCAACATTGGTAACATTACTACTAACTAAATTCCAGCTTTTATATTGCATTTGTTTTTTTCTATCTGCAGCTTTAAATCTCAGTAGGAAGAATTGTATAAAACAATAAGATATCAAAGCAATTTTAAACAGATAACCTCTATCTTGTAGAGAGTAGGGATAGAGATGAAAGATAGCATGAGGCAAAGTGGTGATATTAATCCAGCAACTTACTTTTCCTACCATGGATTTTTAGATGAACTTTGATCATTCTGATGCAGATCAAAGGGTACCTCCTCTGCGAAGACTTCCCTGGTCTGACACCAAAAATGCTGATATTGGAGTTGTCAGCCGAAAGAAAGGGACCAGAATATTCTCAAGGAGCAATTTTTAAAGCTTCCCCTCCCCTACTCCTTGCTACCTTCCAACTCATGTTACTGAATGTGCTTCCAGAAAGCATCTCTGAAGGTTTTATGCATGAAGAGTTTGTGCTGGGTCTTTTGCCTTTTGAATGATAGGAATTGCTGAAGCTATATATCCCTGAAAATGTCCAGTTTAGGAATCATCAGGGATAACACATCTTAGCACATTTAGGTAAAGCTATTCATATTCAAAAATGAGTTTGGGGGGAATTGGGCTTACTCAGTTTACCTCTGACCAAATTTAACAAATAGGAGGAGCTGCCACAAATTTGGCACTGAGCTGGCTATGGCTTCACTGAGGATCACTCCTTTCTGAACACTGACACTCTAAATGATACTGTAGATGTTTCTCTCTACTAAACTCTAAGTTCCTGATGATAGGGACCGTGAGAAATGTGTCCTAGTCTTTCTTAACCTTGGACCCTCATTGCCTGAAACAATCCCTAGAATTTAACAGATGCTCAATAAATGTTCTTGGGCCAAAAATGGACAAATATCTATTGCATGGATAGATGGTTGAATGAATGCATAACTGATGAGTAATTCCTCATCTCTGCCTTTAGGGGCTTACTCTCTGGAAAGAGATAGCGAGAAACACCCAGGTGATTATATTGCACGGTGGAATGAGGTAGTAAGTGCTGAGAGAGGTGAACATGCTAAAGAAAATGCTGTTTAGGTTCCAAGAAGGTGAGAACTACAGCCCCTTGGAAAATAAGCAGAGGTAAGCTGTACTTGAGATTGTCCAGGAAGGATGCATAGGATGTTGTAATCAGGGGTAGGATGGGAAATAAATAAGAACATTCCTGTCTGAGGGAACAGAGCACACTAACCCAGCAAGGTGGGAAATAAGGAACGCTTAGCATTTAGTTTAGAAAGCTTATGTGGCATGTGGAAGTAAGGGAAAATAAATGAAATTCATACGCTGAATTTCCACATTATGCATATCCTTGAATGCCTCTGTTTGCCAATTTGGAAGCGATGACAGACACAGATAAATCATGAAGAGAAGCTGTCTTGGGATGGAGGTAAGTGTGTTCAAGTACATCTTCCAAGAACATATTAGGTCTGAGAAAAATATTAGAACTGCAGGAAAGAAAAAAGCATTGTGATAATATGATGATACCGTTTAGTCATTAAGTTCTATGGTGACAAACCAGAGCTTTCCTATGTTTGTAATGTAGGAGGCTATGCTGTGATTAAATCATTATCTGTCCAGCCAATAAAATACAAAGAAAGCCAGTAAAGCAATTTTGTTAAAGAAGCAATTGAAGGGCCGGGCACGGTGGCTCATACCTGTAATCCCAGCATTTTGGGACGCTGAGGTGGGCGGACTGCCTGAGCTCAGGAGTTCAAGACCAGCCTGGACAACACGGTGAAACCCTGTCTCTCCTAAAATACAAAAAAAATTTGCCAGACATGACGGCATGCGCCTGTAATCCCAGCTACTTGAAGGCTGAGGCAGGAGAATCATTTAACCCTGGGAAGTGGAGGTTGCAGTGAGCCAGAATCTCCCCACTGCACTTCAGACTGGGCGACAGAGCAAGACTCGATCTCTAAAAAAAACAAACAACAACAAGCAATTGAAATAGCAGTTTTTGAACCTAATACTTTTTCTCTCCATGTTCCTTTAACAGTTGCATGATCAAGCTGACTTGAGGGTTCTGAACAGAAGCTGACCAGTCTACTGCACATTGTAAAGAAGTTAAAAAGCTGGATTGAATTGCAAAATGTACTACTCAAGGAGTCCAAAGAATAAAATATGAGCAGCTTGTGGGGGTAAAGCATTCGTAGGTATAGTATAGAAAAGGTCCATGAGCATCATGTCAGTGTCTTTTAACTTTCCATTGCAGTGGAATAATCCTTTATGCGTTTATGAAAATCTTTGGAAAAGAAGCCACGTCACTGGGTGGTTCCTACTTATTTTCCTCTCCAGGGGCCTTTGCTGCTCTTGCTGGGTGCCTCAGTTGCTAGCTTTGTGAGTAGTAATGCCCCACTGTTCCCAGCTCCTTGCTTGCTGGGTGTGAGGACAGAGGCTATCATAGCAATAATTGCTGGATGTTCTGTGTTTGCACATCTGTGGTGGCCTTCTGAATTGAGTTTCGTGCCAGAGCCAGGCAGCGCCTCCCTACCCCACCCTCCCACTGCCCCTTTATTTTCTGTGTCACACCATTAAAAGAAATGAGATTATGGCACAAATCATCATTCATATGACTCTAGCATAGAAGGTTAGCGAGATATTGCAGAGATAATTCCATAGCCACCATGGCCCCTGACAATAATTACAATGTGGCCACAGGGGATTACCTTCTAATAGGCTTTTGTTCACTCAATTCAGAGTCTGTTGTGTGCTAGAGTTTGGATAATTAAAGTTGTGTCTCAGAAGCCACATGTGGTAGCTCATAATTATGTAGTCGAGTCTAACAGAAAACTGAGGTGACTGACACCCGGCCAGAGTGAAGAACAGGGGTCCTTGGTGACAACGAAGAAAGAAACCAGTCCCCTCATTTGGGGACAGGGGATTGGTGTTCACTCCATAGCATCAACTGCTTTATTTATTTTAAACAAAAATGACTAATTATAGCCCTTTCTGGTCCAATCCCTCACTCTCCACGGGGACTTTTCCTAACCCTTTCCTATTGCTCCAACAAAAGAATGGTAGCTGGTCTGAGCAATGAAGAAAATATACATGGCTTATTTAAACAGCATAATGGTTTAATTATTTAATCATTTGCATGTTGAGTGATTTGCATAAAAGCAGGAAAAGGCCCATGTTGGAATTTGGCCTGTATCTCCCCCTGTTCCTCACTGGAGAAAAGATTCTGAAACTTGGCCTCGTTGAAGCCCTTGAATTTTAGAAAAAAAATGTGAACTTTGAAAAACTTAGATTTGTTATTTCAAGGATGCAATATTTGAAAAGAAAACAAATCCAAAGACTATATCCCATTGGGCCATATTTCTCAAGTCAGTCGATGGCTGTCAAAGAAGCAAAGTAGTTAATTTTCCCTGTAAAGTATGCCCTTGAAAAGCCATTCTCCTAAGTATAGGCAGAATGCTTTGCTAAGTGGGTGCCTTTTCAGCATTCTAAGACTGGGTCCCACATTTTCTAACGATTCATTGTGAAAGAGATGGCTATTTTACCATTCTGCTTAAAATCTGAAACTTTAGTTCAGCACATCTCTTATCTTAAATCCTTGGAATGTTTAGAAGATTCTTGCAACGCACTTCTAAAAGGCTCTGAATTTCTGAGCCTTAAAAGTAAAATTCTGCTTTGTTCCAACATAAGACATTTTTCCTCCAAGTTTTGCCAGGTAGAGAACAAACCCCTTCATTTTTTTCAACACTGTTGTCTCTTTTAAAGCACAGCAAATTTATTCTTCACCCAATGTGGAAACAACAATTGATATTCAAAACGCTACCCTTTCCTAAGGCTTTGCCTTCATGAAAATGAAACATATTTCGTACTGAGCACCATATGGTGTTTGTGAAGAGTGGACACGCAGATGCCTCCTAATTAAAGCATTAAAGTTTGTCATGAGAAATGGCAGCACAGATGATTTTGGCTGGGCGTGTGGGAGGGGGTAGGCAGGAAGGGGTCCCAGAGAGTGGATGAAGTGGTAGGCTGACTCCCAGTTTTTTCAAACACACGCTCTGATTGGTCCTCAGGGAGCAGATAATGGCAAGAGGCAGTTAATTTGAAGATAATTGAGAGATCTCTTTCCTGTCTTCACACAATAAAAAAAGGTGTCGGGCCTCAGCTGGCAGTTGCACTCTGGCAGGAAGAAAAGGGCTCGAATTGGTCTGTGAAAGCTGCCACCTCCTTTTCACTTCTCACACAAAGCTGGGAAACCCCTTTCCTATCCTACACCCCTCCTTCCCCCATGCCCCCAGCCGTGCACCCATGTTTATTGTTTCAACACATCAGACCATAAATAAGTTTCCAGAGGGAGAGAATATTGGAGGACAAGGGAAGTTCTATTCTTCTGGAAAACATGAGCTGTGCCTCTATAAACACTACCTCCCAGACAGGCTGAAGAGAAGCATCCCCTCAGATGGGGGTTTACTGTGAGATGATGAACTGGTTTTTTGAGCCACTTTTTCCCCTTTCTCAGCATCTCTGGTACTATGTGCCAAGCTGTTCTCGAACCCATGCAGTCTAGAAACCCGGAGGGACTTTCTCAGGTTAAGGGGAACATTCATCTGCCCACCTCTGTGTAGATGGTAGATAGAAGCTCTTGAGGTGTCATGTGGTAGGAACGGTCTTAAGCTGGGTTCACACTTGCCTCAGCAAGTCACACTGCAAAAGGGAAGAGGTAATCACATGTGAGGGGCTTTTGGTTTGTTTGTTTTTTAAGGAAACTCTCCCTCTGGCCTGCTAAACTTCCCAGCTCCTTTTTTATATTATAGCGCAGCTTGCTTATAAATTCTAGGAAAATCTTAAGTCGGCACTTAAAATAATCTTTTTTAAAAAACACACCCACGTGAAGAATTACTGGAAATTAGGATTACATAAGTGTGAAGAATGTTGCTTTTTCCCTCAGAACTGGGAAACTTAATGTTGACAGGCTAAGGGAAACTTTAAAAAGTGAAAAGAGCTACAGTCATCAGTTTATTCCTTGTCAGTAAAGCCCCGAGAAAATGGATTTGATGGAGTGGGCAGAAAGGCAACATAAAGAGTGGCAGGGGCAATGCTGAATGAGAAAGCCATTCCAGGAAGCTAAATCAGCTAAGGAACAGGATGGTTTGGGGGTAATTAAAGGTAGCTACACAACTGGGTTTGCTAATCTGATTGAAAAAATTTTTCTGAAGTATATTTTTCAGTCATTCTGGTAAGTTAGGTCAAGTAAGTTTTTCTTCTCTCTGAGCAGTAGAGACTGTGATGGCCTCTCCACCAGAGGGCTGCCTTCCAGTAAGTTCCTGGGGAGTACCTTGGAGGTATGAGTCTTGGCCTGTGTTGGCATTTCTGTGTTGTAATTACACAGAATGGGCAGAATGGGAAACCTAATAAAGTGCTGGGACCATTGAAATAAAGAATAAGACTAAAGTTAGAAACTTCTGTTTATCTAATGTTATCATAAAGAAAGCAGAGAGATAAACTCCAAACTTAGAAAAGAGATTTCCAATACATAAACCAACAAGAGTTTAGTATCGAGAATAAAGGATAAAGGTAGGAAATCAATGAGAGAAATATAGCCCAGGAAAAAATCTGGGTAAATGACAGAAATAGACACCTTAGGGTAAAGGAAATGCAAGTGATTAACATATACTTGAAAAATGTATATATAACTGATTAGTAGGCAGGAAATGCAAATTAAAACCCAAATGAGATCCTATTTTGCATCTAAGAGATTGGGAAACAATTGGGAAGTTTGATAATATCTAGTGCTGATGAGGATACAGACAAAGGAATTTCTTATCTGCTCTGGAGCATGTGTATGCATTGGTTCTACAACACCGGGAAATGATTTGGCATTATTAACTAACCCATAACTCTATTGCCGGACATATCCCTTAGGTAACTCCTGGCACATCTACAAGAATGGTCATTTAACACACTAAGACCAAAAATACTATCTGAACAGTTCAAAGGCCATTAATAAGCAAGTCTGTGAATACATTGTGACACTGGAGTACTATACAGCATGAAAAATGAATGAGTTAGGACTATGCACATTATGTAGAATCTCACAAATAATACTGTGGGAAAAATTTTTTTACAAGATTTCATACAGTATGATGCCATTTTCCTAAGCCTAAATCAAACAACTTAAATAATATCTTACTTAAAGATACAGTAGATTCTCATTATTTGTAGTGGTTATATTCTATGAAGTTGCTGCAAACACTGAATTAGCAAAATACTGAAATCTACAACTATATCTCTGTCTATATTTATAAACGCACAGAGTTGGCCCTCTGTATCCATGAGTTCCACATCCCCAGGTTGTACAATCTACAGATTCAACCAACTGAGGACTGAAAATATTTTTAAAAAGTAAAAAATACAACATAAAAGTACATATTTTAAAATACAACTATTTACATAGCACTTGTGTTGTATTAGGTATTATAAGTAACCTAGAGATGATTTAAAGTATATAAAAGCACATGCATAGGTTATATGTAACCACACCACTTTTATACCAGGGACTTAGTCATCTGTGGGGAAGTCCTGGAAGCAATCCTCCATGGATACGGGGAACGAGGGATGACTATACGTGCTCGCATATATCTCACATAGATTATAATCTTAAATCTTAAAAACAGCTCTTCCTGGTAGGTTCTATTTTCCTTATTTTACAAAAAAGAAGATGAGGTTCAGAAGTAAGTGAGTTATCTGAGGCCCCCACTAACAGGTGCGCACCATGCATCTGCCCCAGAATTGAAGCCCTCTTACACAGCACTGCACTGCTCCCGATCTCTATCCTCATCCACTCTTCATAGGAGCTGAAACAAGAAGCCAGAGCATCCCCTTTTTTGAACGCAACTGGGAATGGGAGCCTCACTGGAAACCAGTGAGTGACTCAAATTTTTCATCACTTTGTGCATGTCTGCAAATGACTGCAAATGTGCTGTATTGATTTAGGTGTTACAAATATATTTTAGCTAGTAAGTGAATTTGCAAATACAGAATCTGAGTAATGAGGAGGAACTGTACACAAATATGTGCTAAAACAAAGGTCTGGCTTGGGGGTTAGATGGTGGATTAGAGTCTTACTCCTGTTTCACAATCCCCACTCTCTATCCCTCTCTCTGTATAATGTATGCACATAAACTTGTGTAAGTATATTATCTATAATTGTATATAGATTGTGTATATTATACATATTTGTGTTTGTGTGAGTGTGTATTAGAGAGAAGCAATTCTTTGAAGTCCAGTCACAGTATTTATATTTTACCATTTTAAAACCAAGGTGGCTGTCATCCTGCCAGGGCTGAGGAATGTAAAGGCGGTGTAAAATGAGCCCGCCTCAGGTTCAAGAATCCTCCTTTCTGGTAAGATAACAAATATTGGGATTATTCACATTTAAAAATAATTTAAAAAATTCACAGGATATCCAGAAGTTGAAGAACCTTGCCTTGCAAATTTCACTTTTAAGAGCCTGATATAGTTAGAATTTTGTCAATAATATTCTGGAGTACGTTTCATTATCTATTGAGGTAACTTTCAAAATCGGACAACCAATAAAGTGGTTCTAAGTATTTTGAAATAAGAAAGTGTTCCTTCAGTATTTTTATTTTTTTGAGATGGAGTCTTGCTCTGTTGCCCATGCTGGAGTGCAGTGGCACGATCTTGGCTCACTGCAACCTCCATCTCCTGGGTTCAAGCAATTCTCCTGCCTCAGCCTCCTGAGTAGCTGGGACTACAGGCGTGCACCACCACACCTGGCTACTGTTTGTATTTTTAGTAGAGACAGTTTCACCATGTTGGTCAGGCTGGTCTCAAACTCCTGACCTCAGGCAATCTGCCCGCCTTGGCCTCCCAAAGTGCTGGGATTACAGGCATGAGCCACTGCGCCAGGTCTCCTTCAATCTTTTTTATGTATTTGTAGAATATTTTTAAAAATGGGTTAATGCATCAAAATGTAAAATATGATCCAAATTCCAGGATCATATGTATATACACACACACGCACACACACACAAGTTATCCAAGACTTCTCAGGCCTCACACAAACGTTAAAAACTCAGATTGCACTGGCTCTTTTCCCTACTAATCACCTAGGATACCCAGGTTTCCCCAATATTACCTAAATGCCACTTGGAATCCCCAAGGAGTGTCCAACATGTGCTCACACTCTTGGAGGAGGCTGATGGCCTGCAGGCATCACTGTAGCTTGGGGAGCCCTACTTGGAGTCCTATGTGGTCATAGGTGGCAGGGAGGGAGAACACTGCACTTCTCTGGGATTGTCCCCTGCTAGAGCCTCTGAGTCATGTTTCTGGTGCCCATATCCTACAGAGTTGTTGGAAATCTGTAGCTTTTTCTCTTCATAGGACCTAAAGGTGCACCCAGGGGCTTGAGCTGGGGACAGATTTGTGTGATTGACATGATTCTGGACTCAGGATCACCCAGGTCCCACTAAGGTTTTGTTACCAGATGAGTTAATCGCATCTGGTTCCTTTGTCCCTAAGAGATCTCCCTTAAGATCCAAGAAAACTCTTCAAGACTGGTCCTTCAAACTATCTCAGTAAACAAACACAATATTACATATTTTGACTGTCTACCAGACTGCTGGACATGTCTAGTTATGTCTGAAACTTAGTTGTGAGAACTTTCCAGCCATAAGCCATCTCCTAATAAGCAGAGGTGTGTGTATGTGTGTGTGTGTTCACACGAAAACACAGAGGATATCACTTAGTACTGTGACACCCCTCTCTCAACCTTTTAAATTTTCCCTCTAGTTTCCACCATGTATTACATTTATGAGAAAAATATAATGACCACATACTCCCCAAGAAAATTACAAAGCCCCAGATACAAATAGTTTTCCCTCTCATTACTGTGAAAATAAAGTAAATTATAATTTTCACTTGTTTTTGAGAGGATATTTTAAAACCCATTTCCCATTATCATTAGAATTTGTAGATGATGTGGAACCACCGAATAGTCAATGTGCCTGCAAATGTCAATAGACCTTTCTATAGATCAGCAATTATTAGTTATAAAATAAAATGGAAGTGTATCCCACACTCAATAGCAGTAAAAGACACAAAATGACTAGAAACCCTCAACAAGAAATGTGTGAAACCTAAATGAAATAATACTTTCTTGAGAGAGAAAATAATTGAATATCCCAGGTACTTGATGGCTGAATGGCAATATTGCCTGTCAAAATTATGTCAGTTATTCACAAGTTAACGTGTAGTCATATGACAAGTATGACTAACACCCTAGTGAAGATTTTTGGAAGAAACTGACAAAGTTATTTTAAACTGATCTGCAGGTATAAAAATAGCTAAAAAATGTGGAAAATGAGGACCATTTCTGGCTCCTGTTAAGATGGTGGATTCTCATGGCCTCCTGCCACCCTGCCCAGTAGCAACCCTAGAAAAACTATTGGAAGTAAGAAGAAAGCATGGAACTAAGTGAAAGCAAGACCCCTGTCGGGAGTGAAACCTGTGTGTGTGTGTGTGTGTGTGTGTGTGTGTGTCTTTGTATGTGTGTCTGTGTCTCTGCGTGTGTCTCTGAATGTGCGTGTGTCCTTGTGTGTGTCTGTCTCTATATGTGTGTGTTTCTGTATGTGTCTGTGTGTCTGCATATCTCTATATGTGTGTGGCTGTGTGTCTGTGTGTATGTCTGTATGTGTCTCTGTCTATGTGCTTCTTTGTGTCTCTGAATGTGTGTCTTTGTGTGTCTGTCTATGTGACTGTGTGTCATACAATGTGTCTGAATGTCTGAATGTGTGCCTGTGTGTCTTTGGTGAGTCTGTATGTGTCTGTGTGCATGTGCCTCTGTGTATGTGTGTGCCTGTCTGTGTATGTGTGCCTCTCTGTGTATGTGTGTGCGTCTCTGTGTGTGTGTGTGTGTGTGTGTGTGTAGGTCTGGGGTAGGTGAGATGGTTGCAGGCTGGACACAGAGCAACCAGTGGAAATTGAGAGAGGACAGGTTGGAGAAACAAAATTCTGCTTTCCCATGTGGCCTCTGTATAAACCTTCCCTACCCTAATGCCCTAGAAACAACCTCCACAGCTCAGGGCACTGATGTCCTGGTTATATCAGGGCAGCCACAGCCCTGCTGGGAGGAGCAGTTGATGAAGGACGTTCATGCTTCTCTCCTTTTTTCATATCTCAAAATTTGGTGAATTTCTATATTAAAAAATTTGCCTTCTAACAATGTTACTTCCAAGAGTTTAAAGGAACACAGATAAAGCAGGTCATTGTATACACAGCTTAAAATACATTTATTGGAAAATAAAAATGGTTAAAAGCAACACTTAGCTAAGGATTTAACTCACAAGGTACAGAAAAAGCAATAGAACATTCAAAGAAACAAGAAAAAAAAGATAAATATATAATGTGTAAAATAGTGCATGTATCTGTACCCACACCTGCAAATGACACAGAGGTTAACTAAGTCCAAAGTTATTTCTTTAAAAATATTTGCAATATAGATAGGTTTCTAGAGTGAATAAATCAAGAAAAAATATGCAAGTAAACCAAGTACAGAATGAAAAGGGAGAAATTTCTACAGAAAGCACAAGTTTTTTAAAAAAACAAAATGACTAAATTTGAACTTAGTGAAATGCATAAATTTTTGAAAATATGCCAAAATCAGTATAATAGAAAACTTGCATGAACCAATAAGTATGAAAGAATGAAATATTAAAGTATTAAGAAATGACAGTAAAGCACTTTTCTTTCAGAATCCCCAGTCCAGAGAGCTACACAGTTGATTGCTATTGTATTTTTTAAAACTCAGTTAATTGATGACTTACATAAGTTGTTCCAGCAAGTATTTGCAAAGTACAAAAAATACAAAAAGAACAAAAGTTTTCTAATCTAAACAAAGGTATATATTAATCATAGATTTTTTATTCTGCAATCTTTAATTGAATTTTTATATTGAAATAATTTTAGACACAGAAAGTTTACAAAAACAGAACTGCTTATACTCTTTAGCTAGCTTTCTCAAATGTTAAAAATCTTGCATAATCGTAGTACAATTATAAAAACTAAAACATCCATACAATGCTACTAACTAACCTAAAGATTAAGGGGGACATTATATGTCTTGTTACTGATGTTAACCTTAATCATTTGGAGATGTCTCCCAGATGTCTCCACTGTAAAGCTGCTATCTTTCCCTTTGTAATTAGTAAAGTATTGGGGGAAGATACTTTGAGGTTATGCAAATACTGTTTCTCCTTAAAGTTTTGCCCACTAGTTTTAGCATTCATCGGTTGATCTTGCCTGCAGTAATGATTACTGTGGTATTCTAATGGTGATATTCTATTTCCCTCATTTCTTCTAATATTTATTAGAATTCTAGTTTTTTTAAAAGCCATCTTTTTTCTTCCATGAATTAATTACTTAATATCAGCATGGCCTCATGGACATTTATTTTATTCCATGGGTTATAATCCAATACTGCTGTTAAATATTTTGTTGCTCAAGTTGTTTCAGTTTTGGCCACTGCGGTCTCTTTCAGTTTGGCTCCTGTGCCCTCTGCAACAATGCCCCTATCCTTTCTCCAGAACTTTTATTTTCTGGCATTACAAGATGCTAAAGGCTTTTCTTACATTTTCCCTACTCCAGCTTGTTTTATAAGCCTAATATAATCTTGGTTCCAACAGCAGATAAGAACAACATGGAAAAAGAAACATAGACCTATTTAACTTGTGAATATAGACGCAAAAAAATTCCAAATAAGATAGAAATCCAGCCATGCATAAAAAGTAACATTGTAATCAAGTGTTGTTAATACAAGGAATGCAAGAATGCTTGGCATGAAAAACTCAAATAGTGGTATCATGTAATCCAGCAATCCCACTTCCGGGTACGTATCCAAAAGAAGTGAAATCAGGATCTCAATCTGTTCTCCCATGATCATGGTGGCACTATTCACAATAGCCAAGATACAGAAACAACCCAAGTGTCCACAGACAGATGAATGGATAAAGAAAACATGGTGTATACATATAACGGGAATACTATTCAGTCTTAAAAAAGAAAGTAATCCTGAATTTGTGATGACGTGAATGAATCTGGGGGACATTGCGCTAAGTGAAATGAACCAGTCATTATGCTAAGTGAAATGAACAGAAGGAAAAATGCTGCCTGGTTCCACTCACATGAGTTATCTAAGATAGGCACACTCATAGATGCAAAGGATACAATATGTATGACCAGGAAGTACATAGGAAAGTGTTTAATGTCATTAATCGTAGGGAAATGCAAGTTAAAACCACAATGACATACCATACACCCACTGGAATGTCTACAGTTTTAAAAGACTGACAATGCCAAATGTCAACAAGGCTGTGGAACGCCCCACACATTTATACAATGCTGGTGGCAGCGATGAATCAAGGGTGAGGGGGAGGAAGTGGTCATCCAGAGCAAAGGTTGTTAGGAGGTGGGTGCATTGCCTTCAGAGAATTTAAAAACAATAATAAACCTGATTATAAGTCAGTCTGCTTTTTATTATCAACATATGCTGGCAATTCTAAACAACATTAGTGATAAAATCCTTCTCCCTGAAAAATATCTTTTTGTTGGTCTAAGAGCTAAACAGTTTTTGAGGTTACTCTGGAATTTTAATAATGTATATGTAAGCATCAGATTAGCACATTTTATTATCTGTCCTTTGATAATCACTGTATATTGCACAGAAGTCCAGTTACTCCCAGTTATACAGCCAGTCCCTACACATTCAGATTCAGCTACATGTGTTTAGAGAATGAGCCTCTTATGGTTTGGAATCTTTTCAGCTGCCTTCAGAGCACAATTTTAGTCTGCAGCCCACTACATATGCCTGCATTTAAACAGTAGATTGAAATAAACAATGAAAGCACTGTGAGTGTAAAGTCAAAATAACAGAACTTTAGTTACTTTAATTCTGTCATTCTATGTGACCACTTGCAATTTTCATTTGCTTAAAATTTAAAACAGAAGTAGAGTGCAAACTGCAAGGTTTTATGTTTCTGTTTAGATATGTAAAAAATTTTATTCCTGCATGAATATATTTGAGTGACATTTTAAAAATTGAACTTTGTTCAATTAACTGGTCATTTAAACTTAAGAATGAATCAGTAAAATAATGATCATCACTGATTACTACATGAATGCTACTGAAAATAATTTTGTTATATAGAAGAAAAGAATGCTAAAAATTATCTACTTCAAGTGTTAAATACTCTAGATACACCACTATCCAGTGGGTATATAAAATGATACGATCACGTTTAAAAAGGTTTGAAGATTTCTTTAAACATACATCTACCTACCCTTGGCCCAGTAATTCTATTCCTAGGTTTTTATCCAAGAGAAATGAAAACAGGTCTACAAAAGTTTGTGCAAGAATGAACATAGCTTTACTCACAATAGCAAAAAACTGGAAGCAACCCAAATGTTCAATAACTGGAGAATGGCTAAACAAATTGTAGTAGCCATAAATGAAATGCTTTTCATCAATAAAAGAATAAACCACTGAAATATGCAATGTGACTAAATCTCAGCCATTATTAGGCTAAGTGAAAGAATACAGAAAAGAGAGATAAGTACGGGGATATTCATTATTCATTAAGCTATTCTGTTTTCTTTGTATATTTAAAAAAATTCCCATATTGAAAATTAAAACATGTATATAAAACAACAGTGCATGAATATGTGTTTTACAAGAGCACATATAAAGAAAAGTATAGATATCAAGTACGTTAAAATTGTTGCTTATGGGGGAAGTAGGAGATTTAAGTGTGGGAAGATGGAGGTACTACAGAACAAAATAGTAAAATGAGATTCTCCTTAAACAAAACAACAATAGCGTGTGGTGAACTATGGAGGAAGATGATCCCAGTCCTCTAAACCCAATGTCTCTCCTCCTGCAACCACCCCCCCCAAAAAAATAGTGGGGTATTTATCTTAAAATAGGTTAAATATATATCATAGAGCTATAACTGTTAAAGCAGTATGGCATTGATTCAAAATTAGAGCTATAGATCAATGACTGACAAGAGATAGTTCAAAAACAGGCCCCAGTATACTCCAGAATTTAATATTTGACAAAGGTGCCATCTTCAATCAATTGGGGAGGAAGTGGTCCTGGAATAACTGAATGGCTATTGTGGGGAGGGTGGCCAAATTTAGAGACTCAGCTCATATCAAATACAAAGAAATATATTATACTTTTCAAACATCTGGATTGCCATATTTAAAAGTGATAGAAAAATAAGAAAATATTACAGATTTTCTTGCAAAAAAGGTTAAAATATCTTCATGTCAAAAACAGCATAAAGAGAACTAATTTGAATACAATAAACTGAAAGAAATATTTGGAGCTTTAAACAAATTTAGAGGGGTCACACAATTTGATAGTCAAAACACCAACATTCCAAAAACCAATAGGTAAAGGAAATGGAACAGAAAACTCGCAAAGGAGGAAAAACGATTGGAAAGCTCAGTAGTAATAAAATAAATGGAACTTAAAACAAGTGTTACCATTTTTTAATTTATTAAATTCACTTTTATAAATAAGAATATTAAAAGAGCACAGTAAGGTGGGCATTTCCCTGCCCCACTCTAAGTGAAGATTAGCAGCCCAATTTTATAAGATAATTTTACATATAAGTAAGAAGAAATAAAAGGAAATACATAAATAAAACATCGTACCATGCTCTCTTCTTTTTCTCATTATTCAATTTGTAGCAACTCTAAGGAAACAACCCAAACTGTAGTAAAGTTTCTATGTGTAACAAGTACATTGTAGTTACAACCTAAATATCTGTCAATAAAGAAGTATGGATATAAATTTGTTCACCCTATGATAAGATATTATGTAGCTGTTAAATTTCATGAATACTTTTAAAATTAAAATTTGATAAATACACGTATTTTAAAAATTCAATTGTATTCAAAGTCTCATAGCAAACCTCAGCAACTTCATGCTCCATCCTTCCTCCCTCCCAGTTTATGCCACCCCCAGAGGCAGACATTTACAACTCTCCTGAGTCTCTACTATCAGAAACATTCATATTTCTAAACCAAGAGTGCCTTCTCTTGGTTTGTTAATCTGAGGCTTAATTCTTGTCTTCCTATTATGCTAAACAAAGATTTAGCTCTCTTTAATCTTTTTTCCCATGACATCCCCTTAATTCTCTGAATAATTATGTCACAATTATTCATTTAAGTAAAAGATAATGTTTACATTATTACTGTGTAAATATTGTTTGTTAGTAAACCAAATAAGAAAGGTTTACATTTCCTTATTTGTGGAATGTTTTTCTAATTATTGCATTGACATTATTTTGCTAAATTTTCTATGTGCCTGTTGATATACTTAAAAAATGAAATTCTAGGCCGAGCCTGGTAGCTTATGCCTGTAATGCCAGCATTTTGGGAGGCCCAGGTGGGAGGATCTCTTAAGGTCAGGAGTTGGAGACTAGCCTAGGCAACATAGTGAGACCACATCTTTACATAAAATTGTTAAAAATTAGCCAGGCATGGTGGTGTAGTCTAGCTACACCACCAGACTAAGGCCTGTAGTCTTAGCTGCTTGGAGCACTGGGGCTAGAGGAGTGCTGGAGCCCAGGAGTTCAAGGCTGCAGTGTGTAATGATTGTGCCACTGCACTTCACCTTGGATGATAGAGCAAGATCTCATCTCTTAAACAACAACAACAACAAAAAACAGATCTTAATTATCTTCCAAACAGCCCAAATATTAGATACCAGTTCATTTTTCCCTGGGAGACCCCTTCCCTGTCACCCTGTCCTTCACCTGCCTGCTCTGTGCCCAGGGCCCTCTCAGCCTGAGGGGCAGCTGTCCACCTGGCACTTCCCTTTGCCAGGGCCTCGTGTTAGGTCCCTTAGAGATCCCATTTTCTTTTTTCTCGATTAGTCCTTCACATTGGTAAAGAACAACCTCTAGCAGTTCCTAAGAAAGGGTGCATGGAAGGTAAGTATTTGGAAGCAATGTGTGTCTAAAAATGTTTATTCCATTCTCATGGTTATAGAATATGTAGAAAATAATTTCTTCTCAGAATTTTGAAATCCTTCCTCAATATAGTCTACCTCCCGATATTGATGTTGTGAAATTTGGTGTAAATATCATTCCTGATCTGTTCTGATCTGTTCCCCTTCTCCATGGGTGCTTTTTTCTTTTCGTTCCCAGTGTTCTCAAGTTTCATAACAATATTTTTGGCCTGGGTGTGTTTGCCTTCATTGTGCTGGAAATTTTATGAGCCTCTTAAATCTGGTGACTCATTTTTTTCATTACTTCTTTAAAAATTTCCCCCCGTTTTCCTGTTTTTCCTGGAAGTTTACTTAGTTAAGCATTGGACTTATTTGATGCTCTAACTTTCTTGTCTTTTCTCTGTCCTCTACTTATTTGCCTTTTAATTCTACTTTCTGGGAGAGTCTCCTGACTTTATGGTAGAATGCTTCTGTTGAATTTCACATTCAGCCTTCATGTTTCTGATTTCCAAGACCTTCTGTTCTTGATTGCTCTTATCCCTTACTTCCTTACACCTTACTTCCTATTTGTGTTTGCAGATGCCATATCTTCTCAAAGTGAAAAAATATATTTGCATTTAAACTGCTAGGCTTGGAAGTGACACCAATCACTCTGCTCACATTCCAGTGGGAAGAACCAGTCATTATGGCCTCACCTAGATGTAGGAGGTTGGACAATGTACTCTAGTGGAGTGTCCAGGAAGAGAGAACATTAGCAGCGTCTTCCACAGAGGATTTCCCTGGTTAGATTACCTTTGGTTTTCTGTTCATTTTTAAGAGCTAACTACTAAAAACTTTGTTGAAAGCCCCGTGTGTATATGCTAGACATGTCATTCCTTAACTGGAGATTACGTGGTAACAAGATGGCTTTTTTTGTTGTTGGGGGACCCTCAAATATCAGTATCTGAAGTTTTTTTCTCCAGGGACATTTTTTATTTGTTTTTGCAGGGGGCTGGGGAGTATATATTTAGTTGTTAGCGTTTCGAAGCAGAAGGAACAGAGCTAGGGAGGGTTTGTCTAATTCATACCTAAAATTTCACTTAATTCTTCTGAATTTATGTCCAGGTTTCTTTCTCCTCCTCCCCTTCTGTGTTTGGTTTCTCTGAGTCCAGATTTTCTCTGGTTCAATTTATTTAGAGACTAAACTTCAGGTTTCCTGCGGGAGAGGAGGGGGCTGAGAATCCAGCTAGTTCCACGTTAAGACATGAACCAATCCTCCTGCATTTGGTTCTGCATCTCATTCCACCCCTCAGTAATACCTGCTGCCACCAAGTCCTGGGCCTTCCTGAGTTCTGTAGGGTGAAATAGTCATTCTTGGCCTATCTATCACTGCAGACCTTGGGGTTGTGGCCTCTGCTCTGAAAAATCATAACATTGCTTCTCCATGAGCTCCTAAAAAATTATTGCAGAGTCTTACTTGCTCTTGTCTTTCTCTCATTCTTTGTCCCTGTAATTGTATATGTTTTAAACTCCTTTACTCTCATCTTAAATGGATTTTAGAAAGGAGAAGATATGAACAAATGTGGTCAATATGTCATATCCAATGAGAAGCTTGTAAGTAATTTCATAATCCTCAGTATAAAAAAGACATACAAACTGTATAAATAGTGCGATCCCAAGCAGGTTAAAATGTATAGAAAAAATATAGGAAGGAATACATAAAATGTGAATTTTTTATTACTTATGTCTGACTGATGGAATAATAGTAATTTTTAGTTTTCCTTAAATCTTTATTTATTGATTTATTTTATTGATTTTTTTTCTTTTTTGAGATGGAGTCTCACTCTGTTGCCCAGGCTGGAGTGCAGTGGCACAATCTCTGCTTGCTGTAACCTCTGCCTCCTGGGTTCATGCGATTCTCCTGCCTCAGCCTCCTGTGTAGCTGGGACTACAGGCGTGTGCCACCACGCTCGGATAATTTTTTGTACTTTTAGTAGAGACAGGGTTTCAACCGTGTTAGCCAGGATGGTCTCAATCTCCTGACCTCGTGATCTGCCCGGCTGGGCCTCCAAAAGTGCTGGGATTACAAGCGTGAGCCACCATGCACGGCCATCTCAACTCTTTTATTTCTAAGTATTCTTGCTGAGCATGATTGACTTTACTATTACTATTATTTTTGAGACAAGGTCTGGTTCTGTCACCCAGGCTGGAGTGCAGTGGTGCAATCTTAGCTTACTGCAGCCTCAAACTCCTGGGCTTAAGTGATCCTCAGCTAAGCCTCCTGAGTAACTGGGACAACAAGCGTACACTCATGCTGGCTAACTTAAAAAAAATTTTACAGAAACAAGGTCTCGCTGTGTTGCCCAAGCTGGTCTCAAACTCCTGGCCTCAAGGCATGCTCCTGCCTCAGCCTCCCAAGTCACTGGGATTAGAGATGCAAGCCACCATGCCCAGCTTGAGTATGACTTACTTTTGTAATCAAAATAAACTAAATATTTTTTAAAAATACTCTTTAAAGTAGAGAAAATATTAAGAGGCAATTAGGAGATTATCTCAGTTGGAAGTGTTTTTCTCTAGGCATAGCATGTACAATTGAAATGGATCTTGTGGATTCTATCACCAATGGATAAGTAGACACACATAATGCTAACATTGTATGTTTGCTGTGTGTCAAACACTTTACTCAGTATTTCATTTAATGGTTATAATGATTCCAGAGGTAGGCATTATTTTCTTCCCCATTTATAGATGAGGAAACTAAGGCGCAGATGTAGGAAGTACATGGTCCCATGCTGGTATATGAAGAGCCAGGTTTTGGACCTACTAAGTTTAATTCTAAGGAGACACCCTTAATCATTATATTATAGTCTCTTACCACATTTGTATGTGTTTGCATATGTTCTTAGCTAATTCTTTAAAATAATTGTGCTTATATCTATACATATATTTGTTTAGTGAAGAATATGCATAGGCTCTTGAACAAGTTATAAAGTGAGGACAAGAATAGAGGTCAGTAGGGCATCTCTCTGAGAACTGTGATAATATATACCAGAGGTGGCTACACAACTACCTGATTCGGAATCCTCATCTCTTTTTCTTTCCTCTGTACTTTTCCATACCAATAAATAGTCTCCCACCCTTGGCACAGGGGAGCACTGGGCTTCTGAGTGCATTCAGAAAACAAGCAACACTTACACCTGTTTAGCCTCATGTTTCCTAACAGCTTTAGAAGTACAATATGGCCCTAGGTCTTTGTTTCAGTACAGTAGGTGGAGGGGGCTTCTTGCCAGCCAGAAAGCGTTAAAAGTTCATGGCAGCTGCCTAGAAACCACTGCAATGTTTCCCATAAGAGATGAATAAGCTAGTTTAGACTCCCATGTATTTCCAGGAATGTAGGAGTGTTCGATCTATTGTTCTTTCCATTCTATTGTTTCAGAGCTCTAATTAAATAATGCCACATATAAGATTCCCCAACGCCCTAAGAAAATATATAATTTGAATTATTTGGGACGGCCTAATTGTTTTTTTCTCCCCCCCCCGCCCCCCCAAGACAGGGTCTCGCTTTGTCACTCAGGCTGGAGTGCCGTGACACGATCATAGCTCACTGCAGCATCTGACTCCTGGGCTCAAGCAATCCTCTCACCTCAGCCTCTTGAGTAGCTGGGACTACAGCCATGTGACACCACGCCTGGCTTATATTAACTTTTTGTAGAGATGGGGATCTCATTATGTTTGCCCAGGCTGGTCTTGAATTCCAGGCCTCAAGTGATCCCCCGGCCTTGGCCTCCCAAAGCACTGGGATTACAGGTGCGAGATACCACATCCTGCCCTAACTTTCTCTAAAAAGTTTTTAAGACTTTCTTATTTGTAGGCAGTAACTCCTGGTATATAGATGATATTCCAAATACGAATGTATTCCTGATGGTCACCTTGGGGCCACATGCTTGGTTCTAACTGGCAAAGATTTATCATTATGTACAGTTTTTGTCCATATATTTTTCCTTTGCTTTGTGAAATAGGGTATGCTCTCAGACTAATTCTTTTTTCCCTTTATATAAGAACATTGTTGAGATTCACATGCCATACAATTTTCCCACTTAAAGTGTACAATTCAGTGCTTTTTAGCATATTCAGAGTTGTGTGACCATCCCCACAATCAATTTTAGAACATTTTCATTACTTTAAAAAGAAACGCCAGAGCAAAGCAAGTGCTGTGATCATACTTTCTAAGAACATTCTCCAGTCAAAAGATCCAGGGGTCCTTAGAAAAATGGGTGATTTTAGGACTGGGGCAGGAAATATGTGAGATTGAGCCTGGGGCATCTTGTAGTACCAGAAAGAACAGAAGTGCTTAATAAAACAAACAAACAACAACAAAACTTACTAAACCCTACATTCACAGAGGCATATCACAGGGATCCAGGAGCCAACTGAAACAGCTCCCAAAGGCCAAAGCTGGAAAAATTAGAGCAATAAAATAAAGCAGTGTTGGATCATAATACAAAGTATTAAATATCCACGAGTCCATACTGATATAAATGACTGAATAAGTGGGGCAGAAAAGACAAATTACCCTTACAAAAGAATTTTCCATAATTTATACTTTTAAAGTTATCTCTTTATTAATATTCTCTATTTGATGAGACATTGTCATACCTACATTTACTTTTAAAAGCATGGTTTCCTGTAGTGTATTGAAGCCTTTCTTCTGTTAAATTCAACATCTCCCTCTCACAGGCAGTTTCTGTTGCTTGCTTTGCTCCCTGTGTATGGTTCATACTTTTTTTTCTCCATGTCTCAAATTTTTGATGAAAATTGGACATTTTAGGTAATATACTGTAGCAACTTTGGATACTAATCTCCTTCCCTTCTTTGGGGCTTGTTTTTGATGTTGTCTGCTTATTTCTTTGGCTGGTCCATTTTAGTGAAATCTATTTCCCGCTAAATGTGAAGCTTATAATGTTATTTCTTAGAGGGTAGAGACTTGGTCACACATAGGGTAAGCCTAGGATGACAGTAGGTTAAGCAGGGCTCTGTCTTTTTTCCTGATCTGTGAAAATATCTGTTTTATTTGGTATCCCACTCAGCTGACAGTTTCTTCTAGTTGCTGGCTAACTGCACTATTGTTTTTGAGCATGCCTGGGACATAAATTGCCCCACAGTCTGATCCTATTATTAGTATATCTAGTCCCCTTGGGACAGTTTTAAGGTTTGTTCTAACCCTAGGAGGGCTTTGCTTAACTACCTCTTTCCCTTCTTCTCTCTGGTAAACTTAGGCCTACAGTTTAGTTGGCTGCTCTCATAGAGCTACCAACTGGTTTTTAATTGCTTGCCACCAAAATATCGATTGTTTTCCCAAGTTCAATCCTTAGGCTTGAACTTCTCACTCTGCTTCAAATAAACTCAGTTTCTTTGGGGAGAACTTCAGAGGTGTCTGTTTTTGTGGTCTCCCTTATCTCTTGGGTAAAATCTCTGAGCTCTCTGAACTCTCTGAGCTACTGCTCCAGAAATAGGATGAGGGTGATACCCCTGCCTTATAAGCAGAGTGTGGGTCAGGGGCAGGGGCAGTGGCCTCTAGTCTTCTTAGCTTGCCCTTCCCAGCATGGAATCTCCATCCTATGAGCAAGCTGAAGCCAGAGAAATTAGGGCTCCAGTATCCTTGGATTGCCATGCCTGAAGCAGAACCTCTGCCTTATGAGTGGGGGTTGTGGGAAGGAAGAGAGCAAATTCTTGGCTGTATTTACCAGAAATTTAATCTCTAACTTGGAGCTAAAAGAGATAAGAAATGCTGGTGGCTACTGCCTCTTGGTGAAATACTGTATCCCTTGAGTTGGAGCTGAGGGAGAAGGGAGCTGTTTCTTCTTGGCTACACCCACCCAGAGTGGAGCTTAGAGAGTGGACTTGTGGCTGAAGTGCCGCAGACTCTTGTTTAATGTTTCTTAATTTGCTGTGTGACCTGACGACAATTTCCAGAGAGTTTAAATGGTTGCTTTAAAAATAGTTTTCACTAGTTCAGGTTGTTTTGCTAGGGTATGGTTCCACGGAGCTTCTCACTCCACCATCCTCAAAGTGGAACTCATTTTATTTTCTTGCTCTTAGTCTAAAGCATAGCTTATTTTCATGAACTTTGTTGTTTGTCTACCTGATATGAATCGAGATTTTCTAGAGATCAGTCTCTCAGGAGAGTGAAATGCGGCAAACTTCCCAACAGAGACAAGTGGAAGGAAATGTGAGTTTTGGCTGGGCCATGTCTACCCAGGTCGTTCTGATTTATCTGCACAACATCCCCAATGTGCCATGGTCAGTGATTCCGATACAGACAGGAGGCAGGGAAATACCTGGGTAGAAGAGGGCAGTTCCCTGGCAAAGACCCACCCTTAAGCCTGGAAACTGTGGCACTAAATTAGAACAGTTATCCCTGTTTTCCCACCCAAAAGTTGCTTTTTCCAAAACCACCCTAGTCTGCCACACCGCGATCCTGTACCCATAAAAACCCCAAACTCCACTGGCAAAGGAGCAGTGTGGTGTGGCAGAGAAGGAGAGAAGACGTGTCTGAATGTCAAGAGGAATTTGGCTGGGGACAGTTGGAGAGGAATTCGGCTGGGGACAGCTGAACTCCAGGGGAAGATTATCTTTCCACTCCATCTTCTTTCCAAATCCCTATCCTGCCGAGAGCCACACCTCCATCACTCAAAATCTTCGTATCCTTCAAGTCCATGTGACCTGATTCTTCCTGAATGCTGGACAAGAACCTGGGTACCAAGAGGGCAGGGTATAAACGGCTGTCACCCTGACTCTTCATTGAGCTGGTTAACACTTAGCTCTCTGTGGACAGTAACTGCTAAAGGAACATTAATTGTAACATACCCCTAGAGGCTGCCATGGGGCCAGAGCCTAAAAGCACTTGCCCCAGCTCCTGCACCCACTCACTTGCATCCTCCCCTTCCCACAAGGGGTTTGAGAGAAGGGTGGCTGGGTAAATGAGCCACACCCCTGCTGCAAGTCCTGTGAGGGGTTCAAGGGAACTCTCCCGTCTCAATTGGATCTCCAAGGAATGAGGAGTAGTAAGGCAGGGAATTCAGTGACATAAACCCATTGGCCTGAGGCCACACATCAAAGAGCCCTCCTCTACTCCCTCAAAATTAGCCAAACAAAAAATCCAGTTGAATCCTCTGTCACAAACTGTAAAACATGGGATGATTTTATGTAGTACAGGACTTTTTTATTGCTTATTTATAGGTTTACTAGAAGAATAGAACTTATAAAATATATACATAGATTTATATAGAGAGTGCTTCTTAGCATATAGAAACGTTAAAAATCCATGACAGGTGGCAATAATTTCATGGTTTCCCTTTTAAAAACAAACCAACCAACTGGTTTAGAGTCCTGTATATGTGCAGGAGTGTAGAATGTGACACTGTGGTTCCATTTTATGGTTTCAGTGCTCTAATTGAAAAGTGTCACATCCATACTTTATTATTCTCCAAACATCTAAAAGAGTAGAGATTGCAAATTTGAAAGATGACATGCACAAACTCATACACACACATACAAAGCCCATTAAAATTGTAATTCCACAATACTGTTGCTGCAACAAGGCTAAAGTAGCTATTTTCTTTCTTCAAAGTAAGTCCATTTAAAAGTGATCCAGAGACATATCAAGAAGTGTAAAGGTGGTATGAAAATGATTGGATTTTGAAAAAAGGTATAAATGTCAAGTAAGAATTTTACATACCAAATCTGTTTAGATAAAAAAATTAATCAAATTGGTTGTTTGACTACGAGCATAAGAAGGAGTATTCAGAATTCTTTCTCCTAATTAGTTACACTGGACAGCTTAAAAAATAGGGGCCTCAAACAGACAAAAGGGGAAAATAATGGTTCCTCTTCTTCCACCCACACAGCTTTCTCATTTGTAGCTTCAGGTACATCTAATCTTTTCCTTTTCCTTCTTGTTAAGGCACTATCAGGATTAGCTTGAATGAGCAGACGGCCTCAGTTAACTTAAAAGCGGAGCATCTGCAGGCCCCTGCTGAATTATACAGTCAGCAGGACAGAGGTTAATTAGGAGCCGACCAGCAGAGTCACAGTTCAGATGGACCTGAAGCTTCCAGTCAACTGCTGATAATAGCATAATTTCCAAGTTTAAGAGCAATACTTCCAGGGAAGGCTTGTGATCGCTTTTCGGGGCCAGTTATTACCTAGACCATTTATGTATATAAACTCAAAGCATTGTTTTGTTTTGTTTTCATCTCTTTTGTTTCAAAGTGTTGCTCCTAAAGTTGTTTTAAGATTTATAAATTTGTCAGATCAGGCTGTGATAGAAATAGTTGTTATTTCAGCCCTAGACATCTTAGGGCTGCCTCGTGCACGATTTCCCCATGACATAGATTTAACATTTGTATTTCACACTGCTGATGTGTTTCTTCTTAGTCAATCTTGCCCCCTCTTCCTGCCCTTCTGAGAGAGGATCAAGTTTCAGGGAAATGGACACACTCAGCACAATCCCCCCACCTCCTGCATTAAAAGAAAAAAAGATTTTTCTGAAAACCAAGCTTAAGCAAACATCAGGAACTTACTTCTCCCCCAACCTTCCATTTAATGCCAACTGTCCTTATTCACTTTTATCTTGCTTAACCAGTTTTGCCAGTGAACTTCTAAGTGACAGCATTCACCAACATGAGTTTTCTCTTTCTTGCCTCTTGTTGCCTTTGTTAGAACAGCTTAAGAATTAGGCACAATAAGGACACAGAATGGAGAAATCAAAGAAACAATGGGTCTGGAAATTTCTTGAGAAGAAAGGATTGACCACAATTATCATGAGATATACTTGTGGTAATAATCTATCACATGTAGGATGCATCCTATGGGCTGCCTCAGATTCTCCTGGCTTCACCTGTCCCCTGGGCCAGCAGCTGAGAGGAAGGATTCTATGTAGAACCTCATGGTTCCCCCTGTGTTGTCTTCAGCTCTTCCCTCACTTCTGATCTCATAAAAGGCCACTTCTTATGGTACAGGGTCTGCTTCCCCCAGAGGTCTGCTGCCAAAAGGGGCCAGGTGACCAACCCAGAACTACAAGAGGATTAACTTCCATGGGGTTCATTTTGGTAAATGGGAATGAGGAGACAAGAGGGAATCGGCAGGCTTTCTCTCCATTTGTCCCTCTGATGCATTGTTCTGAGGTATGGTTTTCCATACAAGCTTGTCCAGAGACATCCTGCACCTATCAAACAACTGGCTTTGTCACTTTGTGCCTTATTGTGACACAGTGGCCAAAGCCATCACTCACACATCCTTGCATTGGCTTCTTGTTTCCATTCTTTACTTCCCTTCCTCTCTGATATGGTCACACTTTGTGTCCCCACCCAAATCTTTTCTTGAATTGTAATCCCCAGGTATTGAGGGAGGGACCTGGTGGGAGGTGGTTGGATCATAGGAGCAGTTTCCCCCATGCTGTTCTTGTGATAGGGAGTGAGTTCTCATAACAGCTGATGGTTTTATAAGGGGCTCTTCTCCCTTTGCTCACTCTCTCTCCTGTTGCCACGTAAGACAGCCCTGCTTCCTCTTCCACCATGATTGTAAGTTTCCTGAGGCCTCCCCAGCCACACAGAACTGTGAGTCAGTTAAATCTCTTTTGAGTCAATTAAACCTCTTTTCTTTGTCAATTACCCAGTCTCAGGCAGTTCTTTATAGCAGTGTGAAAAAAGACTAACACACTCTTACTCTTGCTTTCCTGTGATAATACTTCCTACAAAGCACTCAACTTTTGCTTAGGCTTGTCCCTCTCCTTCCCCCAGGGAATCCCTGTTAAAATATATCCTGAAATTTCCTAGACAATTCCAAGTCATAGTTCTTTTTATCTCTATAGATGTTTTTGTTTGCTGAAGTATGTAATACAAGCTTGTCCAACATATGGCCCATGGCCCAGGACAGCTTTGAATGTGGCCCAACACAAATTCATAAACTTTCTTAAAACATTAGGAGTTTTTTTTGTTTGCTTTTGTTTTTTAGCTCATTAGCTATTATTAGTGTATTTTATGTGTGGCCCAAGACAATTCTTTCAATATGGCTCAGGAAAGGCAAGAGATTGGATACCCCTGATGTAATCCCTTCTCCTCCCCACTTCCCTTAGAAAATCCCAGAAATGGGATGTAGAAGACAGTAGTGGTCCTTTAATTCAAATCTTAAATTTCTGTCTTTGCTGCCTTGAGTTTAATTCATTTCCATCCCCTGCTTTTGTGTTTTCTTTCTTCTCTGTCTGGCAAAATTAGACTTATCCTTCAAAGCCCAGGTAAATGTAATCTACTGAGTGAAGGCTTGCTTACCACATCTGCCCATGCCTCCCATGGGAGTCTGTGCCATCTCAAGCCTGGCATCACAGAGCCTACATCTGTGCTTCCTAGAGTCCTGGCATTGTGTTTTTGTTGGTTGGAGCCAACCTGACCATGAGTTGCCGCTTCCTCATCGAGTCATACTCATTGTGTTTTTTTTAGATCTCCAGAACTAGCCCATAGAAGATTTCAAGTACTGTTTGCTAAATGAAGGTGATCTGGGTTCTCCTTTTTGCATCCCTCATTGTTGCATCTACCCCAGTCCAAATAGGCCTCCTCACCCTGGCCAGGACAGTGACCATGGCCATGGCCTCACTGCTGTCAGTCTCCTTCAGACAATGCAACCTGCATAAAACCACCAGGCTGCTCTTTTTAAAAATTGCATCCTCTCACCACTAGACCCCAAGGGCCTATAGGAAAGAGGCAGTACAGCAGAGAAAGAATGTAAATGCACAAAGCATAGACAGCAATAACACTTACATATTAGGTACATCGTATCTGACATCAGTGCCTCTGTCTGGTGCACAAGCTCCTGTTCAGCCTAACTCCTGTGCTCTGCTACCCCATACAAACTCTCTATTTTGGTCAGGCTTGGCTCCTTATCCCCTGCCTAAGCCTACCCAACTGTCCCCTCCATTGGAACAACTCTTACCTCCTCTGTACCTGTCCAAATCCTGTCCATCTCTCAATCTCTCATCCTCATAGATGCTTGAGGAGTTGATGTAACCAGGGAGATGCTCCCCTATCTCAACTTTTATGGCAAGGATGTACCACCCAGTTTCTCTGCCTTGAGATCTGACTGCCTTAGCCTTTTCCCATTTTTTTCTTCAATAAGACTAAGCTCTCCAAGAGCAGGACTATGTTTGATACTTCATTAATCTTCCTAGTGCCCAGGCAAGTAAAGATTCAACAAATATTAGTTGACTGATTCATAGCAATAGAAATTAGCCTAACCAAACCTGGCAGAAGATGTTAATGACAAACTACAGCCTATAATTTAGAGGTTATTGTTAGATTTTAAATTTTTTAAAAAGGCATTTTCTGTTATTTTCACTTACGTCAGCATCTAAGGAGAAAAATATGACATAATTTTCTGTATGTCTAGGAAGAGAAATATACTATATGTTATACTAGTTCATTAAAGCATTCTTCCACTCTCTTTCATAACATATGCTATGAATCTTCATAGCAGTCAGGGTACATTTTTTTTCCAATTAATTTTTCTTTTTTGCTTTACTGGCAGTCAGTTTTACTAATAGTCATTTTTCTAAGTCAAATGCTTTAATTAAAGTTGGAATGAAAAATCTGATTAAAATCTAAATTGGCTCAAGGAGCTGTGATCTTTTGGTCTGCTCTTTGCTGTTATATAATTTATGCCCCAAATAGTTACATTAGGACTTTCAGTACATTGTTCTTACCTAAGGCATTTAGAAAGGTCTGGAGCTTTGAGCCAAATAATCCTAATTTAGAAGTTATTGCATACCCAACGTCAAGAATTTCAAGACTAGCGATAGGTTAAGGAGTGAATTTCTAGAATGATTTCATTTTTCAGCAATTCCGAAAGACAGGCACATGATTTATTTTCTGTTGGTTGCCTTTCCCATTCTAACCTGTTATTTAAATAAATTCAGTACTCAGCCTAAAATTCATTCTTGGTGATAGATGCTCTGCCACACTCCAGAAGAAACCAATTAATTTTGAATATATAAATGAGTAGTCAGTACAGGGGGAAAAAAAAAACAAAAAACAAAACAAGACTGATGTGGCTTATTTGGGCTTTTTCTATTTTCCAAAAATTATTCTGATGATAACATGTTTAAAAGGTAGGATCTGAAAACCCAGAAAAAGCAATGTTGCGTGTCTAAAAACAAAAAACCCAAACCCTGAACTACAGAGTAAGCTGATAAATCTGATTCTCACTTAGTGTCTCAGGTGGATAAATTAATAATTTCATAAAAAATGTATGAGACCATCAGGGACATTTGAATTACAACAAAGCCCGACAGAACAAAGCTAAGGAAAATGGGAAGCATTTATGAGAAGACATTGAAGTTACTCAAGTGTGTTGTTTTTCGGGCTCAGCTTGTAGGGGTCACTGGGGTAGTGGGTCCTATTGCTGTTCTCTACAGATTGAAATTGGCTGCCGTGGGCAAAGGTCACCCCACGGTATCAATTACTTGCTGCTACCTGGAAATTTTAATTTCATGCCCTGCAGTAGATCTGCTTTCTTCTCTAGTATGAATGGCAACTGTCTCCGATTGGTGACAAGAATAACTCATTTCCTCAGGGTCATTACACTCTAGAAACTTCTCCATTCAGAAAGTCGATTGCAGATTGCTGGCACAACCAGATCTGCTGCACAAATATGCTGAGTGAATAGACTAGAAACTGTTTCCTCTCTTAACCTTTTTTAAGATATGGTTTTGGTTTCTCCTTTGTAGTGGGGTCAGTCTAAACTCTGAAGAACTGATATTTAGGTCAACATAGACTTTCTCTGTGGAATTCCTCAAAGAAAAAGATGACTAGAGATGTTAGCAAACATAAAAAGTCAGTATTTTTAAACAGTAGGGAATCTGGTTGAAGGAAAATTTGTAGTGGGCTTATTTTTGCCTGGAAATACTGTTAAGGGTATATTAATAATCTCTTCCTTGCCTAAATTGTAGCCTTTGGAAAGATGAGGTGAAACCTATTTTGACAATGAGATTAATATTGCACTAGGAAGCTGATAGAAATATTTAGAACAAAAAGAACAAACCCTTTCCATTTGGTCTGCTCCATTATTGGCCTGGCTTTGAGTTAGAATAATGAGAATCAAAACTGCCAGAAATACATGTTAGTAAGTGACCAAAGGAAACACTGTTAAAACACCTCATTTTTGTTACTTTTGTTCCCTTGGCCTTGGTTCTAATTTCAGAATGTTCCTAACAGTTTCATCAGCATTGCAAAAGAAAGAATAAACTTATAGCTCAATTAAATAGCAATGGACATTCCAGAGTATCTAAAATTTTTAAATAAGCAGAAATGATAAATTTGAGTTATTAAATGATGTTTCTTCCAGAACCTGTGTTTGAGGATGTTTGCACACACACACAACATACATAACACCCTAACTATGTAGTTGTGCTTGCCCGTAATAGTAAGTGGGAAACACAAAATAGAACTCACATGGAATTTCTTCCTCTGCAAATCACCAATCACCTTGCCCATTCTCATGAATACAATCAAATCTGTCCAGGCCATAAAGGCATGTAAAGGCAAGAGAGAATCTCCGCATTTTAGGTGTTGGGCATCTCATTATGTAAGGAAATGAACGATGGGGGAAGTGAGGGAAGATTATGAGGTGGGTGAGAATTGCTTCCTCTCTGGCCATTAGTTTTCAGAACAATGGCCCAACTGAGAAGGGCTGTTGTCAGAGGGAGCAGCAAATATTACCTGCTGAGGGTCAGGGGTCTTCAAGTTATTCCATCCTTTTTGATACAAAAGGCCATGCTTTACGCCTCCTTCTCCCCATGTTACGAAATAAATGAACTAATTATGTGTTGCTTTAGACTAATTAACCACTATTATGGCCTATTTAAATGATTTTTTAAATGCAAGTAAAAAAATGCAAAACAAAACCAAGTTGTAAAAGGCCTTTAAGAAAATGAAGAGAGATAAAAATGTTGAATCTTGGTTCTTTAGACCTACACATAGAAAAAGAAAGTAAAAGGTTTTCTAGTGCAGCTCTCTCATTATGCAAAATGAGAAAATGGGATTCAAAAAGCAAAATGACCTGCTCCAGGTCACACAGCTTCTTAGAGCCAGACATTTTATGAAAAATCCTTGTTTCTTAAATCTGGGGCAATTTGAGCTCAAAATAAGTGATCATAGTATACTCTAACCAGGTGAATAAAATAAAACTCTCGATTCCATACCATACTGATATAAGCAGATAAACAAATTGGTAAGAAGGAAAAGCCCTTCTTTAACTTGAATGCCAATTAATAGAGAAAAAAATGATAGATTTATGAAACTATCAGTGGATACTAAAACTGGAGAATTAAAGTTTTAATGAGAAATAGGATATCTGCATAGTCTAAAAGGTGACAAGGGTAGCAGCAAGTTTCCTGCTGGCATCCCAGACAGTCATCCCACTGTACCACAGGCTCTGTGCCACATGTCAGGGAGTCCTCTAGGCATGGTTACTCCTGTTTCTATAGGGCCTGTAGGGCCTTTGCTCCATGATGCTAACGGAGCTTTCCAATTAATATCCTCTTTTGAGTCAGAAAGATGTGTTGACTGCATGCCCTCCCTGATGGGTCTTAATTCCTGCCAGATAAATAGACATACTTTGTTTGAATAGACCAGTATTCTAGCTTCCCAGGGCCCTTTACTGAACTTCACTACTGCTGGAGGCATGTGGAAGGCAAGAGTACAGTCTATATAGAAATGTCATATGGCCTAAAGAGTTTAAGAAAAGCTATTCTTGGGAGATGTACTGTTCTACATTCATGCTACAAAATTCCAAATGGCAAAATTAACATGACCAGAAAATGAACTGTCGTTCACATTTTTCTGCATACTCTGGGTAAGACTTGCATTTGTGATCATCATTAATGATGCCCAGTAACAACATTTGAGAGTGTCGCCAAAAGCCAGTATTTACAAACTGCTTGATGAATGATGCAGTGTCATGGAGAAAGAGGTAACCGATATTAAATCAACACCTCTAGGGAACTGCAGAGGCAAGCAGATCTACATTGTTTCAATACAAACAGGTTCCAAAGTCACAGCACTGTCAGTAATAACAGCAGTGCTACCTCTTTCTTGTGGTGGCAGACATGAAATTAGCCAGAAACAGTGCATTTGACAATAAAGAACATAAAAAGATAGTTTAGTTCCTGGACTTGAGCAGGATGAGATGGTATCTGGATACTCTCAAGAATCTTCACCTGCACTTATTGAATGATAAGCAAATGCGTAAGGGCCTCTTTTCTACTTTTTTCCAAATCTCCATTAATAAATCACAGCATATCACATGAACCTATGAATGCTTAAAAATATGTTAAAATCAAATTGTTTATACAGATAGGTGCTCTGTGCAGTCTAGTGGAAGGGTGGAATGGGGGAGCTGGCTGTGGTGATATCTTACTTTGATAATGATAGCTTAAGAAGGGTTACAAAATGAATTCTTGAGAATTTGTAGTACCTCTCTGGGCCTTGGGTTTCTCACATAGCTGATGTATATAGCTAGAAGGCTAATTTATTATTTTCCACTTAGAAATATCATTGTCAAGCCCAAGCCTGCATACAGATTGGCTGGCCAAAGCACTCTTTCCTTATAGACAAGGGCCAGGGAAGCAAAGTTATGGGATCAGAAATAGGGGAGTTTATTCTACAATGGGAATGTTTAATGTCATCCTCAGGAATTGGCAGCCAGATGTGTGTAAACACATTGGGATTCTAGCTTGGCCTTCAAAGGACATCTTCTCTCCCAAGCAGTGCTAAATGGGGCAGCACTAGCCTTCGATCTGAGATCATCAAGCATGGCGGACAGCTATCCTTCTCCCGGCCTGAGTGTCCCTTGTGTATCTACATTAACATTTTCAAATTGACTGCCTTGCAGGGCAAGATCTGAGTCATGTGGACATTGTGTATTTCCATTTGAATTCTTATATCTGATCCTTTCTCTCACCAGGGGCAAGATCTTACAAATTCTTCATTTCCAAGTTCTTGGGAGTGGCTCATGGCTGTCTTGCCAATGAGGGTTCACTTGTGCTACAAAGGATGTGAGTCTGTTAAAGCCTAAGTTATTGTCTGTTATGTCTTTATTAGAGAAAGAATGAGAGGAACTGAAGTTTGTGTCTCAGCTTGGAAAGTCAGTTTCCCCTGATCACCAGTCATCTCCCTGATTTTCATCCCTCCCAGCCAGGTAGGCAGATCCTGCCTCACATGCTGTATTAAGGGCACATTCCTTTAGGATAACATTTATTTTTCATTATGCTTATTTTACAATTCTACCTCCTCTAAATCATGAGTTCATGAGAGTAGGGACCATGTTTTACTAACCTTGGATTTCCCAGAGCCCATATAGTGTTGCAGCCAAGGTCCTGATCTCTGGAATCAGACTGTCTAATGTGGGATCCCTGCTCCTGTGTTTCTTCCAACTTCTCTCAGCCTGTTTTCTCACCTGTAAAACGGGGGATATTAATAGTAACTGCCTTGTAGGTTGTTGAGAAGGGTTGGAGATGTCGTATGTAAGATGTTTAGCACAGTAGCTGCCATTTGACACACATTAAATATTAGTATTTAGTTAGTAGTAGTTGGTGCATGAGACACAGTTACTCAAAGAAATGGGTACTGAGGCCGGGTGTTCATGCCTGTAATCCTAGCACTTTGGGAGCCCAAGGTGGGTGGATCACCTGAGGTCAGGAGTTCGAGACGAACCTGGCCAAGATGGCAAAACCCCGTCTCTACTAAAAATACAAAAAATTAGCTGGTGGCAGCCACCTCTAATCCCAGCTACTCGGGAGGCTGAGGCAGGAGAATTGCTTGAACCCGGGAGTTGGAGGTTGCAGTGAGCCAAGACCACGCCATTGCACTCCAGCCTGGGTGACAGAGCAAGACTGTCTCAAAAAAAGAAATGGGTACTGAGTAAATGGATGAGATGGATGAGAGATGCAGCCAAGCCTGTGAATGGAAGTCACAACTAGAGCTCCAAAACCACAAAATGGGTCCCTATCATAGCCCATTGTCACTGAAAGGCATTTAATAAATGTGGTTGCAGTAGGAGGAGAAATTCTGGTGACTACAACAGATAGGTAAGTCAATCTCCAGGCTTCCTGAGGTTTTCAGCATCTCAATTTTTGCTCAAAGGGACCTTTCCTGGGAAGTCTCATGGAGAAGACTCAGCTCCATTGCATTACAGAATTAATGTGTGAGGAAGGGATATTGTGGAATTCAACCCATCTCACTTCAGGAAAGATTTAGGCGCAGAGTGTTAAGGATGATATTCTTCCGAGGTTTCCCTGCCATCCCTATGAAAAAGTTAGGCGACAGTTGATTGGAGGCAGGACTAGAGGCATACAGTGAGGTGTGTCTTCAACGTAAGGCCAAAGGCTAGCTGCCACATTTTAAGGCCCTTTTCAGGGGGAAGGTTCTTAAAAGGGCTGCCTCAGCACACAGGCACTGGCATATGTCACCGTGGCAGGTAGACACATATTAAAACAAACCTCACAAACACAATTCAAAACACACCGAGTCTGTAAGGACTGGTTCCTTACATGAGCTCATGAGTTCATCCCCTTGTCAAGAAGAATCGACTCTCTAGGTAGAAGGCAAAACACTTGATCCTCTCCAGAAGGCCACGAGAATTTAACTTCTTTCCCTTTCAGAACTGATAAGATCTCACATCACCACGTCAGTCTGGCTCACAGGAGGAGTGAGACCTGGCTCTGCTAAGAAGCTGGTAGTTGTTAGTGGGAGCTTGAGACCCACAAACAAAGGGATTTTCAACTACCTGGCTGTACTTACATTTGGTTTTACTTCAGGCTTTCACACTCCATGCTTACCTCACTGACTTGTTATGTAGACCAAATGAGATGTGTGTAACAGTGGGTTTAAACACAACATCTCTACGCAGATATGATCTTTTCCCATTGTTAAGGGCACTGTTAACACAATGCCCTCAAAGAGCTTTTGGTTTGAATCCATTTATAATCTGTATATTCATAAGCTTTGAGTGTGTGTGTGATTCTGATAAATAGAGTCAGCTTGGGTGAGAGCTCTTTCCCAAGGGAGAGCGCAGAATGGAATAGGGCACTAGAGGCAGGAGCTTGGAGCTACCTGTGTAACTCAGATCTCCCCAGTCCTTCCAAGCCTAAGGGTACATAAACAGTAGTTTACTCCAATTCCACCACCTCTTGTTCCCACTTGTCCAGGAAGGGCTCTGTTAAGTGCTCCTTCAATATTTTGGTCTGTGTCAATGGGTGTTACCACTCTGCCACCTCCTACTGGGCACCTTCATTTTCCCCTGCCAGGTCACGCCCTCTACCCCACAAGCATGCTTAGTGGCACCGCATATTGTCTTGTGCTTCATTCTGTGTCCCACTGGGTTGGAGTGCTCTCACAGCAGGACTGCCTGAGTCCCTTTATTTTCCAGAGTTGAGGAGAAAAACTTCTTCATTTTTATTTCCTGGTCACATTGTTCTCCCACACTGAGTCCAGTAGGGCCTCCACTAGGAGCAATGCTCAGGGCTGTGCCTAGAATTGTTCTTCCCTCTTGACGGCTAGGACTTTTCTTCAGCTGCCACGGGCTGTACCTGGCTTCTTTTCTCAGAAGGCTTCTCCTTCTCTCAGGCAACTCCTTCTACCTCTCAAGGGCTGTGCTACCCTGTCCCACTCATTTTTTCAGATATCCTAGGGCATCTGTGGAGACTTTACTTCCTTCTTCCCTTGCCCCACTGCCCCAGCCTTTCCTAATATTCATTCATTCCACAGACTTCTTTGAAGAATATTTGAACTATATGAAATATTTTTCAAGCTGTCAAATAAAATTGTGTTTTAACTCCAAGCAGTGCTGAAAACATCCCACAACTTAAAACCCTGTAACCCTAGAAGAAATTGCCTTATGGAAGATGGAGGGACGTGGTTCAGTGATAATTTTATCACCTAAATTTCAGTTTTAAGAGATGATTTAAACCTGAACACTGAGACATATTTAAAGGGTTTTATTAAAAATATTTACTTAAAAATTATACCTTAGTGGAACTTTTCCTCCCCTCTCTTCATCCTCCCTTCCCTAGTTCTCTGGAGGTAAGTTCTGGGTGGAATTGGAGGTCTACAGAAGTTGGACTGGAGTGTGGTTCTGGTGTTTGCTCGAGATAGTTGGGTGGGATGGGGAAGGAGATGAGCCCTCTATGCCTCTCTCTCTAACTTCCTCTATTCTCCAGCCCCTTAGCCTCTCTAGCTCTGTAGTGTAGCCTTAACCTATTCTGCCTGCAACATAGCTTCACTCAGTGTATAGTGGATGGAAAGATCCAGAAAGGGGAGAAAGAGGGCACCCAAGACAAATTTCCTTTATTATGAAAGTTTTTCCACATTTTCTCCTCTAATCAGAGAGCAGATTACAAATTGACCCCATAGCCCCTTGTGCTGCTTGAAGAGTCTGACCTGAGAATGAGAAGGAAGGGCGGGCAAAGTCATGCCTCCCTGTCGCAGTCAATCCTTTCTTTTGCAATTCTCTCCTCCCCTCCCCTCTGGTCATCCCTCCATTTCAACATTTGTAGGTCCCTGAAGCAACTTATAGCAGTGCGAATCAACACCTTCCAGGAGAGTCCTTGGTCTTTGTGGCTTACTGAAATCAGAATACCAGAATTCCTGTGCCCAGGCACAGGTAAGTGGAGATGGAAGTTATTGTGGGAATTAAGAGGTCATTTTTGGCCTCAGGTGCTTTCAGAGAGAGGTCTGGAGGAGCTGCTGTAGGTTACATTGGAAAAGGATGGCGTGAGGGACCTGCGTCTTGAGAAGTCTTTTATGAGCCTCCCAATTCTGGGTTAGGTGTCTCTCCTACCTGCCTCCACAGGGCTTCCTTCTTAGCTTTAGTACTTATCCCCCTGTTGGCTCTTGTATGACTCTTGCATGACATAGTAAGCATCCCAAGCAGTACAGTATCCCCAGCCCTCGGTCCTAGCTCAATATAGGTTGCTTGTCACCCAGCCTATAATCCCAGCACTTTGGGATGCGCCAAGGTGGACAGGCTGCTTAAGCTCATGAGCTTAAGACCAGCCTGGGAAATATAGTGAGACCTTGTCTCCACAAAAAAAAAAAAATTTTTTTTTTTTTTGAGGCAGAGTCTCGCTCTGTCGCCCAGGCTGGAGTGCAGTGGCACAATCTTGACTCACTGCAAGCTCTGCCTCCTGGGTTCACGCCATTCTCCTGCCTCATCCTCCCGAGTAGCTGGGATTAGAGGCACCTGCCACCTCGCCCAGATAATTTTTTGTATTTTTAGTAGAGACGGGGTTTCACAGTGTTAGCCAGGATGGTCTTGATCTCCTGACCTCGTGATCTGCCCACCTCAGCCTCCCAAAGTGCTGGGATTACAGGTGTGAGCCACCGTGCATGGCCAAAAAAATTTTTTAAACTAGCAGGGTGTGGTGGCACATGCCTGTAGTCCCAGCTACTTGGAAGGCTGAGGCATGAGGATCACTGGAGCCCAGAAGGCAGAGGCTGTAGAGAGCCGAGATCGTGCCACTGCACTCCAGCCTGGGCAACAGAACAAGACCTAGTCTAAAAACTTTGCTTGTCTATGAATGAAGTGGGCTGCCAGATTGGAAAGGTCACAGGACTCAGGCTTAAAGACCTACAGATTTTTTGCTCTATCGTTTACTAACAGGGCTGAGCACTTAGTCTCTCTAACCCTCAGTTTTTTTCAGTAGCAGAATGGGTTCAATTTATCTAATTCTACTAATAGGATCATGGAGAATGAGATTAACAGATGTAAAAGGGCTTTATAGACTGTATGTTGCTAGTCACATGTAAGATATTATCCAGATAAAGCTTGAGCAAAGAAAGTATGATTTTGGCCATTTTATATAAAGCAAGTGTCTTAGTCTGTTATAACAAAATGCCACAGACCATGTGGCTTAAAAACAATATTTATTACTTACAGTTCTGGAGTGGAGTGGCTTCATAGAGCAGCCTAAATAACAATCTGTATCTCTTGCTTTCACTAACACTAATTCTGTTTTTTGTCTCTGATTTTTTTTTTTTTTAAATGAAACTCTAAGGTGATTCCATTCTTCACAGAATTTGCACTGGTTCCAGCCAAATGTCCCAGACACCTTTTCTACTTGGGGCATTTTCAATCATGCAGATGGTGTAAATTCAAACCTCAAAACCAAAGAATGACAAGCACAAGGCTGCAAATTTTCCAGAAAGTCCTTTTTTCACCACTCAAAATTCATATAGAGTCATTCATGTTTTCCTGTCATCTCCCTTTTTCAATACACCATTTTCCCCTTTAATCTGTGCTTTGACTTCAAAAGTCCCAGGTTTTGACAGATCTCAGTTTCACCTCCCCACCTGGCACAGACCCTGTCTCCTGCATAGTTGTTAAAACCCAAGGGCACCCAAATCATACGACACCCTCAGGACAGACTGGCCTCAACACCTGCTTCCCACTCAGGTTTCTATTTCCCTTTCCATCTTCGGTGCCTTGGGATTTCCCCAACTTTCTTGTTTGTTGCATTTTCCCTAGCATTTCCAAATATTTTGTAGTAGGAATGTTTTTCAGAATAGGTAGTCTGCCGTATCAGTAGAAACTGAACCCCCTACCGATATTTTTACACAAGTAATGTCTAATAACAATTAACATGAGAAGCGGAAAAGAAAAAAAGAGTCTGCCACCAGAACAAGTAGTAGCCCTGCTCTTCAAACCAAAAGTAAATTACGTATAACTACTAGGTTTTTTTTATGAGTTCAAGGGATGGAGCATCTAAAATAAGAAATGGTCCAAGACATCCATGGATATAGGGATGATAGCATCACTGCCAGGGTTGGCTCATGACCCCTGGCCAATGAGAAAGTGTCTCCAGAGGCCAGCAGGAGAGTCTGCTTCTGCCTGCTCCCAGCCCTGCCTCCCTGACCTGCTCCCCATCATCCAGTTTCCAAAGAGGAGAACCCTGAATTCCTTGCCCTGGGGAAGAGCTCTGCCATAGCTTTGAGTGACTCAAAGGACAGGCTCTGCAAAACATAAGTATAGGTTGAAATGCTAAGTTTTTCTGCCACTGTTTTCTTGAAACAGCTCAAGAAAGGACTCAGAGAAATTGGCTCTTGCTACAGGACACACAAATTGAATACTTGAGTCAATCATCCAGTGATTTGTCACAATGCTGAACAAACACCAGAGCCTTTGCTAAACATAAGGAGACAGAGAATGTTCTTGATAGAATCACATCCATTTGTCGATCCCAGGTATATTCCTAAACAAGATGATGGTCTAACTTTGGGGGGCTTGGTGGCAATGTGGAGGTGTGGATGGTGAGGAATGGGAGCCACTCTTGCTTATTGTCCTCCCTGATCTTCAGGCCAATGACTGAGGTGTGCCTACCCTCCCTTCATCCTGCACTTAGTCATACATGAAGCTTGCTTGTCTCAGTAGATCCCATTGGATTTTCATCTTTGTTATTAAATCAGGGCCACATTTGACATGCTTATTTTATAACGACCATCTTATGACATGTAGGTCCTTTGGCTGAGGGAGAAGTGCCTCCACAAATTTAATTACCCTCAGGTGAGCAGCACTGGGTGCTTGTCACATCAGAACACCCCAACAATTGGGAACAAATCTGTATTTATCCTAGAGACGAGACACTTTGAGCCTCAAAGGATAATACTCTCAGAGTTTACTTTCTCCCCTTATTCCCTTTTGGGCTACCAAGGTTTTTAGTCACTGCTGAAGCTATTTTGTATTTTAAATCCACAGTCCTTTCATTTTAAAACTGCAAGGTTTTTTATCGTGTCTCACCCCTACATTCAAGGCCCAGAAGGGCCTGGTGCTGTACCCAGAATCACATTGCTCACCTGGGGCAGAGTCTCCAATTCCTAGAGCAGTTTCAGTCCCCCATGTCCTCAGCGTTTCCCAGAAGATAGTAATGGATGACATGAATCTGGCAAACAGCTGGGAATTACTGCCCTCCAAAGTGGTGGAAGGAGTGGCTCTGAGGGCCTGTCTTGGCCGACGTAGATTTGGTATCAATACCTGCTGAGTACAGAGGCCAAACAGACTGCACCTGGGCTCTGCCTGTAACTCTCCAACCTAACTCATGCCACGCCTGGTGAGGAGTTAAAGAAACAAATCCTTGTTTTTTATTTTCTTCATAGGATCAAATCGCTCAGGGTACTTGTAAGGAGTGGACCATTATTTTACAGGTGTGTAATGCTTCCACCTCTTGCATCCTTCCCTCTTCCAAAGGCTGTCATAGCAACAAGGCCCATCTCTGCAGGTGTCAGGAGACCTTCACATTAACTTTCCTTGGACAAGTAACATCAGAACAAATTCTCCTTTGAACTTAGGTCAGAGAAATCTCTAAACCTCATGGAAAGTATGAAATGCAAACCAACTGTATGAATTAGTCTTTGAGCCCATTATGATACTGGGAACTTATTCTTTTTTAAGAATTTCAAATTATTTCAGTTTTTTTAAATTTTGTTTTTGAGATAGGGTCTTACTATGTTGCTCACACTGACCTGGAACTCCTGGACTCAAGCAATCCTTCCACCTCAGCCTCTTGAGTAGCTGGGATTACAGGTGTATGCCACTACACCCAGCTAAAATTATTTTGTTTCTAATTGACACATAATAATTGTAACTATTTATGGGATACAGTGTGATGCTTCAATACATACATACATTGTGTAATGATCAAATCATAGTATTTAGCATATCCATCACCTCAAACATTTATCAATTCTTTGTGCTGAGAACATTTGGAATTCTCTCTTCTAGCTATTTTAAAATATACAGTATATTATTGTTACTACAGTCACCCATCTGTGCTACAGAACACCAGAATTTATTTCTCCTATCTAACCGTAATTTTGTACTTGATCAATCTCTTCCCGTCGTCCCCTCCCTACTACCCTCCCAAGCTCTGGTAACCACTATTCTAGTCTGTATTTCTATGAGATCAAATTTTTAAGATTCCATGAATGGCATTTTATGGTATTTGTCTTTCTGTGCCTGTGCCTGACTTCTTTCATTTAACATAATGAGGTTCATCCATGTTGCTGCAAAAGACAGGATTTCATTATTTTTATGGCTAAATAGTATTCCATACTATAGATAGACCACATATTTTTATCCATCCATCTGTTGATGGATGCTGAGGTTGATTCCATATCTTGGCTATTGTAAATAGTGCTGCAATAAACTTGGGAGTGCAGATGTCTCTTTGACATGTTGATTTCCTTTCCTTTGGATAAATATCCAATAGTAGGATCACTGGATTATATGGTAGCTATATTATAATTTTTTTTTTAGGACCCTCCATAGTTTTCCATAATGACTATACTAATTAACATTGCCATCAACAGGGTATTAAGAGGAACTCCTCTTTTTTTTGTTTTGAGATGAAGTCTTGTTCTGTCACCCAGGCTGGAGTGCGGTGGCTTGATCTCAGCTCACTACAACCTCCACCTCCCAGGTTCAAGAGATTCCTGTGCCTCAGCCTCCTGAGTAGCTGTGATTACAAGCAAGTGCCACCATACCTGGCTAATTTTTGTATTTTTAGTAGAGATGGGGTTTCACCATGTTAGCCAGGCTGGTCTCAAACTCCTGGCCTCAAGTGATCTGCCTACCTCAGCCTCCCAAAGTGCTGGAATTACAGGCATGAAACACTATGTCTGGCCATCTTTCTTTATCTTTCTCTGGAAAGAGGAAATTCTCAATTTTAGAGAAAGCTCTGTTGTGAATATTTGGCAGTTTTGCCTTTCCAGCCACTGAACTACACCTCCAGGCCACCCCAAGGTATGTTGAAGGTAAGGCTTGCCTCAAATGGTTCCTCTCTCACTAACCTGGCCCCTGGCAAGTGAGGTTGGATGCCAATGCCCTGGATTTTTAAACTTGAAGCAGGTGATACAGGGAACTATGGGATACTTAAAGGTGAATTCTGGCAGTACCAGCAACATCTTAATATTGCTTACTGGTGGGGATTTCAGGGGCAGCTGCAGCGCCATCCAGACCCTTCTGTGGCATGACCTTGGCTGTGTTTCCAGCACCTGGACTCCGTTGGCACCTGGACATCGCCCAATCTTAGTTCTCCATGCACATTCTTGGTTTTGCAAGTTATTCCGTCTCCTTCCAATAACTTCCTTTTCTGCTTAAATTAACTAGAAATAGTTTCTGTTGTTTGCAACCATGGATCCTGACTAGCCCTGCCTCCTTAAAGTTGTTTCAATGGATGAGTGACTATTTAACAAGTGAGCTATGCTCATGGCATCTTATTAAAAGGGACTGAAAGTAGGAGAGCTTCTTGATTGAAGCTTGAAGGACTTTCACTTCTCCAGCTGCTGGCAGTGGGGAACAGGAAAGGAGGTCATTGAAAGCCAGTAGGAGGTGGTGGTCTATGTTAAATCACCCATGTGACTTTGCTACAGCTCCCACACCCTCAGCTTAAAACCAGGTACTGACAGGCATCCTGTGGATTTATTTTTCCAGCTCTGCCCTACCTGTTTTTCTGGCTCTCCTTTCCAGCCCAAAGTCAGGCCCCACAGCTGGATGAAATAAAATGGTTATATTGGGAGGCCTTAAAATTAGCATGGTTCAATATGTCTTAAAGTTGGGGCCATTCCCTGGGTAAAGAATGGAGGTTTTCTCACTTTCTCTGCTGCAGCTGCTGGGGATAAAAGTCAGGAGCTCTCTGCTCCAAGGGCTCTCCCAACCAGGTCCGACTCTCTCCCCACTACTTTCCAAATTCATTCGCTGCTACATTCACCATGTACCACAGCGAAAGACAACCCCACTCCATCAATGGCACATTATCATGTGGCTTTCCATTTTTCCTAATCACCTTATTCCTTTGCTCTTCCAAAGTTGAGGATAAATTATTTAACAAGTCTCTAGGGTTGACTTTTATGAGAACTTAAAGCCAGTGCCCATCTGCTATAGGTTAGGGTGAGCCAAATGCTGAAAGTTAATCCTTCTTGTTCCACTCTGGAAAATACCCAGCCATGCACACACACACGTGTGCACACGTGAGCAGTCACAGACCCCCACACCCTACAACAGCACCTCCCAAACCACATGGCCCAAGTAGTAAAACATCAAGGCTTGAATCACCATACTCAGGCCAATAAAAACTTAACTTTGCACTCTCATATAGTTGAGCTTGTGCTTGCAAAATTCCCTGCATGTGCCTGGCTCTGTGATTGAAACACTGTCATGCATTTCAGACAAGGGAATAGGTAATATTTAAACATTAATATACATCTATGCCTTTCTGACACATGCATTGAATGTGTGGAGTATCAGAGATGAAAAGTATACAATATACACACACATCATATTGTATAATTGTATAATTTATTAATTTCATCACATTTAGTTTAAGAGGCAGAGATCAGCTAATGCAACAGTTTTCAATCTTTTTCAATAGAAGTGGGTTTGAAACTTGGTCCAGCCACATTCTTACTGGATGGCCTTTCTAAGCCAAAGTTCAATTTTCTTAAATCTGTAAAACAGGGATTAAAAATAGTATGTACCTTACAGTATTACTGTGACGACTAAATGAAATCTTAGCACAAAGCCTGGCAGACAGCCAATGCTATTACTGGCTAAGATCATGGTAGCTATTATTATTATTATTCACCCCTGAATGGATTCTATTTTGCAGCAGTTTGTCCACAAAACTGCATTTATGAATTAGTCATGAATTTACTCTCGCTGACTTTTAGTATTCAGAAACATTAATATCACCCCATCAGAACTTCTCACCGGAAACATCAGTTGTTATAACTTCAATAAAAGATAAAGACCATTTCTAATTAAGTTTAACCTGAGTAGTCTTATTGTCAATGAGTTATAAATATTAGAATTTTAATAAGATTTGTGATACTTTTATGTAGAACTGGCTTAATGCAATTTCATGTTTCAGAAGAGGAAACAGATGTCCAGAGAGGGGACCATGCCTCAGGCCACAAAGCAGCAACACAAACTCAGGTCTCGAACCATGAGGCCCCCCTCTTCAGTCTACTTTGGCTTGTATTTATATCCAACTAAGGGCATACGGAAGGTCTGGTATATTTTACGGGCCATGTCCTTAATCAGGAACCATGCTGAAAACCTATTGGATTATGTGTCTAGAAACTTACCTCATCCTAACCCTAGCCTTTTTTTGGAAACTGCTCTCCCCATCCCCCACCATGGCTCCTGGTGGCCACGTTTGTAAGATATGAATCAACCCCGGCCACAGTCACTGGGCCCAGATTGGGCCCAATAGTCACTGGGCCAGGTTGGGCCAATAGGAATATTTCTTAGGAAGACGGAATGAAGTGGAGAGAGATCTAGTCTTCTCCAGGTGGATAAACATCATTATTGGTTATATTTTCAAAAGGTGTGTCCAGGGAAGCAGAGGAAGCCAAGGTGTAAAAAGAGAAGAAACAAGACCCATTATGACTAGAGATAGGAGAGTCAGATTCCTCATGGCTGTCTCTCTCAGATTCCAGTTTATTTTGAGATCCACTGCATGCTTGCCCTTGGGTTTTTGGAAGCACTGTTGAGTAAATTCTTTCCTGGCTTAAGCTAACATGAGTCTTTTCTCAACTAAGGATTTGAGAAATGGGGTTGTATTCCAGAATGCTGGAGCAGTAAGCAGTCCACACTATATTGCCTACTAGAACCTCATACCTATGGCGAGAGATTTTTCTTGTCCATCTGTAGTGATCCTTTCATTGCTTCAAATCTCTTGAAGGTGTGGCATGCCTCTGGCCATGGTCTCTGAAGACCAGGTCTACAATTGTTCAGACCGCCAACTGCTGTGATATTTTGCTTGTAAAATGTCTAATGATTCTTACCAGACTGTTCTGTTCTTTCCACTTCTACCACCTATTGCCTTGAAAGCAACTTGGGCTTCCACAAAACTTGCATTTCACTGTCTAGTAGAATACTCTTTGCTTCAATGTGGCAGCTATGGCTCCAGAATTTGTGCCTCTTTTGTCACTCTTGTGGGAATCAGAACTCTTCCCCCAGAACACAAAATGAAGGACTAGAGAGAGGTCACAGTGGAGGGAACCACACACATTACAGAACACTATCAACTCTGGAGCTGATGTGGAGGGCACACTCACTGTGAGAGCACATCTAAGTTTGAGCTGGGGCTTCTGCCTAGTTGTAGAGCTTACTCAGAGCTCAGGGAAAATATAGCTCATCAATTGCTGAACCGGGTAGTTAAGCATAAATATGTACATAGGTGTATGTGTATAGAAACGTTTTAAAGAGAATATTTCAGAGGCAAATATTTTAACAAATCAGCCCTCTGCAACACATCGGGAATGTATGCATTTGCAATCTAAAACATGTTTACTTACGCAGGAACTAAGCTTGTTAAAAACTATGAGAAACATTTGGACTCATCCATTCAGCAAATATTTTGTGGTTATGTACTATGTGCTATTTAGCTATGTACAAAATGAATAAAGTTCCTCGCCATTGTGAAACTTCTATCTCCTAGGCATGAAAGCTCAAATGGAAATATTAACAATGGCAAATAGTAATGAAAAGTGCTGTCTATTCAGCACCCCTTATTTCAAACTATTGTGCTAATACAGTTTTTATATGTTATTTCTTATGTTCCACCAGAAGATACACTTCATAAGTGAAGGAACAGTCTTTGTATTCATCATTCTGTGTCCAATGCCTCACCCATATTTGGTCTCAGTAAATATTTGTTGACTAAATAAATGATCCCTCCATAAATTCTGAGTTTGGTATTATTATGCCCATTTAACAGGTGGTAAATTGAGGATCAGAGAGGTTAATAATTTGGCCCAAATCACACAGCAAAAAGAGCTAGGATTTAAACCTAGAGTGTTTTCCAATACACCAAAATATTACTTTTGCATATATTTGTTGGAATAAAGTGTTTTGGAGCTCATGTCACTCTATAATAAGTTGGGTCTGTAGGGATGAATTACAGCACTTGCAGTCCCTGGAATACTATTCTGTGCCAACAAGAGAATGCAATCTCTGATCAAAATGTTAACTTTATGTTACTTACATATCCCAGGCTTCACCAGCCCAGCTAGCGACTAACAATGAGCTATGGTTAACATTAATAACCCAAAGCCCCTGTTTTTGCCTGTCTGCAGGCTCTTTAGCATATCTTTCCTTAAATAAAACCAACCACCCACTCCTCTTACCCCATCTCCACCATACACACACAAATACTTCTTGAAGTTGTTGAAGATCAGCCTACATAGATCTCAAGCCCACTTGTGAGTTGGTCAATAGCCACCATGAGATATCCACAGCTTTTATCTTCTACTGCAGCTTTGCTTTGTCAACCTCTACTGTGAAAGAAGCTGTTGAGGGTAACTACACTGTTACTGCTGTTAATAGTGCCTTCTGGAAAAATAAGGATGATGCCTCTCAGCTCTCCCAAAGCTTCCATCCCTGAGATGGAGCTGGATTCTGTGAAGAACCCAGGAGAATGGCCCAATAACACATGTGTAACCTGCTCCTGAAGCAACACTCATGCATCCTGAGTCTCACAGTGTCTCTCCTTCATGCCAAGCCAAAATGCTCTCTATATGCCCAAATCCAGGGACAGGAAGCCTGGGGGAGTGCAGAGATTCTCAAACATGTTCAGGTAGCAGAAGACCAGGAAGCATGGCTTCCCATGAGCTCTGGAAAGCCATGAGTCATTGATGTTTTAAACTAAAAATAACTAAGTACTATGGTTTTGCTAAATGATTATCCTGACCAATATTAACAGAAAACAGAGTTTAAGCACATGCCCACAAATACACAAACTCCTTACTGAGGAAATTCAACTCATTAACTAATTAACACTGTATATGCGTAAGTGAGAGAGAGACACAGATTGGGAAAATGTCCATGTTATTGTACTTTAACTGCATGGCAAGCACAGGCCATGAAGCACCACTGTTCTGAAAAACACTTGAAAAGGGCTGAGCCCAAGAGTTATTCAGGTGATTTGGGGAGTGTTATTTGCATCTCAGAGTCTATACGATGCCATTCCTCCGAACCTGACATCCTAATCTGTAAGATAAAGTGGTTACACTTGATGTTCTATTGGTCTTCATCCTGCTTTAGCTGTCTGAGACTCCCATTGAAATTAGTAGGCCAGGGTATAGAAAGTTTTGGGGTAAAAGAACATGCTTCAGGGAGAAAAAGCCAAGAGAGGAGGTTTATTGGGTGGTAAGAAGTTTATGATACAGCTCAGAACCTCACTGTCGTCTAATATCTACAAGGGTGGCACTGTAATTATAAGGAATTTTACAGGGAACATTCCCAGCCAGGAATAATATAATTTTAGTCTTTTACCCATACTTCTTAGTGCCTATGCACATGAACTTATTGAGCCCTGTAGACTCCCAGAATGGGTCATAAGTATCATTGTGTCTTTCAGGCAATAAAAGGAGTGTTACCTCTGGGCTCCCAGAGTTACCCACCAACTCAGTGGTCCTCCAGGGGTGGTCTTGGCTCCCCCGGTGGTCTTCAATGGATTTCCAGTGGCCTCTGAGTTACCCTCCTGGAGCAGTCATGCTTGTCAATAGCATTGTCTCTGCTTATGCTCCAGGAGGGGTTTAGAACTCACTTGTGCTGTGCCTTCTGAGAGTTTGCCAGATTTTAACACCATTCTTTTTGTTTCCCTCAGGACATCGTCCATGCCCACCCTGTCCTTCATTTTTACAATGTTAAATTATTGAAGGTGTTAGATGGCCTGAGTGTTGTCTGGTTCTGGCAAGGTAGCTCTTTCCTCCAAAGTGTTAGATTCTCTGCTTCATCCTGGCTTTTGGCTAACATAATACCCTGTAATGCTGAATTTCATACCTTCAAGTGGGCATGGCATTGTTCAGAAGTGTTAGCATAGAAGTCATCTCCTGTTAGAATAACAGTTGTTTTTCTCATCCAAAGGGAAATGTTGGTTGTCAAGATATCACTCAGACCATGCTACTTTCCTGCCTCATAAAAGGCCAAGAAAGGAAACCATGAGAAAATAGAGAAATTATTTGTAGGTCAAGGTTTGTTATTCAACATTAAGGTTTCAGTTTAGTGGAGAGACAGGAAGGAAAAGAACATACACAAGCCCACCCAAACAGTTTATTAATGTCCACATTTTTTTCTTGTTATTGGCTGTTATTTCAAAGGCTCTTGAGTGGATACAGAGTCGTATATTTTTCTAAAGTAGTAACTGTTTGCAAAATTTTATGTTTTATATTGAAGCTCCTATCTATTGGCTCAATTTTTCAATAAAAGAAACTTTAAACCACAACAACCTGAGATCCCTGGAACATTTTAAAACATATTTTGTTTGTTTGACAATAAAATTTCACATCTGGGCTGACAAGCCTTGTGCCAAGTTTCAACCTAATGCAATGTCAAATGGATGAGCTATTACATTCAAGCAAGCAAGAAAACTCAGGCTTCTGATGGTTTCTTGATAGCCCTTTGCCCACAACCTGCTGCTATAATGACAGTGTAGCTCTGCTGAGTGACCAATGAACTCAAATTCCTGCTAGAGACCCTCTTTCTTGGAAAGAAACATTGCATTTTAAATTTACTCTTCATTAAGAGATTATTAGGCAGAGCCCAAGTATCTGGCCTTTTCCATTTATATCATCTGTGCCAATAAATGCTCTCATAAGCCTAGTTGTAAGACTCTAGTTAAACGTGATTTGGCTTATTCAAACTAGTCCTCCTTCAGAGGCTACTGCTTCTTTACTAATTACTTCCTGTTCTCTTTCCTCTGCATAGCAACAGTACTTTATTCAAAACAGAATGTAAGTGGTCTGTAACAAACAAACCCCCCAAATGTGTATGGGCTCATATGTGATCAAGGTTTATTATTTCTTGCTTATATAAAGTTCAAAATATGCTCTCCATCAGCAGCCTGCTCTGCATCAGCATGTGAGGCAGGGGCCCAGGGTCCTTCCCCTGTGACTCTGCCATCTATCTCACGTGAACTTTCTGTATCCACCCAGCATAGGGGAAACAGCACAGCAAATCACATCCAGAGGTATTAAGGACCAGGAGTGGGGTGTCATGTATCACTTCTGTTCACATTCTTTTAGTCAAGACCAAACTGAACCACAAAGAAGTCTAGGAAATGTAGCCCAGCTCTGTGCCCAGGAGGAAATGGGATTGGTGAATCATGATCTGGCCCCACCCCAGCTCTAACCATAACATCAAATGTTATAGCATTCTGAACCCCCACTCCCACCCCACCACAGAGAGTATAGGGGCCTCCAGCCCAGGGACTATCATAGAATCATATCTACCCTTAGATCTGGATCCTGTTCTCTGGGTGAAAAAATGGGTGGATTTCAGCCAGAAAAGGAATACTCTAGACATATTTTATAAATCTTGGACCTCTTTATTATGAGAACAGACTATGAGGCAGAGCAGATGTAGCTGTTAAGGCCGTCTTTTGCAAAATTGAAGAAATTGTCTTTTCTAGTTATAAAAATAATATGCGTTCATTGTAAAAATTCAGAAAAATGCTGAAAACATTTTAAGGAAGATAAAAATCAACAATAATCTTTCTCCAAGATATGCTAAAGAATGTTTATATACACTGATATATTTCTTATGTACATATAATTTGAATTAATTTGTGTCTGCAAAACAGATCATACTGTGTGATATATACTATTTTGCAATCTGCTTTTTCACTTAACAAGATATGTTATGAACATCAATACATGTAAATAAATATAGATCTGCATCATAATTTTTGGCTACATATTATTTGATCATATGGACATGTGTGAGAATCATATAATACATTTAGCTTAGCTGAACAAGTGCAGACTTATTCAGTGAGACCTGGGATTATGTCTATCAGTTTATCCCCACAGCATGCCAAGATATCTTGCTTGTTAAATGAAATTCATAAGAGGCCATGGTTTTGGACTAGCCTCCTGTGCTAGGCTCCCGCAAATCAGACCAAACGGGAATGGAGTCACTCATGCTAGGTGCCACCTGATCCAACTGAGCTCTGAAACAGGCCAGTTTTTAAAAAAAAAAAGAAAAAAGAAAGAAAAAGAAAGGCCAGGAGAGTCATAGCAACCAATCTCAAGGGGCCCAGTTCACTTCAGCCGGCAAGCTAAAGAAGTCCCCTGGGTTTAAACTATACAAGGAAAATAACTTTGAAACAACCAGTCTGCTTTTCCTTTCACTGTTTCTGCTTTCTTCTGCCTTTTTCTGTCTGTAAAGCCCACCTCCTCTACTCAGCTCATGGGAACACTCATTTTATAGAATGTGGTGTTGCCCGATTCTAGAATTGCAAATAAAAGCCAATTAAGATATTTAAAGCAAATTTGTTATACTTTTGTCTTTTAGTATGCTCATGATAGATTCTCAACAGGGCTCAATCAAGCAGACCTTTGCAAAACTGGGGGTGCCTCTCAGGCTTTGGTGCGTATGCACATCACACGGGGATTTTGTTAAAATGCCGATTATGATATAGAAGGTCTAGGTGGGCCATGAGATTCCAGAATTTCAACAAGCTTCCCAGGAGATGCTCAAGCTGATAGACACTAATGTCTATCATTATTCAGCAAAAAGTCCGAAATGGCTTTTTGCACTTTATGAGTATAAAAAACCCCTTGAGGGCTAAATAATTGATTGGAAAAACAAATCTATGGAGTGCATGTATTTATTTGGTTGAAAGATGGCCTGAAGAGCTTTTTATAAATCTATGACCCTACTGGACCAGCAAGGATTTAGACTAGTCAACTAGGGGGGATTTTGCCACCCAAGGGACATTTGGCAAAAATCTAGAGAAATTTTTGATTATTATGATTGTGTATGTGTGTGAGAAAGAAAGGGAGAGGGAGATACTGGCATCTAGTGGGTACAAGCCAGGGATGCTGCCAAACATCCTACAATGCACAGAGAAACCTCCACAACAAATAATTATCTGGCCCAAATTGTCAATAGTGCCACTGTCAAGAAACTGATCTAAACTAGATTTTTTTTCAGATAATATCTCTCATCTGAACCATAGAACACAGAAAATTATTTTTTTGACTATTTTCTCAATTCTCTGAATTCTAAGTAACTGGTAGTAATCTAAATGCCTAAGAGACAGCTAATTCATTACATACAATGGATGCTTTCGGGAATTCCAGCTTAATTCTTGTCCAGAGCTCTTATTTAAAGCTGGTTGTGGCCAGGCATGGTGGCTCATGGCTATAATCCCAGCACTTTAGGAGGCTGAGGTGGGTGATCACCTGAGCTCAGGAGTTCAAGACTAGCCTGCATGACATGGCAAAACCCTGTCTCTACAAAAAAAATAAAAATAAAATAAAATAAATAATATATATATGCCAGGTGTGATGGCGTGCACCTATGGTCCCAGCTATTTGGGAAGCTCAGGTGAGAGGATTGCTTGAGCCTGGGAGGTCAAGGCTGCAGTTAGCCAAGATCGTACCACTGCACTCCAGCCTAGTGGCTCAAGGGAAGTCAAAACCTCATTGTTTCGTTTTTCTCTCTGCCTCCTTGTTTCCCTCCCTATCTCTTTCTCCCTCCCCCCCTCTACTTCCCTCCCTCCCCCCCTCCCCTTCCTTCATGAGTAGAGGGATCTGAAATGACTTTTTACACTTTATGAGTATAAAAAACCCCTTGAGGGCTAAATAATTGATTGAAAAAACAAATCTATGGAGTGCATGGATTTGTTTGGTTGAGAGAGTCTGAAGAGCTTTTTATAAGTCTGTGACCCTACTGGAGCAGTCTTAATGCAGAGCTGTAGCCAATAAAGCAAGTCCAGCCAAAGGTATTCAAGATCTGTACTTGAGTTTCTTGAACACCACAAAAGGGGTAATAGAACACGACAACATTTCAATACAAAGAAAATGTAAACATTTTGTTTTCTTCATTTTCTCGTATATATAGCTGTTCCCTCCCTTTCTTGATTGAAATACCACTCAATTCCTCCACCAGCCTTATCTAGTCTCAGACCTTTTATATTTCTCCCCAGTTACTCCCAATTCTGTGTCATAAAGGATCAAAAAACCAACCTTGCTGAGAAGAATCTTCCTTCTTTTTATTAGGTAGCAAGTGTAAGACTCAGGATTCCAAGAAATAAGCATCAGCCAGGAGGATTTTCAATAAACTCTTCTAGGTTACATTTCTACTCAAGATACCATTAGGTAAAACTGTTCAGTCTTCTGCTGATGAGACACCTTTTCTTGAATAATTTTGAAGTTCCAAACAGATCTGGAGACCCCAAGAAATAGGTCCACTTAAGGCCACGCTCCATGGACATAACATCCCTATGACTTCTCTCTCTACAAGGTAATCAGCCTTCATCATCAAAAGTGAAAATGACATTGATGAGATGCAATTCATGCTGGAGAATAGGGTCTGGAGGCAGGGCCAGTTTGCACCGACTTCCTAGAAATGAATCAAAAGGAAAACTCCAACTTCCCATGCTTAAGTAACAAAAAAACAGAGGCTACTCCCTTTGCAACCCGCACCCCTTTCTGCATCGCAGATGAGAAATGGCAAGTACCTCTGATTGGTCCCCTTCCTACAACCAATCAGACATCTGCATAGGGTATTACTTGGTAACTTCACTTCAGTCTGACTCGTCACCTTCCACAACCCATTAGACTGGTTGTGGGCCACTCCTTTATTTACATAGGGTGTAAACCAACTAACTACTGGGAAACCTCTAAAGGGTATTTAAACCCCAGAACGTTCTATAACCAGTGCTCTGGAGCCGCTGGCGCCTACTCCCACCCTGTGGGGTATACTTTCGTTTCCACAAGTCTGTGCTTTTGTTGCTTCATTCTTTGGTTGCTTTGTTTAATTTGTCCAATTCTTGGTTCAAAACGCCAAGAACTGGGACAAGTTGTAGTCAAGACCCTCCACCAATAACACAATTACGATTCTTCCTTTCCTATTTGGCAGAGTCAGACTTCCTCTTTTCATAAACAGAAATACGAAGTAGCCAGCAGGCCAAAATTGTCAAAACAAAGAGTGAGAGGTAAAGAGTGAAGAACGCCTGGTGATTTCCTTGTTTCACCTTCTTCCAAGCCTTGCTGTGCCATGTGCTCCTGGTGGCAGGTTACCCAGGAAGGAAGCATTGTAACTTTGTGGCTGACCAGGCAGGATGGTCACACGGCTCCTGACGCAGGCCCAGACGTATTCACGAATCACTCCATAGTGATTCTGATGTGCTGCCAGAGTTGAGAACTAAAGATTAAAGCCCTTGGCTAGTCAGGAGGATTCCATTCCTCCCCAACATGGGCTGTACCCTCATTTAACCAATGCCTTGCCAGCCCATGTTAGATGGATGTGATGGTTAATTGTATGTGTCACCTTGACTGAATTATAGGTGCCCATATTAAACCGTATTTCTGGGTATGTCTGTGAGGGTGTTTCCATATGAGTTTAGCATTTGCATCAGTGGACTCAGTAAATTGCTCTTCCCAAAGTGCATGGACACCATCCATTCGACCGAGTGCCCGAGTAGAACAAAAGTCAGAGAAGGGAGAAATTTGACCTTTTTTTCTCCCAGCCCGCCTGCTTGGGTGGGACATCTCATCTTTTCCTGCCCTCTGACTGGGATTTATACCATCTGCTCTCTTGGTTTCCTGGCCTTCGGACTGAATCTGAATTATACCACCAACTTTCCCAAATCTCCAGCTAGCAAAACAGCAGACAGTGGGACTTCTTAGCCTCCACAATCATGTGAGCCAGTTCCTCGTAATAGCTCTGTGTGTGTGTGTGTGTGTGTGTGTGTGTGTGTGTGTGTGTGTGTGTGTGTAAGGTCTCCTATTGATTCTGTTTCTCTGGAGAACCCTAATACAATGGACATCCTGTCTCTTCTAAGAAAACGGTGAGCCACATGCACCCCACAACACACACACACACCTTCCTTTGGTTTCCAGTTGTCTGGCATTTACCTTGGAGCAGAGCTTAAGTCTTTACAGTTGCGTAATTTAGGAGCACACACAAAAATGATGTTAGCAGAGAATATTTGCTAAGCAAATTAACAGTGCAAATAAGATTAGAGGGAGGTAAGGAGTATGTTTAAATGTTGAAATGCTTGAGGACAAACTGTGCTCAATCATCTTAAAACCATCCATTAATATGTAAGTAATTTAAAATTAATTGCAAATGCCTTTGCATTTAATTGCAGGCTATGCATTGTTGGAATGTGTGTGTGTGTGTGTGTGTGTATGTCTGTGTAATTGCTAATATATTTAGATTTCTAAAAGGTATATATATATTGTTAAAATAAGTAAATGACTGCTTTCCAACTGTTCTATGATTCACACATTTATATCACAAACATCCTCAACATACCAGTTTGTATCTATGGATTTGAATGAAATGGCATGACCACTACGGCCCGTATTTTGGAAACAGCAAGCCCCCGACTGTTCTTACAGCACCTTGCAAGATCCCCCACATACATATGGAACTTCCCAAAGAGTAATTTTCATCCATCTGTGAGTCACCTTAGGGGCACTGCCTGTCACTGCCTCTGCTATCCAAGTTCGGCCCCAAAGGGCCTCTGCTGCCTGTCCCACCACGGCCCTGACCTCCAGCACCTGCCTTGGCCTCTGCTGTTTTGCAGCTGCAGTCTCCTGCAGATTCTGTCTCCCTGAACCACATTCTTCCCTTTGACCTGGACCCCTTCCAAAGGGCGTCTTCCTGGCCCAGGTTCAGCTAATTCACTCTGGCCAACAGCACTATCAGTCACCACAAGACCCTGACAGCCTCACAGTCTCGTGTAAATTAGAAAGGAAAATATTCACTGCTTCTATGTCACCTTCAGATGGGTATGTCCCACAGCATGGTTCCTTGGGCCTCAGATTATTACCAGGTTGATTGTAACACCTGTCAGTTCACACTCCCAGCCCCTATTCTTCAAGGAATGGAGAAATGCCACCAAGGCAGCAGGGATGTGAAGATTCCATATCCAGATACCATGCTGTGTGTTCCAGAAATACCAACTCCACTCCAAACAGCAGGCTGACTCTGTGGCTGAGTCTGGCTGGCCAGGCCATATTTATCTTTTTAATTCCATATATTGAATTTTCCCTTCAGGAATCTACTCTTTCTCCCCTCTACCCATGGACCGCCCCCCCTCCCCCAACCACCTCAACCTTTCTAAACATGTTTGCACACATTTGAATCTCATTGAGGACATGGTTCAGGCAGGAACTTACCTCCAGTTTAATCCATTGCTGCCAGTAGATTTGGGAGTAGGAGTGGGGTGGGATGGGGGCAGAAAAGGGTGAGGTATTGATATTCAGCACTTTTCATGATCAAATACAGACACTAAAAATGAATTCATATAAGCATTTTCCTTAATCTACATCAGTGAGGAAACAAACTTCAGAAGTTCACTCATTTCTTCCCCTCATCAACTTTTAAGTTCCAGGGTACATGTGCAGGATGTGTGGGTTTGTTAGAGGTAAATGAGTCCCATGGTGATTTGCCCCACAAATCAATCCATCGCTTAGGTATTAAGCCCAACATCCATTAGATATTTTTCCTTATGTTCTCCCTCCCCTTGCCCCAGTGTGTGTTGTTCCCCTTTTGTGTCCATGTGTTCTCATCGTTCAGCTCCCACTTATAAGTGAGAACATGTGGCATTTGGTTTTCTGTTCATGTGTTAGTTTGTTGGGGATAATGCCTTCCAGCTCCATCCATGTCCCTGCAAAGGACATGATCTCATTCCTTTCTATGGCTGCATGGTATTCCATGGTGTATATGTACCACATTTTCTTTGTCCAATCTATTGTTGATGGGCATTTGGGTTGATTCCATGTTTTTGCTATTGTGAATAGTGCTGCAATGAACATATGTGTGCATCTTTATAATAGAATGATTTATATTCCTTTGGGTATATACCAGTAATGGGATTGCTGGGTCAAATGGTATTTCTGCTTCTAGACCTTTGAGGAATCATCACACTGTCTTCCACAATGGTTGAACTAATTTACACTCCCACCAACAGTGTAAAAGCATTCCTTTTTCTCTGCTACCTCACCAGCATTTGTTTCTTGACGTTTTAATAATTGCCATTCTGACTGGCGTGAGATGGTGTCTCCTTTTGGTTTTGATTTGCATTTCTCCAATGATCAGTGACGTTGAGTTTTTTTTTTTCATATGTTTGTTGGCTGTATGAATGTCATTCAGAAGTTCATTCTACAGTACTCATAGACTTCTACACTAGGAGCATGAGAGAAAATCCAAGTGTATTGGGGTAACATTTTGAAAAATTAAGGTATATATTTTCCATTACATATAGAGATAATTTTTAAGTTGCAAATTAATGAAAAAGGACATTCATGTGAGGTTATTGTTCAGAATAATTTAAAAGACCAGAGAATGAATAATACAGTACATTAAATAATACAACAACACATTCGTGTGGATCTTTTTAAAAGCTCTTTATTCCACATTTACTCCAATTTCCCAAATCTTGATTTAGACAGCATCCCAAGAGAGCTACGAAAAATAATTAGTAGTAGACTAGAACATTGTAATTTAAGTACCACCTTGTCCCACTAGCTCCAAGGAAAGCGTCTCTTGGAATGTTTAGAGATCTAGGAAAAGAGTTGCCTAGACTTTGTCTTTGATACTTTGGGTTTGCCAGCTACTGTCTTGCCCTTAAGATTTATCTTCTTCTGTGGTTTCAACTAACACTCCTACAAAAATGATGCTCAAATCTGCCTCTTCAGCCTTGATCTCTGCTAAACCTTGGATATACAACTCTAGGCCACACCTGACAGTCCTTCCACCTTCATCTAGAGCTCAGTGACTGATACCATATTCACTCATTTCCTTCCCACCATATTCACTCATTTCCCTCCCCCAAACCAAGTCTGTCTCCAGACTTGTCCATTTTCAATCAATCATTCTATTTTGTAATTTTAGTTACTGTAAGAAACTTAGTAAATATTTTTTCAAAGGACTGGGAGGCTTTCAAAAAGAGTTGTTTATTCCCTAGTACTGAGGTGGAAGTGTTTCTACCTCTCTTATTGCTCTTCTGAGGGAAGGAACAAGGCAGAATTATAAGCAGAAGATTATGATGGATGTGGAAAAAAGCTTGAAGGAAGGCAGCTACTATCTGTTGGCTGAGATGGTGAGTGGGCAAGGACTCCAGCACCAGATGCCAATTTGAGGTGAGGCCAGCGGCCTAAAGCCACTGCTCCCACATTCCCAGCATCCCAGGGAGCAGGTTGCTGGGTATGGTACCTCTCCTGGATGTGGTACAGGGTCTCCACTCAGCATGGCCACATGAAGATGGGTACTAAGAATACAGTGATGTCACCAAGCACAGCTGTTGCAATGTCTGCCTTAGAGTTTTGATCACAGCCTGGCTTAGGTTTTGTACTGTTACTGGCTGGGCCTGAGCACATTCTGTGCTTTCTGGCCTTTTCCACACCATGCTCTGCTTTCCCCACCCATTTACTCCACAGCTGCTGCTGCTGCTCATAGCCTATTCTCCATGGTCACTTTTCATGCCAATGTCAAGAGCAAGAATGTGGACTGACAGCTGATATTGACTGGTTCTTTGTCTTCTTGTTGAATTAAACATATTAGAGGGGAGTTGAACTATCCCAACTTTTCCTTTTACATTATTCTTCCAATTTCCAAATTTCCCTTAGTGGCTGAGAACAGAGACTCTCTAGCCAGGCTATCTGGGTTCAAATCCTGTCCCCACATTTTTATGAGCTATTTGGTGTTGGCCAAATTACTTAATTTCTCTGTGCCTCAGTTTCCTCATCTATTAAAAAGGGATAAATAGTTCTTATCTCAAGGGGTTATTGGGGGAATTAAATGATTTAATATATTTAAGGAACTTAGAATAGTGCCTAGCCTTTAACAAGTGCTAGCTATTACAGTTTTTATTACAGAGAAGGTATTCACTTCACAGTAGTGATCCATACCACAGTTGAAATGCTAGCCTTTCTAAGAGTTATAGCCTTATATATATCTAAGGGAGATAGCCTTTCTATCTTCATTAATTTCTATCTTTCATTAATAAAAATAGGTGACATTTATATAGCTAAATTGTAACATGTTACAATTGTAAGGCAGTACACATTCACTATCTCACTAAATCCTGTGAAATAGACAAAATGGAGGCTTTTATTTTACCTAGTGTATAAGCTTTAATAACTTGTCTGAGATCAGAGTTTATAAGTAGTTGAGTTAAAACTTATATTAAAGGCTTTTGACTCCAAATTCTGTACTCTACCTTATTAAGCTGCCTCAAATTTTTATTGATCTATTCAATCAATATTTGTCGTGTGTGGACGGATCTGTGATGAAGGAATAGCTGCCAACAGCAAGACTAAAGGTGGACAAACTGACTTACAGCCATCTGCCCAAGAGTTGTATTCTTCATAGTATAACATTTAATTGGTAAGTTGAATAATCGATTGGATCAGCTCACTAGTTAAAAGAAACTTTTTAAAGAGAGTGACCTCCTAAATCAGTCAGGGTTTGGTCAGAAAGTCAGAAAATTATTCTAGATGTTTTAGCAGGAAGGAATTTAATTCAGGGAATTATGTGCCTATTAGGAAACACGTAATTATGTGCAGTTAGAAGGATTGGGGGAAGTATAAGTCTCAAAGAGCCTCTGCAGCCTTTGAGGAAATTATTAAATGCCTCTGGCAGTTCGAGAACAGGCAGATCATAGGAACTCACCTGGAAGCCACTGCAAACCTCACTTACATCTTCCACAAATCCACCTATTGCTGCCTGAAGGGGAGTCATGATGGCTTGTTCTCTTCTGCCATCTAAATCTCACATCAGTGCCTTTCATTGGATGAATGTGAACCAGAGCTCTGCTGGCAAAGATGTCTGGGAAATGTAGTTTCTCAGCATCCGGTTATGTGAAACAAGGGAATAGGCTTAGAAGGACAAGGACGTTACTGAGTATTGATAAACACTAGTGCTTTTCCCATTGATTTGTAAAATGCCTAGTGATGGGGGCAATTCTCTTCCTCAAGTGCAGGAGGCTGAACCTCATTTAACCGAGACAGGTGTCACCATTAGCTAGTCCCATCACAGTAAAAGTCTGAAAATTTTCCCTTTGCTGCTGTCTTAATGGCAATAAAACTGCCAGAAGGTATGGCTTTTACAATACTCTCCATATATTGGGCCCATATAAAGGAGAATGTTCCAGTTTCAGAAGATCTTGGGGACTTGGGTTGTCATTTGTGTTTCATGATAAATATGTAGGTGATTTGCAAGTAGTAGTCAGGGAAAAGCCCTCACATTGTTCATGGCTCATGTGGCTCTTCAGCATTGGTGGTGGGTCATCTTCCCTTGAATGGCGCACATATTTCACAGTCAGAAACAAGCACCTGATTCCCATGTAGTTCTTGTGAATCTCCCTCTCCGTGCTGACTCTTCTCCCTATATAGTGCTTCCCTCAGAACAATCTCCCAGTCTTTGGCTGCATGTGCCCCCAGTCCAACTCTCCTCCCTCTTCCCACCCACAGTCCAGTAAGCCTTTAGGGCTAAGGGCCTCCCTTTACCTTCTTTCTAATTCCAACCTAACACACCATTCAATTTCCTTTCAGTTCTCAAAGGCATTTCCTCTTGAGAAAACCTGATTCTAACAAATAAAAAAAGTTGGTTTTCAAAACAACTGTTCTGGTAAAGGCTGCAAGAGCTTACTTTGTAAGACCAAAACTGCACATTCAAATATTTTTCTTTAGAGATATTTCTAGAATCAGATCCACATATATACAGTTACTTGATGTATGAGAGGCACAATAAGAAAAGGATCTTTTTTATGTCATGTAGAAATAATTAGATAGCCATATAAAAAAATTAACCTTAACCCTGACCTCACATTATCCTTAAATATTAATTCAGGATGGACAATAGCCTTGAATGTGAAATAAGTATTCTCAAAGAAAACATGGAAGAGTTATCTGTATAACCATGGGACAGGCAACAATTTTTAAAAATTGGGACACAAAGAACCTGCCATAAAATATAAAGCTAATAATAAATTGGATTTCATTAAAATTAAGAACTTATGTTCATCAAAAGGCACAAGTAAAAAGGCAAGCTGCAGACTGGAAAAATATTTTTTTACAGTATATATGCTTATTGAAAGATCGACATTCATGATATATAAAGAACTCCTATGAATCAATAAGAATAAGAAAACAATGAATATAAAGAGATATTCTTGGACAGGTACTGCATAAAACAATATATATAAATATGTATATAAAATAAATATAAATATATATAAATATATAAAATATATATAAATATAAATATATATCTCTATATAAAAATATCTATATCTATATCTATATATAAATATATATATAGATATCTATATCTATATATAAATATATATATAGATATCTATATCTATATATAAATATATATATAGATATCTATATCTATATATAAATATATATATAGATATCTATATCTATATATAAATATATATAGATATCTATATCTATATATAAATATATATAGATATCTATATCTATATATAAATATATATAGATATCTATATCTATATATAAATATATATATAGATATCTATGTATAAATATATATATAGATATCTATGTATAAATATATATATAGATATCTATATCTATCTATATATATATAAGGTTAAGTAACCATACGGAAATTGTTCAACATTAGTCACCAGGATAGTATAAATTAAAACCACAATGAAATACTATTATTACACACTTGCCAGGACACTACAATTTTAAAAAGATAGACAAAACCAATTTTTGGAAAGGTTGGGAGCAACTGAACGCTCACATTATCACTGGTGGGAGCAGAAAATAGTACAATCACTTTGGAAAACTGCTTGGAACATCTACTTGAACTAAACATACATTGTTTTCCTAGACTTATGCCGAAGAGATATAAAACATTTACATCCAACAAAAACATTCACAAAAATGCCCACAGAAGTTTTATTCTTAAGAGTCAGAAACTGGAAATAACTTAAATATCCATCAACAGTACAATGGATAAATAGTGACATTTATACAATGAAATACTACACATCAATAAAAACATGAACTACTGCTCCAAACAGATAAATCTAAAAGACATTACGTCGAATGAAAGAAACCAATAAAAAAAAAGTACATCCTGTAAGATTGTATTTATATGAAGTTCAGGAACAGACAAGTTACTCTGCAGTGATAGATGTTAGGATAGAAGTTACTCTCAAGAGTGGCTGGGTGTTGACTGGGAAGGGGCCAAGTGAGCCTTCTGGAGTTTGTGGGAATGTTTATATCTTGATCTGGGTGGTGGTTGTATGGGTATATACATTTGCAAAAATCCACTGAATCATGTGCTTGAGATTAGTGCACTCACTGTAGGCATGTCATACCTCAATTTAATAAGAGGGCAAAAGAGCTGATTTGGGAAATTTAAAGAGAAATAAATTTTTGTCTCTTTTTTTCTAACAATTTAAATTTTTCTCCAAAGAATGCATATACCTCTGACTGATTTAGGAAAAGGGCCGCAAACAAGAGATTCTGGAAAGAAAAGAGCACATATTTGCTTTTTCTTGCTATATATAGAGAGACATATGTATCAGGATAGGTGGTAGAAGGGCAAACATAGAAAACACCACCCTAGCCAGGTTGCCCTGAATGGCCCCAGTGTCTAGCATAGTGCTTTATGCACACAATAGCAAATAAACATTTGCTAATTATCCAACTGAGTGTTTATAAGCAGACTGAGTGTTTATAAGCCCCATTAAAGCCTAGGAAACAAGCACAATGGAGTCAAGGTGCACATATTTCACATGCTACCCTAGAATGGCCTTCTCTCCTTGATGCTGGGCTAGCCCACACTAGACCATGCTCCCCAAGCTTCCAGTTGGTCAGCATAGCCCTCCTTATGGAGAGGATGGGCTCACCTGATTGTTGCCTCTGGAGCCTGGGAAAGTCGCTTCAATGTCAACTTCCTGGCATGCCTCCCACTGCTCCTCTGGCTTTGCTTGGTGGCCTCTGAGTAAACTAGACAGGCTACATCTGAACAATTCCATCATCAGCAGACATGCTTATCTCAGTCTAGCCATAGACTTAAAAGTACCTGCACTTTACATTTTGAAAAATCCATCCTGTGTCTACAGAAATGAACATCCCCTCCCATGAACTCCTAATAAATATCTGGAAGATCTCAAGAAGTGAACCTTGGCTGACCCACTTGTGCACATCTTTAAAATCCCTCCCTTCCGCACTTTCTGTGGAGCCAGGCGAAGGGTCTGAAAACCCTTGAACACTTTTGTGAACTGTAAATTCAGGGAACTGTTAGTTTGGGGATTTGAGGAACAGATTTCAGGAAGTAGCAAGGAATAATCATGTTTGGGGTCATTTCATCATTGTCCATTCCCAAGGGTTTACATATGTTCTTTGTCTGTATCCCTACAGATCTGCATTTCCTGTTGGAAGGAAAGGAACCAAAGTCAGTATTCAATTTGCAAATGACATTAATCAAAATTGTATTTTAAGTGACAGCTCTTGGTAATGTGGGGATAGCTCCAGCTCTCACAGAAGATCTATTTTGTCTGCTTGAATATGAGCATACAGCAATGCATGTCCTCTCTGCATAAAAAATCATCTCATAAATATATATTTCTTTCCCATATGGCACATCTTTTCAGGCCTCGTTATATGTGCATTCAGAGGAACAGCTAGCAGTAGCTGAGCTGTATGACCAAGTTCATTCTATTTTAAGAATCTAAGACTTTGACCTCAGCTCAGAGCCATACTTCAAACAGATAGATTCTATGTCTTATGATGAAAAAATGGGAGTTCTTTACTTGATGAATTTATTTCATCATTTCTCTGGGATGGAGTAAATGAAGACAGTGATAATTAGAGAAAGTTTTTTTTTTTTTAATCTGTGTAGAATTCACAGAATCTGCAAGTTTGGGGTTACAGTGCAGAAGTCACAGACTCTGCAAGTTCTGAGTTATAGCTTAGAAGTAGAATCCTTTGGTGTTTGAACTTTTATTTTGGTCAAAATATGACTACAGGGGAAAAGGATTAGAACATTTTTTGAAAGACTTCCAAAAGCATCTTAGACATCAAAAGGGTTATATGAAACATTTTAATGATTTAGTGTAAATGAACCAGAAATTGATATATTGTATTTCCTTTAGATATACACAGGGCTTAAAATTGAAGGGAAAATGCTTACATATATGGTTTCTGATTTTATTGAATCAAAAATGTTTCTAAGACTGATTCTATGCAGGATAGAATTAAAGCAGAGTAGCTTGCTTTTCCTAAGGAAATAGTAATTTGGTATATTTTTAACTCATGAGTTCTATATCATTCCATATCCACATTGTTTAAATATAAATCATCTCTACTCATTGAAAATGCTTAGGCTACCATGGTAACAATACGTTTCATTTTCTTCACACTAAATAGCAACTTACAGCAAGTCTGAAAAAGACAGAGTGAAACGTGGGTGTCAGCAGAAATTACAAGGACATGTTAAGGTGGAGGTTGCAAGCTGGTGGCCCATGGGCTGAATCTATTCTATACTCATGTTTTATTTGGCCCATAGAGCATTTAAAATGTTCTTGAATTATTTACTAGCATTTAATATTCAGGTGATTTGATTAAGAAGATTCCTAGCTTTTTGATCAGTGGACAATCTGGTTACAGTAAACCAGATTGCTGCCTGGACCTGAGGTCAGGCTGCCTCTTCAGATGAACATGAACTCTCTGGTTCTGTAGTTTGCCACAGCCCCTCCTCAGTGGCTTCAGTTGGTTAACATCACCTGCCTGGTCCCTCTGGCCTTGGAGTGTGTGATCCATACTGAAGAAGAGAAGTAGAATGCAATGCTCTCTGAAAACTGCATCCTTCTTAAGAAAAATATAGAGCATTCCCTGCTCTATGCTCTTCAAATGAAAAATCAACTCCAGATTATTCAAAGTTTGAATAATCCTCAAATGCGAATTCTTTGCTTTGTACCTCCGCTCCATCCCAGATCTCCCAGCTTGTTCATAGACCCTTCATCAGAGGGGCAGAAGAATCTCAGGGAGCCACATCTCTGGCAAATATTTTAGTTATTGACACAGCTGCTGAAAAGAGCTGGCCTTTGAAAATAAAAATAAATTAAGGAATTGACTATTACAATTAATTCTTTAAGTTGTATCCTCAGCCGCTGAGTATGGGAAGCTACATATTTCACTGAGCTATTTAATTATTGCCTGGAATCTTTGGTAGACATGAAACAGCAGTTAGTTCAGTTGGCCCAGGTTTTTGGTTAAAACTTTGTCCTGAGGAGGGCAAGATAATGAGATCAAGTATGGCATGGCCCAGTCACATATTAATGACCACAGAAAATACCCTAATATCAAGCCAACTAACTTGCACAAGTAAATTGTTTATCACAAGGAAAGAGCATAAAAAATGTACCTGAATTATTAGGAAAACCCATCATCATGAGTAAATGACTAAAAACATAGTTGTAAGCAGAAAGATGTCATCTTATTACAGGGTTATTTATACTTGCTTTATAACCTTGATTTGAATAAAATGGCCAAGGCTATGCAATATGTCCAGTTTTATAACTCATAAGACAGCCACTTATTACATCCTAGAATCAGCTCACAATATAGGAATCCTACAACCACAGAGTTAGGATTAAACATGGCATTGGTTTTAGTAGAACTCAGTGCTAAAAACAAAATTTGATGTCCAGAGTTTGCCAGGATTTACCTTCCTGGCATGAACTAGAATCTGTGTTTGGTTACAAATTCCTTTCTAATTTAAACCGATGCAGACAAAACTCACTGTCACCACAACTATGCGAGGATAAAATTATCTATTCTACTTGTACTTATCTTTGACCTTTCTTGGGTTCAAATCTTGCCACTATTTCTCCTCAAAAAATTCCCTATAATAGCCCCTTCCTCTCCATTGTGCCGAGCTCAGCTATGGGGCAGTCCTTGGTGTTCCTTCTCAATGACAGTCTTAGGGGCATGGCAAAGAGATTGGCATGGAAGTTAGTCTTTGAGAAGATCAGAAGTTGTGACTTGCTGTCATAGTTGAGGAGGACATCTATTTGCTTCCCATTCTAGGTTTATTCAACAAACATTTATTGACTATGTACTCCAGACCAGATATAATTCCCAAGAGAAGACACTTAAATGATTCAGTTCTTTTTCAATATCTACAGTGATGGAAAATGGAATCTTCACTCTGCAACTCTTGCTAGCATATTATCTTCCACATTATATAGTTTCTCATGTCTAGTAAGAAATGTTTGCACTTATTTATCTTATTTATTGACTTAACAGTACTAATTTTTTTCTGTTTCTGAAGCTATTTCACAAGAGCATATCATAGATAGTAATCAAATAACTCTTGGATGCTCCTTTATTTGCTTTCAAATGAGTTGAATCAATTTAGTAGAATATTTTTGATGGGTATTTTGTCCCCAAAATGGAGAAAAAAAGGTCGTTTTTTGTTATTTTCCACGTGAAAAAAATTAACATTAAAACATGTATCTTCTGCTAAGGGTCACAAACACTTGGTTCCATTTTGAAATGCAAATTTGCTACCAATTTGTCACTACCAATTTGTGATGTGTCATCAGGGCCTGTATTTCAAGAATGGCATTTTCATTGCCAGCTCTCCCAGACTATCTCAGTAATCACCACAGTTACGCAGAGTTGCAGAAGGATCTATGGAAGACAAGAGGTTCCTACCAGCTGAGGAGTCAGATAAGAAAGTGCTATGCCACTGTAATGGTATCCCCAGCATGGAGATATCACAGCATCATGCTGCTCTAGGTGACTCACACTCTTCAGTAATTCAGTTTTCTAGGGCCTGACTTTAATGAGGCTCTTTGTGTATCCATAGGACTTCCCAACAAAGATGTCTTTCAGGGCCCCACTATAACTCAGCTGCACAATGGAAAGAGAAAATTATAAGAAGTCTTGGACACTGGAAATTTAGACACAAGAAAACCCAAGAGAACATGAGAGAAGAAAATTCTTCCACTTTTCTCTCAGGATGAATGCTTGGTGACTTTGAGAATCAGTACATTGTAATGGGATCCAGTGTACTATGAGATCATAGTGAAAGCCAATTGCTAATGATTTTAGTTAAAGATGAACCTCACAGAGACATGGAATACTTAAAGATCTCACAGAGACATGGAATACTCAAAGATGTTGAAACATGAGTGGAGAAATGTGTTTTTTAATTTGGGCCCCAAATTAATAGTCATTTATACCTATTTTCATGAACGTATCTTCTGCTAGAAGTCACATAAGTACACTTGAGACGAATGTTCAAGTAAGAAACCCCAGCAGTAATTTCCATACCACACAGCATAAATAGGAAGCACATCATGAGCATACTGGAGCTTTGCAGTCTGCATCCCCAGCTTAACCCTGTGCAACAGGCTGGCCAGCTACCAAGGACTAAACTTAATTTTTACCCTTGAGTATAAATTAGTCCAGCACAGGACTCCAGACCTGCGGGACTCCAGAGCTTAGCTCAGACTCAGCTTGCCTGAGCCCCACCATGCACTGCAGCCAGGTCTCTTAAGCCCACCAGCTAATTAAGCTAACTTCCTGAAGGGAGAATTTCAAATGTATGGGAGTTGACATCAGTTAAATACTACTGAGGTGGTAGGCAAGGAAAGGGCCATATCAACTCTTGAAATCTCATATCATTTCTAATTTTATAAATCTATTAGTAATTCCTACAGGACTGTAAGGCAAGTCTAAGACACGGAAGTTACATTAAAGCTTTATCTTTTGTTGGAAAAGGCTGTCATATAAAAACATTTTGATTCAGTAAAAAATATTCAACCTAAAACTACTTCAGAAGCATTAGGCCAGCCCATGCTGAGTATAATTAGATTATTCATTTTGAGAGGAAGCTAAAACACCATTCTGATATTGTCATCTTTTTTGCTTAGTGAGAAATTTAGGAGAATTATAGCTGGAACAGAAAAAAATGATATGGATGAGAACCTCAGTAACAAATGAGGCACCTTAAAAATAACCTGAGACATTATTAGGAAATACTAAAGGGTTCGCAACAAAGTAGGAGTTAGGGGTTTGGGAAAAACAGCAAGTACTCTCCATTGTTACAACTGCACACTGGTTATCACATGAAAAGTGAGGATGGCTCTTGGTTCTCATAAGGAAGTAAGAATACATGACCACAATGTTAAAACTGATCAGCAAGAAATCAGAGATCTCTTGTCAACGGGAGTGGAGAATTAAGTGGCAGCCTATAGAAGCCCCATAGGTGTCATTCCAAATAACATTACATTAGCTGGGAAAAGAACCCAATAAGCCCCTCTACAGAGATGCTGTAAAGAGAGAAGCCTGGGCACTGAAAGGTAAGGTTAAATATAGCTTACATTTGACAGATTAGAGAAAGGGACAAACCAGTAAATTGAGATGACAAAAAGACAAATTGCACAATGTTAATGAAAAAGAATCAAAGTTACAGCAGAGCAGCAGTTGGTGGAGCTCTGAAGAAAGATTAGAGATTTATGGTGAATGATCAGCTGAAGATATATGAACAATGTTGGCTGCCCTGGCAGATGCTGTACGAAAGATACAGTGGGGTGGATTGTAGCATGGTTGTGCAGGTCTCACCTGAGGGTAAGCTGATGAAAGTAATTGACACTGAAAAAGTTTAAAGTACTGAGGCACAGAGAAAATATGAAATATATGGTTATATCCGGGCCAGAGGAAAGAATTATGTAAGTGGGTTTTTGCAATTCCCCCCACCCTGTCAATATTATCTATAGATAGATGCATTATTTTTCCAATGTATGCACATGGAAGCATGATGATATCAAGAATGATAAAGGATCTGAGATTTTACCCAACTTGCAAAATGATAATTTAGCCTGCCACAGTTTCATGGATGCTGCCCGAGGACATGAGACTCCTGGTTCAGAGACAAAAGACATTTTGTTACTTCTATAAATAGCTATAGCTTGAGTATCATTTTCCTGCGTCAGTTCCCTAAGCCCTAAGTCCCACAGGGGTGAGGTAATGAGGGCCAGGTGACACGTGCACATGCAGTAAATTGTTTTTCAGGAGAGGAATTGTCAAGATTCCTCTTGAAGGAAGGAAACTTGAGTCCTCATAGTGGTCTACAAACAAATCTGCACCTTGCTCCAGAGGGAACACTGTATCTTCAGGGCTTGATTGTTATACCATCACTCTTGAAATAGTCCCTAAAAAAAGTTGCCAATTCTTTTACCTACAAGATGTTCAGGAACACAACAGACCAATGATGGTCTCTCAACAGATTTTATATATATATATATATATATATATATATATATATATATATATATATATATATATATATATATATATATATATGGATTCACTGACTACATAGAAATTTTTCATAAGTCTAATTTTTCCATCAGTGAATATAGAAAAGTACAACTGCTAACTTTTATTTCCATCCATGATATTCTTAGAAACTTATGTCACCCTGTGAGGTGGGCAAGTGTATTGGGCACACTAGTGACTGCTTTGTAAGGCTTGCCATACCCAACATCCCCTTTTAAGCTGAAACTGACTCATCCTTAGCCCCTGCCTTTGATAAGCAGTGTCCTGATCCATAACGACCAACAAGAAACTCTTTCTAGAAACATTGGCAATTAGCCAAGAGAAATCAACTAAGACCCCCTACAAAATTGGGGCTACCAAGTGCTCAAGAAATAGGCTGGGGAGAAGTGAAAGGAGAAAGATGCAGATACTCAAAAGGCTTTTATGAGGAAGGCCGTGTAGTACATGTGAAAGAAATGAAGGGAGTAGCAAGTCCGTGGAGCTACTGCAGACACCCACAGATCTCTTGCTTCAGATCCAGTAAAGAATGTCTTCTCAGCAACTTCCCCGTTTACTTTCTTTCCTTTTAAAAACAATTTATTATAAACAATTTTTATTATAGTTTATGTACAGAAAAGTGTAAAAATCACTTTCACAGATGGAACTCACCCCTGTATCCAGCACCCAACCCTCCAGAATCCTCTATCCTATTCCTTTCCTTTTTGCTAACTCCCACCTTTCAGGTCACTATCCTGTCTCCAGCAACATAGATATGTTTTGCCTATTAGCACGTACTCTTCGGTTACTAGATTTCTCTGTCTCAATATTAAGTTTGTGGGATGCATTCACATTGTCGCATGTAGCCTTGGATTATTTGTTCTAATTGCTGTGTAGCATTCCATTTATGAACATGCCACAGTTTATTCTTTATCCATTCTACTACTGGATGGTCATTTGGATACTCTTCAACTGGGGGTTATTGATAGTGTTGCTATGAGTATTGTAGTACACGTCTTCTGATAAACATGTGAGTGAGTATCTGTTGAAGTCCATCCATACAGGTGGAATGGCTGGGTCATGTGGTATGCGTATCTTCAGCTTTTACAGATGCTGCCAAAACTATTTTCAAAGTGATTGTAGCAATTTGCGCTCCGCAGAAGTGTATGAGAGTTCTGGCAGTTCCACATCCTTGTCAACACTTGATGTTTTCCATCTTTTTTATATTAGCCATCCTAGCAGCTATAAACAGCTATTAGTGAGTGTTAAACTCAGTATGCTTTAAATGTGAAACCGTTTTATCTTTCTAGCCCCTGCTCTCAACCACGCTGTCAAATCCTATTTTCCCATCACTTAATAATATGGTGGGGGAAAAAAATCTCAATTTTTGGGTTTTTCCATTATTAAAGTGTATTTGGGCTCAGTTTATAATATCAGTCTCTGATTCAGGGCTCATTCCCTCTTCCAGTCCAGACTAGACCTGTGGCTTTAAGAGCCTTAGAATGGAGAGGCACCCATTTACAGACCACCCTCTTCTCCCTTGTCTGGTTCTAGTTCTAGTTTGGGGGCAGGGAAGGAGTTTTTTTGAAAAGTCTTGCTAATTAGTTGTGTAAGGTCACAGTCATCTCCGGTTGGTGTGGCTGTTTCTCTGGCTACAACTGGTGTGGTATAATGGGGAATATTTCTTTTCTTTGTCCCCAGTTCCTGGCAGTTTCACAAATCCTTGGAATTTCCTGAGTGATAGGATATCTGTTATGCTAATGAGGTGACACTGATGGATCCCTAGATAGCTTTGGGATAAGAGATCTGGTCACCAGAGAGACCAACCGCATGGCTACGGAAATGGAACTTTAGACCACCTGACCTCCAGGGAAGGTGAGAGGAGCTAGAGATTGAGTTAAATCACTTGGCCAATGACTTAAGCAATTATGTCTAGTAATGAAACTCCAATAAGAAATCTGGACACCGATGCATAGTGGAGCTTCCTAATTGGTAAACACACATTAATGTGCCCAACATAAATAGGTATAGCTAGGGTATCATCATGTGCCTGGAGGGTGATATGTCCTGACTATACTTTCTCTCAGAATTTACCCTGTGTGTATCCTTTCTAATAAGACTGTAATGGTAAGTACGACCCTTTAGTTCTGTGAGACATTCTAGTAAGTTATCAAACCTGAGAGTGTTGTGAGAACCTAATATGTAACTAGTTGATAAAAAATGTGAGTGGCCTGGGGACCCCATGTGCAGCTGACATCTGAAGTAAGTCTTCTTGGGGACCGTATCCTCAAACCTGTGGATTCTGATACTAACTCCAGGTGGTTAGCATCGGAACTGAATTGCAGTGCATCCCAGTTGGGGTAGAAATGGAAGAACAGGTTTGTCACAGTTGTCTCCATGGTCAGTGTCTAGAGGCTGGCTCTGTCGTGGAGTTGCACAGTGAATTCTACAGAAGACTGGGAGGACTTTTTGTGACATGAAAGGCCTAGCTCCAGCCTGGCCACTTTCAGCTCTCAGCACGACTGGTCTCATTAGCACTTTGCTGCTGGAATGCCCTGGACAGCAGGCAATCCTCTTAGATAGGAGACTGAAAATACGGGTCAAGTCCAGCTCCCTTCTGCTGTGTGTCCCTGAGACCCCCAGGAACCTCACATGACAGGGGGAGGGTAAAGAGCTTCACCAATGCCCCCTCCTCCCACCTGGCATCGCTCTCCAAGTCTTTTTGTCCTGTTATGATGGCATGAAGGTGGGGTATCCAGCCCCCTCAGTAAGTAAATGTCCCATCTGGGATATGAAATGCCAGCTACCCCTTCCTGTAGGTACACCAAAGACTCTAAAAATGATTCTCTTGGGGCTCTCTCCTACTCCCCACTTAAGAAATTCATTCCCCCTGTTAAACACTCATGCCTTATAAAATGTAGGTTCCCAGCAAACTCTCTCTTCCCAGTCTGTTTTATGGGCCAGGGAGGGATTCTTGACTGGTGTTAATAGGACTTGCCCTGCCAGCTATTGGTAAAACCTGCAGGGAGATGCCTATCTCTCACTAGAATGTACGACATTCACTTAGAACCTCTAGTTTTCAGCTTTAAGCTTCTGCCACTTTTCCTGGACCAAGAGTCCTTTTATGAATTCACAAACACTGAACAGGCCAGATCAATCAGCAAATATATTTTAAGCAACTATTTTATGCACTAGGCTATGGAATGGAAATGGAAATGAATCACAGGATTAGTGGTGAGGGACCTCAGTAGATTAAGGGAGGTTAAATATCTGTAATAAGAGATAGAGTTGGAAATTGTAGATGAGAGAGAGAATTGGTCCTCACAGGGGACCAGATGTGGTTCTATGTTGGCAGTTTATAGTTTCCTTTCCCCACTTCCCTCATTGTAGAAGCACTAATTACAGGCAGGGGAAGGTGAACTGTGCATAACTAAATTGGATTATATTTATTGTTTCCACAGGAACCACACCATGCGGGGAATGTTTGTTCAGGGAATATGCTGTGTTTGTGTTCATTTCATCCAATTGTCCACAAGAGTGATTGAATTTTGTGTTCTATAACTTTAATACCATGAAATATGCTTGAAGTATATTGGTTCTAAACAGGATATGAATTTCAAAACTCCTGAGCTATCCCTTTGCACTGTCCTCCCTTGTACTTGTGTTGTCAATATTTTGTTAAGTTTATCTTCCCTCTTGCCCTTCCATTCAGCTTTTAAAAAATATAAAAATGTGAAGGCCATCTTCAAAGCCCTGCTGTTGGATCTGAGGCCTTTGCTTTTCTGGCTTGTGGTCGTTACCCTGATAAGGAGAATAATTGATGGTGCTGAAAGGGGATGGGACAGCAAGCAGTAGAATGTCCTGGTTGGGAGCTCAGGCTTAACCTGAGCTCACATTCAGGTGCCACCACTTAGCAGCTCTGTTACCTGGGGAAGTTGCTTACACTTCCTGCACCTCCATTTTATTATTTGTATAATGGCAATAAAAATACTACCTCCCTAACAGGACTTTTGGGAGGATTAGATGAGAAAATGCTTGTAAATCCCTTAGGACAGTGTCTGACCCATAATAGGGCTTAATAAATATGCCATGTTATTCTGAAGAATGGGGTAGGGTGGGGAGAAGGAATGTTCTTAGTAAATGTGTACAGAGTCACTATGAATTTTATAAGCGCTATAGCATTTTTTTGCGGACTGTGCTGTCTCCAGGAGGGATCTATAGCTTTTCATTAGGTTGGAGGGCCTTCTCAGTGAAGAAGGAAATTATCTCATCAGGGTTCATGTTCTGTGGTTGCAGTGCCTGCTGATGTTGATTTAGCTCACTTACAAAGCCACACACCATGAAGTAGCGTTCATCGCCCTCTGCATTAGCTTATTAATCCTCGGGTTATTCCTCTATGGTTGAAGGGCATATTTGCTTTCCAGTGGAGGCACCAGGAGGTAAAATAATGTGCCCCAACTGGGACGGAAAGAGACTGGTTGAACCAGCTCTGTTTCTCCCTCAGCCCACCATGGTTGGAGGTCCCATTTGCACTGAGGACTTTTTAATCCCTAAAATTGATGACTTAATTGTAGGTGTTTTATTTGCTAAGTGAGAAAGAGGCAGTGGGGGATTATAGAGTATAAACTTGACCAGTAATCACTTTGGATTTGAGTCCCTTTCCTGCCCTCTCTGCTATTCAACTGGGTGCAATTAATCACATTTCATTCCCACATCTATACAATGCAAGATCAGATGTGAGCAATCCTCAAGTCCCCTTCCAGTGCAAACGCTGCATGTATTCAAGATTTCGGAGAAGGGAGACTACTATTAATGACCCTAGTATCTTATTAAAGTAGAAGAGATTTTAATGTTAGCACTTTCTGCTTTATAACTAAGTAACATGTAGCAAGTTTTGCCCCTTCAGCAAGTTAGTCAAGCTCTGCTCTGGGCATCTTCGGACCCAAAGGAAGCACAAGGCAAGTGATCAGAGGGTGTCCTGACTGCACCAAGGCTGAGGATCCTGCCCTGGGCCCACCCTGACCCTCTTGGCTTTTTCCTGATGCTGTGGGTGGGGCTGCTTCATGCAGAGCTTCCTGGCAGCTGCTGTTTTTGGAACCTGTTTCTATGGGTTGCCAAAGACAGTGAGCTCATGGCATGGCTGTCTGGCCCAGCATTCGGCTCCAGGATCTCCTTTCTGCGAAGGCCCCTCTCCGTTCTCCTCCCAGGCAAATGTACAGCTGGCTTTGGTTGCATCTAACTGTAGTATGATCACTCAACTTTTCTCCGAAAATGTCAGGGGCTCAGTGCTACCCTCCTCAGCATAGATAGGTGCACCCTGACAATGTCTGTGGTTGTCTCTGAGTTGCTCATGGTAATATGCCACTGTCTCTCATGAGTCTATCATATAAGGGAGAAGCCCAAGGAAGCCAGTGATTCGCAAGTCTGTATCCATTGTCCCAAAATGCTACTTTCCCTGGGCTTTGGCTTTGGGTTTCTGGGGAGAAGTCCTGGGATCATTCTTTAGATTTTAGATTTTAGAACCTGGGTCCTTTTCCCTCATAGCTCATTGCAAAAGGAAGGTACATTCTAATTTCCCTGACCTCCTGACAGCCATCTTTTCTGTGAGACCATATACTTGGCTCTTCAGGCCAGAAAGATCCGTTTCTGATGGGGAAAGAGAATGGGGATAATAGTACTAAGAGCTACTATTTGTTTGAGCATCGTGTAGATTGAGCACTTTATGGGTCAAGCACTCCTAATAATGTTATCGCCATCTTAGAGATATTGGGCCTGGAGAAATGACCTTGGGGCCACAAAGCTTGTAAGTAGGAAAACTGGAATTTAAATTAGGCTGAGTCTAGCTCCAAAGCCAAGGAGGAAGCTACCAATGACAGGGGCTGATGCTTACAGGGCAGCAAGCCTCTGTAGCCCAGGAAACCACAGGGACTCTTGTTGTATAAACTATCAGTGCTCTTACAGAGATTGCCGCAGTGCCCTCTCCTGCGTCTGTCCACTTACTCAGGCAGTTGTCTCTGAAAGCGCTCACCAAGCTCCTGTTTGAGGTGATCTGAGGGTGGTGAGCCCTGCCCAGTGCTGGAGAATGAAAGAGGCCTGCAAATAAAGCTTCTGCTCTTCGGTAGGAAGTGCTCCTTCATCATCCAAAGTGGTCCCCACCACAAGCTGCAGGGAAACCCTGCAGAGCTGGAGCCAAATGTTCTACAGAAGTACCAGATTTGTGGCACCCACTCTGGTCCAACCTCCACTTCCCAATGTTAGATTATTGCATATATTGTATATATTCCATATACATGTGTATATATAATAAAGTGTGTATATTCTAAGTATGGAGCTTGAGGACTTTTTTTCCCCACAAATTGAACACACTTGTACTAACCAGCATCCAGCCTGAGAAACAAAACATTAACACTACTCAGAAGCCCCTCTGTGCTCCCCATCCACAAAAATGATCACTATCTTGACTTCCATCACCATAATTAGCTTTGGTTGTTCTTATGCTTTCTAAGTACACTGTAATAAAGTAAGCTAATACCTATGTGTGCTTCTGATTTCTGTACACACTATCGTATTTGTGGAAGGCATCCAAGGTATTGCACCGAGCTGTATATCATTCATTCTCCTTGCTATCAGTCTCCTTGCTGTTTGTGTGAAAATAGAAATTTTTATTTATCCATTCTTCAGCTGATGCACACAAGGGTTTCCATTTTGTGGTACTATGAGTAGTCATATACCTTCATTTTAAAAATGTTTTTGATGAAGTGTCACCCTAGGTGCTGAGTAATTAGGACTTGAGAATGATTGCCTCTGTCCTGGATTAAGTTGGACTTAGCTAGGGGACATTCCTGGATGCTTCGAGTTAGCAGGTAAAGTCAGTGAGTCCTAGGAAGCCTATGATGCCAACTTTATTTCACATAACTACTGTCCGCATTGAGAAGCCTAGGTGGGAAGGAATATGGGTCAGCTCATGCCATGAGATGCTACTAAAAACTCATGGGAGCACTGTGTCTTCTGGGGGCCAAGAATCGTGTTGGTCTCTGCCCCACAGGGAAGTCTACATTACAACCAGAAGTCTTCGAGACAATTAGGAACAGTATAATTAATGGCCTAGATCACTCAAATTTCATGACACAGTCGGAAGACGGGAATCTTGGGGTCTGTAGATTACATTTTGAGGTAAAACTCTATAACCACAAATTCAATGTTGTTCTCTACAGTAAACATTTCAGGGAAGTCTTGGCTGAAGGCAACCTTGAATGGCCAGCATTTTAAACTATATGTTTTAAGTCATGGCATGGTTTGTAAGTAAGAACCATGTACAAATGATGTTCTAAAGGTCATTAGTCTGGAAAATATCCAGTTGCATACCTGGTCATGTTCAGAAAACCAAAGGAAACCGACTGAACTGGAGAACCTGATAGTAACAGAGTATCAGGAAGAGCACTATAAACACCCAGGCCCCAGGAAGCCTAATCATATCTGAATCATACAGGTAACTATGTGAAACAGAACTACAGATTCAAAACTATTGCAATCTAATAAGTTTCCTCTTTCATTGCTCTTTACCTCTTTCCAAAAATTGGTAATAAAAAATTTCTGACCTAATGGCATTAAAGATTTGCTGATTCTTAAGTAACACATGATCATTTTAGAAAAATTGGATTATCAGAAGTTCATGGAGGAAAATAAACACCCAGAATCCCATCATTCACACTTAGCCCGTGTTAACATTTTGTATGTTTTTTCTACCTATATTTATCTTTGTTTCACTTAGCCTAACTGGGTTCATACTGTATGCCAGCAGTTCAAATCCTCTTAAGTTTTATGTCGTGAAGATTTTCACATGTTTAAATAGACTTCGAAAGCATTACTTTACTTTTATCTATTAGTGTATCAGATGCATGTGTCCAATTTGTTTAACTTCCTCCTACCCCATTTTATAGATATTATCTACCTTGCTGCATTGCTGGGCTCTACCTTATCAGTTAGATTCTCCCCCAAGTTATAATTTAAACATATGCAAATTATCCTCATTAGTAAATACAGAGTACAGCTATATGCTTCTTTCCTGTTTTTCTCCTGTGGGAGGCAAATTGTGATTTATGGCCTTTTCTTTAGCAAACATGTCTGTTCACAATTGTGTTAATGTTCTCAGTCGAGAAGCCTAGGAATTTACTACCCAGAATCATGTCTGCCAGGAGGGAGCTCAGGGGACTGGAATCCTTAGGGGCTGGAGGCACTGCCTCAGTTCTCCTCTCCACACTCAAGCCTGTGCATCTCTCACAGAAGACCAAACACAGCCACATTCTGTGTGCAATTGACAGTGTGGCATAGCCTTAAGTGCACTGAATGATCCTGCAATATTAACCATCTGAGCCTCTTTCCCCAAGCCAATTGCCCCTCTCACCCAATATCCAGGGAGTCCACTTCCTTCCTACATCCCACAGACCAAACATGTGAAACTGATATCCAGCTTACAGTGAGTTCCAGGGAGGCACAGGCAGGTTATCGGAGCCAGCAGCTACCCTGAGAGAGGAAGGAAACTGACTTCATAGGAAGGTGGAGTGGGGCTCCCTCCAGGATCAGAGAGGGGGGTCCAACTCGGCTCCAGCAGCCTGTGCTATTCACGGGCCAGGACACAATTGCCTAGAGGATACAGCCTAGTCCTGGTGAAGTCTGAATGACCTCCATTAATCCATCTAGGGCTTTATAGTTGTTCAGTTCCCTCAGAGACACTGTCACATTCAGGGAGGGCAAGACTCAGAAGTCACTCATTGTATACACTCACGCACACATGCCCCAGCCTGGCAAAGATGTGGTCCTTGACCTTCAGACAGGCAGAATGCAGTAAGAGCTCGACTACTCCTCCCAGCAGAAGTGAATAGTCTCCAGGTGTCTGTGTCCTTTCCTCAGTGCACAAAGCCACATCAGCTCAGCCAGGGCTACTTTTCCCCCCTTGCTTCCCTTCCAGTTGCCTCTTTCAGCTAGGTTAGCATTGGCCTCTTCTTACCCTCCCTGCAGGATTGCTCCTGTTTGTGCAGGAACATTCCTGCCACCTGGAGTCATCTCTCTGTATCTTTCCTCTTTGTTTCATTTCTGTTCACGGCAGAACGCCACAATTTTCTCTTTCTGTTAATAAAAATTAAGCAATCAATTTCCTTCCCCTCCATTACACCTAATTCCCTCTGTAACTCAATTATTATTGCAACTCTGGCAAGTGCTTCCCGAGGCAGATGGCAGGAAAGACACGTTGCCAAAATAAAGGGCATTGTGTGCAGAGGAATATTGTTTACATGGAGGTGATGACACTTCCCTTCCAAGGATAGGTTATTTTTCTAAAATCAAATTCATATAACTATTAATGTAATAAGTTTATTCAAATGTTGCCAAGGTTAATATAAGCACATGTAACAAAGTATAGGAACCACTAAAAATGCTTCCTATATATTCCTTTTTCAGGGGTTATGGCAAGTTAGGATAAATCTATTACACGAGTTTTTATTCACAATAAATGCAATAAATGCACTGCCTTTTGAGTTCTAAAATACCTGATTTATAAAGGTGTTCCAGGTTCTTGTATTGTCATAGTGCAGAGCAATGGAGGAAGATTGAGAGTATGGTCCTTTGCATTTAAACTGGGACCCAGTGTCATGACGAACTCCAGTTGATGGATTGATTGCCAATGACTGCCTAAGCTGGGGTGGGAGACAGATGAGAGAAGAGGACCAGAGTCCTAATATTCCTGACTCCTGGGGACAGCCAGAAAGAGGGTAAGGGGTATCATCCCCAGGTAGTCTTCCTGCCCAAAGGTGAGGCTCTGCAGAGCTTCACTGGGCTATTTCTGTACTGTATTGGATAGGACTATAAAATGGAGAGGCTGTTTTCCATAGGACGGCTATAAAACCAGTCTTATTTCATGATTTCATTACCTTTATAACACTTTCTGCTTTGTTTACAGAACTACCTTCATTTCTCCTTATTCTTGCCATCCTGTGTCACAGATTCTAGCAATTTGGTTCTCCCAGAAAACAGGGTGGTTGTTGAACTATGGATCTCAGAACCAAGACTTGCCATTGTAGGGGTTTGATACCACAAGTCTCTGCATTTGAGAAAACCTGGACATCTGCATCCATTAATTTCCAGAGTAGATGTGAGCTTATCAGGACACATGAAACTGGAGTGTCTGGCCAGGATTTTCCTTCTCTTTCTGAAATAAGTTGGATAAGAATTACATAAGTGATTAATAGAAATGTGAAAAGAGTGTTTCCTTTGTACAATACTTTTACAACATTTCGATACAGCAGGAAAATGTTGTTGATAACCCAGAAGATATAAGCATAAAGAAAATAAAATTATCTATAATCCCACTCCATGCAGATAATGGCCTTTACTATTTTATTGAATCTCAACTGGTTTTTAAATGTATATATACTCTTTAAAAATGGAATTAGCCATGTGTTTTCTATAGAAATCTGCTTTTTTTCCCTTCAGTACTGTTAATATTATTTCCATTTTATCAAATATACTTCTGCCATCATTTTAATGACTACAAAGTACTCTGTTACATGGATATGCCATAATTTTAAATAGTTCCCCTAATGGTTTACATTTAGAGCTTTTCTGAAGGCTAATTATCCACATAGTGATTAACTTTCTTATTGCTAAGACTTTGCATATATCAATTATTACCTTAAGACAAATTACCAGAGGTGAAACTGCTTAGTCAAAGATTCAAAATTTCAAAGGTTTTGATAAATTGCCAAACTGACCTTCTGAAAGGCTGGCTATATGATGCTTTGTAAATTATAATTTTTCAAGGCTACATAATTTGATTTTTATTTTCCATATCTGAAAAGGCACTATATGTACGTGTTTTGCATATATTCTATTCAGCCATGCAGTTAGACATCCTAGGCATTAATGTTCTTAAAAGCGAACATTTTTATCCATTTTTTTTAATTTAACTCAGACTATTTCTTCTCTAGGAGTAGTATCCCTTTTAGTGCAGCATTTTTGAAGCTCAGTCATTTTGAAAAGTATTCCCCATTTATATAACTATTATCATACTTAGCATTACAAATCAGTGGCCCTAGGCTTGCGATGGGATTCAGATGTCTGTTCACTTAGAGTCATTTTCATAATTTATTTGAAGAATTTTGCTCAATATTCATAAAGCCAAATGTTCAAATAGTTTATTTGCCAGGCTATTATGGCCTTGTCATTGTATGAGAGGCCCCTGCATCTGAGGCAGGACCACGGCGGCGCCCCAGCTCCGTGGAGCACAATACAGGTAACGTAGCTTTGGCTCCACTCCCAAAACTACAGCACACAGATGGTGGAGAACAAAAGGCCAGCGTGGTCCACCACGTTTCAGCTGTTCTCCCAGACTCATCCAACCCTCCCGGGTCTGCTCCCTGTCCCCATCTTCACTCCCCTCCGGAGAGCACCTCTGCTGCTCTTGGGCTGACAAAAGGCCATGCTCAAAATATCCCCAAATATTGGTCCAATATGACAAAGCTGAAAGGAGAGCAATTTAATGTCACTCAGTCCCTCTCATTAAATGTTGTCTTCACCCTCCCTCTTCGAATGTCAGAAATAAAGTCCATCTAGGTGCCAACAAATCCTTCTGATAGAGCGGTTGCTATAGCAACTTTATAGCGATGAATTCAACAGCAAACCATTCAGTCAGAAGGTGCTGGCTGGAAAGCGGCCCCGCGTGGTGCAGCACCTTCTTTTGAAACTAGATTGTTCTCTGTGACCTGGCATCTATTTTCTATTTCTGGGTTTCAGACACAATCCTTTGTTAAGTTATTTGATTTACTGTGGAATTAAGACTCCCAGAGGGCAGAAGAAGAGGTGGGGTGGAGAATAGCTGAAAGACTGGAAAAATATGACAAATACAGAAGGAAGATTTTTAAAGAGGGAGCAGGAGGGGGAAAAAAGCTTAAATAGAATCAATTCACTTCGAACCAGGTGCAGAAGACTAATGTGAATTCTGTGTTCTGTGAGAGGGTAAAACAAAATCAGCTCTATCCAATGTTGGGCTAGTTTAAAATAAACCTCATGCTATTATTAATATAATCCCTGCTTTGTAAGCCATGACATTTAACCAGGTAATTAAATAATAATTGAATAAGTCTGCAAAGCATAAAACCAGGCAGAAAGGCACATTCCCCTGAGGCGATTTTTATCAAATATTGACTTACTCTTCAATATTAATGATGGGGATTTAATGTTATATTTTATATTTACATACTGACTTTGTTTGAAAGACCCTTTGTAATTTATAGGTTCTTAAATTACACATGTGACTTGAATTAAAAGCACAAAAGAAAAATCCAAGGGAGGGGAATGTGCAAATTTAAGGTGTGGGGTGGGACGCAAACCTTCACTGCAGTTCTTGCAGCTGTTGGGGTCTGTCACTATCATGGTCTTCATATACTTGTTGTAAGTAACTATTCCTACTCTGCAAAGACACTCACTCCTTGCTGGGCAGAAGTGAAGCTCTTTTTTGAGCCGATTTTTTTTTTTTTTTTTTTTTTTTGGCTACCCTCTCTGGGAGCACTAGATAGAGATGAGTATTGTATCCCAAATCTAGTGGTATTGAAACATGTCTTTGTTGTTTTACTTTCATCATACTCAACCCTAAGAGAAGAATATGGTCAATATTCATGTAGAAACCATACTTGCATTGTTACACAGTTATATTGTAGGTTGAATATAGAAAGATATGCGTTCATAAAAAGCAAAATGCAATCTGAGAATTGGCTTTATGGAATTTAGAAGAATATTGAGTATTTTATTGTTTTTCTTAAACTGTGAGCTACATATCCTTTACACCAGTAAAATTTAAAGTTATATACATATGCACATATTTTTTTCTTGGGAGAGCCGATTGTAAACCATTTACCAGCACACCACTAGATTTGAGAGTGCTCTCTTTGCTGAATGAATCCGATTATGGCTTTCCAATACTGGAAGCATATTCTGCCAGTGTTTTGTGCCATCCACAATGTTAACGACTACAGACATAACTTGCTTTTAAGCTTCACTCACATTAGAATTAAGGACGTGATGAAAAATGTTAAACAATCAACAATAAATTAAGCCCTTATTAATGTCTTATAAAATCTCTAGTCTCATCTTGGCAAGCCACCAATAACACCACTAAACAGAGTTAAGAGGTGAGCAGTAGCACACAGTTATATAGTATTTTTGCCATGCAGATACAAAAGAAATAACCTCAAGAATATAGAGAATAGTAAAATAATTAGAAGATGAGTTTTAAGTATTTGAGCTTTGTTCTTAGTATGACTTAACTGTTTAATTATAGTAATTACTGTGTTACAGAAATTTTCAGACGTTCTCACAGAATTTCTGAAAATTTAAAAATTGGCTTTTGGGAGGTGGTAAGAACAGGCTTTATCTCACCAGTGCACCCTGACCCTTCCTGTGTTTACCTCTGCTGAAGCCTGTGTCCAGGGCTCTGCCAAAGCTGCTCATACTGTTGGTATCCTCTGCCACCTTGCACTCTGGTGTCCTCCACCAATAAGCACAGCAACACCTACAGGGAATCAGCCACCTACTCTGTGCCATGTACCTTGAATGCCCAGCCGGCCTTTGGGGCTGTGGCCCTGGGTAGCCTCTCAGCTGTCCTATGCGTGAATCTCCACGTCCTGCAAAAGTGCTGCTCCCCATGCAATGTGCACCCCAGTTCTTCCCGCCCTGCCCCTTCTGCCTGATTCAAGGCCTTGCTCTACTCTTCCTTAATTCCTTCCTACTGGCTATGTCAGCTCTGTCCTCTCAACAATCAGGGAATTGAATATAATCCCTAATTATTTTTTCTGCTTTGGCTCAGAATGGAATCTGGTGTTTTCTCAATTCCTTTCCAGGGCATCCTTTAACTTCCTTGGGGGACTCATTGTCACAGTGCAGTGTCCCTGTCCCCCCTGCCCCCTGTTTTCAATTCAGGACACACTACTTAACCACTTTCAGATGACATGATTAGAGGTAGCTGGCTCAGTTTTCTTCCAGGTATGTAATTCAGCGATATACCAAAGACTCCCTTCTCTGTGTGTGTTGCAGAGGAAGAAAAAGGCAGGAGACACTCATCCCTATATTAGGCCAAACTCTTTTGGTTACAAATAACTGGCTTAAGCAAAAAGACAAAAGGGATGTATTGGTTCATATTTAGGATACTCCGAAGTGAAGATGGCTTCAGGTAAAGCTGGATTCAAGGGTTCAGATGAAAATCATGTAGTGATTTGTCTTCTCTTTCTCTCGTTTTCCATCTTTCTTTTGTCTGTTGGCCTCGTTCTTTCCTCCTGCAACTGAGCTTTCCAATGGGACCAAGGAAGGTGCATAAGCAGCAACTCTAGGCTGACATGGTCTCACTCAGCAACCACAGTGGTGAGACAGCATCTATCTTTCCATGCACAGAAACCAGAGGACTTGCTCTGGCACTGCATGGGTCATGTGCCCAAGCCAGCCCAATCGCCTGTGCTCTAGTGGACCCAGGGTCTAGCAGGGGAAGAGAGTGGGTGGAGCAAGATGCTGTCAGTACTCCAACATCATCCCCTTACTCTTTCCTGTTTTCGTGCTCACCTGCCACACATCCAAGTGTCAGCCCCATGTCTCTTTGCCTAAGGGCTCTGCTGTCTGGCCTGTTTGCAAGATTGGCCAGAAGTGCCTGGGATCAGCCCTCCACCAGGGAGTTGGTGTATAAAGACCCCAACTTTCTTGGCCCTCGTCTGGGCTAGCGATAGCCTCATGCTTTACATTGCTCCCCTGGCTTCCCCAGCAGGTTTGAGCTCCTTGCTCACAGTGGTAACCAGCTTCAAGACACAGCCTTTACTGGATTTCTTCCTACTCCCGTCAGGTCTCCACTCTTCCCAGTGTCTGCTTGCACTCAAATCCTTGTCTCAGGGTTTGCTTCTGGGAAATCTCAAACTAGACGAGAAAGAACCCAAGTTCAGCCCCTCCAGGGCCATATGGAGTGGTGTGAGGCACTTCCCTTGAGGAAAGAAGGCACTGGGCAGAGTAAGGGAACAGAGGCCTACAATCTCTGCAGCCATCCTTATGGTCCTGGCACCAAGGCCCTTCTCTCTCTCTCCCGCTTTCAGTTAGGGGACAGGATCCCACTTCCAAGATGCCCACAATCACTTTTATTTTCCAGTATTCCAGGTTCCTAGACAAATGGCTTCCAATCAGTCCCCACTCTCCCCTCCCTACCACGGAAATACTGAAGCCTGGAGAGGCTGCTCCACTCACCCACGGGGGTCCTCTAGGCTCACCCATTCTTTCACTCCAATTTCGGACAAATAAATGCTTGATTTTTCAGATTTTCCAAGGGATATTTTTAGGATATATATAGGCAAAACTCATATCAAACTGCTATTTAGGAAATGTGTTTCTTAGTACTGTGCTTCCCCTCACATTGCCCTGCGACTGACTCTTTGAGATATTCCTAAACTGTTAGTAAACCAAGACTTATTGGTAAACTGAGGACAATACTCACATATTTGCCCCTCTGTGTTCTGTAACAGAACCTAGGGGGGTTTTTAGATGTTAATGTCTGCTTGTTCTTTCCAGGGATTCAAAATAATTCATTCCAGGGATTCAAAATAATTCATATTTTTATTTTTGAGACAGTCTCGCTCTGTCATCCAGGCTGGAGTGCAGTGGCGCAATCTCGGCTCACTGCAAGCTCCTGCCTCAGCCTCCTGACTAGCTGGGACTGCAGGTGCCCGCCACCATGTCTGGCTAATTTTTGTGTTTTTAGTAGAGCAGGATGGTCTCGATCTCCTGACCTCATGATCTGCCTGCCTCGGCCTCCCGAAGTGTTGGGATTACAGGCGTGAGCCACTGCGCCCAACCAGATTTTTTTAACATAAAAATTTTTCTATTAAAATTTTCTTTCAAGTATCATTAGCATTCATCAGAGAAAGCAAAGCCCAAAGCAAAAAATCAAAACCAGCTCAACCTATAATTTAACATTGAGAAATTTCCTCCATTTCCAGACCTCTGGCTTTTGATAGCACATGATATCCCACATTGGTTCAAAGAAATTCAGGAACTTGCTCCATACATGCGATGTTCAGAGAAACCTTCAGTCCCTTGTAGGACACAGCACTGTTCACACCTCTTAGAGGTCAGCCATATTACATAGGGCCACACTGTACAAAATACTAAGGGTGTGTCAGGGGGTGTGACCCTTTTCACTATATACAAGTCAATGATGTAACAGGTACTATATGTGCCTTTGGTAATATAACTTTTTAATTAGCTATATCTGCTGTCTTTGGGCAAGTTGTATTTTACATTGTGAATGTAAAAATTTAAACTTAGGTTTTAAAACATTTACAAACATTTTTGGAAAATACTTCAAATATTTTGCATTTTTCTGTGCCTTGGAAAGAGGATGGTGAAAGCATTTTGACTTATTCAGTTTGATGTCTTGATTTAGGGTTTTGATAAATAGCCATCATCACCACCATTATCTAAGCTATAAGAATGATGTTATCAAGCACTTTCAAAGTAGAGTTGTTTCATGTTCCCTTAAGCTGTTAGACTACTGTGCTCTGTGAGGTCCCCCTCTTTCTGCTTCCTCTCCCTCTTTTTTCTATGGTTCTCTAGCTGACTGTCCCTAAAAGCCAATGTTTTCCTTTGCTCTCATTAACTAACAGCAGATAGTACTTAGCACCCACTCTGTGACCAACACTAATGTAAGTCCTGGGACTTTGGCAGTGGACAAAGAGAGCAAGTCTTTGCCCTTATGGAGTTTACATTCTGGCAGTTGATGCCTACTTATCTTCTTTAGCTCCTCTCTTTTCCTTGTCCTCATATTCCAAACCAATGAAACAAGTAGAATTATGTTTACAGCATAAGCTCTGAACAAGGGCACAGGGTCTCATCCACGATTCATTTTTTATAAATTTCAGTGCATGCAGCATGTAATATGAATTTTTAGGTACTGAGAACTCTTCAGTTCTTTCTGGTTTCTCATTAGTGTGCTGGATGGTTCAATTTGTGGGACACTAGCCTTTGGATAAGTAGTGTCATTTAATTTGATTCACATAATACTTTGAAACAGACACTTCCCTTTCTGGCCCAATGGAAAAGACAGTGGCACGTGACATAAAAGGGTCTTATGAATTTTTGCTTAATATTCAGAAGAACTTTGTAGAATATATGATAAGAAGTGCAAATTGGGGCTGGCTTTGCTGGTGCACTCAGTTGGTTTGGCATTGAGCAGATTCCAAGGTGGAATCATAATGTCCCCAACAGCTATCTTGCAGCCCACCCCGACTATGCTTGTGCTGCAGCTTAGAGAAGAGAATCAGGCCCCAAGATCAAACTGTACTCTTTAGATTGTCCCATTTTGGGGAACAGCCTGGCAGCTGCCACCTGGTCAATCCCTCCATATTTGGCGCCTGGAACAAGGCAGCCTGCCAACCTGCCACCTGAGAGCTGTTTTTCATTGCTGACTTGGTCACTGATTTTTTTAAATTCCACTTGTTTTTCTTATATGTTCAAGTTTGGCCAAAAGGAAAAAATAGTCTTCAGTTATCCAAGTGATCATGCTGTGTACATACATAGGAAAGAAAACCTGAACTTTTTCTGGCTGCCTTACTGACTGCTGTAAATTGTCCTCCAGCATGCACAGAGTGGAGCCAGAATTTCCAAAGAAGGACTCCAACCAGGAAAATCTGGATGTGCCTTGCTTTTCAGAGAACTGCCCTCTGCTTTTTAGGCACCCCCCTGCCAACTCCACATCCATGGAAAAAATTTGACTTATTATGGTTGTTTTAAAAGAGACATTGTTGACTTCAGACAGAAGCTAGACTGCAATCTAAGGACCCAGAAGTGAGCAGAACTTCTAAGAAGTGAGTCAAAAGTAAAGCAGCCCATATACCGTCAGTGACAAAGTCAAAAAATAAAAGCCTCTTAAAAATATTTTTTGAAGTCATACATGACATTCTATGTCTCCAAACCATTTACCTGTAAGTAACTTTTAAAAATCTCCCCCAAGAAAGTATGCAGTTGAATCCTACAATATGAGGAATTTGAGGCTTTAATTATGGGAAGATAAATGTAGGGAAGGGGATCATAGGATTCTATTTTCCTCCCTCAGCACCTAAGCTACTGAGAGGCACTCAACTACTTCAGTCAAGAGGGATGCAAAGACCCCCCAAGCTAGCTTTTGAATCCATAAGACTTCTTGGTAGCGCAATATATGAAGCTTTTCCATGAGGGCTTAGGAAGAGAAAGGGACCCATGTTTCATAAACTTCTCTGCAAACACAATTAAGTTGCCAAAGACAAGCATCAGTTCTGAGTTAAGACAACAAATCTTTCATCTAGGTCTACCATACATAGCATGGCAGGAAAGGGGTCTCCTACCCAACTAACAGTTTGAGGACGGTCCAGTAGTCTTTGCGCATGGGGTGCTCACCTTAAGTTCTTAGGTCCAAAGTGAGGTCAGTGAGATAGATGGGAGTCCCCGCTTGCCTTACAGGAGCACATAGGTTAGGGTGAGGTGGAAAAACTTTACTCTCAGGTTTCGAAATGTGATTTTCCTGAAGCAGGTTAAAATACAGCTTTGCTAAGTCACATTGTAATTACATAGAATACTAAAATTTACACATAAAAATTCTTATGTGACTTGAAGTAATGTCTTATCAAGAAATTGTATTTCTATTTATGTGATTAATGAGTACTGATAGTTGTCTCAGTTTTAGTTATTGTTGCCTTTGAATATCTCGGCTTTCACTATGTTAATTGTATGTTTCATATTTCCAAGATGTTGGAACTCTTTATGGCTTCAAATACATGTTTTTCAGAAAGATACAATGCTAAAAGGTTCCTAATTGTAGAGAGAATTCATATTTAAATTTTCTTCCCCTTTGGAGTATGAATTTTGTTTCTAAGCACAAGGTAAATGCTAAAGCCTTCTTTTAAAATTGTTTTACCCTATAGGTGCATGTCTAACTCAAATAGAATCTCTAACATGATCCCCATGTGCTGCTTATTGATTCTCTTGGCATAACCTAACAGTGATATTTCTGAAACCAAATCATTTGGCAGGAATTTGGCAATTGTTTCTACTGAGGAAGAAGTGAAGAGGGTATGTACTAAAGAATCTAATTTCTTTGAGCACTGGTTGAAGCCAAACCCAATTCTAGATCAAAGTTTTGTTTGGAATCTGTTATATAATGAGCTTTCTAGAACAGATAAATTAGATAATTATTAGAGTGATAGTGTAAATAAAGTTTTGCCAACCAAAATATCAAAACCTTTTAACCTTCCAATGCTAGAACTGAGAATTTCGGAGCTTCAGTCCCTTCCTAGCACTGAAAAAAGCAAGCGCGGAAAGCAGATTCTAGGTTGGCTTATGGACAAGAGTCTTCTGTTAAGAAACGTTATGGCACACCTCAGTTTATGACTGTATTTTCAAGGTTAGGAACCCACACATGTAAGGAAAACCTGTAATTAGTCCAGTGACTTGGTGGATTGTGGTAGATGCAATCATTGCCAGTAAGGGAGGATTGCAGACCAAGAGCAAAAGAGCTGGTCATCCATTGCTGCACCTTCTCATTCTTGCTTTCGATTTTGTAAAGTCTCCTCTGCCTTGATCACCACACCCTCCCCTCCCCACGTATACTCAACATACACATTCACTCCATTTTTACCCATCTGTGCAAAGATGTAAAATCCAAATGCTTTAAAAAGATTAGAAAATCTCTGAAATGCATAATAAAAGTGCTTAGCTATATTAACAAATGAATAGGACACCTTGTGAGAAAAACACGGCTGGCATAGGACTGTCATTACATCCCTCACCATCACAATTTTGCACCTGCTCATCTGCTCAGGCAGTACTTCTGGCAGTTGGCAACGCACTTGGGTGCAATTTGAAAGACCTACAAAAGTTCCAAGCAGCCTTCCAAACATCATGGTGCCTTTTTGATTATTCTCCCATCTATTCCTATGGTTTAAATGCAGTCTTATTTCTTTTCCCATATTGCCAAATGCTTACTTCTATCAGTCTCCATTTAAAAGTTAGACATGAATAGATTTTACAGTGTGCATAAGTGAGAAGACATTCCAGGCTGTGCAAAGAGACAGGGTTAGACAACTGAAGGGAGTAACGTATAATCCAATGGGGCCATGACTTGAGAACAGTGTAGGAGGGTTGTTACCAACTGGTTCGTAGTGGGTCTGTTTGGATTTGAATACCACCTCCATCATTGTGGCTTTGTGACCTTTCCATCAAAACAGGATTTGTATTAAATTCAAAAAACACAGTACTGCCTACAATTTACAGGGCTCAAGCCAAAATGAAAATGTGGACTTTGCTCAAAAAACAGGAGAAAGTGTCACTAAAAAAGGTACTAAGATAGAAATTTTTTTCTTCTGCTGTTCTGAGCATGGGATACTGCTGGTGCTGGGTGACCACAGACTCTTACACTCTCACAGGTTCCCTGAGGACCCCTCCTTGTGACTTGGTGCATGCATGTGGACCACGGGCTGCTGAGCTCTCCCTCCTGCAAGGCACTAGCTGGAGATAGGGAAACTGGGTCACGCAGCTCCTCTTCTCATGATCCTTCTGTCCAACCCATGGCAGATACGTGATCCCCTAGGGATTGCAACCTCTTGAAAGCGACTCAGTACATGGATCGGGGTGGGTAAGAAACTCTCCCCAGCAGAGCCACCTGTTGCTCATTGGTTTGCCAGTCCAGTATGGGGACAATTGCTACCATGCCCCCAAGACACCATGGGGCACCTGTGCCTGATCCCCACCCTCCTTGTGCTAAGTCCCTCGTCAAGGGGCAGAGGGCCTCAGTGTTTGCTGTATGGGAGCTCAGAAGGAGCAGGGTTTGGTGCAGAGAAAGAGTGGGAGACTGAACGATGTTTGAGCTAAGTCTCTTAGACCCTAGTGCATGCATGCTGCTTCGTCCCATTGGATGGCACTTTAACGCAAATTCAGATATAAAATTGGGGATTTTAAAGAAATGCGAGCATTAAACTTCAAGTGCAAGGCTCTTCTGAGGATGGATACTGCATAACTACACTGGTCACTCACCCATGAAGCCAGCCCTGAAAAGGAATAATACATAAAAATCTCTTTATACAATGCCAGAGGCAGTCAGTAGTCAATAAATACATACTGCTAGCATTGTTATTAACTAGACGATCTGCATGGAATAGAACATAACATGTTCCAGTCATGTGTATGGATGTGGATATGTTGGTGTCTGAGCAAGCAATTATAACAATCCTCAGTCCTAGGAGGGTTGTGACTCAACTTCCAAGAGGACTCTTGACCAATTCTAGAACTGTGTGTAGCCCCATGCGGACTTAGCAACAAGTCAACTGAGGTACCAGCAATTGCTTTGGCATGACTTGGAAATGCCAAAGAAGCCACACACACACACACACACACACACACACACACGTATATGTTAGGTAGAGAAAAGTGAGTTTTTCCAAGTCAGCAGCTAAAGGCAGTTCCAGCTCAGCTCACCATTAAAAAAACAGTGATAGGAAGAAGATCTAGTAAATCATGGGATTGCGCAAAGCCTTTTCTATCTCATCTCGTTCATGTCTGCAACTTTTCTTCTGTGTTGCTAGGCAAATTGACTTTGAATTGCCAGTCTCCAAGACAAACATCCTTTGGGTAAAGAATCATCTTGGGAGTAAATGTCAAAATTTGCTGGAAGCTAAGTGAGCCCAGGTGAGGTGCCAGCTATGCACCAAAGCCCCTAACTTCGAGGGCCTGCTTTGGAGGAGTCATGTTTTCCATAAGCCCGTGAAAATGAGTTTACACACTTTCTAAGCACAACTCCTTAGATGCTGTCTAAACAATGTTCACTTTAAAAGCTTGATCACTCCTTGCTACACGCAGACACACACCATCACAACTATTCTGGTTCTGTTTGCACAGGCTTTTTAAATATTTGGCCCAGGAAACCTAGGGTATCAAGTGATTGCCTCAGTTTGACAGAAGGATCTTTCACATCCAGAAGTCAGGATAGGCATAAAAGAAGCTGCCAGAGAAGAAAACCTTGAAACATCAGGAATTTCCCTTTGAAAATACATAGGAAAGGGTATCTAATGGGAGGGAAGGCCTATTGTTTCCCCACTGAATGATTCATTAAAAATAACTGTCCCTATAAACACTCTTCAGAGAGCTGACTTTTTCATGCTTAAGTTCAGTTAAAATTTCCCTTATGACTAAGAGGTCAAAAATATTCTAGGCCAGGCACGGTGGCTCATATGCCTGTAATCTCAGAACTTCGGGAGGCTGAGGCAGGCAGATCACAAGGTGAGGAGATGGAGACCATCCTGGCTAACACGGTGAAACCCCGTATCTACTAAAAATACCAAAAAAAATAGCCAGGCTTGGTGGCACATGCCTGTAGTCCCAGCTACTGGGAGGCTGAGGCAAGAGAATCACTTGAATCAGGGAGGCGGAGGTTGCAGTGAGCCAAGATGATGCCTGGGAGACAGAGGGAGACTCCATCTCAAAAAAAAAAAAAAAGATTCTGGTCTGCAAATGCAAAAGGTTGCACACAAGTAATTCTGTAGTTTTCTGAACTGAATAACTAACCACCATAACTATAGTTGAGTGATATCTGCTATATGTCAGGTACTGTCTTAAGCCCTTTATAGGAATTAATCCACAATCTCATAACCAGATACGGAAGTTATTATAGCTTTGAGTAACTCGCCCAAGGTAATGTCGTAGCAAAGATTTGAGCCCTCCAGTCTGTCTTAGAGTACACAACTATGAGGCTTAAGTTTAAGTCAATGATAGTGAAAGGGTTTCATTTAAAGACTCAGCCTAAAGGAGGTACAGTAAGTCTTCAATGTTGTTGACTGGTTCTTAGAAACTGGGACTTTATGCAAAACAACATAAGGAAATCAATTTTACCATAGGTTAATTGATAATAAACAAGAGTTAAATTCCTGTGATATATTTCTGGTCACAAAAACATCGAACTTTGAAATAGAGACCAAAGCACTTCTAATTTTAAATTTTGAGATAAAGGTGACTTATACATATAAGAAAAATTAATAAAACAAAATAGTTACCTAATTATTTCAGTTTGGGTCACAGGTGGCAGGACCCTATCCTGGCAGCTGAAGGTGCAAGGTGGGAACTAACCTGGAAAAACCACTACCATCCTATCTCAGGGCACACTCACACCCACAGCACACAGATGGGGATAATTTAGACACCAATTCGCCTCATGGGCTCAGCTTTAGGATGTGGATGGAAACCAGAGTACCCAGAGAAAACTCAGACATGGGGAGAACATGCAAACTCCACAGACAGTGGCCCTAGCTGGGAATCAATTATTTTTTCTCATCAACCTAAGGAAACGATATTGAACAAGAAGTTATTGGAGCTGCTGCATTTTTAAGGAGTGCAGTGGCGCAGTCTCAGCTCACTGTAAACTCTGCCTCCCGGGTTCACGCCATTCTCCTGCCTCAGCCTCCAGAGTAGCTGGGACTACAGGCACCCGCCACCACGCCCAGCTAATTTTTTGTATCTTTAGTAGAGACAGGGTTTCACTGTGTTAGCCAGGATAGTCTCAATCTCCTGATCTTGTGATCCGCCCGCCACGGCCTCCCAAAGTGCTGGGATTACAGGTGTGAGCCACCACGCCTGGCCCATTCAAATTACTAAGATTGAAGTTGGGTGTAAAACTAGAGAAATCTTGGATGACTCCCAGGTTTTTGATCTGAGCAATTAAAAGGTTGAAGTTGCCATGGATTGGAAAGGGGAAAATCATGGAAGAGGTAGGCTTTGCGGGAGACTCTCGGGAGCTCAGGGTTGAGCATATTAACACTGAATTCCTATTAGCCATCTAAGCAGGGAGGTCAATTAGATTCTGGAGGTGAGAGGACAGGACTTGCCTAGAGATGTAAGATACAGTTTTCAGCATGTACAAGTATTTAAAACAGTGAAAGTGCATAATGTCACTGAATTGAACAACGTTAGGAAAGTTTAGGTAGTGCTACTCAAAATACAAACCACTGATCAACATCAGCATGGCCTGAGAACTTGTTAGATATGCAATTCTTGGGCCCTCTACACCTACTGAATCAGAAACACCTGGAGTGACGCCCTGACCCTTGTTGTAATAAGCCCTCCAGGTGTTTCTTTTACTAAATTTTGAGAACCACTGGTATAGAAATTACGGTGATAGGAAGAATCTGATAAGGATCAGCCAGGAGGGAAGAGGAAAACCAGAGGGTGTGGCATATTGGAAACCAAGCCAGAAAAGTGTTCAAAGCAGAGGAGAGTTGATCTGCTGTGTCACATGCTCCTGAAAACTGTCCATTAGAGTTACACATTGTCTACAGCCTGGAAGTCGCTTCTGTCACTTGTAGTTGAACCTTGGTAGAGTTGTTTGTGGACCAAGCCTGATGAGGTGAGTTTGAGAGAAGTGGTAGGGTGGAGAGAAGTTAGAGATCACAAAAATAAGTCTTGTTGGAGTTTTGCCTCAAAGGTAAAGAAATGAATAAGAGCTAGAGAGGTAAAAGGAGTTAAGAAAAAAACTTTTTTTCCTCCCTGCCCTTTCCTCCCTCCCTTCCTTTATCCCCTCTCCTTTCTTCTTTTCTTTATTTCTCCCTCCTCCCTCCCCCACCCGCCACTTTAAAAAAAAAAAGAAAAAAAAAAGAAGAGAGCTACAACAGTATATCTTCATGACGTTGGAGCTGATCTGCTGCAGAAGGCAAAGGCAAGAGCTCAAGAGAGAAGGGAGGGTGCACGAAGAGCAATATTGCTGAGCAGGGCGCCTATAAATAGGAGTCGCCCAGGGCGGGGCCAGCTCTATGGAGCATGCGTGGGCTTCTTCCCCCTTCATAAGCCGGAAGGAGGATTAGGAGCGCCGGAAGCAGTAGGCAGAGGCTGGTGGGTGCGTTCGACGCTGAGATGAGAAGCAAATTAGGGAGTTATACTCGGCTTTCTTTCCTTTGCTGGGTTGTCTAGGAAGCAAGGTCACCAACTGAGGGTGAGGAGCATGCAAGGACCATAGGGGAATCGGACGACTGCCAAGCAGCAGAAGGGCCCTCTAAGGGCATTCAGTTTTGAGATTTAGCAAGCATCAATCAAAGTAGTGATTTTTTTTTTCTTTTTCTCAAAGAAGCCTTTCAAAAAAAAATTAGATGCACTGTCTCTCTCTCTCACTCTCTCACATACACACACACACACTCATATGCAGAAGAGAAGAAACATCAGAAAGCCACTGTGAAAAAACTATCCTGAAGCAAACGTGGGCTCTGAATTGCCGTAGCATGGGAAGAAAGGAAGGCTTTTGGTTGAAAGCATGACCTGAAAGGTGACATTTGAGCATGTTCCCCAGATGGGCGCGAGAAAGGAGACAAAGGCAGGATATGTATATACTGCCTGTCAGCTACACAATGGACTTGGGCAAGGAGTAGATCTCAGCATGTGTGGTTTGGGGAGTAAGGGTCGGTAAGAAGAAGGAGGTGGAGACACAGGCAGGGGTAACCGAGGTAAAGGAGAGGTCGAGAAGTAGAATGGGGCATGACTGGAGGAGATGAAGCAGGGCTGGGCTGTAGACGCAGATGTTTCCACCTGAGCCCGTTCTCCAATTCCCAGCTGTGTGTCCTTGGTCAGCTCACTCGGTTTCTGAGTCTCATATCCCTCTAAAATATCACATCAGAGAGCATAGCATACAGTAAGTACTCAGAAAAAGCTATTAATACTATTTGAAGCAATAGAACTAAGGATAAATAAGGGAACCAAGAAGAGTTAAAAATGACAAGCTGAAGGAAAAAGAAGGATAAAGCAGATAATTATTAAGGTGAGGAGGAAAAGTAAAATAGAAGACAAAATGAAAAAGTAAGGAGGAGAGAAAAAGAATTATATGGACGGTGGGCCAGGCGTGGTGGCTCACGCCTGTAATTCCAGCACTTTGGGAGGCCGAGGCAAGTAGATCATGAGGTCAGTTCGGGATCAGCCTGGCCAAACACGGTAAAGCCCCGTCTCTACTAAAAACACAAAAATTAGCTGGGCATGGCGGCAGGCACCTGTAATCACAGCTACTAGGGGGGCTGAGGCAGGAGAATCATTTGAACCCGGGAGGCGGAGGTTGCAGTGAGCCGAGATCACGCCATTGCACTCCAGCCTGGGCTACAGGGCGAGACTCAGTCTCCAAAAAAACAAAACAGAAAAAGAATTATGTGGACAATGAGACTGAGAAACACACAAATAGGAAAACAGAGAAAGGAGAAATGGAAGGTGCAAATGCAGTACACAACTTTATAATCTCAAAATATAAACCCAATCATATTTTTGATAAAACATGAAGGTTCTTAGAGCATCGTGTCTTTTCAGAATGTTTCAATAATGTACAGATTTGAATACCAGGCAATGTAAATATCATTAGCAAAACATTGAATTTTAGGAAATTCCAGGTTTTGATTGATAGTTTTGGCATTCTAAGATGACCACATCAGGGTCCAGTAAGTCATTTGATGGCATGTTTATAATGTTTTCTATTTTTAAAGGCCTTTTATGCAATTTCTTGGGCAATGATCAAAACACCCTGAGTGTAGGATGAGGCCCATTCACATTAGCAAGGTTCTGTTAGTCCTTTTCAGAAGAGGAAAAGGTTTGGAACATTCACCTCACGTGCGGTGCTCCAGAAAATCAGCCACGCCCTAGATGTCAAATTAGGAGGAATCTGAGGGGGCTGTGCCGGCTTTGTTTTGGAACTCCTTTCAGAACCGAATGGGCAGGTTTGTGCTTTTAACTGATGGAGCCCTAAGGGAGCCAGGACGAAGGTTTTTCCAACCTCAGCACTTTGCCTCATATGCTTTTTACCATGACCTGTGTGCTGTTTAGAAATTTTCTAAAGCTAGTAATAAGTATGCTAGAAATGTGGACATGCAGGGAAGGTGAATTTCTGCGACCTTTCTGAACCTATCTGAACTTCATTTGCATTTCGATCCCCCATCCCCTTTCCCAGGATTGCGGCTAAGTCCCAGCTGATGACGTAATTCTAAGGTGTTGGGGAGGGGAGAAATGAGTCCGAGCCCTGCCTGCCGCCTTTGCCGGCTGACATTCCGAGATGTATATTGTTCCATCCAAACATCTGACATCCAGGCAAACAGCCCAGGGACAAGGGCAGGGGCCCCACCTCCCTGAGATTCTCAGACTTGGCTGGGACCTGCCCAGTGGTGGGGAAGGCCCCGCCACAGTGACCCACTGGACTACCATCTTCCTTCCCTTCTGACTGTCCTTTCCCTCAGTCTGGATAACTTTCCCTAGTCCAGGGTAAGGGATGGTGTCAGAGGGAAGGGAAAATAATTCTAACGAATTACATAGTTATGCAAATATTTTATTTGTCTTAGGCCTAGGCTTCTGGACGGGAGATGCCAAGAGTTTGATTCTCTTGTCATCCATGCTTGGGTAGCAGTATCCCTTCCTGGGGGTGATAGAGACGAAATTCCCAGGTGTTCAAATTGTTGCTGAGGTGGGGGTGAGTGTGGGGGAGCAGGGAGCAACTACCCCAAGGTTGTTACTGCACGGTTGCCCCACTACATGGGCATGGATGCCTCATTCTAAAATTGTTTCACCCTGAATGGTAAAACCAACACAATGCTCAGCAGGCTGTGATGCTGGCACTGGGATGCCTGCACATCGATGGTGAAGGGCCCAGATGCCCTCTAGGACAGTAGGATGGTGCTGATGACAGGCGTTTGAGGCAAGAGCCCCAAGCAAAGAGTGGAACATATTCTCGCATGAATTCTGGAATCCTGCTCAAAGCAAATTTTCCAGTCCTGGGGAAATTTGTTTTTAAGTTGCCATGTGATGGAGTCTACCTTGGAGGCCCCATCTCACTTGGCACCATCCCACTCCAAAGAGGCCTTACTTGAAAATCTCATTTTTCTTACAGCAGATGCTGGGTTTCAGTCCAGATGCCTTAGACATGTTTTTAATGTATATGCAGTGCTGGGGCTGGGATGGAAATAGAGCCAAAAAGTGGTGGGAGAGTGTATGAAAGCCTCCCCCTTCTCCTGCCTGGCTCTTTGAACATATTTGTTTTCTCCAAGAAAATTGGCTGGAGGTAGCAAAGGCTACAAAAGTTAAGCCTGTAAGGAGCTAAGGCTAGCAATCTGGACTCATGATAGCTTCCCAGTGGAAGATACTCCTGGGGATCTTAGCAGGACTCTTCCATCTCTGGGACGGTGGACAGCTTTGTTTGGAACAGCAGCTTTCAAACTTTAATCAGCTAGGGAGTTTATCAATAATGCAGATTTTCAAGCCTCTCCCCCTCAAGATAGTCTGGTTTCTTGTATCTGGATTGGGGTCCAATAATTAGCATTTTTAGTAAGTTCCCCAATGTGATTCTGATACAAATGTTCCCAGATCACAAGCTGAGAAGCACAGTGGGTGGGACCTCTTTGGTGGCTCTTCATGACGCCAGCTATAAAGATGCCTGGGTTTCTATGAAGCCACCTGGCTATTCCCCTCCTGTAGCTAATCCCTAAGCCCCAGAACTCAGCTATTCTCTACAGCCAGGTGAATCCAGACGCCTCCTGTACCTGCCCACCTATTTTCCATTAACAGTGAAATAGCACTTGGGCAATTGTGAATAACATTGAGTCCACAAGACATCTCAAAACAGGCATCTAGAAGCCAATGTAAATAAATAATGGAAAAGAAACATTTGGGCTTGCTTTTGCAACTCTGAAACACTTGATTGTCAGTCTCACACAGTTTAAGACTTGCTTATATACTGCCTGGTCTGTTTGTTCTTGTGTGTCTTCATCTTCCAAATAAAATGTAACTTCTTGGGAAGAAGCCTCAAACTTTTCTCTTATTTCCCCTACAGCATCTACTACAAAATTGGTATTCAACATAGGATGACAGTTTCTGACTTATAATCAGGTTACTTTCAAAGGTTCATTTTTCAGCCAGTTATTTGGATTTTGTTTCTCATTAGGACAACGTTATAAAGTGTAGTTATGTTCCCAGACCAGCCCCCAAATGTCTATTTAATTGGCAACATAGCTGAGTAGTACTACAAGACCTGAAATCATCTACAATAGTGCTTTTATGGGGAAATGCATTGCAGATTCCAACTGAAGATGCCAGGAGATCATTTTTCTGACCTTGGTTCCAGGACAGGCCTTGACCCATGTATAGTTAGAACTGTCCTCCTGCCTCCACACACACACACACATACATATATTAGACTGGCTGTCTTGAGGTGCATGTTCCAAAGTTGGGGAAGGGGTGGCACAAGTTCCTGTTGGGAGACTGGACAGGGATACAGGGCAAGGTGTGCTCCTGCCAGAGTCAGGGCAAAGGGTCTGGAAGAAAGCACATACCAGGGATTTAAGTGGGGAAGTGGTACTGGTGGGAGACTGAAGGGATCCAGAGGGCACAAACTCTCTTGGCTGCAGTTGCAGAGACCAGCTGGGGCTGTCTTGGCAGTCACAGCAGTGGCAGCACAAGCTGTAATGGCCACATTGGCTGGGGTCCCATCATAAGCCTGCAGATATGTTTTGGGGTAGTGGCATTTTAGTTATTAATTGCTGGGTAACAAACCACTCTAAAATGTAGTGGCTTAAAAAAGCAACCATTTTATTTGCTAATGATTGTGTAATGTGGGCTTGCCAGTGGCCATTGTGTGGCTGCAATCAGCTGGTGGAGAGTTTGGGGGTCTGTATTTTTGTGGAATGCCGGGACTACTGGGTTCTCTCTTCATGTAGTCATGGGACTTCTCTATATGGCCTCTCCAGTGGAGTAGCCAGACTTCTTACATGGCAACTCAAGAGAGCAAAGAAGCAAAAATAAACTTCTAGGACTCTGTAAAGGTAGGCTGACCACTGGCACAGTTTCACTTCTGGTTTCAGTGGTCCCAGGACAGCCCAGATTCACGGGAAGGGGCTTCACAAAAGCATGAATTCCAGGAGGCATGGTCCAGTAGGGGCCACCAAGCCAACACATACCGTTTTTGGTGTTCTGTGAGAGGCCCTGAGGCCAAGAGTATTTTGTTAAGAGTATTTCCATTATGACCACCACAACCAGATTGCTAACGTTCCTAGAAAAAGCCTCTAAATAATTTACTTCTCACATCTTTTCATGTCTAAAAGTAAGTCATCTTTCTGCAGAATCCATCCTGTCACTTTTTCCTTCACATTTTCTCACTCCATTTTTTTTTCATCAACACAGCTACCTACTTTACATAGGCAGCGTTCTCAGTCATAATGTCACAACACCTTGGTAAATTACAGTGGATTTTGAGGTGTGTCAAGATAATAGCACATAAATCCCTAAAGTTTGCAAGTAGTTTATTCTTAAAAAGCCAACTAATATAGGTACGAGGTTAGCCCTGTAATAATATTCCTCTTTGATTTATGTATTTACCCGAGGAGTAGAGAGAGGGGTGGAGTTGGTGATAGTGCTTTGGAAATCGGTGTGTAACCCTGGTATGGCAGAGGCAGACCTGGCTGCTTCCCCAATCTCCTCTTCCCTCTAGCAAAACTTCTGTTTGATTTGTGGTGGCAATGTGCCCAGCCTCCTCTCCATCTAAGTATGGCAATATGACTAAGTTCTGGCTAATGAAATAGAGGAAATAGTGTCTGAGACTTCTAGAAAGGTTGCTTAAAGAAAGCAGACTTAACTGGGAAGGGAGCCTTTGTGGCTCACTTTGGATTTCTTCCTCCTGTTGCCTGTACTATGGATGTAATGATTGGTTCACCAGCAGCCATTTGGGATCACAAAGTGACTTTAGGTTAGAAATCAGACTCAAAGATGGTAGGTATAGAGATAGATGGATTAGTAATGACCATGGAGCTTTGTTCCAACCCTGGACTCTAGAAATAGAGATCAAGATCAAGGTGGACATAGAGAGGTTCTTTTTGTTTAAGCCATTATTTTGGATTTCCTGTTATAATCAACCCTATCTTCTGTACTTGGTCATACCCATGAGGATATATAGCCTATTGTGAATTCCATTGCTGTGAATATTGCAGCAGAAAAAATGGTTAAGAACCAATGGTCAAGGCTGTGGAGAATTTTCACCGGGACTCTCTCTCAATCTCTGTGTTCATCAGCCCTCTTGTCAATCCTTAATGGATTGAGGAAGTATTGTTCTGCTTGGACTATAATGATGCTGTTCTTTGTCTCAAGGGCTTCCCATCCATTTCCTAAAGATCTTTCTTATCTGCACTCTTTCATTTGTTTTTTTCTTGTGTATCCGCATTGACTAACATAGCACCTGACACAGTGTAAGTTTAATAAATAGTTGTTAAATGAATGAACAAACTTATCTTCCCTGTGTCTATGCACAGAATCTAGAATGCCTTTTACCTTTCCTGTTCACTACCACATTTCTATTTTGGCTGTATAGCTTATGTTCACCAAGCCCAGGACTGAGCCAGATAAGCTTGGTAACCAAACTCCCATTAGTACCCATGAGCAATACTTGCCAAGTAGATGGTGTGTTTGTTTCATGTTTAAGACATTGCTTTACTTGGGTTCTGTAAGAGGAAGGAACAGAGTCCCACTAGAAGAGGAGGGATCATTCATTGCAAACCAGTCACTCTCCTAATAAAAGCAGAGATGAGTACGTGATTTTAGTCAGGACAGGGATGGGGAAATAAGGAATAGAAGTGACTGAAGAGATGACTACTCAGGGGAAGAGGCATCTCTCAGCCTTGACGTTGAGGAGACAAGGCCATGGGGAGGTAGTTCCCATAAAGCAGGAAATCAAGTGGCAGCTTCTCTATGGAGGTTTAAGCTGAAAAGCAAGAAAACTTGGGTACCATGGGATCTAGGGCCCACCTAGGTAGGCATCTCTAGTGGGGCCATTCACCTGGTATTTTCCATTCTTCTCACATAACTTCGTTGTAGTAGCAAAGTAGGTTCTCAACCTTGGTATCTCTTATATTTATTCCTATAGATTTTTTTTTCTTGTTTACAATTAAACCATTTTATTTCAATTATTTGAATTATGAAGGTACATATTTAACATAATCCAAATAATAAAAGTGACAGTCCCTTACCTCTGCTTTAATTTTTAACTGAAGACTTTATGAAGATGATAAAAGGGCTTGATGAGAATGATTACGCCCATATTCTGAAGTAAGAGCTAATGCAACTTTCAAATATTAACTGCATGCAATTAATAAGAAGGTATACCCTAAGCTTTATAGCATTCCTGATTCCCTTCTCATGGAGGCCCCAGAGACAGCCTTTAACCTGTGGGGCTAAGGGAGCCATCCCTCTATTGGTCCAGTCTAGAGCCTGTTGAATGTTCCATGGTAATCTTGCCTCAAACACTGTTATCCATGTTTAGGTGTCTGCTGCTTGCTTCAATGTATTCATTATTAAATTTTACTTTTTGGCTTATAATTTGCCCAAATGCAGGTTTCGAAGATGATGTCTTTATGAATTGATTTCTATGGAAGATCCTGCTTTCCTCTAATATCTTCTGCAAAATATTGTCTGTCACTCTGGGATAAGGTAGCTCTCTGTTTCTCTAACTCGAAGGCTTATGATGATTATCTTTGCAAAAATCAGCATCCTCTGTCCCGGTACCATTTGCAAGCTCGTGGGAGGAGTTCTTTAAATACTCATTGGTTGGAAAGAGGTTCTTTCTGATTGAACTTTAAAACAAAAAGGGAGAAATGCATTCCTGAGATCCAACCTGGTGGGCAAAGGTGTAGAAAACATGAGCAGCCTTTTAACCCACCCATAAGGAAGATCTCCATGTAGTGCCAAAACCAGGAAAGTGTGTGTTGTGTGTGTGTGTGTGGTGTGTGTGGTGTGTGTTTTGTGTATGTTATAACCGTTGTTCCATTTAAGCTTGCAATAGCCACCACTGCTCCTTATACCACATCATGTATGACCCTTTTCCCTGTTCATGATATTAATGTTTTCTGTAGATGCTTGCTTTGTTTATATTTGACTAAACATGGTTTGGCTGGTAGTGCATATTTCTCTAATGTCCATCCTAGTGAGTGCTATCTCAAGTCTTAAGTTTTTAGAAATATAACTCCCTGCTAATTTGACTATTATATAGCACAGAGCTCCATGTAAACATGGTGTTAAAAATCAATTTTGATGATGATAATTTATCAAAAACTTTAGAGAATGATACTGATATGCCTTTGAACAAGGTTGAGGTTTTGGTATAGCCCCACTGCTGGAGTGTCTTCCTTCAAAAGATGTAGGCATTTTAAAACCAGATGGAAGCACAGTATAAAAAGCATTTGGTCACACTTTCCAAGGGATTAACTGAACTAAAAAAGCATAAACATCTCACACAGATTGGCGATGCTGGTGCCGATGACAATGATCTCAACCTTTTACTTTAAGGAATCTTAAACGTTTTTGGAAATAAACATATCTGGACTAGAAGCCAACCGTATAAATAAGAACTAGCCTCTATTGCTCCTGTCTGAAAAGAAATCTGAAGGGGTTGGTTGAGATTTGTTGCACTTGTCTTAAATAAGTTGAATATCCTCAGCCTTTCCTTTCTCTTACCTTTATTGTTTATTTGATTTTTTTTTTCATAGGAGTCTGCATCATTGCTCCAACATGGGTAAAAAAATAGCCTTCAGGTCTAAACATATTTACTTCTCAGAGCTTGTATTACAGTTAGAGCTGGAAAATGAATGCCAAACATAAATTCCTGCATGCAAAATGCTTCCCCATCTACATGGGCTTGACAATGACCAAGTCTGGGACTCAGGATGGTGGAGGCTCGTTTAGGCTGTAACCTCCATGAGGTTGCACTGGTTATGCTTTGAACTTTGACTGTAACCCACAAAGTGATACTTTTCTTTGTGTCTTGTTGAGTTTTGGAAATCTTTCAAAGTTACCATAAAATATTTAAGACACAAATAGAAAACTCTCAACTATTCCTGCATATCATTAGCGTGAGAGTGTGGAATCGTTTTCGCAATGTTGACACTGTCCATTTTTCCGTGTACTTAAAAATGTTTATTTTTAGTTTCTTTTCGTCTGCTTTTCAAAGAGTACCTGGCTTTCAAATATCATTTTCTCCAGGGAGTCTTTAATATTCCAAACACTCTGAAGAAACATTCCATGGTCATTAAGGCTGTCAGAGGAAAAAAACAACACTTGTAGTGTCTCATCATCTTCACCAAGTTGTCACTTTCTTAAGGAAACCAGTCTCAAAGTGACCCACTACATATTTTAGTATGTTGACTTTTTGAAGGAACAAGGATATTCATCATTTAATTATCCCCAGGGACCACTGTTTGACAAGACATTTTTAAAAGGAAAATCGGTGTTTTCAGAGTCAATTCTGCAACCTTAAACATGATGTAGTCAGCATCAAATACCCTCTAGAGATGAAAGGTGACCTCATCAGCAGCACACTGAGATTTAAGCTCAGCATATTTTTCCAGAAAATATGGATCTTGCTCTTGGCTTTCTAGTGGTGATCTAATTTTCATGGCTATGTTAAAAAGAAAACACACAATAAAAGGATTTGAAGAGCTCTGCTTGTTTCATGTTGGAAAAGCACTGTAATTTATAGTCATGTACTTAATCAAAATGCTTTATCTTAGTGTTAGGAACTCTAAGTTTCATTTCAAAGGGATATCTAAAGATCACCACCAAATGGAAAAGCCAGGATTATCTGGGTAAATTCCAGACATGTTCTTCTGCTGGAGGAAATCACAGCACAACTGCTTTCTAATGCTTGTCCTGGTGGATAAGGCCGAAGGCCATGTTCCAGAATGTTGAATTCTAGAGCAATGGTTCTGAAACTTGAGGATGCTTCAAAATCACCTGTGGGAGGGGGGAGGCTATTAAAACACAGATTGCTGAGCTACCCCTGGAGTTTCTGATTCAGTAGATTTTGAATGCATCCTGAGAATTGAATTTCTGCTAATGCTGTTGACTCAGGGGCCACACTTTGAGAACCACTGGCCTAAAGTTTGGGCAGGAGATGTTCATCAGTGGTTCAAATAAAACAGACTGGGAGGTGTCAGAACATAGAATTAAATGTACCAAGGGAATGAGGGGACACAAATTGAGGCAGGGAGGTCAGGCTTATAGTGAGATTGAGCAGAGAACCTTGAAAAGAAGCAAACAAGAAGTTGGCACTGGGATATCACATCTGCCAAAGCACCTCAGTCCAGTGATGAGAGAATACAGAGGTAAGATTCTCCACAGGCCAGATGGATATTTAGCATTAAGATAGTAGCTGTCAAGGTTCACTTCACTCAGCTGGGGTTCAGGGATGGCTCCAAACCTGTGGTGACAACTGATAAGAGTATTGTGGGGCCCTAGTCCTCAAAAGGACTTGGAGAAACCAAGAAGATGGCAACAGGTATTCAATGTGTCTGTTAAGGTAACTCTTGCTGCTGCAACAGATGCAAGAGAACCCCCAAGTCACAATGACTGAGTTTATCTCTTGCTCACATACATTTCAAACCAAGTATTCTTGATTAATAAGCACCTCTTTTTAAGGGGTGACTCAGTTACCCAGTGACCGAGGCTCCTTTCATCTTGTGGCTCTCCCATCATCAAGTGTAACTTACAAGAGGAAAGCATGGAGGATCACATGTAGGAGGTTTTTAATGGACCAGGGCTGGAAGGGACTCTTATCACTTCTGCCTAAAATCCACTGATCAGGAATTGACCACGTGACCACATTTACTCAGCAAATCTACTTGTGTCCACCAGCTAAGTGTCCAGGAGGAAGAAGAAACAGGTTTGCTGGCCAGCTAGCAAATCTCTGCCACATTCAGATAAGAGCAGTAAGGTGGAATTATAGTTACTAAAATTGATCACAAGAGGAAGTTTTGCCCACCAACCAGTGATGCACTGGATGCGCTAGCTGGGGATGTTAGCTCATCATTGCATGGATCCTGTAGGTGGGGAGCAAAGAGGGTTGCAGGGCTGCAAGACAAGGACCAGACATGGATTAACAGCTTTTCCTGAATATGCTTGAAGAAGGTTGCATTCTTTCTCTGAAAACCTCTCATCTAAAAATAACACATTGAGGAACTCAATAATGTCCTACAGCTATAAAAGAAGATGTGTGTTTTTTCCATCTTACATCTTTTGAATGAATCCATCCAAAATATCATGGAATAGAGTTCATGTTACTAGTGCAGGTACACATTTCTTGCTTTGAATGTATTTTTAAAATTGTATTGTTTGGAAATATCAATTGAGAAACATTACTGCCAATTTTCCTCTCTTTAACACATTTAGAGAAGATCTTCAATGATAACACAATTGCACATGAAAGGTTTTCAACAAATGAAAAGACTGAAGACTATTCACTTTGGGGAAAATGAAGACAGAGTGGGAATATAATCACATAAAAAATAGGGAAATATCTTAATTAGTGTCCCAATTCCCCTTTTCACCACTGCTCAGGAGAAGTAGCCCACTCCCCACTTCAATTTGCCTTGAAAAACAATATAAAATCTGGGAGTCTGATCTCAAAAAGCATGCAAATCACAGAAAGGTTCTAAAAAGTTTTAAAAGGCTCAATCCTTTTAAAAAAGTAATCTTGCCATTTTGAAATAATTAGGGATGATTCCATGCCATGCCTGCTATGGGGTGATAGTGTGATCCACAGGCCAAGTCAGTGGGGTTAGCAGGGTCATGGTTGAATCCATGGTGATGTCATAGCAATCTTACTGATTGCTCATGAACTTTCGTTGCTTTTCTTTTTAATTTTTTAGTCATTGGTTGCTTATTAGTTGCAGCTGTTTTTGCTTGGGGATGGAGTAATAATTGGTTTAAAGTACTAATTTATATCATTGTGCAAAAATCTTACATAAAAACATCTTTATAAAATCATAGTGTGTTTTTGATCTTATGCTCCCTAAACACAAGGAATATCCTTAATAACAATTAATTCAGACCTCATCATTTTGAATAAGCAGTCTTCTGCAACACAGTCTGCCAGCCATATCCGTAGGTTCTGCATCCACAGGTTCAACCACAGATCAAAAATATTTTTTAAAAATAGGCCAGGTGCAATGGCTCATGCCTGTAATCCCAGCACTTTGGGAGGCCGAGGCAGGTGGATCACCTTAGGTCGGGAGTTCAAGACCAGCCTGGTCAACATGGCAAAACCCTGTCTCTACTAATAATACAAAAATTAACTGGGCATGGTGGCGCATGCCTGTAATCCCAGCTACTTAGGAGGCTGGGACAGGAGAATCACTCGAACCCAGGGGGTGGAGGTTGGAGTGAGCCGAGATCACGCCACTGCACTCCAGCCTGGGTAACAGAGCAAGACTCCATCTTAAATAAATAAAAATAAAAAAATACAAGTAAAGGCAGCTATTTGTGTAGCTTTTACATTGTATTAGGTATTATATGTAATCTAGAGATGACTTAAAGCATATGGGAAAAGGTGCATAGGTGATATGCCCATCATATACCATTTTATATAAGGGACTTGAGCATCCTCAGATTTTGGTATCTGCATGGGCATCGTGGAACCAATCCTCTGAAGATATCGAGGGACGACTGTACTTAAAAGTGAATATGTGAGAAAATAACCCTTCCGATTCTTTAAAGGAAGGAAAGGAGATGGCTCTTATACATCTTAACTATTCACATTAAGAAGTAAGTATGTGCTGGAGGGGAGAGGGATTAATATCTGGCCAGGATGGTGCTATCGACCCCAGCTGCACTTGAAAATCATCTAGGGAAGCTGTGAAAAATACCACTCCCTGGGGTTCCTCCACCCAATTACATCTGAATCTCTGGGGTGGGCTCAGCATTGGTATATTTTTAAAGCTCAGAGAACCACTGGCCTGGAAGATTCTCACTCACCTCCCTTTGTTTATGTGACCTATGACTGAAAGTGTAGGTGGGGAAATGCCCAAAATAGGGCAAGGAGAGCACTCTGGGAAAAGAAAGTGGGTGGGAAAGTGCTATTGCCTTTTTCTAGTCCTACAAACAGAAGGGCCTCGACCTAATCTGACCCGTACACAGTCCTACCAACTGGTTTGGGCCTCCCATTATCTCTTATTTTGTCATGAGGATCTCAAGGTTCTCAGATGCCAAGAATCAAGAGTCCAATTGTATTATGTGCATCCAAGCCTGCTGTAGTCATGGGACATGCCCTGTTTCCTCTCGGCATGTTTATCAAGCTGAGATGGCTGGCTCCAGACCCAGAGTTTTTTGCTGACCTTATACTCAGTGGCATTCATCCATTTATTTACTCTATAAATATATTCACTTGCCTATTCTAGGTATAGGCAACTTATTTGGCACCTGGCTTAACCTGTGTAGTGAAGTAACCAGATTCAAGGCCTCACACTGGAACCCTGTGGTTATGAGGCCACCTCACTCCTGAGCCTTGGTGATTGTTGCCATTGTCAGAGGCTGGCTCCTGGGGTGCAGCCTGCTTGCTGATGGGTAGTGACAAGCTCCCCAACACATCCATGCTCAAGCAGTGGAGGTTGCTAGTGACCAACACCCTGTATCAGGTTAATACCAACCAGTGCCACCTAGGGATTAGAATCTTTACAAGTTAAAGTAACAGCTAGAAAGCTCCTCTTTGATGCTAACCCCTTTTTCTGGGCCATGATTTCAAAGGAAAGACATGATTTGGCATAATGTTTTGTCATTGAGTCTCTGTTGGACCATGCAGAATAGCTTTCTTCAGGCAACTATTAACCATTTCTGTTGCTAAAGAGGTCTCCATCTGACAGACACAAAAAATAAATGAGGCTACATTTTGTAGCCTCTCAGAAGAAGAGCAATTCAAAATACTACCTTAGAGTGTGCCATAGGTAGATTATTTTATGCCCACAGATAATACTTACCTTTAAAAGTTTCTGGACCAAAGTTGCCTCAACTTTGTGGGAAATTTCAAACTTTAATAACCATTCAGGTAATTATTTACTCACAGTAAATTCTGGCCCTAAGTATATAAGTATATGAGATTTTTAGCCTAGAACCTGGGAAAGGTAGGGTAGTCCTACTTTCCAAATAAACTGCACATAATTCTATCTTATAAAAATGACATTTGCTGAAAAGTTCATATGTTGCAAAGTCATTAAAGCCTTACTTATTGGCATATTGTTTATTTCCTGCTCATTAACAAATCAAAAGTAAGAGGTAGAGCAGTGGATAGTTCTACTAGAATGTGCTGCCAGGTCCATTGGTTTTGAATAGCCCTAAATAATCTTCTGAATTGGGGCCAAGTGGGTGAATGTCCTAGCCCATCTCTGTTTTAATAACATGCAACCCTTTCTACAGGGGTGTTAATGGCTACAGGAGTGTGATATTACTGATCGGAAAGATGATGCCTCTGTAGATTTTCCATACCTGAACTACTCACAGATAGAATGGAGGGGAAAGAAGGAAGAACAATCTGAAAGGCACTTGCAAAACCTTGGGAATCAAAGCAAGGCGGTAGGAAAGCCTTTACCCTGGACTAACGGCAGACATTTGCAAGTGGGGGGTTTTACTTGAAAGGAAGGCTGAACTTGATGACAGGTGGATAGTGTATGGGAGCAGAGAATGGCAACATCTTTGGAAACCCAAAGCAGAGGTTGGGGATTGGGGACCTGCAGACAAAGGGTTGAAACAGAGAAGAGATAAATAATTGCCAAAGGAAAGGAGATGCTGAATGCAGACATTTCTTTAAAAAAATCAACAAAGATCAATACACATGACTCAGGCAGGTGAAACCAAAAGAAGGATCTCCAAAAGAATGAGCAGGTAGATGTAGATTCTGGGGCAGCTGTTAAAACGGAATCAGTAAAGTTCATCTTGCCAAGCTGTAAAACTACTTGAACTGTGTGGGTTCTGGCCTGAATACAAGGTTTCTGTACAGACACAAGAGGACCTTCAGGTTGAAAGAAAATGAAATTATAAATGGAGATCAGGCATATTTTTGGACATCAAATGGTTCTTACAAAATGGCATTTTGATTAGTTAAGTATAAATGAATCAAACACATGAACAAAATTTCTCTTGAAACATGTACACATTTTTAAAGAACTTCTGTAAAGCTGTTGTGTAAAAAGTTTCTGTACAACAAAGGAAACTATCAACAAAATAAAAAGGCAGCCTGTGAATTGGGAGAAAATATTTGTGAAGCATATAGCTTGTAAGAGGTTAATATCCAAAATATGTAAGAAACTTACACAGCTCAACAGCAAGAAAAACCCCCGAATAACCCTATTTTTAAACATGAGCAAAGGACCTGAATAGGTATTTCTCCAAAGAAGGCATAAAAATGGCCAAAAGGTATGTGGAAAGGTGCTCAGCATCACTAATTATCAGAGAAATACAAATCAAAACTGCAGTGAGATATCATCTCATATCTGTAAGGATGGCTTTATCAAAAACACAAGAAATAGCAAGTGTTGATGAGGATGTGGAGAGAAGGGAAACCCTAGTACACTGTTGGTGGAGATGTAGGTTGGTGTAGCTGTTGTGGCAAATAGTATGCAGGTTCCTAAAAAAATTAATAGAACTACCATATGACCCAGCAATTCTTCTGGGTACATACCCAAAGGAAATGAAATCACCACCAAATAAAGATACCTGCACTCCCATGTTCACTGCAGCACTATTCACAATAGCCAAGAAATGGAAGCAACCTAAGTGTCCATCGATGGATGAATGGATAAAAAAAATTCTGGTGTGTGTGTGTGTGTGTGTGTGTGTGTGTGTGTGTGTGAGAGAGAGAGAGAGAGAGAGAGAGAGAGAGAGAGACAGAGAGAGAATATTTTTCAGCCTTTAAAAAGGAGATCTTGCCATTTGCAATAACATGGATGAAACTACAGGACATTATGCCAAGTGAAGTAAGCTAGACCCAAAACAAAAAAAATACTGTATGATGTCACTCATATATGGAATCTTAAGCCACTAAAGGCATAGAAACAAGGAGTGAAACAGGAGTTACCAGAGTTGAAGGGAAATGGGAACATGTAGATCAAAATGTGCAAAGTGGCAGTTATGAAAGGTAAATGAATCTAGAGATTTAATGTACAGCATGAAGGTTACAGTTAATAATATTGTATTGTAGTCTTGGAATTTGCCAAGAGAGTAGATTTTAGGTACTTACCACAAATAACAACAGAAAAAAGAAAGATAACTATATGAGATGATAGGTGTGTTGATTTGCTTGACTGTAGTAATCGCTACAGTCTTATAAGTATACTTATATCAAAGCACATTGTACACCTTAAATATATATAACAAATACTTTTACAAATGAAAAAGAAATAAGTGAAAGTGCTCATATAATACATTTGGAAATCTGATAAATGGATGAGGTGGAAAACGGAGTTTGAGATGTTCTGCTCAACCCAAATGACTAGTTGGGATCTCACAGTCCTCCCTTGTTATTTTCATGGTAGGATTTCTATCCTGTCTCTGTGTCCAGTTTTGGTGTCTCCTCTTAACTAAATGACTCCAACGTCAGTCTGAAAAGTTCCCCAAAACCTTTCATTATAGGTGTCTACTAAAAATACTATTTCTTAATCTGAGATTAGAACAAGTGCATTGCCTTAATCGGTGCCCATTTAATATCTAAAAATTTGTAGCTTTCCTTGTATCTCTTGGAAACAGCACCTTTGATAAACTGCTCTTGTCCAATCCTTCTGTGACATATTAATTACGTGAATGTCTTTGAGTCATGCTTCTGATGGCAGAGACAGAGATGCCCAAGAACCTGAGAGCTGCACATCTCAGCCTGCTGCTGAGAAGGGGGTGCCGAGACTTAGTGTTCATTTTCCCCAAATGCCATGTGAAATTTCTGGTCCTGGTGATCTGGGCAGAACTAGGGACTTTAAATATCAAGCACCCCTTTTGCTACTGTACACTGAGTCCTGAGGGGAAAACAACACTTCACCAAAAGTTCTTAGACAAGTGCCATCCAATAGAAATATGAGTCACAAATGTGAGCTATATTTTCTAGTAGCAAGTGAAATGAATTTTAGTAGTATATTTTGTTTAACATAATATGTCAAATATTACCATTTCAACATTTAAGTGATAGTAAACATTTATCCTGAGATTTTACATTTTTAAGTTGGTACTAAGTCTTTGAAATCCTGTGTATATTTTACAGTTAGAGCCCCACATTTCGACTTCCCATTATCCATATATTGAACAGCCTAGCCCTGGACCTAGATTTTAACACTGGCCTTGAGGTTGCATCACTGATGATGAGAGAAAGAATAAGATGTTGAATTAAAGAGAATGATGAAGCTGGGGAAAGAGGAATCCATCTCTTTAAAAGGAGTGTTACTCAGAGTGAAATCTATGAACCTCATGTGTCAAAATCACCCGAGAGGTATGTTAAAAATGCATAATTCTGTGTTTGACCCTACCTCTACCTAATTATAACCTCTGAGGTTGGGACTTAGGAATCTGAGTTTTCTAGGATAATTCTCTTGCACACTCACCACTCTAATGTCTAGAAGAGAAATCATGAACATGGGCCATTTGCTATTCACAGAGTAGCTGTATTTTCTTCATCCTTAATGGGGTTTTTAAATGTTTGAGTTGCTGTTTTAAAATCAGGATCATACACACACACTTTTAAATCAGCTCAAAAAAGTCAGAAAATCTATAAAGCTAGTGCCTGCATTTCCCACATGGCAACAATGGGCTAGAGGTGAGCAGTTGGGCATTCTCTAGATAGAACAAGAGCTGACCAGTTTGTGATGGGCCCAACCTGGCCCACTTCACTCCTCCATATTGCAGGCTAGCTGCCATAGACTGTTCCAAATATTTTAAACATTTTTACAGGAATTTTAGATTTACAGAAAAATTGCAAAGATAATTCAGATATTTCCCATATACTCTTTACTCAGCTCCCCTAATGTTAACATCTTACATAGCCATAGTGTATTTGCCAAAACTAAGCAATTAACACCAGTATAATACTATTAACTAAACTACAGACTTTATTCTGATTTTACCATTTCTACCTTAAAAGCACCTTTTCTATTCTAGCATCCAATCTAAGATTCCATGTTGCATTTAGCTCCGTAGCCTTTTGAGTTTGATTGCTGGTGAAGAGCAGCAGACCTAAGCTGGCTACTTCATGTCCCTGCCTTTTTTTTTTTTTAACCTTCCCCAGGTCCTGTCAGGCTCATCAGGAGGAGGTGATTCCTCTCAAGCAGTATGCAACCCCAGACACACTTTAATTCAACAGCTGCACTGGCTGTGCAATAATAGCTGCAGCTGCAAATTGAAGAACAGTCTTCACACATCCAGTGTGGACAGAACTCTTCATTACAGGGATCTTTTAGCACACCTGCACTCACTAATGGCAATGCCAGTAGCACCATCTTCTAATAAGTCAGACAGCATTATGATTTATCTATGAAGACTATTATATTACTATAGTGTTCAGATGGGACATGAGCTGCTGGATTTGCGGCCACACAACTTTGTATGCATGCGCTTTCTCCAAAGGACTACCTAACCCAATGGCTTTTTGGTACATGAAATGCTTAAATACATTGCATCTAAATCTCCCATCCCAAGAAGTGAAATTTAGACATATAGAACTTTCACTTTCCTTTCTGGCTCTGTTTAACATGTAAATATTCTTTCAGTCCATTAGGACTAAACCTCTTGAGAAAGTGCCTTTATTTCTTGGCCACCTTTCCTTGAGCAGAATTCCAATTTTGCAGTGCCTGGAACCACTAACTAGAATATATGCTGATTTGCCTTAACTGCAAGAACAAATCCAATTAATAAGTCCACAAGGAATAGGGTTGGAACTGAGCCATTTTTCCAGGTGGAAACATCTTTCTGTTAGACATGCTTCTTGTACTATTCATCCCCGGTCCTCTGATTGTCCAGATAATCCACGGCCTGATTGGGGGGATTTGGAGTCTAATAAATTCATCTTCACAAACTCTGGGGATCAATGACTGACATATTCAAAGACTTTTCTTTCTAATCTTTATTATTTCCAAGGCTGTCGCCCTCTGACTCTAACACCTGAAATAATTTAATGAACAATTTAAAACAGAATCTTTTTGCATGTAGTGAAGTTCTGGAAAGGTTAGCTAGTTCAGAGAGCATAAAAGTGAAGGTTCAAATAAATCAAAATAACTCAAGAGGTTGGGTTTCTATGGTTGAGCCATAAAGTGTCTCCTATCTTAAGCATCTGATACTGCAAACATACACAGTCACTAAACTTCCTGGATCACTGTCTAGCAGTTTCATCACTGTTTTCTTGTATCATAAAAAAGATGAGACTTCCTAAAAATGCATGCACTGTTTATAGACAACTCTTCTATTTATTTATTTATTTATTTTTATTAGAGATGGGTTCTTGCTCTGATGCCCAGGCTAGAGTGCAGTGGTGAAATCATAGCTCACTGCAGCCTCAAACTCCTGGGTTTAAGTAATTCTCCCTCTTTAGCCTCTGGAGTAGCTGGGACTACAGGGGCACACCACCATGCCTTGCTAAAAATCACTCTTCTTTTTAAAAGAATTTCAGCTCACTTCCAGTGTATTTGTTGGTACCCGGTATCCCTGGAAGGTCAGCTCTACTTTATACAAGACCAGGAAATTGCCTTAGAAAGCAATAGTTCATATTTGTAGAAGACTCTCAGATTTTCAAAATCATTTCAAACTATCATTTCATTCTATTCTCTCAGTAGCCTTGGAGGAAATGATAAGATGTAGGGTAAGAATGATCATGATCTGTCAGATGGAGAAACTTCACTCTTATGAGACATCAACTTTCCTAATACATCTTCCCAGCAACAGGCTGGAAATAGAAAAACTGTCTCAAGACTTCTGTGCCCTATTTTCTCTAATGGTGCACCCACTGTGGGCTCCCAGGGCCTTTGTGAGTTCTCCCTTTTCCTGGCAAAATGCTTCACTTTTTGGGACATTTAAATGGGCACATTTAAAAGTGTTGCCCATCTTAACTGCCATTTGTGTCTTGCTGGAATTCAGAGCTTCAGAATGAAGCTCCCACTGTAGGATTCACAGCCAGCCAGTAAGTAGAAGAGGAAATGGTGAGAACAAAGTCTTCTGACTCCACTGAAATCACGTTGGTGGGGGCTTTTGGTTTCTTTTTCTTTTTGTTTGTTGTTTTTGATTGTGTTTTGAGTTTGGGAACAACAGAAAGGGCTTCTCTTCAATGCAAGGCATCAGGATAATGCTGGCCTGGGGCAGACATACTGATTTTCTATCTTTTAGAACTGGATTCCGGTGGGCTCAACTTCTAAAACCAGAGTCAGTGACAAGTCTTGATTAATAAAGTTCTTAGATTTGTGAAATAAAGAAAACTGATTATCCAAGGAATTTGTCAATTCCAAGTTAGCATTTGCCTTTGTTTTATTGCTAGCTGGACAAAGTCATTATGCTACTGGCAAAATAACTAAATAAAATCATTTTTAAATTATCTGATAGAATGAAAAGTTAGTGGTACTACCCTGATCCCAAAAATATGCTTCCTAAGCCAAATAGTCAAACAGTATTGAAATTAAAAGAGAAAGAGGAAGAAAGTGCCAGAACTTGAATATATTTTCTGTCACATTTAACTCATTATTAGAGGAATCCTCCAATGTCTGCTTGGCTTCCTCTCCCTAAGGGTTTCCCACGGGTCCTCAATTTCCCAACACCTCCCAGCACCTGGGGTCCCACTTACCCCTCCTTTTCCCAGCAGTGTCCTAGGGACCTTGAGAGTAGAGCTAGTACCATGCATTTAATCCAGAAGCTAGTGACCCTCATGTGGTTTGCATGTATTCATAATGACATGCTCTGAGTGTGTCAGCCAGTACCATCTGGGGTGCCTGGAGCAGTGTCTGGGAGCCTGTGACAACTCAATCTCAGGCCAGAGGATGGGAAAACATATTGGATGATTGCAATTCCCTTTTAGGCCGGGAGACTCTCTGGCATTAAGATGTCCACATCTGCTAAACCCATTACAAAGTCTCTGTTCTTCATGAGTATTACAATAAGAATAGCCATTAATCTGGCTAAATCACGGTTCCTTTCTGGCATGATCCAATCTGTTCCTAAAAACATGTTGGGGTGTGTTAGTCTCTAGTTACAGCTCCTGGCCAGTCTTCTGGCTGCTTATGCTGGAAGAGTCGAGCCAGGCCACTTGGTACTGAATTGACAGTCCCTGAAAAAGGCCAAGACCTGATGTCACCCTGGGGACTATTTGCTGGGGAAAAGTACATGTATCCAGAACTCAATGCATCTGGCCCTCACAGCACTTAATCTCTGTATTAGTGCTTCTCAGTCTTTAGAATGTGTAAAAATTACCTGGAGAATTTGTTAAAACACCATTCATGAGCCCAAGCCCATGGATTCAGATTCAGTGGGGTCTGGAGAGGGGCCTGGGAATTTGGTGACCGTACTTTAAGTAGCATTTTTCTATCCTGTTGCAATGCAAAGTGTGGTCCTCATCCCAACAGCATTGCCATCACCTGGGAATCTCTTGGAACTATAAGTACTAGGACCCCACTTAGACCCATTAAATCTGAATCTATATCTTAACAGGCATTCTTTGCACTTTAAAGATTGAGGCACACAAATCTATATCACTCATTCACTGTCTAAAACAGAGCAGCAAATCATGGACTTGGAGGGACCCTTAGGAGTTCAAGTGCTTTAGGTCATTGCCTACAAAATGATACGTTATTAATTCTATATTGCTTTTTATTAACTTTCTATGGATATCTGTGTCTTTCACCTAAATTGTAATAACCTCAAAAGGCAGTGGCCACGTCTTAAAATTCTTGCACAAAATATCCTGCATATAGTAGGCACATATCAAATATTCATTGGTTGATTGGTTGGTTGTGAAAATATTCCAAAAATATCTCATAAAATGAAGGGATGGTCCCTGTTTCATTCATAAAGAAAGGTGTATCACCAGTTGTGGTCTGTGCTTATTTTTAAATTTACAAAACACTGTTTTAAATTTACAAATTTACAAAACACTGTTTTAAATTTACAAATTTACAAAGCAGAAAGCTGGGGAATAATCTAAAATTGCAGCATCTGAACTCTCATTGGCATAGTCCCCCTGTTCTGAGAGTTTGTTCCTCATTGTTTTATAAGGAAGTTATCAACGGTAAATAAGGACTATACTAGGCTGGGAAGCTATTGTTCCTTTCCATCTCGTTCAGTGCTGTATTTGGAAAGTTTTGCTTTAAGGAATGATGAAAGTAATCATGGGGAGAGGGGAATAAAACCTTCAACAGGAAATGGATCATATCAGGCCTTGAAACCACTGTGGGAAGCTGGTATTCTTCTCTAAGAGCACAACAAGGCCCTGATAGATCTCAAGCAGGGGGAGTCATTATCTGATTCAGACTCAGGATATATGTTGTTGTTGTTGTTGTTGTTGTTTTAATCCATAGGCTTCACTCATTAACTGGATGTAGGATAGGGCTGGGTGAGCAGGGGCTGAGAAATAGAACTTGAGAATAATTTCTTGATTTTTGGAAGATTATAGTGCTATTGCCAAGGTTGGGAAGGTAAAAGCAATATTGGGGGTGGAATCAAATGTTATGTGTCAGATGCCATGAGACATGTACATAAAGAGGTGGGCTTGGCAGTTAGATACCAAAATCTGGAGATGAAGGAAAATCATGGCTAGAATTTGAATTCTGTAGCCTCTCAGATGCCATGTTGTCCTCAACTTTAAGTTGCAGGCAAAGGGCCATTTGTTTCTAGTGACATTGAGCCATTTTCAATATTATGTTCAGTATTCTGTGGAAATACCAAAGCTCTGCATTTCTGAAGAGCCATGAAGTTGATAGTCCCATTGCTTGGGAGTTGCTAAGAAGTGAACAGAAATGGACTCTGAGCATACAAGGTTCTTGGATCCTAGCTATTCTTATTTATTTATTTTTAAAAATTGAGATAGAGTCTTGCTCCATCACCCAGGCTGGAGTGCGGTGGCACCATCTCGGCTCACTGCAACCTCTGTCTCCCAGGTTCAAGTGATCTTCTTGCCTCAGCCTCCCAAGTAGCTGGGACTACAGGTACATGCCACCACGCCCCGCTAATTTTTGTGTTTTTAGTAGAGACGGGGTTTCACCACCTTGACCAGGTTGCTCTCGAACTCCTGGCCTCAACTGATACGCCCGCCTCAGCCTCCCAAAGTGCTGGGATTACAGGCATGAGCCACCACACCTGGCCTAGATCCTATTTATTCTTAATTTAGGTTTAGCCCTCGTAAGTGTGATTATTCACTGCCCCAGACCAAAGCAAAGGAGAATTATTTTGCTTAACTGTGGCTTGTTTGCTGTTTGACTCTCCCGCCAGCAGGTATGCTCCATGCGAGTAGGCCCTCTGTACTGTGGTCTCCATCTAATTGTCTTTTCTGTATATAGAAGCAAGCCCTGCCACACAGTGAATGCTCACAACGTACTCCCTGAATAAAAGGCTGAGGGTGGGAAATGGTTCCTAGAGACAAACACAAGATAGTCACAAGTAAAAACCTGACATTTAGGGAAGAATTAGAAAAGTTGTAAAGGCTCAATAAATCTAAGGCCCTGAGACCATTTACTTAGGAATTTTCCCAGTGCAGCTCATAACTCAACAGGCCCTGATGTCATTGTTTATCTGTAGCACAATAAAATTATTCATGCTCACGGTGAGGACTCTGAGTCACCAAAAAGAAGATAAAATATGTTTAGTCACTAGATGTAAAAATGGCAAGAAATACAAAATCACATCTTTAAAATCATTTCATCTAAAGTGGTCAAGATGAATATTTTGGACCTGAAGTCTTAGGATAATCCTAGAACACATACATGGAAAATCTCATCACCCATCGATGCTATCTGCACAAATGAGGCAAAACTGCATTATTCTTCACAAATGATTACTGTCTGCAATCTACAGTCAGTTTCATTTTGTGATGAGTATATGCTTCTAATTACCTATAATATTCATCTGAACATTACCAGAATTTTTTTCTGGAAGAATTACAGACTCTTGTTACATGCTAACTAGGACATTTTCCTGCCGTACAGAGTTACCTCTGCAAACAGAATGCTGAAAGTATCTGCCAGATAGTAAACAAACGTGAAACACCACATGAGGACAGGTAAGCAAAGGAATGAAAGCCACGTGTGTGATTATCTTCTGGAAAGCCTGTTGGCAGTGGACTGATTCTCAGAACCCTCTGGAGCAGAGGCTGTGTTCACGTAGATGCTCCCAGCATGGGAGCAATACCATGTATGCTGTACCTATCATAGGTGTTCAATAAGCATGTTTTTGAGAAAAGAGCATATATATTTCTTTCCCATTTCCCTTGGAAGGGTGAAGATTATAGTTGGAGTCTCAGACAGCTCCAGTCTTGTGAGCCTTATTGTATTTAAGGGATCAGAGTGGGTATTTAAAGGAGGTTATCTCTGAAGAAACTACTTAAAACTTTACCGGACATTATGGAAAGGTGTGTGATGAGTTTTGGAAGATTGTCTAAACTCCCAGGGTAGCACACAACTGAAATATGTTGAGTCTTCTTGAAAGATAGCATTTGTTCACTATGTTCTTTTCCTTCATTGCATTAATCACACACATGCACATACAACGCACACTTCCTTGTTTATTGGCTGTCATCTCTATTTGAACCTAAATTCCCTGGGGGCTGGGACCATGTCTTCTCCATGAATATGGGAGCTGTATACAGGCGCTGTGAGGTGAGATATGTATGGGTTTGAGGAGGAGTTGTTTATTTCTGTTGATCTGACCTCATGACAGTATTTGTAAGATAATTTGTATGTTTTTGATTCAGTAACAGCAAAAGCCATGTTTGTATATTACAGGGCAATTACACGACATTGGGATGTATTTTGACCACATCCCTGCCAGGCTGGCTTTTAGGTGCAAGCACCATCTAAAAACATGCATAATGTGCAGTTTAGAATGACTAGTTCTCTAGCCAAAAAGACTCACTTAAATCAAAAATAGAATCTAGAAAAGAAGTACAATTAAGGGGAAAAGATCTTTCAACTCCCAATAAAAGAGGCCCACTGAACCATGAGCTATAATCATAATGAAAGGTAATGATAATCTCCAGTAAAATTTTACAGAGGATTTCTGTGCTATCACCACACTAAAGCACATTCATGGAGCAGCTCATCTAACCTTTACAACCCCATGTGGAAGGTCCTATTCAGTCTTGACTTACAGTTGAGGAAACTGGAAGACCAGGAGATTAGCTAGGAGGCTCCTACAAGGGAGGTGACAGATGATGGTGGCTGGAAGAGGGGCTAGCAGATAGGGCGGTGAGGCTTAGAGAGGTCAGTGACTTGTCTAAAGTTAAAGGACAGGTGAGTGGTGGAGGCAGAGACTGCTCTGACCATACTCCCCATGCCGGGCCCAGGCTGGGCACATGGTGGGGCTCAATGGTTAGTATATCAAATGGGTCCATTTTCTCCAAGCATATTCCTACTCACCAAAGCTAATTAAAGTGAAATATGGGAATGCAGGCACTTAGCAGGGCAAAGAAAGTCTTTCGAGACTCCGTCTCAAAAAAAAATAAAAAATTAAAAATTAAAAAATTTAAAAAAATTTTAAAAAGTCTTTTCAATTCTTCTTGTAACAGCTGGGCCAAAATGTCAGTTTCTATGCTCATAAGAATATGGTTCTTTGAATATTAAAATACCACCAGATGCACAGACGTGTCTTTATGGCTACTCAGAGAATAGAAGTTTGATAAGACAGAGTCACCACACCCAGGAGGAGAAAAAAAGTCTGAAACTCTAAACTTTTGTGAAATTGGCTAAAAGCCAAATGTCAGCATTTTCACCTCTTTTCCCATATGGCAGGAGGCATTTCACACCACTTTCCATCATTTCAATAAATCTAGTAAATGATATGAGTACTCTGCATGCCAAGAGACATATAATATGTGTATCAAAATAGATGTCTAGGTCAGTTTGTGACAAGAACCAGATTTCAGCAACTGCAGAGAACAGATCTGGCCTGGCTTCGGTTCAGTGAATGAATGGGTGAGTGCTATCCAGGATCACTTTCTGCTTATTTTCTTTTCCTTTAGTTTTTAAATAATACTTCTCCTACGTTCACTTCTTCTCTAAAAAGCCTTGACCATCTCAATAGTTTCTTTTTATTGGCATCCCCATCACCACCTAAAGCCTTATGGGGCAAGTTCCAGCTGAGGATACAGGGCATTAGAACCAGGAATTCATTCATCCATTCAATATTTAGTGAGCTCCAGCTATATGCTCAGAGTTGTCTTAGGCACTGGGGATACTGTAGTGAACAAAAGTCCCTGTTCATAGGCCAGGTGCAGTGGCTCACACTTGTAATCACAGTACTTTGGGAGGCCAAGGCAGGAGGATGGCTTGAGGCCAGGAGTTCAAGACCAGCCTGGGCCACACAGTGAGACCCACATCTCTACAAAAAGTTTAAGAATTATGCAGGCATGGTGGCATCCACCTGTAGTCCCAATGACTCAGGAGGCTGAAGCAAAGAGTTCAAGCCTGCAGTGAGCTATGGTTACACCACAGCACTCCAGCCTGGGGTACACAGTGAGACCTGTCTCAAAAAAAAAAAAAAAAGAAGAAGAAAATAAAATCCCTGCTCACATAATAAAAATGCTGACAACAATCAAATGAACAAATTTCAACTGGATGCATGTCAGGTAGTGATCAATAATATAACAACTAAAGCAGGGCAGGACAGACAGCGATTGGGGTGTGAAAGGCCTCAGTGACAAGATGGCATTGCATCATGAGACTATGAGGAAAGAAGGGAGCACACTGTGAGAGAAGATTCAGTGTTCTCCCTAGAGAGCATGGCAAGTGCAAAGACCCTGGGGTCCAGGCTTGTTTTTGTTCAAAGACTAGCAAGGAAGCCATTGAGGTAAGAACAGAGTGCAAGATGAGAGGGTAGTGGGAGGTAAGCTCTGAGAGTTAGCTGGGCTGTGTGGGCCCTGATAAAGACTTTGGATTTCATTCTGAGTGAGATGGGAAGCTATTAGATTGTTGAACGGAAGAGTGAAATGGCTTGACATATTTTCAAAGTTTATTCTAGCTCCTTGTTGGAGACTTGACTGAGGGCAGCCAGGGTGGAGGCAGAAAGGCTTCTGCAAAGTCCCCCTAACAATGACAGAAACTGGGCTGTTTTGAACACAAGGACTACATAGTTGCTGATGGATGAGAGATTGAATGTGAGAAAAGTTAAGATAATTTCACATTTTGGGGGGAACTTTGGTTATAAACTTGGAAAAAAATATATTGTCTATGACAAAAAGATATGCACCCTCCAGCTGAAGACTCTTTTTGTGTCATATTTTGTGCAAACATATTTCAATACACTAATAGGATGAATGAATCCCAGAGCATGACGTAACAAGGCTCTCTCATCAGGTTGTTCTAGAACTTTCCTAGGAGACATGTCCCTTTCAAGTTTCCATCAAGTAATTATTAAAAATAAAAATGGGTGGCTCTTTCCTGGAGCCATTTTAAAGGAGTGACTCTGCCTTGAATGGCCCTGTTGTAACACTGTTCCTATAGAAAAGTCAGGGAAGGAAAAGTAAATTTTCAAAGAAATTTGCAAAATTGCCAGTTTGAGTGTCAATCAGGCAAGCTAAGCATTACAGAGAAGCTGCTTTTGTTTCTCTAGAAAATAGCACTATTTTTTGATGTGCAAAAAGGAGCAGAAGGAAGAAGAGGTGAAGACCTTTGCCAGTGCTTGTCTATGCCTTAAGTGAGTCTGCAGCTTTGAGGCTTGTTCATTTTAACTCAAGAAACCTTGAGCTCCTTAAAGGTGGGGACTGTATCATCATTATTCAGAGCAAACAGTTGTTCTAGGTGGCCTTGATTTTCCCGGTGGGTGACTGCATACACCCCTCCACACCCTTCTCCTCTAGGTGGTTACCACATGTTTTTAGTGCAGATCTAGACACCAGGAATATAGAGAGAAGAAAGAAGTGCCTGGCAACCACCGAGCCTTCCCTCACTCCAGCTGACCCCTGCTGCTGAGGATCAGGGATGAGAAGGTCCCTTGCCCTGCAGTTTCTCACTGTCCATACCTTCCAAAGATGACTGTGAATAGAACCTGAGAAACAGGTTCCAGAGGTCCCAGGGGCTGGACTTTGCTGCCTCCCCAAGTGAACAGAAAAACAAAGGTAAGGTTGCAGAGGCTGTCCCCAAGAGAGCTTAGTATTTTGGCCACAAGCCCCTTTCCCCTGATCCATTTTGTGCTTTGTCTTAGGAAGTGCAGACATGGATTGGGAAATGACGGAGCTTCAAAATGTCATGGGACACCCTTGGGAGATGAAGCTGGATATGGGAACAGTGGCTCTCTGGGATGTGCCATGTGCTGCTGACAGGGAATCAGGGTTGGTTCCACAGTCATGTTCTGGAACCATGTTTGACCACAGTGACTTGAGAAAGAGATGATGGTGGTTGAGTAGTTGGAGGTGGCTGAAGAGAGGATGACCAGAGCCAGCTGACAAAGGACTTCTGACAGTGTGACTGTCCTGGAGAACCTTTCAAGGCTACCTGTATCTCAGAGACCCTTGTCTTTACCCAAACAGGCACTAAGGAGATTCAAGAAAGTTTCATAACCCTTTGCCCAACATCTGAGTGAAAAAGCTCTAAGGATACCTAATCTCCCAGGTTCTATGCCTGATGTCTCCCTTCTGGATAACTTCCAAGTCTTTTTGTCTTCTGAGGTCACACCCTTAATGTTCAAATAAAATGGCTTTATCTTTCCCCGTCTAACATACTACGGCAGCCCAGACTACCCCACAGCCCCTTCCTTCTTTGTGCCAGTATTCTTTCTATTAACAGAAGGGGATTGGTGTCCTGCTTAGCCCCAAGATGGTTCACACCATGACCTGGTTCTCTGCTGTCTCCCGGATCTCAGGCACCATTTTCAGTTCCTGCAGCTGCTGCCTCAATTTGGTACCACTTTTGCCAACTGTGGACACTCCTCTTCCTTCCTCCCTGACAAGACCCCACTAAACATTAAATAAAGTATTATGAAAAGCAGACACATACTAAAGTTGTAGAGGGTCAGGGGGTAACAAAGAGAATTATAAAGCAGAAAAATTCAAGATGGAGAAAAGAGTCACACAAGGGCTTCCCTGTGAACCATGCCATGTTTTAGCTTGTCCTAAAGCCCTTTTCCTCCAAGAAACTTCTTTCTCTGTTTTGCTTTGTCACCTTCCCAGACCCCTCAGCTCACTCACTTAGGCTGCCACCTGAAAAAGCCGAGGTTCTGTTACTTTAGTGAGAAAAACAATTAAGCGCTCTCATTCAAGTTGGATCTAAGCTCTAGTCAAGGAGAGCTAGGCTGTTCATTACCCATAACCACAAAGGCTCATTAAGCTGTGGTGGACCTGGAGTGTCAGTGCTTGTCTTGCCAGACTCACAGTGTGAGCTCTTAACCACTGCCGCATACTGCTTTCTTTCCTTCCCCGCACTTTCCAGGCTCAGCAGGAAAATGGCAAGACAACAAAGGAATGTTAGGGGAGGAAATTCCCTCTTTCCCCATCTCTCTCCATAAGGCAGAAGTCGCCAGTGAGAACTAGCATTTCGACCAAGGAAACATACTTAAGCCTATACACACTCGTTAGGTCACTGTCTGGGTCTTTATTTGCCCTGACTCCAGCCATCGTCAAACTGAGGGTTCAGACTAGGTCTACTTCTGGACTTTCTTGTGTGAACTATTCAGAGCCCAGACATCTCCAGCTGAGCCTTTAAAGTTGTAGCATTGGCAGCCACCGGCACCGGTCACATTAATCCCGCCACTTTGTCCCATGAACTCTACTCTAAGAGGCGTATAGATATTTACCATGCACAGACTGAGCAAATGTTTACAGTGAACTTTTACACAGAACCCAGAGAAGCTCCCTAATCCATAGAAGTCTTCCAGCAGAAGCAAGCCCACAGAATTCAATGTATGCCCAGGCTGTAGCCTGCACGCTGAATGGCTCCTTTCAAAGGCCATGAGGCCTGGCTGCGGCAGGTAAGTGTCCACGTTTGTGGTCTTTGAGAGGTTTTCACAGTGAGGACCTTCGTTCAGACAAAGTACAATAATCTTTCATGATTCCCATAAATCAGGAAACTGAATATGTCAACGAGGGTTAGGTCGCTCTGGGGGCTCCCATCTGAAGCTTAAGAAACAGGAAAAAAAAGGCATGTTTGAGGCAGTAATAGAACTGGGAGGGGAGGAATGTTATGAATTTTGTTCTGAAAAATTCAGCTCAACAGTTCGAATAGGGCCAATATTTAGGCTACAATATTTGGCTGGATCTGTTACATAATTCATCTTCTCACAAACAGACCCAAATGATCTGACCCAGAGCCAGTTTATTTTTATGGAGTTAAATTAGTTGCTATTTATAAACTGAAGAGGTTCAAAAAGGCTATTTAAGGAGGGCATCACTACTTTTTCCACCAGTATGTTTGCCTTTCGATCCTTCTGGTTTGCTTTGGTTTGATTGTGGTTTCTGGGTAAAAGGGTGGGCACTATTTGTAAGCTTGGTGAAAATAACTTCAGCCAAGTATGTAGATCACTTATCCTTGAAATGGGAATGATAGGTTGGGAAACTGTGCACTGGACAGGAATGTGTGAGTTGGAGGCCTGAGTCAGCTGTGCAAGTACAGCTAAATGGTACCTGGATGTAGTTTTCAGTTAGTAGCCAAAAAAGTGAAGAGAACTTCATTTCACAGCATGGCCTGGATCTCCTTTCCATATTTCTTTCCCCAGTGGTACTAGATCTAAAGAAAGAGATGCCAAAGGAATTACTTGACCAAACCTATGCTATCTCAGACAGATGCCAACGCTGCACAAAGACCCACTCCTTAGGCTCCCAGCCAACTTTTCCAAAATGACCCATCCTTCCCTACTCTTCTCTATTAAACTCTATCTTCAGCAAACCAATATTGGTGACCTGAGGGAAGTATGTCAGAAAATCATAAAGTGTTCAGCTGAAAAATTTTAGAGATCATTTGTTAAGGAACCTCCTTTTACACAATGGATGGCAAGAGAGGTAGGAAGCTCATCTAAGGCCATATACAGAGTGTCAGTGTTAGGGCTAGAATTCAGCTCTCCAGATCAGTGGCCTTCCTCACATCTACCCAAGAGGACACAGCAAAAGATGAGGCATTGGTTTGAGAAGGTGGGAGCTGGAAGTGTCAGGCTTATCCCACCTTGCTGACATTAGACCCTCATCTTCCCATTCACCATTCCTGAGAAAGAAGGAAGCCCTGCCAAGATGATAACTTCCTCCTCCCCAAATCACCTATCCATCTTCAGTTAAAGACCAGTTTACAGATTTTTCTCTCCAGGATTCAGAGTTTTTGGAACATTTCTCCTTGCTCATGTCTCTTACAGTTTCTCTGCTCTCCTAGTTAGTGCCTAGTAACCAGAAATCACTTGTGTTTCTACCAAAATGGCTTATTTAATCTGCTCCATTTCTGATCTGGGCAGGTTCGTTCACCCCTTTTTAGGCAACCTAGTGGTCCTCTGCTCCCAGAAAGTCACCATATTGATGCCAAACTTAGTGTGGACATCCCATCAGCAGAGCTTTCTACAGCCCAGAACTCCAGGGCTCAAGTGATCCTCCCACCTTAGCCTCCCAAGTGGCTGGGACTAGAGGTGTGCCACAATGTCTTATTTATTTTTAAAAAATTTTACTAGAGATGGAGTCTTGCTATGTTGCCTGGCTGGTTTTGAACTCTTGGCCCCAAGTGATCCTCCTACCTTGGCCTTCTGAGTAGCTGGGACTACAGGTGTGTGCCACCATACCTGGTAGCAAAATACTTTATTTGTATCCAGATATTATCCCACCATCTAACAGGGTTCATCCAAATACTTGTAAACCACAGCACTCATGGAAGGAAATATGAGACAACTGATAACAGAAGAAAATAGCAAGTGCCCCTGTCACCATCTTCTTCCTAGGCTCCTTCTTTAGCTGCCATTAACGTGCTCTCCAGGTGCCAGCTCTGATCCTGGATCCGCTCTCCTGCTCTCTGCTCAGAATCCTCACATCTTCCTGCTTCCACCAGATAGGAATCCAAGAAGCTGCCTCATTTGTCCCCTCAGAAGTTGTACGTCAAGTTTACAAAATAGAAAATAGCCCCTGTATCTCCTATTATGCATTCCAAAATGCTGATTGCTACCAACAAATCTGTGAGCCCTGACTCGAACCAACTTTGTCAGAAAAAAAAGAATTTTAGTCCCAGATTTGCCACTAACTTTCTGTGTGACCTTCAGCAAATTACAACCTCCTTGAATTATAACTTTCTCATCGGTGCAATGGGGATGATGATAGTTTTTACACAGCAGCATTTATTGACCCCGGTCCCCTGGTTTCTAGACAATGGGAAACCCACAGGAACACAGTGACGTGCCTACCTTCAGGAAGCTCCACAGATCTAAGTACATAGTACGGCACCCCTTTCAGAAAAGTTGCCCATTCTTGCGCTAAACTAAGAGTCAGCATCTAAGAATTTTAGAATATTGTATCTTCGTGGTTTCACCTGATATATGTGAAAGCTGCTTATAAGGTTAAAAAAGAAAAAATAATCTATTTTTTATTTTAAGCAAAGAGCAAATTCAGAATTATTTTTAAAACTTGCACTATTTTCCAAGTATAAATAAAGTAGGGCAAATGTAGCAAACTTTGAAACTCTAACCCTGGGGTTTGGGGTCGAAACATTTCTTGTATTAGATCATTGTACTTAAAAGAAGAATATTGATTAGTAGACAAGATTAGACTATCTCTAACAGTATTCTCCCTCAGACTCAGACAAAAGGAGAAAGAACTAATAAAGTTCTTGAAGCCTTAACTGTAGAGTTGAAGTTTCTATGCAGCAGGCATTTTCCTTGTGTTTGCTGAGTGCCTAACACTGTGCCAACTGTTGTAGGAAATAAGGAAAAAGGCTACACATGGCTTTACCCCAACTGAGCAAGAATCTTGATGGAAAGTGAAGACATACATACACAGGAAATTATGCAATTTGACATAGTGGTTTTATTAGGGTCCTCCAGAGAAACAGAACCAATAGAAAATATGTAGATCTATACAAGGAGATCTATTACGGGAATTGGCTCACGTGATTACACAAGCAGAGAAAGTGTCATGATATACTGTCTATAAGCTAGAGAGCCAGGAAAGCTGCTAGTTTAAGTCCTGGAGTCCAAAGACCAAAGAACCAGGAACTCTGATGTCTGGGGGCAGTAAAGACAGATGCCCCAGCTCAAGAAGAGAGGAGAGAATTTTCCCTTCCTCTGCCTTTCTATTCTATTCAGGCCACCAGTGGATTAGAGGGTGCCTGTCCAAACTGGTGATGGCAGATCTTCTGTACTTAGTCTACTGATTCAAAAGCTAATCTCTTCCAGAAACACTCTCACAGACACACTCAGAAATATGTTTTACCAGTTATCTGGGCATCCCTTAGCCCAATGAAACTGACACATAAATCAACCATTGTAGCAGTACAGGAAGACCTAGGAGATAATGAGTGCTCTGGTTGCCAGCGAGGGCTTCAGCAATGGTGGTGGCCAGAGAAGACAACAATGGCTCAGAAGAGGAGCTAAGCCTCTAGGATGGTGAGCTATGGATATATGTGCTAAGAGAAGGGCCAGCTGCAGAGAAGAAGTCCTACAAACCGATGATGGCAGGTCCTATGAGGCCTGTACAACCTGGTGTCCTGCTGCCTCTGACCTCTTCCTCCTACTCTCCTGCTTGTTCACCACAGCACAGCCACACTGGGCTTTATACTGTTTCTCTGCATGCCAGGCTCCTGCCACAGGGCCTCTGCACTTGCTGCACCTCTTCCTGAAAGATCATCCCCAGTAGCCTCATAGCATACTCCCTCCCTTCCTTCAGGTCCTCATTTGAATATCGTCATCTCAGCAAAGCCTTCCCTGTCCATTCCCACTTCCACCTTGGCTCTCCCTATCTGCCTTCTCTGCTTTCATTTTTTCCATAGCATTTATTGCCATTTGACGTAGTCTACATTTTAGCTGTTTTTTTATTGCCTGTCTTGTCCTTCCAGAATGTACTCTCGAGAGTAGAGATTTGTGTCTGCTTTGTTCACTGCCATCCCTTGCTCCTAGAACACCGTGTGGCACATAGTAGTCTTTCAGTAAGTATTTGTGGAATGGGTGAGTGTTGCACTCTATGGGATTGGAAATAACCATCAGCCTTCTTCCCAAGTGTTTTCAACTCAGCATACTGATGGATTTTTTCCATAGCAACAGAGCCCTGATTATCATAAAAGTCAACTGGAAAATATCATCTGCTTTACCAGCATTTGTTCTTTTTCCAAGCCTGCTAGGTGGTATCTGTTCTATAAATCAAGAAATATATTTATTTGCGAAATTTCTGCAGAATGATCACTGAAAATATCACCAGACACATACAAGCCTGTTATTCTCAATGATTCTAAAAAGAATGTGTTTTTCCTTTGTACAAAGGCCTGTATTCCTAGGCAATTTGGCAAATAATGCACATTTGTAAGCCAACGTAGAAACTTCCACCCCTTGAAGAAAGTTCAACAGCTTGGAATATCATGATCAAGTGTCCTGGGTTTCATGGAGTTCCTTGCAGACTAGGTCCTGCATTTTTATAGTGGATGCTTTTCCTCAAGGCAGTGAATATTTCTCAGGGCTTCCCTAACGAGTACAGATAAGGCTCTATGTGGCTCCTATATCAGGATGAGCATATGTCCTAAAGTGTCAAAGGGTCAGAGGTGCAGGCACTGAGGAAGAGGTAGTCCAACTGCACTGGCTATGGAGGCACATGCCACCAGGACCAGGCTGTACTGGGGGAAAACCACCAGATAGTCACTGGAAACATGAGGGTTCCATGGGTCCTTGGTTTAAGAAAAATTCAGGAAATCAAAAGAAAAACAAAGAGATCCATTATATTAAATAGCATGGGTTTTGTTTCATAATTTCTGAATCAAAAGTCCCATCAAGTTTCCTCTTCTCTTCCTTGAGTCCTGTTCCTTTTCCCTTCCTTGACCATCCGAAATCAGGAGAGACTCAAGGGCTAGAAGAGCTTCAATCCTCTCCCCTATGGAGTGAAGCAATTCTAGCACAAAGCACTGTATCCCCAGGAATTAATTATCTCCTAACTCTATTATAAATGTCTATTCCAGGGAGTATTTTCAAAGGCAGTGCAAACCTTTCTGAGGGATTTATGTAAACCAGCTAGTGACCCAAGGTTTCTTGACAAAAACTCCTGTCCCCAGGAGGTAAGATGGCTCAGCTGGGCTCACAGAACTTTCCAATCTCATCTGCTTAGCAACAGCGGAGTCAAGGAAGCCTGAAGGGACTTTATCAGCCAAGGAGAGCTTTGGCATCTTGTTTCTCTTTCTGGGCTCTGCCAAGAATGACATCACCTCACTGGATTATTAGCAAGCCCTATGAGCAACCTCTATCCCATCCATCACATCAAAGCTGCCCCACATATGTTCATGCTGGTCAGGGGAGCCAGTTTCTATCAGCTCTACGCCCTGGTTTAAACATTCCCAAGATGGTCAGGAATGGAAAAGTGAACTGAAAAAGTCACTGCTAGTATTACTTTTTAACCATGGAGGAAGATTCAGCAGGATACCATGATAACAGAGATATTATTATAGAGATTTGAATATACCATGGGTCAAGTTGTTCTTCCCAAAACTAAAATAAACCAATATTTATAGTAAGCACATGGATTGGCATAGCCAACTGGCAGGTGAGAGCCACCAAGTTTGTAAAGAGTCAGATACTCCTTCTCTTGCCTTGGTCAAATGCCCCAGACTAACTGTGGTTAGAATACTCCAGAGAGTGTGGGAGTCACTGTATAGCTTTTCGTGGGGGAGAAAATAGCAGAAATGGTTCACTGCTAGAAGGAATTTTCTATCCTGTCATGACATCCTGCACATTTATCTGGGCTGATCCGTGTTTACACCAAGATGGGCATTTCACAGAATCTTAGCATAGAGAAGGACCTTAGAGATCATTTATCCAAACCACCTCATGTTGTAATTCAGTTCATTTAACTACAAAAGACAAGTTTGAGGCCCAGCAAGGTTAAATGCGCACTAGTCAGCTAACTAGTTAACTAGTGGTGGTGATTAAAGCCTAGGATTAAAGTCCCTGATCTAGCTTTAGGAGGTTACTACCAGGGTAAATTGATAAAAGAAATTGATAAAAGATAAGAAGATAAAAGATAAAAGAAGGGGTGTAATTGTTTATTTTAATAATACCAACCAGTTAAAAAGTCACCCAGAGACCATTGCTCTTGCCTCCATCACATAACCGGTCACATTATGAATTCATGAGGGTCTGTCCCATCTGTCTGAATGCAGTGTCTCACAGCAACCAGGTTCATTGTGATTGCACTTGGCTTCCATAAGGTCATGCACTTGTCCAGGTAATGCTTTTATAACCAAGACCTCATCGTTAGCCTGGTCTGCCTTCTCCCGCCCCCTCATGCCTGGAGAACCCACCTCCCTCTTCCAGCCAGCCTAACCTTAGAGAACATGGGAGGAGAAAAGATTTTCCATTCTTTCAGTCAGTCAGTCTGCCTGTCTGTCAGTTGCTGGGGCCTGCTATGTGCTAGACTCTGGGAGCTCTGCATGTTTGAGTAAGGACAGACAGAAGCAACATTAAAACTAGCATAAACTACATTACTTTCTAGAACACTAAATAAAAGACATCTATGGCATCACTAACCATACCTAGTGAAAAGTACACTTTTTTATTTTACGAATTTTAAAACATTGATAAACTAAGTCAATTTGAATTAGAATTAAACCTACATATTATTTTCTGATGCTTCTGTTTAAATAGAGCATTGTGTTAGTCCAAGACCTCCAAGACATAGACATCAAGATGCCATTAAACATGCAATGATTTATTAGGAGACTGGGATGCAGGCTTGACCTGCAGTGGAGGTGAGAGGAAAGGAAAGGGAAGAAGGTGGATGAAGCTTCCTATACCGCCTGCAGAGTAACGGAGGCTTGGCAGGCTGTCAGGGAGTCCCTCAGCCAAAAGGGACCACCAGGAAAGTCCCACATCTCCCAGGAACAGGATGCCTTAGTCTCCCTGCCATTGTTTGGGCATTGGCTGGAAGCAGCCCATGGGAAATGTGGGCTCGGTGATAACATAGTGACAGGTCTCAAAGTGCAGGAGCTGGGGCCTTTGGTTGATTGAGTTCCCCATAGATGGAAGTCTCTGAGCCACATTCTCACAGCTACCGCAGACATCAAAATAGTCTCTATGTTGAACCCCATAAAGTAGAGACTGTGTAGAATAGTTGTTGACGGAATCTGCTGTGGAATTAGACTACTGTTTTTGAGTCTGGTTCTGATCTTACCAGCAGCGTGACCTTGGGCAAGTTACTCTTGCCATGGACTCCAACCACTCATTTGTAAGATGTGGGTAATAATGATACTGAGTTCATAGGATTGTGAAGATTACATTAATTAATGTAAGGCACTCTTGAGCAATGCCAAACTCAGACTACGAATGCTCAATAAAAGTTAGTTTTTATTATTGCATTCCATTTTAATTGTGGTCTATTAGGGTTAAATTGTGTCCCCTCAAAAAGATACATTGGAGTCCTAACCCTCAGTACCTCAGAATGTGACTGTACTTGGAGACTGGGCCTTTACAGAGACAATCGAGTTAAAATGGAGTTACAAGGGTGGTCCCTAATTCAGTGTGACCAGCATCTTTATAAAGGGAAATCTGAACAGAGACAGACACACAGAGGGAAGACATTGTAAAGAGACAGGGAGAAAGGAAGGCCCTCTACAAGCCAAGGAGAGATGCCTGGAGCAGATCCTCCCCTCACAGCCCTCAGAAATAACCAACCCTGCCTACACCTTGATCTTGGACTTTCAGCCTCCAGAATTATGAGCCACCCAGTCTGGAATAGTTTTGTTATGACAGCCCTAGAAAACCAATACATGGTTCATTCTTGAATTTTGAAGCTCTGGTCCTGTCAAAGAAAGTTTTGAATGAGAATACTGGCTGGAAGTGGGTGCATTGGCCCCTGGCCCAAAAGCACTACAGCCTCCTTCAACACTGCAGCTGACAAACATGTCCAGTGTCAGAGCCCACCAGGCAGTGCCTTTTCCTCTGTGGCGGCACATGCCCTCTGTGTGTGAGTCCCAACCCTAGGGCCAGAACCGGTGCCTTGCTGTTATTTTAGATCAGGTACACTTTAACTGACAGTGGCAGACTTGGAAACAGACATTTGCCCATAATTGCCATGATCTGTGACCATCATAGCTAGAGGTTGAAACCACCGTGCCTTATTCAAAGTGGATGTCCTGTGCAGAGTGAATTACAAAATTCAAGAGGAAGTTTACTGAGATTTCATGTGAGCTTATCCTGAAAAACAGTGGTCAAATAAATTCAGTCAAGAGAATTGAGAGAACTTTAAAAAACCCATCCAGAGTCTAATTTCTCCATCTGAACTGTAATACGATCTTATTTCATGTGAACAATTGCCTCAGCAAAGAGGTAGGGAGGGTGGGGTGGCGGGGGAGGGACAAAAAGGAGAAAAAGAAAAAAAGTCAAATTTTTCTGATGTTATCTGTGGTTGCCCAAGAGTCAATGCAAGTTTAATGAGCTTTGATCTGAGTTTCAACCAATTCAATTCTTTCCGTTATCTAAATGGAATCAGTTTCTAACTGCCTCACAAGGACTCATCGCTACCTATGTTAGACTTGAGACAGTACCAGAGACATCATAACTGAGGGCAGAGCAAGAACCACCTCCACGGGCTGTTGCCTGCCCCTCCCTTTGGCTGGGTTGCATGGCTCGGGGAGCGTCTGTTAGGTTCAAACATCTTGTGAGTAAAGGGTTATGTGGTTCTGGGGTTGAGGAGCTGATAGCATCTTACCAACTGCAGCTCATGCCGGGCCTCTTGAATTGACAAGCACTTGCCACCCCAGAGGGATCCTGGGGTCAGAGGCTGGTCCAAATGAGGTTCTCCTTTTTTTTTTTTTTTTTTTAAAAAAAAAAAAAAGGGTTTTCAAAGGGTTCACAGGTAGCACCGAATGCATGAGGTTAGAGAGCATCCTGCAAACGTTGGATATTTCCAGATAAAAGAAAATGCCTACAGGAGCAGTATCTCTCAGTTAAGTAGGTTTTGCCAGGGGAAGGGTGAAGCCTGTGGGAATGTAACTCTTTCCTTCTCCCCTCCCACCTTTCTGTCTCTCCTGGCGGGGATGCACGTTGCTAAATTTATCACTTCTTATATCATCGAAGCCAGAGAGTAGATGAGTAAGAAGCTCCAACCCTGTGTCCTAACAGATCTAGGGCAGAGGGTGTGGACAAGGAGAGAGTAAATCATTGGTTCTCAATGCCGGCTGCACGTCGGAATCACCTGGTGAACATTAGCAAATATTTTTCCCAGTTGTGCCTCCAGATATTCTGATTTAAAAGGGCTGGGCTGGGGCTCTGGCAACGGTAGCTTGTAAGGCTCCCCAGGTAATTCTAATGCACAGCCTGAGTTGGACACAAGTGAGGTCACCTCAGGCACCTCCGGCAATAGAGTAGCAACCCAGAAAGTCCGTTCCTCCACCCCTGAGTGCAGCCCAGCCCACTGCCCTCACTGATGGAGTAGCTTCCAGAAATGAAGGGAGCCAGTCAAGGTGAGGGAAACCCTGGGACCCTGAATCTGCTGCGGGAATGTCCCTCCATCAAAGTCATGCATGAGGCCACTGGAATCACGAAGTCTGTGGAGACTGCCTTCCCAGGCAGGCAGGCATTTGGGTGGAAAGGGGAGCATGGCATTTGTTAAGCAAGAAAAGAGAGGCCCAGGGGTTTCTGCCAAAAGGAAGAAGGTAGAAGTGGGTGTTAGGGAGCCTGAATCTGAAGCCAGGAAACTGCACAGAGGCAAGAGGGCGTGCGGTCCTCACCAGAGCCTGAGGGAGAGAGGCACTGCCCTCGAACCTGCCCTCAAGCCCCAGCTCCACAGCACCCAACTCGACGAGGGTGGGTCACAAATCACAAGGGGACTGCAATGGTGGTTTTCTTCTCTTTCTTGAGAATAAATACAGAGACCCTATTTTTCCTGTTTACTCAATGGACTTACTTACAAAGGAGGCCATTTATAACCTGGGCATTTAATCCTTGTGCTTCTCTGGCCTAGTGAGTGAGAGAGGTGTCCTTCAATCCCTGGCTGTGGGGTGGGACCGGGACAGTAATTCACCTGGGCTAGACTGAAAGAAGGAATTGTGTTCTCTCACCTGCTTACATTTTGCTTCTGGGGATAGTTCCTTTTACCTTATCTAGATGGAAAATTTCCTGAAGTGAGAAATGCTTTTGCCATCTGCCTTGCCCAGGTAGTCTACCTCAGATGGAGTCACCACAAACAATTGTGTGCGTGTCTCCTGATGTCCATCGCTGTCACGGGGGGAGAGGCCGACTATCACCCCACTGGAGCCCTCCTTCTAGAGGGCATCAGTGGCCCCTATCCTATCTGCCGCTGGGCTAAGGCTAGAATGTACGTGTGACACACACCTAGCTGGAGCCCGGCTGCAGCTGCCGCATTGCAGGTTCTCCATCCAGCAAGTACAATCTTAGAGCAGAGGAAGACTTTCCAGAGGCATTTGCTCTCGCTGGTTGGAAGAGACACTCAGGAACACATAAAAACTACATAAGAGGAGGGGTGTAGGTTTGAAACTGCCAGTAGCTCATTTTGTGAAGGAGACAAAATTGGCTTTGCTAAATTGATGGGCTCTGGTTGGCTGCTGTCACCTACTACTCATAGTAGCCACAACCTCAGAGGAGAGAGAAAGGACAGTGTAAATGACAGCTTTGGGAAGGGTGTGAGCCAAGAGGGTGTCACCAGGGCAGAGAGCCACTATCTTCCTCTCCTACTGCTTCCCTGCAGTAGGATTCGTGCCACACTCCATCTGGCCATGTGGCCCAGACATGCACTGGAACCTGGCTTGGAGACATCTCCTGCTCCCTTTGTCTAGGTCATTTCTTCTCCTCCTCCTTCAGATTCATGGTCAATCTACCTTAGGTCCTTCAGAAACCTGTCTTGACCTCTCTGATTAGGCTCAGTTGCCTTACTGATGTCCTCATAGCACCAGGCACCTCTCCTTCACAGCACTAACCAGAGTTATAGTTTTACTACTCATCTCCTTCAGTAGACTGCAAACCCCGGGAAGCCAGGAGCAGTGTCTGTTCCTGATTATGGTTTTATTCCCATCACCTTCCACAGTATATAACATAGTAGAAACTTAACATGTAACCAATTTTCTGCCTACAAGAAGATTTGTGTGCATGTGTTTACTTTATGAATGCATTATCCCTTAAAAATAACAGGTGTGGCAACTATAATATACATTGACACTGCCCTCTCCCATCCAAACATACACCATTTCCCCTTATAGGTTTGAGAGCACTGATCTCTCTCTCGTGGGTGAGTATGGGTCATCAATGGAGCCCTAGCCAATGCCTTGGGGACACTGTGCCTGGAAACCAGACAGCCCTTACCCACCTGGCTCCACTACTGCCCAAACCTCAGAGTCAGCCAATAGCCCTTTCAGACCACAAACAGAGGAAAAGAGAATGGCCTCTGGAGAAGTTAAAAGGGATATGAAACCACATTACTATGCTTTGGGAATGAAAAGTATTAGAATAAATCCTTAAGGATCTAATCTCATCCTTGGAAACACTTTTCTAAAACCATACAGGCCTCTGACATGTGTTAGCTCCACTCCCACTTATTAAAGCCATCCACTGGCCATTTAAGGAAGGACAAATCCATTCTGTGCACTGTGTCATTAGGTTAAAGGCATGGGAAAACAAATGCACTTGGACACAGGCCACAGACTATTTCCAGACAGTGGAACCTCAGGGAATTGGCTCCATCCAGATCCTCCTGGGAGACAGGAGGCAGCAGACGTGCCATTAGTAGTTTCATGCAATTACCATGGATGACTGGGGAGAGTGGAGAGGACAGGGCTTGTCGGGTTTAAGAGCAGGGAGTCTGGTCATATAGACCAGCATAGGGACTGGGCTCCACAATTTACAGGTAGACTAACTCAGCAAATCAGTTAAACTTACGATCCTCTCTTCCTCATGTAAAATAGACATGATAATGATATCTCATAGAGCTGCCATACAAATTAGCGAAGTAATTCATGAGGCCACCATGCCTGGCCTCATGTAAAGCACTTTGCCTTGCACTTAGAAAATAATTAATATTAGATATTAGTATTAAGAATGAAGCAAATGTTAGAAAAGAAAATCTGTACATTTCTAACTACACAGGTTAGCTCCTTTCCAAGTGATCAATAAATGAAACACTGTACTATTATGTATCTCCTTTCATTCAAACATCTTTTCCAAAATATAGTTGCCACCCGGTGCCCACTGGTCTCCCTTGCTTTCCTTCAGGATCCATAGTAAATGAGGTATGGTTTTGGTCAAAGCTGATTTTTGTGTTGAAATTATGCATTTAAAAGAATTTTTGGCAAGGAGGATCATTTTGGGTAGTTTGGATACCATGAGTCAAGAGAAATTTGAGTTCACAGGATTATTGTCTCGTGAGATTGAAAATTCCAACAATTCATGAGGAAGTCTCTTAAAAGGTATATTCAAGTCTGGAAGGACCAAAGCAGTTTCTCTAAATGATATGTCTTTTAGGACATTCCTTAAGTGATTTGCTTTGTTTGGGGCTCTTTTAAGAAACCACATGTAATTACATTCAAGTATTCAGAAGGTTAAGCCTCAAACTAGCAAATGCCAAGAAATTCAATGTTCTGATTGCCAGCCCATCTCTAATTCAGCAAGTGGGCCTTTGTTCCTCCCCGAAAGCATAATGCTGTCAGAAAAGAATGTGAGCTGTAGTGTCTATGGCTTTTGGCTTCTCTCTGTAGCATTCCTTTCCATTATTTGGGCAGGTCTTTTGATATTAATCAATTCTAGTATTATTTATAAATAGTCTTATCTAGGGAGGAAAGGCACATACATATCTTAAGACAGGCACTACATGCTAATGACAGGGCATTGTGAGGTTTTTCAAAGTCTATATGAGTCAAGTCTACAAAAGCATTCTGAAACCGAGTTCCCGAGGGTTTGTGATACCTTCTTTTTACTAACTCACTTCTAATAGGGGTAGTCATGCCTTGTGCATGCAGAAATGTTGCTTTTACTCATCATGGACTAGATCGCTGTTGAATCCAATATTCTAATTCTTTCAGACCACTGAGACCTCAGATGTTTTTCTTTCCTGCTATTGCTTAAATGATCACCAGTCTATAAGGTAGAAGCTGAAAGAAAGCCATGCCTAAAGGAAATCAGACTTCATACAATTGTGTCTTGCAACTAAAGACAAAATGTGTAACTATTCTCTATGACTACTCTCTGTGCTGGATTCTCTTGAAGTTTTGGTGCTCATAGAACTACCAGATGAATACCCGTAATGGAAGTGGAAAAGCAAAGAAAGGCTGTTGACAAAAGAGCTTCATCCATTCATTCAGGAAAAAAAAAATTAGCAATGTCTAGTTTGAACCAAGTGCTGTTCTGGGCACAGAGGATACACACAAAAATGCTCAGATTGCAGTGTTGGGAAACATACAATAAATGTGTGGTATGTATGGTACTTCAGTGTAAAATGTGTGGCACATTGGGAAGAAGTGATATGTATAAAAATAACATGGGGAAGAGGAATAAAGAGTTCTGAGGGCAGGGCACAAGTAACTACAATTTATAGTTACAAAGGTGGCCATGGAATCCCCACTAATATCTGAGCAAAGACCTGAAAGAACTGAATCAGGGATTCATGTGGATGTCTAAAGAAAAACACATTCTCAGCAGAAAGGGCGCTACTTTAGCCTTGTGCAAGGAAGAGGCCAGCATGACTGGAGAAAGGGAGTGGGAGTGGCAGGAGTCAAGCTGAGAGAAGAGGGGGAGGGGCTGTTGAAGTAGCACATTGTGGGCCATTTATAAAGACTTGGGCTTTTACTCTGAGTGAGATACAGTCATTGTAGTGTCATGAGTAGGGGTGACCAGATGTGCCTTTTGCTTTATAAGAACCCCCTGGATGCAGTATTAAGAATGGGTGGTATGGGGGGAAGGCAGAAACAAGCCAATTAGGAAGAATGTTGAAGACTTGGACCAGAGGTCTAAGAAGTGGCCAGATCCTGAATTATTTCAAAGGAAGAGCTAATAGGATTTGCTAATGGGATTAGATATAGGTTTGAAAGAAAGACATGAGTCAAGAGTAACTCCAAGATTTTTTTGCTTGAACACCAAAAGATGGAATTGTTATATTTTAAGAAAAGAGTGGGGGCGGGGTTGGTGGTGAGGATTTGAATATTGATGTGTTAAGTTTGAGATGCTTATTAGACATCAAAATAGAGATGTTGAGTAGGTAGCTGGAGTGAAAAATATGGAATTCAAGGAAAAAGTCTAGACTTGAGACATATTTTTAGGTTTTATCAGCCTTTGGATGATACTTAGAGACATGTGACTGGCTAAGGTCACTCACATGGTGAACGTAGGTGGAAAAGAGAAAACATCCAAGGACCAAACCCTGTGGTATTCCAGTATTTGAAAGTATATATCTGGCGCAACTCTGGACAATTGCATTATTCATAAATGTCCTAATCCTGCTTTGTTCAGAAAACCTCATTTTGTTAAATCAAGCAATTTAATATCTTTCAAATTTTCTCAACTGGAGTGCTCCTATAATACAGTAATACTTAATGCTATGATTATAGAAACTCTAAAATCTTTTTTGTGCTGAAGGAATTCTTAGTCATCAACCTTCATAAATAATTTTTGAAAGCTTCTTTGTCAATGACTAGGCTAGTGCTATAAATCCAAGCAAAGACAGATATCCAAAAGCCTTTTTGTATTGCTTACATTAAATCAAGTGATACTATCCCAAAATCAAAAGTGCAAACTCAAATATTATGTTTTACTAAGAAAGAATGTATTTGTTATCTATTACTGCATAATAAATTACCCCCCAAAATTTTAGTGGCTTGAAACAAGCATTTATTATCTCACAGTTCCTGTAGGTTGGGAATCCAGGCATGGTTTAGCTGGATTCTTTGGCTTAGGGTCTCTCATGAGGCTGCAATAAGGCTGTTAGTTGGGACTGTGGTCTCATCTGAAGATTCAACTGGGGGAATAATCTGCAGTTGATCAGAGGCAACCCCCCAGTTCCTTGCCACATGGGCCTCTCCAGCTTAATTCATGAGAGAAAGCATGTGAGAAGGGCCAGAAAGACAGTGCTAGCAAGAGAGTGAATGAAAGCAAGATGACAGTCACAGTCTTTTGTAAACCAAACATAAAAATGGCATCCCATCGCTTTTACTGTATTCTATTAATTTGAAGCAGGCGAGTAGGCCCAGACTACACACAAGAGAAAGAGACTACATCAGAGTGTGAATACCAGGAGGCAGGAATTATTAGAGACTGTCTTAGAAGTTTGCCTACCACAGAGAGCATGGGTAATTATTCTTTATAATTAATAAACTATTTTTAGGACAATTTTAGGTTCACAGGAAAGTTGAGAAGAGGGTACAAAGATTCCCATATACTCCTTGCCCCCTCAGACACATAACCTCCCCCCATTATCAACATTCCTTCATCATAGTAATATATTTGTTATAATCAATGAACCTACATTGACACATCATTATCACCCAAAGTCTATAGAATCATTCTTTTTGTTATACATGGATAACATATCCATATTCTATGGATTTTGACATATAACAAAGTGTATTCATCATTGTAGTATCATAAAAAGTAGTTTCACTGCCCTAAAAATGATCTGTGCTTTGCCTATTCATCCCTTACTCCCCTCAACCCCTGGCAACCACTGATCTTTTTAGTGTCCATAGTTTTACCCTTTCCAGAATGTCATAGAGTTGGAATTATTAAATATGTAACTTTTCTGATTGGCTTCTTTCACTTAGTAATATGCATTTAAGTTTCATGTATGCATTTTCATGGCTTCACAGCTCCTTTCTTTTTAGTGCTGAATAATATTCCATTGTCCAGATGGACAGATTATTTATTCACCCACCTACTGAAAGGTGTTTTGGTTGCTTCTAAGATTGAGCAATTATGAATAAGGTTGCTATAAATATCTGTGTACAGGTTTTTGTGTAGACATAAGTTTTCTATTTATTTGGGTAAATACCAGGAAGTGTGATTGCCAGATCGTATTTAAGAGTATGTTTAGTTTTGTAAGAAACCACCAAACTGTCTTCCAAAGTGGCTGTACAGTTTTCCCATTGCTCTATATCCTCACCAGCATTTGTTGTTACCACTGTTTTGGATTTTGACCACTCTAACAAGTATGTAGGGATACCTCACTGTTTTAATTTGAAATTCTCTAATAACATATGATGATGAATATCTTTTAATATGCTTCCTTGCCATCTGTATATCTTCATTGATGGGATGTCTATTCGGGCCTTTTTAAATTTTTTTATTAGTTGATTTTTAAAATTTTTGAGTTTAAAGAGTTCTTTGCATATTTTGGATAATAGTCCTTTATCAGCTGTGTCTTTTTCAAATATTTCCTCCCAATCTGTGGCTTGTCTTCTCATTCTCTTGATGCTGTCTTTTGCATAGGAGGAATTTTTAATTTTAATGAAGTACAGCTGATCAATTGTTTCTTTCATGGTTTGTGCCTTTGGCATTGTATCTAAAAAGTCCTTGCCATACCCAAAGTCATCTAGGTTTTCCCTTATGTTACCTTCTAGGAGTTTTATAGGTTTGGATTTTGCATTTAGGTTCATGATCCATCTTGAGTTAAATTTTATGACAGTGTAAGAGTCGGCGTTCTGTGTCTAGATTTCTTTTTTGCATATGGATATCCAGTTGTTTTAACTATTTCTTTGAAAACCTATCCAACAATAGCCATTGTCAAAGATCAGTTGACTATATTTATGTGGGTGTAGGTCTATTTCTGGGCTCTCTGTTCTGTTCCATTGATCTATTTGCCTATGCTTTTACCATCACCACACTCCCTTAATTACTGTAGCTTTATAATAAGTACTGAAGTTGAGTAGTGTTAGTCTTTCAACTTTGTTATTCTTCTTCAATATTGACTTGATTATTCTGGGCCTTTTGCCTCTCCATACAAACTTTATAATGAATTTGTCAATATCCACAAAATAACTGTTGGAATTTTGGTTGGGATTGCATTGAATCTATAAGTCAAGTTGGGAAAAGCTGATATCCTTACCATATGGAGTCTTTGTATCTATAAACATGGAATATCTCTCCATTTATTTAGCTCTTCGTTGATACTTTCATCAGAGTTTTATAGTTTACCTCTAATAGATTTTGTACATATTTTGTTAGATTTGTAAGTATTCAGACTTGGAGGATGTTAATATATTTACATTATAATGTAATATATGTTACATTATATACAATGTACATATACATCATATACATGTTATATTATATTACATATAATTACATTTTATTAAATTATAATATATTTTTAACTTCAAATTCGACTTGTTCATTGCTGGTGTATAGATAAGTGATTGACTTTTGTATATTAACATTGTATCCTGCAATCTTGCTACAGCCACTTATTAGTTTCAGGAGTTTTGTTTTATTTTTTGTTGATTCTTTCAGATTCTCTTTACAGGCAATCATGGATTGCAAAAAAAGACACTTTTATTTCTTCTCAGCCTGTATACTTCTATTTCCTTTTCTTGTCTTCTTGCATTAGGTAAGACGTCCAGTGTGATGTTGAAAAGCAGTGGCGAGAGGGAACATCTTGCCTTATTCCTGATCTTGATGAGAAAGCTTTGAGTTTCTCACCATTAATTATGATGTAGACTTTTTATAGATGTTCTTGGTCAAGTTGAGGAAGGTCTCTTCTCCTGATTTGCTGAGAGCAGCGGTAATTTTTAACATCAATACATTTAGATTTATGCCATTATTACTAGGCAGTTAGATGCATCTTTAACTCAAAAATATTTTGTCCTTTGAAATCCCAATTTTTTAATACTTCAAGTTTGTAACTCCTTAGTGCATCATAAAATAAATTTAGTGGGCATGTCCAGCATTAAAAAAAACATAAATAAAGCAGAAGCTACTATACATTGCATATACAAAGGCTTAGAAGATGTACTACATTGTGAAGTAAATTCTATTTCTTTTTAAGAGTCATGGTCAAAATTAGTGATTTCCATAATACTGTTAAGTATGAGTGTGCCACCAAAACATAGTCGGCAGAAACAGCTACCCCCAAACTACATAAAGGAATGAATATCAGAAGAAAAGAAATGCCACCAAAACATATTCGGCAGAAAGATCTACCCCCAAACTACATAAAGGAATGAATATCAGAAGAAAAGAAATGCAATCAGAAGAAAAGAAATGAACTAACACAAACATGAGTTTGCCAGTTCATGCTTCTTATCCATTCCCTCGTGGGTCCTGTAAAGAATGATCAATAAAAGACGATGAAACCCTGAACAGACATGACATATATGACATCTTGCCTCTGCAGAGGCAAAGCAGACATACCACAACCTAATGAAAATACCCTGCACAATCCTACCCATCTTGAAGGGTGAGAAGCAAGATTTTTTTTGACAACAACAACAAAAAACAGTAGACCTTCTTAAGACAAATGATGCCATTTTTCAACTGGAGCGCCCTCTTCCCTCTCTAGGGAGGTGGCCACCAGACAATCAAATTTCCCAGCCACAGATAGAATGCTGTCAGTGCTTTTCTCAAGGCCTCAACCTATTTGAAGCCTGAGATCCCATCACTCTGTGCCTCCCCCAACTCCATTTCCAGCTCGTGACCCATCTAAATGTCGAGGCAGCTCCAACTTTAGCAGTGATTACAATAGGTATAAAGTAAGAGACTGTCCAGTTTAATCACCCCTTCTACCTAAAAGGTCCCTGTTAAGATCAATGCTTCTGCCATAAGACAGCAAAGCAAAGTCTTCATCTCTCATCCATCCTTATCAGCCAGACAGCAGACAAGCCAAGTTTCGGTTACAGAATCCAGATTTTAAAAATACATCATACGCCTGATGTTTCACATTTTCCACAGTGCTGCACTGCAGATCTTCCTGGTTTCGTGTGAGTGCTTCAGATCACATGAAACCAAAGCCAGGAACTGGTGAGACACGCTGAAAGTCAGGGTGTCTTGGCAGTGTTGACTTTGTAGAGGAACGGGGGTTCCGTTAACAGCATGTGTAATCTATTAGCTTTGGGTTTCAAGGGAAAAGGCAAGGAGAAAGGAGAGACAGAGGTGGAAGGGCTAAATTCATGGTTTTAGTCAAAGCTTTAGGCTCCCCTAATTTTTAGAGACGAAAAGAGCTAACCATTTTAGAGACTTTGCGTAAAGTGAATTTGGAAATATTTCTGCATTTTCATTTAGCATTTAGTGACCATAGTCTAAAAGATTTCATTTAAAGTTGGATGATGGGCCAAAAGGCCTATTGTTCTACACATCTCATTTGTTACAGACATGGAATCACAACATAGAAGTTTGAAAGTTAAAAACTGTTTGCTGATATAGCAGATTATTTATTTAATTCCAGAATAGCTTTGAAACTAATTTGAGGGTAGTGTCTAGGTCTTAGACCCTACTAGAAGTTGGGAAAAAGGATATTTCTACTTTTCTTAAAAATGAGTCACATTCTTAAAAGTTTTTTATGGGATAAAATCTGAGAAATGTAGTATGAGATGTATTTATTTTTGCTATGAATTAAGACGGAAGAGCCAAATCATCCTTAGATATAGAGTCATCTAGATTAGCATCATTATAAGCTGCTATTTGTGGTCTCATCAGAAAAACAAGATATACAAAAGAGAGGCTGTTATCCCTTCTCAAGTCTAGGCACCTTAAAATATTTATATTTAGATTAATATTAGATTCATATTAGATAAGTTTAGCTTTATATGAAGATTAGGTTTATGTTCAGATTAAGATTAAATTAGATTAAGGGTATATTTAGATTTAGAGTAAGAAGCTGGGTAAAAAGAGCCTACCTAGCTTTATCAGTTAGGAATGCTTTGGGCTGCAATTAATAGCAAGCCAACGAATGCAGCCTTAAACAAGCAGAAATTTACCTCCATAACAAAAAACTCTCAGGTAGGCAGTGTCCAGAACTGGTCATTATGCTAACAAAAGCCAGGTTATTTTTACTGTCTGCTTCATCATCCTTGTCACACCAGCTCATTGCTCCACAGTTGCAAGATGGCTGCTGCATCTCCAATCATCATGTCCACATTCAAGCAAAAAGTAGAACACGTTGACATTAGCAACATCTGTTCCTTTTATCAAGAATGCTAACAACTTCAGTTTGTATCTCATTAGCCTCAACTCAGCCTTCTGGCAAAGTCTAACTTTGGGGGAGACTGAGAAAGCAAGTATTTAGATTTTCCATTCTTTAGAGTGGAGATGGGTAGGAGAAAAGCGTCTTAGGAATTGATGTCGAGTCAGGAGAGAAGCATTACGAGAGAAACAAATGTTTATACCACAACAATCCATTAGCAGGAATGCCAGAGACTCAAGGAAGAACAGCAGTCAGCTCTGAACAATAAAGGGTAGAGCCTCACTCAGGACCCCTGCTACTGCCCACATGGGTTGTAGAGATTCATACACCATAGAAATATAAGTAGAAATCTGGACTTTTAAAGATCAATGGCAAAGCTCATTACTATATCTGTATTATTGTATAGGACACTAAACTATGCAGTCTAATATGATAATAATAACTATGTCAGAATTACAAACTAAAAGTTAGACATTATAGACCATACACGTTAAAAAAGGAAACAAAATAATGTTTGTTATAATGTTTATGTGCAGCAAATTAGATAGACATGTTTTCAATGAGAGCTGGTTTAAACCCTGACATTTCTTATAATCATCTCTTACATGTTGTTATCTATGCATTCATTCATTCAGCTGTCAATTGATCACTTAATCATTCAACTCAATCATTGAAGTTAAATCATTTAAACTTCGGCAAGGCTCTGGTCTAGGCACTGAGGATTCAGTGGTGGGCGAAAGCAGCCATGGTCCCTGTCCTCAGCTTTGATTACAATTGTAATCAGTGTCATCAAGTGCAGGGTGTTGTGAGAATGTCTAAGAACAAGATCAAACCTAAGGAAAGGGGTAGGGGTGAGAAATCTATCCTGAGAATATAAGACATACTCTGAGTTCTGGGAGATCACCAGGAGTTTGCCAGGCAGAGAGGCAAAGCAAGAGCAGTCTCCAGAGGAAAAAGGACTCTGCCAGGACCTGGAAACCACACAGTAGTTCAGGCTTCAAAAGAGATTTACTGAAGAATATTTGTCCAGGGTTATTTTAGGATGTTTATTTCCCCTATACCCAAACTGATAAAAATGATTGAGAGTGTTATGTCAAAAAAATCTATAAATATAATAATTTTCATATTTCTAACTCACATGAAAGTCTAACTCACTGAAGATGAAAGCTACTTTATTTCAAACAAAAGCTCTAACTATAAAAGTGTGGTTCTCTAAAATTGACATTATTCATATTTTAAGCACAAAATGGAAATAAGTTAATGAGTTAATTATCTCAGGGTATTTACCTTGACCATACTATAGGACCTTGAAAAGAGAAAGTTTCATTACAAAATCACTATGGGTCTTAACAAACTAGCCACTTAAGACTTCTTGCTAGGGTCATTATGGGCATCTCAGTATTTATACAGTTACTTTTGACCATGAATGTTCATGCTGGTCTAGCAGGAAAATAAAATGTTCAAAATCTAATAATCGAATGATAGATTGTTGGTCATTTACATGATAAGAACATACTAAAAGCCGAAGGACTTGTGGTCCTGAAGATGTGGATGGAAGGAGAGAAGTTTGGATAATTAGAAATCAAATAAGTATTGGGTTAATTACTGGAAGAATGGAGTTGACACAATGAGAAAATACAGACGTTGTGTTTAAGAAAATGGAAATGGTGGAAACCAGTGGGAAATAACACAGAACTGAGAAGATCATGAAGGTTTTGAAGGGAGGTGAAGTAGAAGGGACAGGAAGGAAGAATACTGACACCAAGCTGGTTCGACCAGTGAGTGTCATTGGGCAGACAAAGAGAAATAAAACCACTGATACAGAAGAGTTCTTAATTGAGAGGCTGGGGTCTACTGTACCCAAAGGGATCAAAGTACAAGGTTAGGAGGACCCAGTAGTCTGTAGGGCTACGCTGTAGTTTTGGTGATATGCAATGTCAGTATTTCTGGAAGATTATTGTTGTTGGATCTGCTGATGAGTGACCTCCATGCCTAGACCAGAGGTGGCTTTTCAGGCCGTCTTAGGAATCAGGGCAGAATACTGTTGTCACTGTCTGGGTTCATGCTACAGAGATTAGGCCACCAGTTCTTTGGCAGTGTGGAAAACGAAACTGTTTCAGACTTAAAGAATGAAGCTGCACCCACCTCTAACCCACTCTGTTCCTCATTCTTGACAGAAACTAAGTGAGAAGATTGTCCTTTTCTAAAAGTTTAAATGAGCCTTTAAAAGCATAATTTCTAAGTTGCAGCCAGGTCTTGTGTGTTGTACATGGCTCAGCAGCAGGTCAATTTCTTATTCCCTGCAGGTTCAAATAATGCACTTTGAAGAGAGAGCAAGGAAGAGATTGGAAATAAAATCTAATTTCTATTCTCAGAGAGAAGGTCATGCAAATTCTGAGGCAATTAGAAAGATATTTCCACTTTCTCCTTATGCTTTTAGCCTCTACTGCATTTAAGAATTAATACATGTTTTTGAAAGGTCTATTTGTATGCGTTTGAACCATTACCAGTTAGACAATAAGAAAATAAGAAGATAGATATCTAAATTTTATTGGTGGGAAGACCTCCATGTAGATTAGATGAATGATTCCTGATGATTCTATGAGACTTAGAACACCAAAGCTTCCTTCTGGAAAGATCTAAGGAATATGGAATGCCCAAACCTTCCACCATAGATTCTCCTGCTGGAGCCCCCTTGGGTATCACTATGAGCTGAATAACTCAAACTTAAGGAAATACAGTTCGAAAAATAGATTAATCCTAAAGACAAAAACAACTTCATGGGTAGGTTTGGGATTTCTCAAAAAGTCTATGAAGATTGTCATGCAGATTACAAAAAGAGGTTCTCCAAGAGATGAGGGGAGACATGAAGGCAGATACAAGAGCTCGACTCCCTGTTAGCTCCTTCAAGACATTTCATTTGTAATCTGGGCAGAGTCATGCCCATAATGTAGTGTTATTTCTTCACATATTGTTATTCCCTTTGGTTCCCTCAGGACTTCACAAAATCTGATGAATCCACACAAATGTGGATTATGCTTTTGTCAAGGGAAATGAGAAATAGGCCCCACCCTGTGCTGCCTGCCTCCTCAATGGAGACCACGTGGAGGTAGTATAAATGTATCCTGGATACCTTATTTATTATTGGAGGCCAAGATCATCATCAAGGGGCAGTGGCCTGCAGTGGAGCTCGGAAGGATACACTCTATGGAGGAGCAGCTGGCTGTTATGTGGACAATTTGGAAGGTGAATTGAAATAGCCTCCCTTTCCAAAACATGTCATGAGGTGATCCTTAAGGGAAAAAGAGAATTTATCCTTGATGTGGCCTTTTTAAGACAAGGCCACAAACTTCTTGACCTTTTTCCCATTGAGAAGTGGCATTGACATCCCCTCCCCATGAAGCTGGGTGAGTCTGTGCCTGCTTGGACCAGTGGATTATGGTGGAACCGATGTTATATGACTTCCAAGGTTAGGTCAAACAGACCATGTATCTTCTGTCTTGCTCACTGGAATATTTACTCATGGAATTTTGATCCACACGGAGAGACCATGCATAGATGCTCTAATGGACAGTCCCAGCTAAGCCTACCCTTTCAGTCCTGCCAGCCCAGATAGCAGGCTTTGCAGTGAACACATCTCCAGATGATTTCTGTTCCAGCTGTCCTAGGTTAGCCCCAGATGAGGCCACAGACATTGCTGAGCAGACACAAGTCATGCCCACTGAGCTCTGTTCAAATTCCTGTCCCACAGAATCTGTGAGCACCATAAAATGATCATTGCTTCATGCCACTGACTTTTGGGATGATTTCTTAGGCAGCAATATATAACAGGAACACTTGGGTTATAAATGCGATTTAACTACCTGCCATTCCCTAGTTTCCCATGGTTCACATTCTCTTATAGTGAGTGACTGATTCAAGCCCCAGTACAATATGACTATCTTAGCCATTGTCTCATGTAATAATCCTGCTAAGGGCATACAATCTGTTTGCATCAATTTCCAGTGAAGTGTGTACTGTGCTAAAAGCATGTTAATGAAGTGTCATGTCAGCATGTTGAAGGGAGGAATTAGTGTATTGGTCAGACCAAACCTCAGAAAGCCTGACATGGCCATAACATCCTTCTAAGAGATTAACTCAGCAAAAATAATCCCTACATGAGCCCCATTATTTTGACCAATAATGATTAAATTAGGAACAAGCACCTAACCTAAGAATAGTTGACAGCACGCCTCAATTGGCTGACAGTGTGTAAGCTAGAGCTGGCCAAGAGGAATGATGATAACTAACTGGTCTAATGGGAGTCTTTCTCTGTAAGTCTCTGGACTCAAGAGACAAAGAGAGGCGCATACAGACACACACACACACACAGAAGACATTTGGAAATTGATAGCAGAAAGTAGATATGTAAAGGCAACACAGAGAGAGCAGTCAGAAGTCCTGAGATAATAAGAGCCCTATGAAAGAAACACCAGAGTACACCAAAGTCACGAGTAAGCAGGAGCTAGGAGACAGAAGTGTAGGCAGGTCAACTGCTGACATCAGGAGCAGTGGAACAGAGTAGGAATATGGCACTAGGAATCAACGAGTGCTGATTGCAAAGGAAGCTGCCAGATACAGAGGACACTAGAGTTGAAGTTTATCCAAGCCTTTATTCAGTGATGTTCCTTTCAAATACAAAATTGTTCTGTGAGGAAAATAAATTTCCTTTTGATCGGTTAGTGACAGCATGTTTATTCAGATATAAAGCACACACTGTACATGTTTCCCACCATTTTTCCCACTTAGTAAGTCATACCATGGAAAGACTTTAGTATGTTTCTGCTTAACATCCTGTCGTGGTTGCTGGGCCCACCCTCTTGCTGACATCATTGCCAGAGCTGAAACCCCACAGAATTCTGAGTTCTGAGGAAGCAGCAGCCACAGCCACATAGTCCTGAGCTCTGGGTCCTCACTCAGTGGGCTCCTTCATCTGTCCCTGCCTGGTTTCTGTAAACCCAGCATAGGGCTGTCACAATGTGGCCACAGAAGCCTGGGGCTCCTCCTCAAGCTCACCCCATGGTGATGGTCAATAGCCAGCAGAACAGAGTTGGGCAAATGCCACACAGCCACTCAATCCATTGAGACACTAGGGTGGCAGCAGCAGCAGAGCCATCACGAAGAGACTTGGAGAGGGAGGATGGATAGTTTAGAAACTATGGGGAGGACAATGTTTGCACAAAACTGAGATCACACTGATACCTCAGAATTCCAGCTCATCTCTGAAGATTTTCCTTATGCAACATTCCAAGTAATCCATGAAACAGCCTCAGCCTGCCACCAGCAGCTTTAGCATGAGTGCTCAGAGTGGAGGCTGGAGCAGAAAAATCCATCTCTGCCCTGGGGCCCACATTCCAGTGAGTGTCAGAGAGAGCATGGGCTTTCTCCAGAGGATGCCAAAGGGAGGAATTTCACCTGTGAGCTGCCTCCACCCCATCTTAACTAAAGGAGATGACACTGACTTTATAGAACTGTACTGTGCCTTGTACAGGCGCTCTGGACCACTCTGGACCTGGGCATAAAATAAACAATGTGGCCTCTTTTTCCAGACCCCTGTTGTTGGCAGCCATACATCTCTCATCAGAGTAATCAGTACCCCAGTCTGAGGACCACACGGGGCAAGTCTGTTAATGCTTAGTTAATGGATAAGAAGTATTTGCCCAGACATGCTGTCAACCAGACAGGCATCTTCATGCGAGTGAGGAAAAGAAGGCTCAGAGCAGAACCAGCACTGTCAGGGTGGATGCTTGAAGTCTAGGAAGCAGGAAGGAATCCCTGCCTACCATGTGCTGGGTTTCCATAAAAAACATCATTTAGGCTAGGCACGGTGGCTCGTGCCTGTAATCCCAGCACTTTGGGAGACCGAGGCAGGTGGATCACGAGGTCAGGAGATCGAGACCATCCTGGCTAACACGGCGAAACCCCCTCTCTACTAAAAATACAAAAAATTAGCCGGGCGTAGTGACGGGCACCGTAGTCCCAGCTACTGGGGAGGCTGAGGCAGGAGAATTGCGTGAACCTGGAAGGTGGAGCTTGCAGTGAACTGAGATCGCACCACTGCACTCCAGCCTGGGCGACAGAGCGAGACTCCGTCTCAAAAAAAAAAACAAAAAAACAATCATTTAATAATAACAATAGATGCCCTAAGAAATAAAGCAGGGAAGGGCCTGACAATACAGCTGCAACACACAGAATTAGGAGTGATTAGTAGGAACAAAGGAAGGGCCAGTTAATGTTTTGGGCAAACAGGGTGACTTGACAGGTGCAGCATGTGCTCTGTACATACAGTGGTGGCGAGGGTTAAGAGTGGCCTCCACACAGCATCAGGTTTAGTCATGTAAGATGTGCTTCCAGGACTAATTGACATTTGCTATTATATCCTTTGGCAACAGTGCTCCCTTTGTTAATGTCCTTGAAGGAAATAGAAAACCTTCTGGTTTTGATTTTGCTTCATTGACCCTTCTTTGACCTGCATCTGGTCCTGGCAAGGTGGTGTGTATCTCAGATGCACTTTAGAAGTCATGACCTGAGACTAAACTTAATCCTGGTGGAAAGAGGGGAAGGAAAGTCATGCTGCGGGTTTGTGACCTTTATGTCAATGGCTAGGGGGACAGAGGCACCTCAGTGCTACTCTAAACAAAGGGCTCCCTGAGGTCCCATGCATTTGTTCCGTGCCACCGCCTGCTTTGCCCTTGGGAATAAAGCTCTATCCCTATGTTCCTCTGAAGTTCCCCTTTCCATCAGGGATTACCTGACATGCTTTTCCTTGGAGGACAGAAACCCATCTTTGTGGGGGCTCATGCTATAGAGGCTACAACCCTTCAGAGAGCACTTTCCAAAAAGAGAATTCTAGACGGGAGGAGTCCGCTGTATAATCTGCCCCAACACTTGTTTACCTTGACATTTCCTTCTGGGAGATTTCTGCTATTAAAACATGGAGCTTTGTTCCGGGAAAGAGGTCATCTGCTTGCACGGGAACACTTGTCCACGGCGACAGTCAGACAATGTATTCCTCGGATTTTTCTTCTCCCTGCTCGCTCCAAGGCCAGCAAGGGCTGGTTTTCTTGGCTTTTGGCACTGAAGGCAACAAAGCCTGTGGTGTGCTTGCCAGATTCTGCGGCCACAATTGAGCCAAAGCTGTTCTTGAAATGCTCTTTCCACTTGGGCACACGGCCCTCCCACTCCCACTTCCTGTACCCAAGGGAACCTTCTCCTACCACCTGCTCAGCCCAGCCTCTCTTTCCAGCGCCATCTAGCCTGCTCAATGCAGAGGACTTTATCAGGTCATCTCTGACTCATTTCAAATGGTTATTTATACCACCTGCATTTATAATTAACAGCAAAGGGGAGTTCTTCAGGAGTTGAAGTAGCAACCCAAAGCAGATGTTAAAGACCCCAGAGAATAGAGGCTGAGGGCAGCTGACCTAAAAGAATCTCACTGTGTTTAGGAAGAATGAAGTGAGTGAAATGAAGGAGGCTAGGAAAATGAAGACGGCTAGGGAGGAAGCATGAGAGTGGATCCCTATAGCTCTGTGGCTTCAGAAAAAGGAAATGAATCACTTGGATTTGACTACAGATATTGTATATAAGGTGACAAATTCTGAGAGTTTCCTGAATGCAGGGCCATTTGATTCTCATTCTGGGCTCAGCCTCATCTCCCCCATGGGAACCCCAGCCCCAGCAGCCTGTCACCAACCCAGAGGCTCTGAAGACAGTGGCCCTGGGAGAGACAGGACTTCTCTTTTCAAAGTAAACACTGACAAAAACCACTTAAGATGTCCATGGTCAGGAGATGACACTAAGAGTAATTAAAATCAAATTCTGAATCCTCTTCTAGCACTCACATCACAAATCATGGTGCCAGGAAGGGAAATAGACCAAGTAAACAGGCAATGTCAGGGAAAGGCCTGAAAGTAGGCTCTGAAGACAATGTCAGTCTTTAGAGTGATCCAGTCAGGAGGCAGGACAGCGGGGATATTTATACCCCTGCAACAGTAGGTCCTTAGTTGAGGACACCTCCCAGCAAAATGTAAACTTCCAGGTATGTTCCTACTCTGCTAACATATTGGTTCCAGCAGTCATTGATGTCATTTACAGCATGGAAATTCTCTGGCTAAGAGAAACAGAAGCTGGTTGTTGGGATGAGACTAGACAGGTGCTTGCCAATGGTAGAGGGACCCAGGCATGGGTGGAGCACTGACACCAAGAGCTGTCCCAGATGTCCTCAGGTCCAAAGCTCGTGCTTCCCCACTGGCACATGCCCTTGCCACAGACACGGCTAGAAGGCTATAGGCGTTCTGCATTCACAGGCTGCCATCCTGGAGGCAGGGTTGGTGGGGGCAGGGCCTATTTATAATGCCATCTCAGGGGACAAAGAAGGGGCAAAAACCCATTGTTCTTATGCCGCACAGTCACAGAAAGCCTCAACTTTTAAGCTTGTGGGTATAGCAGAGATAAAATTAGAGGATGGAAAGATGTCACCATTCAATTTTAAATTCCCAGACCCAGACTGTCTCTAAGGCACTATAAATTAATATTTTCTACATTTCCTAAAATTATCTTGTAATTAGCCCATTTATATTGTGTGACACTTCCTTCTGTGATGGGCCATTTTTGGTTTATTTTTAGAATTAATAGATTATGAACAGAATGTAACAATGATTTAAATCATAATAGTTATGATATTCTGTTTTATCAATTTTTAAATTATATTATTTTGCTACAAAATTTTTGATGTCTTGTTTCAGACCAATATTTTTAATAGCGTTTTGTGTATAAACATCAGCAAAGTGTGACATTTCTTATTAAATGAATCATTTTCTTAAATATAAATATTAGGCCACAATTTTCATTAGCTAGTTTTGGTATCTTTCATTGTTAACACACAGGAAACTTTGATATAAGAAGAGGGAAAATGAGCTCTCTGAACTCCTGAGATGGCTGCAGAGACAGCAGAGTTGACACACAGCAGGGGCATAGGCACCTTCCTGGACAGAGAAGAAAGCCCGGGAAGAGGTCAGTCTCAGAAGCAGGAGGTCCTGCACCTCCTGGCCACCACGGCCACAAGCTCTTCAGGAGCTGGGCCCAGAAGTGCAGGAAGGCAACATACGTCCAGGAAATGTTGGTTGGCTAGATGAAAGGATGAAGCGTCCTAATGACCCATGGACGGTGAGGACAGTTCCAGCCCAGGCAAAGGGCCTTTGAATCTGGAGGGGCTAGGCCAGCAGCCTGAATCATCTAGGTTTAAAGACAGCAGAAAGCCTGGCTCACAGCAGTGTGAAAGGACTCCAACCTGGGCACCTTCCCCAGCTTCATGGCCTGGGTTCCAAAGGGATTGACCTCTGACTCTTCATACCCACCTCAGGGGTAGCTGCCTGGGATACCCAGGCTCTGCCTTGGACCCTTGGAAGTTGGAGGAGCCCAGCAGTCTGAAGGAATATGCATGCTCTTGACTCTATTTACAGCTGGTCTCCAAACTTTTTCTCAGTATCTGTATCGGGTAAAAATATATATATATATATATATATATATAAAATATATAATATATAATATATATATATATATTATATATAATATATATATATACACATTCCCAATATTGGCAAGACAGAATTGTGACCTAGCTCATTGAATTCTTAACCCATGATGATATATGTGTAATGGTCTCCAGAGGGGCTATATCAGAATAACTTGATTTCAGTTCTGTTCAGCATGTCACTGGCCCCTTACTGAGTGCCAAGCACTGTGCTGTGTTCTGGGATCCAAAGTCGAATAAGACCTATTCCTTGTCTTGGAGAAGCTTATGATCCTGTGGGGAAAATAGCCCATATCTATAAGGTAAGGGCATAAATCAGGGAGTAAAGCCAGGGTTTAATGCTAGGTCACATGGGAACCTTAGGCTGGAGTGAAGCTCAATTCATCTATCTTTAAGAAGATTGAATATAATTATCATCCCAACTACCGAATGTACTAACGGAAGTGGGAATATCAGAGTGTGAAGGCAAAATCTTATTTTAAGTGCAATAGGAATGTATTTTTAGACTTGAAGCAAGGAGCTCTGGCTTGGGTGGGAGACTTGGATGGAAGTGGGAATTCATACCATTCTCTGCAGAGACCCAAGGGAGGCAAATCCTGAGCCATACTCTCTGGAGACAACATTCCAGTTTCTAAAATCTGATGTAAAGCTCACAGGGTTAGGAGACAGAGATAGGGAGGTAGTGTGCATCTACCCCCTTGGTAGGTGAGCTATGCCTTTGACCCTCTGAACAGAACTTTCAGAAAAAGAGATAGCCAGAAGCTGGTAAACAGGTGCAAAATTACAGCCAGGTAGAAGGAATAAGTTATAGGGTTCCATAACAATGTAGGATAACTATAATTAACAACAATGTATTATGTATTTTCAGATAGCTAGAAGAGGGGATTTTGAATGTTCCTCACACAGAAAAATGACACATGTTTGGGGTGATATATGCTAATTACCCTGACTTCATCATTACCCATTTTATACATGTATCAAAGTATCACACTGTACTCCCAAAATATGGACAATTATGTCAATTAAAAATAATAATAATAATAAGTCCAGAAACAAAGAGTTAAGTCACCAACTATTTTTTCCTTCTTGGTGAATTGATCTTCAGTAAGCCTTTTTTTCTTTTTCCCTTCCACCACCCCAACCCTGCTCTCTCTGTTTCCTTACCCAAGCTTGTGTCCTCTAGTTTTATGGGTGTTGCTATCGTCTCAGCTCCTGCCTGTAACTGCCCATTCAGCCTCTTTTTCATGCCCCTTCCCTGCAAGAAAACTGCTATAGCTGAATGTTATGTCCCCCAAAATTCAAATGGTGAAATGTAATCACAATGTGATGATACTACTAGGTGGGGTCTATGATCAGGTCATAAGGCTGCAGCCCTCGTGAATGGGACTAGTACCCTTATAAAAGAGGTCCCAGGGAGCTATTGTGCCTCTTTTACCATGTGAGGACACAGCAAGAAGGCATCACGTATAAGGAAGCAGGCTTTCACCAGACACTGTATCTGCTGGCACCTTGATTGTGGACTTCTCAGCTTCCAAAACTGTAAAAAACTAATTTATGTTGTTTATAAGCCACCTAGTTTATAATATTATTTTATAGTCACCCAAATAGACTAAGACAGAAACATCCAAAAGCGTTGGAAGCAGAAGATGCAAAGATAGTCCCATCACTTCTCAGAAACTCAGTCCCATGAGTGCTGGCCACTTCAACTGGGGAGGCTTAGTTTGGCTCAGCTTTGAGGAGGTGGTAAACAGCTTCCAAGTAATGGACTGAATATCTATGTCCCCCAAAATTCATATGTTGAAGCCTAACCCCCAATATGATGGTATTTGGAGGCGGGGCCTTTGGAAGGTAATTAGGTATAGATGAAATCACAAGAGTGGGAATCCCACGATGGGATTTGTGTCCTTAGAAGAAGAGGAAGAGAAACCAGAGCTTGCTCACTCTATTCTCCCACCTCTCCTTTTCTCTCTCTCTTCTTTCTTTCTCTTCCTCTCTCTCTCTCTGCCATGTGAGGCAACAATGAAAAAACAGCTGTGTATAAGCCAGGAAGAAGGCTGTCACCAAGAGCCCAACCATGCTGGTACTCTGATCTTGGACTTCTCAACCTTCAGAACTGTGAGAAATAAACATCTGTTGTTTAAGTCACCCAGTCTATCGTATTTTGTTATAGCAGCCCAAGCTGTCCAAACACAGGTTAAAATGGCTAAAACATTATGCAGTTTTTTACTCATTTTATTTTTCAAAATCCTCTCTCATTTAGAACATCTTTCAATTAACTTGAAAAATGACTCCTTATTATACTGTTACATATTTGCCACACAGAGAAAGTACAAACTATGGAGCAAAGAACTGCTAACTATTACCTCCATTCTGACTCTGGCAGGAGCTATGTTTCGAGGTAGTTCTGCCAATTAGTGGTTCTCAGACTGGGTTTCCCTATCACATAATCAGAATTCCTTGGGGTATGAACTATTCAGATTCTTGTCCTACCCTCCCCTGTCAGGGCAGAGTAGGTGAATGAAGGTAATTTTTTTTTTTCCTAATTGACATTTGGAACTCATTGCTCCAGAGAATATAAGTTGGAATTGCTTTTCTTCCCAATTTAGAAATTATCTAGTTTTCCTCAAGTCGTGAACATTCAGACTCTCTGAAAGCCTGTGTTTTCCCTCGAAACGGAATGACACATTGGCCCCCACTCCACCGCACACACAGTCGCCTCCCTCCTCCTCTGTTCACAGCCAAGCTCATGGCACATTGCCCAGCTGGTGAGCACGTTCTGGCTGCCCAACAGCTCTTCAGTCATCTCTTTAAAATTCATTATCCAAATGTGCAGAAATGATCATTTGGAGTTGCTATCATATTTCTCTGCAATGTGACACTCCTCTGACGGGATCATGTGTGGAGAAAACGTGCCCCTTTGACAGAGATGTTATTTCAGCAGGGTGTCTTCTTTCAAAGGGTTCTCCCTTTATCTGAACTATCAAATTGTTCCTAGTTCCATAAAAGCAGGGCAGCTATTGTGATGGAAATTTACATACACAGTGTAAATGCTGAGCTTGTTTGTTATTTGAAAGAAGCTGCTAGAGACTGAATAGATCAGGTGTGTCCTGGTCCTTCAATCAGGCCGTGGATTCAAAGGCTGGTCTTAAAGCGAATCCCTCCCTTTTCCTTATTCAGGTTACAGAGGCCACAGATGAGGAAGCATGTGCCACCTACCAGCTGAGCACAAGCGCCCAGTCTCAGCATGTGCAGCTCCTGCCTGGCATTGGGTGCCTGGTTTGCCAATGCTTCAGCATAATTATTTTACTCTATCTCCTGGGAGAACGCACTGCCCTCCTTTCATGTACAATAACACTTTTTTTGGTATTTACTTTTCCCATTCCAGACCTGGCCTTCTGTTCCCATAGACCATATTTCGTAAAAGATGGAGAACTCCTGGTTCACTGGAGATTAACTATATAAAATTTAGTCTGTGGGCCGCAACCTGTGAGTCATTCTTGAGAAAGTTTCTGAGTGGCCACCTCAGAAAATAAGAGCTTTCTAAATCTGGCGAGAACTTAAAGTCACAGCAGGAATAGAAAGAGTGTTAATGCAAGAAGCACCAGCATTTTAAACATAGTAAAACACTCAATGGCATTTTAAACATAGTAAGATACTCAAGGGCATTTTAAACATAGTAAAGATACTCAATTGTGAGCACAATTATGGCTTTAAGGGATTGCTGATTCATGTATTCCTATTTCTAAAACTTAAAAACAATTATACATGTAGGCCCAAGTATGAGCCATACTGCCCAATGTCTGTGAGCAAGATGGCAACATTTATTTTTCTCATAAAATACAAATGGGAAAAAGTAAATTAGAGGCCACATACTATAATGAGCAATGGACTCAAAAGATCAGAGTTCATATCCCACCTCCATCAGCACTTGTGTCCTTTCACATGTCATTTAATACACATGTATTTTTTAATGAATAGTATTAGTGAAAAAAGGCAGACAGAAAGAGACTTTAGGAACTTCACCAAGTACCACATTTATTAGATAAACTGGCCACAAGAGAGGTTAACTGACATAGCCAAGGGAACTCAGCAATTTTTAGCATAGCACTGGCCAAATCCCATTCTGACTTCTAATCAGTGATCTTTCTCACTGTGGCCTCGATTTTATCACCCCTCACATGGAAACATTAATGCTTATTCTACCTACTTCATAAAAGTCTTGGAAAAATCAAAGACAATATGTGGATTGGATTGAATTATCTCTAGAGAGGTATTTAAAGGCAATGTGCTGGTTCTTTTATAGTTTTCCTTATCACAATGAATGGCACCACCATCCATTCTGTTATACAAGATAAAAACCTTGATACTTCCCTTTCTCTCATTCTCAAATCCAAACCATCACTAAATCTTATTGAGTTACCTTCTCAAGGCATCTTAAATCTGTCCACTTTTTGCCATCTTTTGTTTATTGTCTTTGTCTAAGTATCAATGTCTCTCATTTGGACCACTGAAGTAACCTCTAGATTGGCCTTCCCTCACCCATTCTTATGCGTTTAAATGAATTCCCAACACAGACCCAAGAGGGTTCTTTAAAAATACAATCATAGTCATGGCCATTCCTGTTTAAAATCCTTCAATGACTTTCCATTGCTTCTAAAACATAAACAAAATCTTAGCCCATTTGATATAGCATAAAAAAGAACAAAATACTTAGCAATAAATTTAATGAGAGAAACATAAAACTTATCCTCTGCAAACTACAAAACATTGAAAGAAACTAAGACCTCTGTAAATGGAGAGATAGCCTATGTTCATGAATCAAAGATGCTATATTGTTAAATGGAAATACTTTCCAAATTGATCTATAAATTTAATGCAATTCCTCTCAAAATCCTAGCTGGCTTTTCTATAGAAACTGACAAGCTGACCTCAAAATTCATATGAAAACTCAAGAAACTCAAAATAGCCAAAATAATCTCGCAAAAGAGGAATAAAGTAGGACTTACACACTTTCTGATTTCAAGACTTACCACAAAGCTACCATAATCAAGACCGTTTGGTAATGGCATAAAGATAGGTATATGTGTTAATAGAATAGGATTGAGAGTCCAGAAATTGACTCTCGCATTTATGGTCAGTTGATTTTTAACAAAGGTGCCAAGACAATTATAATGGAGAAAGAATAATCTTTTCAACAAACAGTGCTGAGACAATAATATACACATGTAAAAGAAAGATGTTGGACCCCATTCTCATAAATATACAAAAATTAAATCAAATAGATCATAGACCTAAGTGTAAAAGCTAAAACTACAAAATTAGTAGAAGAAAGTATAGGAGTAAATCTCTATGACTTTGAGTTAGGTAAAGGCTTCTTAGATATGACACTAAAAGCACAAGTGACAAAAGAAAAAGCACAGGTGACAAAAAGAAAAAATTTGACCTCTTCAAAATTAAAAAACTTTTGTACTTCAAAGGGTACCATTATGAAAGTTAAAAGAAATCCACAGAATTGAAGAAAATATTTGCAAATCATATGTCTGATAAAGAACTTGTGTCTAGAATATGTAAGAACTCTTACAATTCAACAATTTAAAAAAATCAATTAAAAAATGATCAAAGGACTTGAATAGACATTTCTACAAATATTATAAACAAATAGCCAATAAGAATATAAAAAATATTCAACATCAACCATCAGGGAAATCCAAATCCGTAATAAGATACCACTTCACTAACATTTATTTTTTGACTTTTTGATAATAGCCATCCTAACAGGCATAAGGTGATGTCTTCCACTAGGATGCATATTTTTAAAAATGATGAAAAACCACAAGTGTTCATAAGAAGATGGAGAAATCTGAAACCTCATATACGACTCATGGGAATGTAAAATCATACAGCCACTTTGGAAAACAATCTGGCAGTTCCTTGAAAGTTTAAACATAGAGTAACTATGTGACCCAGCAATTCCACTGCTAGGTCCATACCCAAAAGAAGTGAAAATATCTGTCCACACAAAAATGAATGCATGAATGTTCACAGAAACATTATTCATAGTAGCCAAAAGGTGGAAGCAACTGAAATGATGAATGAATAAATAAAATGTAGTATATCCATGCAAAGGAATATTATTCAGAAATAAAAGAAATGAAGTACTTAATACATGCTACAACATGGATGAATCTTGAAAAAATTACCTCAAGTGAAATAAGCCAGATGAAAAATACCATATATTATGTGATTTCATTTATATGAAATGTCCAGAATAAGCAAATCTATTGAGACTGAAAGTAAATTAGTGTTTGCTTAAGGTTAGGGAAGACATGGGTTTAGGGGAATGGGGAGTGACTTTTAATGGAAATAGGATTTCTTTTGGGGGTGATGAAAGTGTCCTATAATTGATTGTAGTGATGGTTGCCCAACCCTGTGAATATACTAAAAGCCATTGAGTTGTATATTTTAATGGGTAAACTTTATGGCATGTGAATTCTGTCTCAGTAAAGCTGTTATTATTTTTTTAAAGTATCTTAGCCTACAAGACCCTGCACAATGTGTCTCCGAATGATCATTTCAGCCCCATCTCCCTGAACACGTCAATGACTCCTTTTTATACGTCCTCCTAATACCACGTACTTCTCCACCAAATCATTTCTTATGGATACAATTGTGCATTTGTTGTCATGGTTCATTAATTTTTGGTTCCCCTACTAGGCTATAAATTCAATGAAAATTGAGACAGTGTAAGTTAAAAATGTAAGTATTCATTAAGTAATAACCATCATATATCCAGTGTCTAGCATAGTGCCTGGCAAATAATAAGCACTCAATAAATATGTGTAAAGTGAGTGAAAGAATGAATTACAGAACTGTCCACAGACTGAATATCGGGCCCATGGGTAGCAGAAAAGAAGCTCTTTGCCATCTGTTATACTGCATCCTTAAAATGATACCTTAGAAGTAATAGTGAAGGTTCAGAGTCCAGGGGCTGTCACAGAAGAGAACTGGAGATCATCTCAATGTTTCTATAAATGTTGCGCCCTGTGTTAAGGAGACATTCATTCATTCACTTAATAAACAGCTACTGAGAACTTACCATATGCCACCCACTGTGTTAGGACCTGGGATATTGCAAGAAGTAAAAGACAAAAGTCCCTTCCCTTGTGACTCCAGCTGTGTGGGAGATGGGTATTAAGCTAATACACGATAAACGACTAAATCATTTCATGTGTAGGAAGGTGAAAGTGCCAAAGAAAGGACAAACTGAGCATTAGGTAAAGGGAATCGGGAATGCCGGCAGTAGGTGATGAATTTCCACTTAGAATAAGATGGTTGGTCAGGGCTGGCCTTCAGAGTAGGCTCTAATGACCCCCACTTTCTGGTCTTCACACACTGGGGTAGCCCCTTGCACCACCGTGCCACAGTTGGTCTGTGTGGCCAATAGAATAGGGCAGAAATACTGATACATCATTTCTGAATCTAGGTCATAAAATATAATGGCCTCTGCCTTTCTCTTGGGTCACTAAATCTAGAAAAAGCCAGCCACCATATTGTGAGAAGTGCCCAAATGGGGAGGCACCGAGGCCTCCTGCTAACAGCCAGTGCCAGGAGCTTAGAGGACCCTCCTGCCCAGGGAACACTTCAATGACTGCAGCCTGGATGGCACCTGGACTGTGGCTTCCTGAGAGACCTTGAGGCACAGCTACTCATCCGCTCCTTCCAAATTTCCTGATCCACATTAACTATGGGATAATAAATGTTTGTTGCTTTAATCCACTAAGTTTCAGGATAATTCTTTATGCAGCATATGCAGGGTGGGCCTCATTATGAAGCTGGCATCTAAAAGAAACTTTAAAGGAGGAGAGGAAATTAGCTATGTGGTTGTCAGGGGAAAGGTGTTACAGGCAGGGGAAACAGCTGGTGCAAAGGCCCCAGGAAGGAACACACCTGGTGGGTACAATGAGCAGTAAGGTGGCCAGGAATATCCGAGAGGGAGACTGGGAGGCGATGCAGTCAGAGACACGATGGGGACCTTGTGAGCATTGAAATGACTTTGACCCTCACCCTGAGTGAAACGGGCAGCCATTGGAAGGTTTTGTTTTATTTTTTCTGAGACTGAGTCTCAACCTATTGCCCAGGCTGGAGTGCAGTGGTGTGATCTCGGCTCACTGCAACCTCCACCTCCCAGGTTCAGGAGATTCTCATGCCTCAGCCTCCTGAGTAGCTGGGATTACAGGCGCCCGCCACCACGCCTGGCTAATTTTTGTATTTTTAGTAGAGATGGGGTTTCAGCATGTTGATCAGGCTGGTCTGAAACTCCTGACCTCAAGTGATCTGCCCGCCTCGGCCTCCTAAAGAGCTGAGATTACAGGCATGAGCCACCACACCCAGCCCATTGGAGGGTTTTAAACAGAGAGGTGATGTGATCTGAATTAATATCTAGTAAAGATCAGCCCAATCATTTAAGTATTTGAGCCTTTTTCAGAAATCATGCACTGAAATCCGGAAAGAGACATAGCTGCCCTCCTTTCCAAGGGTCCCCAGCAGGGTGACCGGTGCTTGATACCAGTTTCAGTTCTTAAACAAAATTGACTAGTTGCCCTCATCTGTCCCATATCAGCTCTGCTCCTGTAGGGGTCGCCCAACACCCCTCTGCCTTTGGATCATCTTCTAGTGTGGTCTCACCAGCTCCACTAGCCTGAGACAGGACCAGAGTCTCACAGGAGCCACCTTCGGTGGTGGAGCTCTGAAAATACGTGTCTATCAGGACCCTACTTCTGAAGATTGTGATTCAGCTGGCCTGGGATGGGGCTCCACATATGTTTATCTGTACCTGTATGTGCCATCTATATCTATATCCAATGTATAGCTATATCAAATGGATGCCTATAGCTATAGCTTTATTTTTTAAACCCTTCAGATGATTCTAATGCATATGACTGAAAATCCCTTCTATGAGAAGTGTGGAGAGCTGGGATCATGTCACATTTACTCTTGTACCCACATCAGGTCCTGGCACTTGGTAGGTGCTCAGTTTACATGTCGTGAATGAAGTAATTACTCACATTGAAACATGGGAATAGCCCACCCAGGACCTAAGGTCCTGCCTCTGCACTACCCAAGTTAACCTATCAGGACTTGGTGATGTGCAAGGCTCTGGGAAGAATGCAAATTAATGAAAAAGCTTGGTTCCAGTTTTCAAGGAGGAAATCACCTTTTTGGAGTGAGGGGCAGGCACACATGTAATGGGAAAGGTTCAGTCCAACAGAGTATAAAGCAATCATCAAAAGGCAGGATTCCTGGAATAAAAGTGTGAGCTGGAAGAGCAGAGTCTGCGGAATTATTAAAAAATTGTTCTCTAAGTTTTAGGGCCTGTGTGCCCAGGAAGATGAAAATTATTGAGTAGGGTTTAAAGAGAGAATGATCTTGAATTCTAGGCAACAGCAATCTGTTGGAGGAAGATAAGGGGGCCAGTGGGGCAGGTAGATTGAGGAAGGGAAGGGGGATCAGGAGACGGCGTCAGAGACAGAAGGTTGCAGGTTGCTGGATTGGATTTTTAGGCCAATATACTGACTTTGTTTTTTCACTCTGAGTGACTTGGGGAGTCAGCAGATGATTCCGAACAGAGAAGTGACATGCTCTGGCTTCAGTAGGGTAGGGAGAAGGGAGATCAGTTAGGAAATTCTGTGTAATAACCCAGGTGAGAGATAGCAATGGCTCAGATCAGGGTAGTAACTCTGGAAATGGTTAGAATAAAAGGCCATCCCCATTGTGCCATAAATAACAAATAGCAAGTGCTTATATGGAGCCTACTGTGAACAAGACTTGTGCTAACAAATTCAGCCCTCACATCAACCCCATGAGGTGGGTACTAGTATTGCCATTCGCATTTTACAAATAAAGAGAATGAGGTTCACAAATATTAAGTAGCTTGTCCAAGGTCACATGGCTGGAAAGCAGCAGTTTCAGGATTTACCTCCAGAAAACCTGACTCCATTCATGATTTATGCCATTTGTCATTTCCGCTGCCTCTCCTGGCAGTGCCAGATTTGGACAAGACCATCTAATCTATGTCCTGGGCTCCCTCCATGTCTTTTTTAGCCAGTACAAAGCCTGGGTTTCAACCCAAGAGGACAAGTATATGAAGAGAAAGTACGCTGGGTGAAGGCAATTTGTGGCAGGTACACAGTTCTACAATGAGGTAGAACTGGTTCCCCAGCCCTAATGACTCCATAAGCAACTAATGAGTTACACAAACACAGACTCTGTCAAGTGATGCCTGTGAGATTTGCACTCTCTCTCTCTCTCTCTCACACACACACACACACACATTCATACACACATACACATTCACACTCGCCTGCTGCACATTAGAATTTCCTTTGTCACCCACTTTTACCAATGGACCTGCCATTGGAGAATTTTTTTTTCTTAGAGCAAGGATCTGTGGTTGGTTTGCAGCTGTCAAAGGGTCAGGTTTTTTGGCAAGCATTGAATAGATGGCACACTCTGGGATCCTGGCATTATCGAGTGCTGGGCCACACAATTGTTCTCTCCTGAGGGGTGTGTGTGAGTGTGTGTGTGTGTGCACGCGAGAGACTGTGTGTGTGTGTTTGTAGGGGGAGACGGTTGTGGGCAGCAGGGGCTATGCCACCAGAAGAGTAACACATAAGGAAATGAATCCACACATATCAAAGACAAGAAATATGAGTACACTATTTAGGAAAACAGTCATTCTGAAGTGGGAGTAGAGATCATGTTGCTCTTTCATGTGAAGCCAAAAAGAACTTAAGACTGTGTTGATTGTGCCTGAAAAACAGCCACAGTCACACGGGACTCAGGTAAGTGTGAACACAGCAGCAGGAAATGCTGTATTTCTGGCCTCAGAACCCCATTTACACCCATATAATAGGCCTGGAACCTCAGCTAGAATCTGCCTCTCCTTGGGAAGCTACCACCTCCATAGATCCCCACTGAGCCCACTCAAAGCCTGATGAATCCTATTGGGCAACTCACTTAAAAAGATCCAAAGGCTTCCTTAAATAACCCCATTTGCCTCAAGAGAACCGGAAGATGGTCCTTCTTGACCATCTGCCGTGGCACAGAAATGCTGGGGCATTGGGGAATGATCTCAGAAACACTAGTGATTCAGGGAAAGGACAAGAATGAGAGACACACACAATGAAGACCACATGAGCATGGAAACACCTCCCAAAATGTGACTTTTACTTCCAACCCAGGCGTCCCAGTCAGATACTGCATGTTTTTAATGTTTCACTTAAAGCAAGAGGTAAGGAAGGAGTTCTAGGAATGGGACGCTTGGATTGCTAGTGAAGAGGGAAGTTGTAAAGAAGATACTGACCTCTAAGTGTTTGCAATCTTCTCCAACCCTGCCTGGCTACACTCTAAAAGGAAGATACCCAGGGATCTTCCCAGCAACTGTTCTGCCTGGGAGTGTTACAGAGCTGATGGGGTTAAAATGGCCACAGTGAAGCCAAACTGGAGAAGAATGAGAGCTGGCAGATTCCCATTGATTGGATAGAGAGGAAATGAACAAGAAAAAGACATCTGATAAGGAGAGAGGGGGGAAAGGGAAAGAGAAGGAAGAAGATCCTACCTCTGCCAGCTGAGTTAAGGACTCCAGTGGAAGGGAAAGAGAAGGAAGAAGATCCTACCTCTGCCAGCTGAGTTAAGGACTCCAGTGGAAGGGGCAGAGGAAAGGACTTTGGAAGGAGCTACGGCATGTGTGAAGGGGGTGAAGGTGCAGGAGACAGAGGAGAAGTTATGCTTTGGTGATGAAACTAATATCCTTTGGAAGGATTTTTTTGAGGTGAAGACATAAGCGTTTTGTTTTGTTTTCGTTGTTTAAAAACTTCAGCAAACATTTAAATTGCTTTTCAATTAGTTTCCATATTGGATTGATTGAACTGAGATGAAGCCACAAAGCAATTTTATTAGGGTTTCATTTCTTTTTAAAATACGTGACCTTAGAGATGAGGGGGTGAGAGCCAAGGTTAAGTCTGGTTTCACAGTTAGTTCCCAGAGATCTAGTGTTCCTTGGGGTATCCAAATAGAGAGGGGCCAGGGAAGGCCAGCAGGCACAGAGGGAGCCTCCCCTTCTCTATTTCAACTGGAATAGCTCAATTTTTAACATCTATTTTAAAGATAAAATGGAATGCAGTGTAAGATTTTCTTTGAGAAAAAGAAGATTCCTCTGCTAAATTCAAAAAACAAGTTCATCTCACTTATCAAGAAGTAAACTGAGCCCTGGAGTTTGTGGCTTGCTCAAGCTCTGGCTGTTCAGTTCTCGAGCCAGCACCAATTCCAGGCCAGACTTGCCACCCACCTGTCTTTCCACTACACATTCTCCTGCTTCTGGGCACACACATATTTCAAACCCATCACTGTGCTCTGCTCCTCATCTGGGAGCAGACAATTTAGGGAATATGAAAAAAAGCAACAAAATCCTAAAGCCTAGAGAGAAACTATTCCCCAAATATTGCATTATAATAAATACAAATCCCACCATGCCAGCTAGAACACCAGCTGCTAGAAACAAAATGTGCACGGCTACCCAGCACCTTGCCTTTACTCCTAGAGCAGTATAGTTTTGGTTCTATGTCTTTTTGCTTTAATTCTAAACTCAACCACAATTTTCTTCAGACAATTCCCTGCCAGCACCCTGTGTAGCAACATCCTGAAAGTAAATGGTGGACTTGCTGTGCTCCCTGGTTAAGTGCTCAGCTTTGCCTCCATCCATTTCCACCAGCACTTTAAAGGCACCTACAGTCTCCTTTCTAATGTCTCAGATCCAGCAACTGGTATCAACCAAATTTCATGGAAGCTACTTTCATTTCCTTTTCTTTCCTTATTGAAAACAAACAACAAAAACAGAGAGTTGATAAAACAGACTTTAAACCAACAAAGATCAAAAGAGACAAAGAAGGCCATTGTATAATGGTAAAGGGACAAACTCAACAAGAAGAGCTAACTATCCTAAACATATATGCACCCAATACAAGAGCACCCAGATTCATAAAGCAAGTCCTCAGAGACCTATAAAGAGACTTAGACTCCCAAACAATAATAACAGGAGACTTTAACACCCCACTGTCAATATCAGACAGATCAACGACACAGAAGGGTAACAAGGATATCCAGGACTTGAACTCAGCTCTGCACCAAGCAGGCCTAATAGACATCTACAGAACTCTCCACCCCAAATCAACAGAATATACATTCTTCTCAGCTCCACATCACACTTATTCTAAAACTGACCACATAATTGGAAGTAAAGCACTCCTCAGCAAATGTAAAAGAACAGAAATCACAACAAACTGTCTCTCAGACAACAGTGCGATCAAATTAGAACTCAGGATTAAGAAACTCACTCAAAACTGCACGACTACATGGAAACTGAACAACCTGTCCCTGAATGACTACTGGGTAAATAACGAAATGAAGGCAGAAATAAAGATGTTCTTTGAAACCAATAAGAACAAAGACACAATGTACCAGAATCTCTGGGACACATTTAAAGCAGTGTGTAGAGGGAAATTTATAGCACTAAATGCCCACAAGAGAAAGCAGGAAAGATCTAAAACCGACACCCTAACATCACAATTAAAAGAACTAGAGAAGCAAGAGCAAACACATTCAAAAGCTAGCAGAAGGTAAGAAATAACTAAGATCAGAGCAGAACTGAAGGAAATAGAGACACAAAAAAAACCCTCCAAAAAATCAATGAATCCAGGAGCTGGGTTTTTTTGTTTTGTTTTGTTTTGTTTTGAAAAGATCGGCAAAGCTGATAGACTGCTAGCAAGACTAATAAGAAAAGAGAGAAGAATCAAATAGATGCAATAAAAAATGATAAAGGGGATATCACCACTGATCCCACAGGAATACAAACTACCATCAGAGAATACTATAAACACCTCTACACAAATAAACTAGAAAATCTAGAAGAAATGGATAAATTCCTGGACACATATACCTTCCCAAGACTAAATTAGGAAGAAGTTGAATCTCCGAATAGACCAATAACAGGCTCTGAAATTGAGGCAATAATTAATAGCCTACCAACCAAAAAAAGTCCAGGACCCAGACGGATTCACAGCTGAATTCTACTGGAGGTACAAAGAACAGCTGGTAGCATTCCTTATGAAACTATTCCAATCAATAGAAAAACAGGGAATCCTCCTAACTCATTTTATGAGGCCAATATTATCCTGATACCAAAGCCTGGCAGAGACACAACAAAAAAAGAGAATTTTAGACCAATATCCCTGATGAACATCAATGTGAAAATCCTTAACAAAATACTGGCAAACTGAATCCAGCAGCACATCAAAAAGCTTATCCACCACTATCAAGCTGGCTTCATCCCTGGGATGCAAGGCTGGTTCAACATAGGCAAATCAATAAATATAATCCACAACATAAACAGAACCAAAGACAAAATCCACATGATTATCTCGTTAGATGCAGAAAAGGCCTTCGACAAAATTCAACAGCCTTCATGCTAAAAACTCCAAATAAACTGGGTATTGATGGAATGTATCTCAAAGTAATAAGAGCTATTTATGACAAACCCACAGCCAATATCACACTGAATGGACAAAAACTGGAAGCATTCCCTTTGAAAACCGGCACAAGACAGGGATGCCCTCTCTCACTACTCCTATTCAATGTAGTGTTGGAAGTTCTGGCCAGGGCAATCAGGCAGCAGAAAGAAATAAAGGGTATTCAATTAGGAAAAAAGGAAGTCTAACTGTCCCTGTTTGCAGATGATGTGATTGTATATTTAGAAAACCCCATCTTCTCAGCCCAAAATCTCCTTAGGCTGATAAGCAACTTCAGCAAAGTCTCAGGATATAAAATCAATGTGCAAAAATCACAAGCATTCCTACATGCCAATAACAGACAAACAGCCAATCATGAGTGAACTCCCATTCACTATTGCTTCAAAGAGAATAAAATACCTAGGAATCCAACTTACAAGGGATGTGTGAAAGACCTCTTCAAGGAGAACTACAAACCACTGCTCAACGAAATAAAAGAGGACAGAAACAAATGGAAAAGTATTCCATGCTCATGGATAGGAAGAATCAATATCGTGAAAATGGCCATAATGCCCAAGGTAATTTAGAGATTCAATGCCATCCCCATCAAGCTGCCAATGACTTTCTTCACAGAATTAGAAAAAAACTACTTTAACATTCATATGGAACCAAAAAAGAGCCCGCATTGCCAAGATAATCCTAAGCCAAAAGAACAAAGCTGGAGGCATCACGCTACCTGACTTCAAACTATACTACAAGGCTATAGTAACCCAAACAGCATGGTACTGGTACCAAAACAGATATATAGACCAATGGAACAGATCAGAGCCCTCAGAAATAACACCACACATCTACAACCATCTGATTTTTGACAAACCTGACAAAAACCAGAAATGGGGAAAGGATTCCCTATTTAATAAATGGTGCTGGGAAAACTGGCTAGCCATATGCAGAAAGCTGAAACTGGATCCTTTCCTTACATCTTATACAAAAATTAATTCAAGATGGATTATAGACTTAAATGTTAGACCTAAAACCAAAACAACCCTAGAAGAAAACCTAGGTAATACCATTCAGGACATAGGCATGGACAAGGACTTCATGTCTAAAACACCAAAGCAATGGCAACAAAAGCCAAAATTGACAAATGGGATCTAATTAAACTAAAGAGCTTCTGCACAGCAAAAGAAACTACTGTCAGAGTGAACAGGCAACCTAAAGAATGGGAGAAAATTTTTGCAATCTACCCATCTGACAAAGGGCTAATATCCAGAATCTACAAAGAACTCAAACAAATTTACAAGAAAAAAACAACCCCAACCCCATCACAAAGTGGGCGAAGGATATGAACAGACACTTTTCAAAAGAAGACATCTATGCAGCCAACAAACACGTGAAAAAAATGCTCATCATCACTGGCCATCAGAGAAATGCAAATCAAAACCACAATGAGATACCATCTAATGCCAGTTACAATGGTGATCATTAAAAAGTCAGGAAACAACAGATGCTGGAGAGGATGTGGAGAAATAGGAATGCTTTTACACTGTTGGTGGGCGCATAAATTAGTTCAACCTTTGTGGAAGACAGTGTGGCGATTCCTCAAGGATCTAGAACTAGAAATACCATTTGACCCAGCCATCCCATACTGGGTATATACCAAAAGGATTATAAATCATGCTGCTATAAAGACACATGCACATGTATGTTTATTGTGGCAGTATACACAATAGCAAAGACTTGGAACCAACCCAAATGTCCATCAATGATAGACTGGGTTAAGAAAATGTGGCACATATACATCATGGAATACTATGCAGCCATAAAAAAGCATGAGTTCATGTCCTTTGTAGGGACATGGATGATGCTGGAAACCATCGTTCTGAGCAAACTATTGCAAGGACAGAAAACCAAACACTGCATGTTCTCACTCATAGGTGGGAATTGAACAATGAGAACACTTGGACATGGTGGGGAACATCACACACCGGGGTCTGTCGTTGGATGGGGGGCTGGGGGAGGGATAGCATTAGGAGATATACCTAATGTAAATGATGAGTTAATGGGTGCAGCAAACCAACATGGCACATGTATACCTATGTATCAAACCTGCACATGGTCCACATGTACCCTAGAATAAAAGTATAATAAAAAATAAAAAAACAGAGTTATGACTCTGAGAGGTGACCTGACCAGCCCAGGGCCCATTAATCCCCTAACACAGGACTCCTATTTCTCACCTGTTCTCTGCATTTTATGGAAAGGTGGATGTTGGGACCATACCTGCTTCCCAACTCTTCCTAATTATCTTTAAAGACTTACTTAGAGCAAATGACTCTGTACAACTCAGGAATCTGATTTTTGTAAAAAGGTGAGAATGTTTTGAAACACAACCAGCATATGCTAAAGAAAATTGTACCATTTAACACACCAATTATAAGTTAAAGTGCAGCAACAACAAAACAGCTTTCCTCACACTGAAAAATCCAAAATAAGCAACTCCAATCAAATTTCAAATGTATTGATTTAATTTCAACCAACACAAGTCAGTGGGTTTAAATATCATGTCTAATTTAGAAATTCACATTTCACCAATAAAAAAATTATGTCTGGTCCTCATCTTTGGCCACCTCATCCTTTACCTTCCTTATGAGCAGTATGGCAGTATGGCCTGGAGGAGCTTTTTTCCTTTGGGCTCCATGTGGGCCAATCTAACCCCCTCCTCAGGTACTGGGCTGAGTTTTTTTTTTTTTTTTTTTTTTTTTTTATGTACATTAATTCTTCTGTTTGTCTTTATGCTTTTATTCCGTGAGTTAGGTTAATATAATGGCAAAAGGGGAAAAAACACAAAAGATATTTATGTCTATTTACATACATAGTGTGCATACAGTATGTATAATGTCTGTGTATATTTACATGCAAACATATGGCATACATAACATTGACATAAAGTATATGTATGTAGTTAAATATGTGTGCATCTATCAAAGAAAAAAATATATATAACACACATTTGGGTAAATATAAAAGTACTGAAGTCCATATTGAGGCATAAGCTACAGATCCCCATTTGATACAAATAAAATGTTTCATGTCTTTGCACCTTTGCATAGGTTGCTTCCTTCAGCCTGAAGTGTTCTTTGAATCCCCTTCACCTCCCAAACTGCTTAGTCATCAAGAAACAGCTCAAGATCCACTTCTCCATTATGCTGTTATTGTGCTGGATTTCACCGAATTATTTCCTTCTTTCTCTTTTTCTTTTTTTTTTTAAATTACACTTTAAGTTCTAGGGAAAACGTGCACAACGTGCAGGTTTTTTACATATGTATCCATGCGCCATGTTGGTGTGCTGCACCCATTAACTCGTCATTTACATTAGGTATATCTCCTGATGCTATCCCTCCCCCTCCCCCCACCCCATGACAGGCCCCGGTGTGTGATGTTCACCTTCCTGTATCCAAGTGTTCTCATTGTTCAATTCCCACCTATGAGTGAGAACATGCGGTGTTTGGTCTTTGATGATGGTGACATACAGATGGGGTTTTGGTGTGGATGTCCTTTCTGTTTGTTAGTTTTCCTTCTAACAGTCAGGACCCTCAGCTGCAGGTTTGTTGGAGTTTGCTGGAGGTCCACTCCAGACCCTGTTTTCCTGGGTATCAGCAGCGGAGGCTGCAGAACAGCGAATATTGCTGAACCGCAAATGTTGCTGTCTGATCGTTCCTCTGGAAGCTTCATCTCAGCGGGGTACCTGGCCATGTGAGGTGTCAGTCTGCCCCTACTGGGGGGTGCCTCCCAGTTAGGCTACTCGGGGGTCAGGGACCCACTTGAGGAGGCAGTCTGTCCGTTCTCAGATCTCAAACTCCATGCTGGGAGAACCACTACTCACTTCAAAGCTGTCAGACAGGGACATTTAAGTCTGCAGAGGTTTCTGCTGCCTTTTGTTTGGCTATGCCCTGCCCCGCAACGTGGAGTCTATAGAGGCAGGCAGGCCTCCTTGAGCTGCAGTGGGCTCCACCCAGTTTGAGCTTCCTGGCCACTTTGTTTACCTACTCAAGCCTCAGCAATGGTGGGCGCCCCTCCCCCATCCTCACTGTCACCTTGCAGATCGATCTCAGACTGCTGTGCTAGCAATGAGTGAGGCTCCGTGGGTGTGGGACCCTCCAAGCCGTGCGCTGGATATAATCTCCTGGTGTGCCGTTTGCTCAGTTGGAAATGCAGAAATCACCTGTCTTCTGAGTCACTCACGCTAGGAGCTGTAGACTGGAGCTGTTCCTATTCGGCCATCTTGGAACCACCCGTCTGGGCTGGGTTCTTGTGTGCACTGAACTCACAGTGCTTGGAGGGAATTGGTACCATGGCATACAAACAGGGTGGAAATACAATCACAATGTGTTGACGTGTGCTGTGCTGTGGCAGCAAAGAGGAAGTGGCTTATTCTGCCAGAGGGCATCATGAAAACTCTCTGCCCACCTTAGGGGGATGCATTTTGAATGAGTGGCAGGGGTTCTCTAGAGATCCAGGCCAGAAGGAACAACATGTGTAAAGACATAGATTTATGAAAACACAGGATCCAGTTCAGAAAAGGCCAAGAAATTCATTGTTGCTATAGAAACATTGAGCTGGTAGTGGGTACTCAAGGGAGGTGAAAATTGAAAGGTAGACAGAAACAGATTATAAAGGGTCTGTATTTGCCACATTTAGAGGATTTGACTTTATTCTGGAGATCATTTTAAAATATATACATTGACTTTTTTTTTCTTTCCAAATTATAAAAGTAATACATACTCACTATGAAAATTTTAAAAGTGTTAAATGGAGGAGGGAATCACCCATAATCCTACCTCCAATGAGGACCACTGTGAACATTTTCAGTCATCATTTCAGATACACATACACATATACACACACACTTACAGGCCCAGATATGCAGATGGTCTTGATACTTGCTGTTCTCATTTAACTGCATGTTGTGAACATTTTCCATCTCATTAGAATTTATAAAGCCTGCATGTATCTCATCCTATAGCTATATCAAAATTTTTTAACCAATCTTCTACTGTGAGATATTAGACTACTTGTAATTTTTCCACATTTTAATGAAGCTATAAAGAATATAGGTGATGAATTCATTTTGCATAGTTGCTCACTTTTTACCATAATTTAAAATCACAATTTCTGATTCAAAGAGAATACAGATGTTAAAGTCTTTCACATGTATGGCAAAATTGCTCTTGAGAAAGCCCGTACCCATTAAGATACCACTTAATAGGGCATAAAAGCATTGATTTCCTCATTCCCTTGCCATTATTGGTTATTGCAATTTTTATAATTTTTGCCAATGTGTTCTCCAAAACTAATACATTATCAATATTTCACATGCTCTTTGTTACTACAAGAGCATTTTTTTTTTATGTTCATTGACCTTTTGATTTTCTTCTTTTGTGAAATGCCTGTCCCCGTTCTAGGATCATTTTTCTATTAGGATATATATATATATTTTTCTGATTTATAAAAGCTCCTCATATATTAATGATATGAACTTTTGTCTCACAAATACTTTTTCCAGCTTGTTAATTATTTGTAATTTTGTTTATGGTAATTGCAGGCATAAACAAGTGTTTAATTTCTACATGAGCAAGACCATCAATCTTTTATGTTTAAAAAGGTAATCTCTGAGATCCAGTAACTATTTGCCTTAATATCTTTTAATTATTTGACACATCATACATTTATTCACTGTATGGGTGAAATAAGAACCTAGTTCACCCCGTCACAGGCTGAATAATGACCACCCAAAGATTTCAGGTCCTAATCAGTGGAACCTGTAAATGTTACCATATAAGTGAAAGAAGACCTTGACAGTGTATTAAGGATCTTGACCTAGCAGAGTATCCTGGACTATTCAGGTGTCCATTAATCCAATCACAGGTGTCCTTGTAATAGAGAGACAGAGGGAGGTTTGACACACACAGAAGAGGGGAAGGCAATGTGAAAATGGGGGCAGAGATTGGAGTGATGTGGCCACAAGCCAAGGAACACCAGCTGCCACCAGAAACTGGGAGAGGCAAGGAACAGATTCTTGCCTAGTGCCTCCAGAGGGAGCTTAGCCTTGTGAACACTGATTTTGGCTTAGTGAAACTGATTTGGGACTTCTGGCCTCCAGATTTGTGGGAGAACAAATTTCTGTCACTTTAAGCCACCAAATTTGTGTTAATTTGTTACATCAGCCACAAGAAATGAATATAACACCTCATCAAATAGTTTTCCTAAAACCATAAAGAATCCTTCTCTTACTTGTCTGAAATGTCACCTCTTTCACATATAAAATATTTATGGGTAGCAGTCAACAAGTCCCCACCAGCTGCTGGTTACTGGGCGTAAATTTGTCTGAACTAAAACCTAATTGCTATATTCATCCAGGTTGCAAATTCACGGAGAATCACCAGCTCATGATCACCAGCAGCTGAGCATGCGAGCCAGGAGCACTGGGGTTTTGAGAACTGAGCGCCACTGCAGGATTTTACACCTGGCAGCAGCAGCTCAGCCCAAGAGGTGGCAACACACCCAGAAGAGTGTCAGTCCCACAGACATGAGCCATCATCAATACGGACTCTGAATCCTCAACGGCTTCAACATTTATTGCAGAAACATGCTCGCCTGGTGCATCAAGGAGGCCATTCTTCTCAATAGAGCTGAGAGATGTCTCTGGCAACTTTTTTCTGGGACAGGCACATTTGGTATCATTTATTAAATTATTGAGTTTCCTGGCATTGTCCCTTGCCAACCTGCCCAACAGGAACTTATATATCTTTTAATAAATTTCCTTTTATAAAAAGTGTATATTCATATATACATGTGTTTGTTCCTGTTTTTTTTAACCCATCAGTCTATTCTTATATCAGTAAGCATCATTTTAATTATTTTATCTTTTAAATTTCATATCTGGCAAAACCAGTATTCCCTAATTTTTTTAACAAAATTTATTATTCTTAACTAGTCTTCCAGATAATAGAAGATTTAGAATGGCTTTTTTAAAGTTCTTTTTAAAAATTTCGTTTATGAATACATGAAGTTTACAAATTAATTTGGAAAAAAATTATCTTTTCAAAAGATTATTTGTTTCAATTCAAAATTAGATGTCTATTATTAAACCTTGTTTTATGTCCCACAGGAACTCTTAAAATTTCCTTCATACACTTCCTGCACATTTCTTAAGTTTCTATCTAGTGTGTCTGATCTCCCTCCTGTCCTTCCTTTCCTTCCTTTCCCTCCTGTCCTTCCTTTCCTTCCTTCCTACCTTCTTCCCTCCCTCCCCTTCCTCCCTCCCTTCCTCTCTTCCTTCCTCCCTTCCCTTCCCTCCCTTTCTCCCTCCCTCCCTTTCTCCCTCCCTTTCTCTCTCCCTCCTTCCCTCCTTCCTTCCTTCCCTCCCTCTTCCCTTCCTCCCTTCCTCCCTTCCCTCCCTCCCTCTTTCCTTCCTCCCTCCCTTTTTTCCTCCCTTCCTCTGTGCCTTCTTCTCCATTCTCTCTCCCTCCCTCTCTGCCTTCCTCCTTCCTTTTTTCTTTCTTTTCTTGGTGTTTATACAGTGTTTTTGAGCAGAGGAGTGACATATGATTTCTTCTTTGGCAGCTAATTTTAATTTCTAACTTTGTTTTGTTATTTTCATAGGCTAATACTGAAACTCATTTTTAGGCTCCAGCAGATGCTGTGTGGGTGGTGGCAAGAGGTAGTGCAAGTTTAAGATGGTGGGGACAAAGCCTGAAATTTTTAATTAGCTCTTTATAATCAAGGGATCATTATTCATATATTTTGAAATTGCATCCAGCAGGACCTTATGACTTTTTAAAAAGAGAAAAATAGCTCTCAAAAAGCAGCAATTAGAAGCTTTGTGAAATCCAATCAATTGTGTGTGTGTGTTTTTTTACCTCCTTGCTTTAGATGAGGGAGGAAAACTTCTATGCATCAGTATGATCTCTGAGCCCCACTCCAGCCTCAATCATGCTTTACATTATAAATCTAGGCATTAGGAAAGCTTTAGAAGAAGAGGTAGCCTACTCATCAGGTCTGAGAAATAGCCCTCTGATCACATCTGCCAAACTAAGACAGTTACAAGACAGAATTTGGTGAAGACCTACTCTGTAAAAAGATAGAAGAAAGATATGATTTCATTTTTATCCATGACAGAAATGGGCAGAATAAAAGAAACCAGTCTCTCCTTCATTTTTCCCATCCTAAGTGAATAGAAAATGTTGGGTAGAAAAACTGAAGGCAATGATTCCAGGCTTGGAATAAAATGAAGTAGATGTTTTAATGGCACCTCATCTTAGGTGCCACATTAATGATCACTAAAGATTGATTAATGTTGGTGATAATGACCATAATATCATTTTTATTAAAGTGCAAGAGCAATCTGTAAAAAAAAAAAAAAAAAAAAAGCTTCTGAGCTAAGCAGACTTTAACTAATCAACACCCTGCCAAGGAAAAGGGAACATTCTGCCAGAATTTAAGCTGAAAAAAAGAAAGTCCTCAGGCAAGTTTATATAAAACCCAAGAAAAGTGATACATAATAAATTAAATATACTGAAATAAGCAAAGCATGAATATTTAATCACTTGGCTATTTTAATTTAAAGGGAGCTGTAAGACCAACCAAGGCTCACTCACATAGGATGGAAAGTTTAAGCCTTGATTGGCAGTACCAGAAGCTGTCCTGAATCTTTCTTTATTCAGGAGACTGGCAAACATTACATGGCACCAACATGGAATCAAGCTGCAGGCCAAGCCAAAGGTTTGCCAGGGACTGACTGCATCCCAGAATCAACGTGGCTGAGCGACTTGGATGCAGAACATGCAGCGCATCTAGCTTCTTGCATCACTGGAAGCTTGCAGGTGCCAAATGACAAGACAGAACCTTCTGTTGGTATCCTGGGATGAGGCCAGCCCCCTTAAAGAGACCAGTTCTCCTAGATTAAACCGCAAAGCAGAGATGAGTGCAAACACATCTAAGAACTAACCATTCTGTGGACTGAATGGGTGAACAATGAGTAATGGGTTCAGAGAGAGCAGCTGAGGAAGGTGCCCAGAGAGGCAACATGGGGATCCCACTGCCATACAGAGGGACGCCTGTTCCAGCTTCAGCAAAAGGAGGCTCTATGTTTTGGGGAAGGTTATTTTCCCTCTCTGGGCCTCCATTTCCATCTGTGTTTGAAACCCTGCCCTTTGTGAATTATAGCAAATCGATTCCACACCCCTCCATTCTATGTCCTGTCAGAAGTCCAAGGACATGCTCTCCGATATTTCTGTACGCAAAATAGCAAACAATTCTCTGCCCTCATGAGGTTAACTATCTGGGAGGGAGAATGGATCCAAGACAAAATAGTAGGAAAAAGACAAAATAGTAGGAAAGCGTAGGAAAAAGAGGGGACATGTACTGACTGGTCCGTGTCCTGAGGGAATATCTCGTAGAGCTGCAGAAAGATGGCAAGAAGCAGAGATGAGTGGAAGATGGCTTTGCAAACCACAGGAGACCAACGACGTCTGTATTGTGGTATGGGAAAGAGGTTCCAATACACTTATAAGATGGGTACTCCCTACCTGGCACTGGACTAAGAGCTTACTATGCATGATTTTATTTTAACCTCCTACAGTTCTGTGAGATAGGTGTTATCATCCCATTTTATAGATGAGAAAACAGACTCAGGCTAGGGAACTTGCTAAAAGGAAAAAGTGAATGAGCGCCAGAGCTGGCACCCAAACTCCAGCCTCTGCTCCAAACTCACGCTCTTTAGCACCACCCTATAATCTTTCCAGTAGCAGAGGGGGCCAGTCAGTCAGTCCAGCATTTAAAAATATTATCTGATCTATGTGGATTCAGAACTGGTGGATAGGTCTGGGAAGAGCCTATGGTCTTATTTGACTATGTTAGAGCTTACATATATCTACAATAGGTATTGCTTAAAATGCAGAGAGGTAGTGGATTCTTGAAAATAATCATTATAATTTGACAGGTAGCACTAGAAAATATCAGCTAAAGCAACAAATCAAAGTACTTAATAGTATAAGCAAAAATAGACTTTTGATACTAGCAGAACACAGTAAAATGCTTTGTAGTTCTACAGGTTTTTCTGCTTAATTGCTTAGTGTTTCCCCAAAATTCTTGTAAACCTCTCTATGTCTTCATTCTTTTAAGTTGCCCCATTGTCTCTGGGTAATGTGTAATGTAATAGAAACCTCTAGAAAATGTTTCTTTCTTCCCAATACTATCACCAGAGTATTCTGTATTTATCTCATTTCAAGGAAAATGAAGCACAGAGAAATTGACTATGCCCTGTATACGCACTAAGGGATCGGGGCACAGAAAGGGGAGAAGTCGTGCAGGGATTCTAATGATCAAACCTGTATCTTTTATGAGATGCAAGTCATTCCTTTGCAATCAGTAGGCAGAAAAAAATCCAAGTTTCCTCAGAAGAAATTACCTACACAAACAGATTCTTACCGGTGGACCTAAAATGCTTTTCACAGGCAATAGTGAAACAGAGGAAATTCACGCTGGCAGGCTTTTTTCCTTGTAAGCTTTGTAAATGTGAAGGCAAGGGGGATAAATGAGAAGAAATAAAAGCTTTCTTTAAGTCTTACTTACTAATGGTTTTTGTCACAGCTTTATAAAAACAGCTCAGGTCTAATCAAAAGTGCAATTTGGCTGGACTTTTACAGCATCAACAGCCTTAGGAGAACACATTTCACTCCTAAAGTTGACATTTAAGCAATGCCCCTTGGTCTGGCCTTCAGAACCACAGCCCACCTTTAAAAACCAGGGTTGGGCCCTGGGTGGAGCTCTCCATGCCTCAGGTTACCTTCTTGCACTCCTTGGGTGGAATATTAAAATATGACCAGCCCAGTTTCTCAGTGCTTCTCCTGGGCAAAGGCATTTCATCATGGGCACACTAGTCGGAGTTAGCTGGGCCCTGCCTCTTCCGTGACTGTGTGGTTTCCCGACTTGGGCCCATTAAACTGAAATAATAGTCAGTTATTAAATTGTGTTCAGATACTAAATCCATTGGTGTGCATTTAACTAAGTCTGGGTTGTGTTTATAAATGGTGAGGGATGGAAGCTGGCCTAATTTTTTTCTTTGAAAAATAACGGTAAAGGAGGATTTTCCTTTATAGTGCATATTTATATTTATACTATATATTATATAATACACATTAATATAAATTATGTATTTATGCTATTATATTTACTATATTGCTTGAACTTTTACAATTAGAATATATCCATTGTGTAATTTAACAGACATTTGGAAAAAGGTGAAGGTCACATTAATGTTCAGAGTTTTTAAAAATAGCATGGATAGGTTCATTTCAAAGAAAGCTCTGGATACTGTATTAGTCCCTTTTTTTGCCACTAATAAAGACATACCCAAGACTGGGTAATTTCAAAAGAAAGAGGTTTAATGGACTCACAGTTCCACGTGGCTTACAATCATGGCGGAAGGCGAAAGGCACATCTTACATGGAGGCAGGCAAGAGAGAGAATGAGAACGAAGTGAAAGGGGAAACCCCTTATAAAAACCATCAGATCTTGTGAGACTTATTCACTACATGAGAACAGTATGGGGGAAACAGCCCCTATGATTCAATTATCTCCCACTGGGTTCCTCCCACAACATGCGGGAATTATAGGAGCTACAATTCAAGATGAGGTTTGGGTGGGGACACAGCCAAACCGTGTGAGATGCACTGATTAAGAAGACTTTATAGCAGACCATCCATAATCATACTTTGCAGAGGTAGCCTCTGATGATACTTAGATGTATGGCATTTCATCCTTTTATTGTTCTCCTAAAGATATACACATATACACATATATAGAATTACATATTTGCTGTTTTGAAACTATCCTATGCTCTTTCACCTAAAAATATATTATAAATGCCTTTGCATTTGTGGAAAAAAATTTATATATAAATATATATATATATGCATATACATACATGCACCAACCTAATATATGAAATATGAAATAAATTTTAAAGTGGCAAAGTATTTCATTGTTACTTGACCCTGTTAATCCCAGATTTTTCTAATATAAACAATACTGAAAATAATATTTCTGTCCAAACATTTTTGTGCTCATGCCCTGTTACCATCATGGGATAAACCCCCATATAAAAAATTGCTGGATCAAAGGGCATATCTTTTCAAAGGCTTTCCACACCTATTGCCAAATTGCTCTCCAGAAAAGTACTGTTTCTTCCTCCAGCGGTGTGTGAGAGTCCATTTCCCCAGGCTCCAGACAATGTGGGCATTAGAATTCTTTTTACTCTTTACCAATTTGATAGGCAAAAATGAAATGGTGACTCATTGTTTTTATTTGATAGGCAAATATAAAATGGTGCATTATTACTTTTGTTAAAGAAATTATATCCTCATATTTTTCCTGTTGGACTGTTTATCCTTTCTAATTTAGTTGCAGAATTTCTTCGTGTTAAGAATACCAATTATTTGTCTTTCATAATGTTACAAAAGTTTCTCAGTTTTAATTTTTCTCAATTTGGTTTACTTCTAAAGATTTTAATTTGTCTGTAGTTAAACTTGTCAGTCTTTTTCTTTATGGTTTCTACCACTCATGACATTTGCTACACTATTGATTGCATGTTTTGTGGTATATTTCATAGATGGAATATAGGCTAGTACATACCCTGAGTCAGTTCAGATTCCAGACTGAGCGCTGTGTGTGCTAAATAGCTTTGAAAGAATGATGAGATTTCTGCTAGAATTGTGACAGAGATCCTGAGTGTTAAGAGCCTCAGATGTACTCACAGGTATCCAGAACACATAGGTGTTTACAGGGAATAAAAGCTTTATAATGTATCTCATAAATGTCACTGAAACATCGGTGTGGCACATGGGTATATTCTAGAGATAATCAATATCTTCCGTCCCACATGTTCTTCTTACCATGTGACTTTGACCCTAGTCCCATGGAGAAGTGGGGTCTGTGCTCTCTCCCCTTGAATCTGGGCATTCTTGGCATTACAGAGGAGGTGACACTGTGTGACTTCAGAGGATGGGTTATCAGAAGGCACCAAGCTTCTTCCTGGTCCTCTTGGTACACTTGCCTTTGAATCCCTGGTCCTCCAGGTAAGAGTCTGACGGCTCTGAAGCCACAGTGAGTAAGTGCAAACTAGCCCACAAGGAGAGACCCCACAGAGGGAACCTGAACTAACTGGGAAAGATGGACAAGAAATTATCAAGTAGTGTGATAGGAAATATACCTAATATTGTGATAACATATAAGAAGAGACCCGACCTAGCCTTGGGGATCAGAGGAGGCTTCCTGGGGGAGCTGATGCAGGGACTGAGTGAGATCTGAAGGACAAGTAGCAGCAGGGGATGTGGGGCAGACTTAGCATGGAGGGAACTCCAGCCAGAGGTGGCAGCAGGAGTGACTAAGGCCGGGAGGCAGGGGTGATTCGGTCTATTAAAAGAAAAGGAAACAGTTCAGTGTGGCTAAGAATGGAGCAGAAATGGTACAGAGATGAGTGATGAAGCTGGAGAGATAAGAAAGGAATAGATGACGAAGGACCCTGTTTACCAGGTTGAGAAGTAGATAGAAATGTGTGTATTTTCAGCGAAATTTTTATCATTAGCATTTCCAGGCCTTGCTAGGATTTAGATATAAAATGTGGGACTTGGACAGTCTGGGTATTTTTCTTTTTTTTTTTTTTTTTTTGTAAAAGTGATTCCATCTGTCTTGGTTTGCCCTTCCTGGGGGTACTTTTTCTCATCCCACGGGAAGCTGTGCCTTTGTCTTTAAGCCTTTGGCCTAAAGCTTAGCTTCTCAATGGGGGCTATGTCCCATTCTCCTTTGTGCCCCCAGAATGCCTAGGACAAAGACAGCCCTTGTCCTGTTCAATGCTTGCTGCTTTGTGGTGTCTTAACTTGCCCATCCCTGTCCTCCCTCTCTCTCTCTTTTTTCTTCTCCTGTCCCCTCCTTTCCCTACTCAGAACTTCTTTGTAGTCAACCCACACATATGAATCACAGTAGCATCTCCCAAAGGGGAAACCCCCCTGCCAACCAGCTGGTCCAGCCTCATTCCATTAACATTGCTGAGTGTGAACTTCCCCGCTACATGACCAATTTCATTATGTATGAGACTCAGATGCTGCCCCTGAAGAATTCTGAAGGAGGGCTTTTGGGAGTACAGCCCAGTGTGGCTAAGCACGCCTCTCTCATTTGGCCAAACTCCTCCAAATCCTCATCTTTCGCATCATCTTCCATCTTGTTTTCCTTTTCCTAGAGAATCTGATTTTTTGCCTTCAAGTCCCATTTATTGTCAAGTATGTGTATCTGGCCTCAGAGTGAAAAGAAGAACTTACCCAATTGGTGAGAAAGATAGTCTCCCCATAGAGTGCTTAGAGAAAAAGATCAGTTCAAGATAAAGAGAAATTAGAGTTTAGAGCTCGAATGATGGAAATCCTTTAGACCAAGACTGAACAAACATTTTCCTTAAAGGACCAGATGATGAATATTTAGACTTTGTGGGTCATAACGTTTCTATCACAACTCTGCCTTTGTAGCAAGAAAATAGTCATTGCCAGTATCTAAACAAATGGCCATGGCCGTGTCCCAGCACAATGTCACTTACAGTAGCAAGCTGGGGGCTAATTGGGCCCACAGACCATAGTTGGCCAACAACCCCCAATCTAGACCAACTATCTCATTATACAGATGAGGGCACTGAAGCCCAGAGGGGATGTGTTCCAGTTCATTCCAGTAATTAATGGAAGTACCAGGCTGAAGCCCCAGGGCTCCTGACCCTTGGTCCTCTGTCCTTTCCACCACTCTAGTCCTTAAGTCTTGCCTGTTCTATTTTTGACTTGTATTCTCACCACTGCTCACCCCCACCCAGTTTGTCCTACCCTTTGAAACTTCCCAACACTTAGGAACTGAACCAAGGTATCAAAACCTTAAAAGTGGTGAATACTTTCCAAGGCTTCCTGTAGTTTCTAAACTCAATCTATGCTTGTGGAATGATGAACCCCAACTCCAATGAACTGTGTGTGTGTATCACCCAATGTATAGTAACATGTACATCTACAGATAGGCAAAAACACTGACAAATGGATCTTTCCCAAATTAAGAAAACAACTTTTTCTGGGTTGCTCAAATCCAACTGAAATGTCTATATTTTTAGGAAGAAGCCTTTTACATAATGCCAATATGAAGAGGCTGAAGATGTAAAGCAAAGTAAACAAAGCAATGAAACCTAGCTGAGTCAGTGGTTGGACATTCCAAATTGCTTAGCGTGCTGTTAATGACTTTAAAAGGCAAGAGGGACAAGAGAACTAGTTCCCACAAAGAGGACAGTTTTGTCTCATGTCTCAGCCAAAACAGGCCCCAAGACTTGAATGGTCTGAAAAGTGTTCTCCATTATATAACAATTTATCTGTCCTTTTAAAAATAGGTGCCTTGAAGCTGTTTCTTCAAAATGCAGAAGAGGGATGGCAGAACATTCTCAAAGGCTTAAGCAAAGGCACTGCTGGCACTTCTCTGACCTGGGACCACAACAGCAAATGGCCCAGTTTGATAGAACAGCAATGAATAACAAAGTTCTCCTAGGCCCAAGGGTCTGTTCTAACTGCTAGACCATTGCCAGCAATCAGGAACAGTGGCTATAGATGTGCAGCAGAGGACAAATCTTACCTGGTGTATTCATCTATTCTCATGTTGCTATAAAGAGATACCTGAGACTGGGTAATTTATAAAGAAAAGAGGTTTAATTGGCTCATGGTTCTGTGGGCTGTATAGGCTTCTGCTTCTAGGGAGAAACTTACAATTGTGGCAGAAGGTGAAGGAGAAGCAAGCACATCCTCACATGGTCGGCAAGAACTCATTATCATGAGAACAGCAAGGGGGACGTCTGCCCCCACGAGCTAATCACCTCTCACCACGCCCCTCTTCCAACTCTGGGGATTACAATTTGACGTGAGATTTGGGTGGGGACACAGAGCCAAACCATATCACCTAGGCACAATGTGGTGACATCTTTCATTCCCTGTTGGCCATGTCAGCCATTCTCCCAAAACAAATCTTAATTTCAGTGGGGTCATCTTCAAAACGGCTCAACAGCATTCAAAAGTATTAATTAGTACATAAAATGCCATGGAACTATATGGGGGTTAGGGGAAGAATCATATCTATTCTAATGATGACTTAAGGACTATGTGAAAGTGACTATCCTGGTGATGACCTTTGGCAGCTACTGTAGTGAAAATAAACAGGAATCTCCTTCTCTGACTCTGCTCCAGCCATTTTTAAAAACTGGACTCTCAGCACCAAAAATCTCCCACCAGCCAGGAAGTCAAAGGAAAAGGGCAACTGACCAAAGGTAACAAAACTCATTCTCAAAAAGGAGGAATTTAAGCTAATGTACCCCTCCCCCAACCCAGGGAACTTACCCAGATTTGTGCCAGTGCCTCCTAGACATTTTAACTTTATATTTATTTTCACATTTATTTCATAAAAGAGCTAAATTCCCTATTGTTATTACAGCATCAAGAGATACCCCACCTCCACCTATCCCCTCGCATCAGTTTTTTAAAAATATTCCTAAAACTTAATGGGCAATCCTGCATATCTCTGGTGAAAAGTGAATAAAAGGGCAAATAGAAGAAATACAAGAAAAAAGGAAAAAAATTATTCACTATGCATAAACCAAGGAAACAGTAATCCTTCTTGAAAAGATTCTTGAAAAATCTCCATAAAAAGGGAGGACTTTTTTTTCTCCAAGCCTTCAGAAACTGTTAATTATAACATTTTACATAATATAATAAGGGAGAAAAACTTTCCTGAATGCCTAATATGCTGGGCATCTTACTTAGATTATTTCACTTAATTCTCATCTCCTTTCTGGAAGATCATTGTTATCCCTATTTTACAGATGAGAAAATTGAAACTCAAAAAGGTTATGTGTTTTGATCCATGTCACAAACTAGTAAATGACTCTAGATTTAAAATCCAACCCCCAACTCTCTGTGCTTTCTCTAGCACAACACTGCCTCTGATGAAATAAAGGGAAAAAAATGTCCTAAACATATTAGATGACCACAATACTTGTGCTAGGAGGGAAGGTATAGATCAAATCCATTATTTAGAAAACAAGTATTAGTCCTATTTCAAAGTTATAGATAATGAAAGGCAAGAATTTTAAGGTTCCATTGGAAGTCACTAGTGACACCAATAGAAACTCAAAACTCTCAAGTTCCCAACTCACATTTTTTGTCCAGTAGATCACATTGATTTAGACATTTTGGAGACATCTGAGATGAGCAACAGACTGCAAACTTAAAAATGAGTGGGAACCTCAATGAAAGTGCTGTCACTCAAATCTCACATCCAGACCATGATTAATGCCACTGTAAATATTAATGAAATGTAAAATACTCACTAGAAAACAGTGATCAATAATGCAGCTTTTATGGGTGCATTAAAATAATAATATTTTTATTATTGGTGAGAAATTTCTTTCTCTTTATTTAAATCCATTAAAGAATGATTTCAACACTTTGGAATGCAGGTCTTAAAGGTTTGTTTTACGTTATATGGGAGAAAACATGACCTCACTATTATTATTTTTATGCTACTTGTGCATAACTGGCCACAGACTCCTTTTTTTCTTTTCTTAATTTTATAAGATATTGATTATGCCTGTCATTTAATGGAATAAATGTGATATATTCCTTTGCATTGGTTGGTAGAGTATGTGGCCTAAAACACGCCTTGAATTGAAAGTCTCCATTTTATTTTGTGCAGATATAGGAAGATGCTAATATGTAAATAGTGATAGTGAGAAATAGCCACTGGACTATTTATCAGACATGCTAACACAAGTAAAAACTATATGCAAAAACATATGCAAATCAAAGAGTTTTGCATATGTACAACCCTTGACTTGACTAGCTGTTGGACATTGTATAGACACAGCTTAGGTCCACTGTCTTGTCAGAATGAAAAAAGCAAAGATATTCAAGTCATCTAAGTTTTTCTGTATATAATAGGGAGAATGCCACATTCATATTTTTGTAGTGAGGATTAAATATTGCAATAGATATAAAGTGTTAGGAAGTTCTAATAAGTAGCCACCTGAGGTGGCTGTAATTACTGTTGTTATTGCTATTTCTACTACTATTATTACAACACGGCCTTCATTCAGTCACCCTAGTGGATCAATCAGTAGGATGCATACAGTGACGTGCAGCAAGACAGTCACCCTATGTGACTTAAAAGAGGCCACAGTCCAGAAAACTACTAAGGAAAGCACAAACACTGCCACTCTTCCCTTCTTATATTGGGGAGGTCAAAACCTTCCCAATTCTATTCTTGAGTTACCAGTCCCTGAAAAACTAAGAGAATAGTTGCTAAACCTCAAGAAATATGCTTTGAGAGGCAAGTGTCTCAGAAATAAAAACTGTTTTCTTAAACCTAATTTGAATAAGAAACTGTAATTCAGAACATTTCCAAGTGGAAGATCTATGAATTATGCAGAAGAATAAATTGCCTTCTTTGAAGGCAAAGGCCCTTGATGTGGTGACCATTTGACAATAGACTACTGATAGAGTCATTCCAAAGACTTTGTCCTTTTCAGTCTGTTCTCAGTGGTTCATCACTCAATACAGAAACTTACCTGAAAAGTAGACTCCTGGGCCAGCTGGGGTTAATGAAAGTTTGGCCATATTGGGTTGGAATGCAGGCATGACTTTGATTCATACTGAAGTTGGTCCAGAGTGCGTACTGGCCTTGCATCTTTCTAGCTATACTTGAAATTTTCTTCCCATCCGTGTCTCTTTAAAGAGATTTCAAACCCACAGACACCTCAGAAATTTATCCTCCCCACTCTAAATTTTCCCAGCTCCTGTCCTTAATCTGGGGCACAATATCAGACCAAAGGTAGATGCTTGATCCGAGCAAGGCCAGTCAGATTTAGTCTCCCAGGGACATGGAATTAAGACCCAGAAATTGGGTCAGTTACCTCTCGGGAGGGGAGATAGAAGATCATGAAGACCCTGGGACTAGAATGGCTATTCACAGGGGGCTATGAAAACCTCCTGTAGTTAGAGTCAAGAAGAAAGTCTTCGGGTAAAGAAAGATGAAGTGAGCATGTGGGAAAATGGACAAGAGATGGACTTTTCCAGAGACTTTCCAGTTACCAGAAGACTTTGCTATCTTTCCTGTGTGTTTCTATGGGATCTCTTTGCATCCTTATAAACTCCCTATTGACTTGAGCTTCCTTGAAAGGGTTTCTGTTCCCCAAAACCAACAGTTCCTTAGCTAAAACATCCTTTAGCCACGCTGGCATTTTATTTTGAACTCACCCTCTCCTTGCCCTAGTCTCCAGAGGCTGCAGTCACCTTCTACGTTAGGGAGTGCCTAACTGGTAACTACCTTCATTGCTGATGAGAAATGGGAAAGAGGCAGACACAGAAACTGGTGAGAAGTAAACAGTGAGTAACACCAAAGAGAAGATCAAAGTTCTGTCCTGCCCTAAACAAGGTGGGGCACCACTACTACCTTTGAAACAGGTTGTCCTTTCTCATCTGCCTCAGGTAGGTCTTTGGTTCTTTCAGTAACATTTGGAGCAAGAACTAAAGGAGTCCTTGCAGCTCAGCCTCATCCTTTTATTCCAAGAGGAAGATTGATATAAATTGACCCCAATACAGATACACACACATATAAACAATATTATCTGTCCTAATAGATAATAAATCTCTACAACATTTAAACTAACTATTGTAAGTAATTCATAAGAAAGTCTTACCTGAAGAGGAAACAGAATTGCTCATGATTATCTTAGAAGGGACCTAGTATAAAAGAGAAGAGTGATTTCAAAATAGAGAAAAAAGTTGTTTTTGTTTGTGTGGTTTTTATAATTCTATTGAAAATGGAGACTCAATGATTGAAATAGTGTGGTTCATTGGAAAGATCCTTGGACTTGGAATCAAGGAACTTATTTTAGGAAGAAACATGAGACAAGTGCAAAAATAGAACCAGGCAACAATAAATCAACAAATATCATGAGAGAAGGACACAAAGAGGTGTGGAGCTTTGGAGAAAGGGAGATATTACTTCCACATGGAAATGAACGTGGAGGATTTGATGGTAAAAGGCAGAATCAAAGGAATACTTTTAGGCAAACTAGCGGGATCATGGAATAGACATTGTCTGGACCACAAAGCTTTGATAGGAGTATTTGGAACACAATGCTTCAAATGACTACCACCAGAAGAAAGTTGACTTCCTCATCCCACAATATATCTCTGTGGCCATATCTACTATGGGGATCCAGGGTTGAATATCTAAATATCAGTGCAACACATCTAGGAAAGAAATTAAGAAGAGCATTACTATCAGGAAAAAAAGGTGATGACTGACTGGCTGTGGCAGTTTTCCTGGGGATTAGGGTGTGCAGAGGGGGAAAAGGGAGAGTGAGCTGAAAATGAAAACAAGCAGATGCCATGCATCTCTATAGTCCTTGCAGCCTTCCCCTAAAGCTCCTGTGCCTTTTGAGGTTATGTGTGCAAGACTGTGAGGGGACGCTCTTCCATTGGTCAGTGAACTAATTAGGAGATTATTTGGAAGTGTCCACATAGTTGCCTCAGCCTGGAATCTACAGGGCTCACCAGTCCAGGACAGGCTTTTAGGTTGGTCTCTCCATTCCTGCACTACAAGTTTTCCATACTGCACGTGAAACAAGAATTCAAGCCCCTTGGCCCCATCCTGTGCCACAGAACTGGGGTCTGACTGACTCTCAATCAACTCTGTTTCAACATGGTCTAGGGCAGGGAGCCAAGTCTATGCCACTCTATGGATGGGATGGAAATTTTCTTCGCCCCATTCATGAGAACCTTTTTGATTCTCAGCTTTGTCCTGAGAACCCAGTTCTGGCTTCCTCTGATGCATGAGGCCAGATGACTTCCACTCCCACATTGGCTATAAAACCTTTTCCTTTAAGCAACGCACTCTCTGTCACCACAGGCCATGTGGCCCCCACTTCCCCTAACCACTACAGTTCCCTCTTTATCTCTGCTCCTTGAAGCTTCCCTTTCTTGTTTTTGAATTCAACTAGGTATTTTAATTTTTTTAATTTTTAAAAGCATATTTATGCATTAAAACTGGGGTGGGGGGGGTGTCCATGGAAGCTCAGCCTACTATCTTGGCTGAAATTCCTTTTTAGCTAATAAGTGGCAGAGCTGAGTTTCAAATCTAGATATTCTGACTCTAAAGCCAAGGTTAATTTTTTATGATAACGTGTATCTTCCAAGGAATCTCAGTAAGGCTGAAAGACTATCCAAAGTGACTTTTAACAAAGAATAGATAGAGGCAAACTCATGGAATGATTACCCCCAAAAGCTATTACGGGCTAAAATATTTGGGAAGTTTTCAGAAAATGGCAAAAAATGAAGGTCTGTCATGAGTTATGATATTCTAAAGACTGTCTGACCTTCTGAATATGGCAGAAGGCAGCTTGCCTCTCACAACACTCTCCTATGTGAACAGGGGTCTAACTCCACCTGGTAATTTCTATACCCTTCTTGGCTGTAGTCAGAAGGAATCATTGCAGATGCTCTTCTCATCACTCACATATTCATCTGCCTGTGCACATACATCTCGATGCAAACCCAATGAGATGAGGTTAAGAGCATGGGCTGTGCTTTGAGATGTGAAGAAGTCATGCAACCTGGTATCTCTTGGGGGACAGGCAGAAGAAATATGAGAAACATAGATACTCCTTAAAAAAGATGGCATTTGTCCCCAGCTACTACAACCTCAGGGAGGCTGCCACATTCTTTGTACCAAGTTGCCATGCACTAGACAGCAAAATCTCATCAAAAACACAGCTATATTGATTATTCATTTTTTTCCATTTCCACTAATGCTACCTTCTATAATGCAAGTAATTGAGTATTGATTGAGTATTGACTATACTATAACAATTCAGTTAACTGACTTGCCTGGGAAATGGAGTACTTGGTTAAGTGAGTTTCCTGTTTCTAAATAATTTAGGAGGTTGGAACCTACCTCTGAAATTTTATTTTATGCATGTGTAGATATATTGATCGACTTAAATTAATAAACATCAGGTACAGAATATGACAGCATAGGCTTTGGCACAAGCTTGAGTATGCATCAAGACTTTGCATCTCGTTGGCTGCATGATTTTGGAATACTTTTTTAATTCCTGAGCCTTGGTTCCCTCACCTATAGATTGAAGATAACCTCATTTCCTAGGATTATTGTGAAGATTTTATTAGATCATGTATGAAGAATGCTTGGCAAAAGTCCTGATGTAGAATTCATGTCAACAAGTAGCACCTATTATGACTATTATTGTTATTATGAAACTGAAACTGTCTCATTTCAGGGGAGGCTCCCACAGCATGACAGATCCAAGGTAGACTCAGAGCAACAGACAATCAAAGTCATTTGGAAAAAGTGAGGTTGGAAAATGAAACCAACAATTGGCCTATGGATTTGCACAAGAGAAAGTAAGCAAGTAAAGACTAGATCCTGGGCACCCGTTTGGTGGCTGAGCTTACATTGCTTGAGTCAATGCCCTGAAGCCCATGTGGTTAGTTGTTGACAAAGAAGAGAATTCCTTGTCTTTATCAGATGCAAATCCCCAAGAGGTTCAATTTAAGAGCCATTTCTTGGACTGGCTAATATAACCCAGCAGTTAGAGCCAAGATTATCTTCTGTGTGATTATAGCCTGGTTGGAAGAATCATGGCCTGAGTCTAGCTAAGGAGATTTAGACTGTTGTCACTTATGGAATCCCAGCTAATGAACTCTCACACAGCAGGACATGGTTTGAGGCACATCATGAGACATTTATTCTTTAGAAAAGCCACCCCTCTTTGGCCGTTCCAGGCCACCTTCCAGAGCCCCTCTCTGGTTTCCCACACACAGTGTTTGTTCCTCTGGGCATTGCTTCTCAGGAGGCTGGGAAAAAAAAAAGATTGGTCTTCCAAGGTTACTGAACTTATCTCTTTTCCCTTGCTATACAAACAACGTGTGTGAAGGCCACCCAGACTTTTGCAATTAAAGAGGAACTTGCAGGGAAGGGTATGGCCAAGGCTGTTTCATAGTCTGCCAAGTCAAGGCTCAAGTTGCCTCTGTGGGAGAACTCTCCTGCCATTGCTAACTAAGCAGCCTGTCTGTCGATGGGAGCAGTGGGTACATGGGACTGGAAGCTCGAGTCCCAGGTCATTTTTCTGCCACTGGGAAATGTTTTGAGCTCTGCCAGCATCTGCTCACGGGCCACAAGTTGAAAGTGATTTTACATTAGCAACAGAGATTCAAACAAGGAACATCCAACAAATCCTGGTGACTTGCAGCAGTGGTTCTCAGTGTGCTGTGGACCAGTAGCAGCAGCATTACCTGGGAAATGGTTAGAAATGCAAATGCTTGGGCTCCACCCCATTCCTACCTACTGATTCAGAAACTCTGAGGGTTGAGCCCAGGAAGTGGTTTTAAAAGCCCTCCAGGCGATTCAGATGCAGGCTAAAGTTTGAGAACCACTGGCCTAAGGAACTCTGGCAGTGGGAATGAAGAAAATCATTGCAGGGTTCTTAAGAAAACCCAGGTGTGGCTAAACAGATATGCCTGTCCCCATTTCCCACCTACCCCCAGCCCCCACCACCATGATCTAAGAAAGCAAAAGCTCATTGAGGCAGGTGATGTGTTGGACAGAGCAAATACATGACAGGAACACACTTGAGCCTACCTGAGTGGTGTTCAGCATCTGTCTTCATTTGCTCACTTATTAATTAATTTTGTCATTCCCATATGGAGGTTTCTGTTTGTCCTCCATAAATAGCCATCATTACATACAGGATTCTCCAACTAGCAAGGTGGGGAGATGATCCAGGATGGGCAGGGGAGAGAGAGAGAAGCAGCACCAGTCCTGAAGGTCAGAACCAGACCTCAAAACATCCCCACTAGTCCACGGCTCAGAGGAGAAAAGAAGACTGGATATATAAAGGGAAGGGAAGCAGAAAAGAGAGAATGGATGAAGGAGTGGGCATGGGCAGACCCACTCCAATATTTGCAGAACCAGGGGCAAAATGATAAATGGAGACCCATGTACCACGTATCTAAACATTTAAAATGTATAAATCAGTGAACATCAAGTGAACAGACTATTAAGTAAATTATGTAATATTTTCTTATCTTGACAAATATATCTTCATAGCAAACTGGAAGAGCAGGCTTGGTCAATTTAGAATTCCTGGACTCCTGAGAGTTACAGAATGCAATAATGCAAGGAGGGTGGTCACCTAGCTCAGTCTCTGGCCCACGACCTGCTCTCATTCTCTTTCCACTCTGGCTCTGTCCCCATACCATGAAGGGCTTCATTGAAATGCATAAATACACGAGCCCATACATTCAAGCTCCATCCACACCTCTTGCAAACAGCTTCTCTTGGTGACCCCTCAGACCTAGGAGGAGTACCTTAGCACCAGAGGCTGGTATAGGGGAAGATATCCATGTGGGCTCTGGAAATAGGATCATGCCTTTTGGATACAGAATTCTAGGGTCCCAGTTTCTTGGAGCATGGTCTTGCAGGGGAGCAGACTCTAGATAGTCACAATTCCTTGGCCTGTGGATTCTTCAACCCACGGGAAGGGTAAGAAAAACAGGAGCAGATTCTCTGAAGCATGGGTCCAGGACAAGGACCATCTTGCCCAGGTCTAAGGATAGACCAGATAGAAAAGAGGAGGAAACATCAAAGACATAAGAGAGAGGAAAGGAAATAACAGGTGAAAAAGACCTTAGAAGAAATTCTTCATAAAGTGGCTTTTACTGTTACCTATGTACGTTGAGGGACCTGATGTTTCTCTGGGCATCGAGGGAATGGGAACGATTCTTCCTCTGAATTAGCCTTATCCCCGAATGGTGGGGAGAAGTGAATGTTCGTGCCTGCTTCATGTTTTATTCTTCTGCATAAATTACAGTGCAGAGACTAGAGACATCTAATTTTCCTGTTATAATAACCATAGATCTATTATAACTTTCTTGCTACACATTAAAGGGAAGGAAAAGAGGGAGGGAGAGAGGATGGAAGTTAGTCAGTCAATGATCAGAGACCAGAAGTTTCTCTGGTTGAAACAAAAGAATATTTCATGAGACAAACAACTGAAAAGCAAGTTTACACAGAAAATTGGTAACTTGATGCGGCATTTTGGGCTTGATCATGTGGGTTGGTTGTTACTTGGCTTAGCTTCTGATGTTGTAAAAATTTCATTTGTGAAGGTTTCTATGGCCAATTGTTTTGATGTAGATTACTTGAGTTTTGTTGTTTGCTGTTTAGCAGACATGAAATATGATCCATTTTCTCTGGGAATGTTTCATTTCCTGGAGCTGGAAATGCAGTGCGGTTAGGTAAACTGCTCCATTTCTGAGCCATATGTTATAGTGTTGAAGTACAGGGCAATCCAGATCACAGCATTCTCAGGCTTTCAGAATAATTATTTTAATTGTTTCCTGGGAAAAAATTACTTTCTAAGGATAAAATCAACAGAAAGAATCACAAAGAAAAAAATGATAGAAAAACATTATGATAAAATGTAAAACATCATGAAAAAATGTAAAATAAGTCAAACTTAGAAACAGATATGTTACAAATATGACAAAACCAATAATTATAAACACTTTATATAAAAACTTGTGCACACATATTTTTTAAAATCATCAATGCTCCAATTTTAAAAACATAATAGCAGACCATTCACAAAGGAAAAATTATGACTAAAAAATATTTTAAGATATTCAAAATGATGTAAGATAAAATTAGGTTATGTTAATTGATATCTCATTTCTGGATGTAGCTTTACAAATATGTCAACAGCCTTAAAAAATGTCCATGGCCTTGACCTGGGCAATTTTTTCCTAAGGACATATTAAAAATATGGGAAAATATTCATAAAGAAGTGATCTTTGCAGGTTTCTCTGAAATAGAATTTTTTAAAAAAACACTATCTCTGCTCTGTCAGAGTTCACTCATGCTCTGGATCTTATAGTTTGGCTCAGCTCTTTGGGGATTTCATTCATTCAGTTATTCTCTTATATATCATCAATCTCGCTTTCCACTAAACACAAATATGCTTGGTATCTCACTAATGTTTAAATCCTTTCTTGACCCCACATCTCTGTCAGGCTTCCACTAGACTACTCTGCTTCCCTTTATGGGAAACTTAAGAGCTATCCCCACATATTCCCTTCACGTCCTTGCATCCCACTCACTGAATTGCATTCCCTTGTCAACATCGCAGGTGACCTCCCTCTTTGCAAATCCAATGAACAGTAATGCAATGTTTAACCTATGTCTTCTGTAGTTTTCTTTGGCTTCCAGTACACCAGCCCTGTTTTCCTGTTACCTCAGTGGCCACTCTTTATTGGGCTACTTTGCTGAATCTCCCTTCTTCGTCCAGCTTTTAAAGAAGAGAACTCCTTCAGGGTTCAGTGAAAACATCTTCTCCATCCATATCTATTTCCTTAAGTGATCTCATCCAATCCCATGGTTTCTGGTGCCATCTTATACCAATGACTCCAAAATTTATATCTCTGGATTGAACCTCTCCTCTGGAACCTGGACTCATATAGCCACCTGCCTACCTGATGTTAACACTTGTATATCTCAGGCATTTTAAACTTTAGATATCCAAAGCAGACTGCTTAATCCCATCTGCCTCTCCCCAAATACCCAGATCTCCCCCTACCTTCCCCATCTCCTTAAATATCCCTATCTGCTCAGTTATTAAAATGAGATAATTGTATGTCATCCTTGACTCCTCCCACTCTTCAAATTCTACATCCAAACAATCAAGAAATTTCATTGGTGCTACTTCCAGAATATGTCTTACATTTGACCACTTTCTTCCTTCTGCACTGCCACTGCCACCCTCTTAGTCCAAGTCACCACTTCCTTCTGCCTTAACTAAGTTGATTGTCTTCTAAATGGTCTTTCTACCTCTATGCTTGCCCCTACCCCCACAATCCTTTCTTTAAGAAAAACCAAAATTTTTAAAATGCAAATCAGAGAATGGCTGTCCATTTCACTTAGAATAATTACTGAATTATTACAATGGACGGCTAGGCCGTGCATGCTTCATCTCCTGCTTGGTGGTCTGACTTTATCTCATAGCAACTGTCTGCAAGCTCACTCCAGCTCTGCCCACTCCTCCGTCTGCTGCTTCCTGGAACACGGATTTATGCACATGTACCCACACAGTGGTCATCCATAAGACACAGAATTTAAGCTTTGAAGGACATGAAGTTAATTTATTTTTAAACACATTAAACAAGTTTATTAATATGCACCTTAAATTTGGCAACTGAACTGGCAACTGAACTCAAATTCCACATTAATTATGAGTTGCTTTTGGCTAAAACTGCAATGGCACAAATTATATCGAGGGTTTTTCTTCTTTCTTGGAACATAAAGTTCTGAGGTAGGCCATCCAAGGCTGACAGGCACCTATTCACTGTCAACTATGTCCTGAGTTTGTTCTATATTTTCACTCCTCCACCTTATATGGGGTTTCCAACCTCAAGGTCACCTCCTGGTCTCAGGGGGACTATTGGAGTTCCAACCAAAATGTCCACATTCCGGAAGAGAGGAGAAAAATTGTTGGAATTCCATTTGAAACTAATGATGTAGGATCTTTGCAAAGGGGAAATATAAAGACAGATTGCCTTTCCATGATTTCTCACAAAGGAAAGGAGGAACAATTACATTGAAGGTAAAGGAAATACATTCCCTTCTATGCCAGGGACAAGGAATGAAAATTGAGAAAAGGAAGGAGAGCTAATATTTTAACATCTTTATTATGTACCAGGCACTTTATCTGCAGTATTTCAGAGCACCCCTTTAGGAAAGATGAGTGCTATGGGCTGAAGTGTGTCTCCCCCACCCCCCAACAAATTAATACATTGAAGCTCTAACCTTCAGTACCTCAGAATGTGACTACATTTGGATATAGGGTCTTTAAAGAAGTACTTATTTAAAATTAGGTTATTACACTGGGCCTAATCCAACATAACTGATGTCTTTATGAGAGGAGGAGATTAGCATGCAGAAACACAAAGAGAAAACCATGTGAAGACGCAGAGAAGACAGCCATCTACAAGTCAGGGAGAGAAACCACAGAAGCAAACAACCCCACCAACATTTTGGCCTTGGACTTCTAGCCCCCAAAACCATGAAAGAATAAATTCCTGTTGTTTAAGCTACGCAGTCTGTAGTATTCTGTTATGGCAGCCTTATCAAACAAACTCATGAAATTATGCCTGTTTTTCAGATAAAGAGACTAACACGCCAAAAAGGCAACTTACTCAAGATCACAAGCCAGCAAGTGGCAGTGCCAAGATTCCCAAGTCCAGCCTCAAAGTCTGTGCCCTTCCATCCTGCCAGATGATTCGCACCCAACCCTCCTCTTAATGGTTAAGAGTTTATTTCCCCCAAAGACTTAACTGGTCCACAGTCTGTTCAGATGTTTCATTAGAAGGAGGCGTTGGCGGGCGGGGGGGGGGGAACACAAGAAAGAAGAGTGGATCAGATGGAAAGAGGAATGTTCCAAGTTCAACTTCTGAAAACCAACCAAGACGAGATGGCAATGAAAATCACTTGTGAGCATGCATCATGTTCAGAAATACTTTAAACACTTGAAATCATGTCAACCCAGGTGGAAGATAATCAATGATTTATTCCCCATTTAACAAAACTAATTGTTTAGGAATTTTAATCTTTTAGGTTCTGACATTCTGTTTACAGATCCTGATGATTTTAGAATTGTTGAGTCCACATGAAATTAGGAGGGCATTATTATTTTTACTTTTCTTTGGGCGACACTCTGCTCTGGTTATTTTGTGCCAACCTGCCTTGATAGATTAATGACATTTAGAAGTAGTTTATCTTACTGATCAAAGAGATGAACACCTAGAAATCCCCCTAAATTATAAATTAATGTCATCTGTGCACACAGACAAGGTCAGAGGAAGAGTCCAGCAGAGCGGGGCCTTACTAAGTGACAACAGCTGACCAATAAACTAATTGACACTGACGTGCAAATAAAGAATGAGGTTTTATGGAATAACATGGTATGTGAATTGGAAACTAAATCACAAGTTTCTGTTGAAGGTGGCAATTTGAGACCACATTTTTATTTTCTCTTCACCCACAATTCTACTAAAATGAAGAAGAAAGCACAAAAATAAGAAAATATCTTTATCAACACGAAATGGGGAAGATAACATGAAAGGCCAGACATTGTGAAAAATATTTGCCACATATAAAAGCAGAATGAGACTGAGGACACCTCCACCTGCAAGTTACCATGTGTGTTCCACTTATCTACTGCTGTGCAACCAAGCACCCCTGAACTTAGTGACTTCAAGCAAGATCATTTATTTTGGTCATGAATCTTAATTTGGGCAAGACTCGGCAGGATCAGCTTATCTCTGCTCCACTGGAGAAGCTCAAAGGCTGGAGTATGGACTCATCTGGAGGCTTGCTATTCACATGTCTCATGGTTCATGAGAGAAGACCCACGGGGCTTCTGGGGCATTTCCACCTCTCTCTATGTGGTCTCTCCCCCAGTGTCTCTGCAGCATGGTGGTTTGGGGCAGCAAAGGTCTTGCATGTTGGCTGAGGGCTCCCAAGGTGCATACACCCAGAAAGGAGAGAAAAAAGAAAGAAGAGAAGACAGAGGAGAAACAGACAGAAAGGGAGAATCAGGCTAAAGCCAGATTGCATTTCTTGTTTTGGCACTGGAAGTCATGAATGCCATTTCCACTGTATTCTGTTCATAAAGGCCAGATCATTTGCAAGGGGAAGAGAACCATACACCCTTTGTGATAGGGGCTGCAGAAATGAATGGCATGTGGCCATTTACAAAATATGATCTGTTAAGTATGTGACAGAAAAACACAACTAGGAGGAACTGATTGTGGTCACTAACAAAGCTGAAATACACCTTCAAGGTCAATGGGAAAGGAGCTAGAAACTGAAGGTGGGCTGGGGGACAAACAGGTCTGGGAAATCCCACACATGTGGCAGCTCACCATGGGTACCTCGCTGCAGTGTCACCTGATGTGGGCTGGAGGACCAGGTAAAACAAAGCTTTCTTTTGGTTGTTTATTAAAAGAGGGCATCCACCTCAATCAGAAAATAGGAGCAGTTAACTTGGTTTTGTCACAACAGGTATACATAGGAAATGCTTCTCAGAGCAGGAACTTCCCTGCCCCAGGGCTGGGCTTCACAGACAATGAGAACCTCAGTTTAATTAAATTGGACTAGAGAAAAGATAAACTTTGAATGTTCACCTTTAGTTGGGGACTAAAATATGCAGACAAGTACCTACATAAACTCTAATAAAATCTACCTCAACACTTAGTATTGGACATGCATAGACTTTTCTCTGTAGTGGAGAAGAAAGCAAGGAACAAAGGAAGGGAGGAAGGAATGGAGGGAGGGAAGAAGGGAGGGAGGGAAGGAAGAAGGAAGGGAAGGAGGAAGGAACAAAGGAAGGAAGGGAGGGAAGGAGGAAGGAAGGGAGTGAGGAAGGAAGGAAGGTCAGTCACTGGACATACACAAAGATAAAATTGTTTAAAACAAGGGCCAATTTTAAAATTCAGAGCAAATACATGCTCTGCCTCTAAGAAACAGTGAAACACGTTTTAAAAAATATGAGGCTAGGTGTGGTGGCTCATACCTGTAATCCCAGCACTTTGGGAGGCCAAGGTGGGTGGATCAACTGAGGTCAGGAGTTTGAGACCAGCCTGGTCAACATGGTGAAACCCAGTCTCTACAAAAATACAAAAATTAGCCGGGCATGATGGCGGGTGCCTGTAGTCCCAGCTACTCGGCATGATGGCGGGTGCCTGTAGTCCCAGCTACTCGGCATGATGGCGGGTGCCTGTAGTCCCAGCTACTCGGCAGGCTGAGGCAGGAGAATTCCCTTGAACCCGGCAAGCGGAGGTGCCGTGAGCCGAGATCATGCCACTGCACTCCAGCCTGGGTGGCAGAGCGAGACTCCCCCTCAAAAACAAAAAAATTGAGATCTGAGAAAACACAATCTGTGGTGAACAAGGATTGCTTTCAGATGTTAAAAAATTAGCAAATTAAAGAAACAATGGAGACGACAGAGATAATAAACAGTAAGCTAGATACTAAACTAATAAATGAGAATTTTAAGACAAGATATTTGCCTACTATTCACCAGGAAAAGATAAAGAAAATTACACAATGAGCCAGCCTATCAAAGACAGAATGGACAAATCCAATAAAACTTTTTTTTTTTTTCCAGGAGAGAACAGCAACAGGATGCCTGAAGAAAGACTTGAGATTTCTAATCAAAGGTTTACAAATGGTTTGGGGAAAAAGTTTCCACACATGGCATACTCTGGTGAAGTTATAAAAATTCAAATTCAACTCCAAATTTAGAGACTATGGAAACCCACAAACATTTTGGTATATAAAATTACATTGAAAATGGAAATAAACTAGATTATCAGAATTTCCCATAATATTACATCACAAAAGCTAAGAGTCAAATAATTCCTCCGAATCCTGACAAATAATTAGAACAAATGAGGTAACTTGATAATGTGGCTGGTTACAAAATAAATAATCAAAAGTAAAAATCTTTCCTGCTCCTAACAATGTGGCAAAGTAAACTCAATTCTGAAAAATTCCAACAAGTGAGAGGGAAATTGAGGACCCAGGAGCCTAACAAAAAAACAAAAGAAATCCATGGGGAGACACAAGGGTGCTGGGTCTTGACTGAAAGCTGTACAGAAGAAGAGTGGGCACCACCAATGGGGGATGGGATTGGTTAGTCCTTTCTCGTGTTTGCCCTCCTTACAACCCCACCTTGCACTGGGCAGGTCATTGCTGACCTTATTACTCCAGTAGGGCAAGAAAACATCAGCCTCAGCTGAGTGCCAACTAGGCCAGTTGGAGGTGATGGGGTAGCGCTGTGGCCAAGTCATAAGCTGGTGGGTGAACCTGGGCAGAGCAGGTGCCCATGTGCTGGCCAGCTCCCAGGAATATCTCCTCACCAACTTCCCTAGTGGGACACTATCTGTTTCTGTCTGCGTATAAAATAGGGAGCCAACCACAAACACAATCCTTATCTTTCTACCGATAAGTTCCAAGAACCTGCATCCTCTAGCATTTTCTCTCCCCAGCTTAGGATGTCTGCTTGACTTTATCTATGGCAGGGAATGTGTACCAGGAGAAGCATATTGAGGGAAGTTTGCTGTTCACCATAATGTGCTGTTTCACTTAACAAAGTGGAAGCAAAAAATCTTTTCTCCAGGGCATTCGCAATATTCACCATCACACCACATACACAGCACACATGAGCACTCACACACACACACACACACACACACACCCCAACATCATCACCACTCCCTCTGCATTATCCCCACCAGCATGCCACACCTACACACACAGACACACACACACACTCTCACACACTCACTCTTCTTATTTTAAGATTCTGTTTGTCCATAACATAAACTAATGGCTCTTTCAACATTTTTAGGCTAGTGTATAACTCAGGGACTGAGTAATAGGCACTCGTGTTTGTTAAGTAGGATAAAGAAAGAGGTTTAGGTGAGTATACAAGGAAAATTGTATTGCCAGGAAGTCATTGTTGCCTCTGCTTGTGTTGCTTAGGGAGCAAAAGCCTGCCCCTTCCAACAGTGGAATGGCTCAGTGCCTTCCTGAATCACTACTCCCCCAGCCACACACACTTTCAGAGCCACTCCCCCTCACATCCTGCTGTAAATATTTCTGAAGGCTGAGCCATCCCTCCCTCGTAACATGTCCATCAAGCAGGCTTACATTAAGCAATGCTTTGTTCGTGGTTTCTCCAGGATGTCTCCTCCCACAGCCCAGAGGAGACTGAGGAAAATGGATGCATTTGACCTGATGTGGAAAGGAGCGAAGTGGGTGATCTTCTCACTCTGGCATCTGCCTGTGAACTTTTCCTATGTGCACAAAAATCATGGAGGGCTTTGAGTGTCTCCCAAGTCCCTATTGGAATCAGCACAGTATCTAATCGAAGCTTTCTTTTGGCTTTATTTCTTGGGAATGTCATCCAAAGGAATGGAGTGAAGCAATACTGAGAACCTCAACTTGTGCTGTAGCTTTGATCCATTTGGCCAGGCTTCAGTAGAATTTCCCTAAGCTTCATGTTTGAAATGATGAGGACATTTTTCCATGGGGATAATGCCGTACATCAGATTCAGGCTCTGAGGACACTTACAAATGCTTGTGTGATACATGATGTTTTTAGACTTAGAGGCTGGCTCTTGCAGCAAAACCTGCCAGCCACCTGGGCCACGGCTGAGTGAACGCAGGACCACCGAGCAGAGCAGCTCAGGCTCCGGCCTTGGTTCTAATTCAAACTCTCCTCTTACCAGCAGTGAGACCTGGGGCAAATCCCCTGATCTCTCACTGCCTCAGCTTCACAGTTAAGATGGGGAGACTAAGAGGTCTTCCTCCTAGGGTTGTTGTGTAGATTAAATGAGATCATATAGGAAGATAGCACAGCTCCTAAGTTATTACAAATAAATTAATATTAGCTTTTAATATTCAAGAAAGGCTGACTCACCGGGGCCAAGCTCTGTACTGGATGCTGGGACACAGCATGAGTAAAAAAGAAAAATCCCAAACTCCCCTCCCTCATTCAGGCCTTGGGTGTGGAGACGTCTGGTTGGCAGGGGTCCAGCTGAGTGGACAAGGACATGTAAGGGGTGAAGATCTCCTGCCAGGGCAAGCTCCAGGGCACCTGCAGGCCCTGGACTTGGTTCTTGTCACTGTGCTCCCTGCTCAGGGCTCCAAGGTGCCTTTTCCCATTTCCCCCTTGCTGCTGAGACCCATCCCTCCCTTCCCAGGTGACTGCCAAGTTGAAATGCTTTCTGCCTCCCCTCATCTTTCTGGCTGGCAGACAGTTTCAAGAGGTGTTTTTTTGTTTGGTGACACTGGGAAGGGCGCACCCCTAGGCTCAAGTCTTCTCACCCCTCACCGCCTGGCCAAACTGCAGAGAAAAAGACACTGATTCATGTCATGTGATGAGTCTTTCCATATATGAAGGATCAAAACACAAGTTCATGAAGACTGTCACTTGTCAATAACTGCTTATATGAATGATTGAAGGACATTTCCGGCCATTTCTATTCAGTAGGTCTGCAGTGAGGCATGAGTATTTTTTCAAAGTTCCCTGGTGATTCTGATGATCAGATTCCAATAGGATCAAAGGGACACCCAGCTCCCCAGGACTCCTGGCCACTCCGGTACATGAGCACGTTCCAATAGCTGGGCTGAGTCTGAAGCCTCATAGGGTGATTGTGGAAGGCAATAGCCACGAGGGTCTCCCTCCCACCCATACCCTTGGCCATTGCCACCAGGGAAAAAGAACAAGCAGAAAAAGTGGCAGGAATATCCCTGATGAACACAGACACAAAAATCCTCAACAAAATACTCACAAATGAAACCCACCAGCACATCAAAGCGATAATACATTATGATCAGGTGGAATTTATCCTAGGGATGCAAAAATGATTCAACATACACAAATCAATAAACATGATATATCACATCAACAGAATGAAGGACAAAAACCGTATGATTATCTCAATAGATGAAGAAAATCATTTCATAAAATTCAACATCCCTTCATGATAAAAACTCTCAATGAACTGGGCAATAGAAGGAACATACCTTTACCTATAATAAAGGTCATATATGGCAAACCCACAGGTAACATCATACTGAATGGAGAAAAACTGAAAGCCTTTCCTCTAAAAACTGAAACAAGACAAGGATGTCCACTTTTACCACTCCTATTCAACATAGTACAGGAAGTCTTAACCAGAGCAATTAGGCAGGAGAAAAAAATAAAGGCATCCAAATTGGAAAGGAGAAAATCAAATTGCCCTTCTTGGCAGATGACATAATTTTATATTTAGAAAAACCTAGACTCTACCAAGAAACTGTTAGCCCTGATAAACAAAATCACTAAAGTTGCAGGATACAAAATCAACATACAAAAATCAGTAGCATTTCTATATACCAATAATGAACTCATTGAAAAAGAAATCAAGCAGACAATCTCATCTACAATAGCTACAAAAAATAATAAAGTACCTAGGAATAAATTAAATGAAGGAGGTAAAAGAACTCTTTAAGGAAAGCTACAGAACACTGATGGAAGAAATTGAAGCAGACACAAATAAATGGAAAAACATCCCGTGTTCATGATTGGAAGAATTAATACTTTTAAAAAGACCATACTACCCAAAGCAATCTACAGATTCAAAGCAATCCCTATCAAAATACCAATGACATTTTTCACAGAAAAAGAAAAAAAATCATAAAATTCAAATAAAATTTCAAAAGAACCAAAATAGCCAAAGCAATGCTGAGCAAAAAGAGCAAAGCTGCAGGCGTCATACTACGTGACTTTAAAATATATTACAAGGCTGTAGTAACTAAAACATCATGGTGTTGGTATAAAAGCAGACACAAGGACCAGTGGAAGAGTATAGAGAACTCAGAAACAAATCCACATATTTATAGCCAAGAGATTTTTGACAAAAGGTGCCAAGGGCATACTTAGGGAAAGGGCACCCTCTACAATAAACAGTGATGGGGAAACTGAATATCTATAAGTAGAAGAATGAATCTAGAGCCCTACCTCTCACCACATAAAAGAAAAACTCAAAATGGATTAAAAATTTAAACATAAACCCCAAATTACAAATCTGGAAGAAAACGTAGGGAAAATTCTCCAGGACATTGATCTAGGCAAAGGTTTTATGACCAATAGCTCAAAAATATAGGTAACAAAAACAAAAATAGACAAATGGGACTGTATTAAACTAAAAAGCATCTGCACAACAAAGGAAACAATCAACAGAGGGAAGAGACAACCTGTTGAATGGGAAGAAATATTTGCAAACTGTTTTTTTGACAAGGGACTAGTATCCAGAATACACAAGGAACTCAAACAACACAATAGCAAAAATCAAATAATCCCATTAGAAAATGGACAAAGGATCTGAGTAGACATTTCTCACAGGAAGACATACAAAAGGCAAACAGGCACATGAAAAGAATGCTCAACATCACTAATCAGGAAAATGCCAACCAGAGCCACATGAGATATCATCTCACCCCAGTTGGAATGGCTACTATCAAAAAGACAAAAATAGCAGGTGCTGGCAAGACAGCCAAGAAAAAGGATCTCTTAGACACTGTTGGTGGGAATATAAATTAGTGCAGCCATTATGGAAAACAGTATGGAGGTTCCTCAAATAACTAAAAATAGAACTACCATAAGATCCAGCCATACCACTACTGGATGTTGATCCAAAGGAAATAAAATCGGTATATCAAAGGGATACCTACAGGCCCATGTTTATTGCAGCACTATCCACAATAACCAAGATAAGGAATCAACCTAAGTGTCCATCAACAGACGAATGAATAAAGAATATGTGGTATATATACACAATGGATTATTATTTGGGCATAAAAAAGAATGAAATATTGTCATTTGCTGAAACATGGGTGGAACTGGATGTCATTACGATAAGTGAAATAAGCCAGGCACAGAAAGACAAATTTTGCATGTTCTCACTCGTATTTGGGAGATAATAAAGTTGATCTTATGGAAGTAAAGTAGAATGATTGATAGATACCAGATGCTGGGAAGGGTGAAGAGGGGAATAAAAAGAGGTTGGCTAATGGGTATAAACAGGTTCTAATGTTTGATAGCAACGTAGGATGACTATAATTAATAGCAATGTATTGCATATTTCAACATAGCCAGAAGAGAGGACTTGAAATGTTCCCAATACATAGAAATGATAAGTGCTTGAGGTGATGGATTCCCTAAATACCGTGACTCTTGATCATTACATGTTCTATGCATGTAACAAAATATCACATGTACCTTATAAATATATAGGAATATTATGTATCAATAATATATATAAAGATGACAGTTCCTTAATAAGCAGGAGGTGAAGCAGGTGGAAGTAGTAGGGGTGGAGACGGTTGTGGGAAATCCCACAACTTTTAGGGAGGGTAGAGAATTCCTTTGGTCACAGGGCTGGCCCAGCCAGTCTTGAGATCCCAAGCAGTCTTGGGTCCTCTCAGGGATGCCTATAAATCAATTCACACAAGCCAGAGACTGCCTGTTGTAAATTGCCATAAAATATTTTTTAGTTAAAGAAAAAGAAGCAGCTCTGGCCCCTTTTGTTAAGTTACAAGACCCCATGCCTCCTGGCAGATCCCAAGAGAGACAAATTGCTGAAGAATAAGCTCTGTGCCCTGGCCTCCCACCTGTTGAACCCTCGGCTAGCCCTCTGTGAGCCTAGGCTGTTGCTATCGCCCTGGGACCAGTCATGAGGCTAAGTCTCCCTACAGGTGTGCCAGCAAGGCAGCAGGAGTCTGAAAAAGACAGAGCTTCGTATGGGGCCCCTTTTTGGACCTAGAAGCTGATCCAAGCTACATTATTATGAAAAGTTATTAACTGATATTCAGTTACAGGATCATGGGCTGAACAAAGAATGAGGCCCGGTACAGCCAAAAACCATATGGTCTGGGAGGCTGCACACACCTGCGAGAGAACAGGCAGGCCTGGTTAGGAACCGTCATCAACTCTAGGAAAGCCATAAAGTTTGGACTTGCTTCATGGCACTTTCTAATTAACTGTGCAGTGAGTTTTCTCCACTTCTTTATAAAGGCCTGTGCCCCCTCCTCCACCTGGCTCCATCTCCCATGGCCCCCAACATGTGGGGAGAAGGTTCCCACTAAGACTTCTAGCACTCAGGCCATGGAAGATGTTGTAAATAGGAAAATAGCATTTACCTCTGTGTCCAAAGCAAAAATCGAGGTGAACCTCTCAGAAAGTTATCATAAGGAAATTATCCAAAAGGGGGAAAAAACCATAGTGCTTTTATATACCAGCAAGAAGCCAAAAGCCACTTGCCTTGATTAAGCGTAGAAAAGTGATTAAACCAATTCTATTTAGCCAATGGACTGGATTAGCAGAGAATAGAAAGATGAATGTAAATTCTATGTGACAACATGGAAAAGAATTTACCATATAATGTTCAGTTAAACGTAGATGCAAAGATATATGTCTGCTATAATTGTGCTGGTAAAGTTACATATTCATGTGGCACTCAGTAGAATAGGATGAAAAAAACTGAAAGCAACTTGGCTGGTTTGCGGTAGGATTGTGGATGTTTTCTTCCTGCCTTTTACTTATAATTTTGTTAATGCTTTTGTACTGTTTGCATAATGCCCATTTAAAAATAAAGTGACAAGAAAAATAAAAGTAAAGATTATTATTTTAAAAAACAGGGTGGGGGTAGAAGAGAAACATAGATAGATAAGATGGTCAGAGCCAAACTTCCACCCAAGTTTTCCAGAACGCAGCCACATAAAGTTACTTTCATGAGGAAGAATTATTTTTCACCACTGCTCATCTGCATGAAAAAGAAGAAGAAAAATTAAAAGTGTCTTGGAAGGGAGCAGAGGTTTCCACGAGCTTCTTTGCTGGGTGGGGCGATGATTTGACCATAGAGAGACTGAAGTCATTGGTTGGCAGTTACCAGGGTGAAGCTGTTCCTGGCTTCACTCCATTTAACCTCTGCCATGTAAGCAGGAAGATAAATGTCAACCAAGCACAAAACAAGGCCCCCCAGTGCCCAGGCAGATGCTTGTGTCCCAACAGCTGCAGGGGGAATGGCAGGGAAGATTTGCAAAGAATTCCCAGAAAGCAGCTCTTGGCCACTTCTCAGCCGGGGTCCCAGCTCTGGGTCAGAGCCCCTGATGCTTTCCTGGAAGGCTTGGCTGCTAGTTGCCTGTCTCCTGGAATGGCAAAGCTGTGGTGCCCAGGTCCCAGCCCACCATGTGCTTTTTGAAAGGAATTGCCTTACAGGAGCTCAGAATTTTACTCTTGGTCAATTAAAAGATACATTTCTACTGTCTCGGGATTCGTGTAAACCTGGAGCTGGGGGCTGGCCACTTCTATTAAACTTGAGGATTGAATTAAATAGGTCTTATACTTAAAGTTCAAGAGATTCTTTAGAAGAAGAAAGCTCACCTGGGGGCTAGGTATTCATCCTGTATGACTCTGGGTGTGAGAGGAAGACTCAGAGGAAGGGATTGTGCCTTCCAGGGCGGGGGACTGAGTGTGGGAAGGGTCAGGGGAAAGGGTACTTCAGAGGATGAGACAAGCTTATAAAATAGCTTCTATTCCAGCCCCAGAAGGGAGGCGGCCGCACCGTGTAATATTTCCAGTTAAGGGAAACACATAAATGCTCAAGAAACAGCCTGGAACCATCAGGGTTGTAACTCCTGGCTGCAGCACCCGGAAGGGAGGGAGCAAAAGGAGCCACGCAAGAGTAATTAGGCAATTGCTGACCACAGCTCTGAACCTGCAGTCACTGATAAACACAACATAAGTTTTTAAGGGGCCACTCTGCATGGAACACAACTTTGATATCTGAGAAGCAGTCAGACTTTGCCCTTATGAGGAATCAACTTAAAGCTTGTAAAATACACCTGTGATTCTAGCATGATTTTTTTTTTCTTTTTTAGGCAAATAAGCTGCTGCCTCCTGGCTGCTCTGCAGTTTCTAAAGCCATTTGCATGTCTTCTTTTGAGGAATTGGCCTCTTGGTGCTTCAGGGAGGCTTTTGAGACAGTGAAAATAGTTTTACCAGTTGCTGCCTCCCAGTCACTCAGGGGTGATATTAAATCTGGGGGCAGTTAACACTCCCTTGAGAAATAAATCAGGGAGATGAAAGTCTCTCTTAAGCCCTACAAGACTCTCTGCTTTCAGGCATCTTCAATGTTTAAAAAACCTCTCCCTCACTCTCATTTCATGGCATTTCTCTTTGTGTTTCAGCAGACAGATGGAAGAGAGGATCTTCATGGGGATTTCCACTGGAAGCAGGTCCAAAGGAAGAAATCCTGCATTCCCAGAATATATTGTTCTTTCCTGTCCTTTGCTCAAATCTTCCCAAATTCTTGCATTTTGCAGCTGAGCATCTTGAGGGGAAAAAAAGAAAAAGAAAAACTAGGAAAATCAAATGTAAACATAATGTATAGATTATATTGTCAAATTGAAAATCAAATCAGAAACGTAATAGCTTTTATTTTTTTTCCTTCTTTTTATCCTTTTTCAAATGGAGATTAAGTCTTACACTCAGAAACATTAAGTCATACTGAAGATACAGACCATCTATTCCTGATCTTAGGACCGCCACAGATGTGTTGGCATCCAGAATACACTCCCATTCTCTACCTGCAATGCCCTGCCCTCTATTTCCAAACATCCAACTCCTACCGGTTCCTCCATAGTCAGCTTCTAATGCCCCACCCTCCTTGAAATTTTCTCTGATTTTCCTAGTACCACAGGTATGAGAGACTTCATAGTGTCCTGGTTAGTAGCACAGATGCTGAATCCAGTCTTCCTGTGTTCACATCTCAGCACTGCCTCTGGACATCTGTGCAACCATGTACAAGTTGCCCAGCCTCTCTGTGTACAAGTCTCTTCTCCTACAAAATAAAGACACAAGTAGAATCCACTTCACAGTTCTAAAATTAAGTGTTTTGATATACTTGAAACACTTTCAAGAGTGCCTTACCTATAGTAATCACTCAAGTATTAGCTACTATTAATACTCTATTACCTTTTTTATTTCTCATGGGAGTATCTGAATGCTTTCTATTGGCACCCATTTTTGTAAGATATTTTGCCTGTATTCTTATTTGAAACCATATTTTATCTTCCATCTCTTAAGGGAAAATTTGGGGCTCCATTCTGTTTTCCTTAAAGTCATCTGGTAGAAAAGATGGATTGACTACCAAGCTCGAGAGCAAATAAAAATGGTGTGTTAGGCCACACAGCCTCCTTGACATCTGGAATCGAGGTACAGAGAGGCAAAATTAAAGGAAGTATCACAGAAGACTTGAGTTGTGAGCAGAGTATATAAGGAAAGAAGGGCATGAAATGACGAGAGAGAAAGATTGCAGGGTTCAAAGAAAAATGTGTGGAAAGGCAGGGTACCACCGGGTCGGGCGTGTGTAGGGTGAGGGATTGAGGGAATGGTGGAAAAAATTTTTACCAAGACTCTAACCTAAGGGACCACTGTGATTTTTTAGAAAAAAAAAACCAACAGCTTCCTTTGGCATCCAAGTAACCACGGCTTCTGTGTCTTTCCAGGGGGCGCTGCTTTTCACCCTGCCCAGTTCCTTCCAAAGCACCTCCACTTTTGCCAAGGGCAGAGGAAAACAAACCCATGGACCTCTGTGCTGCCCACTCGCACTCTCTCAATGACACCTGCTGCCCTCCTCCACCTCCATTCCCTACCCTCAGCTCCACTCGGAGCCACTCCTAGTCCTGAGCCCTGCTGGATTCTCCCTGCCAACCTTGCCCTCCCCCAACCCCTGCCAGGCAGTGCAGCTTCCCTGTGGGATACCCTTGGTGCCAGGCAGATGTTCTCTCCCATGCCAGCAGAAAGAATGAGCTCCCATGGGTGGCCTCTTGCGTGCTCTCCCTCTGTACCCAATTGGGGAGGTTCCCTGTGCTCTGAACCACTCATGAGGCTAGGACTCAAAGATATCAAAGCAGGTGGGTATGCGCGTGTGCCAACACTTCAGGAAGGGACTAGATCCTGAGTATCCGTGTTAGTGAGAACACCAAAGATCATCCGGTTGAGCCCCTCATTTTAGAAATGTGGAAAGGAGGCTCAAAGACACACGACCTGCTGCATGTCACACAGCAACTTTGCTGCAAAGCTAAGGCTCCTTTCATTCCTTTAACCTGTGGGAAAACCCCTTCCAATTCAGATGCTGTTGTTTTCTTCTCTCTGGTCTCATTTCCCATATTGAAATTATACTGAGTTTTAATGAGTAGAATGTCAAAAGCATTTAGAAATATGATCTTCAAACTCTTTTGACCATGACCCACAGCAACAAATAAATTTTTTTCATTAGCCAGCATATATAACTGAATGAAAGGGTTTGTGATTCAGTACTTATCCTTCCTAACTGTGATGCATAATGGTATTTTTCTATTGCTGGGAAATATTGGTTAGGCCCACTAAATTGAATTCAGGACAGACAATTTAGAAAACATTGACTTGGGAAGTGTCTTTATGTGGGAACCACACAAGAGCAGATGAGACAAGGACTTTACTCGGCAGGTGAGTCCAGGAAACACCAAAGTGGGGGTGAGAAAAATAAGATGGGAAAAGAGAAAAGCCACAGGCCACTTGTGTAGGTAAACTGAGCCTCAATCCCACGAGGACCCTCTAAGAAACTGTTTAGCATGCACCCTGAAATTATCCCACCATGGTTGGGGGACCCCAGGTACTTATCCATGGACTTCATAGCCTTATGTTGAGGATTTTCACTGGGAATATTAAATCCATAAAACTGCTGCACTGCTCTGGGAGTGAGGCCACAGAAAGCCCTCAGGCAGAGAGAAGCAGAGAAAAGCAGAGGGTCTAGGTGTTTGGGGCGGGAAGCTGTCAGCTGCAGAAGCCATCCACTTCTGCTGCAGGTGAACTCAGGGTGGCGGGAAAGGGACCTGGAGGTGTGTTAACAGCAGCTGCTGCAGAAAATACCATGTTGTCTGAGGCTGCTGTGCCCTCCTGTAAAGCATCCTTACTTGGTTTCAAAAGGAAAAAGCCGACAGAGCACGGTGGCTCACGCCTGTAATCCCAGCACTTTGGGAGGCTGAGGTGGGCAGATCACCCGAGGTTGGGAGTTTGAGACCAGCCTGACCAACATGGAGAAACCCCGTCTCTACTAAAAATGCAAAATTAGGCGTAGTGGCGCATGCCTGTAATCCCAGCTATGCAGGAGAATCACTTGAACCCAGGAGGCAGAGGTTGCGGTGAGCCGAGGTTGAGCCATTGCACTCCAGCCTGTACAACAAGAGTGAAACTCTATCTCAAAAAAAAAAAAAAAAAGGAAAAAAGGAAAAAGCCAAAAAGTGCCATGTAAGTAGAAAAGAAAGGGTTAACAAAATGAGAGATGCTGTTAGAGTCAGTCAATCCAGGAAACATACCAAACACTCCCTTCTCGTTTTTCACTTCATTGTAATATTGCTGACTTAAAGAAAAGGCCAGGAGAAAATTAACTGCATTCTGTAATCAAACTGTGTAGAATATTGCTGCTTGAAATGTTATGATCTGAAATGTCTGTGACTATAAATCCAGACCTTAATGATATAAAGATTTTGACTGCAGATTTTTGTCATCTATTTTTGGTTTTCTACCCACATATCTGGATGTCCAACAGCTAGGCACCTCTGTGATACTTGGGCCTGTAGAGTGATCCAGGAAGCCAAACAGAAGGCACTCACATATTTATTATCTAAAAAAACTTCGAAGCCCGTAAGGTTGAAAGACTCCATATAACTACAAATTGTCATCATACTACAAATATGTCTGGATAGACAAGTCCAATGGAAGACTGCATTTTCACCAAGGACTAGGTCCTCCTGTTCATTGATTGAACACACATTTCAAATTTCCCAAGCCTGGCATGTTTACACCCCAGCATGTGCAGTCCATCTGGAACATATGGACAGGGGAGGCGGACAGGCTCTGGAGCTGCTGGGGAAAGAGGCCTGGATGCTTGGCTCACTTCTGCCTGTAGCTTGTTGCCTTGGACAAGTTCTCTGAACCCAGTTTTTCTGAATCAAGAAAGCACTTTGAAGGGTAAGAAAGGGCTATGTCCTAGTCCTGGATAAAGGATCAAACAGAGAATTGCATCTTCTTAGTTGCATAATTTGCGATGCCCCACTGGTCACTGCCTTGACCTTTCTATCCAATTTTCAGATGCATAAACTACAAATGAAACCAGATATTGGAAAAAAGTATCAGGGCTTATTAAAATGGGACTCTCTGTCTTGCTTTTCATAATCATCTTGCTTTAAGCTCCATACAAGATCTGAAAAAATGGATATGCTCTCTTTTTATGCTTATTTTTATCACCATTGTTATCATCTACTCCCATACCAGCACACTTACTGAGTGCCTACAGTGCACAAAGCATTGTGCTAAGTAATCAATGGGGATTCAAGGCCCAATAGTCACAGTTCTCAAGAGGATTTTATTGAAAGTTAAAACTTACATGTATAAATAGAGATATAACATCATGAGGTATCATGTGATAAAGACAAGATAAGTGGCCTGAATAGCTGATGCCATCAAAGGTTAGAAAAGCCCTTCTGGTAAAGCAGGCTAATATCCTGTGATTTGCACTAACCCTCAACAACCATTCCTTCTCTTTTTAATATTTACAACCAGTTCTCCACTGGATACTTCTTATAAGATTTTAAAAGGCTCAAGCATTTTCTATTCAAAACAAAATTCTCACCAGGCCCCTTCTGACTAACTGCTACTATCCTGAGGCTAGCATCTCAAGTGTCATCACCCTCACTCTCCCCATTTCCTCCCTTCTCACTTACTCCACAACTGTTTGCAACCTGACTGCCACCCTGAAACAGCTGTCCTTAGGGTTACCAGTCACCAGCCTGCTATGAAATCCCAGGGACACTCTACAGTCTTCATTCTTCTTGACTTCTCAGCAATCCTAATCACTTCCACCTTTCATTCTTTTTTTTTTCTTTTTGACAGAGTCTCACTCTGTCGCCCAGGCTGGAGTTCAGTGGCACTATCTCGGCTCACTGCAACCTCTGTCTCCTGGGTTCAAGTGATCCTCCTGCCTCAGTCTCCTGAGCAGCTGGGACTACAGGTGCACACCACCATGCCCAGCTAATTTTTTTGTACTTTTAATAGAGATGGAGTTTCACCATGTTGGTCAGCCTGGTCTCGAACTCCTGACCTCAAATGATCTGCCTGCCTTGGCCTCCCAAACTGCTGAGAATTACAGGCATGAGCCACCTCACTCGGCCCCTTTCATTCTTAAATAAGCTCTTTTATGGCATAGAATATAATATTATAAAGTGCAAAAATCATGAACATAAATGTTTACAAAATGAACATACCTTTGTAACCACCATTTGGATAAATAGGGTATCGCCAGACCCCTAGAAACCCCTGTCCTGGTGTCACTTTCCAGTCACTACTCCTACTGAGAGGTAACCACAAACAGTGGATGCTGTGGTGTGCCCCCCAGGCCCCCTCCACGACTCAAGCATTTATTCCCCTACTAGGAGTGTTGGCTACTAGCTGCTCTTAGCCTAGTCTCACTCGAAGACTTCCCTGGGTAAAGAGAGCCTTACCCAGGGTCCTGCACCATTCCTCAAGGTGTCTCACATCCAGTGACCAGTTGATCGTAAACGACTGGGATGTAAAGGCTGTTTGTGTGTGTGTGTGTGTGTGTGTGTGTGTGTGTGTGTGTTTAAAGACAAGGTCTCACTTCACTCTGTTGCCCAGGCTGGAGTGCAGTGGTATGATCATTGCAGCCTCAACCTCCTGGGCTCAAGTGATACTCCCACTTTGGCCTCCCAAAACACTGGGATTATAGGTGTGAGTCATCATGCCCAGCTGCCATCATCATTAGAAAGCTCCCCTTTAGGTTAGCTGAGGCCCTGGTTGTGACTTCATCACAGTTCACCTTTTCCTTCTGACCTTCACAGCATCCTTCATTCACTCTCATGGGCTGACCCTCAGGTCACACCCCAATTGACTTACTGCACACAAATCTCTGCTTCCTGGGGAATCTAAGATGTGATACCACAGACTAACTGCTAACATAGATTGCTTCACATGACTTTGAACTTTATAATAAATTACACAGTGTGTGCTTTTATGTGCCTGGTTTCTTTTGTTTAACATTCTGTGAGATTCATACATGTTGTACATAACAGTAGTTTGCTCTTTATTGTAGTATCATTTATGATATTCTTTAAATAAATGTGCCACAGCATAGTTATAATTTTTCTGTTTATGGCCTTTTAAGTATTTTCTAATTTTTGGTTATTATGAATAATACTGCAATAAACATTTGTGTACCTATCTTTTGGTGCTTATAAATAAGAATTTCTGTTGGGCATATGCCTAGAGGTATAATCGTGTTATATAAGGTATATTTATGTTCGGATGTAGTGAATATTGCTGAGGAGTATTCAAATTATCTTACCACTTTATACTCCAATTAGAAGAGCATGAGACTTCCCATTGGATTTGCTATCTGGCCCTTTATAGAAAAGGTTGGCCAATCCCTGAACTAAGCCAAAGAATGAGAGGAGCACAAGTATTAAGGCAGAAAAACACCTGATATATCTTCAAGCAAGGGTAAGAACACCAGTTTGTTTAGGTAGATAAGACTAGGTAGAAATACAGTTTGGATCAGAGATCAGCAAACTTTTTCTATAAAGGGCCAGATTGTGAATTTAGGCTTTGCAGGCCTTATGGTCTCTGTTGCAACATTCAACTCTGCCATTGTAGCTCAAAAGCAGTCACAAAAAATAAGCAAAAAAATGAGAGTGGGTATATCCCAATAAACCTTAATTAAGGACACTAAAATTTGTATTTTATATCATTTTAATGTTGTCACAAAGTATTACTCTTCTTTTGATTTTGTCCAACCATTAAAAATTTATAAGGAACATTCTTATCTTGTGGGGTAAACACAAACGGGCAGTGGGCTGGGCTCGGCCCATGGGCCATAGTTTGCTGACCCTTTTCGTAGATGGTGGAGGTCTAAATAATCTCAACTTATTTGATAAACAAAACATTTAGCATTCTGGGGGGAATGGTATGATGTATACAAAGCAGTGTTTCAGGGACTCTGAGCTGATTGCGGTATTTAGGATGAATTGGGGAGGGAGAGATTGGAGGTTGGATGACCAGTTAGGGGGCAGCATGGGTAGACCTAGTAAGGGTTGGTAAGGATCTGTCACCTGGTGATGACAGAGAGAGTGTGGTGAAAGAGATGGGGCATATGCAAGAGGATATTAGGAAGAGGTAAGAAAAAGATTTGGTGACTGGTGAGAGAGAAAGAAAGAAGACTCGGTGCCTAGCGCCAGGATTTTCAGCATGGGAGACAGGGTGAAGAGTTTGATGATAAAATGGTTGAGAGACATTAGAGATCAATATTTAGGGCATGGGTACTGGAGCCAAAAGGCCTGAATCTAAAGCCTGGCTTCCTGTTTTACAAACTGTAATCTCTCTGTTTCCTCCTCTGCAAAATGGGATTAATAATAGCATCTATTTCATGAAGTTATTATAATTCATACAAAATGCTTAGAACAGTGCCTGGCACATAGCATGCGCACTGCAGGTGCTAGCTTTTATTGTTAATTGTATAGTGTCTTTTTAAAAATAACAAAATAGGGCTGGACACAGTGGTTCACACCTGTAATCCCAGCACTTTGGACAGCCGAGGCGGGATGATCACTTGGGACCAGGACTTCAAGACCAGCATGGGCAACGTGGCAAAACCCTGTCTCTACAAAAAATTAAAAAATAAAATACATTAGCTGGGCATGGCAGTGTGTGCCTATAGTCCTAGCCACTCAGGAGGCTGAGGTGGGAAGAGCACTTGAGCCTGGGAATTTGAGGCTGTAGCGAGCCTTGGCTGCATACCTGTACTCCAGCCTGGGTGACAGAGTGAGCCTCTACCTCAAAAATATATATATAATCTTTAAAATAATATAATAAAGTAAAAATGTTAAAGATAGAAAGCAAGTTTAAGGGAAAAAATGTTATCTGGCTTTAAATGGTTTTCAGCTGACCCTGGGCAGCAAACAGAACACTAAGAATAAACGCTCTGAAAGGCGGAAGTCCTAGCATTGTGAGTGTGTGTTCCCATAGTGAGCAACTTCATTTCATAGGAGTGGAAAAGAAGGCCAGAAGGTCAAAGATTAAAGTATAAAAGCACACATTGTGGTCAAGAGCTCAGACTCTAGTGAAATCTCTTCTGTCTCTCTTAGTAGCTATGAACCCTTGGGAAGGTGAGTTACTTAAGCTCTCTATACCTTAGTTCTGCCATCTGTAAAATGGTGTAACCATAGTACTTACTATATGGAGTAGCTGTCATGGTTTAAAAAGTAAAGGTGAGGCCCAAACAGAGCCTATCACAAAATGAGTCTTCCATAAATGTGTATCCTTTGTTATTCTTGTGACTACCTTTAAGGAAACTAGAGACTAGGGAAGCCCCAGGAAAAGAAGGCCTCAAAGGCACAAAGGAATTTGCCCGGTGAGATTGTCCTTGAGGACTTCTCTGTCTCTATCTCTGCTACACTGCATCAGGGTTAGGAAGAATGATGTTCTGAGAACTTGATCAACTCCTTTAGGATCAATGGGCAAAATCCCAAACTTTTCGTTTAAATGGAGTTGACCTAAATCTGCTGAATGACAATGTCTTTAGGATCAGCCCCTGGAGCTTTTCAAGTGGCATTGATTGGGCTGCCTGGAAAATCCTCTGACCTAGAGAAATCTCCTCCTTAGTGAAGCTGACATAAAACCCCCAGATTGCTCCTTTTCCGTTCAGGAGGAAGAGGGGCAGCTCATCATCGCGAAAGCAGCAGCTCAGACTCTGGCTCTCGCATTTAGCTCTGTATCACATCCATCAGGATCCCACACTACAAAGTTGCTCATTTTCTAATCCACAGTGACTGTGGGTTATTTCTTCTTAAGCTTCTTAATTTGCTGCTTAGAAAATTACTTTGGGTGAAAGCAATTAGTGTTATACATTTTTGAGGAGAAAATTGCAGGCTAGCCCACTCTGACTGCATGGGTCAGGGATTTCCTCTGCGTCTCATTTGATCCTTCTTTCTTTTGTTCATAGCTCTGATTCAAACAATCTGGCTCCTTAAAACTCTGAGATGGTAACCTGGTGCCGTGTTTAAAACTTATGGAAGCAACACTTGGCAAAGGAGAAGAGCTTGGGTGTGAGGAATATAGGTGACAAATAGGATTGGCTTCAATAAGATTTTCCCAGCCAGGTGCAGAGGCTCACATCTGTAATCCCAGCACTTGGGGAGGCTGAGGCATGAGGATTGCTTGAGGCCAGGAGTTTGAGACCAGCCAGGCAACATAGTGAGACACGGCCTTTTATATATATATATAAGATAAAATGTTTAAATAAAAAATTTAAAAAGGAAGGTTTTCTCTTTTCTTATTAATTGGTAAACACTGTATGGGTTTTTGTGTGTGTGTGTGTGTATGTGGTGTGGGGCAGGAGGCTGAATAGGGAGTAGGGAGTAGAGACTGACTTAGAAAACTTTCTTTTAAAATTTTCCTAGTGATCACAGACTCTCTAATGTCATCTTGATCATTTCTGGAAAAGTCATTGTAGAAATCTCTGCTAGGCCAGTCAAATAAAAATTACTGATGGGAAAGAAAGTCAAAAGGGCATAGCGCAAGCTGGAAAAATCAGTCTTAGAAAGAGACAAGCAAGAAGGAGTCTAGAGCCTATAGGGGCCTTTAGCTTTGGCTTCTCCACTTGTGGAGGTAACAGAACTAGCCAGAGGCTGACTCGGTCTCTCCTGTCTGATCGCAGGCCTGACTACACTGACGGACTGCTTGGCCAAAGGTCTGACTGTGTGCTTGAACACTCTAGCCATGGAATTAGAGTTGCAGCTAGTGTGTTCAGGGCCCTTCTCTGGCTTTTTCAACCCTCGATTTCATGATTCCTAGCTCTCATGGTTCACAGGACATAGTCTTCCACCTGAGACATGTTCTCTACCCAGGCCCTGGGTGGACATTCAGATGGCTCCTTTACCTTTCCATGGCATGGGATATGGGTCTTTGGATGTCAGAATCATTTTGTCCTTCCTTAGGTGGAAGGCTGGGACCTACTGGGATTGGTCCAGTAGGTCCAAAGCTGCTGATGGTGGCAGCTTTGATGACAGCTCCGTGTGGAGCCCAGTGAATCTTCCTCCATCACCCTAGTGTGTGATGGTGGGGGCGAGTTCTCTCACTGCCCACAACTCCTCTCCCTTGTCCCTGCAGCTTGTTTCTGAGAGCTTCGTTGTTTTGTGCCTGGCTCCTGGACTGTGAAAAATCATACCCCTCACAGCCCCAGCGTCTTTCCCAGAATAGAGAAATAATAATCCAGGCCGAATGTACACTCCTGAGATTCAGTCCCTAGAGCTTTGTTCTTTTAGGAGTACAGTGTTTATTAGAGGAGAGAGGGTAAAAGTGTCATTTATCTCCACATATGTGGGAATGTTATTGAATTGTCATCAACAAGTAGTCCAGCCCTTATGAATGGAACAATCTTTTCTCCCCTGATGGATGACGGCGTTTCTGGAAATCAGTCAGACCTTTATGCTAACAGGGCCTGCGTCTGGATTCTATAAGGTGGAGGGTAGTTTACTCAGTGGAGTCCTTCAGTCCTACAATTACGTCCTCCCCATAGACCCACCCTCCCGTCAACTTTTTCACTCATAAATCCAACACTGCTTTGTCTGAAATATGGCAGATTTGCTTTCATTTTTATTTGAATTTGAAGTGGGAGGTTGGAAGGGTAAGGTCTGGGCTCCAAGAGTAAGCATAAGTTATAATTATATTTCTTCACATTGTGCCTTTGATTATGTTTTGATTTGATGGATTGCATATCCCCTACTGTACACACCAGGATCCTTCTGACAAAACTAAATAGATGTATTTTCATTAACCTACCCAGTGACTTTCCAGAAATACCTTTTCAGAAGTTTCTCCAGTGTTTCATGACAGAGTCTGTTTCTAAAATCTTAACTCAAAGCCACAAAATTACTAGTATGAAATACTCTCTAGAGACCTTGGGACACTTCTCTTCTAACGTAGGACCTATTAAGGACCCCGGTGTGACCATTTTGATTGAACCAATTATTTGCTTTATTTAAATACCAGGACAGACTGAAGCTTGCCTTCCTGAAGTGATTTCTCCTTTGACTAAATGGGAGAACACTGAATCAACAAATTATTTGAGCTTGTATAGTGGTGACCTCTGGGGCATAGTATCTGAATTCAGCAACCAAATCCTTGTTATGTGACCACAGAAAAAATCATTCTGTCTCAGTTTTCATGACTGTTAAGGATAAGCTGAGAGTTCCATTTAAGCCCGCAAATTGCCAGTCAACATTCATAACTGGTAGGCTGGGATAACTATTATTAAGTAGTACTCAACAATATTAATAATGATAACAACTATCATTTCCAGCATTCATTTGCCTTGAGTTGGTAAGCATGGAAGGAATGTTTTGTTTTAGGGGCTAAAGAGGAGGATGAAAGTCGGGGGTGGTTGCACATTTATTTGGATTTTTTAATGCCTAATGCCCGCATCCCTGAGAAAGTATAAAGAGACATTTTGTATGAAGCAGAGACTGTTATCTGTTCCCTATTCCACATCTTAAGCTAGTCTCGAGTTCACTAAAAAGTTAGGTTTGAATAGCAATTAGAGAAGTTGAATTTTTTAGAAACTTTGTGAGACTCTGGACAAAAACAGTGCTACTTTTAGGCCTGGAGACTTTGAGTTGAGACAAAAGACAGTTTCCCCATTGTTATGTGGAAATTAGCTCCCCCTGACACCTCCAAAGTTGCCAGCAACATTGAAGACAGGAAGGCTAGACTGTGCAATGAACATGGGCATTCTCCCACAGCACTGTGGAGTCAATGGTAGGACAGCGGGCTAAGGTGTAGCGAGAAAGAGAGGGAGTCCACGGCTTGGACTGAAGGGAAGGAGTGTGACTCACACGCTGCTCCCAAGCCAATGGGAGATCCTCTTTAGAAGCAGTAGGAAATATCTTGAAGGAAGGCACTTAAGGTGGCTGAGCAAGGTGGGAAAATCGGAGACTTTTCATGAGTGAGTGTGAAGAAGAAATTCAGGATTATTGATGTCATTGTGATTTCACTTGTATCTGCAGAAAATAAGAAATAAAAATTGCTTTAAATACTTAAAAAATAAAAATAATCATGAATGTGTGTGTCTCTATTCTGGATTCCCTTGTGTTCTATTTTTTATATGTTTAGATTTATGCCAATACCTCACCATGTAGTTTATTATAGGTAAGTAAGTCTAAATATCAGGTCAAATAAAACCTCAAAAATTGTTGGTTTTTCCCCCCACAATTGTTTAGACTATTCTAGTTCCCTTGCATTTCCATATAAATTTTTAAAAAGCTAGCCAATTTATAAAATAGAAAAAGTGCCTGATGGGATTTGGATTGAATTTGACAAAGGTGCCAAAGTAACTCAATGAACAAAGCACCATCTTTGCAACAAGTGTTGCTGAAAAAATTGAATAGACTTACACAAGAGAAAAATAAAAACCCTCCATTCTTACCTTATCATATACAAAAATTAACTTGAAATGGATTATAAGAAGAAAACATAGGAGAATGTCTTTGCAGCCTTGGGTTAGGGGAATAATTCTTAAGACATAAAAAGCAGAAACCATAAAAGAACTAATCAATAATTGTACTTTATCAAAATAAAAACTTTTACTCTAAGACACTAGAGAAAATGAAAAGGCAAGCTACAGACTGTCGGAAAATATTTGTAAACCATGTATCTGATAAAAAAAACTCTTAGAACTAAATAATAAGACAACAAACAACGCAATAAAATAAAATAAATAGTAAGTTGGACATTAATCCCAAATAAGACCTAGGAACAGCAAAAGAGTGCATGCAAAGATGCTCAATATCATTAGTCATTAAAATAATGCAAATTGAAACTATGGTAAGCTACTACTACACATCCACTAGAATGGCTAACACTAAAGACTAACAAGACCAAATGTTGTGGAGGATGTAGGGCAACTAGAATTGTCATATATCACTGTTAGGAATGCAAAATGATAGTGCTACTTTGGAAAACAATTTGACAGTTTATTATAATGTTAAATATACATGTACGTGTAACTCAGAAATCCTATTTCTAGGTATTCACCAAAGGGAAGTGAAAATATGTATCTATACAAAGACATATAACAATTATTTTCCACTGTAATTATGATATCTTCCTAATACTTGGTTTGCCATTTTTTAAAAGCTAACATTTCTCTATAAATAATTTCCTTTTTAATATTTTGAGTGACTGAATATCTTGGTTCTTTCTCTCCTTTACTTGAAACTTAGAACACATAAACTAGAACTCTTTTATCAACCTTATCATGGACTCTTAAAAGGATGTTATGATTTTTGATGGAATAGAAAAAGGACTTCAGACCCAAACTGGTACATATTAAGCTGGTGCAATAGTAATTGCAGTTTGCCATTACTTTAATGGCAAAGACCGCAATTACTTTTGCACCAACCTAATATTATTGTTATGTGTATATCCGGCCACCTGAAAAGGTTCTAGGTTTTTAGATTCTGTGTGTGTGTGTGTGTGTGTGTGTGTGTGTGTGTGTGTGTGTGTGTGTGTGTGTTGCTACCTCTGGAACTCCTCAAAATCTTAATGGAGCAATTATAAGTGTCATTTCCTTTAACTTTTTCCTTCAGGTTACTTTTACATGTAGGCTGTCTTTACGTGTCTAAATATTTAACCGCATGAATGGAGCCTTCTTCTAGTTTTTTTCTTGAGGGTTGGATTCTGTGTAGGTACAGATCTTGACCCCTGACATCTTTATGCACAAAGAACAATAGTCAAATCAGCAGTCATTACTCTTTGGTTTAAGAGGAGGTCAGCCAGGACAATGAGCTGAAAGTCAAGGTAACAAAAGAACTGAGGGCTGCACTGGGTCCTCTTCACAAATGAGTGAACTTGATTCTTGCTTATTGGGATGTGAGGAATCTGGGGCTATTTCAGGAATGTTAGCAATTTTGCCCTAAAGCAACTTTGATCTTGTTGCTCCTCCCCTTGCTTGGTCATTAACTGGGAACATGGAGACCAGCTCCACTCTTTGACTTCTCAAAGAGTCACTGCTTACTGCATAAATACATCTCCTCTTACTGTACTCTTTTCCTGGAAGAAAAAATACCAATCCTCTCCCCTGAGAGGGGCTTCAACTTCTCGTTTTCAAAACTATTTACCCCAGCTGATGCCCTAACTAAAAAAGCATGCCTTTGAAACTGGTAAGCAAAGGCCAGGGAAGGAAAATGAGAATCTGCCAGCCACAACTTCCTCAAGTAAGAATTCCCTTCTGTCTTCTCCAACCCATCCTCAAATCCCACCAGAGATGGGGTTTCCAGCGGCTTTAGGAAATTCCTCAAAAACAGGGGAGGGGGAAATTATGTACAACTTCCACTGTATCTAGCCACAAGAAGGTGGTCTGTTACCCACCCTTTCTTTCCCTTTAGGCTTTTAACTGTTAGCAGTGGCAATTAATATAAATTAGCCAATGACATTGTATGCTTCATTCTTCTGGAAACAGCTAGTTTGTTAGTGGTTAGGCCTACTTACCTCCCAGAGAAATCTGTGGGCGTTCTTTATATGAAGAAACTCTCCAAAATCCTCATGTTTCCACATAAGTGAGGATCAAAGTAAGAATTCCATTGTCTCCTGTTAAATTCTGTTCCTCAGACTATAGCCTGAGTAGAGTCATCTTTCATTCAAATTCTCCCCACACATTTCTGAGGTTTAGGGGCTGTCATCTACAAGATTTAGAGATTTGCATGCATTTTATCGTGTTTTCAAAAATTAAGAGGCAAATTCCCTCAGAGCAATTACCAAGACTTGTGTAAGAGTCCCTCACCTTAGGAAAAGAAATCACCAGCACACTTGTTCAAACAAAACCCACGCCAGTTTTCTTTATTTTATAATCTTATAAAAATGTTTTACTTACACCATGGGATTCCGAACATGTTTATGAACATTTTCCAAATGTTTTGAAGTCCAGGGTTGGGAGCCCAGTAATTGTCAATGGATGAGTTAGAGGGTATGTTTGCACCGGCGGCTTTTGTCTTTCCCTCCCACTCACCGGGACTGTCTCTCACAGACTCACGGTGACCTTGGCTAGTTTTGGAGACCTGCTTTGATTTATGAAGTTCTCATAGGGCAATGTTTTCAAATAAGTTGTTTGTGTGGCCATCAGCCTAGTGGTTTCCAGAGTGCTTTCCCACTTGCTCTCTCTTTGAGTCCCACAATAACAAAAGAGGATAGGCCTTTGGCACCAAGCTTGAGAGACCTGGGTTGTTCTATATAAGTTCAATTTTCTAGCTAATAGAAATTTATCTTATATACTATCCAATTGATAAATAAAAATTTATTGAGGAATTCCTAACTGTTCACAGTTAGTATTCAGTAAAGCACTTTTAAATTTAAAAATAAAGGAATACTAGGCAAGACTGATTTATCTTTTGATGATTCAAAAAGTACCTCAGGATTCTGCAGCATTTCAGGCTCATTTTGCTGAAACTCCATTATCCCTGTTGTTGGCATTCAGTGCTAGGTTATGTTAGATTATCCTGAAAGTTATTTCATACACATATTTATGTAGCACAACGTAGCATTCAGAATTGCAGCAGGCCCCTAACTAATGAAAATGTATGCTTGCAAGACAGATGCATATGGCAGTAATTATTCAATTTACAAAGCATTCACCTTTAGAATTCCTTTGCATGGCATTTAGATTTCCAACTACACCTATAGCTTTATGAACATACTTCTGGTTCACGGAGTTCCTTTTGTCTCCCTCCAGCATAACCACACACTCACACATGCATATCCCTATACAGATACTCTAATTTGTCTGACGAACTTCCCTCCCAAGTAGTAGTCCCTAAGAATAAGATGAAAAAGAATCTCGTTGCTCTCCCATGGCCATTCTGCCTTCCTCCTAGAGTCAATATGCTGCAGTGAGGTCTTCTAGATCACCTAGTCTGATCTCATTTTCTAGATGAGAACCCATGGCCCAGAGAAGTTAAAGCACTTAGCTGAAGTCACAGAGTTTGTTAGTGGCAGAGCTGGGACTAGAAACCAAGCCATGAGCCTCACATCACAGCATCTGCTCTTCCCACTAAATTCTCTTCCCACAACTCCCTTGGAAAGATACGCCTCTTTTTCCAGAGACCTACTCAGACAACAACTTTGCAGTCTGCCTGAGAAACTCATTTTCCACATTTAATCATGTACACTCTCACTGAAGCTGATTTAATCTGATCGGAATTGTCCATGGTATAGAAAAAAGGTCACATCCAGATGGAGATGGGTGGAGGTGGTCACCATTTAATACAACATACTGTTTCTACCCAAAATGGTTATACTAACCTAACCCTCTATAATTTTTTTTTAACCAAGACTGAGTATTCTAAATTCCTTAGCGTTGTCTCAAACCCCTGTGTTTTATTCTTTAATTATTTTGATGGACTTCTCCAAAGCCATCCTATTTTAGCATCCATTCTTCCCATTCCTCTTGATTCAATGGTGCAGCTCAGTTGAAATGCAGGGTTGTACACAGGCCCTGCTCAGAGCTGTCCATTGCAGAAAGGTAGCACAGGCTTATTACCAATTTTAGTTCTTTCATTTTACAAAATTTTAGCACTTTCCTTTGATTAGAATAAAATTCCCACAAGATTAAATCATTTCTTCTTGTAGGCCTGTGAACTAAAGCAGCTATCTCTTTGGGGCTGTGAATGGAAGCATACAATTTTCATCATTACAACTATTGTTGCAACAGACTTTATTTTTAAACTACTTAATATATGACTTTTTAGAGGCCTGATCTGCCTTTTCTTTGAGGTGGAAATATTTGTCACAATCTTGTTCTGCTGCCCAATAAATCAAAATGTTGAGCCTCTTGTAATAAAAATAGTTGCTTTGATGTATAACCTTAAATGTCTAATTTCCTACCAGCAATAATGAGGCTTTCTCCAGCCATTCTGGGGGAACTGGGTTTCCTTTTTTCTGTCCTTTTGTTTTTCTAACATGTGGGCTGTCTAATGACAGGATTTTGTATTCCAGATGTTTTGGCGAGAGAAAGCAGTAAGCGACGGTACACATCTCAGGCCTTCATACCACCCAAGTGGCTGTTACATCACTGGCCAATGTGAGCCTATCCAGACTATCTCTGCCCACCCCCCTCCCCCACCCACACTTTATTTAATGTTGCTAACCCTTTAGACATCAACACAAAATCACAGAAATTCTTTTATGCAGCTATTACTACACAGACATCCAAAGAGCAGGGAAAGAATCTAAAACCACACAGAAGTTAAAACCCATGTGGTTTTAATAAGAAGAAAAGAAAGAGATGGTTTAATTAAGTAATAAGACTAGACTCCCTGGTGGTTAATAAGGTAATTTGCCACATGATTAAAGGTATGTATATGCAAGTTGAATTTCTGCGGTAACATTATTGCTCAAATGGAGGCTCTTTGGAAACTGGGATTGTTAGTCACTTAAATACTATAATCTTTTGAAGCAATAGAAGGGGAACAACAAAGAGTCACTTTTGAGATTCTTTCATCATTATCTCAATGTTTCTTAAAAAACAGAGGACGTTATGCAAGACTACAATCTAGCAGCGACACTGTCAGATTTCAGAGTGGATGTCTCCCCTCTGTGTTCTCGGCTCTGGGACTGCAGAGGCACCATGAGGCTCTTGGAAAAGAGAGACCAGGTCCTGCTCTGATCATTCTCTGGAATGGATGAACAGGTGCTTAAGGTTGGATCAACTAAAGCCTCCAAGACCCCAGTTCATTTAAAAAATGTTGCCATTGATTTATTTTCCAACTCTCTTCTTGCTTCTGTCTCTCTTCCCTGTGCATCACGTTGGCATGCCTCCATTGCTTCTTGAAATCTTTGCCCTCCTTGGGGAATTCTTCTTAGCTTTGCTATATATTCAGGTGACAGGACCTGATGCAGACCACCAGAAGCCCCTGCTGCTGGGTAAACAGTGAAGGCTGCACAGCTGCTGGGGGTGACAGGGGCATCTTGTTCCAAAGCACTCCACCAGATGCCTGTGTGCTGAGAAGCTGAACTGTCTTATCTGGATTCCAGGCTCCCGCCTGCTCCTATCTGTGTGACCCTAAGGAACCTCACTTCTTTTTATTTGTTGAATGAAAATAATGATATCCTGTCCACTTCATGCAGCTGTAGATGCTACAGTTCAAAATGCTCTACACACTTGTTAAGGTGCTCTATGAACATAGCAGGTTACTGTCATTACCTCTCTCCTCAAGACCCTCCAAATGTTCCCAGAGGACTTGTCTTGGGGCAAAAACATTCCTGCCAGTTCTAATGGTTTATAATTCATCTCTCATTCTTCTATTCATTTACTTGTTCAGCAAGTACCTATTGAGCTCAGGCTACTACAGTCAACAGGAAGGCAAAATCCCTGCCCTCATGAAGCTTATGTTCTAGGGGAATGACAGACAATAAATAAGAAAACAAATAGGATAATTAGAAAGTATAATAAACATGATGGAGAAAATTAATAGACTGATATAACAGGGAGTCAATGAAGTGGGAGCTGCTTTAGAAAAGGATCAAGGAAGGCCACCTGGATATGGGGCATTTCAACTGCAACACAATGGATAAGAAAGAGAACCAGCTGCACAAAGAGCAGTAAGAGCTCCCTTCCAAGGAGAGGGGTGAGGCCTTGATGCATGGAACAGCTTAGATGGTGAAGGAACAGAAAAGCAGCCAGTGTACCTGAGGAAAATTGAGGCCAGGGAAATGGGCAGGGGCCAGGACATGCAGAATCCTGCAGGCCATAGCACCAAGTTTACATTTTACTCCAAGTGCAAGGGGAGCTATTAAAGGTGCTAAGTAGGCAATCAGATGTACATTATTAGAATACTACGTGGGCTGCTCTATGAAGCATGGATTTTAAGGGGAAAAGATGGAAAAATGAGGACCAAGAAGAAAATATTGAAGTAATCCACATGGGCGATGAAAGTGATTTGGGCAAGGAAGATGGTGATGGATAAAGAAAGGAGTGGGAAAGTAAAAATATAGTTTGGAGGCAGAGCTCAGATAAGGGTCTGGGTATACACGGTATACACATTATTCAGAAAGACCAGACCATGAGCACAGAAGGCCAAACCGGATGGAAAAGGAGGAAATTCCAAAGAAGGAGCCTTTCTGTTTTGTGGCCTATACCTCTCTAGGGAAACTGTGTTTTTAGAGCTCTCAATTAGCCTACTCCATGTCTTTTGATGCATAGGGAAAGGGGACATCTCTGAATAAACCATGTCCTGGCCACATATGGCTAGGTAAATGAAAATCAATATATTGATTCCCTTGAAAGGACACGGGAAACCAAGATGTGTTTCAGGCACAAGATCATCTTGTTTCAGGCTGACCCACAGACGCCTCAGTTCAATTAGTGTAGTCTCCATCTAGCCAGAACTTAGACATCTTAAAGCCACTTGGGCTTTTTCTGGATACCATAAAATCAAACAAGTATACCAGGAAAAACATGAAAATTGCAGCACTCTGTGTTCTCCCACTCACTCTCACTCTTGCTCTCTCACTCTCTTCTCACTCTCTCTCCTATCTTGAAATAATTGCAGATTTAGAGGAAATTGCAAAGATAAGACGAAGAGTTCCCATGTACCCAGAGCAGAGAGTTCCCATTTACCCTTTACTCAATCTTCTCAATATTACACTTGTATAACTATAATACAATATTAAAACCAGGAAATTGGCATTGGTATAATGTGTGTGTATAGTTCTATTTCATTTTATCACATATGTAGATAGATTCTTTTAACCACCATCACAACCAAGATAGAGATCACCACAAAGATCTACTATTATCAATATTTTACTAGTTTGAGTAAAGGGTAGAAAGCTTATTTCCTCTTAGTCCCTTCACTTTTCCTGCCCTGGCTATTTACAACACAATTGTCTAAAATATTCCTCTATGTACATTGAAATTCATATTAGACAATATCATGCTTTTTTGCCTTGACTGTCAAATCTAATTTAGAAAACTTAAGAATAGAAGGAGAGACTATTGTATGTATCCTATTTTTACCCCTCCATTGTTCTTGCTTGCTTTCAGATGTTCCAAGACTCCTTCTTTTATCATTTTCCTTCTGTTTCAAGATCTTCCTTTGGCCATGCTTTTAGGGTAGGTCTATTAGTGACAAACTCTTAGTTTTCCTTCCTCTGAGAATGTCTTGATTTTACTTCTTGAAGGATAATTTCATGGGACATAGAATTCAAAGCTGACAGTTATTTTCTTTCAGCTCTTAAAAAATCCTGTGCCACTTCTTTCTGGCCCCTGCAGTTTCTGATGAGGAATCCACTGTCATTTCCTCTATAGGTAAAATGGCATTTCTCTCTCGCTGCTTTTAAGATGTTTTATTTTTGTCTTTCGTTTTCTGAAGTTTGATTATAAGATGTCTTGGTGTGTATATCTTTGGGTTTATTCTCTTTGGGATTCTCCCAGGTTCTTGAAACTGTAGGTTTTCCAGTTTTTGCCAAATTTGGAAAGCTTTCAGCCTTCATTTATTTGAGTACTTTTCCACCTCCATCTTCTTTCTCCTCTCTTTCTGAAACTAATGACACAAATGTTAGGTCTTTTGTCATTTTTGCTCAGGTTCCTGAAAGAGTCTGTTCATTTCTTTTTTTAGTCTATTTTTTTTCTCTGTTGCTCAAATTGAGTAATTTCTATTGTTATATCTTTAAGTTCATAGATTCTTGCCTCTGGCCTCTCCTGCTATTGAGTCCATTCATTATGTTTTTTTAAAAATTTTGTTATTGTATTTTCAATTCTAAAATTTTCACGTGATTCTTCTTTACATTTTTTTTTTGCTGAGAATTTCTATTTTTTCATTTGCTCCAAGCACATTCATAACTGCTTGTGAAAACATTTTTATGATGGCTGCTTTAAAATACTTGCCAGATAATTCCAATATATGCGACATCTCAGTGTGGGTGTTTGTTGATTCCCTCTATTCTTTTATAAAATTTTTTACTCTTGACCCCATTGTCAGAGAGATTTGACAATCCCTTGCTCCAAGGACAAGCACAGATGCAAGTTTCCTAAGGGCCTCCAGAGACTTTGGTCCATGTTATTTTTTGTTGCATAACACAGGCATTTTCCAGTGGTTAGGAGTACAGACTTTGGGGTCTGATAGACTCAGGTTGAAACTTGATTCTACTGTTTACCAGCTCTGTGGCTATGGACATGTTATTTAACTTTTAAGACTCAGTTTCTTCACTGTAATGGGATATGAATGGATTTCATTCAGCATTTGGGTGGGGAGAGAGATGGGGTAAATAAGATAATGTTTTTGTAATTGGTACAAATTGTTCCATTGTATTTAAGAAGTGAGAACATTTCAACACAAATTTATCATGAAAGATAGTGTATATACAGAAAAGCTCATAAAATATGTATGTACATTTTTAAAAAATAAAGTGAATGCTCTCAGTCAAGTAATAGCATAGCCATGGTCAAGAAATACATCATGGTTGGTGCCTTAAAAGCAGTGTTGCTAGATTAGTAAATTAAAAATGTGGAAATTGAATTTCAGATAAACAATTAATGATTTTTTTAGTATAAGTTTGTTCCATGCAATATTTGGAAAATCACTTACTAAAATATCATTTATTATTTACCTAAAATTCAAATTCAATTGGGGGCCCTGTATTTTGTCTTGAGGCCCTACTTAGGTGGCTGATCCCCATTATATTACCTTTCCTCCCACCTAAATTTTCTGATAATTATTCTTTTGCTTTTCTTTAGTTTTACCATCTATGTATTGATTCCAAAGTGTAGAGTTTAGTTCTTCCTGTGTTGGACTGTCATGGATTTTTTCCAATTATTTTTTTCTGAAGTATGGCAAGTCCATGCACAGGTCTCCACTAACCAATGTCATAAGCAGTCCAGTAGCTGTCATTTTTCTTTACAATTCCCTACTGCTAAACCTGGTAATCCAGGAACCCAATCAAAGACCTTTGGGGTGAGGCTTCAGATTGTCAATCTACTGAGATCACCTCCAAAGGTGCTTCGTGCCACACTCACACACCCTTGTCAAAGACACCCACTGATGGCTGCAATCCCTCTATGCCCAGCTGACCTTGGGGACCCATTGCTTTTGGTTCCCAGTGCCCACATGCAACTCTGAGCTGTTTCCTTCCAACCACCAGCACCCTCTAGAGTGTGGGAACATATGGCTCAAGTTTTACCACTCTTGGATCTGCCCACCACCCCCCTTTCCTTGTCCTGACTTATGGGGAATTCCACTCCTTTCTGCCTTGAACACTTCTTTTTCAACACTTAGAAGAAAAAAAAAAAACATGTCTTTCTACTCCTTGGTTTCATGATGGGGATAGCATCTTCAGAGATTATTTCAGTAGACTGAGAAACTGAGGCCTCTTCCCAGATTTCCTTGATTGGGTTCCTGGATTACAAGGTTAAGGAGTAAGAAAACATTTTTAAAAATGACAGATATTAGACTGCTACAGAGAATTGGTAGATGATTTATGAAGCCAATAGCCCATCACCACCAAAGAGCTGTTTTGTCTTTCTTAAGGGAAAGGGGGCTCAGCCCTCAGAAAAGCAGTAGCAGCTTTCTTTCCTCCAGGAGCAAAGAGCTCACTTCTTCCAAGTAGCATAAATAAATAATGTAGTTATATTTGCATATTCTGCTGCATTAAATTCTTTAAAATTTACATATAAAGCACCCATCTCAATGTCTGGAAAATAATGAGAGTCATTATGCGCATCAGACTTTGTTCCCAAATTGCAGAAAGCCAGAATCTAATCTTCAAGGCAAATACACCATGTCTCCTCTACCTTGAACCCACTTCTTAAAAAAAATCCAGTTGGACTCTAGAGAAAATTGACATCACATACAGCCTGGAAGGGAAGACAAGTGGTGGCAGGGCGGGAGACAGCCAGAAGAACAAGCATGTGGGAAAGAAAGGAAAACTGTACCCCTCCTCACCTTGATGGCCCAGGGAGTTAATGGGCTGCTTGTGTGCCAACAAGGGACTCTGGTCTCTTTCCCACCACCTGGCAGTCTTTTCTCCCCAGCTGCCTCTCTGAGTCACTGCCCAGCTGAGCCCCATGAAAAAGCAGCAGAGACAGAATGGGGAAGAGAGGCTGCCTGGCCGACCCCAGGGGGAGCTGGCCCTGTAAATATTTGTTGACCACCACATTGCTCGCCGTCTGTCAAGGCGATGACACGAACAAGGGCAAATAAGTCAACAAATGGCCTAGCTTGTATCTGATGAGATCAAAGCCAATAAGAAGTAAGTCAGAGATGCTAATAATAAATAATTGTAACATAAGCAATTCTTGTCAACATGTAAGATAATCTCTATTTTATAGATAAAAAGGATTTATTCCTTTCAAAGGTAAAACAAAACAAAATAAAACACTACCCCAAACAAAAGCACGATACATGCATTGTAACTGTTTTAAATTAAAATTATATTTGGAAAAGCAACATTCTATCAAACAATTGGGAAGAAAATTATCCAAAATCTGGAACTAAGTTAAAAAGATTACTGGGTATCCTTTCAGTGGACTGCTTGACATAATCTAGTAGATCTTCCTGGGATTCTATTCTTCTACCGGGGTGTGTACCTTTGAACAATTTTTCATTGAATAGGCTATTTTTGAAATTTGTAGAGGTAGAGGTTAACTTATTAGAAAACTGATATCATTGCAAAGATTATTTTTTGAGTCAAAGAACTCCCATGTGTAACAATGCGAAGGGATAAGATACAATTGATGCAATTGGATGTGCTTGATTTCTCTCTGACGGAAAAGACAGCCTTGAATATTGTTGCCCTTTAGCATTTCAAACATGTTTATATCTGTTCACATATTTATCTCAGAATTCTTTTTACTGATTATATTTATCCCTGTTCCTCTAAATCAGTCTTAATACCTTACTGATTTTCTTTCATTATTTAAGAGTTGAATAAAATCATTGACATTTGGTCATTTTATATTTGTATGTGCCAATTTTTTAACTTTAAAATCTTTGTTATGCTTTGTATTTTATATGTCATATGATAAATGTAAACAAAAACACATAAGATAAATGTAAGAAAAAGAGAAATCAGAGAACTGGGTTATAGTATTACCTTAAGATTTGCACCTCTGCAAGGTAAGAAATCTTTCTAAAACCACACGGAAGATCTGAACCCTAATTCTTCTTAGTTTGGCAAAATTTAAAAGTAGAGTCAGTTGGAACTTTGGTCTCACAAGGTTTCTTGCATTGTCATCAGGCGTTGGATTGCCAAGCTTCCATGTGAGCCATCACCCACAGGTTTCCGTATCACATCTGCACTAGTATTTGAAGAAAGCAAAGGACATGTGGGCTATCTCATCAGTTCGTGGTTGCCCTGAATTGCAGCACCCCAGACTGAAAGTTAAAAATGCTTCTGACTCAGCAACCCTACAGAACATACGCATTTGGCTTGTAGGACCAAAGTGGCTTTATGGGTGAAGAGCCCTAGCAGAACATTTCAGTGGGTATCGGAAGATGATTCTTCCATGTATACTGAATTGACCTCATAGAAAATTTTGCTTGTCAGTTACATATAGTGCTATTTCAAAGACCTTTTCAAGATTTCAGATATATATCTTTATTGATTTTATTGTTGTTATTGTTACTCTGAGATTTGGATAATAATTCTTCATAAAGTAAACCAGAGAACAGGCCTAAAGAATGCCACTGTCACATTGGCATTCAGATGGTAAGAACTCCATAGAAAAGCATTATGACCAGATCCTAACAATGTTAATGAGAGATGCTACTCCTGCCTGACAGACAGCAGGTGGCATTTGTTAAGAGAAGTTCAGGAATTCTACCTCGGTCAAATTGGCTAAAGGGGAAGAGGAACTTTGGGCTCACATATTCCACTAATTTGTAGAAAAGAAAGACCCCTTGTGATGCTTTCCCTGAAGCCAGTCTGAGGTAGACACCCTCTACTGACCTCCCACAGGGTGGATGGACCAAGGGAGGAGTTGGAAGAGCTCCAAGGAATGGACCTCATGGCTCACCAAGCCAGCCTTAGCATTAACATTTGTGTAGTATTTACCAGTTCACGAAGTCCTCCGCATACACTATCTTTGCAGCTGCTAGGGTCTGTGACTGTGTCTGTCTACACATGAGCAAGGAGAGGTTGAAGGAGGTCACAGTGGCTGTAGAACACATGTGATTAGGCTATTAGCTATTGGGGGCAGGTGTCCACCTGGATCACAGGTCTTCTGATTCCACATCTGTGCTGCTTTTTGTTTCCCTTCTGAAGTATTACCAGTTCACAGAGAAACTTTGGAAAGCACAGAACAATATGAAGAAAAGGGGAGAATTTCACACCATTACCATTCAGAAGCAGGCACTATTTACATTTTGCTGCGTTTTTGATACTTATATTTACCTATCTTCATCGGAAAAAAAATTGCAAAGTACAAGTATGTATGAAGGTGAAATCTGAGTCACACAGAAATAAATGTACATTTCTTTCCATTATTTTTTCCTAATCATGTTTTAAAACCAATATAAATGATTATATAGTATTCCCCTGCCTATATTCTTTGTTTATGAAAAGATTCTACTAACTACACAGACCAGCAAGGCTTCCTAAGGCCTTTCCAGCCTCTGGATCTAAAGTGGTATTGACAGCACCAACCCAAAGAGTGCTCGTGTGTGACACGAGATCCCTGCCTTCTTCAAACCCCAATGATATTTTTGAGACCTCCCACCATATCTCATGCTTGTTCTCAATCCTCACCCACTTTTCTCTCTCAGCTGCTGTCACCTGGTTTCCACCACCTGAAAAACCTCTTGAGGATTGTGTTCTAACTGCCACTCCTCCCTCCCTGAGACCTCAAGGTCCTGACTGGTTCTCTTCCATACTCTGTGTCCCACCCTGGGGAAAGCTTTAAGCAGACATGAGGAGAGGTTGCTCTTTTGCACTCTCTCAGATGTATTCAGATACCATGTGTCTCCTAGGATAGCACTCCTCAAACATCAATGTGCACACAAGTCATCTGGGATCATGTTAAAATGCAGATCCAGAATCATGAAGTCCTGGGTGGGTCTACTCACTCCCAGGTGATGCTTGTGCTGGTGGTCCCAGCAACGCACATTGAGTAACAAAGCCCTAAACTTCCTCCGGGAAAATCACCTCTCTTCTTAGGCCCATGAGGTCTGCCCATGGACCAGGTGGGTACCACTTTGTCTTCCCCACCCAGGTTTTCTCCTTTTTCCTTTATCTTTCCCTCATTCAAATAAACTTATACAGATAGATGCCAGCAGGCCACACACTCCTTCAATTTGCCCAGCAAACCCTGACATTTCTAAATAGCTCCTATGCCACCCTGCTTCCTGATGCTCTGTTCCTCATCCTCTCCCCTCTGTCTGTTCTATCGTCTCTTCCTAAACCCTCGATAACCGTAAGCATCATGGACAGAATACTTTTGTTATCTTTTTGTCCAGTTCCTGTCCCTCACCAGACACTCATCTTCATAGGCTTCATCAGGCATATTCATGAAGCCTTAGCTTTACCCCAGAAGTTGTCACCTGACTCAAGGCAGCTTTCTCACTCAAAAGGATTATGTGACTAGCTCTTAGACTAATTAATCTTCCAGCAGGAAAAAATACCACTGCAATAAACATTTTCATGCATAAGCATTGTCTGCATCTGAATATTTCTTCTTTAAGACAGATTCCTAGAGCTGCAACTCCTGGATCAAAAGATACGGAAACACTGGACCTCTTTATACCCATCATCTTTCCATTCTTTTCCCATGAGGCCACACTGCCTAATACGGGCTCTTCGTGGCTTAATTTGAGAGGCTTTGAAAATGGAAAGATACTTCCTGCTCCCAAATAGCTCCCAAACCAGCTCTTTCATGATGACTGAAATTGACCCTACCCTACCTTGGTTATAAGCACAGCTATGTTGTAAAAATACAAAAGCTACCGTTAGCCAGGTTGGTAAATAGACTAATCCACGGAGAGACATTAATGCTTTAACTCAGAGCTTTCCTTCAATTTAGGAACCCCTCACTGAGCCCTGAGTGCCAGAAAGCATGGCACTTTATTGTTTTTTTTTGGGGGGGGGGGTTGAGGATATAAAGATGAGAAACAGTATGAAAGGGGGAAAATGTGAAACATAGGTCTTGTCCCCCAGCCCCCAAACCTCCCCACCCTACTTTGTAGGAAGCAAGGGACTGGGAGAACAGAGTAGCCAGGGACAGCTGAGAGTGTCATCCTATAATGAGGAGGACAGAGAGGCCCATAGCCCACCTGAACCCCACCACCACCCCCCCACAATTCTGCCTTTTCCAGACAAGTGGTGGTTGAAGCTTCTATAGCTGTCTTCACCCATAAACTATAACTCTACACTCCCTGGCCCTAATGCTTCCCATACACAGGGGGCTGTGCCAGGGAGGTGGCACAGGCACTTCCAGAACTCTCCAGACGCTTTGGGAATCATCCCACATAGAACCACTTGTTCCCATGTTGCTTCACAGGAAGCCCAGGGTCTCCATTCGAGGCAGCCCTGCACAGTCACAATGAGCACTCGTGGTTCATCAAAAGCAAATTGTGCAAAGGAGGGCACACAAAAGAACAATTAATACAATTTATGGAATCAAAGTGGCATCAGGAGCTGTACATTTTATACAGCCTGCTCACTAAAAGAGAAAAACAATGAGCCTCTGACAGGGAGCCACTCCCTCAAGGCTGGCCACGGTGGATCCCACAGTCTATTATCTCAGCACCTCATTTCCAATTCGAATGGATGCCACCTGTCTTGTTTTGGCCTGCAATGGATGGTGTTTTCTGGTTTAAAAAGCAGGAAGAAAAAGACTCATGTTGTGCTTTTTATTTAGCCAGGGTAGCATCTGTTCTTATCCACAACAGGACTGCTGGCTAAAGGACATATGCCAGGATTTTTCTTTTTTTCAGTGATGATTTTTTGAAATCCCCCAAAAAGTTCCTATTACAGCCTTTTGACAGATTATCTTTAACTAACAGCCCCAGTCCCCTGGCTGGAAGAATTGGCATTTGCAGGCTTGGTACATACCTATCCCCACGCTGTGGGTTGGTGTCATCAACTAATTGATCAATTGTTTGCATGAAGTCTGGGGACCTGGGATTTTTCACAAGTGATTTCAGTTCCCACATGTGAAAAGGTAGCTGCCAGCAAAATTCTATCTGAAACTTTCACTATAATTTATTTTGTTAGGTGCATTTAAAAAAAAAACACATAAGCCATCAGTAGCTTAGTTGGCATGCCATTGGTTCAAAAAATCAGTCTTTAATTCAGCAAAGATTGATCAAGGAGATACTACGTGCAAAGCACCTCCTAGTCCATGAGGTAGATGAACTGGAGTAGTGTTAAATAAATGGAAGATTCTAGAACCACATGACATTAAAGGAACACTGGACAACAAATCTGCCCATCTCACATCCTTCTTTTCCTGGCATCTTAGAAAGACAATCTTCCAGAGTTAATAGCCAAGGATGAAGTAAGAGAGGCCCCTTTCACTTCTCAGCAACTCCATTACATCATGGTGGCATCTGAATGATTGAAGGCTGTGCAGCCTTCTTTTCTGACATATGCCAGGGAGACAGATGTTAAACTTGTCTGTTGATTGACTTGGTAAGATGAGTCTCTCAACCTGGTCTTAAGAAAAAGGTAATAGCTTGGTGTCACAGGGTATGCTGCTTAGAGAAATAGGAGTCAAATCTGTGCCAGACTTTTCTCAGAGACACTAGAACACCAGGCTTTCCAGAACAGTAACAACTGCAGCAGAAGCAAAAGGGTAACAATCGTAACTGCCATAAACGGAACACCAGCTGTGTGTCAGGCATGCAGATACTATCTCCATTTTGTAGATGAGAAAGTCAAGGCTCAGAGAGATTAAGTAATTTGCTCAAGGTCACAAAGTCAGTTACTGTGATAGTTAAAAGCACAAGTTTTGGCCAAAGACTGACTTGGGTTGAAAACCAAATGATTAACTATTAATCACTTAATGATAAAGTTATTAATCATTAATTAATGAATCTCTCTGCTGCTTAATCTCCATCGAATCTCTCTCTGCTGCTTAATCTCCATCTGCCACCTTGTTAGAATGGATCTAACACCAGTTTTGATGTTTGACTGCTGACAGCCTGTAAGACTCACTCCTCCCTCTTCTTCCACCCCCAGCCCCCATCTTGACAAGCTGATTAGAAAGCCTGGGTACTTTCTCTTTGGTATGGGCTGGAATTTTAAACCATGTATGAGAACCCTCACCCTGCCATATTAGTCTCCTTTCCTTGCTCTCTTAAGCTATTATTGAACCTGCTTAGGGGCTGCCATGCTCTTCCCAGAAAGCCTCGTTATGTGAGTTAAGCCTTTCATACCCTCTTGGCATATGTGTGGCATCATCAGTTTCAATATCCAAACCAAATGGGGTCCATCCTGTTTCTTCAGGATAAAGACACTCTGAACGCATTGATCCTCTAATCTGCCTATGCCCTGGGATTGATCTGCAAAGCATCATCACTCTCTCTTGCCCTCTGGCTTCCCATTGGGTTTAGTCAACAAGAAGCACAGATAGATCAGAGGGAGGAGGAGACAAAGGTTGAGGCATTTCTTCTGCGCTTCTCCCTGACTTGGTACACGTTTCCGGCTGTTGCAGCATCCCTGTATGTCAGCTCCCACCAGGCAGCCCCCTGACCCCCCGCAACATGCCACCACTCACTCTTCCCTTCGGTTGTCCCTCCAGCACTAGGGGTGGTAACAGTGTGCCAAGGCTGCAGTCTCTGGGTGCCTCAACATCCATTGCTGGTTCCCTTATCCCTGCCCCACCTCTACAAGGAGTCATCTCTTTAAAGTTTCCTTATTGGAATCATCTGAATTCAATTATTTCCTCCCAGTACCCTGACCGATACACTAAGCCTCAGTCCCCTCACTTGTAAAATAGAGATGACTAATACTATTTGATAATAAGTCATAGGATTGTTGTAATAATTAAGATAATTCAGGCAAGCATTTAGTATACTACCTATATGTGCAATGTAAACTCTCCGTGTCTCTTCTTTAGTAAAATGAGGGTAATGATACCTATTATAAAGATTATTCTGAGAATCAGATCAAATTTAGGAAAATCAGCTAAGACAGACATATTACTATTGTTATTATTATAACTTACAACAGCAATAATAATAATGAACAGTGACCCTGGAATTAAAAATCCAGGTCTCTCTGTTTGTAAAGTTCATGCTTTTCCCACCAGACTACACTTTCTTCTTTAGAGAAAAGAGGTCAGACATCCCCCAGCCTGTCTTGGAAATATCATATTTAGACTGTTACATGAATTAAATCATTCCTTATTTCTTACTTAAACAAAGCTTCTCCAGCTCAACAGATTTGTCAGTTAAATGGGAGCTCGCCAAAAGAACAAAGTGTACTGTTTTCCTTTTAACATCTCAATGCCAGACATGATTCCATGTCTTTCACCCACCAGGGACTTTCCGGAACATCATCTCATAAGACAGCCAATGAGAATTCAATATAAATCACTGTAATTAGTATTCAAATGATAGGTGTTTGTCACAAGTCCATTATCAGAAACCAAATATTCATTAGGCAATAGACATGACCTTTAGAGCTTCTAAACATTTGTGACCACGGCTCAAGATGCTCCCCATCTGCCAATGCTCACAGAGGCAGCTCATAGGAGAGAGAAAATTCTGTAATCTTTAAAAATAGCCAGGAAATGTGATTCCCAGACAGAAAGATTTCCAGGTCATGGTGACACAAATAATACACTATGTGTATACAGGATGAGGATGAACTATAGAAGGAGATAGAAAAGCTGTGGAATATTGTAAGGATTTGGGTGATGATAGAAATAACCTAAGTTTGAGAGATCATCCTTCTCTGAAGGCTCCTCCACCCACCTTCCTCAACATTTTTCCTACGAACTGTCTTCTTTTCTCCCAGTGGTGCAGAAAGCAGTGAATTACAAAGTCAGTGTTCTGGGGAAGCTACCAACTTGGGAGAAGGGTTCCATTATCCAAATAATCGAAAATTATCATAGCTCCAGGGCATAACCTCTTAACAGATGAATCATGGACAGGAACCTGGCTCTGGGTATGTTGACAGCAAGGTGTAAGGAAGAACATACGGGCTTCAAAGCAGAAAAACCCAGGTTCAGGTTCTGACTCTGCTACTTTCTAGCTGTGAACCCTTGAACACATCACTCGGCCTCTGTGACTCTTCTGTAGTAAAATGAGGGTAGTGACACCTATTATAAAGGTTATTCTGAGAATTGGATCAAATTTAGGAAAATCATCTGGCACAGATATAGTATATCTTTAATCAACATAAGAGCTATTGTTGCCTTGGCCTCTAAGTACATAACTCAAACAGAGCTACCATATGAGTAGGCTCCATGGGAAATTATACCTTTAATACACCAGAGCACTAACATGGGAGTCACAGGACCAGGATTCTGGCCTAATGTTGCCAATAAATTGCTATGTCATCTTGGGCAAGTCACAGCATTTCCGTTGAGCTAAATAGCTCAAGGGGGCCCTTGAGCTATTTTTAAAATCTTGGAGAGTCCAGTGGGGAGCACCTAATTATTGGAGCTGAGGCTGCACCAGCTCTGCCCTTGCTTTTGGAAGAAATTATCTCATAGTCTCATGATATTCTGATTATTTTACTTCAATCTGTCTGGCATTCTAATTGGCAGCTGCATATGACTTTACCTAACAAAAGTGAAAATTATCAATGAACTACTGAAAAAGTTTAGGGTTTTAATAGAAAGATCTGACAAAATATATGGGAGAGATTTTAAAAAGAGATCCCTGGTGATGCAAAGTCTCAGAACCATCTCCCAAGGTACTAATTGGCTCTACCATATTCTATTTCTAGCATCCTCCTTAAAGATCCTGATTCTCCAGAATTTTCTCCCGTAAGAGGAGATTTAAAAATGTTTCAACTCATTATTCCCCTGCCTCTTCTCACCACACAAATGCTGTTACTAGTCATGTGACACTGACCACAGGCCGCCAATCTTCATACAGTGGCCTCTTTCTGGCCATTGATCGTCTAAGATGAACAGAATATTAAATATTAACTTATTCTTTCCAAAATAATTATGGAGTCTATACTCTGGGCAAGGTCTTGTTCTAGATAATGGAATATAGCAGTGAACAAAACAGACAAATTCTCTGCCCTTGTGGAGTTTGTATTCTACTAGGGAAAGATAGACAATAAACCAAATCATCAAAGAAATATATAAAGGTAGTGATAAGTGCTCTGAAGGAAAAAACAGGCTGGCTAAGGGAACAGGGATGATGCATCAGGAAAGGCTGCAGAGAGAAGGTTAAAACTGAGCAGGTACTTGAGGGTGAGAGATCAATGTTATTGGTGTCTGGGGAAGAGGCACCAGGTGGAGCATTGAGCCAGAGGTGGACATGAGGAGCCATTAGCCACCATGGCTAGAGAGGAGCAAGCCAGACAGTGAGTGAGGGACTAAGGGCACAGATCCCATAGGTCCTTGTGGACTATGGGCAAGACTGTGAGTTTTATTCCAAGTATGTGACAGGAAACCGCTGGAGAAGGGATGGGAAGTTTTACAAAGGAGCTGCCACAGTAATAAAAATCAGCAAACTCTGCTGTCTTTGTGTCCCTGGATTGGAATGAAACTTGTTCCCCATTTTAAACAGAAGCCTCTACCATGCTTGAAACTCTAGTGCTGCTCTTTAACCCTGGCAATAACTCAAAGTAATTCAATGGAAGACCCATTTTTAGTGTAAAGGTTAAAATGACAGCAAAGACTATTGCAGGCAAATGCAAAACCCTTCACTAAATCACATAGATTTTTAAACTAGAATAGGATCTATAACTCACAGCTCACCTATTTCTCCATCCAGGCGTGCCTAGGTATGCTAGCATTTGTGTGTTGGCTGGAATAAAGCTTTTTTTGCTCAGAAAAAAGACGGGGGATGTGTTCATTTAACAACAAAATCTCATTTTTTTCTGCCTGCCTGCTTAGGACAAAGATCTGGGGTTCCTTTCTTAATCTACAAAGTCTACTCTTTAAGGTCTGATTGGGGACCCCAAATTTGAATTGTCAGCCATATAACTCCTATTAAAAGCTCACATAAAAGAATATATTTAAGAGGGTTTTCAGCGTTTTCCATCAAATCGTTCCCAGGGTCAGCAGAGAATATATTTATCACAACATCTATAGGTATAGCCTGAAGTGACCTGATGAAAAAAGAAATTTTTTCAAAGAGATTTCATCATAAAAATATTCTTGGCTGGGCACGGTGGCTCCTGCCTGTAATCCCAACACTTTGGGAGGCCAAGGCAGGCAGATCACCTGAGGTCAAGAGTTCCAGACCAAAACGGCCAACATGATGAAACCCCAGCTCTACTAAAAATATAAAAATTAGCTGAGTGCAGCAGCATGCACCTGTAGTCCCAGCTACTCAGGAGTCTGAGGCAGGAGGATTGCCTGAACCTGGGAGGCGAAGGTTGCAGTGAGCCAAGATCGTGCCACTGCACTTCAGCCTGGGTGACAGGGCAAGACTCCATCTCAAAATAATAATAATAAATTTATATATATAGATATATATATATTTGTGTGTGTATATATATATACATATCTCCTCTTGATTGTTTGTTATATACCATACATCATAATCTATCCATGTTTATTTTAACATGTAGAATTTTAAAATACCAGTTAAAATGCTCAACATTTTCTCTCCTTCGTTTCTTATATTTGAGCAAGATGAGCATCCTTGATTGTGCCCTATGTTGATCATGTGGCTTTGGGTCCTCCCTGGCATCCAGGCTAGGTACTCAGGAAGAAATGCCACCAGTCAGCCAGTTAATCCTTCGAATCAAACCACCAAAGACCTACATAGCCAAACTGTACTACTAAATTCTCTTTAGAATCCCTTCACATCATTATGACTTCAGATCATGTTCAGTGTTTTTATTAAGAGCCACTGTGAGAAACAGCCACATTTATAGCTAGTTGTTACCATGCCCATCATAGAATAACCCATGCAATAAATTGCTCTCAGCACTCAGGACATTTCTCTTTGTGAAACAGCATGCTTTTTAAAAACAAGAACTCGTGAATATAGCATTTTTGTTTTGTTTTGTTTTGTTTGCTTTAACTGATAGGAAACTTGGAGATATTTTCATCCAATATTAGTAGCATTCAGCAGTCTACATTTCTGATATATCATTCAGAAAACACTGACAGAGCTCCTTCTCCATCCAGGTCCTGGGCTAGTCTGGAAAGAGGGGCACTTGTAATGTGCAAGCTGTTTCTTCTTACTTTTCACTAGGGTAAACTAAATGGCCTCTAACGATCTCCTCTAGCTCAATGTTTCTATTTTCTTTCCTTAAGAAAAAAAAAATGGAGCTTACAGACTTAGAGGATCTTATTGTGGAGTATGTGTCCCCAGGCACCTGCATTCCGTACTCTGCTTCCCAGAGGAACTATGCCAAATTTTTATTAGTTACATGATGAATTTTTTTGAAGTTCATGATATGTCATTTGCCATTTTAAAACAAATGCCTACTTTAAGATGCCAAAGGTGTGTGGAGTCTGAAGATGTGAAAGTATGTTTTGACGCTGCCTCTGCAAGCTCAGATTTTGGCTGCAAAGACCCTCCTGTATAAACCGTGGTGCAGGCTGGAACACAAGACCCAGAAATACTTTAGCCAAGTTCCAAGTATTTGCTTCTAAATATTTAAGAAGCCAACTCTCAGATGCCTCCAAGGAGGCAAATACCAGTGAGCTATTGCTAGCTCCTGGGGCAAATGAGGGCAGCCTTGGTCCAGTGCCTTTTAGATTTGATGTGGGACACATGGCTTTGCAGCATTCGTACAAACCTTCTTCCTCTGTTTCCCACCACCTCAACATCCACCTCATATGAGATCCAGCCACGTAAGCCAAGCAGTTCTCACACCAACAAGACTCCCTGGGAAGAAATCAGCCATTCTCAGTTCCCAAACACAGAGGAGTGCTCCAACCACTGGGAAAGGTTTATAGAACACTTGAATACCCATGCCGTCACACCCACACTGTTAAATACACGCATACCTGCATTTTCACTAGACAATGCCTATTGCTTCAAAAATTCCAGAATCCTGTCATATCACGTGGATGATTTAAAAGCAGTGTTATTAAATTAACTTCTAATTAATTGGCTCTCAGTGTTGCCAAGCCAGATTGCTAGAGGCTGAGTCCCTTTGTTATATGATGTGCTTATTACCAAAGCCAACTCTAACAAAGTATAAACATCTATAAACACAATCTTGAGAAGGCCAGGGACTAGCATGTAACCATTTCTAATCCACGTTTCTGTATTTGCACCAGTTTATGCCACAGGCTAAGGGTGGGATTAAATTTACACATGAAGGCAAGTTGGGAAAATCGGTTTCCCAAGAATTTATAATGCTTTTAAACATAGAGGTCATTCCATAAATATCAGCTGATTGAGAATGTTTCTCAATGTGTACATTCTAATATTTATTGATCCTGGGCAGCCTAATAATCCTGCCAACCGAAACTATTTGGGTCTAGTCTCAGGCCCAGCTGAGTTTTAAGACCAGCTCAAGCCTTAGATTGAGAAAACAGAACCATATCTGGCTTAATGTGGCTTGTGGTTCAGGAACTTATCATTCTTGTTGCTACCTTTCTTCAGACACATCTATTCTATTTAGTATAATTCCATTCGTCTCTTGTTCCAACCCAGTCAACCTCCTAGCTCATTCATCTCACCACCCATCTTTCATTAATCCCCTCTAGTCTCAGAGAAAGGGTCCCTGCTTCTTTTTAAAGTTGGTTTCAACCTGAAGCCTCACCCTGCCACCCACCTCTGCCAAGGTCTTACTCATTAAATCGTTTCCTCTCTGCTATCTTCAGAAATTACATCCTCCCCCACCCCTTCGACCTACCCATCTTTTAAAATCTTTCTGTCCTGTTTTAAAAATAAATTCCCCTTGACTCTCTCTGTTCCCCTCCCACCATAGCTTTCTCGCCTTCTTCCTATGATGACGAAGCTTGCCACCTCCTCTTCTCACTTCCCAATCTCTCCTCAACACATGGCCATCTGTCATCTACCTCCAATGTTCCAGAAAGCCAGCTCTCACGAAGGTTACCAGCCACCCAGCCCACTGGTAAGTCTTTCCTACTCATCTTGTGCTGTATTTGGCCTTGTTGGCTGTGCCCCAAAACCACCTCTGGCTCCTGGCCCATCCTTTCTTTCTGATGTTTCTCTTTTCTGACTATCCCCTCTCAGTTCCTCTTCCCTATTCTTCCTCCTTTGCTTCCCCTACGAAATACTGATGCTGCCTCTGACTTTCTTCTTTCTCTTCTACTTGCTTTCCTTGGAGGCAGTGTGGCCCTGTGCTTGGGCATGGATCTTTGAAGTCAGATTTACTTGAACTTCACATTCTGGTTCTGCTGCTTAAAAACTATTAGGCCTTAGAAAATCACTTTGCCACTCCAAGCTTCAGGTTTCTCTTCTATAAAATCAAGGTAAATGATCAAAATAACAGTAATAATTGTTCTTTCACAGATCTGTCATTCCAAGCATGCACAGGGCTTAGCCCAGTGCTAATATACAGAAAACTTGATGCACAGCAGCTATTGCTATTTTATTATTATCTTCATCACCATGACCCCCAGAGTGATCTCTTCTCATCTTCTCCCCAGATCTCAGTTTATGCACAATTTTTGACATTCACCTCTCCATCCCCAACCCTCTCCTGTCCCCTGAGCTCCAGTGTATGCTTCAAACCACCTATCTACTAGGCAGGTTCTCTGGAAGGTCCACTGGTACCTCAAACTCTGCATGTCCTCTTAGAGCCTGAATTGTGTCCCCATAAAATTCATGTGTTGAAGTCTCACCTCAGAATGCAGCTATAATTTGAAGATAGGGCCTTTATGTAGTAATTAAGTTAAATGGGGCCATTATGGTAGGTCCTAATTCAATCCGACTGGTGATCTTTTAAGAAGAGGAAAACCAGACATGCAGAGAGACACGAAGGATATGTGCACACAGAAGAGAGACCATGGGAGGAGACAGCAAGAGGGTGGCCATCCACAAGCCAAGGAAAGAGGCCTCAGGAGACACCAAACTTATTCAGTACCTTGATCTTGGACTTCTCAGTTCCCGAACAGTGAGAAAATTAATTTCTGTTACATGAGCCACCCAGTGTGCAGTATTTTGTTCTGGCAGCCCTAGCAAATGAATACATGGCTTAGGCTGAAATTGCTAGGTCTTCCTTAAAACATGCTCCTCCTCCTACTGCAGCCCCTCTTTGAACTTATCTGTATCTCTTTCTTCTCCCTAATGACCCACATCTAATCAGTCTCCAAAACTTGATAGTTTTAATTTCTGAATAGCTCATAGTCTATGCACCATCTTTCTTAGCTCTGGCCTGCATGATCTTTCATCTGGTCTATTGCAATAGCTCTCCCACTCAATTTGTCTCTCTCACCATAGCATTTCTCCATTTCAATCCTTCCAGTATACCAGTTAGATTAATCATTCTAAAGCACAGGCTTGTTTGCATCTGCCTTCAACAAAAAAGTCCTTCATTACTCCCACTGCCTAGTAGGAGTTCCTCAGCCTGACACTGAAACCGTCCACAGTTTGGCTCTAGCTTACCCATCGGCCTGGGGTCTTGCTATATCCTTCCTCAGACCTTTATTCTAACCAAACAGGAAAACGTACTACTCCTGAAAAAGGACTCTACCTTTTTAACCACTCCCTGAACTAAAATACCTCACCATTCCTTGTTTCCATTCCACACCACCAAGGCTTTCTTCCCTTATTTCCTAGAGGAAGGGATCTTTGCACTGGGCTCAGCCCCCATGACAGTTCATAAGGACAGCCTGTGACACATGTGTATCCTCTCATTTCTCCTTCTCAACTGTAAACCCACTCAGGCTACCTCTCGTTCACCCTTTATCCTCCATGGTGCCCAGCATGTGCCCCTGGCACATGTCTCTTCCACAGTGTTGATGGAATGAGCAAACGAACAATGCTGATTGCAAGGTCGTGAAGACAAATGGCCTTGACACCCTAAATAAGCCATCTCAAAAAAGAGCTGCTATGTCTGATTTCCCTCTAGTAAGTTAGGTTGTTTGCTCAGATAACCAAAGTAAATCACTCATCTATAGTTATTTTCTGGAATTTAAGCACTAAAGATAAGGCAAATAGCCAAAGATTTTCAAAAAGAAAATGGTGAGAGGCAGAGGACCCAGTTGTGATGTCATTAATATTCAGCCATCATAATTGGGCCTTAACAATTCTCCAGGAACAATTTTCATCTTTATTAATGACACTTAGAGAGCTATCCTCATACCCACCCCAAACTGTTCAATCTGTAAGAAGCATTTTCCACCAGATGCCATCATATCTGACCTTTCTAGCTTCCCAAATGATCGCCCGACCCCTGCTTCCTCCCCTTGCCTCCCCTTCCCATGATGATGAAACATCCACTATAGAACACAAGTGGCATGGAGCCAGGTCAATGATGTGCACCGTGGAAGCTGTTCTGACTGCTCGCTGCTGGCAGCCACTGCTCAGGCTCAAAGCATTATAGCGCTCTGGTACTTTCCCAAAGGCATTCTCAAAGGAGGCTGATGCATCTGGGTTCTCTTTCTACTGATCAGCAGAACACGCATGTTTAAGAATCAGATTAGACACAACTCTTTGGGTCATTTTATATGGTTTTTAAATTGAGAATGAATGAATCCCCATATTCTGTGCCAGTGACTGACTGTCAGGGGCAATCACAACAGGGCTGATCAGGGGTAATTATGAGGCGGCTGCTTTGCCATGGCCCTCATGTGTTATAACTTGCTACATCCGTTCTAGGAAAGGGAGATTCTGCCAAGCTAGTTCCTAATTTGCTCGTCTATTTTGGCAAACAGAGATATAGTCCTATCTCTCTTAAAACAAAACAAAACAAAAAATGAGCTTGTCCAAACAAAGCCTTAAAATAAACTGCAGGAATACCTGAGACTCAGAATGTGTAAGCTCACATACTCATTAGTCAGACACAGTCTCTGCCCTCTGAGCCTCAGTTGTCCTGTCTGCAAAATGGTATAACACCTATTTCTCTCACCATCAGTATTGTTTGAATCCAACTGGTAAATATGTGATTTGAAAATTGTAATACACCACAAAAATATATTACTTATTTTGCATATATTTTATAAGTAACAATGCTTAGCTTTCTTATCTACATCTAAAAGTTTCCTGCCTTTAAATATTAGGTATCTGTGCCAATTACATAGTCCCCCGCTGCCCAGCACCACTAAATTTCAGTGTAAGTATGAATGAGAATGTGCTATATTTTGCCATGTGACGGATACATGGTAGGATGCAGTAGATACTCATTGAATTAGTTAATTGCTTAGTCTCATAAGCTTTTTCTGATGTGCCTGTGGTTACACAGTGGCCAGATTCATACTCCCTAGTTCCAAGGTTCTTTCTACATAGTTTACAAAAAACAACGGGGCAACCAGCAGAGGGTCTGATGCTATGGAGTAAAGCGTTTTATTCACATTCTGCTTGGCTCACTTAGTTTCTCCTCTATCCCCTGAGAGGCTTCTGGGGCTCCTTGACTATTTTCTTGGAGAAAGGCTCAAGCGGGAGATGAGGAGCTTGAGCTCCTGGGGCTGCGACTAGAAGGGGTCTGGAAGCAGGTGGGGGAAGAGTGTACACACAGGACTTTGATCAGAAGACCTGGGATCGAATCTAGACTCTGACACTTTCTACCGAAGCTTCAATTTTCTCACATTAAAAAAAAAGGAGTAATAAAAAGGTTATATGATGAATAAGATAATGCTAAGGATTCTAATTATTTTCATATCATAAAAGATATAAGAACCCCTGAAGTTAAAACATTGTTTTCTTTGATCATGGAAGTATTAATATAAACACGACTGTGGTTCTTAAATGAGCAGCCATGTTCTTCTCCAGCTAATTTTCTAGGGGCTTCTGGGAGTCAGACACAGTGTTGTAAATACTTTGTCCTCACAGAGCCTTTCAGTCTGGCCCTGCTCTGGCTTTAGTTGGTGGTATATGCTTAATCTTCTAATATTCCTTATTTTCCAGGTGTTCTGAGTTCTTAGGCTTATTTAAGGCTTTGTCAAAGTTCCGAGTGCCACCCTCTAAAAAGCTGAGTGATGGTACACATATAACTAATGAGAGAACATATTCTGGGAAAATAAAACTTTTTAAAGTAGATTAGTTTCTCATCATACCATATGGCCCTACAAGTGATCAGATGCACTTCTATGTGCTGTTGATAGAAAAATAGAGTATATTACATATACTTTTAATTGTGAGGAATTACATCATTAAAGAATTTAGAAATAGAAATTGTCTCTTATTTGAGTTAGAAGGAGTATTGGGGGAAAATTAGAATATCACCATATGGCTAACCTTAATTCTAATTTGCATTTTAATGGAAATGAAGCTTTAAATGCCTCATTCTCTTCAAAATCTTTGAGACAGTAAGCCTTTTGTGGGTCTCTCTAGCTTAAGCAAACCAGATTTCAGCAGCTAACTGGCTTTCCAGAGAGTTCATACCACCTAAAAGCATTTAAGGTGAAAATGTTGCATATTGATTTGTTAAACCACGTCTCTGGGAATCCTTAAACACTGCTGCCAAGAGTACATAATTTTTTTTGTTAAAAAAATGTTTTCTGGCCAGGAGCAGTGGCTCATGCCTATAATCCCAGCACTTTGGGAGGCAAAGGCAGGAGGATCGTTTGAAGCCAGGAGTTCGAGACCAGCCTTGTCAACAAAGTGAGATGTGTCTCTAAAAAATTTTAAAAATTAGCTGGGCATGGTGATGTGCACCTATGATCCCAGCTACACAGGAGGCTAAGACAGGATCCCTTAAGCCTGAGCCATGTTCGCACCACTGCACTCCAGCCTGGACAACACAGTAAGACACTGTCTCAAAACAAAAAAACAAAAAAGAGAAAACAGAAATGTTTTCCCTAATTTTAAAGGTAGTTTACACTCTTTGAAAAGGAAATATTAAAAAAAATAGATTGTCTGGAATCTTAGCATCCAAAGATAACCACTGTATATTCTACATCTGTTTCTATATATGCATAAGCAATTATAATTTTTATTGTTTTTGTACTTGCAAAAATGAAATACCAGATTTCCTATTTGTGATCTCTGCATGTTCCCTTAAAGCATGTTGTGAATATCTTTTCCTGGTCACATATGTAGATTATCATCCAGATTCTTATTGGCTGCAATATTACACTATATGAATATGCCATGATTTATTCAACTTGCCTCCTGGTGGTAGATATTTAGATTGTGATGGGGTTCAGGACAGACTACCTTAAGATATGACACCTTGGCATTTGAGAAAACTGCAAAGAAAGGAGGGTCTCTCTGTCTTTCTCCTGTCCTTCTGCCCTGGAGTAGGCCATAAAACCTAGAAAAAATTTTCTGACCTTCTCCTGAAGTAGGTCATAACAGGCTCATGTGAAAGGTGCCCACTCTAAACCCACAGAAAAGGAACATTCTCATTTCTGAAGACATAGAAACACAGGGAAGAATCTAAACAAACAGGCCTTTCTACGTTCCCCCCAGTTTATTACCATTGGATCATACCTCCTTTGTCCAATCACATTTCTCCACAACAATCGACTCCTTCATCAAACTTACCATAAAATTATACAGGTTTCTTTGTCTGAAGCCTCCTGTACTGTATAAAACACATTAAATAAAACTGTATGGTTTTCTCTTGTTTATCTATATTATAGTGCCTCAGCCTTGAACCTAGTGATAAGTGAGGAAAAGAAATCTTTCATCCCCTACAACTGTTTCCAGCTTTTATCATTACAAGCAATGTTATAATAAGCATCCTTATATACAGATCTTTGAGTACCTTCTTAATAACTTTTTAATTTTTTAAAATGGTACCCAATAATTTGGCACATCTTTTTGAAGGAAACTTTTTGGCATAACTGAAAAAAGAAAAAAAAGAGAACTTTCAATTCTTTAAAAGTTACAAAGTATGTCAAAGTAATTCAAGGATAGTCTTCAGCAAATAGTGCTGGGGAGAAAATGGATGTCTACGTACAAATAAATGAACCTCAATCTTCACTTTACCCTATAAAATAATCAACTCAAAATGAGTTCTAGATCTAAATTCTAGAGCCTAGAATAATATAAAATTCTACAAGACAACATGACAAAATCTTTACGACCTTGGAATAAGCAGATTTCTTTGGTAGGATGCAAAACATGCAAACCATTTTAAAAACTGATAAATTGAATTTTATTAAAATTTAAAATGTCTCCCCTTCAAAAGACACCACTAAAAAAATAAAAGGCAAACCACAAACCGGGAAAAATAATAGCAGAAGATAAGTTCAATAAAGGCGATCAAGAATATGTAAAGAATTCTTATAACACAATAACAATAAGATAATCTATTAAAAATAAATGGGCAAATAATTTGAAAAGAAGGTCTCCAAAGATGTGGAGACCTTTGGTGAAAGGTCACCAAAGATGTGTAAATGACCTATACACCCATGAAAAGACGCTCAACATCATAGTCATTAGGGAAATGAGAACTGAAATCATAATGAAATACCACTACAAATCCACTAGGATAGCTAAAATAAGAAAGATGACTGTATTAGTCCATTCTCACACTGCTATAAAGAGACTACCTGAGACTGGGTAGTTTATAAATGAAAGAGGTTTAATTGACTCACTGTTCTGCATGGCAGGGGAGGCCTCAGGAAGCTTACAGTCACAGTAGAAGGTGAAGGAGAAGCAAGGCACGTCTTACATGGCGGCAGGAGAGACAGCGTGTACAGGGGAAACTGCCACTTTTAAATCATTGCTCACTAACACAAGAACAGCATGGGGGAAACCGCCCCCATGATCCAATCACTCCTACCAGGTCCCTCCCTCAACACATGGGGATTATAATTCGAGATGAGATTTGGGTGGGGACACAGAGCCAAACCATATCAATTACCATACAAAGTGTTGCTGAAACTGGGGTGTGGGAATTCCCACACTTTGCTGGTGGACATGTGAAATGTTCAGCCACTTTGGCAAACAGTTTAACAGTTTTGTCAAAAGTCAAACGTATACTTACAACTTAGCATTCCCATTCCTAGGTATTTATCCAAGTGAAATGAAAATTTACATCTGTGCAACAACTTGTACTTGAATGTTCATAGCAGCATTATTCATAATAGCCAAATATCCATCAACTGGTGAATAGATAAACAAATTGTGGTATGATGAACTACTACTCAATAATAAAAAGGTATGAACTACAGATACATACAATGACATGCAGTATCTCAAAAGAATTATGCTCAGTGAAAAAAGCCAGATGTAAGAACACATATCCTATGATTTCATTTATATGAAGTTCTACAAAAGGCAGAATTATAGTGAGAGAAAGCAGATCAGTGCTTGAAAGGGATGGGAACTGACTGTAAAGGGATGAGGGACATTCCTAGAGTGATGGAAATAGTCCATAGTTTGATGTGGTGATAGTGTATATGTTTCAAAACTCATCAAATTGTATACTTAAAACTGGTGAATTGCATTGAATGTAAATTATATCTTAATTTAAATAAATCATGGAATTATAAACTATAATGTTTGCAAGAGATAGCCTTACCCCAATCTTAATCTTCATCCCATCCAACATCTTGCAAGGGGACACCCATTTTTTGGTAAAAACAATTTTTAAAATTGTTCTGATCCGTCAAACAAAAATGTTGTCCACATCAACAGGCTGTTTCAAATTGATCACGTGAAAGAGATTTGTTTCTTCCTGGCCTTGCCCAGGATAAAGTTGTGTCTTCTGATTTTTAATCTGCCAAATATCCAAAAGCAGACTAAAAATTTGTCAATGCTCCAAATATTTAGAACAACTTAAATGTTTGGTACAACATGGAGTAAATAGCTGAAGATTTGATTGAGTTTTTCATTTTTCATCCAGGTGTTCAGATGCAGAATGAACGTAAGAATGATGAAGTGGATGGGCAGATTTCCAAGGCAGCTGGAAGTAAATTGGACAACTGCATGACCCAAAGATGTAAAGCCAAAATTTCACATTCAAAGCAAGTCAGGAGGTAAAACTACACCATGGAGACATGAGGGAGATTGTCAATGAGACTTTCATGCCTCAGAATTTGATGATGATGGTGATGATGATGGTGATTGATAACAATTGCAGCAGCAATTATTTCTTGAGTGCTTACTAAGTATCAGGCTCTGTATTGAGCCATTTACATACATTATCTTATTTATTCTTCACAATAGCCATGTGAATGAGGTACTGTTGATAGCCCTGCTTGATTCAGGAGAAAACTAAAACGTAAAGAGTTCAGGAATCCTCCCCAATTTTGTACAAGTAGTACAAGCTGAGGAGAGGCAACAGTGTTGAGGTTGGGTGAAGGGGGCAACATGATAGCCACAGAAATCATTAGAGAACCATAGTACATCCAACTTTTGTGGCCAAAAGTACTTCAGCTTCCACTATTCTGTTGTTAAAGGGTGTTAGAAAGCACTTTATTTTCTTCTAAAATAGACTAAGGGGGAAAGTATTCCAGTTTTCCCTTATCTCATTATGAGCTTTAAGATGATTATTTTCTTCCTCATAACTCCTGTCAAAGCTTTATTTTGTCCCCTCCCACAAAATCTGGACCCATGGCAGGATGAAGTCCTCTTGTCCTGCCACTCTGTGCGAGGAGCAGTGTCTCTGAGGTGCCAAGGCCAGAAGATGCCATTTTGGTCCTATAGACAAAACCAAGAGGTTTGAGTGGATCAAAATTGTCTAATTAAGTCCAGATTCATTGATTTAAGTATTTAAAAATTAGTCAAGTTTTGTGTCATTCTGTCAATCTAAAATGCCTTTGTTCTTTTTCTGGGAAAACAACTCTTCAAAAATTGTAAGATCTCATGTTTATTGAGTATTTACCAGGTAGCACATAATTTGCCTAGCACTTCACATACATTGTCACATATGAGTTTCATACTATTATCCTAAATTTGCAGGCACAGAAATTGAGTTTAAAAAAATTTTTTAAGGTACCCATGGTAAAGGCATGGCTGAAGCCAGCGACTGTCTGACTCCAAAGCCCTTGCTCTTTACCTCTTCTCCTTCCTGACTTTCCCTTTGAAACCAGACTGAGGAGAGTCAGATGGTTAAGAGACCCAAGTTTCTACCCTGCCTGTGTCTCTTTTTGAGTAGAAACCTGAGCCTCACAGAAGCTGGCTATGTATCTACGGACGGAGGACTCAAGGATGTTTGCAAGCACAACTTTCTTCCGGGAGTTGTCATCACACAGCAGCTCAACCCACCAAGTTGCCCCTTCTTGCATTATTTATGGATATTTATGGAGGATTCAATAATTGCAACATGTGCTATGGGAGTGTTGCAATGCATTGGCAACAAGTTCTTAGCTTTTAGTTAAGACAATCAATTCCAAGGAGTTTTCATGGAGCTAGTCAAGATAGAAAGGCAATGACTAAGGTCAAAACCCACAGTGGACTCAGGAAGAGATGGTGGTACTGCTCTTGACAGATGGCTTTTGCCTCTTACCTAGGTACTTCCCATACCACTGGGATTGTTGGCTTATTTTTAAAAAGATATTAAAAATATAACAAGAAGGAGAGGACCTAAAAGGAAAGGATTTCTCTAAGAACTATCTCTAACTTTTATTGTAAGATCCATTGTTAGTAATCCATGCTGTAAGGAAATCAGGAGAGTAGTTACTGCTGGGAGGGGTCCCAACTGGACGGAAGCACAGTTGCATACCTAGGTGCACTAATGTTCTGTCTCCTAACCTGGGTGCACAGGTTATGTTCAGTTTGAAACTGAACTGGTATGTTCAGTTTGAAACTTCATGGAGCTGTATACCTATGACATATACACTTGTCTGTATGTATATTATGCCTCCATAAAAAGTAAAAGAAGAAACATTGCAAATGAAGATGACCAATTAAGAACTTCACCCTCTTTTAATCTGGAGCACAAAACTTTGCAAGAAGCATAAGTTAAAACTTTCCTGTGATGCAGACCCAGGTATTTGTGGCTCTGCTAAAGACCTTAGCAATGGCCACTGTCGTGGGTTCCTTTTGGTGACCCCCTGTGAGCAGATCTCTCTTTAAGGCTTTGGACACCTCCAGTGGAGAAAGAGGAAAGGAGGCAGAGCAGAGGTCAATTCACTCTGACTCCGACCTCCCACAGAGACCAGACTGTTGGTTCCTGCTCATTTTCCACACTTCATTTCTGATTTTAGTGACTGTCAGCACTAACATGCCTATCACAGATGCCTGCCTGGCCTAACAGAAAAGACTAGATGGCTGTCTGCCCTCAGCAGAGGGATTCCCAAGAGGCACTTCATACCACATGCACATGTCTTCTTAAGCTCAGGATCTCCTGAGTTTTAGCTAGAGAAAGCCTAGGAATAGGGTATATTTACCAATTTATTTTGTAGTAGTTATAAACAAGTACCCTATGTTAAATTAAGTTTGACCTAAACCTGCCCCCTTACATATTTTAAGTTTGGCCTAAAGATTTCTCCATAGATAGTGAACTGAAACCTAACTGGATGTATAAACAGGCTGTAAACGACTTTTGTACAAATCATTGAGTTTCGGCCAATCACATGTGGCCAAGTGTTCAAACCACGTTCAAACAAGACAAACACCGGGCTGTAACAAGTCCAGCTGTTTCTGTACCTTGCTTCCATTTTCTGTCCACAAATTTTCTTAGACCATGTGGCAGTGCTGGAGTCTCTCTGAACCTGTTCCGGTTTGGGGGCTGCACAATTCACAAATCGTTCTTTGTTCAATTAAACTCTATCAAATCGAATTTGTCTAAGGTTTTTCTTTTAACACCTAAAAATTGTTTCCAAAGATAAAAAATATTTTTTTCTTCCTCAAATCTCTGGTTCACCAAACTCCTCACAAATTTATATTAGACAAAATGCTTTGTGCTAGAAAGAAACAGGTTGACACTCAGTGAGACACAGGAAAAGTTAACCAGCCCACTGCCCCTTCCAAGAATGTAAGTGGTGAAGGGGATGGAAGTGGTCTGGCAAATGAAATAAGATTGATCAGATATTGATCAATCAATATTGAAGCTGGAGCATAGGTACATGGGGATTTATAATACTCTTCTTTCTAATTTACGTAGTTTTGAAATTTTCCATAATTCTAAAAGTTTTAACAAGACAACAAGACATTTAAGGTGAGTGCCAGATGGCCAGTGTGGATGATTAAATCTAATATGATCAAATTCACAAATGAAGACAAATGTTCATGTTATAAAAGAAACTGTCTTTTCATTGAGGAGGAGTCCTTCTCATTATCAACAGAGTTTGGCATTAAACAGGAAGTCCTAGAGGTGAGGGATTTTTCTCATGTCAAGTGCTCATTTTGTAAAGCTATTCCACCTGGTGCAGTAGACAATACATGGGCTTTGGAGTCAGGTTGATGTTGGTTTGAATACTAACTCCGTTGTTTACTGGCTATATAATCTCAGAAGCAATATTTAACTTTCCAAAACTCAGTTTCCTCAACTCCAAAACACAGAATTGTGCTGTGAACCAAATGTGTTAAAGTGCTAAGTACAGTGCCTAGAATATAGAGGGTGTTTACTTTTATCAGCGTTGCATTAATATTACCAACATCGTTGAAACAAAGACTATGCATATGGTATAAATTACACGGACGCGTAATCTGTTGTTTTCCTGAGGTATTAGCATTCCCTTCCATGATCTCTGATAGTAGTAACATTTATCAGCTTAAGATTTACCAAGAATCTGTATGATTTTAGTGATTTGAGCCATTAAGCTAATTGGGTCATATTGTAGAATTCTCTCTCTAGATCACATTCACTTTCTTTCAGTTGATATGTTCTAATGCCTGGAAGGTCACCTTTGACATCCTAATCACAAAGTTAAAGGCCTTTTCCTGTTTCTCCTGCTCTTTGATTCTTCTGCAGCCAATGGGCTATTGGCCACTGTTCATTCTTGAAATTACACTATTTTATTGTCTGACATGATGCTGTGTTTTCCTGGTTCCCTTCCCACCGCTTGACAGCTTGTTTCTTTTTCTTCATTAGCTCCTTCTTTATCTACCTTTTAAAAATGAGAAATTATTTAGTTCAATCCTTGGCTCTGGCTTTCCTAGGATATACCCTCTCCTCTTATTTCCAACATCTCCTCCATGCAGATGACTCCTGAAACTCCACCCAAAACCTCATTGGCAATCAACACAGCAAAGCAATGAACATTTTACTTGATCACTGAACCTTCACCAATACCTCAACATCTCTAGGTATAAGTTTCTCATCTGAGCTCAAAACTGTCTTTCTCTACAGATTCCTCCATTATTCCAGTCTTTTAGGACTGAAATCTCAACTTTATATCTTCCCTTTCCTCTATGGAAAGTATCTAAGTAGTGACCACTAGAGTTTGGATATGGTTCGTTTGTCCCCACCAACCCTCATGATTAAATTTCATTCCCAGTGTAGCAGTGTTAGGAGGTGAGGCATAATGAGAGGTGTTTCAGTCATAGGGGTGGATCCCTCATGAATAGATTAATGCCTTCCCTGGGGTTGGCGGGGGTTGGGGGTGGTGAATGAGTTTCCACTCTATTAGTTTCCACAAGAATTGGTTGTTAAAAAGGAGCTGGCACCTCCTCTCTCCCTCTCACTTCCTCTTGCCATGTAATCTTTACAGGAGCTGGCTCCCCTTCACCTTTTGCCATGAGTGGAAACTTCTGAGATCTTCACCAGAAGACAACCACAGTTTGGTGTCATGCTTCTTGTATAGTCTGCAAAACAATGAGCTAAATAAACTCTTTTCCTTTATAAATTACCCAGCCTCAGGTATTCCTCTATAGCAACACAAAATAGACTAAGATAGTGACCAAGCCTTGTTGATTCTTATTTCACAGTGCTGGTTATATTCCTACTGACAACAAGCTAAATCGGACTCTTTTACCTTTCCTAGGATTGCTGAAAAGGCTCCTTAATGGTTTCCTCAATTTCAACATCAGTTACCTCCATTCTATACCCCACATCTATGTCAAACTACCTCTCCCCAAAACACTGTCAGACCATGCCACTCTGCCAATCAGAAGCCTTCCAGGACTCCTCATTGCTTACTGGACTGTATCTAAAACCTTCAGCTCAGAGTTCAAGAGCCTCCATAATGGGCCTCAATATACTTTTACTACCTCCCCTTCCCTCAACTTGTCTACATAAAATAACAACTCCAGATAAACTTATTTCCTTACTCTCTTCCAAATATACTTTTATCCTTCCATTCATCTTCCTTTTTCTTAGACTACTTTCCCCACCAAAACTGCCTTCCTAACCTAATCCTAACTCCCAAATGGGACCAAGGTCAGATCTCACTTCTTTAGTAATGATGTTCCTCATTCTCTAAGTTGAACTAATCGCTCCTTTCAAAAAAGTTTCCACAATTCGTATTCAGATAATACATTTGGTAATTAACCACTTACTGCCTACTGACATCTTTTCCATTATTGCTTGCTACTATTAAGTGCTTTATTGTTATTTAAGTTTTCATATTTGTAAATCTTGTCTCTCCAACTTGATTGTTTACCTCTTCTTTTAAAAGGGGCAAGCCTATCCTCTTTGTATCTCACAAAGCATTTAAGAGTAACTTGTACAATGTATTAACTTTTTGTCCAAATAATTTTAGAAATGTTTACCTCCAATAGTTAGGAACTATTCACATCGCTTTGTATTCTTTCAGTTAATATGTCTTCATGATGGTCCTCAGAGCTTTGAGAAAGCATGCATCTCCAAAATGTGTGTGTATTCTGTCATGGTTTGTATGCTGGATCCTTTCTCCTGGCTTCACGGCAGATTTGGCCTTTAACTATATGGCAGATTTGGCCTTTAACTCTACCATTAAACCAACTGAGTATGATTTCTAAACATAGAGAATAGACAGCTAGATTAGTTATGCTGTAGTAATGTGAAATAAGAATTTTCTTCCCCCTACCCCACACAGATCTTACTCAATAAAATTGTTTTTAAAAATGTGGGCTTGATTACTCACTGTTATTTTCATCTAGTATTAATTTAAATATTCAAGTGTTTTGAAAATAAATGAATGTGATATGTTCATTGACCTATTTGTAAGAAGCTAGATATCCGCAAATTGTGAAATACAGTCAACTAGCAATTATCCTCATACAGATCCAGGCTTTACCTTATGACTAGTGATCTGTGGTCTGTTGCCAACCAGCTCTCTTCTTCCTCCAGCTCACACCCAACCTACTTTACCCAACCACACTGAAAATAAATGTTCACTTGGTCCAACATACTAACATCAATCTAACACAGGTTGAAAAATAAGTATCTTATATGCCAATCTCCGTTGATTTGTACCAGCTGCCTGGATTGCAGTGATGCAAAGAATTCTAAAGCTATATCCAGATTCATCAGGAAAGGCCTATTAGTGAGTCTGCTATGAGCACAAGACAAGATGTGTTGGCACTTGAACCATGAATTTGCAATCTCCAGCCAAAGCAAAACTTACAATGTGGAGTTTCTTGTAGGGACCAAAGTGAAACTACCCCTTTGCCCTCTGAGGTTTTGCTGAAAACTCAGCTGACAAAAAGGTTAATAGGAGAAAAGGCACACAAAATTTTATTGTAATGTGCATAGCACAGGGGATCACAGGAGAATGATAGAAGTGATATGCCCTTTTCCATAGGGGAGGAAGGAGATGGGAAGTGTAGACATTTCTTTTAAGGAGCAGTAAGTAATTAGGGAAAAATAATGCACCTGGGAGGTGGGAGGCAGACATTATGGGAAGGTGAGGGGTGGAACTGCACAGGAACAAAGGTCATCTTATTATGCAAATTGAGTCCCACAGGTAATCTCTTGGAGCTGCTCTCAGGAGAATAGATGAAAAGTCTGTCTGGGCAGGGTGAAGATTCCCAGTCTCTTCTCTTCTCAGGTGATTAATCTTTCCTGGTTATTTGATGAGGTCCCTAAGGAAAGCATTTAAGATAATTGCATTTATTTTGGAAAGGAGCTTTCTTGGTCACATAAAGAAATTCCAGGAAGAGTCCTTCCTTGTGCTTAAGAGACAAGACAAAGGTAGAGGAACCTTCATTCTTAGGCAGCTTCTAGGGCTCCTCAGCACATCACAGCAACAGTCTTTGGGGCATCACTTTCTGGGCCCCAACATTCTCAAAGGCAAAGATTCTGTTTTATTCATCTCTACACATCTTCCTCTCTTCCCCTTTTACTAAGTCATGGCAGATATAGCCTGCTATGAAGTTGGCACCATTAGAGAAGGTATGGTTGCTTAGCTGTATCTGTGCCTAAAGTGAACATGTGTACTCTTAGTCACACCCAGTTTCTACTTCCACTTCTTGTGGAAACAGTCCCCATCTTCATTTAGAAATCCATTCATCTCCTATTTTCAGTCTACATGGTTCCAGGGAGATGACCATAACACAAGCTCATTGTGACATGTGATTCAGACCACCCAACATGATTATTACATTTTTCAATAACTGGCTTAGAAAGGACATTTAACCCAACAGGGACAATGAGATACCTTAGAGTTTTCTTCTGAGGTGTTTGTGAGGGAAAGAGTCACTCTTATTGCTTGCTGGATTTGAAACTAAGAACTATCTTGCTGTCACATGGAGTTGACACTTTTAAGCTTACAAAAAAAAAATGACCAAGTCAAAATATGATGATAATAACAGTTGTGATTAACTAACCTAAGCCCCCAAATCTATCATTCTGAAGCCCTGAATACCTTTCATTAATACATTCCCTTTTCTGCTTAAGCCTTTTTGAGTTTCCTGTCACTTATTACTGACACAGACTCCCTGAGACAAAGCTTTATAAGGACCTTCTTTGACTCCTATCAACTGCAAAAACAATATCTAATAAAAAACATAAGAAATGGCTGTGTGGGTGATATTTATGCTGGTGTTAGGAAAGCTCATACCCCGGCAGTAGAAAACATAGCAATTCAAAAGCACATGTTCTGGGAAGTGACTGCTAGCTGGGTCTGTTTTTTGCTTTACATCATTGCTCTCTTCTGTGAGTACTAATAATTGAGACTAGGTCATATACTTTATAAGTGCTTCAACAGCAGTGCAATTGGTCCAGGAAGGGAAGTTTGGCAGCTGAGTCACCTGTCAGGATAGTGTGTTGCAGGAAATCTCCAAATCAAGGAGAGACGCCTTCCCAAGGAGAGGTGGAGCTGGACCGGGCAGCTGTGGGAAAAGTTGGTTTCTAGCCACAGGCTTTTTCTGTAGGTAAATCAAACCAGCCTAGTTTTCCAATCTAGGCACAGAGCAGGCACTCCAGTCTCAGACACTTTGATCCTTTCCATAGAGGACAAAGAGGTAATGGGGAGAGGCCATAGCCTACTCATTCAAGAAGGTAGTTCTCAGGATGAAAGTTCATCACAAATGTCTGTCCTCTCTGGATTTTGGCAGCTTTGTTGCCTGACTTGAATAATGGATCGTGTCAGAACGTTACCTAGAGGAATATGCCCACTGCTTAGCGAGTATCTTTGACATTATTGACCTTGAGTAACTTGAGGAAACAGTAGAGTCTATGATTTGCTTCATCTGAGGTTGATATTTTTTCCAACTACAAATAGTAGCTTCCCGCTTCCCCAGGATCAGACTCAGAGGGTGCCTTAAACGTCAATGCTGAACTACTCATTTCAGCTCCAGGAAAATAAGTCTGTTGTGTCTCAAAAGAATTGTTCTCTGAGGCAAAACAATCTTTTGCTGCAACGCCCCCACAAAAGCCTGCATGAAAGGGTCACACAAGTATGTACAAAGGAAAGATCAGTGAAGATTTCCTTTCTTCTCCCTCCGTTTTTTTTCCTTTTAGCGCTGAGCTATGAACATGCTTAAAAGTCCGAGTGATGAGATCAATTCTGAATGGTCCTTGTTCTTCAGGATAAGTTCAAAGGTATCAAAAGTCAGCCTTTAAGGCTGAAGGAAAAATGCTTTCTACTTTGCCGCCAAAAGAGTTTGAAGTCTGGGGGCTTCATAGAAATTCCAAGGTGAGAACCAGAAGGGAAGTCATAGACTGTTCCCTGACATTGGAGGATATGGCTTTTTTTTTTTTTTTTTTTTTTTTTTTGTAGGGAAATCAAATCCACACAGCTGTGCCTTTGGAACAATTAGACACACCTAGAAGATCACACCAGGATGTTAAGAAAATGAGACAAACAGTGAGCATTCTGACATCATATACACTGATTGGCTTTTTAAACTCTGGGGCCTTTTCACACAGATTTTACCCAGATAAAAATGCAAGCATCTGAACCATATGCTTAAGTGTTTTCTCTGTACCGCTGGCTGGAGCAGCTGGCAAAACATGATCTAGGACTGCTAAAACTGTTCTGACAAAAGCACTTTAGTGGGGTCTGCAGGACAGGGTCTGAAAGATGTCAGAATTTTTAAAAGGTACTAATTGCTCAAAGGATGAAGCAATCCCTCTGAAAACTAACCCAGCATTTTAATAGAACCCAGAACAATACTGAGAATCTCAGAGGGAAAATCTGCTTGTTTTCTAACTCCTGCTGATAAAGAGGAAAAGCATAACCACTAAGCACAGGGCAATGTGGAAGAATGTATTGGCTTTTCAGGCACCTATGAATCCTTCAAGAACTGTACCCAAAACTTTAGCAATTGAGCAAGAAACAAAAGAGCAGAAGCCTATTACCAAATCACTGTTGGAAAGAAGGCTATTTGGCCTCTGCAAACCTCTGATGTCTGTCAGTTCAATCCTTCCAACAGCTCTTGCAGAGGTCCGCCAGGAAGACAGTGAGGGGACTGTGGCCAAGGGATGTGGAAGAATGTCCTGTCCTCAACAGGCAGGCCCATTAACCCTCCAGGGAGAGCTCAAAACCCACAACAGATCTCTGACCCAGTTATTTGCCTCATGCAATCAATGACTGTCTAATAGGAATTTATCAAACCTATGAAATCTTACATTACTAGGCAGTGAAACCAAGTAAGGACTAAAAAAACCGGATGCCATCTGAATCAATCAGGACTTGGGGACATGGGTCCCTATCGTGATGTTTTACACAGCCACAGTGCCTCTCTACATCAGAGGAGCTCACAGATTCTGGGCTTCTGATAATCATTTCTCAATCCTGTGAATATAAACCAAAACTAAAATTCTAAGTTCCTCAACCATCTGAAGGGACCCATCCTCTCAGCCGGGGGCATTCCAAATTTTACCTAAAAACTAGCTCAGGCCATGATGGGAAGAGGGAGCTGGACATGCCTCATTATACCTTCCTTCCTGTTGGAATTCAAGCACAGCTGACCAGCTTTAACATCAATACAGAGACCTTAAGATTGATAGAACAGACTCTTAAGCCTGATAAGTAATATTTACAATCTATTCTCTCTGAAGCCTGCTGCTGGAGGCTTCCTCTGCATGACAAAACCTTGGTCTTCAGAACCTCTTCGTAACCCAGACATTCTTTCTATAAACCAGACATTCCAGGTCCTTAGATAATAACTCTTTCAACCAATTGCCTATGAAAAAATCTTTGAATCTGGCCAGGCATGGTGGCTCATGCCTGTAATCCTAACACTTTGGGAAGCCAAGGCAGGCAGGTTGCCTGAGCTCAGGAGTTCAAGGCAAGCCTGGGCAACACTACAAAACCCCATCTCTGCTAAAACTACAAAAAATTAGCCGGGTGTGGTGGAGTGCACCTGTAGTCCCTGTTACCCAGGAGGCTGAAACCAGAGAATTGCCTGAACCCAGGAGATGGAGGTTGCAGTGAGCTGAGATTGTGCCACTGCATTCCAGCCTGGGTGACAGAGCAAGCCTCTGTCTCAGAAAAAAAAAAAATCTTTGAATCCATCTATGACCTGGAAACACCACCACCTCAACTCCCAATCCCCCTGCCCTCCACTTCCAGTTCTCCCGCCTTTCCAGACCAAACCAATGTACATCCTACATGTATTGATTTGATGTCTTATGTCTCCCTAAAATGTATAAAACCAAGCTGTAGCCCAACCACCTTTGGACACATATTCTCAGGATCTCCTGGGGCTGTGTCACAGGCCATTGGTCACTTACATTTGGCTCAGAATAAATCTCCTCAAATATTTTACAGAGTTTGACTTTTTTTGTCGACACCTATTTTATCAACAGAACTAGGAACTTGAAGATGAATAAATAACTCAATATCTAACATACACAAATACATCACAGTAGAATCCTTGGCTCTTGATCCCCATTGCCAATGGCATTTTCAATAAGAACAGAGGAACTAAATTAAGCAAAGAAAGATGGTTCCAGTATAGCCATTCTATTCTCCAAATGAGCAATTAATATGTTACTGCTGGCTGAAAGAATATGATATAAACAGATAACAACATAAAACACATCCCAGGTTAGTCAGTATACACACAAAACACATTAGTCTCTGATGATACATCCAGGAATTAATTGAGTATAAAATATTGTGTAGAAATGAGGACACTCTCATGGCAATGAAGAATAATAATGGTTTTACAAAATACAGCAGTGAGCCCAGCATCCCATTACCCTCCCCTCAGTCCCCTTCCTCTCTGCCTTTTCCTTCCGCCTGAGACAGCAATGCACAACTGAGGGAGTTGCCCGAGATGGCTAAACGGAGGGCATGACTTCTGCAGATGAATCAGCAGATGTGTGGCCTACTGCTCCCTCAGAACTCAATCAGAACTCAGGAGCGAGTCGCTCTAAGATGGTAATAGCCTCATTACTGAGGTTATAAAGGCAGCAACATGTCTTCTCTGAAAGATAAAACAGTATTATCCACATTTCATTTGGTAAATTAAATCCCTTTGAGCTTATTTACCATCTTGAAGATAGTGCTATTCTCTGTGAGCAGAAGTTTCAAAGTGAGATTATGCTAATAACTCATCCTTGTGTCTCATTGGCTTAGCACACAGGGATGACTAGTGACATGGTATCTGCACAGAGGATGCTCTCCCCTGTCTCCAGAATATGCTGGCATTCAGCCTTCTGCTTGGCTGGAATTTTTAGTTTTGGGGTCTTTTGATGTTTGTTTAGGGAGGGAGGGAATATTATTATTACCTTGACGCTACATACCTTGGAGGTTTTAGAACTTCTGGCACATCTATCATTTATTGAGCACCTACTACATACCAGACCCTGTGCTTAGTTCATGCACATGCATTATCTCAACAATTGTCTCTTGAGATGGATATCATATCTCTCCATTATGCAAACTGATATGTCAAGAAGTTAAATTTCTTAGCCTAGCTAAAAGAAATAGTAATGATTTTAAAATTGGAAGCTAAATATACATCTATTGACTATCTCAGAGCCCCCTCCCCAGGACTGTAGCTTTGCCCAACCATCAGAACCAGGAAGAAGCTGACACTGTGTCTGTGAACTGTAGCCACACAAACATGTGTGCAATATTCCTACCTACACAAAATGTGAATGTGTCAGCATTTGCCCAACTTCTTAATAAGGTACCTGCCATTCTTCCCAGTCACTGGGAGCCCAAGGACAGCAGGAGCATTTATTTCTTCCTCTGCATGTGAAAATCTACAACTCAACCTCAGTGCATAACCCATGGCTAGTAAAGTGGTCAAAAGAAGTACCTGGAGCCTACCAAATAAGAAACATGCAAATGGTATGTGAACCATCCAGTGTTACCAGCTCTCTGGTCAACCCAGTGCTGACTTTCCTACTTGGCCTCTTGGGAAAGAGATAATGATCAAAGTAAACAATTTTACCACACCTTAGAAAGTTCTAGGTATGAGATAGTTAAATTCAGGGAGAATACAATCATAAATTAATACACTTTTTTGATTATGAACATATATGGTCTGGTTAATGCAGAGAATTAGAATATGAAAAGAACCATATTGAAGAATATTAGTCCTCAACGTGAAGACAAGCTGATCTCATCACCACCTCTGGTCACCTATATTTCTCTTATTGCAGCTAATCAATATGGCCCACTATAGTGGGAATAATTATGATTACATAACTATGTATCTGAAATTTTGCCAGGTTAGAATCTGCTCAGCCTTTCCCCAAATCCATATCTCCCAATTTTGCGAGGCATGTGGTCCACAAGAAATCACTGCTCTTCCAAGAATTGGTATAGAGACAGTCAAAGGTCACCAAGGGTCACCAAGTCATAGGGCAGTTCTCAAACTTTTCCACCAAAATCTCTCAAGGGCAGAGGGAGCCAATACATCACTTGAAGGGTGAGCCCAAATGCCTTCAACAAGTGAATGGCTTCTTCAAAGTCTCATGCTTGTGATAATCTTTCATTTTTGCCCATAAGTCCACATATTTCAATATAAAAATAATCGTTTTTATTACTTATGTACTTAGAGTTGAAGCTTTAAGAATGCCTCCATGAATCTAGTATTTCAAGTGCCACCTTACATTCTGAGGGTAGAAATATGGAATCTAATGTCCTCAGTTCTTAAAAATCAGAGCAAAGGGTAGGAGAGAGAGAAAATGGATGAAAAGAAGCCGTCTGGTCAACTGAATGACAGAGCTAAATTTATTGCAAATTGATAATAAGAACAAACCCTAGCCTGCTCTATTTTAAAGAAGACTGTGCAAATGTGTGTGCATTGTCTCCCAGTTACACGGGCAGTATAAGCACCATTTCACAGCAAGGATCACTTGTAACAGAGCTACTGAATGGCTCATTTCCCTGCAACCAGGGGGCTGACTCATGGGAATGTTTCTGCACTGACCCAGCCTGGAAATCCCCACAGAACCTTCCCTGTCTCTCGTTCCCTCCTCAGCAGTGAGGTGGGGAGATGAGCCTCCTCCCAGGGTTCTCAGGCACCATGTCTCAGCTGCCCTTAGCTTGACAGGCCAGTCTTCCCCCTGATTGGAGTCTTCATAGGGAATGGGCCCCAGAGTGTAGTAGAAGTGGCTGCCATGGTGAGGTCCTGTTACACACGCTTCAGGCTGTTGCCACCAGGCCTTATCTGGCCATCTGTGCATATCTGTGAGGACAGTTGCCATGGCACCAGCCTGTGGGCAGTGAGAGAGGTGCTGGAAGGGAATTCAGAGCCTGAATAACCCTGGGGTGAGTAACAGAAAGCGAGGAGGCAGTGCAGGGAGGGGTAAGGAAGGTGCTAGAAGTTCTGTGAGATTATGTCAGAGATAGTGCTGCTCCTTAAAGCTCCCTCAGAAAGAGCCACAAGTCTCCTTCCCTCACCAGACCTCCTTGGGCCATCATGGCTGCCTTGGGCTCTCACCTGGGGCCACATGTTTACCCTTGTCTGGCACAAGGGCATTTGCCATGGCCTCCAAGCCTGTCTTCCCCTCTGGCCTCACCACTATACCACCCATCACATCTTCTCCTTTCTGCTTTCAAAACCTACTCTAGGAATATTCTCTAGAGATCCTGGAATATTCCCTGACACCCTCACGATTGCTCTCATTTCCATACAAGGATAAAATAGATGTGTGTACATGTGTGTAAGGTGTTTTAGTTGTGAGCAGCAAGCCAGACCTGGAAAGAAAAAAATCAAAACAGAGTAAAACAGTGAATCTAAAAAGAATTAAGTGAAAAACAATTTCTATGATTTTCAAGTAAAGGAGGAGAGCATCTGCATGGGAGGGGAACCTCTGTTCCCTCCAGAATACTGGGGTATGGAAGGTTGCAATATCTTCTGATATGAGGACAAAAATCCAAAAAAAGGAAAGAGAGGCAACAGAAAAAGGAACAGAGAAAAAAGGAAAAAGGAGACTAACTCAAGAGCAGGGGAAAGCAAGGTCACTTCATAGTCAGAGAGAAAATATTTTGAGTGATTTTGGAACAAAAATACCTTCAGACTTTGCCCACAACAGAATCTGAAGTGCGAGTTGAGTATAGAAGAAACAATTGGGTTTTGAATGTTCTCCTCTGTGAGCTGGGCAGAGGAACTGGAACTCGGAGCCCAGGATGGCGATAATGACTGATATTTATATGGTGCATACTATATGTAGGCACTCTTCTGAGCGCATCCCATGTTTTAATCCCCTTAATGTTCACAGCAACTCTCTGATAAGGCAATATCACTCTCCCCAACTATAGTTGTGAAACCTGGGCCCAGAGAGGGCAAACAGCTTGCCCAAGGTCGCACAGCTAGTAAGTGGGGCACCCAAGATTTGAACACAGGTGGTCTGACCCTGAACCCAGCCCTCTTTACCACTACCCACTAGTGTGTGTTCATAGTTACTCTCAGTAATAGTTTCCCAAAAGCAAAGTTACAAGTTTAAAAAAAGAAAGAAATGGGTGGAGACAAATTTCAAGCAGGTTTTAGGAAAGCAACCTCTAAGTGTGAGAGGGCTGGATAATTAATGATGCTCCACCATGCGCAAGAATGAGCAGGAGTCTCAGAGAAATCCCTGGCTTAGAACCTCTGACTTTCCTTTGTTCTTCAGTTGGTTCTGAGCATTGAGTAGGTGGAGGAAAGGTCTCCTAAGGATATCATTATCTCATAGCCCCACTGCTGCTTAAAAAGCCTCAGCCTTGAGTTTCTAAGTGTCCTTCAGTCTTTTTTAAAGACTTAAACTAGAGCCAGATGTGATAGCATGTGCCTGTAATCCCAGCTATTCAGGAGGCTAAGGCAGGAGGATCGCTTGAGCCCTAGAGTTCTGGGCTGTAGTGCACTATGTGGATCGGCTGTCCGCACTCAGTTTGGCATCAATATGGTGACCTCCTGGGAGCAAGGGACCACGAGGTTGCCTAAAGATGGGTGAACTGGTCACGGTCGAAAATGGAGCAGGTCAAAACTTCTATGCTGATCAGTAACAGGATTGTGCCTATGAATAACCACTGCACTCAAGCCTGGGCAACATAGCGAGACTCTGGTCTCTTAATAAAACAAAACACTCAAACTGGAGCTGAAGACAAAAAAAAAAAAAAAACCCACTCTATTGTAACTACTTAAAGAGTTGTTGACTAGGGATAAAGCACTCAAGTAGAACAATATCAGGAATCATCCAGACACAAAATACACTGGGGTATTTTTCTTGGCCTTTCTGATATCACACCCTCTATGTATATTTTTTTCTTCCCCCTGGCCTTGAGGAGAAATTGCTGGGAGAAAGTTGCCACCAGAATCTCTGGCCAAAGATCTATCTTTTTTCTATTCCACAGTAGTCTAGGGGTATAGCATTTGGCATCCTCAGCTTTTCATCATCTTTGAGGGGCCTTAGAAGCTACTGTGTACTTAGATTACTTATTAAGTGTCTACAGCAGTTCTACAGATGTAAGTTCCTTGCTGGAAAAATTTTTTTTTTCCTTAAACTGAACAAAGCCTGTTGGTGTAAATGAAACCTCAGAAAAAAAAAAAGAAAACACTCTTGTTCATTGTTATAGCTTTGCCTTTCTAGATGCTGCCACATGACCAAGTCGGACAGGTGGGAACCACTAACCATCTACCTAAGAGAGGAGTGATAGGTACTTCGGCCTCAGGTTTCAAACCTTGGATTTCAGAGTTTCTGTAAATGGAGAGAGGCATTGTTTCTGATAAGTGTCTCTGATAAAGCCACTTGGGAGGAAATAAAATCTTGTTACATGACTGGCTTTCCTTTTTACTTTTGCTTTTTCCTTACTTTTGGTAGCACTGATTCCGGGGGGAACGTGCTGTTTTCATTGGGTGTTTATGAAGAAATATTTTGTATTGTAAACTCAATTCAGTGAGGAGTGGTTCTCAACTGTGACGTCAGGACTCACTGATGAGTCTCAGTAAGTCATAGGGAGTGTCACAAATAAGTTGTTACTCATGATAGAATACCAAGGTGTCAGAATGAGTTCCATTACAAAAGACAAACTAGAGCTGACTCAATATTCTCACCATTTCAAAGTCATTCATAAACTCATGTATTCCAGTGTGTTTTCTTAAATGACAGAAAAAGAGACAGAATTACACCCAGTGAGTGGAATGACATACCTTCAAAATCCAACCACGGGCCACCTCACAACTATCAGGATGACTACAACAACAAGCAAAAAATACGAAAAACAACAAAACAGAAAATAAAGTGAGAATATGGAGAAATTCGAAATGCCTGTGCACTGCTGGTGGGAATGTTAAATGCTGCAGCCACTCTGAAAAGCAATATGGTGGCTCCTCAAAAAATTGAAAATAGAATCACCATATGATGTAACAATTCCATTTCTGGGTATATACCCAAAAGAATTGAAAGCAAGGTCTTGAAGAAATATTTGAACACCCACATTTATAGCAGTATTATTCACAATAGCCAATTGGTGGAAGTAACCCAAATGTCCACCCGTGGATGAATGAATAAACAAAATGTGGTACATATGTACAACAGAATATTATTCGGCCTTAAAAAAGGAGGAAATTCTGACACACACAACAATATGGATGAAGCTTGAGGACATGATGTTAAGTAAGATAAGCCAGTCATAAAAGGAAAAATACTGTATGAGAGTTACAGACAGAAAGGAGAGGGGTGGTTGATAATGTGAAGTTGTTGTTTAATGGGTACCGAGTTTCTGTTTTGCAAGATGAAAACGGTTCTGGAGACTGGCTACACAACAATATGAATGTATTTGACACTACCGCACTGTATAACTCAAAAATGGCTAATATGATCAATTTAATGCTATGTACATTTTACCACAATTTTAAATGTTTGTAATTTTTCAAAAAAGAGAACTACAACCATGGGCCCACGGAGTGTTTTGCATGTGAAGCATCACCCAGCACACATGCACAGTGGAGAAACTACTTTAGACAACGGAGTATCGGGAAGTTGTGGAGTATCGCTAAGACCGTCTTTTCTTACCCTCCTTTTTCTTCATCTCCTTCCTCATAGTCTATGAAAATTTATCACCAAAGCCTATTATTTGCAGAATCTTGCTGACTTGCCCTTTCTTTTCTGCCAGTGCAATCTCCATCCTCTCATAAAATCTACATTCTAACTCATCTCCTTGATTCTAGTTTTTCCTTCCCCTCCAATTCTTTCCTATGCCACTCCCATTGAAGTGTTTCTAAAACAGCCCTTATCCCGTATCTTTAGCTTGTCCAATAAGATATAAGAATTCCTCTTGAATCATTGCACCGGGTCTAACCTCAATACCCTTTACGAGCAGACCCTGTTCCTGTTGCTTCCTTCCACGAACTTTCATCCTAGCTGGAACAGATTCTTCACCAGTCTCACCTCTGTGCCTCATGCTAAATCTCCCCATCTTGAAATACAGTAGATCCCTGGTTTCATGTATTCGAAAGCCACCTGTAAGGCCTATGGCCTGTTCTTACCTGTCATGAATCTAAGCCCTGCACCCTGGAGTGGAGGCATGAGTGAGTCACTCTGCTAGGAGGGAAACTGCCACCCTCTGCATCTCAACATTGCCTTGTGGTTCTCTGCTTGTCATTTCGGAGGCAAAAACTCTCTTTGTGTTTCTGTTGTGGAAGAAATTATCATGATATTGGTGTAATTAGAAGCTCACAAATATCAGGGACCTATCAGACTTTCTTATTCTTTTCCACAATTTAAGCTTTTCCTCCTTCTAGAAGCCTTTCCCAGTGACTCTGACACTTGGTGTTTTCTCTCCTTTCTCTTTTCCAATGGCAAGAAAGGAACCTCTGACCCGCAAACAGGTAGCATAAGCTTCTATATGTTATCTATCTGATATAGTTTCTAAATTAATTTAGTTGAATAAACCTCACCACTTCAACCACAGTGTAGACTTTTTTGAAGATTAGAAACCAGGTCCTTACATCTCTTGCCTTCACATCACCAAGCACAAAGCTGGACACATTGCAGGTGCTCAATAAATATCATAAATTGTTGATCTAGAAACAGCACACTAAGGTCTCAAAAGAGTACATGAGAGCCATGGAGAAACAATGCGGTATAGTGATCCTCCTAGAGAGACACGTGTCTCCGAGGAGACATGGCCCCTTTCAAACAGCCACCTCAGTTCTCTTTTACTGCCCTATCCTTTCGCCGGGTTTCTCCTTTCAACCTTGAGAGATAACTGACATGGGCTTAGGATACTCAGTCATTCTGGAATTCTGTATCAGCACTGAAACATGAGTGGGGAAATTCTAAGAAATTTACTTCTCTTTTTCTTTTCATATTTTCCTCATTCCAAAGTGGAACTAAATCGAGGTTCCCTAGCAACCCAGGGCTCTGTGAAGATTCATTATTCTATAAAATCCCACCACCTTACAAACACAAAATGTTACAAGTTGCCCAGTCACCCCGGCTTCTGAGATGAAGAATATTATTGAAGTCAAATCTGGTGGCTATCACACTCCATGGAACTTGGGGCAACATTTAGGTACCTCTACCCAGGAAAGAATCTCTGAGAAATAGGTGGCAGTTTCTCTAGCAGCATAAGAAGAACCTTGATAAGCATCATCCTTAAGTCCTGACAGCAGTGGATGACTAGTCAGGAACCTGTCCAGGTAAGCGCACACCCTAGCAGGGCTCTGCTAAATGGCTCCAATGGCTCGGAGGCCTTACTGAACACTAGGGATTGATTTCTATTGAAAACCAAAAGGAAAATGAGAAACAATCGAAATCAGGGCTCCTTCCAACCCTGGCTCAATAGCCCTTTGTTTTGCATATTCTCTATGCAAGATGGTGAAATGTAGAGATACAATTAGAATATCAAGGCTAATGAAACTAATCATTTCAAATTAAGCCCATATACAACTGTGGCACCACAAAACTGCCTTCTCATCTCTGCTATCCTGGGGGAACATCCCAGATGCACAGGAAAAATTAGCTGTCTTTTCTGGAAATTAAAATGGTAAAATGCCTGATGCACAGAACATACTTCACAAATCTTAAGTGAGCCAAACGAGGCTTTTATCCCCTGACAGCAATCTTTCATGAGCTGGACAACTGTCCCCAGTGTGAGGCAGTGAAGTCTGGCTAGCACTCTGCACACAGGAATATCAAGGCCCCTTTTCCCTTTCATGCTTTGCCTCCTCAACCATACTCTCCCCTTTGTAATATCTCTGTCACTAAGGAAACCATGGTAACATCAGTGCTTCTGTTGAGCACAGTGGTCACTCAAAAGAGGCAGAGTGAGTTCAGCCTATCATTTGAGATCCGAGTATGATTGGGGAAATATCCTGAAATAGTCTATGATTTGAAGAAATGGATAGATGGCTAGAATAACATGCTAGATGGTAGTCAAGTTACTAACTGCAGAATTGATTTGATAAAATTCTCATCGTGTCTCCTGACTTAGGAGAAATATTGGGTCTGATGAATGGGTAAAATTCCCAGGTGAAAAGAATTTGGTCTGTAAGATTTGGCAGCACCCTGAGGTTTGCCATATCTGATGGCCTGGCTTTAGTGGCAGCACCTAGTGAAGGCCCAGGTGTCCTTCTGACAACCTTTACCACCTACCGTTTTGTCCTTACTTATGTTGAATCACTACACACAGGCTGTTGAATTCAGCTGTCTGTGGAGAAATTATACCAACCACATGGTTAGACAGAAGGAATACAATATATTGCTTAATTTGTATCTGAAAGCTAAGCAACATGGAAAAAAATCAAGCATGCTCAGTCACTTCCATGAGGACAAACGAAGACACTTCAAGGTAACCTTAGACAAAACACGTATTAATCTATAATCAGATGCCATTCAAAATAATAAGAGACATTGACCTGAATCTTAGAGCTGATGCAACTGAGTGTGTCACCTCAGTATTCAACCAGTAGGGGGTTGTTTATGGGGAGGGCTTCGGCTTGCCAATTAGAAGTCTTGGCTGATTCTAGCACTTTCTTGGCTGATTCTAGCACTTTCTGCAGGTTCTCTTTCTGCAGGTCAGTTACTTTGTTTGTAAAAGTGTACTCCTTCTTAGTAGCTATCAACTCCTTCTTGGTAGGGTTATTTCTTTTACTTCTTTGTATTCCTTCCACTATACAAAATACAAACCCTTGTTTATAGCTGATTCCCCAGTAAATTTCTGAAAGAACAAATGGATGAAAGAAGGATGATTTATGATATGTCCATGGTTGCTGAAAGAATGGGGAAAAATGTAAAATCACCTGAAAAGTTAATAGATAATAAATGCAAGAAGTTTTATTTGTAAAAAGCCAATAGATAATAAATAAAAGAAGTTTTATCCATGATAAGTAGATGCTGCTACTTTGTCAATGTCCCAGAGAAATACATGTGTCCAGAGAACATTTATTTGACCAATTCAATCAACCAACCAGAAATTCAGTTGAAACATCAGTTTGACAGGTATTGACTGAAGTGGCTGGGTAGCATAGTTGATCTTATTGGCCCTTTTGTGGTCCACATTTTAGTGGTGACCCAGTATTCCTCTCAGAAACCAGAAGGAAAGGAAAAAGGGAGGCAGGGCTTTAGCTATGCCATGATGTGGTTCAGAGAATATTGGATGAGAGCTAGTAGACCTGGTTTCTCCTCAGTCTTGGGGAGGGGCTTCCTGGCCATTGCTATGTGACCTCCCTCTCAGGACAGTACACTGAGAAGAGACAGAGCAAAGAGCTAGTCTGAAAGAGAGTGGACTATTGTCTGCTGGTCCCAGATCCATGCATTCTTCCATGCCTTCCTCTGTACTGCAGTCCACTTGCTAGAGGAAGGCTAGAATATAGGAGGAAGAAGGCTTTTTTGTCTGCTACTGGTAGAGCCACCAATAGCAGTAGTACCGAGGTCAGCAACTATGGGCTCTGGCAGCTCCATCGGTGACACTGAGCTTTAGCGGTGTCAGTCCTGGTTTCACCAGCATCAAAATGTAGTGTCCGGGGTTCCTAGTCAGAACAGCATAGATCCGACTGTGGCAATGGTAACAGCAGCAGCATCTTTAGAAACTCAGCAGACAGTGTGGGCTTGCAGGTTTCAACCCAGGTTGAAAAACCCCAGCTTCCTGATCTCTGGGGCACATTTCCCTCTCTGTGTGCTTCCCCAGCCCATCTAACACCTTGGTAACATTCTTTCTCCATTAATTCCTTCTGTTTGAAACATCCAGAGTAGTTTCTGTTTTTCTGTCTAGATAATGATTGATACACCTCCCATGCCCCACCTCTCACCCAGGACAGGATCGAAGTGTTGGGGGAGCCACAACCTGCTTCACCTAGAAAGTAAGAAAGAAAAAGAGAACTGAACAGTACCACACCTTACAAAGTTCAACCCCATTTTGAAAATTAAGGGTGGCTTATCAAATTTCCTAAGTCAGCCAACCCCTGGTGACATGTATTCATGGTGGTGCTGTGATGTGCCACTGAGATCCCCCATGAGGATTGAAGGATTTATCCCGCAGAAGCTGGAATTGCTCCCAAAATACAATCCCCAACTGTCAATCCTCTTCGGGATTTGTCTAGGCTTATGAAAACTAGGCAGAGGCAGCCCCCACCCAGTGACTGATCAGCAGGGAGTTATAAAGGCCCAAGCTCATATTCCAACAACGAAGCGCCATACCAGCTCCAGAGCTTCCCATGAAGTCAGCTGAGACCTTTGCTGGGACTACATCACAGCTCAAATTATCCCTTGTCCCAATCTGCCCCCTTCCCTTTTCTTCCATGGGAGTTTATCCCAAGAGCACTCCCTAATAAGCCCTACATACTCATCTCTGCCTCAGAACCTGCTGCCAAAGAGACATATATATGTGCTGGAGCTGCCGCAACAAAGTGCCACTGATGAGGTGGCCTAAACAACACCGACTTATTGGCTTACAGTTCTGCAGGCTGGAAATCCATGATCAAGGCGTCCGCAGCATTGGTTCCTTCTGAGGGCCGTGAAGGAAGGACTTGCTCCAGGCCTCTCCCCTTGGCTTGTAGAGAACTGTCTTTATGTTCACATGGCAGTCTCCATGTGTATAGATCTGTCTCCAAATTTCCCCCCCAACTTTTTTTTTTTTTTTTTTTTTTTTTTTGAGACAGAGTCTTGCTCTGTCACACAGGCTGGAGTGCAGTGGTACAATCTCAGCTCACTGCAACCTCCACCTTTTGGGTTCAAGCTGTTCTCCTGCCTCAGTCTCCCGAGTAGCTGGGACTACAGGCATGCGCCACCACACCCAGCTAATTTTTGTATTTTTAGTAGAGATGGCGTTTCACCATGTTGGCCAGGATGGTCTCGATCTCTTGACCTCGTGATCTGCCCCCTCGCCCTTCCAAAGTGCTGGGATTACAGGCATGAACCACCGTGCCCAGCCCAAATTTCCCCTTTTGGTAAGGACATCAGTCATATTGGATTAGGGCCCACCCTAATGACCTCATTTTAACTTGATTGCTTCTGTAATACCTTATCTCCAAACAAGGGCCCGTTGAGGTCCTGGGGGTTAGGACTTCACCACATGAATTTGAGAGGGTTGGGGGGAACAATTCAGCCCATAACAGAACCCAACCTGCAAACATATCAATTGTCTTTTCAACTAGGAGGACATTGACATGGATCTGCCAGCTTTCTAAGACTTTCCCCAGATTCAAGTCCAGTCACATCAAGTTGCCTTATTAAAGGGTCTGCCCACTCAAAAGGAGAAAGTGCAAAAGATGCTCAGCAAGGTTAGTTATGGGTTCCCCAGCACAGGCTGGCAATATTTTAATCAGGAATGACAGAGTCTGGTTCCCAGGCTAGAGGGAAACCTGAAATGGGGCATCTATTGGGAAATACGCATTTACAAGGAAACTATTTATTACACATAGCTGGGTGATGAGAAATGTGGCTGATCATTCACCTCTGGAAGGGTGTCTGGGAGTCTAACATAATTAGGCTCTTATGTCGTTTGTTCCCAAAATTAATAACAGTATGACAATGAATAAAGGTGGGAGGAGGAAGGTACAGGCAAATAGATGATAGATTTTTTTTTTAACTAGAAAAGGAGAACTTTTCTTTCTTTCTTTTTCTTTCTTTTTCTTTCTTTCTTTCTTTTTTTAAATTTTGAGACAGAATCTCACTCTTTCACCCAGGCTGGAGTGCAGTGGCATGATCTTGGCTCACTGCAACCTTCACCTCCCAGGTTCAAGAGATTCTCCTGCCTCAGCTTCCCAAGTAGCTGGGATAACAGGCGCGTGCCACCACACTCAGCTAATTTTTGTATTTTTAGTAGAGACGGGGTTTCACCGTGTTGGCCAGGCTGGTCTCAAGCTCCTGGCCTCAAGTAATCCACTGGCCTTGGCCTCCAAAGTGCTGGGATTACAGGTGTAAAACCATCATGCCCAGCCCTATTTTTTCAATTTACTGATAGAGTTATCATGGTATTCCTATGTTTTTCTCCGCGTACACATTGCCTTGCTTTCAAGCTGAAAATGTGAAGATGCTTTGCCGTAGAAAGCATTGTCACAGTAAAACGCCTTAAGAGTCAGCATTTTGTTAGTGGGGGCAGGGTAGCAGGAAATGTGGGCTATAGAGAAATTTATGCATGAATGCTTAAAAGCAACCTAAAGCCAGCCTGCACTTTGGAACTCAAGTTGGTGTTACAGTCTGTATCTGGAGCCATCAAAACCATGTTGGGATGGGGCATTTGAAGGAGTACAAACAGGCAGGGTTACAATCTGGCCCTGAGCCCTAAATCCCAAGAACACTGGCCTCAAAAACATCAGAAAGCAATGGAGGTCTGAGAATCAAGTGCAAATGTTCTCATGTGCCAGGAAAACCTAAGACAGCTATTTTCACAGTATATTGGGGCTTGGCCAGGTTCCAGAAACCATCAGCAAAGTAGCCTGCCTTGATACTTCAAAGGAAGAAGTCGCACTGATAAATCCTGCCCACACTTTCCACCGCACACACTTCATCTTGAGGTATATAATACCACAACAATGAGTCACTGGGCTGGAGCCTGAGGCCTGTCCACAGGACAGAAAGAAAGAAAAAAGTCTCTCACATCTGTTGTCTAGGGCAATTCCCCTCACTCTTCAAAACTGCATAAAAACAGAATAATAAAAACTGTCACAGGACAAATGAGTTATGGCCTGGTTTACCTGTACAGTGTCCCTCAGTAGAACTATAACGAAGTTGGCCCACCATTTTTCTTTACCACATTTTATCACATTTTGATAAAACTCATCAGACAGGGAGGAACCAATCTACTTTATTCCTTAGATTCAGCTCAGATATCTTAGGAGGACTTTAAACCATGAGACAAGCTGAGAGCTTTTCTTTAACATACTTACACACTCATACCTTGGAAAGCCTCTGTCTTCTGAATTGTATTTGGTGTAAATGAAAATTCAGCAAATATTCACAAGAATACCCAAGGTAAAGAATATCAAGCCTAGGTGTCATGGACGAGAAGAAAGCAACAAGGGGATGCCAAGGTCAAGAGTAGGGCCTTTGCTTCTTAGTGGGGGTTGGGCAGGAAGAAATCATAAAAATTCCTTTTCTATAAATCCTGCACTGTCTGGACTGCTCATGGGCTGACTGGCAATTTGGTCAGGCAATAGACTTTTCCCATCTGGTCATTTAGCGAGGGTCTATGGAAAGATAGTGGAAATCGTCTACATCTTTTGCTGAGTAAGACAAGAAAGTCAACGAATGCAGCGACTACATAGTATACTGGAGGCTAAAGTCTTAAGAGACACATTGGTTTAGATGTGTGCACGTGGCCATGTTTGCTTTGGGGCAGTTTTTTGGACACACAGACACGTCTCCACCCACTCGTTTACCCCTACCCCATTCCCACCCTTACCCGCACCCCCACCTCACTTTGTTCTTAAGACTATAGTTATGCATAACTGCTAAGAGTAAACACTTTCCAGATGACCTACACAAAAATCCTTTTCCAAAGACTCTTCTTGGTTTCAGGTGAGTTCTCATTTTCCTTCACTCAAGTTTTGTTTGTCTCCCCCAGGGTAGCAAACGCAGTCAGATGATACTTCCTGACAGCATCCAAGAGCAAGTCTCACCACCACATCTGTCAATAAAAAAGAAAACAAGGAGCTGCCAATTTGTCTATTTATAGGTGCCAATAAAATCCTGCACAGAACTTTAGTCAACAAGACTATTTCAGAAGGGGTGGCCAACAGTGTGGCCTTTCACTGGCAAGGGCCACCTTTGTCATCACTTAAGAAAGAAAACCTGCCAAGTTTTCTGTGAGGCCCTCAATAAATCTTACTGAGTATTTCCATACACATCAGCCACCTTAACTTGAGGAAAGCCAACTTGGTGAGCATTATGTTGATTTACCAAGATAAGGAGCCTAGAGTCTATGGCAAGAAGTTCTTGAGGCCCCTCAGGGAGTGTCAAACAGTCCAACCCATAGGCAGGGGAGGAGGAAAATTACACCTCTCCTTCAACACCTCCAGAGCCCAGGATCCTGCCACCTGTCAGAGCAGAGGGGCAGTGGGTGTTGGCATGGCCCACAAGATGCCTCCAAGGAGAGAGGCACTGAGACAGGGGTTGCACTGGGGTTTCTAAATCCTGGGAGCTGAGAGTCAGATCCAGGATACACACTGGGGTTCCCATTGCCTAGCCCTAAAACATGGCAGTTGTGGTTAGCTCTGGTGAAGCAAAAAGACCACCAAATTGAATTCAGATAATTAGTTCTAATTATGCTAACTCTACCACTTTCTGCTTTTTAGAACTTGAGCAAATTACTTGATTTTTTCTGAGCTTTATGCAGTTCTTATGAAGACTAAATAAAAAGGTATTCAATATTAATAGGTAGTTTATTAAGCATTTCCTGTAAGCCAATGACAGTGCTAAGAACACAAATATCCCAGTGTTCAGATAGGAATTGTAAAGGGTGGAGACAGTAACTTGCCCAGAGCCACACAGTTAAACATGGCAGATATCTTATACATATTTTGGCTATTTTGTTTATCATTTTAGAACCACGAGAACACCTCAGCTACCACTATAACATGAATTTTTTTAATCCAGTGCCAATTTTATTTTTTGGTTGTTTGTTGGCAGAACACAAAACTCATAAAAAGCTTCACCCAGGATAGCCATTGTTGTGTGATAAAGTTGGGAGATTGATTAAAACGGCAGTGACATTGTGGTATTATTTTTGTTTTGTGTTGTTAGTGGCCAGATCCTTCACAAACACCTGGAAACTAGTGTGGCTTCTGGTTCTAGCCATTCGGTAACAGCTCTGAGGCTGAATAAATTGGACGTGAGAATGTGACAGTGAAAGACGGCTTGGGAACACCCAGGGTCTGAATAAAGCTTAGAAAATACACCACACCTTTATAGAAAAAGTAGATTTCTGTTTTATAAGGGAAAGATTGGCAGGAGTTCCAGGCCAGCTGCCCCCAAGAAAGAGGTAACTATTTAAGCCAATAAGGTTTCCATCTACACAAGTGCTCAAGTGGAAACCAGCCAACCAGAGTTAGCAGTTCTGTGGCAGAGAATCTCTGAAATCACCGCTGTGTTCTGAAATCACAGAACAGAGGCCTCCCAAGCTTGCCGAGCCACTCAGCCTCACAGAGCCTCATTTCCACTTCTCTAAGATGTAGGGACTAGATCATGCAAAATGGTCTAACCAAAGAGTAGATTTCTTTGAGGTTTCTTTCTGTTCCAAAATTCTGAGATTCTTAATTATGTCGAGGAAGCCACTTCGAAGCTGCTTTAGATAAAATAACCAGAATCCAAAATAAAGTTCGGCTTCAGCTGAGCATAATATTCCTGACACTTTACACCAAGCTTGTCCAACCCGTGGCCGGTGGGCCGCATGCAGCCCAGGACAGCTTTGAATTTGGCCCATACACTTCCTTAAAACATTATGAGATTTTTTTTTTTTTTTTTTTTTTTTTAGCTCATCAACTATCGTTAGTGTTAGTGCATTTTATGTGTGGCCCAAGACAATTGTTCTTCCAGTGTGGCCCAGGGTAGCCAAAAGATTGGACACACCTGCTCTACAGTGTGTATTTTCTTTCACAGTGTCTTAAAAGGAACACATTTCAAAATCCCTACATTTTTCTTCTTTTTCTTCTCCCTCTTCTCCTCCTTCATCTTGTTTGCCATCATTATCATCATGATTGTACTTAGGGTATTTGTTTAATGTGTTTGTTTTTACAGAAAGTGCCTTTTGCAAGCCACTGCTCCTACTGACCTAGTAGTGGAAGGTAAACTGAGTGTCACAGAACTCCAAGCATCCTCACATGTGCACTGAACAAGAAAACTGTGGAGTGCCTGCCCACTCCAAGCCACCTGCCCCACGCCACCCCAAGGGGTGCCCACCAACAGCCCCAAGGGAAGGGGTTCTTCGAGCATAAATTGCTAGGTTCAGATCAGGTTCAGATCCTCATTCGCAGGTGATTGGTCTGAACCCTGTATCAGTCAGGGTTCTCTAGAAGGACAGAATTAAAGGAATATATATATGTTTATTAAGTATTAACCCATATGATCACAAGGTCCCACAACAGGCCATCTGCAGGCTGAGGAGCAAGGAGAGCCAGTCCGAGTTCCAAAACTGAAGAACTTGGAGTTTGATGTTTGAGGGCAGAAAGCATCCAGCATGGGAGAAAGATGTAGGCTGGGAGGCTAGGCCAGTTTCTCTTTTCACATTTTCCTGCCTGCTTATATTCTAGCTGTGCTGGCAGCTGATAAGATACCAGATTAAGGGTGGGTCTGCCTTTCCCAGCCCACTGACTCCAGTTTTAATCTCCTTTGGCAACACTCTCACAGACACACCCAGGATCAATACTTTGTATCCTTCAATCCAATCAAGTTGACACTCAGTATTAACCATCACAATCTAGGTGTAGAAGTCTCACCTCAGAGCAGCTCCTCTCTGAGTCGCCCTGACACAAAAGCTGAGCCTAACAAAGACAAGGGGGATCAATGGAAGCACTCAGAGTCCCTCTCTAGAAGCGTCTAAATGAGAATCATAGAGCTATTCATGAGTGGAAAGGTAGGAAAGAAACCGAAGCCCAGAGGCCTTCAGCAGAAACCTAGAGTAGCAGAAGCCACAGGCAAGAGGAAGCCTGGGCAGGCAAAAGCTAGGGGAAAGCCTGCAGTCCTAGACAGCTAAAACTGAATGACATGCAGAAGAGCAATGAGATACTCGGTTGTGCAGTGGCACAAATAGTAGAAAATTAGAAAACTCCTGCTGCTCTAGGACCACAAGGCAATCCAGCTCCCAGAGTTGCTTCTGATTCTGTGTAACCTCCTAGTTCCTGATGGACATACCATTCTCCATGAGTTTTGGCTCTTTGCAATTCCCCCATGAGGTCTGGTACAGATTTCTGCCTACATATATCCACCAATGAATCTCAATTTCTTCATTGTAACCTGAGTCAGTCTCTCATGCTGATCATCAAAAGGCCTATTAAGTATAAAATGCTGTATGGACTTACTGTCTGAACGATGACTCCTAACCTGCTCACAACTCCACTAACATGGATGCTTCTGTTCTGGGAAATTCCAGGGTTTGTCTTCTGTTTCCATTGAATTGACCACTTGCCTGTTTTTCAAATGCTCTAAACCTTCTATTTACATAATGCCTTTGTACCCTCTCATGTACTTCTCATACTGTCTCTAGCCTCTCATAACTAAAAGTACTGATACTATTACTTCAATTACCATTTTACATTTGTACTTTTCCTGACAGATTTTTCCGTAGTACTTTTCCAGGCAATTTCACCTGCATTATCTCTTCTGAATCTTGTAATAGACTTATGATGTAACAATAGTAATTATAATACCTAATATTTACGTGGTGTTATATAATTTGAAGACCATTTCACACACAGAATCTCATTTGGCCAGATCCATTTAATGAAGCTGTGGGGTGTTTTTCTCATTTTACGGATGAGAAAACTGGGTTCAGGGATGACAACCCATGCAAGTCCACACAACAAAGAATGATTTCTCCCGGCTGTCACTTCGGTGCTAAAATGCTCTGTAGTTTTTCTTTCTGCCACAGACACCCAGGAGCTTCTCTTCGCTGTGTTCCCGTGGCATTGGAGTGTGTCTCGTTTCTTGTCTTCATTAAGTCAATGGTCCTTTAGGTTTAGCATGCACCATTTATGTGACTGGGGTCTGCCCACATGATCTGGGAGTAGCCATTTAACAAGAAAATCACCTTTGTCTTCCATAGGTGCACTAAAAATACATTGATCATATTAATTTAGCACTTAGAACTGTTTCTCTCCAGTCCCTTAATTTAATATAAATGTGTTCCAGAACCCAGCTACCTGAGGCAGGGCTTCACTTGAATACAGAGGGCTTTTATTTTTCAGTACAAGGAAACTGATTCTTTCAGAGTTGCGAATCAAACCAGCCTGCTATACACACATTGTACCATTACAGCTTGTAGGATGGAATGTTGAGATCATTTTAGCTTGAGAGAGAAAGAGAAAGACTCAAAATATAAATTGTTCTTCATTTTTATCTATAACAAATGTGGTTGCTCTAATGATAGCACATGAAGCGGGTTGTTTTATCATTCCTTAAATAAGACCTTGACATTCAGTACCTCCTCTTCCTGTCATTTGAAAGCCAGGAGAGTTTAAATTGTGTTCACCCTAGTATCTGTTCTTCCCAGGCACGCAGATGGCTGATGCAGTTTATAATGGTAACTCTGGTGATTAGAGCAGCATTGCGCACATAATAAAGCAAGCAATATGCAAACAGCATGAGCTGGATTCTGGAGGGCTCCTCCACAGGGTCTGAACTACTGCAGAGCAAGGCATTTAGAAAAAAGGTGGCAAATTCATGGCCATGGGTTCCACACCATCAATCAAGGCTTTCTTGCTGATAATAGATATAGCTTCTGATTCTTTAAAATATAGAATTCTGGGTGCTTACTTACCAATCAGATCTGACTACAAGACGAAACTTATTTGCCATTTAAAAATTAGACGATCCCTAGCAAACAAGACTGCCAAGGATTGATCTTGGTCCCATGACTAATGGACCCCATGACCTGGTCCTACTACAAATGAACCCCATGGCCCTTGCTGTAAAGGTGACAACTCAAATATGTCACCTTATGTCGTAAAAGTGCACTTGACACTTACTGCCCCATTCGTATTGGGAACTACATTTACACTGATTCAAGGGCCACACTCCAATAATACTGGACAGTGGCTCCCCAACATATCACATGGTTCCAAACCTCTGTGCCCTTACATACCCTGTTCCTTCTGCCTGGAATGTCCTTTCCCTTCTAGGTGACTTATAAATCCTCTTGACATTTCAAGACTTCAAGATTAAATAATAGCAACTATCCATAACTCACTTCCTTCCTGGGTTATCTGCTACCCTTTCCCAACCCCTGCCAACCCTAGGCTAAGTGATGCACTCCTCTTCTGTGCTAACCATGTACTTTGGACATTCCTCTGTCATTCACTTATCTCACTGACATTATTAGTATTCATAGTGCTACTTCTGTGTCTGTCTCCCTAATAAAGTACAAGGCCCTTGAGGATAACAACACTCTCTTACTTATCCCCAGCACCAAAGTCAATGCCTAGCACACAGTAAATGCTCAGATGTGTGACAGAAAAATACATGGATTCATTTGTGAAAAATTAAAGAAGTGGGTACGTAATAAAAGGCAAAGGCAATCCTCCATGTGTTCATGTTTGCATCATTCAGAGGCAACACTTCCCACTCTACTCCCCTTTAAATTACAAATTTCTGCACGAAGACACTTGGGCTTCCTTCAGTGTATTAGTTAAGAGTGCATGTAGCTGCACAACAAAAAAACCTGAACAATCAGTTTAAACAAGCAAGGGTTTATTTTCTCACATAAGAAGTCTGGAACAAAGTGGCTGCTGATGTTGATTCAATGGTTTGCCATTATCAGGACTCGAAAATTCTATTCAATTATCCCCTCAAGATGTTTCCTAAATCTCTGGAGATAACTCCAACAGTCAGAACAGGAAGAAATGATAAGGGGGTTCCAGCTACATCTGCCTCCTCCCCAGACTTCTGCTCATATCTCATCGGCCAAAACCAAGTCACATGATCAGGGGATATGTCTCACCCCCAAAGGTGAGGGAGGCTGGTAAGCTGGAAGGAAATTATCCTGACTGACTTGGGCCAGGCATGATCCATCACTAGGGCTGGGCACATTGTCTCCTAAACCAAATCATAGTTCTCTTGGTAAGAAAGACAGGAGAACTAGATATTGAGCAGACAACTAAAGCATATGCGGATTCAGAAAATAGCTCAGCACTTTAAAAATAAAAGATTACATCAGAATGCAAAAGAATCAACATTCACCACTCACTGTGAATCTTAAGGTTTCTCCTTTAAGACCCAATGAACATGACTTCAGGTGCCCTCCTGACTGCTCCACTGCCAGGACTAAGGCTAAGGCCATGGCTTTGCAGCAATGACTTCACTATGCATTCAGCACAGATCTCTGAAACAGGAAGCTCGCCCAGATGTACTCAAATTCTGATTTTATGATATTACAACAATGAAATATCCTGTTCATTCAAGGAGCATCTCTGGAAAGGTGCTGATACACTGCTGGTGGGAGTGTAAACTGACACCAGCATTTTGAAAAGCAGTTTGACATTTTCTAGTTGTTCTGAAATTATACCCAGGACTTAATTTATAGAGGCATGACTGAGTGACAACACAGAGAAGCTAATGCCACTGTAGAATTTATTACTTCATTTCCCAAGAGAAGGGGGCATGCTTACCATGCAGGGCCACGTGGGAAGCACCGGTATGATCAGGAGGCAGAAGACAGGAGGTAGGGGAAAGCTGGGGGCACAGCCGTTATGACGGTTTCCTTGAAAAGGGAAGGCAGGGCAGAGTAAACAGTTTAGGATGAGCTAGTTTGAATAGCCTCTATCAGCCCTTGGGTTACAGGGTTGATCTCAAGTTGCCTGGAACTTGGCCCTGGGATAATTTAGGGCAGAAGAAGTATTGGCTTGGTATGTGAGAGTTAGATAAGGAAGGCGGTTGGGACTATAGATCCTGGATTTGTTGGCTTGTATATGAAAAGTATGCTCTTGGCCAAGCCCTTTGCAATCTCTAGGAATTGGCTCACCCTGGGAGGGGCAGTATCTCCCTGGGTCTGCAAGGCCCCCAAATGCCAGAGAATCAAGAATACAGAAAATGAGAAAAAACAGTTAATATACTTGGCCCTGTGATGAGTGGATGCCAAATAGACACACACAGAACACTAGTCAAGTTGAAGATATACATCTCTATGATCCAGAGATTCTATTCCTACATAAAAACCCTAGAAAAAATGCATGCACCAGGGAACATACCCAAACGTTAATACCAGTGGGTAAATAAATACCCAACGGGAGTGGGTAAACTGTAGCATATCCATACCCTGGGATGCCAAATGGCAATAAAAACAGATCAACTAGAGATGCGCTTAACATTAATGAAGCTCATAAACAATACAGAGTGAAAGAGGCGAAGATACAAAATAATATCTTGTATATGATTTTCCTTATCTAAAGTTCCAAAGCAGGCAAAACTAAACTATAGTGCTTAGGGATACAGAGGTGGTCAAACTGTAAAGAAAGTTGTGATCACCTTAAAAGTCAGAATAGAGTGCTTTCCCCTGGGAGATGAAGGGTTGTGGGGGGAAAGTAAGATGAGGGTTCCTGGGGTACTGATGATGTTGCATCCTTTGAAATAATGGTGTTCATTATTTGTTATACTAGACTTTTCTGTATGTATGCTATGTTTAATGATTTTTAAAGGGGTAAAAGAAAAAATGTAATTTATAGTCATTAAATGTCATTTATTAGGTACATAACCTCCCTTTATCAATGTAAAGCCTGCTGCTATAGTAGAAAGGTAAAAAAATATATATAATCTTCTTCTGGTATACCATGACTACTGTAGCATAAAATATATGTTTATGAAAAATAAATTGACCTGGTGTTTTTTTGATGACCCTAAATTCTCACATTATCTTGTCTGCCTGGAGCCAGGCCCTCAAAAACGTGGTTGCTAGTGTTTGCATTCTCCCTCCTGGGTCACCTCTTCCACAGAGGCAAATTTGAAAGCTGTTTCTGGAAGCCAGCATTGGCTGGTATTATGACCATATATAATTTTTTATATTTTTTAAGTAAGGAGGAATTATAAACTTCTTGAAGTTGGGAGGCAAAGAGATGCATCAAGGATAATTACATCCTGCCTGCTTCGGTGCCTCCTGTGGCTGCAACTGGATATGGTGCCCCTTCTTCATTTCCCATCCTAAACCAGTGTGCACTGCTGCTCTGTGTATGAAACAGCTGCCGGGGCCCTCCGCAGGCAGCTGCTTCTGGAGGTTGTGCGAAATGAGTCTGATATCCCTGGCGCCTCAGCACCTTAGCTCTAGGGTCCGTGATATGCTTCAGTGTACAGGTAAAAATTACGTGCTCAAAGCTTGAGATTTGCTTTTGGCTGCTTATTTTGTAAGCACCAAAGATCAGCATTTTATGGGGAAGCTCACATTCTCAGCAGGGGTGGGGGCTGAGGGGGGTATCTAATCAGCTGAGTGGCTTGAATTTTTGCCCTTGAACCAAAGCAGGTAGCAAGGGAGATACAAGGCAGTACCAGGACCACTCTGAAATCTTGAGGAAAAACCTAATTGCATAGCCAAGTGCGTTACTCTGGCTGGAGTTGGCAAGAGGCCTAAAGGGTAAAATGCTGAAAGTAGGGGCAGTATGGTAAAGGTTTTTCTGTTTTGTTTTGTTTTTTGGTTTAATTTCTGGAAGAATTTACTTATGCTATTAGATATTGTAGTGTTAAAGTGAAGAAGGGTTTTGTTAAAAAAAAAAAAAAAGAAATCTGCTAGGAAAACAAAGAAAGACAGGGATATACAGGGAAAGAGATTTAAAGAGAGACAGAACACGAAGGAATACAGAGATGGATAGAGTTCCTAAAAGCAGAAACATGCTGAAAGACAGAGGTTTCTGTCCTGACAGTGGACAGGAACTTCCCTTGCCTTTGTTCATTCTGGAGGGTAAATATGTCAAGTTAGAACTCTTTGCACTCTCCAGGTTAGTACCGTACTTAAACCCATTTAATTACTGTGATGGATTGCATTCTTACCACCAAAAACCTTGTTCTCACTCGCCCTAACTACTAATGGGCTATAAATAGGGCCTTTAAAAAGGAAACCATGTTTGATGTGGATTGTGTTCACCTGTGTTAATGACCTGCTGGGGAAACAGATTAGCTGCTGTCTGCCCATGACACTGCATCATGCATTTTACCACTGACCTGGTCTGGCCCAGTCCAGCGGGACAGAGGGCACTGCCCTGACTGTATATAAATCCAGGCTTTTATTGTGAAAAGAAACATCTCCAGTGAAGGAGAGCATTTATAGCAGGACAGAAAGAGCTCCAGTTATTGTTTGGTAAGCAGTTGAGTCCTAGGAGACTCTTCCAGGCGATGAGCAACTTCAGCTGGAAATAACTAAACAGCTCTAAAGGGAACGGGGGCTAAGGGGAAGGGGAAGTAATGAGCTCCAAGCCACGAAAGAGTTAGAGCATAATTAACTCCCCCATGGTCTCACTGATGGTGTAGCGGTGCTGTCCAACCCTCCCAGCCCTTCCTCTTCAGCTAGAATTAAAGTTTAATTCAGTCTCAAAAGGGCATTAGGAAAAAAGCACTGCACAGTACAACAGGAAGAAATCAATGAACTTTACGGAGAAAAGATTACAACGTGGCTGCTCCTTCCTGCACAGTTTGCAGAGTGGGCTGACTTTAAAGTGCAACTATTGGATCATCTGAAGTAGACTGAAGGAAGTCTAAGTCTGGGCCATTTGGGAGAGAAAATGATGGAAATAGCTGTCTGATGCCTGGAGAAGCTATTTGTTTTGACTACTGCTGCTGCTATTTTCCTGAAGGTTGGAGCTCACAGGACTGGAAAATCAGCACCCTGAGCTGAGTAAAAGTATTTTCTTCAAACAGCTGGGAGGCCCTGTGCTTTGGCAGCTACATGCCTTTTTGGGTGTTCTGTGCTCAGGACAGGGAAACCTATTGTCAGTGGCCTATCTTCCACATTTCACAGCCACGGCAGATCATCATTAATACCTCCTCCTCTATTCAGCAAAATTATTTCTATCAATAATTGGAAATTTTAAAAATAATGTGGCCAGGAAAGGCAGTGAAAATTTTTCTTTACTATATTTTTATACAATATAGCCCTGCAAGAAAGAAAGGAAGAAAGGAAGGGAGAGAGGGAAAGTTTATTATACATACATAAAAGGGAAAGGCACAACTATTTATTCAAGGGTTTTATATCCACCTTACAGCATGAGCTTTGATCCTTTCTTTACAATATATTATTTTATATAAAGAATTGTCCAGCGACATCTAAATAAATTTTAATAAAACCAAAATGTCTACAAAAAATACAAGTCAGGCAGCTATGAAATCATACAATTGTGGTACTATTTTATTTACTGGATTCATTATTTAGTTTTAAAAGGAATAATTATAATTTTAAAAGAAGAGTGCATTTCCATTTTAAAGCTATTATTTACATTCAGTAAAACAGTTTATGTATGAACTAGAATATGCACTTAACAAAAATTTCATACCGCACCAATTTTCAGTGTTTCACCGTTTCAAATTTTAAACACAAACACTCAAAATGTTTGAGTGTCAGAAATGAGGTAATTCAACTTGTTTCTTTGTCTTTTGCAATCCTTGTTCTTTTTCAAATCTACTGTAGGAATATCCAGCACAATAAGCATTGAAGAAACAAATGGCAACGCAAGCTTAAAGAATTCCAAGCCATTATGAACTGACTCTTCAAATAAGTGCTTATTTTCACATAACCAGGGAGTTTCTGGATTAACTTCCATATAAGACATATTTATTAAAAGGTAAATAATTTGGCCGGGCGCGGTGGCTCATGCCTATAATCCCAGCACTTTGGGAGGCTGAGGCAGGCGGATCACAAGGTCAGGAGATTAAGACCATCCTGGCTAACACGGTGAAACCCCGTCTCTATAAAAATACAAAAATAGCTGGGTGTGGTGGCACGTGCGTGTAATCTCAGCTACTGGGGAGGCTGAGGCAGGAGAATCGCTTAAACCTGGGAAGTGGAGGTTGCAGTGAGCTGAGATTGCGCCACTGCACTCCAGCCTGGGCGACAGAGCGAGACTCCGTCTCAAAAAAAAAAAAAAAAAAAGGTAAATAATTAAAATGTGCTGATTTGAAGCCTATATAGCATTAAAACTCAACAGTAACCACAACTATTGTTTAACATTTAGATCATTGAAAATTTTGTCAGGGAAGAGTTTTTATTATGACATTATTTAGAAGTGGGGGTACATGGTGCTATTAGAAAATGGATCTCAGGGATTGTATGCAGTATTTCAAGCAGCTGGGCGTGGTGGCTCAAGCCTGTATCCTAACACATTGGGAGGCTGAGGGGGGTGGATTGCTTGAGCCCAGGAGTTCAAGACCAGCCTGAACAACATAGTGAGCCCACATCTCTACAGAAAATACAAAAATATGCTGTGCATGGTGGTGCATGCCTGTAGTTCCAGCTACTCGGGAGGCTTAGGTGGGAGGATCACTTGAGCCTTGGAGATGAAGCCTACAGTGATCTGAGATTGTGCCACTGCACTCCAGCCTGGGCAAAGGGAGTGAGACCGTGTCTCAGGAAAACAAAAACAAAAAAGCAAAAAACAGATCCCATTTTAGTTGATTTGTCATTGTTTTTTAATTCTTTACAGATTTGCACCCCTATTGCTGGCACTGGGTGGACCTCCCCAAACGCTCTGCCCTTGGTGCTCTTCTGCCGGTTATTCTCGTCCATGACCCCAGAGCCAGGGAGAATCTCACCAGTGCAGCCCAGGGCACTTCTGATAACATCTGAGCAGAGTGAAGGAGAAGAAACGCACGAGGCAGGCATCTCATTTATGGAAGTGCTCCTCTGGGTCAAGCCCTCTGCCAATAATTTTCATGCATAATGGCCCTTTCATTCTCCCCAAAAATTCTTCAAGGGAGGGTGATAATCCCAGGATATGGAAACAAGGAAAAGCAGACTACAAGAAGTTAAGTGACCTCCCCAATGACCCGCTGCTCATAAATGGTAGTATCAGAATTAAAACCCAGATGAGGCTGCCCAGGACTGAGGTTTGTGTTACCCCCCGAAGGTGCGCACCATGGAGAATGGCCTGGAGTTTCCTGGCTGCATGTAAGTGCAGGAAGACATGCTAAGGGTACCACCGCTCTCAGTAGAGCAAGCACACTTCTCTCGGGCTCTTTCCTGAATTCAAGTAATCACACCTCGCACACCAACCCACTGCCAAGAAAGAGCTTTTATTTGACTCAGGAGGTAGAGAAAGTTTCACTGAAGGATTTCTAAATTTGTTCTCTTTCTTTCTTCCTTCCTTTTCTTTCTTCCTTCTTTCCTTCCTTTCTCTTTTCTTTCTTTTGTTCATTCTCTTTCATTTTTCTTTCTTTTTTTCTTTCTCTTTCTTTCCCTTGTCCATTCATTCGCCTTTCCTTTCTTTATTTTTCTTGGCTTTTTTCTTTCATTTCTTTATATTCCCCTCTTTCGCTTTCTCTGAATTTTTATGTCTCTTTTTTGTTCTTTTTTATTCCCTTTTTAACCCACTTCCTTAACAACATCTGTATCTCGGGTGAAATTGCTGGAACTGTCACATTAAGTTCCAGAGAATTTCTCATTTGGGACCTTGCATATCACACATGGCTCCAAGGGGCTGATGGATTCCTTTTATGTCCTCTTTACTACTAAAGTTTATAGGGAACATCTTGCGTCTCTCTCTTTTCTCTGCTACATTAAAAATGATCATCTAGCTCTCCATATGGCCAAAGTTTGAGGTCTTGCTTACTGGTTAGTATTGATTAGTACTTATTCATAACTGGTATAATATTTTTCCTACAGAGTACAAATTGCAATTTGCAGTATCAGACCTTAGAAAGCTTTGGACCACATAATAAATGCAAGATTTGACAAACATGAATCATGTTCTTTCTTCTCCTCTCCACTTTAGGCAGAGCTATTTTGTGTTTTTTGTGGTCTTGCCTTTGAGTATGACCAGGGGCAACAAGTTAAATGCTTGCCATCTCAGACTACCGGGGGAAGGGCTCCTCCCCAGTCACCAATGTGAGTGGCATAATGAGAGCTAAGGATAGCCCGGGGCCATGGGACTGCTACACAGCAGAGCCTTCCTTGAGTTTGTCTCCTCTGGAGGCATGTCCTTGACAATCTTCATAGCAACAAAACAGGTCAGTGAGGAAGGGAGAGAGCAACTGAAGGCTTCCTCTCCTTCCATAGCTAGCAGAGCAACAGGCATCCTTACTATTATTTTCATTTTTATCCATTTACCTAGTCAAAACACATAGGAAGAGAATAAGCATCTTCAGAATAACAAAAATGTATTAGTTAGGGTTAGGTTCCTCTGCATATAACAGTAGCTTACATAAGTGACTTAATGATATACAAATTTATTTTTCCCCACATAAAAGAGGTCTTGAGGTGGGCAGCCCCGAGGTGTAATGGAAGTTCCACAGTTACTGAAAACCAGGTGCTTTTTTATCTTTCTTTGCCATATACTTAACATATGGCTTTCATCCTCAAGGTCACCTCATGGTCCAAGATAGCTGTTGGAATGCCAGCCATCATTTCTGCTTTCTAGGAGAGAACCAGGAAAAACGGAAAGGCAAAACATGTAGCTCTCCCGGTTGAGGCAGCATTCTTGAAGATTTCTGGAAACCCAACAAACAACTCCTACTTACAGGAGGCTAGGAAATATGTCTCTGTATCTAGGCCCATCACCAACCAGAATACAATCAGAACCTGTGAGTGAGGAAGGAGAGAATCAATACTATGTAGGCATCCAGCAGTCTCTGCTCCAAGCGAGGTGCCAGCCCCTGAGCTAAGAACTTTATATACATAGCCCTGCTTCTTCCTCAAAATACCTCCACTAGCCACAGGCCATCAGAGCTACAGAAGTCTCAGGAATTATTAATCCACCAACCCAATTTTATTTTAACTAACGTTTGAGTAGAGCTTTAGCATTTACAGAACTATGCCCCAGATCTCACTGAATTCTCAAAAACACTCCCTTAAGGTAAATATTATCTTAACTTGATTTTCCCGTGCAGGAAGTTGAAATCTAGAAAGATTTCAGTGGTTGGCTCAAAGTCACATAGCTAATTAGAGGCAAAACTGGTACTAGCACTCAGATCTCCTGATACCTAGCCCATCTTCCTTCCTTTCTTTCTCCTTCCTTCCTTCATTCCTTGCTTCTTTCTTTCCTTCCTTCCTTCCTTTCTTTCTTTTTCTTTCCCTTTCTTTCCTTCCTTCCTTCTTTTTTTCTTAGAGATGAAAGATACAGAAAAGTTCAGAGATTATTATAAATGTCAAACCACTATCAACAAATGCTGATGTTTTTGTCATTTTGCTTCAGAACTTTTTACTTTTAGATTTAAAAAAATTACTGAGAAGACTGAAATCCATTTTGTATTCCTCATCAATCACATTCCCCTTCCTCTCCAGAAATAATCAATATCATGAATTTGATGTGTATCTCCCTGGTCCATATTTCTCTTTTAATTTCTCACATGCATTCATAAATAATATAAATTGATCTTTTTGAAGCCTTTCTTTTTCACTCAACAATTGTTTTTGAACTTTATCCAGGTTATTGCATACAGTTCATTCATTCTAATTGCTATGGGATGTTCTATCCATAAATATACAGTACATTTTATTTGTCCATTTCTATTTTCCTTCTACATATATTGAGAGCTTATTATGTGCCAGGAAGTATTCTAAAAGCTTTTTGTGTATTATCTCAATCATCATAACAAGTCCACGAGGAAGAGATTGTTATAATCCCTGGTGTATATAAGGAAGAAACTAAAGCAAGACAGAAATAGGAATCAGCCCAAGGTTTCACAGCTCTTAAGCCACAGAGCTAGAATTCAACACCAGAAGATCTGAATCCAGAATCCCGTCCCTTGACTTCTACTCTAAATAACCCAGGCAAACTCAGGCATCCTCACCAGTACAGCCATTCCTGTTATTAAAATATTGCCCAAAACACTCTGCCCGGATCTGGCAGGACCCTGCCCCACTCTATGACCAGCATATGTTCTGATTGGCTGGTGCCTGCCTGTACCTATTTTATTGCTAAATATTTTGAAAACCACTCCTATTCTGTACTGACTAGACACTTGGGTTGTTTCCAATTCTTCGCCTCTACAAACAAGAAGACCTAGGGGTAGAAATGCTGAGTCATACATTATACCTATCAAAGATTTTACTAAAAACTGCTGATTGCTCTCGAAAGTTGACTACATTCATGAAATATACTAATAAGCTAATGTAAACTCCCATTTCTCACCAGTATTTTATGTCATTAACCATTTTGATTTTGCCAGTTTGTTGGGAATAAAAGTGTATCTCCTTGTCTTTATTTGCATTTTGCTGATTACTAATAAGGTAGAAAGTTTTTTTAATGTGTTTATTTGCCATTTGGATTTATTCTGGTTTGAATTGTCTTTCTCTGCTCTTTGCTTTTTTTTAAAGTGGCTTCTTCTTTTATGTATTATCTCTTTTTTTTCGAATGTGTATATTTTCCTTTGTTTTTTTTCTTTCCAACTTTTAGGGTCAAGGGGTAAATGTGCAGGTTTCTTACATGGGTATATTGTGTGTCACAGGGGTTTGGTATACAGATAATTTTGTCACCCAGGTAGTCATCATAGTACCCAGTAAGTAGTTTACCTGCCCTCCCCCTCCCACCAACCTCTTCCTTTATATGGTTTGGACATTAATCCTTTGCCTATAATACCTGGTACAAATTCTCCCCCTGCCTCATCTTTCCTGTTTTAATTTTAAACTTTATATACTCAAATGGATAAATATTTTTCTTTATAGGATACACTTATTGGTATTTTAAAGAGTTTTCTCACTCTAGAAATAGTGAAGAAATCCGGTATTTTGTTCTTATTATTTTATAACTTTGTTTCTTATGTTTATTTTTGTGTGTGGTATGAGAAAGGAATCCAGCAATTTTCTTCTCCCTGGAAATTGTTCCAACATCATTAATTTAGTAAGTCATCTTTTCCCCACTGATTTTTAGTACCACTTTGAACACACATATCCAAGTAACCTATGTGTACTGATCTGTTTCTCAGTCTTCTATGCTATTTCATCAATTTGTTTTTCTCTTCTCGGTATTCTTTCAGTTTAATTCTCTGGCTTAAAAATAATGCATGCTAGAGCCTGATGCCTTCTATCTACTCATACAATTCCTGTTGCCCTGATGCTGCACACAAGCCTAAAAGTTTGTTAAGTGTCTGACAGTTCTTCAGGAAGGGAAGCTAGAAGGCATATGGTCTCTTTGATTTCCACATCGGAGATTCCACTTGCGTGACTGAGAGATCTACCTGTTTAGAGTGCATTCCTCTGCAGTAGAAGGAAGAATAAATTCTTTTTTTTCTAAGATTTTTTTTTTATTATTATACTTTAAGTTCTAGGGTACATGTGCACAACATGCAGGTTTCTTACATATGTATACATGTGCCATGTTGGTGTGCTGCACCCATTAACTCATCATTTACATTAGGTATATCTCCTAATGCTATCCCTCCCCCCTCCCCCCACCCCACAACAGGCCCCAGTGTGTGATGTTCCCCTTCCTGTGGCCAAGTATTCTCATTGTTCAATTTCCACCTATGACTGAGAACATGCGGTGCTTGGTTTTTCGTCCTTGTGATAGTTTGCTGAGAATGATGGTTTCCAGCTTCATCCACGTCCCTACAAATGACATGAACTCATCCTTTTTTACGGCTGCATAGTATTCCACGGTGTATACGTGCCACATTTTCTTTTTTTGTTTTATTTTATTATTATTATACTTTAAGTTTTAGGGTACATGTGCACAATGTGCAGGTTAGTTACTTATGTATACATGTGCCATGCTGGTGTGCTGCACCCATTAACTCATCATTTAGCATTAGGTATATCTCCTAATGCTATCCCTCCCTACTCCCCCCACCCAACAACAGTCCCCACAGTCTGATGTTCCCCTTCCTGTGTCCATGTGTTCTCATTGTTCAATTCCCACCTATGAGTGAGAACATGCGGTGTTTGGTTTTTTGTCCTTGCGATAGTTTACTGAGAAGGATGATTTCCAATTTCATCCATGTCCCTACAAAGGACATGAACTCATCATTTTTTATGGCTACATAGTATTCCATGGTGTATATATGCCACATTTTCTTAATCCAGTCTATCGTTGTTGCACATTTGGCTTGGTTCCAAGTCTTTGCTATTGTGAATAGTGCCGCAATAAACATACGTGTGCATGTGTCTTTATAGCAGCATGATTTATAGTCTTTTGGGTATATACCCAGTAATGGGATGGCTGGGTCAAATGGTATTTCTAGTTCTAGATCCCTGAGGAATTGCCACCTGACTTCCACAATGGTTGAACTAGTTTACAGTCCCACCAACAGTGTAAAAGTGTTCCTATTTCTCCACATCCTCTCCAGCACCTGTTGTTTCCTGACTTTTTAATGATCACCATTCTAACCGGTGTGAGATGGTATCTCACTGTGGTTTTGATTTGCATTTCTCTGATGGCCAGTGATGATGAGCATTTTTTCATGTGTCTGTTGGCTGCATAAATGTCTTCTTTTGAAAAGTGTCTGTTCATATCCTTCGCCCACTTTGTGATGGGGTTGGGGTTGTTTTTTTCTTGTAAGTTTGTTTGAGTTCTTTGTAGATTCTGGATATTAGCCCTTTGTCAGATGAGTAGATTGCAAAACTTTTCTACCATTCTGTAAGTTGCCTGTTCACTCTGACGGTAGTTTCTTTTGCTGTGCAGAAGCTCTTTAATTAGATCTCATTTGCCAATTTTGGCTTTTGTTGCCATGGCTTTTGGTGTTTTAGACATGAAGTCCTTGACCATGCCTATGTCCTGAATGGTATTGCCTAGGTTTTCTTGTAGGGTTTTTATGGTTTTAGGTCTAATATTTAAGTCTTTAATCCATCTTGAATTAATTTTCGTATAAGGTGTAAAAGGGATCCAGTTTCAGCTTTCTACATATGGCTAGCCAGTTTTCCCAGCACCATTTATTAAATAGGGAATCCTTTCCCCGTTTCTTGTTTTTGTCAGGTTTGTCAAAAATCAGATGGTTGTAGATGTGTGGTATTATTTCTGAGGGCTCTGTTCTGTTCCATTGGTCTGTATCTCTGTTTTGGTACCAGTACCATGCTGTTTTGGTTACTGTAGCCTTGTAGTATAGTTTGAAGTCAGGTAGCGTGATACCTCCACCTTTGTTCTTTTGGCTTAGGATTGACTTGGCAATGCGGGCTCTTTTTTGGTTCCATATGAACTTTAAAGTAGTTTTTTCCAATTCTGTGAAGAAAGTCATTGGTAGCTTGATGGGGATGGCATTGAATCTATAAATTACCTTGGGCAGTATGGCCATTTCTACGATATTGATTCTTCCTATCCATGAGCATGGAATGTTCTTCCATTTGATTGTGTCCTCTTTTATTTCACTGAGCAGTGGTTTGTAGTTCTCCTTGAAGAGATCCTTCACATCCCTTGTAAGTTGGATTCCTATGTATTTTATTCTCTTTGAAGCAATCGTGAATGGGAGTTCACTCATGATTTGGCTCTCTGTTTGTCTGTTATTGGTGTATAAGAATGCTTGTGATTTTTGCCCATTGATTTTGTATCCTGAGACTTTGCTGAAGTTGCTTATCAGCTTAAGGAGATTTTGGGCTGAGACGATGGGGTTTTCTAGATATACAATCATGGCATCTGGAAACAGTGACAATTTGACTTCCTCTTTTCCTAATTGAATACCATTTGTTTCTTTCTCCTGCCTGATTGCCCTGGCCTAGAAGTGGTGAGAAAGGGCATCCCTGTCTTGTGCCAGTTTTCAAAGGGAATGCTTCCAGTTTTTGCCCATTCAGTATGATATTGGCTGTGGGTTTGTCATAAATAGCTCTTATTATTTTGAGATACGTTGCATCAATACCTAATTTATTGAGAGTTTTTAGCATGAAGGGCTGTTGAATTTTGTCAAATGCCTTTTCTGCATCTATTGAGATAATCATGTGGTTTTTGTCATTGGTTCTGTTTATATGCTGGATTACATTTATTGATTTGCGTATGTTGAACCAGCCTTGCATCCCAGGGATGAAGCCCACTTGATCATGGTGGATAAGCTTTTTGATGTGCTGCTGGATTCAGTTTGCCAGTATTTTATTGAGGATTTTTGCATTGATGTTCATCAAGGATATTGGTCTAAAATTCTCTTTTTTTGTTGTGACTCTGCCAGGCTTTGGTATCAAGATGATGCTGGCCTCATAAAATGAGTTAGGGAGGATTCCCTCTTTTTCTATTGATTGGAATAGTTTCAGAAGGAATGGTACCAGCTCCTCCTTGTACCTCTGGTAGAATTCAGCTGTGAATACGTCTGGTCTTGGACTTTTTTTGGTTGGTAAGCTATTAATTCTTGCCTCAATTTCAGAGCCTATTATTGGTCTATTCAGAGATTCAACTTCTTCCTGGTTTAGTCTTGGGAGGGTGTATTTGTCCAGGAATTTATCTATTTCTTCTAGATCTTCTAGTTTATTTGTGTAGAGGTGTTTATACTATTCTCTGATGGTAGTTTGTATTTCTGTGGGATCGGTGTTGATATCCCCTTTATCATTTTGTATTGTGTCTATTTGATTCTTCTCTCTTTTCTTCTTTATTAGTCTTGCTAGCGGTCTATCAATTTTGTTGATCTTTTCAAAAAACCAGCTCCTAGATTCATTGATTTTTTTGAAGGATTTTTTGTGTCTCTATCTCCTTCCGTTCTGCTCTGATTTTAGTTATTTCTTGCCTTCTGCTAGCTTTTGAATGTGTTTGCTCTTGCTTCTCTAGTTCTTTTAATTATGATGTGAGGGTGTCAGTTTTAGATCTTTCCTGCTTTCTCTTGTGGGCATTTAGTACTATAAATTTCCCTCTACACACTGCTTTGAATGTGTCCCAGAGATTCTGATATGTTGTGTCTTTGTTCTCATTTGTTTCAAAGAACATCTTTATTTCTGCCTTCATTTTGTTATGTACCCAGTAGTCATTCAGGAGCAGGTTGTTCAGTTTCCATGTAGTTGCATGGTTTTGAGTGAGTTTCTTAATCGTGAGTTCTAGTTTGATTGCACTGTGGTCTGACAGATAGTTTGTTATAATTTCTGTTCTTTTACATTTGCTGAGGAGTGCTTTACTTCCAACTATGTGGTCAATTTTGGAATAAGTGCAATGTGGTGCTGAGAAGAATGTATATTCTGTTGATTTGGGGTGGAGAGTTCTGTAGATGTCTATTAGGTCTGCTTGGTGTAGAGCTGAGTTCAATTCCTGGATATCCTTGTTAACTTTCTGTCTCGTTGATCTGTCTAATGTTGACAGTGGTGTGTTAAAGTCTCCCATTATTATTGTGTGGGAGTCTAAGTCTCTTTGTAGGTCACTCCGGACTTGCTTTATGAATCTGGGTGCTCCTGTATTGGGTGCATGTATATTTAGGATAGTTTGCTCTTCTTGTTGAATTGATCCCTTTATCATTATGTAATGGCCTTCTTTGTCTCTTTTGATCTTTGTTGGTTTAAAGTCTGTTTTATCCGAGACTAGGACTGCAACCCCTGCCTATTTTGTTTTCCATTTGCTTGGTAGATCTTCCTCCATCCTTTTATTTTGAGCCTATGTGTGTCTCTGCACGTGAGATGGGTCTCCTGAATATGGCACACTGATGGGTCTTGACTCTTTATCCAATTTGCCAGTCTGTGTCTTTTAATTGGAGCATTTAGCCCATTTACATTTAAGGTTAATATTGTTATGTGTGAATTTGATCCTGTCATTATGATGTTAGCTGGTTGTTTTGCTCATTAGTTATGCAGTTTCTTCCTAGCATCAATGGTCTTTACAATTTAGCCTGTTTTTGCAGTGGCTGATATCAGTTGTTCCTTTCCATGTTTAGTGCTTCCTTCAGGAGCTCTTTTAGGGCAGGCCTGGTGGAGACAAAATCTCTCAGCATTTGCTTGTCTGTAAAGGATTTTATTTCTCCTTCACTTATGAAGCTTAGTTTGGCTGGATATGAAATTCTGGGTTGAAAATTCTTTTCTTTAAGAATGTTAAATATTGGCCCCCACTCCTTTCTGGCTTGTAGAGTTTCTGCTGAGACATCTGCTGCTAGTCTGATGGGCTTCCCTTTGTGGGTAACCCGACCTTTCTCTCTGGCTGCCCTTAACATTTTTTCCTTCATTTCAACTTTGGTGAATCTGACAATTATGTTTCTTGGAGTTGCTCTACTCGAGGAGTATCTTTGTGGCGTTCTCTGTAATTCCTGAATTTGAATGTTGGCCTGCCCTGCTAGGTTAGGGAAGTTCTCCTGGATAATATCCTGCAGAGTGTTTTCCAACTTGGTTCCATTCTCCCCGTCACTTTCAGATACGCCAATCAGACGTAGATTTGGTCTTTTCACATAGTCCCATATTTCTTGGAGGCTTTGTTTGTTTCTTTTTATTCTTTTTTCTCTAAACTTCTCTTCTCGCTTCATTTCATTCATTTGATCTTCAATCACTGATACCTTTTCTTCCAGTTGATCAAATCGGCTACTGAAGCTTGTGCATTCATCATGTAGTTCTCGTGCCATGATTTTCAGCTCCATCAGGTCATTTAAGGACTTCTCTACACTGGTTACTCTAGTTAGCCTTTCGTCTAATCTTTTTTCAAGGTTTTTAGCTTCTTTGTGATGGGTTTGAAGTTCCTCTTTTAGCTTGGAGAAGTTTGATCTTCTGAAGCCTTCTTCTCTCAACTCGTCAAACTCATTCTCCATCCAGCTTTGTTCCGTTGCTGGTGAAGAGCTACGTTCCTTTGGAGGGGGAGAAGCACTCTGATTTTTAGAATTTTCAGCTTTTCTGCTCTGTTTTTTCCCCATCTTTGTGGTTTTATCTACCTTTGGTCTTTGATGATGGTGACGTACAGATTGTCCTTTCTGTTTGTTAGTTTTCCTTCTAACAGTCAGGACCCTCAGCTGCAGGTCTGTTGGAGTTTCCTGGAGATCCACTCCGGACCCTGTTTGCCTGGGTATCAGCAGCAGAGGCTACAGAACAGCGAATATTACTGAACAGCAAATGTTGCTGCCTGATCCTTCCTCTGGAAGTTTCATCTCAGAGGGGTACCCAGCCGTGTGAGGTGTCAGTCTGCCCCTACTGGGGGGTGCCTCCCAGTTAGGCTACTCGGGGGTCAGGGACCCACTTGAGGAGGCAGTCTGTCCGTTCTCAGATCTCAAACTCCATGCTGGGAGAACCACTACTCTCTTCAAAGCTGTCAGACAGGGACACTTAAGTCTGCAGAGGTTTCTGCTGCCTTTTGTTTGGCTATGCCCTACCCCCAGAGGTGGAGTCTACAGAGACAGGCAGGCCTCCTTGAGCTGTGGTGGGCTCCACCCTGTTCAAGCTTCCCGGCCACTTTGTTTACCTACTCAAGCCTCAGCAATGGCGGGCACCCCCCCACCCCCAGCCTTGCTGCTGCCTTGCAGTTCGATCTCAGACTGCTGTGCTAGCAATGAGTGAGGCTCCGTTGGCGTGGGACCCTCTGAGCCAGGCATGGGATATAATCTCCTGGTGTGCCGTTTGCTAAGACCATTGGAAAAGTGCGGTATTAGGGTGGGAGTGACCTGATTTTCCAGGTGCTGTCTGTCACAGCTTTGCTTGGATAGGAAAGGGAATTCCCTGACCCCTTGTGCTTCCTGGGTGAGGTGATGCCTCACCCTGCTTCGGCTCACTCTTGGTGTGCTGCACCCACTGTCCTGCACCCACTGTCTGACAAGCCCTAGTGAGATGAACCCTGTATCTCAGTTGGAAATGCAGAAATCACCCGTCTTCTGCATCTCTCATGCTGGGAGCTATAGACTGGAGCTGTTCTTATTCAGCCATCTTGGAACTGCCCCCAGGAAGAATAAATTCTAAAGGTAGTGAGTAAGAAGGAATGAGTCCCAGGTTCTGCATCCACACAGATATCCCCACTGCTAACATCCATTCTCTGACATCCAAGTAAATGTCAATGACAGCACATTATTCATAACCATCATTCTTATTAATTTACATTGACCAAGATAACACAGGTATCCAAAAAAGATTGAAAAATAATCAATTCCAGAGCTTAGGCAATAAAGCAAGTTTTAAAATCACATTGCTTTTTGGAAATGATCATATTCATACTATATAATGATCTGCACTCTATAGTACTTTACAGCATTTGGGCATCTGTGTATATCCAAGGTTTAGAGTCTGGCTCTGGGAAAAGCCCCTTCAGCACAGTTATATACACTGTAGGCAGAGAATGTGAGGGTTGATCAGTGTCCTGCATACAACACCCTGAAATAAACCAGGGCACAAAAGAAATAGATCCTGGCCCAGAATGGTGCCTCACATCTATAATCCAAGCACTTTGGGAGATCAAGGCAGGTGGATCACTTGAGCCCAGGAGTTCCAGAACAGCCTGGGCAACATGGAGAAACCCTGTCTCTACAAAAAATATACACACAAAAAATTAGTTGGTTGTGGTGGTGTACACCTGTAGTCCTAGCTACTGGGGAGGCTGAAATGGGAGGATCGCCGAAGCTCAGGAGGTCAATGCTGCAGTGAGCCGTGATTGCGCCACTGCACTCCAGTCTGAGTGAAAGAGTGAGACCTTATCTCAAAAAAATAAATAAAAAGAAAGAAAGAAAGAAATAGATCCCTCACAGCAGTCCTGAGTTTGACTATAGCAGTTATCTCTCCTCTGCCTGAGTATAGACTCAGCCCAGAGACCAGTGGGGATGAGGAGGATGGGGACCGTCTAGGAATCAGTATCTCATAGAACCCAGCTTTTGACCCTCACCTCAACCCAACCATAATGGATAGAAATATGTATCATTATTCTTTGTCAGTATTAAGAAGATCATAGGCAGTCCTGACAAAGTGCTTTTCAGCTCAAACCACCAGCGTTATTTTTCCTATTCTGTAAATCATTAAGTACCTGATCTATAGAATTTTTAAACTCTTGCAAGAGACTCTTGCACGGCAGCTTCAAGAATATGCCACAGTTCAATCAGAAAGCCGTTTTTAATATTAGGATGTATTTTTCCACAGACAATTTGACTCCCAGTGGTGGAATGTGGGGGTGGAGGAGTGAGGAGGAGTAATTCCTAAAACATCTTGACTCTGGTTTTGCCGGAGAGTTTGTATAAAATATGATTATCAAGATACTGATTGCACAGAGCCAACATTACAGATGCACATCTTTTTACTCCATCTCTTTACTCTCTTTTCCCTTTTTCCAAATGAAATTTTACACAAGTAAAGGAAGATCATTTTTGTTAACTCAAGAAATGTAAGGATATTTCTGATTTGTAGCCTCTAATTTCTGTAATTAAAATTATATATTGCTCAGATTAAATTTGAATAGAAAGGCAATCAACTGTATAGCCAAGGATATTTCTTTTTTAAAATGTATTTCTCTCCTGCATTAGAACTGGCATGATTCTTCTGGTCTTCACCAAGCAAAACAATTGTTTTTTAAAAGGAGAATAATTCAGTCTACTCATTCATTTAAAGCAAGAAATTTTGAAGAGGATGAAATGAGAATTCCACAACTCCTTACTTAAAACCATAATTGGAAAATCCCCATAAGATTGTCCTCTGGGTTCACACCTAGGGATCAAATTTCAGGTAAAGCTGTGTTTTAACAAGATTCACCCAATTCTTCCAATAATAAACCACATTGGACAGGTTCCAAGACAAAAATGCCATGTATTGTATTATGCATAATAGCAAGTCATATTTATGCAGGGCCTTGGTATGATTTACAATTGTTTATCAATTTTTATTTCTTTTTATTCTGTTTTTTTTTTTTTGTTTTTTTTTTTTTTTGAGACGGAGTCTCGCTCTGTCGCCCAGGCTGGAGTGCAGTGGCGCAATCTCGGCTCACTGCAAGCTCCGCCTCCCGGGTTCACGCCATTCTCCTGCCTCAGCCTCCCAAGTAGCTGGGACTACAGGCGCCCACCACCACGCCCGGCTAATTTTTTGTATTTTTAGTAGAGACGGGGTTTCACCGTTTTAGCCGGGATGGTCTCGATCTCCTGACCTCGTGATCTGCCCGCCTCGGCCTCCCAAAGTGCTGGGATTACAGGCGTGAGCCACCGCGCCCGGCCTTATTCTGTTTCTTAACATGTGAACCTGACTGGCATGCTTACATCAATTGCTCTTTTTTCTTGCTTTGTTGTGGCTGTGTTTTAATGAAAACTCTTCATCCTGAAAGACATCCAGCTCCATGCCAGATCAATGGAATCTGCAGGTTTTCTTTCTGGAATATAAAACAAGAGCTTGGATTCAACTGGCCAAGAAATATATTTGCTAATGAGGCTTTCCTCAAAGGTCACTCATTCATTCAGCAAGTATTTACTGAGCACCTCTTAGGCTCCAGGCATTGTGCATGTCTGTGAATATAAAAGTGAATGAAGCAGACATATGGCCCCTGACTGTGTGGTGGCTGAAATGCAATGGGGAAGACTGAAACAAGCAAACATCTAATTATACATTGTATTACATTGAGGGAGGAAAAAACAGAATACTGTGATAGAGAATAATGCAGTGCAGAGCACTGCTACTTAGAACAGTTGAGGAAAGCCTCGTGGAAGTCTTTTAAGCCAAGTCCTAATTGATAAGGGAGACCCAACCACTGAAAGAGAGGAGGGGAGTATGTCAGTAGAATAGCAGATGTGAGGGTCTGGCAAAGGGCGTAGACAATCGATGCTCACCATCTTTGCCCACCTACCTGCTGGCCAGCTTCACAGGGCAAGTCCAGTTCATTTCCCCTAAGAAGCCTTCCTGCCCATCCACGCGTGGTCCTCTCTTCCACAACCTCCTCCAGCATTTCAATTGTTCCCCATGACTTACCACTGAGCCATATGCTGGGTTGTATTGTCCTCAGATGGTTCCTGTGGTTAAACCTGTCTCTTTCACAAGTTTTGCAAACCCACTGAAGACAGAGGGCATGTGCCCCTTTTGCACCCCATGCCATGTCTGCTGCAGCACTGGAGCGGAACTGACGCGGGAGGCATTGAAATGAACTGAAGATGGAAGGCCTAGCGGGGCAGGTGAACGGCTGTGGCTAAGCCTCTTTTCTATCTGCATCTGCTCACATTAGACAAAATGCAAATAAATAGGCCCCATCTCTCTCTGTTCTTAGCATTTATATGACACCTTTCAGCACAGAGAAACGAGTAAGTGTAACCAGAAGCGGTTGTTCCATGTGCTCATCCCCAGCTCGGCTGTGGCCAGGCATCTGGTCCCCACCTGCCCCCATACCACTCCTTCCCAGAGGGGCAGCTGTGGACCCCACCACTTCACTTTCAGCAGAGCCTTTCCCATGGAGCCGCACACTGTTGAAAGAACGCATTGTCTGTGCTAAAGGGAGAACGCAGGTAGCACATTGCAAATCTGAGCTGTTACGTGATAGATGAGCAATGAAAAGCGTCCTGACATCATTAAGGTGTTCCAGAACATGCTGTCTGCTCCAGCCTCACCTGCATGCAACCGCATGAAGACAGAATTGCCTGCATGATGACCAAAGCCTGGCTTTGGAGTCAGCAAATTGGGTCATTCCAACCCCACGAGGTTTTTCTAGATTCTGCCAGTTGGGGACAAAGACATTTCATAGAAACTGCTAGACTCACATCTGCAAATGGTCTTAGAGGGTAGGGCTGTCTTCAACCATATGAAAATAGACTTGCCTTTTCACTCTTCCAAGTATTCCCAGAATTTGAAGCTGTCCTTCAGCACTACCTCCTGCCCCACATTCTGGAAGCCCTCTCCCAAGCCCCAGGGCATCCATGTCTGGACAGGGCCCTCTGTAGAACCCACCGCACAACCTCCTGACTTTGCCAGGGCCCAGCACTAACAGGGAGTTGGGGACAGACCACCTGCTGTGTGGCAGAGCAACTTATCTGACATTTATGGGATGAGATTTGTCACGGTCAGAAAGGGCAACTCTTTAAAATTTTTTAAAGAGCATCTCAACCTTTGGCACACTGCCTGGGGAACTAAAAGTAACCTCTTATTCTTCCCTACTGATATTGTGGAATTTCAAGTTTCTACAAAAGAACTTGAGTATCAGTCAGCAAAAGCAGTGGAGTGGCTGGATTTATTCCTCATGGCTCAATCACTCCTAATTTGCCTACAGGAACCTAGTGGTCGTTGAGGTAGAAGAGGATACATCACTCTACAACACACAGGACAACATCCTGGGCTCTATCCTCATGGCAGCAAGCTCATTTTGCCTCCTGTTTCATAGTAAGAGTCACTGTTCACCGAGAGCAGCATGTGTAGTGATTGGAACATGCACTTCAGAGTCAGATTACATGGGTACAAATCCTGGTTCTGTCTCTTACTACCTGTGTGATCTTGAGCAAGTCACGTAGCATCTTGGTTTCCCCGTCTGTAAACCAGAGGGAAATAATAGCTCAGTCAATGAAATATGATGTGGCTCAAATGATGGCAAAAGTCCTCAGTACAGTGTCTGGCATGTAAAGGGGTGTAGTAAATATTCACTATTTATCGCAGACCTACTTACTATGTCACACACTGAATTATGTGCTTTATTTAATTCTGTAATTTAATCCTACAACAACTCTCAAAGGTAGGGCCTATGCTTATAATCACCATGCTATGCTACTCACCTTGTTTCCCTAAGAGAAATATTTTCTTGTCAGTGGCTATTCCCACCTGCAATTTTCCCTTGACAAATTGCTCCAAGACAGGTACTTCCTAAGGGGACGCTTTCTCCATTAGTGAGACAGTAGGGGAAATGGAGGGGCAAACCTTGACCCACCATTACCAAGAAATCACCTGTGGAAGTGAGTCATCTATCTCTCGTCGCTGGGCTGGACTTGATGATTAATGGGAGACATTTAAGATTAATACACTTTCTTGTTTAAGTTTTGAAAATTAAAGATCTTAGAAATGTGAGCCCAGAGAATAAAGAAAAAAGAAGGAAGTAGAACAATATTCTCTTTCTAGTCACCTGCTTTCAAGAACTCAGTCCCTTTAGGCCAGCATTTAGAGAATTGCCTGTCCCCAGCCAGGTCATCTTGCTTTCCTTTTCTCCCTCCTCACCTCCAAAGGGACGTTAGTTCCAGCCAAAGTGCTTATCATAGATCCTCAGCGCAAACAGTTTCCAAGTTACCAAATGGGACCGTGGAACAATTGATTGTACTGGCACAGGCCAACGGTGGGAGATAATAGAGTGACATGTGGGCCCAAGCAGCTATTGTTGCTGCATTTTTCTGTTTGGTTTTGGGTTTTTGGTTTTTTTAAAAGCATGAGTGCACAGGCTGTGCTGGCCTAAGCCCTTGAGATTCTTGAGAAAGAAAAGATACCTCAGCTAGAGTCTTATTGAGGCCAAGTTTCTAACAGCTCAGGCCCAATCCTGTTACCTTAACAGAGCTGACACTACCTCATCCTGAAACGGGCTTTCAGACCCAGCCATCAAGAGCTATCCTTTGGCCCCAAATGTCACTACCAGAGTTAGGCCATTTAAATGAGCATGGCTGACATTTATTGAGCACTTTTCACTGTGATAAAAGGCTTTTCAGGCTTTCATTTAGATCTCAAAACAGATGCATTTTAAAGAGACTTATATTTTCTGATTTCTAGGAATAAGAAGGCAGAAGCCAAGAGATCTTGAGAACCTCACCTATAACTGCACAGCTGGTCAGTGATAGGGCAAGAATCTGAGCCCAGGCCTGTGTCTTTGACCTTAAACCCATTGCCTAAGAATGAGAGGAGACAAAAGGAAAGCACAGGAAGTGGGGGAAAGGATGAAGACAAAAGAAGAAGGTGTGATATAAGACCTAAAGTCAACACCCAATATTACGTGCTGTCTTGACATCTGGCAAAGTATGGCAGGCCCCAAATGGCCTAGATGCAAGTTCCCCTCCTCACTCTGCTTCTGAGGATAAGGTTTTCTAGCCAAACAACACTCTTTATCAGAGGTCAAATAGGGCTGGGCACGGTGGCTTGCACCTGTAGTCCCAGCTACTCAGGAGGTTGAGATGGTAGGATCACTTGAGCCCAGGAGTTCAAGGCTGCAGTGAGCTATGAGCTATGATTGTACCACTGCACTCCAGCCTGGGTGACATCATCTCTAAAAAAAAAAAAGAGAGAGAGACAGAGACCAGGCGTGGTGGCTCACACCTGTAATCCAGCACTTTGGGAGGCTGAGGCAGGCAGATCACAAGGTCAGGAGTTCGAGATCAGCCTAGCCAACATGGCAAAACCCCATCTCTACCAAAAATACAAAAATTAGCCAGGCGTACTGGTGGGCACCTGTAGTCCCAGCTACTTGGGAGGCTGAGGCAGGAGAATCACTTGAACCCGGGAGGCAGAGGTTGCAGTGAGCTGAGATCGTGCCATTGCACTCCAGCCTGGGTGATAAGAGCAAGACTCCATCTCAAAAAAAAAAAAAAAAAAAGCAGCAGCCAGACACAGTTCCTGCTTACCCCTGAGCAGTGGCTTCAGTTCCCTGCCAGACCAAGGAATTATTCAAACAAGGTAAATACATTCTCCCTCACAAACCAGGGGGCACACCACTCTCCTGATGCTACAAAGCTTGCCTCTCTCTGCTTGTTCCCTCCGTTTCCAAGCGCAGCAGCCATGTGGCCTTGCACGGCATGAGGTGTCCTCCTCCCGGGGCTTTGAGCAGACATATGTACCAATAAACCACCGTTCATACCATCTGTCCAGTGTCAGGTATCATGTTTCATTCAGCCATGCCTGCATCCCTAGGATGGGAATCCCTCACTCTTCAAGAGGAGGTGATCAAAACAGAAGAAAAATAGTTAAAGAGGAAAGGATGAAGGATGAATCTGAGGTGACCCACCTGCAGATTCAGCCACAGGGTCTTCCATGTGGGTCCAGAGGCTGTGATGCTGTGGTTAAGAGAGCAGATCTGGAGACAGCCTGGATTTAAATCATTTCTCTACCACCTTCAGGCAAGTTACTTAACCCCTCTGGGCCTTCATCCCTTATCTGTAATGTGGGAATGGATAATAGCCACCATCCATTTGGTGTAAGAATTAAATAAAATCATGCATGTATAGCCCATTGGAGAAGGCCTAGCACTTAGCAAAGGCCCGTTATCTTTAATATCCTAAACCTTCATGCTCTGGGATCACTTTTCCTCCTGAATCTACCAGAGAACCCATTTGCCTTTCCTCCACTGGCCCAGCCAGCTCATCTTTGTGTTTCTGCAGCATTATTTGTGGAGCTGTTGACTGCAATATTCCTTTAAAATGTCTCTAAATTGTGTGCACCAACTTAAGTAAATAACTGAAGGACCTAGTCCTCCTATGCTGCCCAACAAGGAGCGCTAGTTTCAAGCACTCTAAAACTGCCATAGCCTTCACACAACAAGGACAGCAGAGAAAGTCGTTCTTAGAGTTTTCCAAGTGAATAGGCATCAACATTCTGAAAAGCTTCAGCAGAGTCTACTAGGTATTCATGTTTGAATATTTATTCACCAATGAGAGCTCACATTTATTGAGTGTTTATTGTGTGGCAGGCACTATTACAAGCATTTACGTGCATTCACTCTTTTTATTTTCACAGCAATAGATTTGAGGTAAAGTATTGCCCTAATTTTGCAGATGAGGAAATGGAGGCACAGAGGGGTTCACCAATTAATTCAAGTTTCAGAAATTCTGTTTAACTGGTCTAGGGAAAGGGCCCAGGCAGTGGTCTGTTTTCAAAGCACCCTCAGTGGTTCTCAGGTGCTGTTAGGGTCAGAAACGCTTTCGGGAGCCAGCACGCTGATCCTGCGATCCTGTGATCACATCATGCCTTGCATTGTGAACTGTTTCCTCTAAGTGTCTCATGTCTCCAATTACATCATAAATCCCAGGAGTGAAAAGCTAAACAGAAACAATGTCTTCTATTAATCTGGAATCTATTCCTTCAGTACTGACACCACTGGATTTGTCCAGAGTAGGCACTCAGTAAACTTGACATCTACATACTTGGATTGTGCACAGTGATTGGGAACTTCTGCCATTCAAGGCAGGCACTGTTTTAGGTGACTTACATCAATTATTACCTTTATTCTAAGAAGAAGGTGTTACTCTTATTATTCCCATTTTATAGATGGAGAAACAAAGGCACAAATTGCTTATGGACACACGACTAGTAAATGGCAGAGCTTTGAGTTGACCAATCTGGCTCCATAGCATGACCTAATCCAATGTAGTACAGTGGAGGGTGAGGGGAAGGGGAGAGGAAAAACCATAAAGAGGAAGACAAAGTCAACTTGAGAATTCCAAGTTATTTAACTAGTATAGTATCAGTTTGGTAGCACTGCTGTAATTAAGCATCATAGACAGGGTGGGTAAAAAAACAGGAATTCATTATCTCACTGTCCTGGAGGCTAGAAGTCTTTAGGGGACAAGAAATATCTTTTCTTCCCCTCTTGGGTTCATGACTGTGGTGGCCCCTATAACAAAAGACAGATTAACAGGAGAAAAGCGTGGCAAATTTATTTAATATAAGTTTTACACAGCATAACCTTTGGAAATGAAGACCCAAAAAAAGAGGGAAACATCTGTAAAGTTATCCTAAGCTTGGTGAAGAAGTGGATAATTGTGAAGAAGTATGATTGGACAAAGGAGGTGTGACCTAATAGTAATAAATGGGGGGGAAATTTAGCAAGGCCTGTTTGTTCAGATTCGTCTGTGTCCCTGTCCTCAGAGATAAGGATGTTTCTTTCCTCCAGCTATAGGGAGGGCAGCTCTCCCATCAAGTCTTATGACCTGCTGCAGGGGAAGGTCAGAAAATTCTTTCTAGATTTTATGACCTACTTCTGGAGAAAAGGGCTAAGGGAAGGTGATAGTGGCCTTCCTGCTTTTGCTGTTTTCTCAAATGCCAAAGTGTCATATTTGATGTTCAAAGATGTGTGCAGTCTTTGACTTTCCTTAGCACATAGAAGCATCTCCCCAACCTCTGCTTTTGTCTTCCTCATGGTGTTCTTCCTGTGTGTGGGTTTGTCCCCAAATTTCCCCTTTTCATAAGAACACCAGTCATATTGGATTAGAGCCCACCCTAGCGACCTCATTTTAACTTGATCGCCTCTGTAAAGATCCTCTCTCCAAATACATCACATTCTGAGGTACTAGGGGTAGGACTTCAACATATGGATTTGAGGAAGACACAATTCACCCCTCCGCAGAAGTCGGGGTCACATGGTGGGTAGGTTAATAAGCCAGTGCTCCACAGGAGTGGGAAGGAAAACACTCCCAAGACTGGAGGCTGCCAAGAGAACGGCTCCGATGTGTTTAGATGAGGGTGGGTCAAACTTCAGCAGAAGCCAGGGTAGCAAGGCCACACTCAGGCTTCTGCTGGCACCTAGCATGAGTGGTCACCGAATGGCTCCCCTCTTTTCCTGGCAACGCCTGGGCCCCTGGATTGCACAACACTCTCATCAATGAAAACCAATAAGCTGAAAGAAAAACTAAACAACAAAATAAACCACACACATAAAAAAGAGTAACCTTATGTTGTCTGTAAAAAACCTCAAAAAATGCCAACAAGTACTGAGTCAGGAAATTCTCCCCTAATAGCTTTTGTTGGAAACATTTAACATTTCTACTTTATCTCTTCTTTTCTTTCAGACCACTCCTCAGAGGCAATCAAGTGCAACAATACCATCATTCAGGACTTTTGGTTCCCAGAGGACTCACTCTGAGCCTTGGCCAACATACACCCTTATAATATCAGAGCAGCCTTAACTCCCCGAGAGTGGATTTCCTCCAGCCCTTCTGAGCTGAGGGAGAGGAGGATTACATATCTGATACACCAGTTTTGTTGCCATCTGGCCACCAAAAGAGAGCACTGGGTTGATTGTATCCCCTCGGTAGTGACTGCTAAGGAGACACATCCCCAAAACTAACGTTTCAAGTCTGGCAGTGGCCAAGAAATATCAAAGACCCTCTATAAGGGGCCTTTCAATGCCACCCAATAGTAATCTTCACATCCCAGGACAACAGTTCAGTTAAAGACTGGACCACTGGACCCTCACAGGACAAGAATACAGCTAAGAAAGGACCACAGCACAATCTCAGCTGTCCTCGTACCTCAATCTTCCACTTGGAATTCCAGGTCACTCTGTGTCACAGCCTCTCTGTACCAATTGCTACCCCGTGAGGCTAGGATCCCTAAACACCTTCATTGTTTCTGCATTCTGAACCAAACGCGTAAACAGGGAGGCAGAGGAGGGATGTGGCGGGGTGGAGCAGGCAGAGAGAGTGTGCACAGAGAATGCAAGTGATGCACTTTGGTGTGGACAAGCTGATTGCTGGCCTAATTACTATGGGCTCTACCTCAATGAAACACCATCTTTCTGGTCAGAGAAGCAAAGAGATTTTTTTTTTAATGCAGAGCAATAAATAGCAAGGAAAATAGAGGCACATTCCCTTCCTCACCACTCCCAACCGCAAAGGCTCAGCTTACTCCTAAAAGGGGATTCATGAACTTCCAGGCTGGCATTCAGAGAGCCTTAGTCTGGCAAAGTCCATCCTTCCCAAGAGTCAGGTGGAATCAATGAGCCCATTGTTCTCAAGCCTGTGCTGAGAAATAATATGTACAAAACAATAGAGAGCCAATGCCAGAGGTGATCTTTGGCCACAATCATCATGCTAGAATAAATAACGCATCAACATACACTGATTAGGAAATGACATATTAATTGTCCAGACATTGAGAGTGAAGGGATAGGCTGAGCCAGCCACCTTTGCTGTTTTCAGCATGAGCAGAAGGCTTCACTGGAGACACATAAGAAAGGGCAGGGCTCACCCTCCAGACCAAGACCCGAGAGCACAGGGCAGGCAGCAGCCACCAACAAAGGATCCACGCCGGAGGGGCTGGGAAATGGTGTTACGAGCCTCACTCCTGTGAGTTTCACATTTCTCATCGTGAACCATATTAATACATTTATTGCTTGGAAGAGACGGGGAGAAAATGGAGACTTGCTGAGCATCTGTCCACATGCACTTCCTCACTCGCTGTGATCTTCCTAACTCCCTGGGTAGGTACCATCATTCTCGTCCTACAGAAGAGACTAAGAGGAGATAAGTAATTCCTACCTAAGGACCAGTTATCAAATCAATATTCATTTTTCTTGCAAAAAGATGTTCCACTCTGAATTAAGGCCAAGGAAGAACATACCAAGTTTGGTGTTAGGTTATTTGTGAGCACAGAATCTTTGACAGTATAACCTGGTTAATGAACTTGTTAGGGAACAAAAGGAAACAAGTTTATCCTTCCCCCATCCCAAGCTCTGAGAGATTTCACCTCCCCCACTCTCAGCCCCAGGCCCCTCCAATGTCTTGGCTTCACTCCATAGCTTTCTGGGCTGCTTCCACTAACAAGACCTGGTCTCCTTTGGTAGTTAAGAGCCTTTCAGGTATTAACAAGTCTCCTCCAAGAGAATACTTCTCTCTCACTTCATGTTGAAGCTTCCTTCTTCCTGAAACTGAAGGCTGATTCTGCTTGTTCAGAAGTGGGAAGGAGGAATGGTGATTAGGAAGAAGAAGGGGAAGACCGTTCCACATGCCTTGCCTTCACAGGAAGCCCTGTCACTCAGGGTCCCCTGAGACACCCAGGCATCCGTTTGATTGCATCCTCTAGATAGTGACTGCTGAGAAGACACATCCCCATCTCTGGCCGTGGCCAAGAAATACCAAGCACCTTCCATCAGTGCCTCACTTCCCAGGACAAGAGTTCAGTTAAAGACTGGACCACTGGACCTCACACATAGGAAGCTCACACCCCAGCTAGCCCTGAGTTCAGAGTGCGCCAGGCAAGCTCCAGGCTTGAGATTTGCATCCACCCCCAAACTCTCAGGGATGCATGCAAACCTCTCCCAAGGCAGTGGGTGAACCCCTGCTCTTCCGTACATCATGTTCAGCCAGCCAGGGAGCAGAGAGCAGCTTTCCTTCATGCAGGTCCCCCTTACATTGCAAAAGCCAATGAAGGCAAGAGCCAAATGGAGACCAAAATGCCAAATATTGAAATGTTTCAAAGTTACAAGTCAAGTCAAAATTACTATTAAATAAAATAAGTTCTAGCTTCCCACCTTGACAAATATAGCTCCTCAATGGCCTAAAAGGTCAGTTTGCATTTAGAATGTTCGGTCTTCTTGGAATTTGAATCTGAGCTTTTCCTCCCATCCTCAGACCCTGTCACTGGCCGACAAGCTGCTCTGCTTTTCTTCCCACTCCCAAATCCTTTCCACACCATAAGGGCAGTGAGCCACCCAGACTGTACATCCAAGATCCACCCATATCCTTCCCAAACTGCTGCCCAGAGCTGAGCACAGTCCACCTTGGGGGAAGGACCCAAAGCAGATCAGAGCAGGCCCTGGAAAGAGACACATTCTGAAGGCCTGGACACTTGGAACGTGATGGGGAGGCGGAGGCATGGTCTCCAGGAGGACACGTCCCCTTAATCCCACAGGCTCTGGCTCCTGCTTCATGGGGAGGAGTGTGCTGAAGAATTCCAGAGAGGGCCTCTCTCCCAGGAAGAGGGCACGGCAGGGGCCACACCCGAGGGCAGTTCTGATGAGGGTTCTCCTCAGCCCTCCTTCACCTGCCTGAAGGGGGCAACATGGGAAGGGGAGGGCAAATGCCACAGCCCCGTCCCCAAAAGCCCTCAGCTCACCAGTCAGTGATTCCCCTTGCTATGAGTCTGTGTCTCCTGCTAATGTGGACTTCATGGGATAGTGGGCAGGGTGAAGGGCAAAGGGCCTGTTTGGCCTCCCTCTGGAGGGGCTGATTTCTTTATAATATGCAGACACTTACTGCCCACCGCATTCTGCTTTGGGGCTTTAGCCAAAATCCAGAGACCTCCATTTCCCTCGGGGGACAGAATGGACACATAGTTCTAACACGACAAGGATTTCAACCGGGGAGGAGTGTTTCACACGCCCACATTTTAACACCATGAGGAGGGAGAGAGTGAGCGTGCGGTTCACATATGGGCAACTTTAAAAGCAGGCACTATCGTGTGACAAGACTAAACTTAGGGAAACGTGTCTGCAGTGACACAGGGAGAAGACACCAAATTCCCACTGGGGAAGCTCCACGAAGACTTTGGAAGAGAATGTTCATCTGGATCCACTTTTACACTCACAGGAACCTGCTCTTTCTCAAACTTGGCCATTTTGTGAAATGGCTTGGACTTGGACAGCACGGTGCCATCCAAGGCCCTGATGGCAGGAGGCCACTTCCCTTATACCACTGAACTACTTCTGGGTTGGCAGCAGCTACTGTCCCCACCCAGAGTGCCTTCCTTTTGTCTTAGCAGTTGTGAGGCGTGAGGAAGCACTGTCACCTGCCAGGCGCCCAACCTCTCCCGCCTCCACTCAGCATGTTGGGGACCACCTGGCCTGAAGCTATGAGTGGGCTAAGCCCTGCTCTGGTCTCTGGCCAAGAGGGAGTTGAGGAACTTAGGTCTTATGCATCAACACAGAGGAGTGCATAGAGAAAACAGGACCTAATTTGGAATTGGAAGCTCTGAATTTAAGTTCTGATTCAGCTGCTTCTTAGTTGTAAGCTTTTCAGACATCAGTGGATTTTCTGGGCTTTATCTGGAAATTGGAGTTTCTTCATCTGGAAATTGGAGACATTAAGAACATCTGCTTTCCCACCTCAGTGAGGAATGGAATGAACTACTACGGTATCATTTGGAAGCTGTGAATTCTGAATTGTTAGAGTTATGAGTCTTGGCTTTGAATAGGAACACTGTGGTCTTTGTTTATGGTTTATTAATGTCGACTCTCTAGAACCATGGCTCTGCCTACACTGGTAGGCCAAATAGTAACAATAATGGCAACAACAACCTCTTGAAGAAGAAAAAGTCTAAAATAATATAATCAGAATAGCTCAGTATTTGTTGAGAAGCTTCTATGTGCTAGAACTAGGCTGCGTGCTCAGATTTGCCTCACTTAATACTTAACCACACCTCATGAGAATCACTATCACACCTGGTCTCTGTCCCTGCATACCAGCCTGATGCATGGGCTGAATGAGCCTGGATATCTGAATACTAATACATTCCACCTCCTGTTGGGATACCTTGCACTCTCATTTGGAACCTTCTCAATGTTAGCCAACTGGACCTTCTTGAATTTTTACATACTCACAAGATGCCCTGCTGGATGGGGCTTTCTCCAAACATAAGCAAGCACTAGGGTCTGACCTTGGGTTTATTCATCCCAATGCAGCCCAGGTGTTCATACCTGTTCCCAGTGATCCCAGCACCAAGTGGGCCATAAGAACTGGGTTCTGCATGGTTCCAGTTATTGATGAATAACAAATCTTGGTAACTACCAGCCTAGTGATAGTGGCTTCAAACCACAGCAATCATTTTATTATCTTTCATATTTTGTTTGGATCAGGAATTTGGGAAGCTACTGGGTGGCTGTGGCTTGGGGGTCTGTCATGCAGTTGAAGTCAGTTGGTGGTGGGAGCTGAAACAGTGGGGAAGCTGACAAACTGGGGACTGGCCAGATATCTCTCTTCATGCAGTCTCAGGGCTTCTCCATGTGGCTGTTCCATATGGACTAGTTGGGCTTCCTCCCAGCATGGCAATCTCAGAGAAGTCGAGCTGCATACATGGCATCTCAGGGCTTTGGCATGAACATTCCAGTGAGTAAGGTAGAAACCATGGTACCATTTTTGACCCAGTCTTAGAAGACATATAGCATGACTTCTTCCACAGTCACAAACATGTCAAGATGCAAAGGGAAGGAACATAGATTCCACCTCTCCATGAGAGGAGTGTTAAAGTTACAGTGTAAAATAAGCATGTGAGATGGGAGATATTACTGCAGCCATCTTTGGAAAGTACAATCTGTCATAGCTACTAGAGAAGAGGGTCTACTGGGAAATAAGACAGACTCAGCCCCTAGATGCCACAAAAGCATCTGATCCTAATGTTCACACTCTGCCCCCATGAGGAGGGCTTAGATTTTTCACCGTCTTCTCATGTGGGCCTTGGTTTCCCATCATCTTTTCAGTTTCTCATTGAAACCCTAGCCCTAGCCTTTGAAAATTCAGGCTTCCTCCCCTAGACCATGGCAGCTCTTCCCATCCTAGCTGGACCCCATTCCTGAGGATTGCCGACTGACCACAGTGGACACATTGTGGCCCTAATCTATACCTGGCAAATGCCACTGAGAAGAACACCTGCCACTCCCACTTCTGCCCCTCTAGTACCCTCCTGCAATGACCATCCCAACCCACACTGAATTCAAATTCACTAAGTTGCCTATTTATTTTACCCATTTGTATGACTCCATTGATGACATCCAATGTGGGTTTCACCAAAGCAGCTGGCTGAAACTCCAGAGTGTGCAATATCATGACACTTAAGCAGGACACTTCAAGGTATGGGCCAAGACAGGACTCAGCTCTGCAATTTACTAGCAATATAAATTTTAGACAAGTCACATGACACTCTGAATTCTTGTGATATGAGGATAAGAGATAAGAGTACTTTGCTGTGTGGTATTTATCTGCAGGCTCCAGCAAGGTGCATATGAAAATGAGTTGAAGACATGTATCATGAAGACCATGTAATTATTATTACAATTGCCACCTAACATTGCTTCTCTATTCTCTTGCCCTGTCTACAGGGAAAGACAGTGTACCCTTCAGCTAAAATATGTCCATTCCCTCTTGGCCAGCCTGCTCAAAGCCCAACAGGCTGTCTGTTCATTTTTCTCTATCACACTCGTGCAGCAGGAGATTGGTGCAGTGAATGCCATCCTGGTCCCACCTCCTCTGCCCTCACTCTCACAGGCATGCTGTGGGCAATCTCAGCCTCTTTCCAGATACCCTGTTAATGCCACCCTAAAATTGGATGATCTAAGTGGTTGGTCCCAAAGACCAGTCCCACATGCGTGGACACACCCAGGCTGTGCTCCTTGAGTGAGCAGAGAGGCCTACAGCTGGGCCTCCCCTAGCACTGTGTGTTCACCCTGTCCTGCATTCCTGGGATACAGGAGGGAACCGGGTGCATGAGGACAGGCCAAGGCACCAAAGTGACAGCAATCAGCTGTGGATAAAAGAGCACAGTCCTGGACAAGCACCTCATTCCTCTCCCACAAGACTCAGACCATTCCAGGACAAATTCCCAAGGATGTTGCATTATCCGCCTGTCTGGACAAAGTCTGGCAGGAAGAAAACCTTTCAACGGTTCCAGCTTGATGTTTCTGGGCTCTGGGCTTTTTTCCTTACTCTGATCTTTCCCACACAAGAAAAAGGAGCTGCTGGCCCAGCTCTGAAGATCTGGCCCATTTGTGATGCAAAGCAGCTTATTTCTAACTGCAGAAGTGCCAATAGTGCTGGAGGGGGCTGACTGAGGAAAAGGATGATAGAATTGTTTATCTTTCAAGGAAACCTAGAGGGTACAAACAGTCAAAAGATTAGCCTGGGTAGCTTTACTGCCAGGGATGGGTGGCACGATGGGAACCTGCCTCCCAATTCTGCCATGAATCAAGGCCTAAAACTTTTACAGGCATTTCTCTTTACTCCTCAAAGTAGCTTCAGGGCGAAAAAGAGTGACAGTTTAATCTCTCTATCCTCACCAATTTTTATTTCCTCCTCCTGAACTACCCCCTCACCCACACTCCCAACATAAAAAATCCATCTGGTGTCACCAAGGGCCAAGCAAGGTCCATGAACAACTGTTGGAGGCTGATGTAGCCAGTGTGGGCTTGGGAGGAGCCTTGGGAGAATTGTCCTAGACTGGCCAATGGTGGGGCAATGGTGGGCGTGCTGGAGTGGAGGGACTGGGGGAGGGAGAAAAACAGAAAGCGATCCAGGACACATGAACGGGCCTGGAATAATGAGAAGGGAATGTGGCTAACAAAAATAGCCAAAGTACACAAGAAGAGAGAAAGGGAAGAGCCGCCCTCAGAGGAAAGAGAACAGAGAAGGAAAAGAAGATGGAGGAAAAGGAGGAGGAGGAGGCAGGGGGAGAAGAAAGTGCTAGAAATGAGGAGAGAGTAAAAACAAGGCAGAGAGGTTTGGAATGAGAGGAGTTAAAAGAGTGTGACAGTAAAAGAAGCAGGAAGAAAGGAAGGGAGAAATCACCAAATTATAAATGGGTTGTGCCCTAAAGACTTTTTTCACAATAGGTAAGTTTAAAACTAAAACCCATCTCCATCCAAGACACTGACTCCCATGCTGACGAAGTTCCTAATGTGACCTGCAAAGTGGGCCAACTTGCACGGCTCCAAGAGCGAGCACCTCCTGACACTTTGTACCTAGGCACCTCTCTGGCCTCAGCCTAGTCCTGACCCAGATATAAAATCTCAGGGCTCTCAACCCTGCCTGCACATTAGGATTTCCAGGGAAACTGGTTTTGTTTTTGGTTTGTTTGTTTTTTTCCAGACAGAGTCTCACTCTGTCACCCAGGCTGGAGTGTAGTGGCATGATAACGGCTCACTGCAATCTCTTCCTCATGGGTTGAAGCAATTCTCCTGCCTCAGCCTCCCAAGCAGCTGGGACTACAGGTGTGTGCCACTGTGCCAAGCTAATTTTTGTATTTTTAGTAGAGACAGGGTTTCACCATGTTGCCCAGGCCGGTCTCGAACTCCTGACCTCAGGCCATCCACCTGCCTCGTCCTGTCAAAGCGCTAGGATTACAGACATGAGCCGCCGCGCATGGCCAAGGGAAACTTAAAAAGTACGCATGCCTGGGTTCTTGCTTAGATTAGTTTAATCAGAACCTCTGCTGGAGGAACACATGCAGGGTTTTAAAGCACATCCAGGTGATTTTAATGCACAGCCAGAATTAAAAATCACTAATAGAACTTACACCGTAGCGTTCAGCTCTTGGGGGGGTTAGTGGGCTTTTGGCCCTCGTGAATAATATTGTTTCTAAAGGGAAATGTGTTTAGGTTTTAATTCCAGATGCCAGGCACTAACCAGCCCCCACACCCTGTATCCCACCCACCCACGTCTGCAACACTTACTTTGTCAATGGAAGTGGGGGCCACAATAGCTGGTCGAGCTTCCCCCTCCACCCTGAGTTCCAATGGGAGGCCCCCATTCCGTTCCCAGTGTGGCCAGGGCCATCCAGTCATGTGTGGGAAACTTGAGTGTTTCCAAGTCAGGGAGTTCTTACTCAAGTTTGGTTAAAGCTGAAAGAAAAGAGAAAAACAAAATGTGTCAACATGAGTCTCACTTGAATAAAAAATAAACATACAAAAAGTAAAAGAAACAACGTATCAACAATAAATGCCAGAGATGGAGGCTCTATAAGAAATGGCAGAACCTTCAAGTTAACAAACAGGGCCGGGCACTGTGGCTCACGCCTGTAATCCCAACACTTTGGGAGGCTGAAGTGAGCGGATCATGAGATCAAGAAATCAAGACCATTCTGGCCAACATGGTGAAACCTCGTCTCTACTGAAACTACAAAAATTAGCCAGGCACGGTGGCGCGTGCCGATAATCCGGTAGTCCCAGCTACTCGGGAGGCTGAGGCAGGAGAATCACTTGAACCCGGGAGACGGAGGTTGCAGTGAGCCGAAATGGCACCACTGCACTCCAGCCTCCATGGAGATAGAGCAAGACTCCGTCTCAAAAAACAAACAAACAAACAAACAAACAGGAAGACACATGCCTGGAAATGAAGTTGAAATGTGGCTTAACAATTCCATACTAGGAAATCTGCTGTGTCAAGACATCAAGAAAACTGGTTTTTAAAGCTGTGTTAACTTGTGTTAGAGCTGCCAGACATAGGGAGATCATTCCAATCAAACCAATACACAGCCATTTCTCCTGGGGATAAAGGGACAAGATGGAGCTTGAGCACTAAACATTTGAGAAACTCTGCAACATGTGGGGCCACTGAAGACTCCACGCAAACCTCTGCTGCCCGCATGCCCCACCCACGAGCCGGCAACTTAAGGGTTAGGTCCCACTTCCTACGGATTCTGTGGAGATATGCACATGGGAAGCAGGATGCTGCCTGTGAACAACACCCAGGGAGACAGTTGGCAGCAGCACAAAGCTTCGTGAAATCCTTGAAGCCAACAAGACAGATCAGAACAGGCCAGAGGGTACAGCCAAAAACCTGTTGTTTCCTCACTTCTTCCAGCATCACACAATATAAAATCAATCAAATAACTGAATTACACCAGCCACAGCCTAGTGAGGATTATGTAAACGGAGCCATTGTCTGGTGGCAAGGCAGCCTCCCCTGAATTCCCCTCTGAAGAGACTCTCTGGCCAGCAAATGGGGGGCCAGGGCCCTGGTGCCCAGCTGGTGGGCCCTGGGCCTGCACAGAATAGAATCGCAGCTCATCTTTGCTGAGTAGGTTTCTCCTACCATGAGGGTGGCTGCTCCATGAGGGGCAGCCAGGTGGAAGAAGTCTGCACATCAGCCACCCTCTCTTACTCTAATTAGTAACAGGACAACTCAGTTGTGCCTAAATTATTTGAATTCCTTTGTAAATGGGGCTCCATAGTTACCAAGATCAGAGATCTTTGCACATTCCTTCAGAATAAGGGGTTCATAGAGGGGGCCCGGAGGAGCAAGAAAGATGGCAGCCCAGCCAGGGGAGAACTGGGGCATGCTCCAGGATACAGGATGGCCATAGCAACACCCTAGGCAAAGCAGCAGCTCCAGAGATCTGATCTTGTCCCTCAACAGCATGTGCTGTTCCTCCCATAATGGCAAGTCAGCCATTCTCTGTTCAGATGCTAAGGCCTCTTCAACAAATGCATCCATCTCATGGCTTCTGCCTTCTCACAGCTTCCGTTTCTTGTGCCATCTACTTGCTTGTCTCCTCTCTACGTGCCTCTTAGCTTATGCACATCTCTAAAATCTGGCATATTTGAATGACACTTAGTGACACTAAGACAGAGAGACTGATTAGTTCCATTAATTACTACTCTCTATGGACCTCTCTTATTGGACAGAAATCTCACTGCAGCCTCTCACTGGCTGCCTTTTGAGTCAGGCACCATCCTCTGGTCCAGACTGCTAAGGTCAGAATAGAACAGGGTCATCGTGAAAAGCATGGTACCCCATGCATAAGGAATGGCCCGTGGCTTTGTTCAGGCAAAACACCTTGTACAGGACAATCTCAGCCTCCCTTGCTGTGTGACCCAGCTTTCCTTTTGTGAGTTTAAGACATGCACACTCCTGGACAAGACACTAAAGCTATCATGAGCAGTGCACAGGAAAGCAGTGCATTACTAGAAGAGAAAGAAGTCAAGGGGCTTCTAGTGCCAAATATCAAGGATTCTGGATTCTCATATGATAAAGTTGAAAATTACTGCAGTGAGGTTGAATCAGGTGCAAAGGGAAGAATAGACTGTTAGAGAAGGGTAACTAACAGTTATCCAGTGCTGGCTCTGGGTCAGGCCGTGACCCGGGAGTTAAGCACTCAACCAGCATTAACCACTACACGTACCTCATGACATTCTGACGTCACCTGGGGCGGACTGGCAAACCTGTTTGTTGGCTGACTTCAAAGGACTTCCAACCCATTCTCCCTTAACCACTATCACAGAAGCTGAAAAAGACTTTTCCAACTTCCCACAGGTGAGGAGTCTTGTGGTCCTGTTCTGGCCAATAAAATACAATGGGAAGTCATGTGGGAGTTTGGGAAAAGTTGTTCCTTTTCAGAGAAAAGGAAGAAGCAGCCCTAGAACATAGACCCTTTCCCCATGCATATACTTGAAAAAAAATCCTGCTATCACCTCCCACTCCCACCCCCTGCTTTCTGATGGGAATGAAGACTTAATACCTGGAGAGGCTGGTGCCTTTTTATAAGATGAGGCAACAAACATGAAGATGAAATTAAAGATGGTGAAGTCATCAAAAAGAGCGTGGGTTCCTGTGGAGCAGCTGAATCAACAAATCAACAGCAGCTGCATATCCAAACTGATACAAGTAATATCACTATCCCCATCTTTTATATAAGAAAAATGAGGCCACGGGTGGGTAAGCAACTGGTCGAAGATCTCTTAGTTCAAAACCAAGCCTGTTGATTCCAGAGACCAATCCATCATGATATGCTCCTCTCCAGACAGAAGAAACCTTAGAATTGAAAACTTCTTATTTAGAAGGACCCCTAAGACCCTGTAGCCCAATTCCTTCCAATTAAGAGATAAGGCGCACAGTGGTTAAGTGCTGGGCCCAAGTCTATTGGCTTTCCCCTCCTGAAGCTGAATCCTGACACTCATCCAGTGTTCTTTACATTACTCCATGCTTTCTCTCCCGGGAAAAATAAGAGACTATAATTCCTGTACAGTACCATGGTGGCTTCTACATTGCCTTAGCTAAGGATTTGTCATCTTGATTCATTTTGGGCCTCTGACACCACAGAAACCAAGACAGAAGTAAGGACAATAGTATTGTATTTCAGAAAGTTATCGTGTTGGCCACATTACACTTCAATGTTTTTAGACTATATTAAGCCAAGATATTTTATACCAGAAAATGTTACCTGAGAAGGAGTATTATTAGTGGCTTTTGCAATATTCACTCCAGGAGCCTCTGCAGCACAATCCCCGGAGGGAGAACAGTATTGCATTTGAAAAGCAATGGCAGACGCCATCCCTGAGGCAATTTCTATTATTAAGCTGCTCAAAAATAAATAAATAAATAAACCAAACAAAACTCTCCAATTTTCTAAAGAACTCAAGAAAATGAAAAGGTCTTTTTACACACATTTGCCACCTTCCCATAGTTTGTTGGCCATGATGAAGACTTTGGTTTTGAAAACCCAACTCTAAACATCTTTTTTCTTCCACACTCTGGCTCCTTTTCAAGCATCTCTTAACTCTCCCCAAAAGCTGCCATCATCCTATGATTGATGCATTTCTGGAGATTCAGCTGAACTTGTCTGTTCACATTATCCAGCTGTTCAGTGCCTGTGGTTTTCACTAATGGTAGTTACATTTGATCATTCCCTTCTTGCCCCTAAACTTTCTGGCAATGCTCAAGAAAAATGTGGAATGCAACTAGTACTGAGGGCCCTGCAAATTTAGCAAAGTTTAGGATAGGAAAACATTTTGCATTTGCAATAATATAGGATTCAAGAGAAAACGAGAAGACTCATTCATTTATTTGTTCCACCAATAAATGTTGAGGACCTGTTGTATGTCAAGCTCTCTGCTCAGCACTCTAGATGATTTATTCCATTTAACAATGCTGCAAACTTAGAAGTTAAGCACTACTATTGCACTCAGTTTAATCAGGAAATTAGGGCTTAGCAAAATAGAATAGCTTAACCAATGTAAAATGTGATGGGGGACTTCAAAAAACTTACAATCTAGAAGGGGAGGTAGCAGGTAGTACACACACACACACACACACACACACACACACACAAACTCCAACACAAAGCAGAATGTATTCAATAGATGATCCAGTTTCAGAGCTCAGAGAAAGAAGATATTGCATTCAGGCCTCACGGAAAAGATTGCATTTAATGGGGTTCTAGAAGATGATTAAGATTACTGCAAAGAGAAATAAAAGAGAAGCAGATCCCAGCACAGTAGAAGGAATGACGTAAGTAGAAGGGTGGTGGCAGGGAAATGTAGAACATGCTTGTGAATGGAGGATAAGCCAGTTGAGTAAGAGCAAAGGGTACAGGAATAGAGTAAAGGTGTTAGGACTGGTAACGTAGGTTGGGTACAGGTCATGAGGTACCTAGAATGTCTATGTTAACCTGGAACTTATTAGAATCACAAAGAGGAGCCACTGAGCAGTTTTAGGAACCCATGATACTGTCCCACGGCAGTAAAAAGAGTGTGTTTAACAGTAATACGAAGCATGGAAAAGGAGGCAAGGCTGGTGATTGCCAGTCCAGGCAGCCAGCAACCACATGACACCATGGCAAACAGTGAAGGCCTGAGCCACGGTGGAAGTGGTGGGGATGGAAAGAAGACCACGGACACAAGACCCATGGCAAAAAGACCTGGCAATGGATAAGTGGGTGAATGAGGTGTCAAGAAATGATCAGATGCTGATGGTGCCACTAATGCACATCCAGACAAAGCTCAGTGTCTGGGAGTAAACTGTCAAACAAAAAAATATCAGTGTGAAGAACTTCCAGTTTACAATGACACCTGGCTAGCAGTCCATGACTCAACCTCTCTCAATTTCCCAGTAAATATACATACATTCCCCACTACATGTTTTAAAGAATGAAATTCAAAATTAGCGTGAATACAAATTGCCAAAATGTGGAGAAACATTTTCACCAACTCCAAGACAGCAGAAGGTGGATTCAGAGAAACAGTGAGTGGCCAAGCTACAGGTGTTCTCCTGAAGCAGGGAAACCCACACATGGCAAAGAAAGTGAGATGGCCTCTGGTCCTTCCCCTGTCTGCCCTGTCTCAAAGGCCTAGGTCAGTGCTGAACAGTAAGTTCTATTGTGCAAGTGCTTATTTCTAAGGTACCAGAGTAAAACACCAATCACCTGTTCTCCACCGCATCCTCTCCCACTAACCCCACCCCACTCACATTTTCTATTGCATCTGTGAACTGAAAGCAACGAGCAGGAAGTTGTCGGGGTCTAGAATCATGCTCTACATCCTAGTGGATGTAGCCCTCATATTGAAGCTACATAAGCAAGAAAAAAGACTCTAAGATATCCAACAGCAGTGTGTGCCGGGCTTCTAAATTTCCACCAACTCCCTCAGTTCAAAGTGTCAAAGAATCAAGCAAGAGAGTGAGATCTTATTTCTCTACAGCAGAGCCACAAAATCTGTGTGTTGGCAAACACTGAATGCAGAGGGAACTTGTCTAATCTAAGGATTAGTAAACACCAAACTAAATAGAGGGCCTATGAAAAAAGTATGAAACCTCAGGGGAAAGGGAACAATATCCCAGAGATCAAGAAGATGAACACACCTTTGAAAATGATTTGCTATCAAAAAAAAGAGAAAATGGTATGAAATATTTTTATTATTTTCAGTAGGATCTAAGAAGATATGGCCTCTCTGAAACAGGAGCAGAAAGCCAAAAAGCTGAACTGAAAGAACGCAATGAGATGAAAAGACAACGCCATGGAATGTAAAGACAATAAACCCAGGTGAAAAGGAAGCTGGGTGAGATAAGGAGGCTGAAATTACAATATGAGAAATGAAGTCAGCCCTGAGGGCAGTAAAACAGACCTTGGGAAATCTAACCAGTAATGTGCAGAATGGAGTTGAACAGAAGATAAAAGGGGGAGGGAGGTCCAAAAAAATGTGTTATTTTTTAAGGCAAATGGGAAGATGATATATGTAGAGCACAAAGAAAGGAAATTCAATCTGCAAATAATAGGTGTTACCAAAGACAGAACCAAAACACAGTAGGACCAGAGCAATGATCACAGATATAATTTGAATGCAGTAGACATAAACTTCTATAAGAAATCTACTTAATTTTTCTGTCTCAGGATTGTTGTCTTTAAAACGGGGGTTTAAAGCATAATGCAGAGAGTTTTATGAACATTTGAAGGAGCATCTATATGTTATTTGCTTGCCTTCAATATTGGTAGATAGTAAATGCTAAGTAACATCAGTTGTAATTTATTATTACTCTATAATAGCTCATACAAATTAGTAAGCCGAAAAAAAATAAAAGTACCAAAAGCGTGATGAGTTCATTCATGAAATAAAACTATGAATAGCATATAAGCATATGAAAAATGTTCCCCTCATTAGGAATCAAAGAAATCCAAATTAAAGCCATGAGTTACAACTTTTCCAATAACAAATTAATTACGGTTCTTTTTCTTTAATGGTGATGCTCTACATTGAGAAAAGTGTGCTGAAATCCCACTGCTTTGCTGGTGGGACTCTAAATTTGTTCAACCTTACAGTTGATATTTATAGATCAAAAAGATTAAAGAGATTTATATTTTTGTTATGGACTGAAGGCTTGTGTCTCCCAAAAATTCACATGTTAAAGCCCTAACCCCCAATGTGACTGTATTTGGAGAGAGTCTGGGAGGAGGTGATAAAGGTTAAATGAGGTCATAAGGGTGGGGCTATAACTGATTAACTGATAGGACTGGTGGTCATATAAGAAGAGGAAGAGATACCAGAGCTCTCCCTCCACCGTGTGAGAATACAGCAAGAAGGCTGCCATCTGCAAACCAGGAAGAGAGCCCTCACCAGGACTGGCACCTTGTTCTGGGACTTCCAACCTCAAGACCTGTGAGAAAATAAATTTCTGTTGTTTAAGCCACCAGATCTGCAGTATTTTGTTATGACACCCCAAACAACTAATAAAATTATTTAACCAGAATCTCTTCTAGGAGTCTATCCTAAGGAAATAATCAGTGAAGCAGGCAAGGATTGAGGATGTAGCCTGCAGCATTAGAGGAGTAGTTAAAAATAACCTCAATCTCTAACAATAGATGTTTGGAAAAGTACAAAATATATATTGTTGAGTCTTTTGAAACCATAAAATCAAATGTTAAGGCTTATTTAATGGTGCAGTGGAATAATTGTTATCTAATATTAATACAAAAGTAGAGCAAACTCTATATCAATATGATTCTTATTTTGTTAAATTATTTATCAAGTATATCCACATAGAGAAAAGAAAAAAAGGACGTACATCAAAAAATTTTTAAAAATCAACTGGACATGGAATATTATCTCTGATGGTAGTCTTTTTCTTTTTTTCTTTTTTTTGAGGTGTAGTAAATCTTCAACAATCATCCTGTGTTATTTTTACAATAATAAAATACATTTTCTTTTTAAACAAAACCTATGAATCTTGCTTCCATCATTAGCTTGGAATAGTCTTTAAAGAGAGCCTTGTTTCTTCATGTTATGCTTATGTCCTGCCTGTAAAGTTTTAGAGACATTATCTAGGTCATTCACCTGCATTCATAAAACAATGTCATAAAGAAGTTTTCACTACAGGATGCTGGCATTGTTATTTTGTTGGTAACTCCTGCATGATCTTACCTACAATCTCCAAACAATTGGGCATGTACCTAGGAGTTCTATAATAGAGCTTAGCAAAATTCTTGCTTTTGTCTTTAAGACATATCAGTCCAGTTGGGCGAGATGGCTCATGCCTGCAATCCCAACACTTTAGGAAGCTGAGTTGGGAGGATTGCTTGAGCTCAGGAGTTCAGGACCAGCCCAGCCCAGGCAACATAGCAAGAGCTATTTGCTAACTAAAATTTTTAAAATCAACTGGGCATGGTGGCATGCTCCTGTAGTCCCAGGTACTCGGGAGGCTGAGGTAGGAGGATCACTTAAGTCCGGGAGGGCAAGGCTGCAGAGAGCTCTGATCACACCACTGCCCTCCAGCCTGGGTGACACAGCGAGACCTTGTCTCAAAAAAATAAAAAATAAAATAAGGTATCTCAGTCCAAAATCAGATCAGTTTCCTTCGAATTTCAAAAAAGGAAGTGAAGTAAACATGATTATTTTCTTGAAAAAGACACCACAAATATACCAAAATGGAAAATATTTTGTGGAAGAGAGAAGAAATTTACTCTAGATTGTTTCAGAAGAAGGAACTAGAATCAAAGGGTGAAGCCAGAGGAAGGAAGATTTTGATGCAGAACTGAGAACTCATTAATTAGAGATTCCTTGCAAAGTATGAGTCCCCCATTACTGGTGGTTAATAGCAAACAGATGACCATGTGTTTGAAAGGAAGAGAAAACAGAAAGATTTTAATAAAAATAAATAGGTTTATTTAAGGTTTAAATAAAATAAAAGCTTTTTTTTATTTTTTTACATCTCCCAAGTCTCCATCATTCACAGAAAGATAATTTCTACATTAAATTTGAACCAAACTGAAAGGCAGACTAGATAATCTTTAAGGCAAAGTAGCTATATCATTTTTGTCCCAACTGAGCACTTTTGAGAGAAAAGAAGTGATAATAATTACACCGAGACAGGGGCTTTCAGGTTAAACTGAAATGTATGGTCATCCTACTCTAGGGTCTCTTCCAACTCTTTGACACTAACTAACCTCTATGTTCCTCAACCTTAAGTGTTTAATCCTTGCTTCGGGGGCTAAACTGTTTCAGCACCTACCTTTGACTGGCTTAATTAAAATGGTCAGACATTCTGGTGTATAACAATCTTTCTTTGAATGGCTGAAGCAGAGAGGAGGAGAAATGCCAAATTCCCCCAATAATTGGTCCTTGGAGAAAAGAGAGAAGTGAGCACAGGTAATTGGAAGCCTACAAGGTACATGGCACTGGCAACCCCAGAATTATTTTGAGCTGCAGTTAGCAGCATACCTAGGTGATTACTACTTGGATATTTCAGTGTTTCCCAAGTGTAGCTGGAATGTGTGGCTCTGATTGGTTTTCCAGCTGGAAATGTTACAGAAACAGGAAGATTTCTGCTTTCAAGTGTCTTGTTGCATCCTGCCTCTGCTTGGCAGAAGCTCTGGTCTGACAGTCATGTACATCTCTTCCGCTGTGCTTTAGGATGGACATGAGTAATTTAGGGTGAGCTACAGCAACACTCACAGAATCACCCCCACAACAAAAAAGGCCACCCCCAAATACACCCTGTGTGGTTTTACTATGGACAATCACAGGGCCATCAGCTGGAAACAGGTGGTAGAGAAGATTTTAAAGGTAGGCTTTTGTAGATACCCATTGATGTGATATGATTTTTTCAGGGTCCCTGCCTTTTCTGAATATCTCTTCATTGGCCTCTCAAAAGTACCATGGGCTAAGGCATCATGCTCTTATATTTCCTATTGGAATGCATAAGCATTTTATCCTAGAAGTAAGACAGGAATTGACTTGTGATCAATAGTGTTTATATTCCTGCACCCAGATTAGAAACTCTCCCAGGGCAGAGAGTCTTTTTATATTTTTGTGTGTTCTCAGGGCTTGGCAAAGAGTAGGGGGTAATGGTGGTGGTATAATAGTGTTGATAGTAATCATCATAATGGCTATCTTTTTTTAAAAGAGAAGTTGTTTATTATAAACAGAAAGGGCAGGGCTTCCAAGAGAAGTTAGGAGAATTTTGAGAGGGAAAGAAACCTTGTAATGACCCACAGATGCCATCAAATGCGGACCCAGTTAGGACTGCACAGCAAATAATTTTGAGCAGCTGGAAAGCACCGGGTCTATGAATGAGACTTAGTCTATTTCTGCTACTACAACAAAATACCTTAGACTTGGTAATTTATAAAAAACAGAAATTTGTTTCTTACAGTTCTGGAGGCTGGGGAGTCCAAGATAAAAACACCAGCATTTGCTGTCTGGTAAGTGCCTTTTTGCTGCAAACTCACGTGGCAGAAAGAGCAAATGCTGTGTTCTCACATGATGGAAGGACGAAAAGGGACAAACAGATTCCCTTAAGCCCTTGTATAAGGGCACGAATCCCATTCATGAGGGCAGAGTCTTCATGATCTAATCACCTCCTAAAGGCCCCACCCTTAATATTATTGCAGTAGGAATTCATTCTCAAATTGAAGTTTGGAGGGAGAAAGGGAAAGATCTAAAGTAGATTAGAAGCCTCTGAAACAAATTAAATAGAGCTGAAGACAAACCATGCCTGGTTAGAAGTTTTACCTAAAGCTTGGGAAACAAACAGAGAGAACAAAGGTGACCCTATACCTGAACAGAGAACCAGGTCACATTCCCAGAAACCAAGAAGATGAGCTCTTTCTAGAGAGGTTTGTGTGTCAATTAATGGGTGATTGATTTAAACTGCAAGGAGAGATCATGTGTTCTAAGGCATCCTTATTAAACTCTGGCAATTGAGCAGCAGGGAAGAACAAAATGTGCAGATTATCTAAAAGCTAAATGGTGATAGCTTCAACTCTTTGTACCTTCAAGAAAGCCAGTACTTTGAAGTTGTTGTAGCATCAATCCAGCATCAAGCTCCTCACCACAGTCAAAATCAGAGAATGTATTCTGTTTTTACAGGGCAGCAAAATAGATATTTCACAGCGACTCTTGACTTGTTAAACTAGCCTCATCTCTAAGCTTTCCAAATAACAGCCAATAAGACGGCAACAACAAAAGCTCCTGGAATGAAACCAAACTATTGTTTGAGGAGCAATGTCCAGGCCTGGACACCTCCCTGGGTACTGAGCTGATAAGGACAGTAGTAACGAGGCAGCTTTCATATTAAGTATCAGCCAGGGCAGGTACATTCTAGGGGTCCAACGCACTTCCCAGGTGCCCAGAAGCACACCTTCAAGCAACTTGAAATAGGTAGGTACCCTGGGGACCTGAGTACTGCTGGCAGACTAGCGAAGCTCCAGAAATAGAACACGTGCAGGCTTCTTTCTAGCAAAGGTTATGGGTTGTCCAGAAAATCCAGCAGGCAAGGTAAGAATAACTTGGCATAACAGGTGCTGTGGGCAGTTACAAACTGAAGAATAACCTACATATGAGTGTCTACTGAAGAAAGCACAATGTACCTCCCTCCTGATGGACCAGAGATGTTACCATCTTCATGAAGGATGCCAATAGCTAATAAGCATCACTAAACACTGCTTTTTCCAATAGAAAACACTGTACTAGGAGCCAGGAGACTTTGGCTGCAGTCCCCACTTTGCCACCAACTTGCCCTGTGAGCCTGGACAAGTTACTTTTCTCTTAATTTCCATGCCCGAGCAGTGAGTTAATGATACCTTCCTTTCCGGCTCCAATTAAGTATTGATGACAGGGCTGGGTGCAGTGGTTCATGCCTATGATCCCAGCACTTTGGGAGGCCAAGGTGGGAGGAACACCTGAGGTCAGGTGTTGGAGACCAGCCTGGCCAACATGGCAAAACCCTGTCTCTACTAAACATACAAAATTAGCTGGGTATGGTGGTGGGATCCTGTAATCCCAGCTCTCGGGAGGCTGAGGCAGGAGAATCACTTGAACCCGGGAGGTGGACACACCTTTGTACTCCAGCTTGGGCAACAAGAGTGAAACTCTGTATCAAAAAAAAAAAAAAAAAGTCTTGATCACAGGAGTATTGAATGAAATAATGTCTGTGAAAATTAGACAGTAGAATTCAAATGTAAGTCATTGTTATAATTCAACTGAAGACAGTTTTGTAGGATAAAAGCTAAACTAGTGGACCAGGTGCAGTGGCTCACACCTCTAATCCTAGCACTTTAGGAGGCCAAGGCCAGTGGATCGCTTGGCCCCAGGAGATTGAGACCCGCCTGGGCAACATGATGAAACCCCGGCTCAAAAAAAAATACACACAAAAAAAATTGGCCAAGCATGGTGGCACATGCCTGTGGTCCCAGCTACTCCAGAGGGTGAGGTGGGAGGATCATCTGAGACAGGGAGGTCAAGGCTGCAGTGAGCCAGGATTGTGCCACTGCACTCCAGCCTGGGTGACAGAGTGAGACCCTGTTTAGGAAACAAACAAACAACTAAACTAAATAATAGTGTTATATGTTGAAAGAGGCAAAACAGAAAATCCTTGCAAATGTTTCTCAACTAAGAAGACAACTTCAAATCATTTGTCTTCTAAATAGTACCTAATGCCATGAAAAGAGCCTGCCAATGCCTTCCAAACAATCCTATTTATCACTTGAAAACTCAGGCGATGTGGCTGGAATTGATGAGACTGTTTACTCTATGATTTCCATCCCTACCTTCCCTCCCTAATACGGTACACAGAAGTGGGTGAGTGTAACTCCTGGCAAATGAATAGACAGGAGTGCCAAATCCCAGGACCAGCTACTATCCCCTCACCTCCATTCCCCTGTCCCAGAATCATACAGACTCTGAAACTTGCGTGTTTTCCTATAATCTTCAACATGTGCACTCATTTCTACTCCTCCTTTCATAATTGAGTAGTGAAGAAGATAATTTATAAACACTCATGCCTCCATGGCTCCAAAAAGAAATTTGAAGTTCCAAAGAGGCATGGAGGCAGAACGTATTTAAACATAACCAGGGGGTGGTGGTAGAAAGCTGCAGGCCTCAGAAGGAATTTACTTGAGACTATGTGGGCTCTGCCTCTACAAAGTCCAGCTGCTGTGAACTATTCATTTGTTGGCAGAATTTGCACTGAGTCCATGGGACAAACATTTTCTCTCTAGAAGTTTCCCTGGATTATCTCTTCAGGCTTTATCATCCATTTATAAGATTAAAAATCATATCACATAAAACTTGACTCTAGAAATATGAAACTAACCAATGTTGTTTTTCAAAAGTTCTCTGAAAAATAAAATGGATTATGCAGGAAAATTTTGTAAATGGAAAATATTGCATATTCAGAGTTTGAGGCAATCCAGGACATTTTAAGCCAGAAAGCAGATGGAATAAGAGCAATATAAATTACTGTAACTGTATTTTGCCAATTGCAAAGTGACTCTAATGCCAAACAGAACTTCTTCTCCCCAACTTGTTGACTGCATACGTATTTGTTTTTAATTTACACTTGGTAGAGTTTGGTGAGATGTTTGGAGTTCGAATGATAGAATCTACAGGTCTAGGGAACACCAAATCTAGCCAAACCACCCACAGAGTATCCAATTAAGGAAACAAGCACATAATGTACAAAAAGGTATTTTCAGTGAAAAATAATATTCATGCATGTTATATAAGCCAATTAACAAAAACTGTGCCTGTAGCAATTTTTAAGGAATGTCTTACAAATAGGAAGTACGTTAAATACTGAACAGAAGGACAAAACTTCATCAGCAGTCCTTCCTGGCCTTGGTGCTCTCAACATGATCTCCAGCCTGTCTCTTAGATGTCTTGGCAGCTTCCCAAAGGAAGAGTCTTGGCCTCTGGTCGTCAGACTCAGAGAATCCTGACTTTAATCCTGACTCAATTCACTCTAGACCATCAATTCAGGGCTCAGTAAGATTTGTCCAAATTACCCTGACTGGAGTCAAATAACGCAGTCCTGTGAGAATCTAACCAGCTAATTTTTGAAAGAGGAGGGAGAGGTTGACACAGATTTTTCACTGCAGTGCAAATTGTAGTAAAGGGACAATCTGATGACTTCTTGGTGAATCTGTCTCTGCTTCATATTCCAGTAAGGTGCTCGGGCCTTGAGCCATTTCCTTGGGCTAGGTTTGAGCTAGGATGTGATTTCATCAACAGGCTATTTTTAACCAAGGCAGCCTAGAAACCAGCCTCAGGGGACTCGTGCTGAGATAAATTCACACAAATCACTCCCCAGCCCACTGACCAGCAAGACTCCTGCTTGGACAAGAAATCTTGCTCCATAGCCTAAATTATGACAGCCTTGAATTTTCAAAGCCCAAATTTTCAATGACAAGCCACTTTAGAGTCTGAATGATAAGAATGGAATGAAGATTTCCCCTGCATCTGCAGTCTCTCCTCCCAACCACATAAATACAGGGTAGCACAGAACTGCATATTCATGATAAAACAAACAGGCACTACAAGGTGTTTGCTGCATTCTTACATTTTTTTTAATAGGCAAGACCTCTTTACTCTTTTACCTCTGCCCCAAACACATCTTCATACCCCCTTGCCCAGTTTCAAATCTCATGCACTGCCACTATCGGGTAGAAAGACTCAGGAATCAGCATCTGGAAATACATTAATTTTGCATGAAAATGGAGGATGATAGCAGAAATTACAAAGAGACTACACACTAGAAGCATCTGTTCATTACAGCATTTTAACGTGCAATTATGGAACAGCATGAAGCAGGGTGGATGAGGAGGAGAAGGAGGGTGCCCAGGGAAGGCGCCCTCCACCCCAGGTGTGAAGAGGGCAGGCAACTTTGGAGGGAGCTGGAAGAGACAAACCAGGGAAATGAAACTGGCTTAACTCACTCAGATGTGGAAGAGCATATGCCCTGATAATGCAGGTGAGGTGAGAGGAATTAGAACTCCCCGTCCCTAGGAAGCGCAGCGTCGGCCTTCATTCAGATCTCTACAGCAGTGAGAAAGGATGCAAGGACTATTCTTCTGGAATCCCAGGAAGGAAGACTGGAAAGACAACACATCTGACCCAGTACCCATGTGCAAGCACTCGGTCTGTGCCAAGCAAATGCAAAGATGCAGACTTTCATACAATCATACACTGTGATCATTTATCAATCTCCTTGAGGATTCATAGTCAACACAATGGCATAGTTTACCACAGGCCTCTGCCCTTCAGAACTCAACCAGTCTCTTGGCAGCTGCTTCTAGAATGGGGGTTGGGGGTGCAGTCCACCACGAGAGCTTTGAGGCAACTGGGCAGCTTCAGGCACCTCACGGCTTCTCCTTCTGAGATAATTCCCACCACAACAAACCTGTATGCCTACAGGAGTGGCGAAGGTAGCCACCATCCCAGAAATAAATGGTGCATACCATCGGGGTTAAACCCAGTGCTGAAGATTTGTAAATTCCATTTCCTGCAAAGTTTCTGGGGGAGAAAAGTGGGTGGGGCTGTAGAGTGCAAACATAACAACATTCACGTACCTCAGAGGACGGTGGAAAGAAATGGCTAATAAAAATTATTACAAATCACTTCACACACATAAAGTGCTTTATAATAAATACTAATACTTTAATTCCACACTGCTCGTTTCTAGATTTTAAGAGTCAAGCTGAAAGAGTAAAAGTAGTAAGCTTCATATTCTGTCGTTTTCTAGTTTTAAGCAAAGGAAGAAAGGAAGGAAAGAGAAAGAAAGCCCAAGAAGTCAACTTTTCAGTTGCTGCTTATGTAACAGGAGCCTGTGAACTGCACCAGAAATTAATTGAAGGAAAAGTAACTGTAGGGGAATTGCTTGGAGAACTGCCAGAAGGGTTTTAACAGCTGGAAGTTGAAAAGTGATTAATTTTGACAGCAATAAAAGCCTCATGTTCATACATAATTATGCTTAGATTTGTGGGCTGCTGGAATTTTTTCTATGCGCTATTAACCTTTTGCTGTCCAAATTGGAATTTAGATACCTTAAATGAGTCTTGATTTTTAAATTGAATAATAATTTGCTTTCCATGGTATTGAGTCATCTCAAGACATGGAAAGTTTCAGGGGAAACACAGTAGAATAACAAGCAGGTAGGAAATAGCTTCACATATCCTTCTGAGTATTTTTGAAACTTAATAGAAATAAAGGCATCTCATTTTGCCCTATGCAGGAACAACAACAACAGCAACAACAATAAAGCATTTAGGAAAAAGCATTCAGAACAAGCAGGACAAGATACTGAAGCAACGGTATGTTGTCAACTCTACAATTCAGCTGAATTCATAGCACTAGGAAATAGAGATAACACTGTAAGAAGATATTCATTATGGTTTAAAGGTCCCCTCTAAAATTCATGTTGAAAACTTAATCCCGAATGTGGCAGTATTGAGAGGTGACCCCTTTAAAAGGTGATTGGAGCATGAGGGTAGAGCCATTCGTGCATTAATGGATTTTCAGGTTAATGGATTAATGGGTTATTATGGGAGTAGGACTGGTGGTTTTATAGAAAGAGGAAGAGAGACGTGAGCCAGCATGCTCAGCGCCTTCACCATGTGATGCCCTGTGCCACCTTGGAACTCTGCAGGGTCTCAGCAAGAAGGCTCTCACCAGATATAACCCCTCAACCTTGGACTTCCCCATCTTCGGAACTATAAAAAATTAATTGTGTTTCTTATAAATTATCCAGTCTCAGATATTCTTTTATGAGCAAAAGAAAGTGGACTAAGAAAATATAATGCTACATTCAAAAATATTGACTAGCATAGGATTAAACTGAGTTCTAGAACTCCAGTACGGCTAATTAGCTACAAAAGCTTAAACACATCACTTAATTTCTCTGTGACTTCTCTGTTTCCTGCATAGGAAGAGAGGGCTGGAGTAGATAATTTAGAAGATCACACTCACTCTAAAATCCAATTATTTTAAATAATCTGTTTTGGGATTAGCCATATTCTGACTTTTTTTCTCTTAGTCACCTTTACTATTCTTATATCAACCAGTTTGACCAGATAGAGTGAAATCTTGGTAATATAAAATATTTTCAAAATAATTAGAAATAGCTAATATTTAGTAACAATAATTGCAGTTTGCAAAGCACTATTCTAAGAACTTTATAAATATTTGATGTATATACCTATATATCTATAATATTATATGTCAATCCTCACAACCATCATATCAGAGAGGATTGTTATCCTATTATTACAAGTATTACTATTTTTCCCACTTTACAGAAACTGAAACAGTAGAGTGGTTACATGACTTCCCAAAGTCGATTAATACCAAGTGGGAATGCAAAGATTTGGGGAGTTTCCTATTATTCCTAAGAAAATATATGTTATTGTAGACACAGTAAATTTATGTCATGAATGGTGGAACAGAAATAAGAACAATGAACCTGAACTCAAAAGAACTAGATTTAGCCTTGGCCCTTTCATTTTCTGCACTGTTACCTTGAACAGTTCAACTTTCCATTCCAGTTTCCTTACTTGTAAAGTACAGGAGTCATCTAAATCAGTGGCTCTCAAGATGTGGTAGCCAAACCAGTGACATCGCTATTATATGGGAACTGGTTAGCAATGCAAATTCTTGGATCCAACCCAATTAAGTTCTTAATTCTCGGATAGGTCCCAGACCTACCAAATTATAGTTCCTGGGCATTAGGGTCCAGCAGTCTCTATTTTGACAAGCCCACCAGGTGATCACAATGCATGCTAAAGTTTGGAAACCAGTGGCCTAGGTGATCACTAAATTACCTTCTGATTCTCACATTCTGTGATTCCATCTCTGACTGTCTGGTTTCAGGTCGTTGAATTTCAAACTGATGTGGTTTTGCTCTATTTAAATACCTCTTCCCTGATTCTTTGTGCCAGAGGATGGGATACCTAATGTTGGCTCACTGGAATGATTTTTTCTTTAGTCATCATCTGAGCATTGCAGAAGAATGAGGTTACTGTGAATGCTTTCTTACCTCAAGCAAAAGTATAAGATTGAATTCCAAAGCCAGAGCCTCAACAGAATCTGAGTTCTTAATCCAATGCCATGCCCCACATGGGGGCTTAATAAATCCTTGTTGCTGCCTGAGGCAAACGACATCCAAGCTATGATTAGCAGCCTGAAGGAGCTGGCATGTGTTTGCTCCCATATTCCCAAATGTGCCAAAATCAGACCTGCCTGTCTCCTCCAAGTCAAGAGGGAGGCACCTATGGATAGAATGTCCAATTTACCTCTTAATTTAATGCTCCCATTGCCATAGTGTTACCTGACAAATACAACTCACTTGAAATCAGAAGCCTGGACAAACAAACAATTCCAAAGGTATTCACATTTATTTGAGGCCCGATTTTAAATGGGCCTTCACCTTGTTCTCTTTCAGTAACCACCTGCTCTTCAGCAGTGGCAGAGGAACACCTCCAGGTTTCAGGGCCAACCATGATATGAATGCCCAATGCCTCATACTTAATAAACCCTCCTGTAAAAGCAGAACACCAGGTGACTGCATACCATGATATACAATACTATAAACAGCAGAAGAGCAAAGACTGGTGTCTCTGCTTCCTTTGTATTTCTCATGACACCTCATTAACATAAGCCATTGTTTGCTGGTTTTCTTAAAAAGATACAACTAGAAGAAAGAAGCAGAAATGCAAATTCCATTGGATTTCAAAATTTTCTGAGAAAAAATAGAAACTTAGGAAAGAATAATATATTGAAAGGAAAGATGGGCACATAAAGAAATATAAACTTGTTAGGAGTTATAGTTATGAAGCAGGTGGAGTTTCACTCTTTAGAGCCAAATAAGTCTAAGACACATGGGGAATAACTCTACTCTTGTTTTATGTGAGTGGAAAACCATAAATATTTATTCTAGGCCATCCCAGAGACTAACAATTTTACATTTGGCCATAATAAATATGAGAAGGGCTAAAAAAATTTACAAACCATTTCCCAATCCAAGGTTACTTCAAATGATATGTTAGCAAATGCATTACATTCTTTTATTAAAAATAATCTAGGTATAATTTTCCAATTTGATACCTGTATATTGTGATAGCTGCAAAAAGAAGTCAAGCTGATATTTTGGGATTTATTCTGGACTATCAGGCACAATCTATTAAGTAGGTGCTATTATTGTCTCTATCTTACAGATGGAGAAACTGAGGCACAGAGAGGCTAACACAGCCAAAGTTACAAAACTAACTAGCAAATAAAATAGCTTAGATTCAAAACCAGGAACTCTGTCTCCAGAGTTTATGCTCCTTGATACTCATGTCACTCTTGTTTTATTTATTCTGTGTATCACTTAGGAATGCTTTGGTGGCAAGTAACAGAAAACTCAACTGAGAGTGACTCTTAAAAATAGGAATTCATGTGGTCAGATGTCATAGCTCACGCCTGTTATCCCAGCACTTTGGGAGGCCGAGATGGGCAGATCACCTGAGGTCAGGAGTTGGGACCAGCCTGACCAACATGGTGAAACCCAGTCTTTACTAAAAATAGAAAAATTAGCCAGGCATAGTGGTGCATGCCTGTAATCCCAGCTACTTGAGAGGCTGAGGCAGGAGAATTGCTTGAACCCAGAAAGTGGAGGTTGCAGTGAGCTGAGATTGCACCACTGCACTCCAGCCTGGATGACAGAGGGAGACTCCATCTCAAAAAAAAAAAAAAAAAAAAAAAGCAGGAATTCATTTTTCTCGCTAAGCAGCAAGTATGGAGAAAAGCAACTGCTGGGGGTTCAGTTGCTCTCTATGCCCTCAGGGACCCAGGTACTCTCAATTCCACTGATCAATCATCTTAGAATCCTCACGCCTACAATGTCATGGTCCCTGCTGTTCTAGATGGTACCTCCCCATTCCAGGGAGGTAGAAGGTGTAGTCCCCCCGCCTTCTTGGGGGACTTTGTCTTTTTCCATTTGGGAAACTACACTCACCTCACTGGACTGTCCTTTACATCTCACTAGCCAAAACAGGATCACACACTCATTCTTCACCCAACGAAAGGCCAAGCAAAGTGAGATGATGGTTACTGGTTTTAACTAATCATGCTTTATTTTGGGGGCTTGGAAAGGAAGCTGAAACTAATGAGCCTCTACCCAGCTCCTGAATAAATTAGACTTTTTTTAGTGAGAAAGGAGAGTGGGCAGGAAGGGGAATGAGTGTTGGATGACAATAGACAGTGTCTGCTGCACTCCCCTACTTTGGATATTTGGTTGCTCTTTATTGTTCAATACCTGATTCCCTTGAACTGTGGGAAGGCACTGTGCTAACAAGTGGGAATAAAGACAAAAACCATAATCTCTATATGGTTATAAATTGCTGAAAGGCTTCATTTGAGAGAACCAATTGCATACCCAATTTTAAACAAAGAGGTGAAAGAACTTAAGTGACATATGGCTGAGTTGGCAAATGGCTGTCAACAGAATCCAAGAGGCCTTACCTTGGCTTTGAGTACACAATAGGTGAGACAAAACAAGCCCCAAGGTACTCAGACTGTAAAATGACAGAAAGGACAAGCCTTGTGTATGTGCTTAAAAATAGAGTGTACATTCAGTATTCTCATAGCATTAAGCATACAGAGTTGGTTTATACCCACAAGTAATCACAGTATAATCTAAATTTCTCCAGGCCTTACCTGCTGCTGGGTATAGATAGAATCATGCAAAAGTAATGACTCAAACTTCCCTGGCACATGTCTGTGCCAGCCCCTGCTTTGTGTTTCTGGGAGTCCCCATGAAGTCCACAAAAGTACACACAAACTGTCCCAAGCCCACTGGGGTTGCCCCTGCTCTGGCTTGACCCAGAGCTACATAATGGCTTGGATCAGAGCTGGAGGAGCAACTCCCTCTCCTTCACGTACCCACTGTCACAAGGGTCTGAAAACAGTGCAGCTAGCACCTCCTCTCTCCCTAGGACCCAAACATGTGGCCACAGAGCTGGGCTGGGCACAGATTCAAGTGACAGTGACTGTGATCAACTCAGTATCTCTTCTCTTCCTCAAATATCACAGCTTGCCGTTGCATCAAATCATCTTGTCTGGCTCTTTTTCCCTTAGGACAACTGACTAATCACCTCTGTCCTAGGAACTTATTCTTAGGAAGTAGCCAGACACATGGCCAAAAATATGCATTAAAGAGTCAATTACAGAGCTCTTAATAATGGTTAAGAAAAAAAAATAACCTTAATTTTATCAGTAGGAGACTGGTTAAATGAATTACAGCATATTCATTTTGAAAAATAATAAGCATTCATTTAAAATGATGAGGTACATCTACATTTACTGACGTGGAAAGATATGATATATTGTTGAACTGGGAAGAAAGTATGATCTCATTTTTATAAAAATATAAGTAAACACATGCTCACATGAATGTATGTGCATTAATGTGTGCACACACACAAAGAAAAATAGAAGTTATCTTTGGACAACAAGATAAGGGCATTTTTGCCGTTTTCTTTATATCTTTCTGAAAAATAGGAATGTTTTTACAAGAAGTATGAATTGCTTTCATAATCATAAAAAGATAAAGCCATATCTATTTTGAAATATAATTATTTTAATAAAATAGGCTTTAGTAATTGATCCATTCTTTAGGGTGAAATTGTGGAGGGGTATAAAATCTCCATTTAGCAATATCTTTTAATAGAAGGAAGGTCTAATCATTTACTGGAAATTCCTGGGTAATGTGCAGGAAAACCAACCTTGACAGAAAGATGATTGGTACTGGACAGCTCCTGAAAAATACAGTGAGGCTGGGGAGAAGGGCAGTGCCCCAACAGCGCTATTCCTGGAAGCCCAAGAAATCACAATTTCTGGGAAAAAAAAAAAAAAAAAGTATGCAGAGCAAAGCAAACACATGGGTTGCTGTATTTTGTGGTTGCCTCTTTTTCGCCTTGGCTCATTTTTTCTATTGGTTATTTTTTTCTAACTGATTAGTAAAAGCTCAAAGCTTAACAACACCTGGCATTTACATCACATTTTTTCCCTCTATTTGTTTGCCTTTCAAGATTTTTGTGAAATTTTATGACACATAGAAGTTCTCATTGTTTGTGTGATAAAGTATAACAGTCATCTTTTTTTTTTAATGATTCTTGGCTTTGGTATCTTGCTTGGAAACGCTTTTTCTACCCCCCAAAACACCAAAATTATTCACTCATATTTTATTTAACCTATACATTTTTATCTTTTATAATTGTTAAAAGGAAAATTACAGATAAATTAAATTTAACAGAGTTTAACTGAGCAAAGAACGGTTTGCAAATAGGCACCTCCCCCACCACCAGAATAGACTCAGAGACACTCCAGCGCTGCATGTGATCAAAGAGAATTTACAGACAGAAAAAAAAAGTGATGCTAGAAACAGCCTGATTGGTTACAGCTCTGTGTTTGCCTTATTTGAACCTGGTTTGAACTATCAGCTGCCTTTGGTTGGCTAAAGCTTGGCGATTTGTATGAGTAGGTTGCAGTCTGTTTACACATCCAGCTGGGTTTCAGTTCACTATATATGGAGGAAACTTTAGACCAAAAGTCTCATATGTAAGGAGACAGCTTTGGGCTAAACTTAATTTAACATAATTATTAAATTGATCGAATTTGTGTGTGTGTGTGTCATGTATGAGGTAGTGATATAAATGGTTTGTACCAATTGGTTGATCATTCTTCCCAACACCATTTATAGATTTATCCAGTCTTTTTTTTACTGATTAGAAATAATATTTTTTTTTTTTTTTTTTTTTGAGACGGAGTCTCGCTCTTTCAACCCAGGCGGGGCTGCAGCGGCGCTATCACTGCTCACTGCAAGCTCCGCCTCCCGGGTTCACGCCATTCTCCTGCCTCAGGCTCCTGAGTAGCTGGGATTACAGGCGCCCGCCACCGCGCCCAGCTAGTTTTTTGTATTTTTAGTAGAGACGGGGTTTCACCGTGTTAGCCAAGATGGTCTCGATCTCCTGACCTCGTGATCCACCCGCCTCGGCCTTCCAAAGTGCTGGGATTACAGGCGTAAGCCACCGCGCCCGGCCTTATTGTATACCAAAACAACACAAATACACAAGGGTACATACATACATAGCCTTGGGTATGTTCTGGACTTAAATTGTTGAGTTCCATTAGCCCACCTGCCTATTCCTGAGCTGATACTATATACATTACAATCATTATGAATTTAAGATGGTTTTAATTTTCTGATAAGGCAAAAAGACACCCTCATTATTATTCTTTTCAAAAATATATTAGCTATTCTTAAATGATCATTCTTCTGAATAATTTAGAATTATGTGGTCAAATTCCAAATAAAATGCCATTAAGATTTTTATTGGGATGGCATTAAATTATAGATTAATCTATAGAAAAAAACTTAATATTTTCAATAGGAAGCCTTCTCTTTAGTCTCACATTAGGATTTTGTAAGTTTCTTCCTATTCTTCCTTGATGTTTCTTGGTAGGTTTGTGAAAAGTTGATTTTCTCTGGCCCTTCTCACCCCTTGTCTGGTCACATGCAGTGTGTTGGAATCTCTTTATCAGATTTACAGTTGTAGGACAGGTTTGTATATCTATAGCTCTCAGGCAAAGTTTCACTTCCCACAGACTTTCCTTCAGTTTTCTTGAGGTGGTACCTTCCCCTGACCTCCACTATCTGGTTTCTGGTTCCAGAGAAACAATTTAATCATTCTCATTTCCAGCATGCTCTGCTTCCTGGGAGTTTATTTATTTCCTGCCACAATGCTTACATCATAAAGACTACAACTCATTGTACTGGTTTGTTTATTTTTTTTTTTTCTGCATAACAAATGACCACAGACTTAGCAACTTAAAACAACACACATTTATTATCTCACAGTTTCTGCGGGGCAGGAGTCTGAAGATGGCCTAGCTTGGTCCTCTGCTCGGAGTCTCACAAGGGTGCTATCAAGATGTTGGCTGGCTGCATTTCTTTCTGGGTCTTGAGATCCTCTTCAAAGCTCAGGGGGTTGCTGGCAGAATTCAGTTTCTTGCAGCTGTAGAATGCAGGTCCCTGCTTTCTTGCTGGCTGTCAGCCAGGGCTGCTCTCGGCATCTACAGGCCCCCTCTGTTCCTTGCATGTGGCCCTCTCCCAGGTCCACTCATGATATGTCAGCCTACTTCTTCAAGGCCAGCAAAAGAATCTCTTGTTAGGGCCCACTAGGACAATTCTTAGATAATGTAACATAATCACAGGAGTGACATCCATCACCTTCACGGTACTCAACTGGCTAGAAGCCAGTCACAATTTCCACTCATTCTCAAGGGGAAGGGATTATTCAAGGGTGTATCCACCCCACTCAGGCCTTGGACCATTGTCAGCACACCACTACTTCCTGATCACCTTTTTTCTGAGATTTGGGGTCTTGGCCTAAATATGACAGGGTGGCAGCCTGAGTGGGGACAAGAGGCAGAGGGCAGGTGGCTGTGGGAGAAACGTATAGAGAGGCACTCTGCTCTCCTCACAGAACTGGACAGTTTTCTGTTTGATATAGGCACCAGGTCTTCAAATGGGGGAGGCAAAGTAGAGGTATGACATATGAGGAAAGCTACACCGGTTATTCTCGGTTCTCTCCATCTGGCTTAGAATTATTGTCAGTTTCTTCAAAATGCTGGAATTTGGTTGTTAGTCATTTTTCAGTGTTGTACATTTTATCTTTTTTAAAAATCTCTTTGTATATATGTTAGTGAGAAGTTAGGGAAAATGGCTAGCTTCCTGATGCTTTGAACCAGAGTTTCAACCAAGCCAGTTTCTGGCAGGCTTCTGCTTCTGTCTTCTTGAGATGGCACCATGCCTTGGTTTCTAGTTCTTTCGAAGCAAGTGCAAAATTGAGAACAACACATTTTATAAGAACTTTCTTGGTTCTGTTGTGCTACCTCAGGGAAACCAAAGAGATAGCTAATCTATACCTTGCTCAGGAAGCTGTGGGTATCAGAAATGTATCTGCAGTACTGGTAGTCATTTCATCCTCCCAATAACCTAGTGAAGTACATATTATTATCTCACTTGATGGAAGTGGAAACAGAGGCTTTGACTAAACAAATAACTTTCCCGTTTTCGCACAACTCAAATCACAGGTTGCCTAACTCCATAGTTCTTTCTATCACATTATACTTTCAGGGTGGGGGAATGTCTTCTGAAATATTGAGAGGCATTTAATAATAATCAACAAGTTTCTTCCAATCTTCATTCAGCCTACAACCTCACAACCCTAATGTATATCTTTCTGAAATAGGGAGTTTTTTCACAGTAAAAATGGACAGCATTCTTTTTCCTGTCATTACTCCATACCGCCTTTGCCCCACAAATTTTACAACCTGAAAAACAAAGCAAGCAAAGTCAATTATTGAGAGATCTGGTAAGCACACAGAGCGGCTCAAACTCAAGGTTTTTATTCAGCCGCACTCAAATACCTTGTCTCATGTATCCCAGAAGCAAGCCACACTAAGCAGGGGTATAAGCCAGTCAGAGGGAAACTCCCTTCTCTCTTTTGGGAAGCTCTGACAAAAGTCTCCAGGGGGCACTGCAACCAGCTGGGGGAAGTCTTAGTCTGTTTGGGCTACTGCAACAAAGTGCCATAGACTGGGTGGCTTAGAAACAACAAACATCTATTTCTCAGTTATGGAGGCTGGAAAGTCCGAGATCAAGGCTTGGGCAGATTTAGTGTCTGGTGAGGACCTGTTTGCTGGCTCATACATGACCTCTTCCAGCTGTGTCCTAATATGATGGAAGGAACAAAGACGCTCCCTTGGGCCTACTTCATAAGGCCAGGCCTTGGTGACCTAATCACCTCCCACAAGGCCCCACCTCCTCACAGGGGGTTAGGATTTCAACATGTGAATTTTGAAAGGACACAAACGTTCAGACCATAGCAGGGGAGGACACAGGTGCAACAGTCAGAGTTCCTGGGTGCTAGAGTCAGAGATCCTGAGGCTGGGTGCCTGCCAGCTGCCTCCAGGGAAAGGTCATGTGATGGGTGGTGGGACTCTAACAGACACACACCAGGAGTAAATTCCTAAACAGCAGGTGATACAGAAACTGAGGGAGATGTCTTGCAAAACGAGACCACACAGCATGCCAGCAGGTGGAGGTATAGACCCCCATGTCTCCCAGTCCCCATGAAAATATACAGCTGCTGCTGACCACAAACCCATCCCCCCAGCTGCCCGAGCTGCATACCTGCCTGCTAACTAGGTGCAAGTAACTACTGAAACCAACCTCAGCACATTCCTAAGTGTTTATAGGTCATAAAAGGTCTATTTCTCATGCTTAGTACCCTCATTAGGCCCAAGTTTTAGGCCTACCTTGGGTCCATTCCCGCAGCAATCTTGGGCAAGTCATAAGATCTTGCCCATTATCAGTTTCCTGTAATACAGTAGTTCTCAAAATGTGGTCCCCCAGCCGGCAACATCAGTACCTTATGAGAACTTCTTAGAAGTGCAAATTCTTGGACTCCACCCCAGACCTACTGAATCAGAAACTCTGGGTATGGAACAGAAGGATCTGTTTTGACAAGTCCTCCAGGTCATTCCGATGCATGTTAATGTGGGAACCACCGCTCCCTCCAATACCTCATAGAATTGTGAGAATTAAATAAGATAATACATTCTGTTCTGCTACCGTTTCCGTGTATGAATTAGCCCATCAGAGATTGATCACAGAGAAATGACATCAGTATAATGTGAAAATTGCACTGGTTTCCATAATTTCGTAGGTAATTTTTACTAACCAAGAAGTCCTGAGATAGCAGGAGTAGAACCATAACGTTCAATGGGAAGGAAAAGGCTTGAGGTTTGGCTGCTGTACCAGCAGCAGAAATCTTTTTGCTGTATTCCAGGAAATGTTTAAATGAGTACCTGCCACCAGGGCTACCTCCTCAGGTAGGTGCACCTCCAGCCTTGTGAGCTCTCAGCTTGTGGAAGGTTGTCTGGCTTCCTGTGTGCACCTTAACAACAGCCCTGTGACTCCAAGCTACATTTCCATCGCCCTGTCCCAGCCCCTGCCAGTGTCAGTCTAATTAAAATGTTACCAGCTTTTCATCTTTATTGCTTTTGTGCATTTTAATACCCGTGTGGCAGCCTCTAGCCCCTCAGCTGCTGCCAAGGTGGTCCAAATGATCTCCCCAGGTAGTAGTGATTGCTTTCCTTAATCACAGTTGCATGGGATTTGAATGGTCTGCCTTGGCCCAACTTTTCCCATAAGTCCTATTATTTTTTATGCCAAGTTTTGCAGACAGCAACATTTTCTAGAAAGTGTAATTTTAGGTTACAGCAGAAATGCCTGTATATGTAAATTACCTGGCACATAGTAAGGGCTCAGTCATTATTATTATTAGTTCATGTCTACCATACCTTGTCCTTGAAATGCTGACAAAAAAAAAAAAAAATGAGCCAAGAAAACCCTACAGTGACAATTCCAGTACAAGAGCAAAGGAACACAACTTCATATAGCAGGTTTTGATAATGAAAGGCAGAAGTTCTTATTCTCTTTTGCCAATATTTTTAATGACAGTCATTTGAAGCAATTCCTCCTGTGTTTTTTGTTTTTTCCCAGTTTGAGTAGCTTTTTTTTTTGACATGGGGATATTTTATCTACTCCTATGTACTTAAATCTTTAATGACATTCCATCTCTTTCTTTTTGACTTTAGAAAATCAGACACTTATTCTTAGAAATAGCCAGGTGGAGAGTAATTATCTTGGCCATAATTCTCTGATGTTTACAGAATATGGCACTCAGACTTGAAATCTCTGATGGCCTTTGCTGGAAGGGATTTCAGCCTCCTCGTCCGACATGAATGGGAATTGAGGTCTGGCTCAAGGTCAGACAGCAGAATAGTCTGGCCATGAAAGCCAGCCAGGTGTCCTGGCTTCTAATTCAGTATTCCAGCTCTTAATGTTTACTCTCTAGTTATGTTCTGCTTCATGAGGTCACTTCTAAATTGTTTCCTCAAACCTGGGGTCACAGACCAGTGGTCTGTAGGTCAAATTCAGCCCACAGACATGTTTTATTTGCCCGTGTCGTATATCTTAACAATTGAGAAATTTCACATTTAAAAAAATGTCTTGCTTCACTTGAAAATTCAGAACATCTGGCACCTCTGAGCCACTATTCCCACACGGCAACAATCAGCCCAGCTGAAGAGCACCTTCCCCTTTCAACCGGGATGAGCTCACTCAAAACTGCCGGGGTCCCCCCAACTCCCCATTGCTTGACGTGCATGCACACACCTTTCTGTATTAGTTTGCTAGGGCTGCTGTAGCCAAGCACCACAGATTCTGTGGCTTCAACAGCTGAAATTTATTTCCTCACAATTCTGGCGGCTAGAAGTCCAAGATCAAGGTGTCGCCAGGGTTGATTTCATTCTGAGGCCTCTCTCCTTGGCTTATAGATGGCCCTCTTCTCCCCGTGTCTTCATATGGTCTTCCCTCTGTGCGTGCCTGCATCCAAATTCCCTCTTCTTATAAGGATATCAGTTATACAGACTGGGGCCTACCCAAAGAATCTCCATTAACATAATTACCTCTTTCAAGACCCTATCTCCAAATGCAGTCATATTCTGAGGTACTAGGTTTAGGACTTTAACATGTGAATTTGGAGGAGACACACTCAGCCCATGACACAGTCATTCCTCCTTTAGATTACCTGCTTGATCCCAAAGGCATTTGAATCTGCAACTGTGACAAACAGCAAACCTTGGTTTGTTCTTGAACAACTCAAACCTTCATGTCTTCTTTCATCAATTAAACAGCTCCTCTATGAAGTACCTTAATAATGAAACCCGAAGTACACTTAGAAGAGACATAAAATTTTAAAGACAGGAAGAACCTCAGAGACTATCTCCTCCAGGGGTTTTCAAACCATTTTAAGTCATGGAAACTTCTAACAAAAGTTAACAAGGAATTGATAAGTAAAATAGCTAAACTCCACTCCTGTTTGCCAAAATAGCTACTAAGGGAGCTCCAGAAGACACTGGGCCTCCCTATATAAAAATCATTTGAAAACCACTGATCTAATCAAATTATTTGGTTTATATCTGAGGAACCTAAGGGCCTTCCACACAGCCATGGCCACACAGAGCTGGGAGCAGAACCAAATCCTCTGTCTCCTGCTTCCTATGGCTCCGGGTCTCTATATGGTTCCAACCAGGATCTGCACAAGGTTGATTGAATAATACTTTTAGGTTGGTGTAAAAGTAATTGTAGTTTTTGACACTACTTTTAACAGCTAAAAGCACAATTACTTTTGCATCAACCAATATCATCAGGATAGGAAAATCCTGACTTTTTGTTGGTGAGAGGAACAAGCTGGAGCTGAAGTCTAGGAGTCAGGAGGCCCAGGTTCTAACTGTGTGTTGTCCATTCTAGCTGTATAACACTGAGGACAAAGGATTTTACCCCTCTGTTCCTCTTCATATTCAGCACACAAAGGGTTTGACTCTATGAATTCTAATATATCTTCCAATATTAAAATACTAGGATCCTGGAATGTTACCCTTATAGTAATTATGCTCTCCTTTACTTATGCTCTATTGATGTAAAAGGACCATGATAACTTTTGCCCCAAGAGGCATGTATACCAGCAATGGGCAGGCTCAGCCTCCCCACACACAGAGATCCCCCGGGCCCTGCCTGCTGACAACCAAGGCCACCTAAACATCCATACTCCGGCTTGTTATCATAGAAAAGAAAAAAGAGAAAAATTAAAAAGACCTTCCCCAGAAGAGGTAAAGCCATGTGGCCCACTCTTTGGTCAGTAATATAAACCAAACATTTTGCACCACAGGGAAAGTGGAAGCAAAAGAGTAGGAAGAATTGCTATGCTGTTTGGGAACTGTAATTACATGACTCCAAAGTGGAAATGGCAGGAATTTGTTCTGCAACCAACATTCTAGTAACAACAAGCATATTACTTCATGAGGTTGCCTGCCATGGAGCATACTAATTTTCACAAGTAATTAGCATCTCATTTTGAGCCAAAATCTATGACCCTCAAACATCCAAACTTTGGTTACCACCAACACCCATGTCCTCTTCCTCTTCATGGACACACAGCTGGACTACCTTTTCCAGGCTCTCTTGCAGTTGGCTGGAGCCAGAGAACTGCGTCCTCACCAGTGGAATGTAGGCCAGGTGTTACGCGTCTCACCAGGCTTGGTCCATAATATCCTCCCACATGTGATCCTTGCTCTTTCCTCATATGCCAGTTGAATGCAAGGGACTTTGGAGGCAGGGAGGAGGGCAAGGCCCAAGATGAGGAAACCTAGATCCCTGAATGACTGTGTGGAACAGAGACACACCCCCACCCCCATCCTCCCTGTGATGTGCACAAGAAATAAATGTTTATTTTGTTTAGTGATTGAAATTTGAGAGGCATCAGTTTCAGCAACTAGCATTATTAACTTTAACGCGTGTATCTTTTGAAGTAAGACAAGCCTACTACTTCTTGTCTCACTTACTAGACTTGATATATTTTAAGATAGCTCTCATCTAAAGGTGATAAGAAGACAATCTCTTGACTCTCTTCTCCCTTAGTACTTCTCCTCTTTTGTCCTTCCCCAATTCAAGAAATTCCCCAATGTAAAATCCTGAGCCCATTGTATCAGGGAAGGAGTTTGCATGGGAGGAACACTGAGAGTCTCTTTCTCCCTAACATTTATTAAAAACCTAAGCCCTTGGTATTAATAGATCAGAGAGAATTCCCAACAAAATCAGAATATTTGAGACAACTGTCATCAGTGACAGAAGTGAGACTGAGGGGACTAGAGTTTCTCCGCCCCCATGGTGAAAAAATATTCCATAGTCCCAACAGTCTTTCTCAACCAAACTGCCACAGTAGAATTAAGCCTTAATGCCCATTGTATCAAATGAATTAACTTCTATAATAGAGTGATACTTATTTATCATCCTTGGGAGAATTTTTAAAAAATATTTCTGAGTTACATGGTTTAGATGAGAAAGGCTGGCTGGAGGAAAGGAGAAAGGAAAAAAGAAAGTGAAAGCATCAAAGAATCCTGGACAGCAAAGGGAAAGGTGCCAGGGAGCCAGCAGAATGCCAAGGCCATGCGGCGAAGGAACTTGGCCTTGTTGAGCTGGTAGAGCCCAGGGAGGTAGCAAGACCCAGGGGAGGGACCTTCTTCTGACCAAGGAGGTGCATCTTAGGCACTTTCTTCTGGCCCAGGAGGCTTTGAATCAGTGACAGCACCATTCTGGAAGGAGCAAGGCTGGCTGAAAGGAGATCCCTCCAAGCTGTAACCTGCAGGACCAACTATTAAGAATTCTCTGGGTCAGGGAACATCTTCATGAATACCTTTGAATGAAACTCAGGACTTCCTAAAATTTCCATGTCTTTTTCTTTCACCTGTCAGGCAGGGTATTCAGAAGGCCTAAAATGATTAGGCCAGATACTGTTCAGTCAATGTTTTCCAACTGTAACATAATTAAGAATATGAGCTGTTTTCTCTCCATGTTGACAAATAACTCCAAGATACCAGCACAGTCCTTCTTCCAGTGCAAACTCAGTCTTTGGACCTCCTGGAAGACTTCCCCAGACCACCACTGTACTGACAGGCTGTGTTTGTTCCTTTATTTGACATTTGGCCAGGGGGATGTCCTTCCTTAATGAAATCAGAGTCTGGAACTTTACCCAAATATTAGGTTGGTGTAAAAGTAATTGCAGTTTTTGCCATTGCTTTCAATGGCAATGTAGCAATTCTGTAATAATAGGTCATGAAAAGAGGAGGCTCACCACAGGGGCTCCTGAGAAGACATTGATTACCAAGGGGAGGGCTGGCAAGCATATTGTTGGGAGGAAATATTTAGTGAGCAGGTGAAAAATAATGAATTAAAAATTTTAAACTTTTCTTAGCAAAAGAAGATATTTAATAAGTATAAAGTGTTAAAGCTGAGAATTAAAGTAATATTCACTAAAGAGTACACAGCAAACATAAAAAATATAATTACATCTATAACTTGAGAAATATTCATGTGTTATTTTAACCTGGGGCTTTGCATTTTAAGTGAGAGGAAAGAAAACAGATCAACCCAAATTACTGAAGGCCCTGGAAGGAAGATTAAAGGAATTGAGATGGCTTTATTTTGGTGATAAGAAAGCCAAGGGAGGGCTAAATAGCTGTTTTCAAATATTTTAAAGGTTAGTCCCAAGATACAGGCCTGCTGAGCTCAGCCCCTGGCCTTTCCCAATTCAGAGCCCTTGAACTCAGCAGCTAACAAAGAACTGCTGTCTTAAGTGGAAAGTAGAGTCAGAAGCTCTCCCATCCTCCCCAAGAGCTTCCTTCTGGGCTTTGGCTCTCCAGATGGGTTACTCACACTCCTATCCCTCCACCTCATCCATTAAGTTAGAAAATTGCTGACTCCCCAAACCATTCTCCCCAACCAGTCCCTGGGGCCTTACTGTGTCTAACACCCCACTAAGCTGCTCCTCAGTCCTCCTGCCTCTGCCTTACTGTGGCTTCTCGTAACTTCTTTCTTATAGCTTTTCAATAGCCATCTAATGGACCTCCCTGACTCAGCTTCCCCATCCTCCCACAACAGTCCATTTCCACACTGCCCCAGAGCTCCCATCCAAAACACAGATTTGATGATGTCACTAGCATAAATACCAGCAATAGACTTTCTGCAGGCTTAGATTTTCATAATGAAAGGTATTTTTACAGTATCTGCCTTGGCTCCTTTTTTCATCCAATCCCGTTAGCACTGCTCTCAAGCCCCTTTCCAAAGTGACTCATTCAACCTGTCCCCTCTCATTTGCCCCACCCACCCGCACTGAAGACTCTGCTTCGGCCACATTAGACACTCACAATTCCTTGAACATCCTCATGCTCCGCTGCCTTTCTTCTTGCAAATTCCTGTGCCTGAAATGTCCATGCTTATCTCCTCCATGTGGAAGAATCTGAGTCATCTTTCACAACCCTGGCCAAAAAACACCTCTCTTATGCCTCCCTGCATCTGGGCAGAGGTTGTGACTTCCTCCTGTGGTTCCCACAATGCTTGGTTCTGAAGTAGCACTTGTCACATATTATAATTTTTTGTGTGCATTTCTGTCTTTCCCATTCAACTGTCAACTTCTTAAAAGGAAGAACCATATCTTATTTATTTGGGTTTTCTTCTATTACTATTATATAATATTTCCTCTATTACTACTACATACTATTACACAGTATCTGGTGTTTAGTACATGTTTGATCATTGTTGAATGAAAAAATAAGCTCCCAGTTCAGGTTCTCTTCTAGTTTACCTACCATAGCCAGCCTGGCCAGGAGCTAGGAGTGTTCAGCTTGGAGCCAGAGGCAGGATCCCAGGAGCAGGTTAAGAGGAAGTGATTGACAACTGCCCGCAATGGCTCCTGCTGGGCACATTTTACATCCCAGGGTCTGGATCAAAGCTGTCAGTTTCTGCCCTGTCTGTTCCTAAGTGTCATAACTGGAGCAAAACTCCTTCATCAGCCAGTCTGGCCACATCACAGACACGTGGGTTGGACAGCAGAGGCTGCCTGGCTCTTTTCAGGTTCCTATGGATACAGTGTCTCCCTTGACCCACTGAATTCATCTGTGTGGGCAGCTGCCACTTCTGGACTACAAATACACAGTAAGCAGGCGTGTAGGAGAGCAAGAATAGGGTAGAAAGAGCACGTAGGAGGAGGGGAAGAAAGAACTGAGAGAGAGCCTATGGGTAGAAGTGGGCAGGAAGGAAGGTTTGGTCTTTTTGTTCCTACAGAAGATGTTTTTGAAAAGCTTCTTGACAATCAAACAGACTTTTGAAAAAAGTTACTTTTGCTAAATATAAAGTGTGAAAATCACCAGTGGAAGATTGCCTCCCTTTCTGCAGCCAGGGCAGAGCTCTTGGGTGTATTTTGATCAGTAACTTCTAGACACATCCTTCACAACCACAACTAGGCAGCCAAGCATTCTGACATGTGCTTAACTAAGAAGCAAATTAGGCAGCCAATTTGTAAAAATGTAATATGGCGTCCTTTCTCCCTTCTGCTTATTTCATTGATAAACACACATTCATGCACATTGATGTACATAGTAATAATAATATTAGTTTACATGGCTGACTCTACAGTTTCTGTAGAGCTTTTGCTTAGAGCTTCACAATAAATGAAGCAGGCAAACTGCATTGATTAGATAGTCCATGGTTTCCGAGTTACTCAGTAGAGGTGCAGTCTAGACTCAAACCCCGGACTCCAGCTTCCAAGAATAGGCACACTCATTCCCACACCCAAACCCCCCACCCCCATTCCATGCCTGGCTGCTGGCTAAGCCACAGGCTGCTCCACAGTTGGAGTGTAAGGGATAAAGAAAGAGGAAATGAATGGTTTAAGTTGGGAAGGGCATCTTGACAAAGTTGTTAGAGTCTACCAGTTTTTTCAAACCCCACATTAGAGTACAGCAAATAAATGCATGTCTAATCATCACTCCACCGGCTTCTAACTTTTTTGCTCATCACTTTCTCTGAATTTATACATGGAAGACTTTTGAATGTGGTTCCTACACTGAACCAATCTCCAAAATTAAGGTTATGGCTTCTGTCCCCATGGGGGCCTGTAAGTTGAGGTCCATATGGCAGCCTATGATGGCTATCCCCTCCCCATGAGCCACAGGATGTCTCTGGGCACAACACAATGCCTCCTTTTCAACCGCATTTTATCAGTTTCTCAAATATCTGTATTTGTGGGCCAAGTGATGACAATACACTACATTTATAGAACATTACAGTCTCTGGAGAGCCTTCTGTTTTATACACCCTACCCACTACACCCTCCCACCATAGGATTCCCTCCCTGGCCATGAGGCTGATAGGACAGATATCACCATTTTAATTTTACAGATTCAGATATAGATATATATATATTGAGACAGAGTCTTGCTCTGTCACCAGGCTAGAGTGCAGTGGTGTGATCTTGGCTCACTGCAACCTGTGCCTCCCGGGTTCAAGCAATTCTCCTGCCTCAGCCTCCCAAGTAGCTGGGACTGTAGGCACATGCCAGCACGCCCAGCTAATTTTTGTATTTTTAGTAGAGATGGGGTTTCACCACGTTGGCCAGGATGGTCTCAATCTCTTGACATTGTGATCCACCCACCTCAGCCTCCCAAAGTGTTGGGATTACAGGCATGAGCCAGGGCGCCTGGCCGCCTGGCTATATATTTTTTTGTCAAGCTCTAATTCCACAGTTGACTGAACTAAATGATATTTAGTTCAGGACCCAGGTAACTAACCAAAATTTAAGAGAGAAATTATTTGAAATTGAGAAAAAATATTTGACTCTTAATGCTGTTAAACATGATATGACTAACTCCCACTCTACAATGTTCTTCCAGTTTTCCCATCCATGGACTCTGCCACCAAGCAAAGAAGAGGATTTACATATGACCAACTTCAGCAGAGCAAATGGAGAAATTATATGGCTGTGTTCCAGCCCTGGCTGGTTACATATTTTATATTTTATAGCTATTTCTCTGTCAGAATTATAAATCAACCACACACACAAAAAGGTCTAATTTAAAATGGGGCATATCAGAAAATCACAACTCAGCAAAATATGGCATTTTCCTGACAAATACTGCATAACTAAACTATATATGCACATTCTGGTTTTAGAGACTGTCCAAACTACAGGGTGATTTGGGACTTCAGTTCCTCATCCCTGCATGCTGGACGGATTTCAAGAAGATAATTAAAGTCGACGGTACCTGGTATATGAAATCAAACACCCATCCTCTACTCCCTGGGTTTGGAAGATCAAAGATAATAAGCCTGTCATAAACTAAGGCAAAGGGCCACCAGGGAGTGACAAATCCCTATCAGGTTTAAATTTTGTCAGAACAGTCAGTGTAGAAATAGAGTTGGTGAACATGCCAACCCTCCCTGTAACCTAGTCTGAGCAGCACTGAAGGAAAACTGGCCAGGCCTTTCAACATGTTGGCAAAAGCCACCCCCTGACATCCTGGAAAAGAGCAGAGAATGGGAGAAATGTGCTGGAGAGCAGAGCTCATCTGTCCAGCCAGCACTCAACTTAACTGTGGCCAGAACCTGCCATTGGATATTTCCATGCAGTTATTAATAAGCTCTACACAAAAACTACCTGGAGGCTGAATCTGACTCTGGGATTTGGTGTTAAATACCAGAGGGTATACAGTGTCCTGCCAAGGATAAATTTTATAACCCTACATTCCTTTACTGGTGATTTATATTCCTTTCCTTATCAGGTTAGAAAGAGGTAAGGGTACAATCAACGGATTCCTTATCAAATCAAAAGTCCTAAGGTCTGGAATATGTTATTGAACTTGTGAACAAAAGACATTCTAGGATTTGAGATATCAATTCAACTTGTTTCTTGCACCATTATGATAAAAAGGAGAATTCTTTGTAGTTTATTATCTCACATCTACATTATCTTAATTTATCTTCCCAACTCTGCAAAGCAAGCAGAGCTGATATTCTGTTTGAGAGTGTGTGGATATGAAATTGAAGATCAGGGCCTGAATAGCTTCTCAGGTTCCCATAGCCATTTCCAGAGCTGTCTCATGTTTTCTGACCCCAAGTCCAAGTTCTCTCCAACACAGTCTTTCCCGGGCAGATTATAGGGGTTCTACCCACTTCAACAGCAGGTCTTCAAATAATGTTTCATTCAATATTATTTCGTTATAACATTGATGAGAAGGAAAAAAATAGATTTCTCCCCAGAGCCGCTGTCTTTGTGGAGTTTGCATGCTCTCCCCGTATCTGTGTGAGTTCTCTCTGGGTCCTGCAGTTTCCTCCTATATCCCAAAGATATGCACATTCAGTTCATTGGTGTGTCTAAATTGTCCCTGAGTGAGTGTGGGTGGGTGAGTGAGTGCACCCTGTAATGGGAAAGTGTCCTGTTCAGGGTTGGTGTCTGCCCTGTGCCCCAAGCTGCTGGGATAGGCTCTGGCCACTGTCGACCCTGAACTGGAATAAGCAGTTGAACAATTATCTTGCTTGTTTGTATTAATCTTAAATCTATGTATAACTCAAATTTATTTCAATGCTTAATATCCAAAGTATATTGGTGTTTATTTGGAAGTTCGATGTTTTGAGACCAAAAATATGCTGTAGGAACTTAACTCTTGTTTATATCATTTAGCCTATGGTAAAATTGGTTTCGTCATACACTATTTTGCTTATAGTTGCAGTTTCCAAGAACCTATCAACAGTGTTAAGTGAGGACTTACTGTATTGCTATCTTAATAGTCCCTGGTATGAGCAATTTATCACATAGATGAAACTCCTTTATAAAGAGGTACTTTTAGCAATTTGACAGCTGAAATCCTTCAGGTGGATCCAAAAGGTACCCATCTGGTATTGCATTCTGTTCTTTCTATAATGGTCTAGAGTAAGTTTATTTTAATAGTTTAACTATAAAATATATTCACATTCATTATTAATACATGGTTTATGCCTTTAAAACAATTAGTCTAAGGCCTTTGAACAAAATTTAAAACATTTTAAAAGCATCTTTTAAGGAACAGTTTGCATTGTTTATTCAGTTCAAAAAATATTCATTGAGCACCTATCAAGCATTGTCTAGGGCAGTAAGAAGGCAGAAGTGGTCAAGACAAGGACCCTCCTCTAAAGAGCTTAAACCAGAGAGAGGAAGTCAAATAAGAAAAAATAAATAAATGCATGTATTGCTCTAAGAACTAAATTGGAACAAGGGCAGAGGGATCCAGAAGCAGAGAAAGGGCACTTGATCCAGTTTCAGAGAAGGCTTTCCAGGGGAAATAACATCAATGCCAATAGTTTGGGAGAACAGAGTGTTGTAACATGTTTCCAGCCTCATGTGTACCTCCAGGGCCGCTGGGGAGCTCTGACGAATATTTAAACGCACATGTCCTTTCCCACTGCTTTGCTTTACCCACTCTACTCCTTTAGCCAGAAAACCTCCTCTTGAATTTTATTCCTATATCATCTTCATCATCCTTCACAGCTCAGCTTTAATGTGGTGTCTTCTCAGAAGCTTTCCTTGACCATATTTGAAGAAACTGAACTAAAGCTAATCTGAAAAGCTTGTAAATGCAAGACTCAAGTTCTATTACATTGCCCTTGATCATTCAGAAATTCTAAGCCCCTCAGCTAAATTTAGTCATTAAAAGATCACTGTCCATTCTTTAATGTTTTAAGAATAAGTTGTACTATTTCCTAGTTGACTGTTAGTGGAGCCTACAGGGGGAAATCATGGCCATTCCTAAATTTCTCCAAGGCTTGTGTTATTGCGGCATCTTGGTCTCCAGCTGAAGCCCTTGGGGAAAGAGATAAAGTTGCCCCTTCTGTTCCACTGGATCCCAGCTTGGGTACGTCAGGCAGCTTAAAGGGTGACCACCATCAGAATCCTTGGTCAACTGGTGGCAGTTTGGGGTGAAAACATGTCAAAATTACATTGCAATTTTTTTACTCTAAAATTACATAGTGGTTCCTTTGACCATCAGTAAATCTTTACAAATGGGACCAAAACAACTTTCTTTGGAGACACCATGGGACTAAAGAAAGAGACAATATTCCTATTATAGAATTTTGCAAACTCTCCGGATGTCCTAACAATAAGTTACAGATGTTTAATCCTAAATTAAGAAGCTAAATATAATGTGGACTTTACAAATGGCAATTTTCTATAATTTGAGGAAAATATCTGGTAGCTCAGTTCCCACTAGAAATGTTTGGCAATGGTTCTGCTCTCTGTTAAACATCTCTGGTATGATTTCCTAAGGACAGAATCATAGCAGAAGACAACAGATTTTTTTTTTTTTTAAAGAAAAACAACATAGAATTGATCAAGAAACTATAATTTGAATTTTCCTCTGGGCATGTGGGTATTGTTTTATAACTGAGAGAAGCATTAAAATATCAAGGGAACTACATTCATATTTGTATTAATTCTATTGAATCATTTCTTGGCTTATCATATTTTGTGTTATTGCCTTGTTCTCCTTTGTTTTGAAAAGAAACTTTATCAGTTTTCCTGTGTCATGCCATTTTATCTCTTCACTCTGCCTGCAATAAGATATCAGCCTAATATTGGCAGAGCAACTCCGTACAATGATCCTTTGTTCTGGGAAAAAAAATTGCATGAATAGTATATTATTAAAATAGAGAAGGAAGTGTGTTTCATTTGTTATTTATTTAGTGAATATTGTCATGGTACCAGGTGCTTTACAAAAGACAAATAAGTGAAGCAATAATACGGTGCACTTGGATCTTGCATTTAATGTAAGGATCTCTGAGTACTTACCAAACACTGACTCATAAATCAACTCACTTCAGATAGGATGTAAAGGTTGCTTTAAATCTACAGTCAACTTTGCAGAACCTGCTGTAAAAAATGCTCCACGGCACCAAGCACTGTACAGCCTGCCTTGCCGCATCTCTGATACCTCTGAGGACACAGGGAAAGATGAAATCACAATGGGAGTGGGGCTATGAGAGATGGTGGGTGAATTTTGAAGAAAGGAAGCTAGAAAAAAAAATGGTAACAAATAGAAGAGAATCTGGGAAACTGAAAGCTAAAGCAGTGAATTTCATAGACAACTGACAGATAACTTCAGGTTCTAAACAAATGCAAACTTGACAGCTGTCAGAGTAAATATTTTATTGACCTTAGATTTGGCTCTTATCTTTGTCTAACACATTCGTGACTTCTGAAGTTGGTTTCTTCTGCACAGGAGAAAATTTCTCGAAATTTTTCAAGATATGAATAGACTGGATTGTATTTTTCTAGTCACAAAGCTGAAATCTGCTCTATCCTTAATAATTATCACGTAGAATTTGCTGCATACCATCTTGATGTGAAAGTTGAAATTAGGAAAATCTTACCAACTCAGATCACACTAAATTCTGAATCTGTCGGAAGATAGCCAGAAATCTGTAGAAGACTACGCTTCTGAGATTTTTCAGGTAATGCCCAAGCAGGGTTACAGCTGTGACACAGCAGAGGCCAAAGGCAACAGACAGCAACCATTCAGGTATCCCTGACATCCCTCTGCAGGCCTTCACAGAGAGTCAAAACTCAATATTTCAAAATGTATGCTTTTTCTCTCGGAAGAGTTTGGTGAGCCCTATAATCAGAAAGAAAACAGACAGCAGAGGGCCGGCAGCCAGGTCTTCCAATTACTATTTCAAAATCAGGAACCAGAGACCATGCCTGTGCAGAGGATCTCAGCTTGAGCCTGGGTTTTCTGCCATCCATTTGCAGGGTCCAGGCCTCTCTTGGCTTAGGCTGGTGGCTTGGGCCAGATGGAAGTCTAGTGCATGGGGAATGAGCAGCCTCTTGGGAACAAGCCAGCATTGCACCTGCTGCTGGGAAGTGTGTGATCTGGGCACATTACAGTCTAGTGGAGTACCAGGCAAAATTCCACTCTCAGGGAAGACGCAGGTACCCCCAGGAGACAGCTCATTATAAGAGAGGAAGAAGCCAGGAATAGGGCTGAGTAACGAAGTCTTAGAATTCAAAGAGGGTGTAGGAGGGGTCTACATGGAGCAAGTGGTCTCTACTCAATGCCCAGCCCAATCCCTTAGACCACATGCTTAGGTCCTAGGGAGAGGCACCATAACAAAACTTGAGTAGCTGTTTCAATAGATGTTTTAGCCCACTGGGCTCATGTCCCACATCTAACACAGTGTGACACAAAAGGACAGGAGCCCTTCTTCCTGACTCTGCCAGAGGCCATTGCCAACTTTGGCACTCAGTGATTACAACTGTGCCTGCCCTGCCTGACAAGCCTCATAAGCTCAGCAAGAGTGACTCCAGGTTGGAGAACAGGGAAGAGGAGCTGCAGCCTGGGACAGCTCAGATCCATAGGCAGGAGGGCCTGGGGACACCTGTAAACCTCTCCTTGAGGACCCCTAGATTACTTGAGGGAGGAAAAAAAGAACATTATTAGAGAGCTTATGACAGCTGTTTGAGAAAATAAGGTATTTGGGGTTGTGATTCGAATAATTTTATGTGTCTGAACATTCATAATTTTCCCACATTTGCAATTTCAGCTATTGTCTGTTTCAAAATCAATACATGACAAGAGATTGCACGTTTGTCTTCAGAGAACATGAGGAACAGGTTAGATGAAAACCTACTCCACAGACCCTATTGGGAAGAACACAGCAAAGTCATGGAGTGGATTATTGGTGGAAGAAAGAGAAACAGGGTAATATTTTAGGTTCTGCAATAAGAAAGAAGGTGAAGTTTGAAGAACCTGACGATCCCCAAAAGGACTTAACAAAAGTAATATAAATGTCTTAAACATTGGGGAAGAAGAGGGAATTTTCAAATTTCATATAGGAGCAGACTGTATCCAACCATGTAGCAGGATGTATTCTCCTCTTCAACCTGTATGCTTATTACAAACAAATTAATCTAATCTATTTAGAATTTAGCCATGTAGTACATTTTTCTTTTAATCTTCTATATACAAACATCCATTAATGCTTTTTGATAAAATGATAATTCCAAGTCCCTACGGTCCCCCTGTTGGCAACATTTTATAGCCATTAGTTGAGTTACTACGTAGGCATTAAAGTAATAGAATTACATTTCTTTTGCTATTCAGGCCCTTTTGGGAATTCAAACAGCTCTTTACAACCATCAGGACCAATTAGGGAGGTGATACTGTGTTTTAATTGACAGACTGCAAGAGGTTTCTCTGACCAGTCAGGAAACCAATAGGATCCAAACAAAATGAAATGCCCTAGAAGCAGAATGATTTACAGTTGTGTCTGTATTTAGCAAAGCATTCCATAAATAGTGAAAAAATACAGGCTCTTCTTGCTCTGTTTGGTTTTCCTCAAACAATAATCATGCTAATGATAATACTGTCTGTGCACAATGCAAACACACTTTACTCTTTCTTCTTGCCTATGTCTCTGTAACTGGGGCTCTTCTGGTTGAATTATCTGCAGTGGCTAAGAAGTGACCTGTGACGGCTGCTGTTCTCTACTGTAGAATGGGGACCCCATAGCAAGAATCACAGTAGGATTACCTCAGTTAAACGCACTAACTTTGATGTTAGGGAAATGAATCATCAACTGCTTTATAATTTATTTACCAAACAAGATTTCTCTCCTCTTTCCATTCTATGTTTCCTTCCACTTTCTGTTTCTTTTCATCTATTTGGGCCTCTTATCTCTTTATAATGCCCCTTTTAGTTGGGCTACTCAGGACCATAGTAGGCTGCTCACACATGAGCAGCCAGAGAATAGGGAGAAATGATGACAGCCCTCCACCTGCCTTTTACCTCTTTTGCCTGTATCTGTCTTTCTCCCTTTTGAATGTCTTTTGACTTCCTCCTTGGGAGTAGTCTTTTATGCTTCCAAAGCACTTCTGCATTTCCTATCTGTATCCAGTGATTTAGTCTTTAGTGCCATGAGTTCAGGGATAAAAATTAATGTGCTCACATAGCAACGTTTCCATTTTGATTATGTTGCCTGATCCTAAACAGGTAATCAGATATATTCAGAAATGCACAAGGATTTATGGGTATTATATCATCTTTTTAAACTTTTTAATCGCAGTTTTTCCACAGTTGTGTAAAGTACAACCTTTCCCTGCTTCTGCCTCCCCAAGTGACTTTTCTGACTTTATTATAGAATTAGAACAAGGAGTAAAGCATGAGAGAACAACCATAAGCATAAGGAGATTGGGTCAGGATCCAAGGGTCTCCTGAGGATGGGATCTACAAAAAGCTGAGCTATAGATTCTATCTATCCACCGATCCATCACTCCATCTACTTACTGCCTAACTCTTTATTACACATATAGTGGGCATCATGCTATTGACAACTCCCTGGGGTCTACCCACTCTACAAATTTGTCTGTCTGATGGATGCCACTTAATGTTCTTAGGCTTCCTCCAGTTGTATCAGATTCCTTTTCCTCATGCTGCCATTGCAACCTCTGCGTATCCTAACTGATCATATCACTTTGTATCATAATTGTAATTGTTACTCAGTAGCTATCTGTCCCTGTAAATCTTGAAATTCTTAAAGTCAGACTCCTGTTCTTCCCTCTCACATACCTCCCCCACCCCCAGGCCATCTGCTCCTTTGCAGCCTGGAAGGACACAATGAATAGCTGCCAATACCTCACTGCCACAGGGGAGAGCCTGTCTGAGAATGCAGGCAACTGTGAGGAAGGGAAACAAGAGGTAGAGAAGAAGAAAGACTTCAGGAGGGCAAGGGCAGCCTGATGCACTTTTGAATCTTTTGTTCAATATAAAGATGATTTCCAGAAAAAAAAAATCTTAGCATCTACTTTAACCATCTAGTATCTATTTAAATTTTTAAGAAATAATACTGGAAATAGTCATTGAAAAACATCCTGGTTAACAAAATATGACACCTAACAACTTTGTATCCATTTCCACCTGCCTATTTTCTATTTACTTTTTTTCTTTTCTTTTGTTGATGTCAAGGATAAACCAAAATAGGAACACTTTTCAAATTAATGAATTAGGCTTTCTGACTATGAATATGGGCTTGAAATCTCAGGCACGTCTTGATCTCTGTTACATGAAATACAATCTTCTAGAAAACAAAGACATAGTTGACAATCTTCTAGAAAACAAAGACTATATTTTACTGGCAACCTCAAAGACAAGCTCATTATATTCATTACAATTTAATATGTTTCTTAATGACTCATCAGCAAGACATAAAATATTGCATTTTGAAAAGAAGTCTCATTTGGATGTTAATTTGCAAATAAAAGTCAGGAAGAAGTTTGTATAAATTATTTTTGTAAATATATGTACATAAAATATCTTCTAAAATTTTAACAAACCTGTGAATAAAATCTTCTTGTGAAGAATGATAATCACCCTGACTTGGAATAATTTTATCACAGTCTATCTACCATGAGCTTCTTTAGTAATCTGAAGGGTGAGATTAGACTCTCATTATGAACTACTTATAAACATAATTTAAGATGATGGGAAAGTAATTTGAAGAATTTGGGGCCTGATAATGAGTTTCCTTTGAAGTTGAGGAGGGGTGGCAGTGGGAACAGAATTTGAGATAATTGCTGGTTGTCTCCAAGGAGTCCAAATGTTGATGAAGCTTCTGTGTTTAATAATTAAAGACGCTAACCTCAGAGAAAGATGGAGCCACGTTGTCAGTTACCCCTGGATACTTCCAAAGCCTGTGTCTTGGTCTAACAATCCACTCTGACTTTGTCCTCCTCCTCCCACTTAACTCCCACTTCTGCACTTGCTGTGTCTCTGTTAGGCACTGAGAAGAACAATTGAAAGCATGAAGAATAGAAGAAAATCTGCTTAGGAAACTTGACTCTGGCAGCATGGCACACTGAGTTCGTGCAGTATGCACCTTCCTGCCTCACGTGCCTTTCTGGAGAACAAGGATAACAAGGATATCTCTCCCATGCATGTTCAGGAAATCAACCAATGTTTGCCATACTCTTAAGTTTATAAGCTTTGCATCTGGGTGAAGTCCAATTAATGCATCCATAAAAAAACTTTTCCTAGGAAAAAGGAGGAACTCTGAGTGTAGTTTTTTCTTCCCATTTATTTGAACCTATTGCTAGACTCATGGGAACTTCAGTTAATCATACTATGCCTGCAATATTCTCCCAGGATCAACTACCATGGGAACTCAAAGTTCATTTGCAGTGTTCTACATTTGTCCTGGGTGACCTTTAGTCCAATCAAAGGTGTCTCTTGGTACAGCTGTGAATTCTAACGAATATTGGAGAGAGTTGTGCTCATTTTTTCTTGCCAATTCCTGAGTATCCTTCTGGTCTAGAGCCATTTTATAGCCAGGCAAGCAGAGCACCTAGAAGAAGCAATAAGAAATGAAGAGGACGGCCACAGATTGCCCAGAAAACAAGGTCAAAGGCATGACCTCACCTGCCTCAACTTGACTAATTACATCTGCAATGACTAGTCCCAAGTAAGGCCACATTCTGAAGTACTGAGCATTAGGACTTCAGTATATAATATTTAAGAGGATACAATTCAACCCATAGCAACTAAATTGTATCTAAATCAGTCATTCCCCAATCCTGGTTTAAGGCCAAAGCAGATGGGAGCTGCAACCTCCCTCTCAGATCAATTTCTCCCAGATCAAGTCTTTTCTGCTCTGCTGTAGGCCACACTGTGTGACCCTGTCTCTTACAGACCTCCCTGATCCCTTCACCTCTCCCCACCGCCCAGACATGCTGTCTATTGCTTCCTGCTCCCCCCAACCCAGGGAGGGGGCAGAGGAAGTAGGGGGTAGGGGAAGCCGCTGTTTGTCCACTTCTCTTGGCTCACACAGAATGTGGGCCCTGGTAAAGAGTGGGTCAATAAAACACCTTTCCTTGGTGTCAACATATGATACCACAGGAGCTCTTAAAATCACTAAAAACAAAATAACCAAGAAAACTGTATTTTCCCTCATGGGTGGGACTGCACAGCCCTCTGAGAGCATGTTCAAATAACAACATATGTCTCTCTGTTGTCTTCATAGGAGAACAGATTCTGCTAACTAAAGGATTTTGGATTTGTAGAGTAGGGTTTTCAGGGCTGGGGGCAACATTTAATTGCTCACATCAGTCAAAGCAAAACTGAGTTCTACCAGTTTTCCTTCTCTGCCCTTCCTCTATTCAGTGACTACCACCAGCACCCCCCGCCACCCCACTTAACAAATGTGGAGTCTAAGTATTACCAATGTGAAGGTAGTTCCAAATTATTTCATAGGCTCGGGCACCTGCAAGTATCGCTCTGCCCAGGATATTCCAAATGCAGTGAAGTAACACCAGAAATGATGTTTTCATTTGCATCAACATAATTATGGGAGAATGGACTTATAGCACTGAATGTGATTTTAAAATGTCACTCCCAGAAGCTGGACATTTGGGCTCTGCTTCATATTGTAGAGCAGAAATCTTTAAGCTGATAAACTTGCGATAAAACAAGTGTCTAGAAGGTGGCATGATAAACTAAAATTTTACTTTATGATTTTTCTACATTTAAAAATTGTAAATATATCTTTCTAAACATATGTATGGGTTTGAAGTTGCTGAGCACTTTCTTGGGAAGGATGGTGCTGCTTCCCACTCTTTAGGGATACATTGTCCTTTCATAGAGCAAGCAATGAGAAGAGATGATCATCTTTTTTTCAATATCCTTTCTTGGCACAAATGAAAACTGGCAACCCTAAAGCGATCTGCCCCCTCCCTTTACACACACACAGATTTGCTTTTATTTATATATATTTTTAGCTTTTTTTTTTTTTTAACTAAGTCTGTGATATCCAGAAGTCTAAAACCACTGGTCAAAATGACGAAAGACCAAAACAAAACAAAACAACAACAAAAATCCCTTTAGAGCTGGCTCAGATAATACGGTCTACTGTAAAGGACCTTAAGAAATAGCTGCAGAAGAGAGGAAAACAATAGGCTTGATCACAAACTCCTTCTGAAATGAAGCTAACACATGTCCCCAGTAGCCTTCCCCCTATGAAGCATGAGCTCATCTTCCAGCATGGATAGCAGTCTTGACTAACTCCAAAGAACATTGCTGCTTAATCCCACCTAAAACAATCTCTCTGCAATACCAGCATCTTTACGTCTGCTCGTTGTCCCTCTCTGCCTAGCACGGCCTTTGTGCACTTTACAATATTTATACCTCTCTGTCTGAACTGCTGGCTGGTGAGCAGACTGTCTCAGACTGTCTAGAGAGCAGGAAGCAGATGGAAAATAAATACAGATGAGGAGCTCTGGGGGCAAAGCTGCAGACGGGACAAGAGGGCCAGGAAATAAACAAACAGGAAAGAGACTGACTGGTCTTTCTGCCTTTCATCCCTGGCTCTAAGAGATAAGACTTAAACAGTAAGACGCCGACTGGGCTCGCTTTCAAATTCTACCCAGCTTCTACTTCAGGGTAGTTTTTTCGTTTCAATAGTCTATCTCTGCAGTTTTACAAAAGGATGGTTAAAATAAGCTCTTAATAAGTGATAATAATTCATTTCAAATACAATGATCATTATTACATTAGAGAGGTATAGGATGCAAGAATTTGAAACCATCTTCAACATAGTTGAATATAGTGCATGTATGTTAAAAGTAGGAGCACTGACTTAGACAGATCTTACGTGTTTTAAAGCAGAGCATCAGGTGCCCAGGTCTAGGGAAAACATGACAACACCGCCTTCGTCATTCTGCTAATGTTCCCTCTTCTCTCTTCTTTTGGCTGTCAAAGCCAGCTTTAATGAAAGAATCTCAAACCAATCATTTACGCCTCATAATAGACTTAAGTCAAAGCATTATCTCTGACCATAAGTCATTATTCTTATTGTAAATACTTTATACTCAAAGCCTGTTTGATTTATACTCAAATTCTGTTTGATTTTCCTCACTAGGAACGCCTTCCTTAAAACTTTCCATTATTGTGTGATACGCTTTTAATACCTCACCCCAGGACCAAAGGCCTCCCTCTTGGCCTATGCTTAGGTGATTGGTATGAACAGCTCTGGTGCTAGATTACCCAAGTTCAAATCCTGACTTCCCCATGGGTAGTCATATGGCTTTGTCAATACTTTTTAATCTGAGTCTCAGTTTTCTTGTCTGCAAAATGAGGATGATAATAACATCACCTTCTTTATGAGATTATCATGAAGATTAACTGTGGTAGAAATGTAAAGCTCTTGGAACAATGGGTGACCTTTGAGGATTAGCCAATATTATTCCTGTCATTGTATGGTCAGAAATGATCAAAGTGAACATATTTTTCTTCATATTGCAGGAATTGAATTTTTAAAAGCAACTCTGCAGAAAATACTAATTTAAGAAATCTTGTATTTATTAGGTCAGGATCTTTTCACAGAATTCTGTCTCCAAGGTTGTTTTATATCACATAAGATTTTTTGGTGACATTTTTTAAAGTATAGTAACTTAAAGAACCTTTGGGTAGAAATAGCTGAAGGACAAGAAAGTCTCTTAAGTTTTCAGGTTTTTTTTTTCAATATAGAAAATAATAATCTCTTGTTACTAATCTAAAACCTTAATATATTTCCTATATCTTGATTCAATACATGCTTTGTTTCTACAAAATCTGTTTTAATCTCTCTGTGTTATCAATGTAAAATATCATTGAATAAGTTTTTTGAGGGGAAGAAACGCCATAGAATGAGTTAGCCAAAGACAGAAATGGTTCCCTTTATCTTAAAATACATTTTGCAACACCTAACATCTACAACATGGCATAATGGCCATCAGAGAAGGAAACTGTGTCTACTGCACAATGTTTTCTGGCAGCAACAAGATGGGTCCCATTTTTCCAAGATCTTATTGTTACTCTAGGCCATCTAACAAGATGTCCTTTGGTACAAAGTCTTACCTCAAGCAAATACACTTAAATGTCAAAGGATCATAAGAGTCCTGGAGGGAAAGGAGCAGAGAAGTTCCTGTACCTCTGAAATCACCCAGTGTAAGTGGCAATCTGCTTGGTCTTCACAAATAAGGCTGGCAGCAGGCAAGGATTAATTCTGATGTAAATTAACTACATTTCTATTTTGATTAAATATAAACTTGTTAAAATTAAAATAGCTGTTCTTCTTGCTTGGATTTCAATTTGTAACTGTGAAAGAGAATAAAGTTTGAGGAGCAGTGCTCTCAACGTTATCTTTCTGAAGGGACAGGGTTTTATAGAATGCCCAGTCCAACCCCACCTTCCTGTCTTCCAATGCCCAGTCCAACCGCAGCTTCCCATCTTTCCTTCTGGTCGAGTCATGGAGCCACTTGGTGTGTCTCCTCTGCAAAGCTCCAATCAGAATATTTAATTGTCTACAAAGGATGTTCTATGGATTATCTGTCAAGTGTTTTGGGACTATTAACTACTTGATAAATGCTAATAAGATGCATCAAGGAAGCTGATATTATTTGTTCACCTAACATATATTATTCCATCTCTCTGTATAATTACGTTAGGTTTTATTGTTGTTTACAGAGACTAGTTTTTAAACAGTATTGCAACTCTATATTGTCCTCCAAATAATCATCATATTTCAATTATAAAGTCTTGCATTTTTCAACTGTCATTGCTGAGTTGATCTTCAGGGACTGTATTAGGATCAGAGAAAAGGCATATGCCTAAGCCTTAGGTTTGAGTGATAATCACCAAGACATAATAAGCCTGCGAGTTGAAACAGAGACAGTTTAATAGTTACTTTAAAGAAAGAAGATCAGCTGGGAATCTGGGAAGAAAAGCTGGGCTGAATGGGAAAGTAGGAATGATGAATATATTCTAAGCTTCAAATTAAATCCAGCAATTAAACCAAAGACCTTATGAGTGCTTTAGAAGAAATTTTAGAAAATATAGACTTTGCAGTTTCTTTGATTTCCATCTCTCTGACTCTAAACATATTTGAAACAAGCTACATAAGATTCATTGCAAATGTATCTCTCCTAAGGATTTTTTTTAAAGGCATACTGCACTTACCCAACTTTTCCCTGGGAGAAAAAAATAAATATTTTATTCCTTATTTGGGCTACAAAATGTCCAGCTCCATTCCCACCCTGGCCCTGACTCATTCAGAGCCCTTAAGCAGGTCCTTGAACCTATATGTCCGTCACATTCCCCACCTCCACCTGTAAAAATACAATAAAAGCAACTGGCTAGTTCCTACCTCACAAGGAAGTCATAAAGATTAGAGTTAGAACATTGAACTTCAAAGATGAAAGACTCAATATAAATTCCAAGCATTATTGTCAAGATCTCAGTGTGAATTAACAGAAATGTACTGCTTAGGCAATTGCTACCTGTCAGCAGATCTAAACCAGGCTGACCTTGATATGCCCAGGGAAGGGCAGGAGCGCCTGAGACCAAGAAGCACATTTTCTCAGAGCCAATGTAATTGTCTTAATTATCCATACTTGGTAGCTCACCATGATTGCATTTCTTGTTTTTCTGAAAGACTGAATACTATAATATAATGCATACCTGCTATACACCCTATCCCCACCCCAATAAAAAAAATAAACATTTATTCTCTACCTACAGTGTTCAAGGCTGCACTAAAGATTGGAAATACAGAAATTAATATATAGTTCTTTCATCTTCAGAGATCACAATTAAAACAAGAGAACTGTGCATTCTCTATTTAGTCTCTAGAGAGCTGAGTCTCCCAAGAGCTTAAAGCATCCCAAAGCAAGATTTTACACAAAAAAAAGTCCAATAATTTTGTAGCTGGCTTTCATTAGCAATGACTGCCTCAGCCCATGACATGTACTATGACAAATCAAAATTTTGCACACTTTCTTCTCTGTATCTACAAGGGTTACAAATTATTACTAAAGTTATTTTTAAAGGGCCTAAGGTATTAATACCATCATTCTATTCTCAGAATTACTAAGCTCAGAGGCATCCTTCATCCCAGGTGATGAATGCTTACACAAATGTTTGACGTCTCATTAGCCTCGAGATGATTTTTAACATGGCCAGGGGTGTAGAGAACAGAGTCCTCTGTGTGTGTGTGAGCACGTGCCTAATTGCCCGACTCCTGACTTGGGCCCCCTCACTTCTTCTTACTGTTTGGTAGTGAAGGAATGAATGGCAAGTTAGGGTGCTGCCTGGGAAATATCATCAATCTTAGCCTAAGTCATTTTGAGCAGCTGTTCATATCTGTTTTAAAGATATCCAGGCCCTGGACTCCCTTGGAAATATAATTCCAACATCTGACCCATTTAAAGTTGGAAAAACCTTTCCTATGTGGAAATGGAGAATAACAGTTCAGCTTGCTTCTCTAATAACTTGGAAGTAATTATTGTCACATCTTTAGTTTCCTAACTTCTATCATTAGAGTTTGGTTTTTCTCAAAGGACATCTAATTCTTGGGGTTTTTTTCCTCCAAATTCCCTCCAATTTTTTCCTTGTGTCTTTTAAAAATACAGATTAAAGCTAGCGGGGAGAATGTGAGTATCCATTTCCTCATCTGTGAAATGAGACAAGATGATTCCTAAGACTCCTTTTTGCTCAAAGATCTTAATTCTTGAGAAACTTTACACAATAGCCTAAGCCAGGGATCAGTAATCTTCTTCTGTAAAAAGCCAGGTCGTCAACATTTTAAGCTTTATGGCCACATAGTCTTTCTTGTAACAACTCAACTCTGCCGACTTAGGGCAAAAGCAGCCATAGATAATACTTAAAGCAAATGATCATTCCTGTGTTCCAATAAAGCTTTATTTACAACTACAGATGACATGCTGGATTTGGCCTATGGGCCTTAATCTGCCCCTGGTCTAAAAGAAAAAAAAAAAGAAAAAAACAAGCTCTATATCTCCATACCACCCTTCCTGTCCCTGTGTTCAGGCTCAGATTTTCTGAAATGACCCACAATCATTCAGCCATTAGTGAACCCGGAAATCCCTCAATTGCCTATGTTTATAATACACACACACACACACACACACACACACACACGGGGGAGGGTGAGAGTGGAGAGCCAAACTTGAACAGCAGAATGTCTTCTGCTTTTTGTTGTTTTTACAAAAAACCATTCCTGACTTTCAGGATAAGAAGAAGCCTACATTTTTACTTACAGTGCTTTATAATGAGACTCAACTTTTACATTTCTTGGGCCATATTTACCAGCAATTCTGACCATACAGTGAGTAGGAAAAGTAAGTAAGGTCCATAGACCAGTAGCCTCAGCATCACCTGGGTGCTTCTTGGAAATTCAGTGTCTTGGGCCCCACCCCAAACCTACTGAATCAGAACCTCCATCTAATCAGATCCCCATGCAACTCCTATGCACATTCCATTTGAGAAGCACACAAGGTCCTGGCAAAAAAAAAAAAGATGTCAACCTCAGATGGAGTGAATGGAGAGGTGACAATGAAGGGATGGCTTAGTGGGGTGTGGCAAGAGGTAGATGAAGAAAGGGATGGGAGGAACCTTTGGACTAGCAATAGCTGCAGTCATTACAACCACTGGGGCTGAAGGGATATACAGGAGAAATTGTGATACCCGAGTCCATTTTGCACTGGAGTCCTGGAGGAGGGGCAGCCTGGTGAAGCTGTCTTTGAAGAGGAGACAGCAACTTCTGTAGACACATCACCAGAGCAGGGAGCAACTACAGAAGAAATAACCCAAGCTGTCTGCACTCCTGCCTGCCAGGCTCTTGCTGGTATCTTCCACTGGCCAAACCTAACCAGAAGATAGGGGGCCCAGGAGATGCAGTCCTCAAGGCCCAGGCTTCAGAGCACAGAGCATACAGTCAGGGAAGGAGCAGAGAACAACCAGCCCAGCCAGAGGGTGCTTCCCACTGGGGTCTGGGTCCCCTGGAGCCCTAAGCTGGCATCCCTTCAGCTGGTGGTTCTCATCTGCCATTGTCACTGGCACTGGTAGCTCTGTGTCCTCAGTTAACATTATAGTGTTTGCTTCTCCTTTTATTCAGAATGCAAAATTGCTCAACTTGTATTATTGCCCAAACTAAAACACCATTAAAAGAAAAAAAAAAAACGTTATATATCTCCATGTCACCTCAAGAAGCCCACACCTCAAAATGGTTTCTTTTTACTGTCACTCCCTAATGCTAGTTAAATTACAGCATGCCTGTTTTAAGCCATCAAAGTAGCCAGGCTGTGGGAAGTACTGCCTGCCTAAGCTGGCAACGAGCTTGGCTCAGAGAAGACCGCTTTTCTCTCTCTTCTACCTGCAGCAAATTCCCTGAGATGGTTTTCAAATAAGACTTCACTTTGTTTCCTGGCATACACAGTGGATCAAGTTATTTCTAAGTAAAATATAAGAATCAACAGTGTTGAAAGAGTAAAGAAAGGAGGTAGTAAGTACTGCCCCTTAGTCACCCTGTCTTTAGGCAAATAACTTCATATTACAGTTTCAATATCTAAGATGGAGCATTAAAATAATTAATTGGGAAACCATTAGACTGAGGTAGCCCTACTGCCAGGTTCCCATGTAAGCAAACCCAAACTCAATTCAATGTGAACTGCCATATCCGAGAAAGTGAAACTTATGTTTTCCCAATCAGAAACTGCCAACTAGCCTCTAACTATGGACTTTACCAATTAGAAACCACCAACTATCTTCTAACTATGGACTTGGAGGTTATTGCTCCACTTTAACCAGTCAAATATTTTCTTTGCCTTGCCTCCTAGTTTTGCTTATAAAAACCTCGCCCAACCCCTCTTCGTTGGAGCCCCAAACTATCTGCATCCTGGAGCTGCCTGATTCATGAATCCCAATCTGTTCAAATAAACTCTTCAAAATTTTAATATGCCTCAGTTTATCTTTTAACAGGGATAATAATAATAATACCTACCTCATATGTTTTAAACAAAGGAAATAGCAGTGTATCAGAAGGTTAAAAAAGAAATGATATAATAAAAACACTTAGCTGGGCTAATAGATATAACTTAGTACCATGATTGATATTTAGCAATATTTCAAATGCTACTAGAGGAGTTTTTCATTGCTCCAAGCTAACCTCCACTTCCATGTTATCAGGAAAAGGCCCTGTCAAATACATCATCTTTGCTCAGGGACAGCATGTCTTCCCTTTATCCCATCAGGCCAATCTGAGTCATATGAACAACCCAGAGAGAAACCACAGGGTCCTCTTCCTCCCCGTTCTGGGTCTAACAACAACAGCCCCGGGTAGGAAACTCATGGGATCTCCACCTTCCAGCCTCATGCGACTGTCTGGTTTTTCAGAGACAAGGTGTCTCCAACGTAAAACCACAGGACCCCAGCACTACCCACACCACCCACCTGTCCCAAAGAGAAAGCATATGCATGACATCACTTCCTGTTCTCCTCTTTTGGGTTCCCATCCATTTTCTCCTAGAAGAGGCCAGAGTTCAGGCTTTGTGTGCAGGAGTTAGGGAGGAATGTTGGCAAAAAAGAAAAAGCTGGGGCTGGGGGTTGACCCCACACCCTCCCTGTCTTTTCTGTTTTCAGATAACTTTGACCAATCATTTACTTGCCAACTCCCTACACCTCCCCCTACATCTCCCATTATATATTCTTGTAGCCACCTACAATCCTTGTCTGAAGACATTACAGTATGGTAGGACAGATAGGGTTTTATTTGGCTTTTTTTGGCTTTTTATTTTTTTGCATCATTGGATGACACAAAAAGTGAAATAAACGGTACTGGGGTGCATGAATTGCAAAACAAAAGCAAAGAAAGACAAAGAAAGAAAGAAAGAAGGGGAAATAAGGAAGAAAGGAAGGAGGGAAGGAAGGAAGGAAAAAAGGGCGGTAAGGGCAGAGGAGGAAGGGAGGCAAGGGGAGGAGAAGAGAGGGGAAGGGATGGGGGAAAGGAGGGGAAGGGAAGTGAAGGAAAGAAAAGGGAAAGGGAGAGGGGAAGAGGAAGGGAAGTGGAGGGGAAAGGAAGGGAAGGGAAGGAAAGAGGAGGGAAGGGGAAGGGAAGAATAAGAAGGTCCATGTACTAGGCTGTTCTCTCATTGCTATAAAGAGATACCTGAGACTGGGTAATCTATAAGGAAAAGAAGTTTAATTGGCTCATGGTTCTGCAGACTGTACAGGAAGCCTGATGCTAGCATTGCTTGGCTTTTGGGGAGGCCTTAGGAATCTTACAATCATGGTGGAAGGCGAAGGGGATGCAGAAATATCACTTGGCAAGAGCAAGAGAGTGAGGGGGGAAATGCTTTAAACACACCTTTTAACAATCAGATTTCATGAGAACTCACTCACTGTCATGAGGACAGTACCAAGACGGATGGTGCTAAACCATTCATGAGAAATCTGCCCCCTTGATCAAATCACTGCCCACCAGGCCCCACCTCCAACACTGAGGATTAAAATTTAACATGAGATTTGGGTGGGGACACAGATCCAAACCCTATCAGTTGGACACTTCAAAATAATTTCAATTTGATATTTCAAAACTGTTCCCAATTAGTCATCAGAGCAAAAATACTAGAATCTCGTTGAAGTTCCTTATACAGTTTTTATGGTTTAATATTGTTTTCATTTAAAATTATATTAGAGGAGGTGATTCCATTCTCAGCATGCCTGCACCCCAAATTAGAAAAAAGTAGATAACCTCAATTGACCTGGGAAGACCTGGAAGGTATCGTGTGGACCACTTCAAACCCTTACTGTACCATTGTAGGCAGGCAAAATGACTCACTAGAAATCACCCTATAAGTCCGCCAAGTGCTCAGGGCATCTGCCCATCAAATCTGTATTCATTTCACCCATACTCTTATTCTCAGGACAAGCAGGTGGTGTTTGTTTTTCAAAAATTCAACACAAATATCAGCCACAAAAATTACCTGAACGAAGAGGAATCCAACTGCTTACTTTGTTTGAATCGAAGCTCTCTTTCAGAGTGCTTGGTACCTGGAGGTCACATACTTCCTATGTGAAGTAAAGGATCCCAAGACAAAAAGTGTTATTCAATATGTGTGGATGAATTGCAAAATCTCGGTTACCTGGCACAACTACAAGGAGTTGCCACAGTCAGCAAGCTTATTGGGTAACTTTTGCAAATACTCATTTGACTCATTAAGCATGTTTTCTTTTGTATATTAGTGTGCAAAAGTCACAGGAAAAAATTACTTAGTAGGAGTGTGTCCTTGAGTGCTGTTTAAATAAGATTTTCTCACCATTACTTGGAAAGAAGAAGACACATAAATGAAAACTATATTAATAGACAATCTCCTCCAACAATTTTTGCACATCTTTTGTTTTTTTTAATGCAGATTCTTGACCAAAAAGTGAATATAAATAGTGGAAAAACCACAAAACTGCAATTTCCATGTTATACTTATAATATATGTCTTATTGTGGTAAAATATACATAGCATAATTTTTACCACTTTAACCATTTTTTTTTGAGACAGGGTCTCACTCTGTTGCCCAGGCTGGAGTACAGTGGCACAACCACAGCTCATTGCAGCCTTGGCCTCCTGGGCTTAAGTGCTCTTCCTGCTTCAGCCTCCCAACTAGCTGGGACCACAGAGGCACGCCACCACAGCCAGCTAATTTTTTATTTTTTCTAGAGATGAGGTCTTGCTATGTTGCCCAGAGTGGTCTCAAATTCCTGGCCTCAAGTGATCCTCTCACACTGGCTTCCCAAAGTACTGGGATTACAGGCATGAGCCACCCATTTTAATCATTTTTAAGTGTACAATTCAGTGACATTAAGTAGATTCACATCATTATGCAACTATCACCACCACTCATCTCCAGAACTTTTTTGTCTTCCCAAACTAAAAGTCTGCACCTATGAAATAATAACTTCACATTCTCCCCTTCTCCAGCCCCTGGTAAATACCATTCTAATTCTTGTCTCTAAGGATTTGACTCTTCTGGGTATCTCATATAAATAAACTCACACAATATTTGTCTCTTCATGTCTGGCTAACTTTAGTTAGCATAATATCTTCAAGTTTAATCCACAATGTAGTGTGTATCAAAATTTGATTCCTTTTTAAGGATGAGTAATATTTTATTGCATTACATTTTGTTTCTCCATTTAAACATTGTTATCTGTGTCTGCTGATGGACATTTGGATTGTTTCCACCTTTGGTTGTTGTGAATAATCCTGCTATGAACATGGGTGTACAGATACCTGCCAAGTCCCTGCTCTCAATTTTTGGGGTATATGCCCCCCATGTTATTCTAATTTCTTTATTGAAATGCCTTCCTCTATCCAAGATGACCATTCTTTCAACCTAGTATGCATTTTTGAGAGCTGTTGTTAGCCTGGTGACAGAGAGAGTGGGCAGCTCCCCATCTCCATCCACTAAGCCAACTCTGGCAAATCAGTAGTTGCAAGACAAGAGTTGCAGCCTGAACACACTTGTGTTCTTTTTTTAATACTTCTTTATTTTATAAATTTTTAAATGTCTATGGCTTCTTTGAAAAAGAGGGAGGCTGTCTTCACCATGAGAATGTACGGGATGAAATAGCAATTCAGTAGCAGGAGAAAAATGGCCACCCTGTGTGGAGAAAGAAGTCTCAGGACCACCCATGGCTGCTGGGGAAGACTGAAGGGAGCTCCTTTGATAAACAAAGATATCCAGGATGGAGAGTAAGTGAAGAAATGAAATAGAGGACAGACAGGATTCATGTAGGAGTGAGGACCAGGCCTTCTTTAGGATCCTGAGGCACAGGAACCCAAGAGTTGCTGATACAGAGTAGCCAAAATTGTGGAATTTACAGTGCGGCCTCTAGGGAAACTTGGCCAAGGCCATAGAGGGAAGATAGGAAGCAGATCCCTAGTGAAAACCCAGCTTCCATTAAAATATCTCCCATGGAGAGGACAAGTCTCACAAGAACTTGGCCACAAACTGAAGAGGTGCAACCAGCATCCAGACAGAAAAGACTCTCCTTGCCCCAGAGATCAGTGAGCATCTGAAGGCTGGATCAAAGCCCAGACCTAGAGAGCAGATGTTAAATGGAGTCTCCAGAAGGCCTCTAGCCCCAAGAGACCCAGCACAGAGCATTAAAGGTGGATCAGTACACGTGGGGATCATTCCAGCAAATAGGCTGTGTGAACTCAACAAGACTTGGCAAAGACCTTGCCTGAGCTGGTCATCTCAGAGGGCCTCACAGCCCATCCAGGCTCAGTCACCCACAGGAGCCAACTGTTCATGCCAGATTTCAGTGTAAGGGAAGAAAAGGAGAAAAGAAAATGGCTGGAACCAAGGAGTTCTGAAATAAAAGGACATTTCCTTGCATTCTCTCATAAGCCATTTTCACCTTCATTTGGTATCTTCAAAGAGTGACACCCAGATCTTACCAAGCGGGAGCAGCAGACACGATTCCCTTTGATCCATGTGATCCTTTTCATCCATTTGAAAATCCTTCATGTGGCATCGATTTGATTAGTTCACATTATTAACCCATGATTGTGTTCTTACTTCATACTCAGCTCTGCACCCAGAACTGAGACACAAAAAGGGCCAATTCCCTGCCCTCCCTAACCTCAGGGAGCTTACATCTAGTGAGGAAACAAAAAATTAAAGGGACAGTTACACAAAAGAATGACCAGGGCTACAAGAGAAAAAAGTTTGGGGTGAATTAAAGGCACAGAGAAGTTTGTAACGCAGGAGCAATATGTAACCCAGAGGATCAGGACCACTCAATATGTTTTTGTTAGTTCCCTCTTGCTGCTTAAATGACTTAAAACAATACGACTTTATTATCTTAGACTTCCGAGGGTCAGAAGTCCAAAAATAGATCTTAAGGGACTAAAACCAAGGTGTCCAGTGCTGACAGGACTGCATTCCTTCGGAAGGCCCTGCAGAGATTTTGTGCCTTTGTCAGTTTCTGGAGGCCATCTGCTGCTTTGGCTCAGGGCCTCCTTCCAGTGATGGCATCACTCTGACCTCTGCTTCTACCATCACACCTCCTTCTCTCCCCTGCTCTCATCATCTTCTGATTCTGACACTCCTACCTTCCTTTTAGAAGGATCCTTATAAGATGCTTACATTGGGCCCACCCAAATAATCTGTGATCTATCTCCAATCTCCCATCTCAAGATCTTTAACGTGATCACACCTGCAAAGTCCCTTTGACCTGTAAGATAAAATATTCACAGGTTTCAGGGATCAGGACATGGCCATCTTGGCAGGGGCAGTGGGTTAAGGGGAGTAAGGAGTTGGAAGGTGGCATTATTCTGTCTACCATGTAGTTAATTCCTTTAAAAAAAAAAAAAAAACCCCTTTGCGGCCGGGCGCGGTGGCTCACGCCTGTAATCCCAGCACTTTGGGAGGCTGAGGCGGGTGGATCACGAGGTCAGGAGATTGAGACCATCCTGGCTAACACAGTGAAACCCCGTCTCTACTAAAAATGCAAAAAATTAGCCGGGAGTGGTGGCGGGCGCCTGTAGTCCCAGCTACTGGGGAGGCTGAGGCAGGAGAATGGGGTGAACCCGGGAGGCAGAGCTTGCAGGGAGCAGATATCGCACCACTGCATTCCAGCCGAGGTGACAGAGCGAGACTCCGTCTCAAACAAACAAACAAAAAATCCTTTGCGTGAATAGATTGTATCATTATTATCCCTGTGAAAAGGTTTTTTTTTCTTCATCTCCCCCTTTTATTTTATCAAAGAAATAACTCATAAATCTTTATCTTCTGAAAACTAGCCACAAATCATCTAAATTATATGTTAACATTATATGGATAACATCAAACATCAGAGGCCTTCTATACCGCCTCTGCTTCTTTTACCATTTCTAATTTCTCCAAAATGTTCCCATGGCAGATGACTCTGATTCTCACATGCTGATCTTCTCATATTCCAGTCCCTTTTTCTCTTATGGTGGAATCCCATAAGCAGACTCAACTTTTCACAAACTGATAACACGAAGTAGTCAATTTCACTTTATGAGTTAGGTATAGGAATAGAATTCAGAATTATTTCCAGAAATTATTTCTTGGTATCTATAAAATCATGTGTTGAAAGTCTACAGTCCTCTATCATAATTGTATTTATATCACTGTGGTGTGTGAGGGGAAAAAAGGAAAAATGTAATCTAAACTGGAACCAAGAAGTCGTTTCACCCAAGATTAACCCAAGATTACACAGATTATTAATGGTATGACCTGGTCAAAACCCACAGCCTCTGGACTCCAGAACAAGTGCTCTTTGCCCTAGCCACACTATTCTGCCATTCTTCTCTTTCAGATTAAAAAAAAAATTTGGTAGAAATTTACACATTAATGATACACATTAATGACTTCAAATACTTGTCCTAATTGTCCTCTTTATTAAAAAGCTCCCACCACTAGTCCTGACTGGTGTTCCATAAAGGGTCCTTCCTGCTGGTTGATGTTTGACTCTGTGAAATATAAACAAGTTTCAACAAGAGGACAGAGAATTTGTAATCAACACACCTTGGCTCCTGTTCAGAACGACCATGCCTGTCACTTGATATTTTTGCAGGAAATGGATATTGGAAAGAAATATCACACTTCATTTAAAAGCAGAACAACAGATGTAGGGGCAATGGTGTCAATGAGAATCAGTTACGTATCTGATGAAAGTCTTTGTGAATCTCAAATAATAACAATATGGCAATCCTTTTACTTCTCTTTAGAATTCCCCAGGACCCTCCTCCAAACCCCCTCCCTATTTCATCTCTTCGTCACAGCCAGATGGCCTCAGCAGCTACTGTGCAGAGGACACCAACACTGTCCCTCACCAGCTACCTTCACATTCCTCCTTCCCACCTCGAAAACACTTTTACCCTCACTCAGCTCCTCTCCCTTTCCCTCAGTGACAACCCCTCTTTTTTGGATATCGTGCCTTTGCTCAGCTGGCTGCTTCCCCTTGATCTACTGGTACGTTGAAATCCCAACTACTCAGCATAGTGTGCAATGCAACTCATAAGTGCCTCCCAAGTCAATGCTACGCTTATAGTGTTCTCCAATCCAGCTGTGAAGCTCACTGAGATCCCCCCATTCCTTTGCACCCACTGTTTTCTCTGCCTGGAAGGCCATTCCTCCATTTTTTGCCAGAAAACTCCTAATCATCCCTCAAAGCCTAGCTCAGCATTGACCTCTGTGATGCTGTTCCCAACCATCGGCCATCTTCAGTGAAAGTTAATGATAGATAGAGGCAGACAAGGGTGGGTCCCTGGCGAAACCCCACCATCAAGCCAAAAAGCCTGAAACCCACAGCCTGAAGTGGGAACTTCTATCCCTGTTTGCCCACTCTCTCCTGATTGGTTCTTTCTGGCCTAGAACTCCTGACCTCAGGTGATCCACCCAACTCGGCCTTCCAGAATGCTAGGATTATAGGTGTGAGCCACTGCACCCAGTTGGTTCTTTCTGAATAATGTCTTTTTACCAATCAAATTTTGCCTTTTCCAAAACTACCTATGGCCTGCCCCACCTCCTATCCTGTGCCTATAAAGACCCCAGACTCAGTAGTAGAGAGGGAGAAGTGGCTTGACTGGAGAGAGGTGACTTGACTTCAGAGCGACGGCTAGACTTCAGAGGAGAGACAGCTTAACTTCAGAGAAGAGCCATGTGGAGACAGCCAGACTTCAGGGAAGATTACCTGCCCATCCTGTCCCCTCTCCAGCTATCCCCTCTCTACTGAGAGCCACTTCCATCACTAAAAAAAAAAAAAATTCTCTGCCTCCACCATCCTTCAAGTTTCCATGCAACCTAATTCTTCTTGGGCACTGGACAAGAGCTCAGGACCCACCAAGTGTGGGTACTCAAAAAAGGTTGTCACACTGGCCCTTTGCCCTTGCTGGCAGAGGACAGCCACCCAACGTGATGAGGCAAGGGGCCCACTGAGCTGATAACACACTGCTGTCCACAGATGGCAGAGCTAAGAGATCATCGTAACACACCCTCTGGGGCTTCGGCGGTCACAGGCATCCCCATCTGGGCACCACCATGGGGCCACATGGAACCTGCTCCTGCCAGCACCCAAAGCATCCAGCCAGATCCTGCACTCGCTTGCTAATGCACTCCCTCCTGCAAAAGGTTGAGCACAGTGGGCCTGGTAAATGGACCACCCCTGTAGCAAGTCCGATGAAGGGGTCAAAAAAAATTCCTGCATCATTAATACTCTCTGCCCTGTGTGGCAAGAGCCCCAGGCTTTCCTCTCCCAGAGCTTTTAACACATGACATTAGCCTTGTCTGTTCACCTCTCAGACTTCCTCAAAAAGTTCCCAGACTGAGAGCTCTTTAAGAGCAGAGATTGCTCCTTTTATGTCTAAATCCTCAGCACTTAGCACAGTCCTTACTAGTAGACACCCAATAAATGTTTGTTGAGTGATTGAAAGTCCAAATCTTTCTATTAAAAGAAAGAAATTAAAAAGAAAAAACGATCACTTTGCTGTCTTCTGGAACAGCTATCTAACCAAACTTCCCAAACCCAGTTGGCACCATGTACAAGCTGATTTCTGTTGCCAGCCTACCCCTGGATCTGCTTTATTGACCTCGATTATTTCCTCATCACTTAGCTAACTGACTGCTCCTCATTCCCCACTCTCCTTTCCCCCTCTGCAGCATCTGATGGCTTTATTTTTAAGTTTTGAGCTGGTCCATTTTCCTCTTCCACCATCTCATCCACCCTCTTTGTCTCAGCAATAATTTGTTTTCTCAGCTCCTCATTTGGTTATTTTCTAAAAGTGCTAGTCACAGCCACTCTCCAAAAGCTCTCAGTAGCTGGCTGATGGACCATTGGTCAATGGAAAGCAGCATCCTTACGCCAGTTTCTGGAAACTAGACAGCAATTAAATGAAGCAATGTGCATAAAGCACTTAGCAGTGCCTTAGACACTTACTGAGTGTTGTCATACCTCCATCCTGGGCAAACTGGCCTTCAAACTGGCCATCCCTCTTCCCATTTATCTTCGCTTGAATTCTGAGCACCACTGCTATAATGACATTCCTAATGCAGAGTGCCAATAAAAAGGAGGGGTTCCCAAATATCCATCCACAGCAAAATGAGAAAGATAAAAACAGTGCAGTGACCTTTCATCACATTACTTATATTCAACTCAAGGCTTTGCTCTTTATTGAGACTATGTACTTCTGCTTTCTGTGTTAAAATGCCCTTTTTATAATGAAACAATGGCAATTTTGTTTTGTTTCTTATTTCAGTATCTTTATTTGGGAAAATAGTTCACAACCATAAATGGCCTACATTTTGTATTTTGGAAACTATATTATCTAGTCTGTTACTCTGGATTTCTACAAGGGACCAAGTAATCCCATTCCTACATTCTTTTCACATTGATAAGAATGAAGAGTTTACTAACACATATAACATTTTAAAAGTAAGATATAGGCAGAGACCCCCCCAAAAAATGTTTATGATAGTAAAGACCTATTTGAGATGTTCACAGCCCTATTTCTTTTATATTTGTTTATTCACACATTTCAATGTCTTAATGGTTATTTGCCGTTAGTTTGCCTTTAGTTTTATAGGCACATGCATACTAATAGTGACTGTCATCAAACACATACACATACACACACACACACACACACACACACACTTTAAAGCAGGCAATTAATCATTTTCTCCCTCAAGACCGTATTTTACAGTCGGAAGCCAATTGTCAGCACATATGCTCCTAAATAAACTGACACACATACCAGCTAATAGATTAATTCGCATGAAGAAGGCGTCGTGGGAAGAAAACCTGTGTTCCCAGATTTCTCAGGCAGGTGCTCTGCCTGTTAACATAAAGATCAGTCCTCCTGGCTCCAACCCCTTAGGCAGTGTGCCCAAAATTACTTATGGTTTCTAACACAGTTGATGCCAATGCAGTTCTGCAATTGAGAGCCTGGTTTACACAACGTATCCTAAGAACAGCTCAGCTCAGGAGCAGCCAGTGTAGACTTTTTGTATGCTGGTGGGGGGGCGTTGGGGAGGAATTGTTTGTTTGTTTTGTCTCACATGTGGCTTTTCTAATAGAAGACAATCATGAAGCAATAATTCATGCCTTAATATTTCTTTGCAGCTATCACCCATTGTTCTTCATAGCCCTCCCATAAGTGGGTGATGTTATGGGTCCTGAGGAAATGGAGACCTATTGGGATGAATTTGTTCAGAAGAGAGAAGGCTTGCACACACGTGTGCATTCTCACAGGCACGCACTCTCTCGCACCACCCTCAGCACTCAGAGCTCTGCTAGTATCCCTTTCCCCTTTCTGACTTTGTATCTCTTAAGCCAGTCTTTTATCCCATGCACTGTGCCTCAGTGGAAAGTTCAGCTTCTCTATAAAACAACTTATTAAGGGAAGGATCACTATAGAGCTTCCTCAGAGCTCCAGAAAAGATAAGCTGACGGTCTGCTTTTCTTTTTCACCAAATCACCCTTCTCAGAGTATTAATGCAAAGAATAGCATGGAGGAGTGGGGAAGGAGGTAGGAGAACATATACATGACACAATTATTAGACTTCCAAAATCCTGTAAAAAAAAAATCTATCAATAGTATTCTGTGTTAGTTTTAGCTTTCTTAAATAAGCATCATCCATGCTCTTTTCCAAACAGGATTCACAAAAATGCTAAATGCATTTGCTGCAGACCAGTTCTGGGTCCTCAATGAAGAGTGGTTGGCAGTCAGGCTAGGGCTGCTCCTGGGAAATGCTGGAAGGGCCGGATGCTCCCCTGAGGAGTCTGTTCCCCCAGATCAGCCTAGAGGTCCAGTAGAATGGTTGCGTCCCAGCAGGATGTGACTCTTTGTTCTACCTATTCCTCTATTGTGACCCTTCAAAAATCCTACCTGTTTTCAAAGACATCATCCTCATTGTTCGTAACCCCCACCACCAACAACAAAAAAGCCAGATTGAGGCACCCGCTGACAAAGCAACTCTCTTGTTCTGGCACCTTAAGAAGGAAATGAGTTTACTTCCCTTCTGTAACTGAAGCAAAGCCTTCCCTCCCCGCTGTGGATATGGTACCACTCTGTAGCACGTTTCCTTCAGAGAGTCAGCTTTTCTGAACAATGACCCAACTGTTTGTACAGTATGGGAAACTATCTCTTGATAGAGTTTGGTGCACACCCTCCTACGAACCCAGACATGCACAAAAGTTCCACATTTCACCACAGGAAGTAAGACTGGTCAGGCTTCAGGCATCATTAATCATTTTGAAGTGATTATTCTTAAAAAGAAAAAAAAAAAAAACAGGGATGCAGCTTGAGTTAAGTCATGCCCAATAAAAATCAGCACTTCTCCTCAAAATTACATTTCTCTACTTCCGTGTGGAAAGTTAAGAGCTCCCTGTACTGACAAGAGCTGGGGTGAAATCGAGAATCTTCGTCTCTTTAATTGGAGCACAGACAAATACTTGGGATCTGACATGGTCAGATGGGGAAGAGGTGGGTGGAGTTTTACTTCCTTTGCCTTTCGGCTCAGAAATACACACATTTAGGAGGAAGATAAAGCAAGAACAATTTGGGATTTTGTTCCGGGAACTTCATTTTCCCCCATTGAAATGCCATTAAACAAAGCTTAGGACAATCCTGCTACGTGCACTCATTTAGCCACGGGAACTATGGAGTGCCCCACCCCCCATCCCCATCACTGAGGCCCTGCAGCCCAGCAGGCAAGGGCCAGAGAACAATTTAATTCCCCAGATAGGCTGCCCCACACAGAGGTTCCTCATCAAGGGAGTAGCACCAGCCCACTCTGCAAATCTGTTCACCCTGCAGGAAACACCTCCTTGTCTGCTTCTTTGAAGTAAAACTGTTTCTCTAGCATGGGAAAAGGGATAAGTAGAAAATGAAATCTCCAACTCTGTCTTTCCTGAAAGATTACATTTCCTGCTATCCTGGTTCAGGAGGAAATTCACTTACATAAAATTAGATTAATTTTCTTTCTGACGTCACCTGGTCTACCAGAAGCATCTTTTGTCCATTGCCTCTTTTTGAAACCTTGGCCATGTCCCCAGTCCTCAGTCATTCCTTAATCAGAACATCTGGTTCTCAAGTCAAGATTAAAAATCATAAAATAAAGGCAGAAAAGAGGCTGCCTCTTCTGTCCTTGTTCCGCATTGCCTCCTTCACCCTAGTCTTGCATAATCACTATGTAGATGCCAGCCCAGAAGGCAGCATCATCTTCACTTCCTTCCTCATCAGCCAACTGCTACATATCCCAGCTAAGCCCTAGTATTTGTTTTAATTTAAAGGGTTAAAGTGGAAAAGAAGAGAATCAACAAACTTTATTTTAGTACTCTAATCTACCTATTTTAAAATGTAATACATGTTATTAAATAGATTTGGGCTTGGGTTGTTTTTTTTTTTCCCAGAGTTTAGTTGCTTAAACTCATTTTGTATCTACCCAAGTGGATCCTTTTAAAAATCTGCTAGGAGTCAGATTGAAAATGACTGACAGAAAGCCTGAGCAGGGTGAGAAATGGGTTCACATGGGATGGTGGCCTGGCATGGGGTTTGGAGCCCAAGCCAGGTAAGTGGGGTATCCACAGGGAGACATAAGCCAGAGTGCAAATGCAGCAAGGAAGGAGCTGGGAGTATGAGGTGTTGGAATCCAGGCAGCTACAATAGAAGAGGAGCTGCAAGGAGTAGGGGGCAGCAACAGAGCTGGGAGATGGGTTACATATAGGAGGATGGATCAGTTAAGTAGATATTTTAGGGATAACAGAAAGGGAGAAAATTAGAATGAACCCTGTGTATTGTTGCATTGGAATTGGATATTGATGTGAATGAATAGTTTTCAATATACATACATAAATATAGAAATAAATATAGTTCTGTCCATGGCTAGGACCTGGGAGCAATGACATCACAGTGGCAATGAGCGCACCTAGTGCCCAGATATTCACAGTATTCTAAATACTCTTCTCCACTAAAGGAAATTCAGGCTACTTAGAGAAACAGCTGATTTCAAACCTGGAAGAAAGTGTAAGATGAGTACAACTTCTCATCATGCCAAAAAGCAAGGAAGATGAGGTAGAAATAAACAAGAGTTTATGTGATGAATTACGTTTATTGATTTGCGTATGTTGAACCAGCCTTTCATCCCAGGGTGAAGCCGACTTGATCGTGGTGGATAAGCTTTTTGATGTGCTGCTGGATTCGGTTTGCCAGAATCTTATTGAGGATTTTCGCATCAATGTTCATCAGGGATATTGGCCTGAAATTTTCTTTTTTTGTTGTGTCTCTGCCATGTTTTGGTATCAGGACAATGCTGGCCTCATAAAATGAGTTTGCAAGGAGTCCCTCTTTTTCTATTATTTGGAATCATTTTAGAAGGAATGATACCCAGCCCCTCTTTGTACCTCTGGTAGAATTTGACTGTGAATCCATCTGGTCCTGGACTTTTTTTTGGTTGATAAGCTGTTGTTTACTGCCTCAATTTCAGAACTTGTTATTGGTCTATTCAGGGATTCGATGTCTTCCTAGTTTAGTATTGGGAGGGTGCAAACAGAACCAATGACAAAAACCACATGATTATCTCAATAGATGCAGAAAAGGCCTTCGATAAAATTCAACACCCCTTCATGCTAAAAACTCTCAATAAATTAGGTATCGATGGAACGTATCTCAAAATAATAAGAGCCATTTACTACAAACCCACAGCCAATATCATACTAAATGGGCACAAGCTGGAAGCATTTCCTTTGAAAACCGGCACAAGACAAGGATGCCCTCTCTCACCACTCCTATTCAACATAGTATTGGAAGTTCTGGCCAGGGCAATCAGGCAAGAGAAAGAAATAAAGGGTATTCAAATAGGAAGAGAGGAAGTCAAATTGTCTCTGTTTGCAGATGACATGATTGTATATTTAGAAAACACCATCGTCTCAACCTCAAGTCTCCTTAAACTGATAAGCAACTTCAGCAAAGTCTCAGGACACAAAATCAATGTGCAAAAATCACAAGCATTCCTATACACCAATAATAGACAAACCAAGAGCCAAATCATGAGTGAACTCCCATTCACAATTGCTACAAAGAGTAAAATACCTAGGAATACAACTTACAAGGGATGTGGAAGGCCTCTTCAAGGGGAACTACAAACCACTGCTCAAGGAAACAAGAAAAGACACAAACAAATGGAAAAACAGTCATGCTCATGGATAGAAAGAATCAATATAGTGAAAACGGCCATACTGTCTAAAGTAATTTATAGATTCAATGCTATCCCCCAACAAGCTACCATTGACTTTCTTCACAGAACTAGAAAAAACTGCTTTAAATTTCATATGGAACCAAAAAAGAGCCCATATAGTCAAGACAATCTTAAGCAAAAAGAACAAAGTTGGGGCATCACACTACCTGACTTCAAAGTATACTACAAGGCTACAGTAACCAAAACAGCATGGTACTGGTACCAAAAAAGATATATAGACCAATGGAACAGAAGAGAGGCCTCAGAAATAATGCCACACATCTACAACTATCTGATCTTCAACAAACCTGACAAAAACAAGCAATGGGGAAAGGATTCCCTGCTTAATAAATGGTGCTGGGAAAACTGGCTAGCCATATGCAGAAAACTGAAAATGGACCCCTTCCTTACACCTTATACAAAAATTAATTCAAGATGGATTGAAAACTTACATGTAAAACCTAAAACCATGAAAACCCTAGGAGAAAATCTGGGCAATATCATTCGGGACATAGGCATGGGCAAAGACTCCATGACTAAAACACCAAAAACAACGACAACAAAAGCCAAAATTGACAATGGGATCTAATTAAACTAAAGAACTTCTGCATGGCAAAAAAAACTATCATCAGAGCAAACAGGGAACCTACTGAATGGGAGAAAATGTTTGCAATCTATCCATCTGACAAAGGGCTAATATCCAGAATCTACCAAGAACTTAAACAAATTTGCAAGAAAAAAACAGCCCCATCAAAAAGTGGGTGAAGGATATGAACAGACACTTCTCAAAAGAAGACATTTATGCAGCCCACAAACATTAAAAAAGCTCATAATCACTGTTCATCAGAGAAATGCAAATCAAAACCACAATGAGATACCATCCCACGCCAGTTAGAATGGCGATCATTAAAAAGTCAGGATATAACAGATGCTGAAGAGGATGTGAAAAAATAGGAAGGCTTTTACACTGTTGGTGGGAGTGTAAATTAGTTCAACCACTGTGGAAGACAGTGTGGCAATTCCTTAAGGATCTAGAACCAGAAATACCATTTGACCTAGCAATCCCATTACTGAGTATATATAAAGGATTATAAATCATTCTACTATAAAGACACATGTACATGAACGTTTATTGTAACACTGTTAACAATAGCAAAGACTTGGAACAAACCCAAATGCCCATCAATGATAGACTGGATGAAGAAAATGTGACACATATACATCATGGAATACTATGCAGCCATAAAAAAGGATGAGTTCATGTCCTTTGCAGGGACATGGATAAAGCTGGAAGCCATCATTCTCAGTAAACTAACACAGAAACAGAAAACCAAGCACCACATGTTCTCACTCATCAGTGGGAGTTGAACAATGAGAACACATGGACACAGGGAGGGGAACATCACACACCAGGGCCTATCAGGGGGTAGGGCGGTAGGGGATGGATAGCATTAGGAGAAATACCTAATGTAGATGACAGGTTGATGGGTGCAGCAAACCACCATGGCACATGTGTACCTATGTAACAAACCTGCACATTCTGCACATGTTTCCCAGAACTTAAAGTATAATTTTTAAGAAAAAAGAAATAAATAAACAAGAATGAGGTAGAAATGCCAAGAGGACACAGAGGCCCGCTTGACTAGTCTCCACTGGCCAAATCAGGGATAATTTGAGCATCAAAAAATTATAATAGCAACAGATTATAACCCATTGAATAAAATAGTCTATTCTGAAATGAATAAACAAACAAATTGAAAGCTTGATGAGGAACAGAATATTTACATAGTTTCAAAATACCTCTCCCACAAAATGCTTATAAATTACAAAAGAGAAAAGAATAGCTTTGCAGTGGGGAAGCCTGGCACACACTATCCTAATCAAGTGATCACAATGACCAACATTAGCTGAGAACAATGTAAAATCTTGTGCTATCTGTTAAGACACCATGAATAGAACACAGAATCACTCCTCTCTTATTTCTGCCAAAAAAAGCACAACCTAAATCTAATCATGAAAGAACATCGGACAAACCCAAATTGAAGCACATTCTACAAAATATCTAGCCAGTATTTCAAACGTGTGAAGGTCATGCAAATCAAGGGAAGACTGAGGATGTGGTAGTCTAGACTCAATGAGACTGAAGAGATATCACAACATAATTCAACATGTAATTTCAACCTGGATCCTTTTGCTATAGAAAACGTTGCAAGGACAAGTGTTGAAACTTGAATGGAGTTGGAGGATTAGATGGTAATAATGTGCCCCTGTGACTGTCCTGATTTTGGAAATTGTATTGTGGTTATGGAGGAGAATATTTTTATTTGTAGGAAGGACACTCTAAAGTACTCTGGAATGATGGGCATTCTGTGACACTTACTCTCACATGTGTCGAGAAAAAAACTTTATTTATATTGCACTTCATACTTTTTCATAAGTTTATCACTGTTGCAAGTATTTTAAAAATCTAATTAACAAAGAAAAGGCTGTGAGCTAGCTCATGAGCACCCAGAAGGGCAGAGACCATGAAAATTCATTCTGACCAGTGCCTGGTGCATGTCCAGTCCAGGTGAGTGCTCAAAACATATTTGCTGAATTTAAATGTTTGGAAAACTCTCTGAGATACAGAAGGAGCATAATAAAAGGGCTTCCATCAAGATTTTTGTATTGTATTCTACAAGCACTTGTAGGGTTTACTATGTGACAGACATTGTTAAATATTTTACAAATAGCTCTATGAGATAGACACTATAATATCTCCACCTTACAGAGAAGGAAACTGAAGGACAAAGAGATTATGTGACCTCCCAAAGTCACACAGCTAATGAGTAGTAGAAATAAGAGTTGAGCCCAAGTGTGGCAGGGGAGGGGGGGAGCTGCAGAGCCACTTTCCCAGGCTGCCTTTCCAAGATTCCACTGGCAGAAAATTAAATTTTTTAACATCTTTCCCATTCAAAATATTTGGTTCTTGATTATAAAATTGCATTCTGTATATTCTAAATTTACAAGATAATGCCATATTTCTTATTTCATAATGGATGGAACCAACCTGAAAGAAGCCATTCAGAGCTAAGTACTCATCTTTGTGAGCAGTGCTGGTCACCAGCTTTGGTCTTTACCTAAGTCTTGGTCACCCAAGCATACCTTTAGTTCTTATTATGCCAACCGTAGTTTATGTGGCCCCCATTTTTTTTAGATTTTTATCTCCTATGCACTTCCTTTTCTCCTATTTGCATCAGGATTTTAAAATGGAGTAAATATGTCTGTGACACAGCTAATCTTCCTTGTAGCAAGGAAAGTCTCACTGGCCATCAACCAGGGCCCTACGCTATGACACTGCCCCATTATATTTCTGTCCCTCACAGAAGGGAAATGAGGCATTGACTCAAACACACCTCCTAATGGAATGAATATTTCCATAGCCCCCAATAAAACAATTGAAGATACTCTGCTCCATGCAGCCCTCTCTGCCTCACTTTCTCCCTCCTGTGAGATTCGAAAATACGTTGTTTTACGCTCATGTATGTTGTAGGGAAAAGAAGAATACAATCAACACCAAGGGGAGATGCTCATTAGACTTTCCTTTATAGCAAATGGCTCATAAAGTAAACCCAATAAATAAATATTCTTCTTTATAATTCAGTGTAGCAAGTTACCTAATAAAACTATGATAGGCATGACACGATGAGCTCTAGTTCATGAGCATGGTTTCATGATTTTTGTGGCCTATGATGTTATCACAAAATGTATCACAAGTTTCAGGTAGGCTTAGAGCAAGTTCCATGTTGCCAAATAATTCCTGTTAGCATTTTTATCTTCAAATCATATTTAGTCATAAGAACAACATCTTCCCTTTGCTACATCCCATTTCCAAAAGGGTGAAAGCAGTACAGATGAAACAGGAAGAAGGAAACTTATTTCGTCTTAAGTGGTATTTATTTTTTCTTAAACAGAACTGTAACTTTTTCCTATTCTTCTCTGTGCCAATTTCCAACCATTCAGGTATGATTTCTGCAACAAATAAATGCATATATACATTTTTATGTATATAAATATACGAGTGTATGTCCTCTGCTGTCCTATCCCCACCATAAATTCCTTTCAGTTGCAAAATCACAGTTGCTAATGCTATCAACGCACCACCCGGATCCCCTCACCCGGACCACTTCTGTGCACATCTACCCAAATTTCAACTCCCAGCATGAGTCTTTCTTTACCGAAGAGTGTTTTCTTCTTGCCTAAGCCCACTTTGCTGTTTTGGAGGCAAGCAAAGTATTGTGGAATTAATGTCCCCATGAATAGTCCTCAACTCATGACTAAAAAGAGTTGGTGCTCCCTTGCCCCTCAGGTGGGATGACTTTGAGTGAGTGTTTTCCACACTGGCTGCCAGATCTTCCCCAGAGGGATTAACTCCCAGTCCCTCAGGGTGGTAGCTGGCTTGATGACACTCTCCTTAATGCTTACCTTCTCACTTTCCTGTTTCACTTCCCTACTCTCCTACCATTGTTCCATAAATTAACTGCTTGCACTTTGATCCTTGATTTAGCATCTTCTCCTGGGGAAGTCCCATCTAAGCCAATCACTCTCCAAAGAATACGGAAGTTGACCAGAATCCACAAGACAAGTAGCTGTTCTGTCTTCTATGGCGGAATTGTCAACAATTGTCCACAATTCCCCGATAGAAGAATTTCGAAGCACAATTCATATCCAGGCTTTAATATCTCCTCTTATATCCCTCCTTTCCCCCACCTTCTACCAACATGCAGCATCCCGTTGATAGGCTTTTCCCTCCCCAGTTATCAATAGCCCTTACCGCAAAGTTTTACTTTCCTGTTAATCTATTGTTAGAGATGTCCACTGTTTGTGGCACTGACTCCTGTTTAATTGGCTCTTACAAACAGTGTACTTATTCTTCCTCTGTGAGCGACAGATATAGCCTACCATATGTTTATTTCCACCGGGGTCACCCTGCCATCTGGACGATGGAAGCTTATGCCCAAGGGAGACGGAGCCATAAGCCAATTTACATTAAGACACAGATTCTAGACATACAGTCCAAGTTTGGACACAGAGCTGACTCCAGCTGACAATGCCACCAGACTCTGATTGATTTCACCCACAATACACAGAGGTTTCTGTGTCTCATAGTCAGCGGCAAAGACAGTATCTAGGTTGCTTGACTAATCTGGTTGTTTATTCCCTTGCTGTACTCACCTTTATTTGATTGAAGACACCAAGTTCAGGACAATAGTTAATTGAAGTATATTAAGATGCCATTCCCCCAACCCTCTTTAGTGCTCTCAGGTTTGGCCTGGAAGGGACCCAAAGACACTGTGCCTAGTGGTCAGCATTTTCTTTAGGGCTGTTCTTGGCATTTCCATAATCATTAATATTTTTTAAAGATTAAAGGGCTGGTTACAATCTTAAAAATAGCTTAGCACCAGTTTTTCACAATCTCTCTCACCACCCCTTGCCCCCAAAAACACAATAAAGTACGTGCAGTCTTGATTTTAGTAACCTTCTGTCTGTTGTCCAAAGCAAAATTTCTTCTGCTTTCTCTTATTTTTTTATGACATTGGGTATAGAATGAATTTGTCAGTATTTTCAGCAGTCATCTCTCTTCCCCACCCTGGAGCTTCACATGATATTATGGAAAATGTTTTTTTGGAGCCCAGAAGCAGGAAGGAGTGCCCTGCCCTATGTACAGCCACCATCTGCTGGCTGCACTTTAAGAATCCTTTCTGCTTTGGAGTCTTGTGGTGAGGAATGCCGGTATTCCTTGTGCCTTGGTACCGATAAGATACAGACTCTTACTAGCATCTCATTCTTACCGTCCCACAGACCTTGGCTGCAACACTCTTAGGTAAAGAAAGCCTGAGGCTGGCAGGCTGGAATTTGGGCAGATGAGCACAGAAGTGGTCAGGGTGAGGGGATCCAGGTGGTGTGCTGATAGCATTAGCAACTGTGATTTTGCAAGTGAAAGGAATTTATAGTGAGGATAAGATAGCAGAGGACACACACACAGAGCCAAAGCAGCTTTGTTGATAGGTTTTCATACACACACACACACACACACACACACACACACTTCATTTTTAAAAATTAGCTGGAAACTTTCACAAGCTTTTTCCAAATCTAATCTTAACAAGGACCCTCCAGGGAGTCTTCTGTAGCGTTAAATACATCCTTGGTATCCAGTATAGTACCTGATGTATAGTAAGTGCTCACTAAGTATTTATTTCTTTGTCTATTGATCTACCAATTTACCTATTTAAATGAGACATTAGGGCAATTCAGAAGCATCCAGCAGAAAAATTCCACTCTTCAAAAAAATCAAAAAGAAAATATTTCTTTATGAGAATTGGTATACTAAACAAAATATAGAGTTAATATCTTCCTTTTTCCCCCAAAGCTTGATTTTTTTTTTTTTTTTTTTTTTTTTTGAGGCGGTCTCACCGTATCACCAAGGCTGGAGTGCAGTGGTACGATCTCGGCTCACTGCAACCTCCACCTCCTGGGTTCAAGTGATTCTCCTGCCTCAGCCTCCTGAGTAGCTGGGACTACAGGTGTGTGCCACAATGCCCAGATGATTTTTGTATTTTTAGTAGAGATGAGGTTTCACCATGTTGCCCAGGCTGGTCTCAAACTCCTGACCTCAAGTGATCTGCCCACCTCAGCTTCCCAAAGTGCTGGGATTACAGACATGAGCCATCGTGCCCAGCCAAAGCTTGATTTTTTTAGAGAACTTGTCCTTCAAGCCTGAGGTTAATTTAAGTATATTAAGAAGGCTAAGAAAATACCACTATGTGTTATTTAAAAAATAGTCTAGAAAAAAGACACTTCAGTCCTCTGATGATTTTGTGTGACAATTGAATCAGTGGGCAAGAAAGCTGCACTTCTATAATAAGATGGGAATCTTGCTCTCACAACTCCATGATTATAAGAATCTGGGATTTCTTTGTCTACTCAGCTACTTGGAAAAGAGGAAATATCTATTTGTTTTTGCATCACCTGTGCCTGGCACAATTCTCATGCGTAGCAGGCACTCCATGGAAGTTTGTTGAATGAATGAATGAATGAATTGGTCAGTCATAGGAAATAACCATGTAACCTGTGTCAACAGGTTTTAAGGGCCAAAGCACTTACTTAGACAAAGTGGCTTTTTCATAGACAGTTCTCTCTGATTCTACAGTGGACTTAAAAACCAGCTAGAAGCCGGGCGCGGTGGCTTACGTCTGTAATCCCATCACTTTGGGAGGCCCAGGCAGGTGGATCACAAGGTCAGGAGTTCAAGACCAGCCTGGCCAATATGGTGAAACTCCATCTCTACCAAAAATATAAAAATTAGCAGTGCGTGGTGGCGTGCACCTGTAGTCCCAGCTACTCGGGAGGCTGAGGCAGAAGAATCGCTTGAACCCGGGAGGCGGAGGTTGCAGTCAGCCAAGATCATGCCACTGTACTCCAGCCTGGGCAACAGAGCGAGACTCCGTCTCAAAAACAAACAAACAAAGTAGAACTCTATGAGGAAAGCCTTTAGCCAATGACTGAGGGGTTAGGTGTGTGGATGCCTGAATTCCTGGCCTTAAGTTGGGCACACTCTAGGCCCAACACTCTAGGTCAATCTGGGCTGAACAAACTGACCTGCAAAGTTCCTTTCATGATCAGGTTGAAGCCACTCTCCAAGGAACTTTTCCTGAAATTGCACACTTTCCTGTATTCCTCTTCCCTATCACACTTCTCCCACTCCCATACCAGTTCCTCTTGGGAACACTCCCTTAATAAATTCATAACACATAGAAGGAAAACCAAGTTAAAAGGATGGATTCTGCTTTAGGAGATTATATGCAGCCTATACATTCCCTAGAAGCACCCTGCTCTAGGTCAGGGACCCTTCCCTGGTGAGGGAACACCTGTTCTTTCCAATTGCTGTCTTCTAAACCTCCTCCTTGAGTCCACTCAGTCTCTGTTTCCACTTATTCTCCCCAAAACTGCACCACTGGCTGCTTCCTACACACATGTTGTCACCCTTGAACTATAATTTCTCCTCCTGCCCAGTGACATTCTTTCCTCCCACTGTCAAACTTCTGTCACTCAGCTGGATGGATGTGGCCTCTCTGGATGGGCTGATTCTTAACCCCATTCTGTCTCTAGAGAAAGGTGGGAGAATCAAATTTACCTCTTAGGTGATACAGCAACCTGTGTGAGCAGATAGACAGACAAATATGGACGCCTGCTAAGGAAAGGCGGCCCCTGTTCTGTCAAATGCATGATATGGATTCAAAACAGGGAAAAGGTGCAAATGGAAAGGAAAACATATGAATGAAGAGGCTAATGTTTTGAAATGAGAAGGAGCGATGAGGCTATTTCAACTCATTTATTGAAAGAGGCGAGTCCACTTGGACAGATTCTAAGTTGTAAAACAGCTTTCTTAAGTCTGTCTCCATTTCCTTTCTGTGCAAGGAGCCTCTCCTTGTTAGTTTGCAGAAGGTCCATGGTAGCTTAAAAGCAGCACGGTGGATGCCATTTAGTCACCTGACCTTAGGTGATAATAATTTCCCAAGCACTACAGACCCCGATCGTCAGGAATACCATGGCCATACTAAACTGGTTTAGCTTATTTGATGAATTCAGCTTGGTGAGTGACTGCAGAGTCAATGTGGATAGAAACAGACTCTGGGGTCCCTTCTTTCTGGGGTCACCTGATACAGTCTGCAGATCCCTCTTGATTCACTCAATCTGTTTCGGCTGCTGGGGTAGAAAGCAAAGCTGTATTAGAATCTATTTTTCTTTCTGAACAGTGTTTAATATTCTCATCATTTAGTATTTTATATTTGTAACTGTGATATTTACAGGGAAGTGTAGCGAGTTTGCTTGTGGTTAATTTGCCTGCCTGCCATGTCTCTTTTAGAGAGTGTGATCCCCCCACCCCTCTGACTGAACAGCAGGTCCTGGGACTCTGGCCTCAAGTCGTGTCATTTAAATCGGAAGTGAGCATCCAAGTCAAGCCTAGGCCCAAAAAAAAACTGCACTTGGAAATAGAGGGTGTCGCAGGGGGGCTTCAGGGGTCTTGCCAGTCTCTCTTGGGTGCTAAAACTGGGAAGTGATGTAAAGTTGCAGTTGGGGCAACCATGCAAGTTCAAAAGAAAATAAAGGGGAGTGTTCTGGTAAGAGGCAGAAGGAATAGGCCAGCAGAGAGAGTCAGAGATGAGAGAAAACGTGGCCCCAGTGAGACAGAGTAATTATCCAACTGTATATGTCCCTCCAGATGCTTGCCCTCAGCTTCCATTGACATACGCCATATCTTTCTAATAAATTCCCATCTTTTTAAAAGTCACTTGAATTCCAGAAAAGAAAAAAAAGAAAGAATTTCATATCTATGATAGTGGCCAGGCACGGTGGCTCACGCCTGTAATCTCAGCACTTTAGGGGGCCAAGGCAAGAGGATCACTTGAGGTCAGGAGTTCAACACCAGCCCAGGGAACATGGTGAAACCCCATCTCAACTAAAAATACAAAAATTAGCCGGATGTGATGGTGCACGCCTATAATGCCAGCTACTCAGGAGCTGAGGCAGAAGAATCACTTGAACCTGGGAGGCAGAGGTTGCAGTAAGCCCAGATCGTGCCACTGCACTCTAGTCTGGGCAACAGAGTGAGTGAGACTGCATCTCAGAAAAAAAAAAAAAAAAAAGATAGGGACAGAAAGGTATGGGGCCTTGGTTAGAGTTTGTTTGAATACCACCTCAAAGACAGGGAAACATTCAATTAACCATTTCTGTCTGATTTCTCAACTTTACACCACTATTATCCTTTCTTGATAGATCAGGAAAATGGTCACTTACATTTAAAATAGATTATGTAGCCTCTTGCCATTTTTGGAAACATTCTTAGATAATAGAATTACTGAATTTCCAGACAACTCAACAGGATCACACAGACTCTCAAATCAACATACCTAGCAATCATGACTACACCGTGTTATGAGCTGATAAATTCATAGAGCCTAAAGCATTACAGAAGGAGGGAGTGGAGAAGCGTGCTTATCTTCCTTGTGAGTTAGCCTCAATTTCAGAACAAACTCAGCAGTGCCAAGAATAACCGATTATTCTCCCTGTGATGAAATGTACTTTCCAACAATATTGAGTCCTTCCCACCAGTACTAGGTTACGATGTCAACATGGGTTAGTTATTCTCACGCCAACATGAGGATTGGCCTAATTATTCAGGTGCCAGCATGGGAGCTGAGACCTCACTTTCTCTCCCAGAAATGAGAGCATGACCACCCCGATAAGCACGATACCCCCTCCTGCCAAACATCCCTCTGCAGGAGGCCGTGAACCAATACCGTGTGAGCTGCAATGCTGTCTCTTCCGGAACTCAATGTCGCATTTCACACATCTAAGTTGGTCGCCAGCCTTTGGCAATTTCCAAGTTTCCCACAGATTAATGAAAAATCCAGCTGTTTCCAACTATTTGGAACAAAACAATATGTGATAAAATGAGGAGAGAAGGGAATCGTTATCCAATTTCTCCAGCAGTCAGAGAGATTTGGAACATACTGGGAAGAAAAATTACAAGCTCGATTGTTCAAAGATTTAAAAAAAGAAAGAAAGCTTTGTATTAAATTTCTGAGAATGCTTTTTATTTACCATACAGAGAGAGCTAAAAAAGCTATTCTTTGATTAATCAGGTATGAGCTAATTCTGCCTTCCTAATGCAGCCTGGGAGTCCTTTTAGTGAAAGGTGAGTAGTGATGGCTCCCACGAAGGACACTGGGACATCTTGGCTATAAATCTAAGTGGGAATGGAAGTTGGGGCAGCAGTTAAAGGAAACCGTTGTGTAGGCCAGTGCTCCTCAAGCTTTCTGAGGGTCTGCCCGTGCAAGAATGACAGATACATAGAATCATCCATTATGTAGCCTTGGCTTCTTTGACTTGGCATAATACATCTGAGATTCATCAATGGCTACAGGGTGGCTGTGGCAACAAGGCCTCCCTTTTCAGTATCCAAATAAGGATAGAAAAAAAAAAAAAGAAGTTTCTGCTCATGAGACCCTTTTTTCATCAGGAAGGACCTATTTCACAAAAGCTCTCAGCAATGTGTCCTCGGGTCACTTTGATCTGAATTGACTGTCCTGCCCATGCCAAGCTACAAAGGAGGCTGGGAAAGTGAGTAGTGGACATTATTTACCATGGAATGTGCCACTGCCAGGAAGGAACCCAGGAGATGCACTAAATCCCGTATTCCAGGCTGTCCCTTTCATCTCCCTCACAGGCCAACGAAACTCACACTCAACTTTAAAAGAAGAAAGGCTATGGGTGAAGGAGGAGAAACAGAATACTAAGGAGAGATGTATCATGAGGTATTCCAAATATACGTCTTCGTTAAAAGATCATCACACACACTTAACCTCTCTGGACCTTAATTCCCTCATCTGTGAAATATAAATGGGTATGCCAGTGCCTGCAGTATAAGGTTATCTTGAGAATTAAACAAGAGAATATGTGGCAAGCACTTGTTACATACCTGATGCACAGTAAGTAGTCACTAAATAGTGGCTGTTATTAGAAATTTAAGCAAAGAAGCATATTCAAAAGTATTAAATACTGAAGGCGTATCATTTCAATATACTAGAATTTGGAAAAAGGAGAAATTGTCCCTCGGAGTCATCTAGAAAAGCTGCATTGTGGAAGCAAAATATGAGCTGGCCTTGAAGGATGGCTAGAATTTAAATAGTGAAGAAGAGAAGGAAAGGCATCCAAGTGAAAGAAACAGCACGAGTGGGAAGGCTTAGACAGGAATAGGGGCCATATTTGTGCTATGGGAAGGAGAAAGGCACTGATACCCAGCAAGTGCCTACTACATGCGAGGCACTTGACAGGCACATTGCATGTGTCTCATTTAGGTTCTTCAATAACCTCGGGAGGTGGTGTATTGGTCAGGGCTCTCCAGGGTAACGGAACCTATAAGATGTTGTGTTAGTCGGCTAGGGCTGTCATAACAAAACACCATAGACTGAGTGGCTTCATCGATAGAAATTTATTTTCTCACAGTTCTAGAGGCAGGAAGTCAGAGACCAGAGTGCATGGTCAGGTTCTGGGGAGGGGCCTCTTTCTGGCCTGTAGACAGCCACCTTCTCATTGGTGGACACAGAGTGAGCTTTTTCTCTTCCTCTTCTTATAAAGTCACTAATCTTATCATGAGGACCATGGCCTCCTGATCTAATCTAACCCTAATTGCCTCCCAAAGGCCACATCTCCAAACACCATCACATTGGGGGTTAGGGCTTCAACATATAAATTGTAGGGGGACATAAACATTCAGTCCAGAACAGATGTGTATTATGCAGAGAAAGAGATTTATTTGAAGGAATTGGTTTACAAGACTGTGGAGGCTGATTGGGGAAGACACAACCTGGAGGCTCGGAAAAGAGTTTGGTTTGAATTCAAAGACCATCTGCTGGAAAAAAATTCAAAGACCATCTCCTGTACCTTTAGTACAGGAAGAGCCTGTGCTAAATATGCGGGCTGAAGGCTGTGCTAGAGGACTCCGTCTTGCTCAGGTGGGGGTCACCCTTTTGTTCAACTCAAGCCTCTAACTGGTTTCATGAGGCCTATTCAACATTATGGAGGGCAATCTGCTTTACTCAAAGTCCATCGATTTAAATGTAAATCTCATCCAAAAACACCCTCACAGAAACATCCAGAATAATGTTTGACCAAATATCTGGACACTGTGGTCCAGTCAGGTTGACACATAAAATTAGCCATCTTAGGTGGGTTTCAGTCCTAGTTTATGGATGAAGAAACTGAGGCTCAGAGGGGTTAGGTAACCTGCTGAAGGAGGCGAAACAGCTGAAGTGGAAACGAGACCAAGTTCTGTCTGAACCCACAGTCGTGTGTTTCCATGATGAGTTGTTCTGAGTCTAGAGAAATTTATTTGAATAGGACATTTTGAAACAGGAAGAGGGCTTAGAATAGTGAGTGCCTGTGTGTCTTCCACAGTTATCATGGTGCCTTTCCATAGAAATGCTTAATGTACACTTCAGAGGTGGATGGATGGATGGATGAAATAAAATATCATCACTCTGAGTAATTATGGGTACAAAAAAACAAAAATTCTAGTATTTCTTCACATCTGACTTGGCTTTATGGCTAGGCTGTTCAAAACGCAACCAACAGTCACATATGCCTATTAAAATTAAATTTTTAACTAGTTAAAATTAAATAAATAAAAATTCCATTGCACGAAGTACAAATTGCACTAGGTACATTTCAGATACTCAGTAGCCATACGTGGTTAGTGGCTGCATATTGAACAGCACAGATACAGAACACTCCATCTTATTAAATTCTATTAGTATTATCCAGGGAGACTATGCTTGTCTTCCCATCGTAGAACCTCTCATGCATGTCTCTGTGAGCATATTTCTTGTGCCTTGGGGATGAATTATGAGGAACCATGTAACTATAAACCCAACCAATCTCCCATTGGCCAAGGCCTTTCTTGCACACTGTGAATCAGTGAGGAGCTGGCCCTCTGGTGCCTGTTCCTGCCTCACAGAGGCAGAGTAACTGCCTGCTCCTCTGGGTCTCTCCATAGACCAAAGGTGCCATTGACATTTGGCTCCATTCAAACTATAAACATCTAACAAGCTCCAGATGCACACGTAGTGGATTTAAAGTCCTGTCAATATGGACACTAGAGTCTGAAATGAAACACTTGGCATTCAATTTGACTAAAATGTTAAACTCACAATTTATTGGTTCAATAAAATGTGAATGCTAACAGCCAGTTTTTACGCTGGAGCCTCCACATCTGTGTATGTGTGTGTGAATGTGTAAATGCAATTTTTCAAGGCAAAGCTAATAGCAAAGTTAAAAAACGGTCTTCAAAATAGAGCTTTGGCGATAATAATCATTTTTAATGGACCTGAAATGTTATTCATGATAAACGTGTTGCCAAGCAAAATCCTTTCCTGTGTTGGGTGATAAAACAAAATTGCTGATAAACTACAATGTCTGTGAAGGGTGAAGACACAGACGGCCGAAGAAATGAGAGCTATCAGAAAATATGAGCCTTCCCAAAGGCTGTGACACTATCTTCCAGTGTTTTCCTCTGCTAGGGCTGGCTGACATGTGCAAAGCTACAAATGACCAACCTTGGTGAAAAATAAAACATGTAAGCTTTTGTAGCTGTAGAGGGAGTGTGGAAGGCAATAACAGTTTTATTAAATGTTTGACTCAAGAATGACAGTTAAAAATAAACAAAACTTGTGTTTCCCAATCAATAGGAAGAAAAACATACTTTTTTCCCTGACATCAATTTCATCTCTCCCTTTCTGTTTAAAATGGGAACATGGGAAGGTGGAGTAGATATACTTTTCCCTATTCCTCCCACTAAGTACAACAAAAAAGCCTGGCTGTTATGTATAAAACAAACATAGAAGACTCTTAAAGGTGAAAAAAAGACAGAACTGTTAGGAACTGTTGGGAGACTGAAAAAACAAAATGGTGGGAAGTTTTCTGGGATGTCTTTTTGCTTCATATATCCAAGCATTGGAGATAAAGAAGCTGGCAACCATAAATGCCATCGATCACAGGCAAAAAGGCAAAAGCAAAAACAAAACCCCAACAAAAGCTTGCTCACTTTAGCCAAAAGACTAGGAATTAGACAGCCTTGTAAGACAGAAGACTTTTAGACAATAACTGCCCTGATACAACCACAGAAAAAGTATGTCCCCAGCTTCAGTCATGCCAACAAAGGCTCAGGGAAAGCCTAGATTTTTACCCTCTGGAGCCTGTTATGGGAGGCTGCTATAGCTTGAATCCGCTCATCCCAAAAAGTAGGTGTGGAAAACTTAATCCCCAATCTAACAGTTTTGGGGGTTGGGGCCCAATGGGAGGTGTTTAGATCATGAGAGCTCCAACCTCACAAACAGATTAATGCTGATTATCAATGGGCTTGAAGCTGCAAGTTCCTCATCTTGCTTTTCTTTGCTGTCTCTTTGCCCTCCCACCATGAGGTGGCTTAATAAGGAAACCCTCACCAGACACTGGCCACTCAAGGTCCCCTATAAGGATTTCCCAGCCCCTAGAATTGTGAAAAATAAATTTATTTTCTTTATAAATTACCCAGTCTGTAGTTTTCTGTTATAGCAACACAAAGCAGACTAAGACAAGCATGCACTAAGAAGGGAGCCAGGACTTTCATCCCTGCTGATTTTTAACATGTCCCACCCTTACTCCAAAATATAGAGACCACATGGGGAACTTGAACTACTACCCTCACTCAGCAACAGTAAGTCATTCCTCTTTCCCTGATAGACTACTGCCATAAACCTGGTGGAGAGTCAGGATGCTCATCATTACCATTGTCACGAGTGGTAACAAGGCGACCTCCCCTCCTGTGCTGTCAGTGGAAGCCACACAGGGAGCAATAACAAAGCATGCCTACTACCCCTCCCAGCCAGGCAGTGTCAGAGAAGCCAGGTAAAGTGCTGGAGCTCCCAGGCCTGCCCAGCAGTTATGAGAAGGGATATGGTTTAGATGTTTGCCCCCTCTAACTCTCATGTTGAAATGTGATCCCCAGTGTTGGAGGTGGAGCCTAGTTGGAGGTATTGGATCATGGAGGTGGATCCTTCATGAATGGCTTGGTGCCACCCCCGTGGATATGAGTGAGTTGTCACCTCTATTAGTTCATTCGAGAGCTGGTTGTTAAAAGGAGCCTGGCATCTACTCCCCTCTCTCTCTGACTCCCTCTCTCTCCATGTGACATGCCTGCTCCCCTTTCACCTTCCATCATGAGTAAAAGCTTCCTGAAGCCTCAGTAAAAGCTGGGCAGATACCAGCACCATGCTTGTACAGCCTGCAGCACCATGAGCCAAATGAACTCCTTTTCTTAATAAATTACCCAGCCTCAGGTATTCCTTTATAGCAATGCAAAATGGACTAACACAAGGAGACCCCCCACAAGTGTTTAATAGATGCCTGTGAGGAACCCAGACTTCTATCTTAGTGTGTTTGTGTTGCTCTATAAAAGAATACCTGAAGCTGGGTAATTTATACAGAAAAGAGGTTTATTTGGCTCATGATTCTGCAGGCTGTACAAGAAGCATGATGCCAGCATCTGTTTCGGATGAGAGCCTCAGGCTGCTTCCACTCATGGTGGGAGGCAAAGCAGAGTCAGCATGTGCAGAGATCCCATGGTGAGAGAGGAAGTGAAAGAGAGGAGAGAGGTGTCAGGCTGTTTTTAACAACCAGCTCTCTCTCTCAGGAACTAACAGAAGGAGAACTCACTCACCTCCCGACCCGGGGGAGAGAATCAGTCTCTTCATGAGGGATCCACCCCCATGACCCAAACCCGTCCCAGTAGGGAAACCACCTCCAGCATTCAGGTCAAATTTCAACATGAGGTTTGGGGAAACAAACATCCAAACTATAGCAACTTCTCTCCCCATCAGCCGGTACTGAGGTGCTTCTTCCCCTCTCCTTGTTTGAGTGGTGGCCGAGGAAGCAAGCCAAAACACAAGGTTTAAAATTCACAGTCTCATAGCATGAGACCCAGAATGTCCGGGTTTCCATCAAAAATCACTCATGACACCAAGAATCAGGAAGTTCTTAAACTGAATTTAAAAAGACAATAAAAAGATGCCAACATTGAGTGAACGGAGATATCTAACATCTCTGTCAAAGAGCTTTATCTGACAAAGATTTTTAAGGCAGCCATCGTAAAATGCCTCAATGAGCAGTTACAAACACACTTGAAACAAATGAAACATAAGAGTTTTGTCAAGAAAATAGAAAGACATAGTAAATAAATAGATGATATTAAGAGCCACGTGGAGGGTGTTTGTCACTTGGTTGCTGAATTCCACTGTTCTCCCCTAGACACTCTATTTGATATGCAGTTATCTATTTGTTGTTTTGCCTGTGGAGGAGATGAGTGCTGGGTGCCTCTGGTCAGCCATCTTGATAATGCCCTTTCTTTCTGTTATTATTTATTACAACTGCATGTAAACCTATAATTATCTCAAAATAGAAGGTTTAATTAAAAAATAAAAACAGGTTGGATGCAGTGGCTCACACCTGTAATCCCAGCACTCTGTGAGGCCAAGGGGGAGGATCTGCTAAGGCTAGGAGTTCAAGACCAGCCTGAACAATATAGTGAGACCCTGTCTCTATCAAAAGAAAAAAAAAAAGTAAACAGTGCACCTTCTAAGGCAAACAACTTCATAAATTATGACCAACTATCTAACGATTTTGGATCCCTTTTCCACCCTCCAATCTTATGCTCATTAAAGTACAGTATTTACATTTAAAATTGTATTAACTGAGATAAAGTACAAAATTAATTCTCAATTCAAGGAGACACAGCTCTGTTCTGTGGACAAAGGACAGGAGAGAACAACCTAAGAATAAACAACTGTACTATTTTTCTGGCTATGTAATTCAATTTAATGCTTATAATTCTTTAGGCATAAAAATGCTTAATCTTTAAGATTAAATTTATTAATTCAAATGCATTTATATATCTACCATATGGCCAGGTTTATATTTGTTTCATTTATTATTTCAGACCTTCTGGTAATAAAGATCTCTCCGCCCAGAACTGGACAATCACTAAACCTCCTTCCTCTCCCACCCCCACCTCTAATATTAGTAACTCCAGGTCCAACTCCAGCTGTCATCTGAGAACAAACTGTTATGAATAGAATAGTACCTTGTGACCATAACAAAATAACACCATGATTCTATCATTAACAAAATAATGTGTTTTCCTTTACATCAACATTGCTGGTGTAGTTAGTACCATACAAAACCTAAGAGAGACACGGATGGATTACTGGGCAATGAGACGATAAGAATTATTTGGAAATTACCATTACTCTTTACTCATCTCCTACTCCCCAGAGCCAATTTGTGTGCTATACTTGGGGGAAAAAATGCTGGGTCACAGAAATTGCTTTTCCATAGGTCTGGCAACTGTGTGAAAGGCCTAGGGATGGGCAATAATGTATTCTAAAATAGCATGTGCTTTGTCAAAAGTTCATTTGGAGGCCAGGTGCCGTGGCTCACGCCTGTAATCCTAGCACTTTGGGAGTCTGAGGCAGGCAGATCGTTTGAGCCCAGGAGTTTGAGAGCAGCCTGAACAACATGGTGAAACACCTGCTCTACAAAAAATACAAAAATTAGCCAGGCATGGTGGCTCACGCCTGTAATCCTAGCACTTTGGGAGACTGAGGTGGGCAGATCATGAGGTCAGGAGTTCGAGACCAGCCTGACCAACATGGTGAAACCCCGTCTCTACTAAAAACACAAGAATTAGCTGGTGCGTGGTGGCGCACACCTGTAATCCCAGCTACTCAGGAGGCTGAGGCAGAAGAATCGCTTGAACCCAGGAGGCAGAGGTTGCAGTGAGCTGAGATCACGCCATTGCACCCCAAGCCTGGGCAACAGAGCAAGACTCTGTCTCAAAAAAAAAAAAAAAAAAAATACAAAAATTAGCAGGACATCATGGTATGCACCTGTTGTCCCAGCTATTTGGGTGGCTGAGGTGGGAGGATTGCTTGAGCCCGAAAGGTCAAGGCTGTAGTGAGGTGTGATCACACCACTGCACCTCAGCCTGGGTGACAAAGTGAGACTTTGTCTTACAAAGAAAATAAAAGAAAGAAAATTCATTTGGGGGTTTACCAAAACAACTGCCTCAAAGTCAACTGTGAAAAAGATGGTGAAAACTCACTTGTATTATTCGGACCCTGTCACAAGAATCATGCATTTGGAACTGGAATTCCATCATAACCATCCCCAAATCCAATTTTTTGTGTGTAGGGAGTGAGGACATAAGTGTGACATATTATGAAGAGAAATTTTTATAAATTTCAAGGAATTCTTATAAGATATAACAGCTTTTAGTCAACACAGTTTTGGATGAACTGAGTGTAAACAAATATAAAAATGGCTATTAAATTTCCATTCAGATTTATGCACATGGGTTTAATATTAATAATTAAGAAAAGAAAGCTGGCAAAACAAATGTAAAATTTAGCCAAACCCAAAATGCTTGAAAAATAAGTCAAGGCTTTCTGAAAACATAGAGCACTACTGGCTTACCCATCCCTAGTGACAAGAAATTGAGAAATTGAAACTAACTCCATTTAAATATTCTCTCTGCCCCAACAAATGCTACAGTTCATTCCTGCCAAGGAGCCCAAGAGACTGGCTCTTTAGTGCCAAGAACAAAGCATAGGTCTTCACATGCCCCCCATTCTGTCAGGGCTCCATGCTCAGATGCCACAAGGGTGGAATTTTCTCTCTTCTACCTCCAACCAGGTGACATGTTCTTACTTTTGAATCTAACTTTCTTACCTCTGGTTCTTGAAAAATATATCAGTTCACAATTTGGAGTAAAAATAATTATCAACCCTCTGGAACCCTAGGCCTGTACCTATCCTGACTTGGAGTCCCTTTGGTGACGTTACAAGACCTAATATGATTTCATAAGACTGATGCCCCATAATTGCTATCAAATCAACATAGCAGGGCAGAGAAGGAGGGGTGGGGCAGACTTGCCATACATTGATAGGTGAGAATGTCCAGGGTAGGAATGTGTGTAGTTAAACTCTATCAATTCTTAGCCACACCTGCTTCTAACAGGGTTAACACAACTGTAATACGTGATATTGTATAGAACTCCACAGTTTATCAAATATTTTCATCCACATTATGTCATTTAATCTTCATGATAACCCTTTGAATAGAGTATTGCCATTCTCCTGATGAGGGGACCACAGCTCAGAGAGGAATCTTCTCAAGTCAGTAGTTAGTAAGGAGCTGCCAGGACTTGAACCCAGGGATTCCAAGTTCAGTGCTGTTATCAGTCCATTCTCACACTTCTATAGAGAACTAACTAAGACTGAGTAAGCATGTCTTACATGGGGGAGAAAGAGAGAGAAAGGGAAATGCCACACACTTTTAAACAACCAGATCTCATGAGAACCCACTCACTATCACAGAAAACAGCAATGGGGAAATCCACCCCCATGACCCAATCACCTCCCACCAGGTCCCCCCCGACATGTGGGGATTACAACTCGACATGAGATTTGGGTGGGGACACAAATGCAAACCATAACAAGGGCTTTGTCCACTACACTACTGCTGAGGTAGGGCAGAGCCCTACACAGTAGCTGATACTCACTCAATGCTTTAAACGCTTAACCCATATGTACTTAAAAAGCCACATGCTCTCCTGGAACTCTGCTGCTCAGATCCAAACTGCTAAGCCAGGAGCTCAACATTACCATGAACGTGTTGGTATTTTACTCTTAGACGGCATGGATCAGAATGTTTCTATGTGAAAATCTTAGAATCTCCTCCATGTTTAACTCCATTTTCTACCATACAAGATCCTAAATACTCCATAGATATCAAAGCCATCTCTGAAAAAATGTCTGTCAAAATGTTTTTAAGAAATTATGGTGCCTGATGAACTGAGGCTTTTATTGCATTTTTTAGAGACAGAATAAAAGAAATATCTATCTGAAGTTTAAAGAATTTGTATAGTGGTTTGTTTGTTTGTTTGTTTGTTTTCTTTCCTTGAGACATGATCTGCACCCAGGCTGGAGTGTAGTGGCATGATCTTGGCTTACTGCCAGGCTCAAATTATCCTCCCACCTCAGCCTCCCAACTAGCTGGAACTACAGGTGCGTGCCACCACACCTGGCTGATTTTTTGTGTGTGTATATTTATTTTTTTGTAGAGACAGGGTTTCCCCATGTTACCTAGGATGGTTTCTAACTCCTGGACTCAAGTGATCTGCCCACCTCGGCCTCCCAAACTGCTTGGATTACAGGCATGAGCCGCCGTGCCTGGCCTAGTGTTGTTTTTTATTAGCCAAAAGATATCTAGTCCTCTCATTCAAACCTGGGCAAATAAATTAAGTTGCGATGCCACTATATACCTGCTATACTTTATATTTCATTATGATTGGAATATAAGACTATAACTCATTAAAGAAGTGTGTTTTGTTTCATATTAACTGTATAAAATAGTTCCCTAGAAGTCATTTGAATGAGGCATGCACTAACTTAAACTTTATCCAAAAGCCAAACCAGCTGATTTTATGAGTATCAGAAACAGGTTTATTTGTATAATTTATGAAAATAGTTTTTATTTCCTTTCACTCTTGCATACTTTGGAAATATTTTCTTGAAACTGGAAAGCCAAATGTTGAAAAACAACCAGAGTTACAGTTACTGTAAATTCTGGCCCAAACAAAAGCAGACAGATCAGCAAATTTCATGAGAAAACAAGCTCTGGTGAAATTTTCAGCTCATTAATCTATTTCTATGACAGAGTAATAGGCCCAGCAGATTGAAGAGAAGCAAATGACATAATAGATCTTGATTCAAAAAAGATTTTTTTGATTAAGTCTCATACAACACAAGAGTAACTAATAAGAAAAATATTCAGAACACAAAACTATTGGTAGGTACATAGCTAGTTGGAGAATTATATCCAAGAAGTAGCTACGAACAGGTCAATGTCAGCAAAACAAAGATATTTTCCATTTTAATGGATGGCATAAATATTTTACATAAATGCATGCTCACTAGGTTTGAGAACACTGCCCAGTAAACAGGGAAACCAGCCCCTTAAACAGGAATACCCCAGTGTGGTGAGACACAACCCTTGAGAAATTCCCTGGGAAACACTGGAGAACAAGAGAGGAGGAAGAGCCAGTGGGAGCAGGTGGGATAGGTGACAGGGGGAAAGAAAGATGATTCAAGCAAAAAAGGAGTTACTTAGAAGGGAAAAAAATGAATAAGGAAGAAAAGGATCTTTGGGTCACAGTGGATTATAGGTTAAATGCAAACCAATGCTATATCTAGAGGGGACTTTACAAAGTCACTTGGCTCAGTAGTTGTCAAATGCCAGTTTTTATCAGTCTTTGGTGGAATGAAAATAGGACACCATATTAAGTTTTTCATAGTAGGTGGTGCTTTGGTACTTTTTAAATGCTCTTACTTGGCAAAGAACAAATGTCGATAATCCTATATCGGTCTCCAAAATCACTTTAGAAATTTTATTGGTCAGTGAAATTCAAAAATCTAGAAATTGCTAGCCAAGTCTATCCTTTGGACCTTTTCATCTGAGTAAATTAGTCTGTTAAGTATCCAAGTCCACTTAATTTGAAAGTTCTCTGGCAACTCAAACAAAAATTCAGTCTCCAAATGTCCAGCTGGTCCAAGTTTTACTCAGTGCCAACTGAGCCACTTGCCTTGAGTTTTTAACTAATCGTAAAGGAAGGTGGTGTGATGTGGGTGTATTTTAGGTGTACCGGCAGACCTGGTTCTCACACACAATTGTGAAGGGAAGATTTTAGCCCACATCCCTATACCAGAAACCAACAAATTAAAACAAGGAGAGTGCTGACCCAAAAAAGGAAACATCAGGAAATGATTGTTTAGGATTAAGATTTTTGTTTCTAGACATGTGCAGTAAAATACTGTCTCGTTCAATTTTATTTGCCTCCTTTGATGAGGCCAAATTAACTTAAAGCAACTGTTAGAAGAACTGCTGGTTATGGACACTAACTAATGTCACATATTCTAAAATATTCACCCTGGAGGCTTCTTGGTTAAAACATTTTAAAACCTCTTTGATAATTAAGAATCTCTGCAATAATGAAATTCATCAGGAATTACACCTTGGTAGTTTCTAAACTAATTATTACAGAAACTTCAAACAGAAAAGTCCTACCCAATTCTCCCCCTCCGGTCTCCCCAAGAAAGCTGCCTCCACTTCCAAATCCTTCGTTCAAGTTAGACAGTGAAGAAAAGTGCTAACCAGGGGTTGGGGTCTCACTCATGCCGTCCCTTCTAGGAGCACCAATCTACTGTATTTCTCCAGCACTACAGGAGCAAAGAGCTTGTCCTAACAGGAGAAAGAGAAGAGAGACTCTTGTGATGGTGAATTGTATGTGTGAACTTGACAAGGCTAAGAGATGCCCAGATAGCTGGTAAAACATTATGTCTGGGTGTGTCTGTGAGGGTGTTTTTGGAAGAGATTGGCATTTGAACCAGTAGACTGGGTAAATAAGATTGCCCTCACCAAGGTGGGTGGACATCACCCAGTCTGTTGAGGGTCTGAATAGAACAAAAAGGCAGAGGATGGGCAAATTTGCTCTCTTTGCCTGGGCTGGGACATCCATCCACTCCTGTCTGTAGACCTTGGCACTCTGGGTTCTGGGCCTTTAGACTTGGTCTGGAAGTTATAGCATTGTCATCCCTCATTCTGAGGCCTTTGGATTGGTACTGAAACTATACCACTTGCTTTCCTGGCCCTCCAGCTTCCAGACAGCAGATCTTCTCAGCCTCCATAATTGCATGAGCTAATCCCTCGTAATAAATCTTTATATGACTATGGGTGTGTGTGTGTATGTGTGTGTATATATATATATATATATATATTCTCCTATTGGTTCTGCTTTTTTGGAAAACCATAACACAACATTTTAATTTTCTGACTCAGTTTACATTCAGGCAGAATTAGAATTTAGCAGGCTTAAAACCCTGCTGATCCCCTTAACATATACTTGTGTGTAGACACATATATACAAATGCTTTTAATTATATTATTTTTGTATTCTCATTTCCCTCATAAAAGCCTCTGGCCTGAAAAACACATTGGGCTACATATACACATATAAAGCTGTCAATCACCCACATTGACCATGGTGGTCAGCAGGTGTGTACAATATGCTGTTACACTATGTCATCCAGTAACAAGGTACCATTAAGAAGTAAAGAGCCCTGTCTGAACAGAGGGGACTCTTTACCACTCAGCTCTGCCACTCGGTAGCTGTGTGACCTCAGCCAATTATTTACCTCTCCAGGCCTCTGTTTTCTTGTCTATAAAAAGACAGAAGTAGAATACTGGTGCTGTTAAATTCTCTTATAGCCATAACATTCAAGGTTCTGTACAACTACAAATGACTTTAATCACCACCACCAGGAAAACTGAGTGTATGTATCCCAGCCGGAGGGTTAGCAGAATCTGTGGCTGACCATAGCCAAGCTTAGACTTTAATGTGGGGTTCTTTTTACAGTTAGTTTTGGAATACACTCAAAAACCAAAAGGAAGTTGGATCCCAATCCCTAAGTCAGTCCAGCCGTTATTTTCCATGGGCAAAAGGCAGACCTGCAAGCCTTAGGAAGAGAAGGAGAGGTGCGGTTGCTGTGTACCAGCAGTCAGACTACACAGGAGTCCTATGGATGAGGAGCCCAGGGGCAAGGCTCCCTGTGGAACCTGGTCAGTTATCCAGCTCAGTCTCTGAAAGCAGGCAGGATCAGGCACTGCTTCCTCATGGGCACCAGGGACTGCCATGTTACCTACCATTCAGAATAAAGGCACACAAGTCTTGAGCTACCTACCCATCCTCACCCATATATTATGAAAATCAAGTTGCCCCCTAGACCAAGTGAAAACATCAGTATTTATAAGAATGCCGATGGGTTTTCAGAAACAGACTTGCTCCCAGAATGGAAGAAAGCAGTTATTTGAATAATATGGCACAGCTTGAGGGACTGCCTGGGGTGAATGGGAATTAAAATAATCAAAATCAATGGTAATAATGTGCTCAAGAAGCAGTTCAGAAATGCAGATTACCCACTCAGTAGTCAACTCACTAATGACATTAGGTAATATGAAATACAAACAGGAGAAAAAAACAATCTAAGCCAATTATGCTGATTATGCTTCTGACATCAAAAGGTAGGACAGATGAAGCTAAATTTCCATACATTAATATTTAAGCAAGTATAGAATAGAAAATACTGCACATAATGAAGACCCACTAGATTTCAGTACACATAGCTAAGATCTTAATCAAGCAAAAACAATTTTCTAAATGATAATTAGCAGTAATCATGCTCTTTAAGTGCAGGATATTATGGAGTACAAACTGCAATATTTAAACAAGATGCAAAATGCAGAATTCCATGTATTAGCTATAGCTCAGCAAATGTAATAAACAGAGATACTTACCAAAGAAAGACAACATTAACTAAGTAGTATGTTCCACACCAGAGAAAGAAAGGAGGAAAGAGGGAAGAGAGGAAAGGGGAAAGTAACAAGAATGGGAGACAGGAAAATGAAATCTACACGTTCTGAAATATCTTGCTGAAACAACAAACAACTCTGTCCAGGGGCTTACCTGGCTCTTCTTTTTATTTCTCAATTGTAAGATTGTTTTGCAAATAATCATTCACATAGGGCAAGACAGAATTCCTGCCAAGCGAGCAGTGAAGAATATGAGCTTCATTTGTTTTAATACCTGTGTTCCTATTAGGAGTTAGGTAAGCAGGGGAAAATGGATAATTAAAGCAATGACATGCATTCACAGCAACATTACACACACACTCACACACACACATACACACCATCCAGAACGTATTGAAAACTCTTGGTGTACAAGATGCTTTATAAGAACAGAGCAGGTTTAGCACACATGAAATTTTAAAAATTCTATTGTGCCAGTCTCATAGATCTCATGATTCCTTTCAGCTCTTCAGTAATGTGAAAAATGCTACTATTATCTGCAGAAGGAACCATGGTACAGGACAGAATATCACTTTCCTAAAATCCTGTGACTGCTCCCTAGGACCAACATGGAAGGTGTAGGAGGACAATGTGTTTTCACTCACTGTCTTTAGGAGACATGGCAAATGAGCAGGCGTTCATTCCCAGCCCAGGAATGAACACCAGTTTGGAAAACCAGTTTTAGTGTCTCACAGACATTTGATTCCTGAGGTTCCAAAGATGTTTTAACTGAATTGTCACATGAATGAAGTTCCCTTCACATCATATTTGATAACAAAGCCAGGTTTTATTGTTGGCTGCACAACTATCACCACCACCAACAATACCCTTTAAAAATAAAATCCAAATTAAGTTAGTCCAAGTTTTTTAAACACAAATGAAAGTTTCAGGCCAATTTATACAATGCCAAGTGCCAATCTGTTCACTCTCCAGTTGCCTCATGAGCCTGAGGCAAAAAATCTTGAGGAGAGAACTCTAGTGTCAAAAAATCCACCTAAACCATGGATGTACTTATGATGGTAAATTTTAGGTGTCACCTTGACTGGATTGAGGGATGCCCAGGTGGGGGGCAAAGTGTTGCTTCTGGGCACCTGTGAGGGTGTTTCTAGAGGAGATTGAAGTAGGAGGCTTTGGACTGAGAGGAAGACCTGCCCACCATACATTTTGCTGGGGGCCTGGCTGGAACCCAGAGGCAGAGGACAGGGAAGTCATCCTGTCTGCTTTCTCACTCCCTTCAGGAGTAAGACACTTTTTCTCCTGCCCTTGGACATCAGACTCAGGTGCCTCCATCTTTGCACTCTGGGACTGACCAGCAGTCTCCCCAGGACCATCAGGACTGACTTGGAGCTGCACCGTCAGCTTCCCCAGTTCTGAGGCTTTGGACTTGATGGAGCCATGCTGCCGGCTTCTCTGGTTCTCCAGTTTGCAGTCGGTCTGTGGTGGAACTTCTCACCCTCTGTGATTGTGTGAGTCAGCTCCCCCTAATACGTCCCCTTCCAGATATTCTACTGGTTCTGTCTCTCTGGAGAAATCTGACTAACATAATTCAATAGGTTCTTGAATAACATCATTTTGATCAAAGTCATTTCATTATAACGTTGATGAGGAAAATATTGATTCCTGGCTAGGGCCACTGTCTGTGGAGTCTGCACATGTGCCTGTGTGGGTTTTCTCAGGTACTCCAGCCTCCTCCCATGTCCAGAAAATATGCATGTTAGGTTTATTGGTATGTCTAAATGATCCCAGCATGAGTGGGTGTAGGTGTGAGTGCACCCCACAATGGGAGGGCGTCCTGTCCAGAGTCAGTTCCTGCCCTGTGCCCTGAGCTGCCAGGATAGGCTTCAGCCACCCATGATCCTGAACTGAAATAAGCAGGTTGGAGAAAGAATGAATGAATGAATGATTACAAATTATTATAAAATAGAAAATTATAAATTTTATGATAATCATACAAATGAACTACAATAAACAATGCTGTACAAAAGCATTCAGCAAGCCTGCCCTATTTGTTCTTGTTTTTGAACTGTGTGGTGATAGGAGGTACTCCGGACAATTTTTGATTTGCAAACATTTATACCTTGATATAACCCACCATCACTACAACTGCTGTCACTCACCAATTCACCAAAAATTGGATATATAATTTTTGCTTGCTTTTAATCTTTATTTCTTAAATGTATGTATAGCCCACATTTGTTTCAATATTTAATATTAGAAGTGTTTGGAGTCTTTATTTGGAAGTTTGGTGATGTTTTTGTGACCAGAAATATGACTTAGAAACTTAACTCTTGTTTATATCAATTAGCTTATGTTAAACTGGCTACATTATAGGTCATTTCACTTAAAGTCATAGTTTCCAAGAACCTATCAACAACATTAAGTGAGGACTTACCGTACGCAATACCACTGAACAAGACACTTAAAACAAGGCAGGTGGATCATCTGAGGTCAGGAGTTCGAGACTAGCCTGGCCAATGTGGCAAAACCCCGTCTCTACTAAAAATAAAAAATTAGCCGGGTGTTGTGCCCGACACCTGTGATCCCAGCTACTTGGGAGGCTGAGGCAGGAGAGTCGCTTGAACCCGGGAGGCAGAGGTTGCAGTGAGCCAAGAATGTGCCACTGCGCTCCAGCCTGGGTGACGGAGCAAGACTCTATCTCAAAAAAAAAAAAAATCGTCAGAATGGTAAATTTTATGTCATGTGTATTTTACCACAATTAAAAAAAAATGGAAGAAAAGGTCGTAAAAAGTTACACCTGTGGCTGAATATACACAAGGCAAGAAAACAACAGCTGTTGGGAAAAGTAAATAACTGCACAGGATGTCAGCAAGGAATATCTCAATGGTCTCCACTGGGAGCTCATGCTAGTAAGTAAGCTAAGCATATATTACTTTCTTTTTTTTTTTTTTTTTTTTTTTTGTATAAGCAGCCAACAAAGCTAGTTGTTGATTTCACAGCAAAATCTCTTTTCAAACAGCTGCATAGTGCTGCCCGGGACTTTTTCTGACCCATGGAACTCAGACCTCTTTCGTACAACAGCCAGTCACTCAACACTGTCAGACTATAGAGCTTTCCTTCTCATTTTACTTAGCTTTGCCAAATTGCTTTACTCACACTGTATTGCCTAATTTTTCCAGTCTGTTTTAATGTTCTGTTATCTGTCTCCAGCCTGGAGCAGAAAAAGATAGCAAGATGCAGTGCTTACCCAAAAAAGCTGTTTTACAGATTTAAGGGAGACACAGCTGTCTTATCTGTGACACAAAATAGCAAGGTAAGCTGAAACATGAATTCCTGTCTGCCTCTTCTTCCTCCCATCTGTTGCATTAAAGGTCCAGAGACCCCCAGGGCCACCTTGTAAGCATGCTTGGTATCATTGTTTTTTAAAAAATAAAATTCCAAATGTTTATAGACAGTATTTAAAAAATAAGAATTCAAAATGAGGCCAAGTACAGTGGCTCACGCCTATAATCCCAGCACTTTGGGAGGCCAAGGCAGGTGGATCACCTGAGGTCAGGAGTTCAAGATCAGTCTGAGCAACATAGTGAAACCCCATCTCTACTAAAAATACAAAAATTAGCGGATGTGGTGGCACACACCTGTAATCCTAGCTACTCAGAAGGCTGAGGCACGAGAATCCCTTGAACCTGGGAAGTGGAGGTTGCAGTGAGCCAAGATCACACCACTGCACTCCAGCCTGGGTGACAGGGTGAGACTCTGTCTCAAAAAAAAAAGAATTCAAAATGAGGCTCGAAAAATAGTCTGTGTATTCCATTGAGATTTAACATTATATTTAGAAAATTTACTCTCGACTAAATATAAAAAAGCATTAGGTTAAAAACAAAAAAAGCCAGGCACAGAGGTAGGCAGGGCAGGCAGTTCAACGTGGGATATGGAATGAAGGTTTGTGAACAAACCAAGGGCTGGGTGCTTTTCATGGTGCTGTTATCATCTGCTCAGTATGACCTTTGAGAGGCCCAGTGGTTTCCCCATTTCACTTGGTGAGGTGGTACACGCTTGTAGTAACAGCTGCTCAGGAGGCTGAGGCAGGAAGATTGCTTGAGCCCAGGAGTTCAGGGCTGTAGTACACTATGATTGCAACTGTGAATAGCTGATGCACTCTAGCCTGGGCAACACAGCAAGACCCCAAGTCTAAAAATATATGTCCTTTTTTTAACTCAAAACATTTTTTTAAAGTCCTCCTGTTTTATGCAAAATCACTAAGAATAGCAATCTACAAAAGAAAGACAATTATAATCCCTTGGTATTTACGGAGCATCTATGATGCATTCAGCAATTTGCTGGCCACTATAGATAATAGGGTAAAATTAACATGGCTAGGTCCCTTAAGGAATTCACCCTCTTTTCAGAAGACAAGTCTAATCCCACAAGTCTTTATTGATGCAAGATATAGGATGTAACGTCAAACAATTAGCTTCCATTCTTAAGTAACGTGGGAGTTTGGCAATGGGAGTGTCCACGGTGATATTTGCCTTTCTTACTGTTGATATATTTGTGCAGCATCATCAACAAAAGTGCACATGCTATTTAACCCTGGGAAAGGGATGCATTTAAGGACGGGATTGGTATATATTCACCATGGGGTCTCAAGTATTCTGACTGATTCAGGAAGTCTCTACCATGAAATCTGTGTCAAGTCATTCCTGCTAAGTTCTATTTTTAAGTTGTATCATTCCCACAGCCTCAGTATGAGTATGTAGCCAACACTCAGGTTGCAACCTCACATATCCTTCTTATGATCCTTCCTCCTCAAGAGATTATTTTTTCATTTATACAATAAGCATTTAATGGGGTCTACTAGACATTACAGACTCAGAGATACAAAGTTCTAATTCATAGTCTAGTAGGAAAATAGACACGTTAATTACAGCACTATATGAAGCAAACTAAGAGAAAAGAAATGAATTTTTCACAAAATAATGGGAAAATGCAATAGCTTTCTAAGTATAAATGAAAGAAACCTTTAATGAGCAGGTGTGACTTAAAATTTGTTTTATTTATGAAGAATTATATCATAAACACTCACATATTTACCACCCATATTTAACAAATAGATATTTGCCTTTGAGCACATAAAGTGATTTAAACATCTGTCTACCAGAAAATATTCTAAGCAAAATTAAAATCAAATGATAGAGGAAAATCAGTTTTCAAACAATGTGATAAAGGTTTAATATTCTTAATATGTAAAGAGTTGCTATAAATTAATGGGAAAAACATTAGGAACTAATGAAAGACAGATATATGCAATTAGATAATTCTCAAGAAAATACATCTGGTTAATAAACATTAGAAAATAGCCTTACTAATTACCAGTTACTAATAATCATAAGTATGCAGATTAAAACTACAATGAGATACCACTATTAAGTACTAGTAAAAGTATAGAGAGATGTCTACTTTCATAAACTCCTGCTTAAGAAGGTAAATTGGGTTGTCTTTCTGGAAAACAATTTTGAAATATATGCTTAAAACATTTAAGTACATACACTTTAACCCAGCAATTTTAACATCAAGAAATCTCTAATGAAATAATCACAAATGTGAATAGATTTATATACAAAAAGTTCATTGTAGCATAATTTATAATTGCAAAAATTGGAAACAATTTAAACACTCAAAATAGAGAAATGGTTAAATAAAGTTTAGAATAGCAGTAAGATGTGGCCCTGTAAGTCTGTGTAGACGTGAGTGATTTCTCTCTCTCTTTTGGAAAGAGTGGGAGAAGTAGTGTACAATGTTACACAGCGGCCATTTCTGGGTAATGGGATTATGGGTGCCTTTTTTTCTTTTTACTTCTTTATATTTGTCTGTATTTTCCAAATTAATACAATGAACATGAGTCCTTTTATAAGCTGAAAATGCTTCTTTTTTAAAATAGAGACAAGGTTTCACCATGTTGCACAGGCTGGTCTTGAAAGCCTGGGCTCAAGCGATCTGCCCACCTAGGCCTCCCAAAGTGCTAGCATTATAAGCATGAGCCACTGCGCCAGGCCTGAAAAATATATTTTTAATTTTTAAAACATTATAAACCCTCTGGTGTGGGGAGGAGGTACTTATGACCCAGAAATAGTGTCAACTAATGGAGTGCTCAGGAAGGCCTTCCTGGGAAGGTCACTGCTGAACCGAATTTCAAGAATGAAATGTTTGCAAGATAAACAGCAAATGGGATGCCAGGCAGAACTCTAAGTGCTTCTTCCCCTATAATTACAACCTAATCATAGATTGTATATCTCAAGCATGAAAACACGTATCACTTTTGCTTCATTGTTTTCCCTCTAATTGTGAATTAAAATACGTCTGAAACTCAGCAAGGCATTTTCTCATGTTATTCCCTTCTAGTCTCAGAACAGCTCTGTAACACAGAATTTATTCAGGGGATCTCAGCCATTTCCTGCCTATCAACCACTCCCTTCCTAAGAGTTACTCTTTTGCTTCATTGTTTTCCCTATAGTTGTGAGTTAAAATATGTCTGAAACTCAGCAAGGCATTTTCTCATGTTATTCCCTTCTAGTCTCATAACAGCTCTGTAACACAGAATTTACTCAGGAGATCTCAGCCATTTCCTGCCTATCAGCCACTCTCTTCCTAAGAATTACTGCCCAGTCCACACCATACTTTTAGGCAGTCATATTTCTACCCTGTGACTTCAGTTGCGACAGCAGTCACAGCTCACTGGACAGGGAATGGGCTCCTCAGCAAAAGGCAGCAGATCCGACCAGTCAGCAATTTGTGTACTAAGGATAAAAGACAAGCCGGGCCCCACAGAATTCCTCTCTTAGAAATTTGAGCTAAAAGTTTAAAAAGAATGCTTCAGTTGCTTTGGGAAAAGAGATGACACATCAGCGTAACTGGATGCTAGCGGTGCAGGAGCCCAATTGTGAAAAACACCTTTGCTCCTGAAGTCCCTAAAGTAGATTTAACTCTAAACTAAACCTTCAACTCAAGTCCCATGGAGCCCCTCTCAATATTGTGTTGTTCTTGGTTTCCATTAGTTCCAATGTCTTCTTCCCTGATCTCCAGACCCGTACATCTAACCATCTGCTCATGGTCTCCATCTGGATTTCCAACAGGTGTTTCTATGTGTTCGAAACCAGACTCTTGATCTTCCACTTAAGCCTGCTCCTCGTGACGTCTTCCCCATTCAGTAAATGGCCACCCTTCCTAGCAGTCACTCAGATCAAAAACATGGGCGTCTTTCCAAACTCCTGTCTCACACACACTCCTATTTTATTTGTTGGCAAACTCTGTTGGCTTTTAGCTATGAAATACATACAAAGTCCCACTACTTTTTCACCACCTGCACTACTACCCCTCCAGTCCAAACCATGGCCATAGTATCTCTCACCTGATTTACATGGATGGTCTACTAAGTAGCCTCCCAACTTGCCTCCAATATAAATCAGATCACATCATTTCTGCTTAAAACCATCTCATTGCTTTTGATCTCCCTCAGAATACCAAGTTCTTATCTTGGCTTACGAGGCCCTACAGGATGTGGCTCGACCGCCCACCCCTCTCCCACTCCCCATCCCACCCTCAGCTCTCAGCTGTCATTTCATAGCGGTCCCTGCTGCGTACTCACATCAGCTACCCTGGGTGCCCTCACTGCTCCTTGAACACACCAATCACACACCCACCTTAGGGTCTTTGAACTTATTGTTTCTTCCACCTCGGATGCTTGTCCCCTAAATGTCTGTAAGGCTCTTTCCCTCATTCATTCAAATCCCTATTCAAATGTCACCGTATGAGAGAAGACTTCCCTGACTACATTATGCAAAATAGTACTTTTGCTGCAGTGGTTCTGTCACTTGAAGGGCTGCCATGTGGCTTTCAAGACATGCACTGCACAACTCCAGGGGGCACCATTCACATCATAGCCATCAAAGATTTGTGTATTAATTAAGACATCTTTCAGCAGTAAAGTACCTAATTTGCACAAAAATGTTATGAAGGGTAGCAGCAGCCCTGCCCATACCCTGCCTCATTATCTTTGTAGTGTTCATCACCACCTGGCAGATGCCATCCATCTCCCCTCTGCTAAGCGCTGAGAGAGCAGGCACTTTGCCTGTTTTTGTTCATGACACTAGTTCCAGTGTCTAGAACAGTACTTGTGATATGTATTGGGTGCTCAAGATTTTTGAATGAATCAATCAATCATTCAGTCAATTAATGATCAATTGATACTATGTTCTTGGAGAAAACCTCCCTTTAAGACTCTCTTGAATGACTTTATCATCCTTGCAACTACACAGATCCAAAAAAAATGATAAGATAGCCTCATTTTATAGATTCGTAAAATGATACTTCTAGATTTCAATAAATCATGCAAGTTCTGACAGCTAATAAGTGGTTTCTACAACTCCAGAGGCCACATTTCTAAAACATATCCTGCCTCTAGAGAATGGTGTTTCTAAATATTACCACCAAATAATATGGAAGCTTCACATGTGTTAAATAATGAAGCTTCACAGAGGAGAAAATTATATGCTTTAATGTTTTGCAGCAATGAATCACAATATTTATTAATAATAATTCCTTAATAATGGGGAATTACAGCAATTTGCCTTTTGACATTGCATCTAAAAGATAATGCAATAAACTTTTATTTTAAATGAACTGATGAAAAAAATGTCAAGAAGGGTAGTATTTATGGGTAAAGAAGAGTCACAGGGAAATTAAAATCCGAAAGCTTTATTTATACATTAAAAAGAAGAAGCAGCGGAGGAAATAAGCAATTACAGAAAGTTCAAATGAGATAATGGTAGATGCTTTTCCCAGCTATTTAATTAGGAGAATCTGCAGGCTAGGATAGTTGTTTTGAAGCTCTGCATGAATACAAATGAGCACACATCATATTACAGCAATGTCAATCCAAGAGCATAATATTTTAGTATTACCATTTTTTTCAGGGAGAGAAAGAACTGCTTTCTAAATACAATGGCATACCGCTTATTAATATTTAGATGTCGTACACTCTCAGCCTTCCAGGGGAGCCGTGAAAGGGCATCTGACCATGAGTAGCAACCAAAACAGCCAAGATGACAGAAGATAGGCTGTGATCAACATACTCACTATTGCAAAGAAAGTGGTATCTCACTGCCCTGGTAGGGATGGCTATAAAAACCAGCATCAAAACCAATACTAGAAGGTGAGGACAAACTGGGATATTTTGCACAGAAACCAACAGTCCTGCCTGCCCCAGCCTTCTCTGAGCACACACCAAGACACACATTCAGGACTAGCACAATAGTTTACAGCAGTTTTTCCCAAATCTGTAATAAGTGACTCTTAAAAATTAAAATGCAATCTCAAAGAAAAAATACATTTGGGAAACACTATATAGCATATGTCTTCTTGGAGAGTCTCTTTAGGATAATAAATTCCTATAACAAACATTTATCTTTGTTTCATACTCAATTGTCACGGACTGAATTGCATCTTCCCAAAATTTATTGGTTGAAGCCCTAACCCTCAATGTGACTATTTGTACATAGGGCCCTTAAGGAGGTAATAATGGTTAAGTAAGGTCTTAAGGGTAAGGCTCTAATCCGATAGGACTGGAGTCCATATAAAAAGGAGAGACACCAGGAACATGCACACAGAGAGGAAAGGCCATGCGAGGACACAGCAAGAAGGTGGCTGTCTGCAAGCCAAGGAAAGAGGCCTCACCAGAAACCAACCCTGCCTGTACCTTGATCTTGAATTTTTCAGATAAAAAATAAATAAAATAAATTTCTATTGTTTAAGCCACCCAGACTGTGTTTCTCTTATGGCAGCCTAAACAGATGAATACACCAGTATTTCTCAAACTTATTTGAACACAGAACACTCAGGTCTCCAAAATCATAGTAACAACTCTCTTTTTTTTTTTTTTTTTTTTTTTTTTTTTTTTTTTTTTTTTTTTGAGACAGTCTCACTCTGTCACCCAGGCTAGAGAGCAGTGGCACAGTCTTGGCTCACTGCAACCTCTGCCCCCCAGGCTCAAGCCTTAGCCCCCCGTGTAGCTGGAATTATAGGTGTGCACCACCATGCCCAGCTAATTTGTATATTTTTAGTACAGATGGGGTTTCACCATATTAGCCAGGCTGGTCTCAAACTCCTGACCTCAAGTGATTCACCCACCTCAGCATCTCAAAGTGCTAAGATTACAGGCATGAGCCACTGCACCCAGCCAGTGACAACTCTCAAAACAGCTCAGAAAATGTTGTTCAGGGTAATTCAAAGAATTAGTTTATAGCCCTCTCTTCATACCTAGGTAGTAAACACCTGGGCTTTTACATAGAATATGTAAACATTTACATAAACATAGAATAGGACCGTTTTCTCAATGTTGACTCTCTTTATTAAGAAGCCAAGTAAGAAATGTATCTATCAAAACCGTTTACTTTTTGTAACAATGCTTAAAAATTCAACCTCATTTATCTAAAAGCCTCCAATATACAGAACCACTCTTTAACAATAGTAATATTCGCACTTATTGTGGACATTTATTTAGGCACTATGTTAAGCACAACATGGACACTAGCTCATGTGATCTTCCCAACAGCCCCTGGAAACAGATACATACAATCAACCCTTCACATCTCTAAGCTCCACATCTACAGATTCAATCAACAGCAGATCAAAAATACTTGGAAAAAATAATAATTAAAAATAATACAACAGTAAACATAATACAAATAAAAATATAATATAGCAACAATTTACATGTTATTTACTTTGTATTAGGTATCATAAATAATCTAGAGATTATTTAAAATATACAGGAGGATATATGTAGGTTATATGCAAATACTACACTATTTTATATAAGGGACTTGAGTATCCACATATTTTGGTATCCATGAGGGTCCTGGAACCAATCCCCTGTGGAAACTGAAGGATGACTGTACTTGATAAAGAAACTGTGAGAAGGAAGAATGTGTTCACAGAGACCATACAACTAACAAGCAGCAGATCTGGGACTCAAGTCCAGGTCCTTTAAAGCCACCGTCCATGTTCTTGCCCATGCTGCTCTATGCTGCCTTAATTCCTTCCTGGGGAAACTGATCAAAGTCAAGCTCGTCACTCAACAACGGTCAGTTCTTTAGGTAAACAGTGACAGCCTTCAGAGAGGAAAGGTGAAAAAGGATACATTAGGTTAGAATGAAGGCAACTTTCACGTCAAATTGGGCCACCTATATGATACTGATTAGTAAACAAACACAAAAAAATAGCCAATACAGCCAGTCCCTTAAAGCTGGGTAAGGTCTCTCTTCTTTGTCCTCAGGCTCACCAGCACACTCCTTGCATGAGAGGTTCACTCAGAGGTAGGCACAAGGAAACTCTAACAGAAGAATCAGCTAGACTCCTAGTTGGATCAGGCTCAGTAGAGTCCTCTGTGGGGCAGGGGACATGTGGCCTGGCCCAACAGAGCTCTGCCTAATGCTATTGCGCTTGACAAATTCTCGTAAGTCATACTGATAAGGGCAATAGTGTCTGAAAAATCTCTTTAGCCAGCCATGCATTTTTTAATACACTCTGTATCACCAGTTTTAAAAATTATTTATGCTAATTAATAAATCTTTTTGAATAGATTTCTATAACATGAAGATGCGGTATCTATCTCTGAAGTAGAGAGAGCCCTCACTTGGGTGCTTCAAAGATAGCAACTACCTGTATTAGTCAGAGATTTCCAGAGAAACAGAACCAAGAGGATGCGAGTGTGTGTGTGTGTGCGCACATGTGTGTGTGTGTGCACGCGCACGTGCGCACATGCACATGTGTGTTGTGTATACAGAGAGACAGAGAGACAGAGGTTTATTTTAAAGAATTGACTCGTGTAATTGCAGAAGCTTGGAGAGTTCAAAATCTGATGGGGTAGGCCAGCAGGCTGGAGACTCAAGAAAGAGCTAGAGTTCAAGTCCAAAGGCAGTCTGCTGATGAACCAGGAAGAGCTGATGTTACAGAAGCAGCTCAAAGGCAATCTGCCAGCAAAATTACTTCTTGGTTGGAAGACATCAGTCTTTGTTCTATGAAGGCCTTCAACTGACTGGATGGAGTCCATTCACATTATGTATACTAATCTGCTTTACTCAAAATCCACCTTTTAAAACTTTAATCTCATTCAGAAACACCTTTACAGAAACATCCAGAATAATGTTCAACCAAATATCTGTGTACTGTGTCCCAGCCAAGTTGACAACAAATAAAATTATCATGCCACCCTAGTAATAACTACTCATACCTTATACAGCTTATACTAAAGTATTTTAAATAAATTTCTACACAGTACTCATGAGACTAAACTAAGATCCTGTAACAAATACCCCTACACAGACACACTAAAATCCAGGGGCTTAAGGAATATGTTTATTACCTCATGTAGCAGTCCAGGGTGAGGACTCTAGGTCAAGGGCTGTCTGCTCCATGGAATCACTGAGAGACCCAGGACCACAGCAGACCTAACTCTGCTCCAGCTTCCAAGACCGCTCTGGCCACTAAAGCCCACAAGCATAAGGAAGGAGCATGGAGAAGGATGTATACGGGCTCTGTTTGCCAGGCTGGGAAATGGCCCATATCACTACAAGTGAAACTGGTTAATGACATCAGCTGTGTGCCCAGGTAGGCGAATGGGAGAACTAGTGGTCTCCACCATACACACGGTGTGTGTGATAGCTGGTGGTGGCAGAAAGTAAAAGTGCCATCAATATATTAACTCAACATTAATACATCTTCATTTTCTTCAGAGCACTTTTCTCTCTTCAAAATTATCTTTTTTGTTTACTAGTTTATTTATCTGGTTTGCAGCAATTGGGAGGAGACAAAATAGCAGCTCAAAGTGCGAGCCATTACAAATCAACTTCTTATTCTTTAAGCCCCTGGATTTCAGTGTGTCTATGTAGGGGGTATTTGTTACAGGATATTAGTCTACTCTTATGAGTATAACACAGACACATGAGAGTCATCAGACTGCCTGGGGTTCATCATGACACCTCAACTTAGCACCTGTGTGACCTTGGGCATGTGGTTAAATTCTAGGAGTCTCTGTTTTCTTGTGTAAAAATGGAGATAATACCATACTGAACGTTACGGGGGGCTGCCCAGATAGCCCCACTTCAGTGCTGTTGCATCTGTCCCCAACTGCTAGAAATATTGACAGGTGATGGCACTCAGCTGATGAGAAATTGTCTTCCCCAGGGTAACACCTTCTGCTGGGGGCATCTATATCTAATGACCATTGATGGGGTGTGTGGGTGGGGGATGGGGATGTATAAAAGCCTACTTTCTTTGCCTCAGGAATATACAACTCTCGGGTGGGTGAGGTGGCTCATGCCTGTAATCCCAGCACTTTGGGAGGCTGAGGTGGGCAGATCACGAGGTCAGGATTTCAAGACCAGCCCGGCCAACATGGTGAAACCCTGTCTCTACTAAAAATACAAAAATTAGCCAGGCGTGGTGGTGCGCACCTGTAATCCCAGCTACTCCAGAGGCTGAGGCAGGAGAATTGCTTGAACCTGGGAGGCAAATGTTGCAGTGAGCTAAGATTGCGCCACTGCACTCCAGCCTGGGCAACAGAGCAAGACTCAGTCAAAAAAAAAAAAAAAAATTAAAAGAAGATACATCTCTCGAAGGCCTTCCCAGCTTGAGCACCCAGTGGGATCTGCTGACACCCTTGCTGCAGTTACATCTCAGTGCAATTCCTTCCTCTCTCACTGCCTCCCAGTCTCACTGCCTTTGCTCCCCATAGGTGTTGATCACAAAGGCATTCACCAAGAAACTTTCTGCACATACATCATATATCTCCACCTCAGTGTCTGATTTCTGGAGAATTGACCTAAGGCTTGTGGGAATTAGAGGAGATAAGCCTGAAAAAGCACTCAGAACAGAGCATTGCACATAGTAAGCACCCAATGAATATTTGTTGAGTTGAAGGAATGAATGATGCTTTGTCCATATTGTAAATAAAAACCGTTAAACAAGAGAAGTTAAGAGAACATCCATGACTACATAAACTTATCTATGTCTAAATTATATGGATAACAAAATGTAAAAGAAAGTAGACACAGTTATTTGTAATATTTCAATGCCATTATTTTATAACCAGAAAAATTCTTCATGATGCATGATTCTAGCTACAAACTGTGCAAGAGAAAGCTGTGAAATCAAGAGCCATGCATTATCAAAAACTTTTATTTTGTCCTAATTTTAGATCAGTTATGTTATTCTTCAGATCAGCATGACAAGTATTGAAATCGGAGTGACAGGCAATTTTGTCACCCTATCTTTCTTGGAAACCTACGAACTGTGTCTCATTTCTCACATTTGCCCTTCAATTCTGATTCTTGCTGCAGACTCAGTAAAGATGTAAAATCTCTTACATCTCTACACCCTTGCTAGCACCAATGTGACAGACACACAAATATCTGGGATGCACTTTTCATTTTCCTACCTCCAAGGCTGTTTACATCACCATTCAAGCCAGCTGGCTTCCTCCTTAGAGCGCTGCCTTCACTTTCAATCTTGTTCACCTTGGGGTTTTATTTCTCACAATGGTGTTACATATTCTGAATATGAAGAGGATATTAAATTAATGTATTCCCCAGACCACTCAAAGCAATTTTTAAAAAACAACCACTAAAAGAGTTCATCTGCCAACTCCCAAGTGCTGCGAGCACTCTGCATCTGCCTTTGCATTCATTTCCCTCCCATGCAAATATGCACACAGCCCACAAGGAAGGAGGCACAATTACCAGCCTTAACCAGATCAATCTCCCGAAATTCAATGTCAAAGAAACATCCCAGGATGTCAAAATTTACTTGTAAGCGACTCATCACCCCTTCTGAGATGGACTATGTTAATTCACAGGGGAGAATAACCTTCTCGGAAACACACATTTACATTTACATAAAGCAGAGTAGAAAATAATCATGCTTCTCCATGAGCAAATGACAGTTACATAAGGATATTCTTCCACCTTTTTGCGTGTCACTCATAAAACTGCTTTCAAAATTACATCTGTGGAGAGGACGCTTGGAAAGCAGTGCCGTTTGCTACAAGCACTGTTCAAAACCACTCACAAATCCGTCACCTTTTTCCTTCTTTCAAGTACACTTTGCTTAATTTTAGTATGTGTTATCCTCTCAAAAAAAAAAAATCACATAAAAAACTTTCACCCTAGAAAGGTTTCTCGGAACATTTCCCCTCTGAGAGCTTTAAGCGAAGGTTGTACATTAAATGGTTTCATAAAAGATCCTGAATAAAGGCTATTATCTACATGTAACATTCACTCGCACTATATCTCATGATCTATTGACATAAAGCAGTTTATTGGTCAATATCACTGGCCAAAGGCAGAGACAGAGGTATGATTCCAGCCATCTGGAAATCTATTATCAAGGCTAATGCATATGCCTTTCATTTCTAAAGATCTGGTTTCAGCTTCATCAGTTAAAAGTGAATTGGGTGGTCTTGTCTTACCCACATTAAAGAACCATTATGCAGTTTAGCCTAACAAAACACCATCAGTCATGAACATCATTTAGCAGAAGTCAACCTAGGCAAAATGTCCAGTCTGTTGAGTATGCCTCCTTCTCTAACCTCTCGTTCCCTGATCAGGCTATTCATGGGCAAAATTATAAAGTAGGCAGAGTTAGTTTGAGGTTATTTTGAGTCTATTAGTCAAAAGCACAGAGTGGGAGAAATAGATATGGATATAAGAATGAAACAAGCGACAAAAATATGCGTTCTAGTCCTAGCTAGTCACTACCTCTCTGGGGCTCAGTATCTTCAGCTGTAAAATGGGGATAACAACCACCCTCACGCTTTGAGGGCTCTTGGAATTGAAAGAGTTCCCTTATCCCCCTCGCAGGACGTTAGGCGGAGGTGTGGCTCACTGCCCCACCACTCAAACCCCTAGGGGAAGTATGCAGACGGCAGGTGCAGAGACCGTGGGGAGCGTTTTTTGGGCTCTGGCCCCATGGCTGCATCTAGGGGTGGGTGTCTGCGACTCCCGAAGTCCAAGTGGGTGTGTGTTACAGTGTGCTCTTTCAGCTTTGCCGTCTGCAGACGGCTTGTGTTAATCAGCTCAACAGACCCTCTGCCTTATCGCTAGGGCAGGGGACCAGTGTGACAGCCTGAGTTCTTGCCCATTGTATCAGAAGAATCAGATCACACGTGGGCTGGAAGGATGAGTGCAAGGTCTTATTGAGTAATGGAGGTGGCGCTCAGCGAGATGGATGGGGAGCAGGAAGGAGGGGATAGAGTGGGAAGGTGATCTTCCCTTGGAGTCAAGCCCCCCAGCAGCCAAACTCTTCTCAGACGGCCCCAGCTGAACTCCTCTTGGTGTCCAGATGTCCTTCCTCTTCTCTCTCTGCTGTGCCGCCCCGCTGCTCTCTGCCACTCTCTGCCTCTCTGTTCCTCTTCTCCTCTCAATGTCCAGCTGCTTGTTTTTCTGCCCACTAAGGTCTCAGGTTTATATGGACACAGGATGCAGAGCATGGTGGGTCAGAGTGGTCTTGGAAAATGCAACATTTGGGCGCGAACACAGGAGTGCCTGTTCTTACTTAGGTCTGTGGGCACAGGCCCAAGGGTGGAGCCCTGGCCAAGGACACCGCCTTTCTCTACCCAGCACTTCCCTGCCCCCCTCCCATATCAGAATGATCAAAAGAACACATGGCTATGAAAAGCCATACATCATTTGCAAATAACAAGATTACTACTATCCTTTCTTGCCCTCATTTTTACTTTCCACATTTTCCATATGGCCCTCCCCATCTACAGAGACCTGGTGCTCTCCATCTTTCTCTTCCCCTACGTGGATTTAGCCGTCTCCTCCCCTACCTGGATTTAGCTGCCATCAGTCCTGCACCCTGGGTCTTGCCTGTCCCCTAAGTATCAGTAATATTTCCCTGCTAATTTCCCTTCTTACAATGTGTGATCTCTGCTATGTGTTAACTGGTCAGTCTGGGAAGCTGTTACTCCCTATGCTATCAGAAAAAGTGCTGCCTTGCCAAGCACTTATTAGAGACCCTGAATTTTCCAGAGCAATTTCAATTCTGGCACAGGATGGCTAGGAATGCACAGAAGTGAAGGCAGAACTTTTGTCAGTTTTCAAACCTGGGGTGGTGAGGGTGGTGACTTACTCGATATCACTCTAAGTACCAGGCCTGGGAATCCAGGGCCAGCCTAGTCCTAGAGAAAATAAAGATGACTACCATACATCCATATCACACACTCAGTGTGACTCTCTACATTCCCAGATCACAGGGAACTCTGTAACAATGTCTCACCTGTGATTCTCAGAGACAGGCCTCAGTTTGAAACTTCCTACCAGCGGCATATCCATTGTTTTCCCTTTTATTTATCTCATATTACCTCAGATATATTAGTTGGTTACATTGAAATCAGATCAGCTCAAAATTATCCACTTGTGGTGAATTTTTTTTTAACCCAAATAGGTTTCTCCATATATCCATCAATGCTTCTGGGTCACTTTTCCATAGCCACGACTTGGTTTATTCTCAGGAAATGCAAGCTACGGTTTTTATAGATCTGAACCAAACCACTAGAGAGATAGCCATACTGCCCCGAAATCATATCCATCTAAATGTCCATCTCACTTTTTTTCTGTTTTTTTTTAATAACCAGAAAAGCTCTTCATCAAGCGTGATTCTAGCTGCAAACTGTGCAAGATGAAAGCTATGAAATCAAGAATGGAAATGGAAATGTTTTCATATCAGCCCCTGCATGGAATATCCCTGGCTATTGCACTCCCACCTTCACCCCCATCATCCAGGAAGAATCAGCGTGATCAGGGTCATTCTATGAGGGCAGAGCCCTGAGACAAAAGCACAAAACTCTCCAACTCCCTCACATCAGCTTGTCCCCCAACACACACACCCATTCCTAAGTCAAAAAATGATTTAATTTATAATGCACAATTTAATTTGCTTCACACATTACATCATTTCTCAATACACTTTAAGGTAAAAACTTACAAGGAGAAACCAGAAGGGTTTGTTAAGACCTGGTGAGGAGGCAGATGATGGGTTCAAGTGCAGGGGCCGCAGAGGGGTTGGTGCAGTGACCAGGGAAGACAGAAGAGCAGGTGTTAATGGCTGCTTGTGTATATGGGGACCTGAAGGCTTTCTTAGCCCCAGACAGCCCCCACCCTCGACATTCCTTAGCTGAGAGCCAGTTCTCAAACTTTCTTCAGCATCAGGAATAACAATGATAATCAAGGAGCCTACTGAAAATTCAGATGATCGTGCTCATCCCCAGAGATGGGTCCATAGGTCTGGATTTGCAGCTCTGCATTTTTAAAAGGTACCAAGTACCACAGGTTATTCTGCTGCAGGTGGCCAGAGACCCACACTTTGAGTTCTTCTGGCCACTGGCCTCATTCAGTAGAGCAAAGCATGCAGTGAGTGACTTCGAGGGGAAGGCTCAGGGCCTTATGAGTGGAAATCCCGTATGCAAGCATGATTCCACGGGAAGCTGTGTGCAAAAACTCTCAAAGAGAAGGTGTTACTTGAGAGCATTCAGCTGGCGTGTGACAGCTACACGATATGCATGCATAAAAGGAGGTGTTACGGTGTCTAATTATTACCTTTAGAAGATTTTAAAGATGGATTCTATGATCCTTGATCACTTGAAATTTTGAACCTAGGGGAAAGATATCTAAGAACAATCCCTATAAATAATAGCAATGAATAGGTGTGAAGAGTGACTATATTTAGCCACAAAGTGAGCTGTTATAGGCATTTCCCCCAACTTTACAGGAGCACCATTTCTGTATTCTTTTTACTCCTACAAGATACACATCCTGTTTACCTTGTGCTTTGTGTTATACAAAGAATGGATACTTAAAACAGGCCTAGGATTTTTAAAATATAAAATAAACGCCTATGTTGTTCATTCTATTCAGTTGACTGTCTCAAGACAGAATATTCCAGCAGTGATATCCCTCTTGGGAAACTCAATTTTGAAAGTACTCAAAAATAGTAATGTGGAGCCGAAAAGATTCACATTATTTCTAATATCCTATAAAGGAAATCTTATTTCCCTAAGTTAAGGCCATATAGGCTAATAGTACATACTCTTAAGCATTTGAGTATATTAAAAATCTTTTAGCAAGATACAAGGAAAAATAATAGCAGAGGTCCTCAATAGAAAAAAAAAAAACTCGGGAAAATTTATTTCAGAGGAATATCTCACTATTCAGCTATATCCTAGTAACAACTTTACTTAATAAAGAGTCAAATTCATTGCACAATTAAAAGGCTTTGGAAATGTTCTGCTCAAGATCTATCTCTGGAAGCACAAATCACTACATCTGCCATGGAATCACATGCAATGTCAGGTTGAATTTTTGTTTTTTAATGATTTTATTTTGGTCTCAACAAAGTAAGGCCAGAAAGATAAAACAAGATAGAGAAGCTGTCAGAAAAATGAGCACATTCCAAAAACCAAATAAGCTGTCTCCCCAAAAAAGCATCACTTTCTTTGTTGTTTATCATATGCTAAAGTGATTTGCATATTGTCTTTCAAGGTGGAACTTTCCACTGCATTTGCATCATCTCAAGAGCCAGTGGCTGCCCCCTCTGCATGCTGTCTTGTTGCTATGGAAATGAGGGTGTACAGTAAGACAAGGAGCAAAGGTAATGGGCTTTAAACAGAAATGTTAACAAGAGAGTCATCTTGCTCTGTCATCCAGGCTGGAGTGCAGTGGTGAAATCTCAGCTTACTGCAACCTCTGCCTCCCTGGTTCAAGCGATCCTCTTGCCTCAGCCTCCCGAGTAGCTGGGATTACAGGCACATGCCACCATGCCTGGCTAATTTTTATATTTTTAGTAGAGATGGGGTTTCACCAATTTGGCCAGGCTGGTCTCGAACTCCTGACCTCAGGTGATCCACCCGCCTCAGCCTCCCAAACTGCTGGGACTACAAGCGGGAGCCACCACACCTGGCCAAAAAAAATTAACTACTTTTGTAATCCTCCCTGTAATAATAATATCTAGCAATAAAGACACTTAAGCAAACTGATTTTATTTTTAAAGACCTCACTAACAATCATAGAGTATCTGTTACACAGCTTGAATTTGATTTACTTGCTTAATGCCTTTAGCTTTTCATGTATAAAGAGACTGGTTTAAAATTGACCACACTAAATTGGTAAAAGTCTTGTCAGATTCCTCTCACTCATAGAGAAGTTTCTAAGACTCAAGTTATCAAAAGTGAGTGGTTAACCTAAAAGTTAACTCTGTTTTGAAATGTGTGTGTGACCTTAGGCAAGTATGTTGAACTCTCTAAATCCTTGTTTCCTTCTCTGGAAAATAAGATAATACCACTTATGTTACAAAATTGTATAGAGATCTGACCTAACGAAAAGTTTGGCACATGATAGGCATTTAATCAATGCAAGCATGGTGGCGTTAAAACCAATTTTCTCAGCACACATTAGCTGAGTGGAGGAGACAGTTTAGAGCCTCATAGTGGGTGGCAAGACAGTTGGGAGAAAAGGATCCGGGCTTGGCCTAAAATTTGCTGTGAATAATCCATAAAGTGAGCTATCCACAGAAGCAGATCATCAAGCATTGGCTATACATGGAAAAGGGCTTTCCTCACCCATCCAAGATAAAGGCCCACCTGGGCATGACAATTCCAGGTTGTGGTTTGACTCTGAGCACTGGGAATGTTGGCTTTCCCCGCAAGCTTGGCTATTCCGAGCACAGAAATATCACATTATAGTAACTACCCTGTGGCAAAGGCGATTTGAGAGCAGTGCAAACTCTTCCCTTTTTCTCTCCACTAGCATCCAGACTGCTAAATATTTGGTGCCAGTGGTTACGGTTGATTCCATTTCCAGAAATGCAATGCAGCTGGAAAATATTTTTTCTCATAGTGGAAAAAGGCTGGACCATTATGTATCTCTTCAGCAAACGGTTATGATACATAAAGAAATTAACTTTAATGCAATATAAAGCACACTGTTTACCAAACGCCAAAATGGGGAATAATGTCTATGTTGGTGCAGAAGTCCTTGTCACCACCCCCATCCATGGTTTTGCTTTTTGCAGTTTCAGTTACCCATGCCCAACCACAGTCCAAAAATATTAAATGGAAAATTTCAGAAATAATTAATTTATAAGTTTTAAATGGTGTGCTATTCTGAGTAGTGAGATAAAATCTCAGGGCTGTGCCTCTCCATCCTGACTGAGACAGGAATTGTCCCTTTGTCCGGCAGATCCATGCTGCCGACACTCCCTGCCTGTCAGTCACTTAGTAGCCAGCTGGTTGTCCAATTGACTGTTGTGGTATCCCAGTGCCTGCATTCAAAGAGCCCTTATTTTACTTAATAATGGCCCAAAGCCCAGGAGTAGTGATGCTGGCAATTCTGACATGCCAAAGAGAAACTGTAAAGCGCTTCCTTTAAATGAAAAGGTGAAAGCTGTTGACTTGAGGAAAGAAAAAAATCATATGCTGAGGTTGCTAAGGTTTACAGTACGATAAGATATTTTGAGAGGGCACATCCACATAATTTTTATTACAAAATATTGTTTTAATTGTTTTCTTTTATTGTTGTTAATCTCTTACTGTGCCTATTTTATAAATTAAACTTTATCATACATATACATGTATGGGAAAAAAATATATAGCCTATATAGCAGGGGTCCCCAACTCCCAGGCTGGGGACCCTTACTGGTCTGTGTCCTGTTAGGAATCGGGCTGCACAGCAGGAGGTAAACAGTGGGACAGTGAGCATTACCGCCTAAGCTCCACCTCCTGTCAGATCAGGCGGCACTGGATTCTCATAGGTGCATGAACCTCACTATGAACTGCACACGTGAGGAATCTAGGTTGCAGGCTTCTTATAAGAATGTAACTCCTGGCCGGGCATGGTGGCTCACGCCTGTAATCCCAGCACTTTGGGAAGCCAAGGCGGGCAGATCACGAGGTCAGGAGATCGAGATCATACTGGCTAACGCAGTGAAACCCAGTCTCTACTAAAAATACAAAAAAAAAAAAAAAATTAACCGGGCGTGGTGGTGGGCGCCTGTAGTCCCAGCTACTCGGGAGGCTGAGGCAGGAGAATGGTGTGAACCCGGGAGGCGGAGCTTGCAGTCAGCCGAGATTGCACCAGTGCACTCCAGCCTGGGCGATAGAGCGAGACTCTGTCTCAAATAAATAAATAAATAAATAAATAAATAAATAAATAAATAAATAAATAAATTAAATAAAAATAAAACAAAGAATGTAACTCCTGATGATATGTTTCATCCCGAAACCAACCCCTCCCCCGCAACCCCTCCACCGTCCATGGAAAAATTGTCTTCCACAAAGCCAGTCCCTGGTGCCAAAAAGGTCGGGGACCGCTGCTATAATGTTTGGTACTATGTGTGATTCCGGGCATTCTCTGGGGATCTTGGAATGTACCCTAGGGATAAGGGGGGCCTACCGTACTATCATATAAACTTTCCCACATTTCATATTAGCATTTGTGATCGCTGGCTGTCAGGAAAACCAGCCCTTTCTTCTATAAATGTGGCTGGGTGGATTTGGAAACATTTTGGATACGTAAACTTGTATTTCTTAGCATAGGTTCTTTCCACTCAATTCCTTTAAGTATTTTTTGGAAAAAAAATGAGAAACTAAGCTGACACTGGCCCTTATAGTTTTGTTCCTTCTATTTTTATCATGTAAATGAGCTGGGGACCTAAACACTAGAAATATATTCAAAAGGTTTAAATAAGCCACACTTAGCTCTATTATTTTTCTTCCAGGCTCAATAAATCTACTTTTAATTTAATTTATATTTGGAAGAAAACTTCTGCTTATAGGCACCAAAAATGTGTCATGGAATGTGGTAGGTATGTTATTACATTATCATGTTTATTTCTCACAACAACCTTGTGAAGTAGGTATGTGGCTATTAAACAAGGGAAGAAACAAGTCTGGAAGAGACAACATCTCTTGTCTAAGGTCATAAAACTAGAAATTGGTGGAGCCAGGATAGCTCTTTTGATTCCAAGCCAAATGCTTTTTCTTGTAGGACTAGGACACCTTATTGAGTTTCTCTAAATGTTGGAAGCCAAGTTGTCCCGTAACTTTATTAAGAGTCACCCTTAGTTGGTCTTTGATTGCTATAATTTTTCCTTCCACTAAAGGCTGTAAATAACAATGGTTTCAACTCTGGGGGGCTTTTTAAATACAGATGCATATTCTCCCATCTCAATCAATTTAATATAATCTCTGAGGTGAGGACCAGGCATCTGATTTTTTTTAATGCTCCAGAGGATTCTAACATTGAAAACATTAGCCAGGGTTGAAAACTACAGCTTTAAGATACCAGCTCAGCCAAGACCCTAGAAAGTCTTTGATTTTTATTGACCCTAGAAAGTCTTTGACTGTAAGTCACAACCCAGAGATGTTAACATTGGAAAATTGTTAAAGGGGATTATAAGATACCAGGGATTATATTTTTATATAAATAACATTTATATAAATAACTATATTATATAAATAACATATTTATGTAAGTTTAATAAAAATCTATTCTCCTTGTACAAGATACAGTTGGAAACACTGGTTATATTATGAAGGCATTGACTGGAATGTCATGTTTTCAGATGTGACCAGACAACTTAAGGAACTAAGGTTGACTTTATGGTGCCAATAAAGCCTCTTAGGGGTTAAAAAACTGACCTGATACCCTGCATACATGATTCTTATAAATGGGTCCCTTACATAGTTACAGGCGAGTAAGGGATGTCACTTCCTGGCAGGCCCAGGAACATCAGAAGATTTTGAGGACTTTGAGAAGAGAGGAATTCAACAAAACTATAGGTATTGCAAAAGTCTGATGGCCAAGTCCTTGGATGAGGTTCTTAACCTCAAAATACTTTTAAAAATCTAGTCTGAGATTCCTTATGAAAAGTTCCAGCAAAGCAAACTTTAACAGAGCCTACATGGTCAATCACTACTCTTGCTACACTTAGTAAATAAACTGGCCAAGTTTAATGAGACTAAACTTAATTTGGAAGTGAATTTGTCTACTTTGGTTATTTTTGGTAAAACTGGGGATGACTACAGAGAAATAAATTATGTTTCAGAAAAAATTTATAGTGTGCTTGTTATTAGATTCTAGCCTTGTTCATAATTTTTGAGGTTTTGTTATTTACCTGCAAACTGGATTGGATTCTAAATTCTTATAGTTTCCTCCAATATCTGGCTGCAACTCTCCAGACTAATATTTCCCAATCCTTCTGACGTGTAGTCACTGAAATTAAAATTGCCCCTTTCCTGAAGCCCTGTGAGCTGAAGCTAGATGACTTGATATAGACTTCAGAGAAGTCACCACAATAGCTTATGTATGGACAACCTTCATGACATTCAAACTGCAAACCAGAAAAATCTGTCAGTGTCCCTGCCTGTCTTCACTCCATCTGAAGATGCTTCAAGCTCAAATTTAGAAATCTTCTCGACTATCTGTCATCTGGATTCAAAAACTGAGTTTATAGTTTGCTCTAACCATTAGCTTTTGTTTTTCTTTGTTTTCATAGAAATGACTCATTTAAATACCTGATTGATCAGACCATATAGACGTCTAAGTCTAATGGAAGCCGACCTGCCACACTAACTCCTGACATGAAACACAACTATTAACTGTCTAGCTGAACTGGCCTATCCCCAGGAATAAAAGACAAGTTCAGTAACTTGTAGGACAATCCAATACCCAGTTTCTGGACTGTAAAACTTTTTGGGGAAGTTTCAGGGAATGGTGGGGTTTAAAACACACTAACCCCAAAATATGGCACCTTGGATTTGAGAAAACAGCAGAAGCATGTTCTCTCTGACTTTCTTCAGCCATTCTCCCTTGCAGCTGGCCATAAAAGAATTCTCTGACTTTCCCCTAAAGTAGATCATAAGACCCTCATTATAGACAAGTTCTCCCTATACCCAGAGGAAAGGAACAAAGACATAGGGATGCAGAGAAGAATCTGAAGAAACAGGCCTTGCTAAGTTCCTCTCCATTTACTGCCATTAGATCAAACCCATTTGTCCTTCATTCATACTTCTGTATGACTGTACATAAAAATACACAGATTTCTCAGTTTCTCTGGGTCTTCATTTCTGAAGGATTCCAGAAACTCTTTCTCTCCTATACCACCCAACAGTTATCACTTGTCTCCTTAATATGGAAGGTGAGAACCATACAGTATGTTGCCCCAAAAAGTTTACCCTGCAAGTCAGCAAGGAACATACCTAAGGCCAGAAGAAGGTAAGGGTGGAAGATAAGCATTCACCTTCAACTCACATAGAGCCCTTTTTAGGTGAGAATCAAGGGTAACACCCCTCCCACCCCTTCCCCAGAGCACAGGGGTCTTTCCTTCAATGTTCTCCAAGCCTGGCTGTTCCCTCTCTGGTCCCACAGATGTTGCCAATAGATTATTTGGTTTTCTCTCTCATGTTTACAGATGTGGACAGAGTGAACATGAAGAGTAACAGATGAAAATTCATTAAATGTGTGCATATCTTAATCCATATATAATAGAATTATATGGAGCCATTCCAAGTCATGTTTTAGGCTGGGTACGGTGGCTCACACCTGTAATCCTAGCACTTTGGGAGACCAAGGAGGGCAGATTGCCTGAGCTCAGGAGTTCAAGACCACCCTGAGCAACATGGTGAAACCCCGTCTCTACTAAAATACAAAAAATTAGCTGGGCATGGTGGTGGGCACCTGTAGTCTCAGCTACTTGGGAAGCTGAGGCCTCCTGAGAATTGCTTGAACCGGGGAGGCGGAGGTTGTAGTGGACCAAGATCACACTACTGCACTACAGACTGGGCGACAGAGCAAGAGACTCTGTCTCAAAAAAATAAATAAATAAATAAATTTTTAAAAAATAAAGTCAGGTTTTAGAACAATTATCATGGAGGAAATTTCATGATATATTAAATTAAAAAATTAAGGATACAAAACAACAATCAAGACCGGAGAAATATACATAAAACACTATCACATCAAAGTGCTGCAATGACAGATAATTTCACTTTTCTATGTACTTTATTCTCCAAATTTTTATGCAAGTGTGTATTTATGCTTAAATTCAGAAAAAAGTGCTATACAAATATGAAGTATATGTGGTTATTATAAAAATTAGAATAATTACATGGAAAATTCTTAAGAGCCAATATTAAATAAAAAGAAAAGATACAAAATTATAAATATATGATGAAAATTATTTTACTATGCATAGGTTAAAAAAAAGACTAGAAGGGAAAATACCAAAATATTATTAGTAATTACCTTCAGGTGGTAGGATTATTGATCACTTTTAATATTTAAGTATTTGATATTATTCTTTATATTCCTAATTTTTTCAATGAGAAGGTGTGGCTTAAATTTTTCTTATCTTTAATCATGAATTTTTCAAGCCTCTAACAAATTTCACACATATCCACTACTCATATTTAACAGATATTAATGTTTTGTCATATTTAATTTGAGTCCCTTTAAGGAATAAAACACAAATACAGCTAAAATCTAACCCCTCCTTCATTCTTCCCCCTCCCTCTGGTTTTAGAGGTAACCATTATTCTGTAATTAAGATGTATCATTCATGGGCAGGTTTTATAACTTTTGCTACTTATATATGTATCTTTGAACCACATGATTATTTTTAAAGTACAAAGTAGTATCACTATACATGTCCTTTTGCAATTTTTTTACTTCAAGATTTAGTCATGTTAATACATTTAGATCTAATACATTTAACTACTGCATACTATTCTTATGACTATACCACAGTCTATCCATTTCTCTATCCCATTGGTCCTCAAACTCTAGCATACATCAGAAGCACCTCAAGGCCCTCACAGTACAATACTTATATGAATGTGTGTGGTTGTGTTCCAATAAAACGTTACTGTGGATACTAAAATTTGTATTTTGTAAAATTTTTACATAATATAAAACAATATTTGTCTCTGATATTTTTAAGCATTAAAAATGTAAAAACTGGCCAGGTGCAGTTGCTCACACCTATAATCCCAGCACTTTGGGAGGCTGAGGTAGGCGGATCACCTGAGGTCAGGAGTTCGAGACCAGCCTGGCCAACATGGTGAATCCCCGTCTCTATTAAAAATACAAAAATTAGCTGGACGTGGTGGCACACACCTGTAATCCCAGCTACTCAGGAGGCTGAGGCAAGATAATCATTTGAACACAGGAGGTGGAGGTTGCAGTGAGCCAAGATCGTGCCACTGCACTCCAGCCTGGGTGACACAGCAAAGCTCTGTCTCAATCAATCAATCAATAAAAATATAAAAACTATTCACAAACTGTGCAAAGAGGGATTTGGCTGGATTTGAGCCCAGGAGGCTTAATTTGCCCAGCCCCTGCTCTAGTCACCAGAGTTGGGTCAGTTCCACTGTTTTGCTGGAACAAACAGTGCTCCTTTAGCTTTTGTCATAGACCCTCAGAGTAAATACAGTCATGCGCTACATAATGACATTTTGGTCAACAACAAACCACATATAGGATGTTAGGCCTATAAAATAATACTATATTTCTACTGTAACACTGTACCTTTTCTATGTTTAGATATGTCTAGGTAAACAAATACTTACCATTGTGTAACAATTGCCTACAGTATTCAGTACAGCAACATGCTATCCAGGTTTGTAGCCTAGGAGCAATAGGCTATACCATATAGCCTAGGTGTGCAGGAGGCTATACTGTCTAGGTTTGTGTGAATACACTCTATGATGTTCACACAACCTAACCACACATTTCTCAGAATGTATCCCCATCATTAAGCAATGCATAACCATACTTAGAAGTGAAATAACTAAGTCATAGAGGATTTACTGGGTATCGCCAATTTGCTCTACAAAGGAATAGTGCAAAATCTGCCTTCTACCAACAATGAATATGAGTTTCTATTTACCTAGATCCTTGACAAACACTTGGTGTTAGCAGGCCTTTTGAAGTTTGTCTGTCTGGTGGATACGAAATGGTGTCTTACTGGTGTGTTCATTTGCATTTCCTTGGTCGTTCATGAGGTTGAGCGTCTTTGCAGTTGTTGTTCACCATTTGCCCTTCCTCTCTATGGAACTGCCCCTTTATACTTTTTCCCATTTTTAAAATTGTTGGTGTGAAATCACTCATATATTTTTGATACCTATTGTTTGTTGAATTTTAGAAATGGAAAAATTTCCCAGTCTGAGTTTTATTTTAAGTTCTATTTACAGTGCTTTGTCATGCAGAAGTTTACTAATTTTTATGTAGTCAGGTGTATAAATCTTCTTTGTTATATGTTCCTTATGTTTCATTTAAGAAATTCCTTTCTGTTCCAATGTCTTCAAATGTTAATCTTCCCTCTTTTTTCTCTAAAAGTTTCTAAGTTGTGATTTTCATATTTAGCTCTCCAATCCACTTGAACCTTATTTTTATACTGGTGAAAGGTATACTCTTTTTGGGTGGGGAGCAATATGGTTAGATAATTGTCTATGTTGATTTGTAACGCCTCCTCTGTTACAGATAAAGTTTAATGTAAATGTAAATGTAAATTTTTTTAATGGAGAAAAAACTTTGCCTAAAGTTTATCCTAGAGGCATAGATATGGGAACAAAGTTAATATGCTACAGGATAAGTAATAAATAATATGAGTTGCTGTGTTGCCGTGATACAATAGCCAAGATATGCGTCAGCAAAGCCAGAAAATGTCTGTTTGAAAGAAAAAAAAATTCAGCTACATGAGTATTTGACATGTAATTTTTTGATGATGCTGAGACAAAATTTGAGCAAAAGCTTTGTAAAAAAAAAAAAAAAAAAAAAGAACCTTCCTCCCACCCCCTGCCAAAACAAGAGATAAAGGAAAGCAAGGTGATCTCTTTAAAAACAAGTGGGGAATCACTGGACAGCTCTCTGTGTTAGTAATAGCAGACATGCAGCAAAAGCATAATCCATGAACCTGACATTGGCTACCCAAACAGAGAAGCAGAAAATCCAGTCGGGCAGACCTGGGCCGTGGCAGGCACTGAAGACTAATGGTGCTGCATGAATGGGCAGAGCTGGTGCCCCATCTGTGTGAAATCAAGAGGGAGTTTCAATTTGGCTTATTTCAGAGAGCTCAATAGGAAGTGAAAATAACAGGCCGTAATGGTCTCATGAAGAATAAAGCACCCCTATATTTCACACCACTACTGAGTTTTGCTAACATATTAGATTGAACTATATGAAATTGTCATTTCTGAAGTTAGAAAAAGAAGGTTGACTATCTTCACTTTCATATAGCTCAACCTAATATAAGAGAAGGATAGTGCTACGTTACATATTTGGGCGTCTCTTGCTCAAAAATGAGTCAATATAATGAAATTCTCCACTCAGATTCAAGGAGGGCACTCACTGGTGTGGGAATTACGGACTCTTCTCCCATATCGTTAGCAGACTGGCAACCCTGGAAGTCGAGTTTTCTCAGGCTAAAGGAGAGAAGTCCTCTGACTCAGAGACTTGGTGACTTCCCTCACCAACCCATCAGGATAACGGTATCAAGAGCATACTTCTAGGTGTTCCTTTGTCTAAAAATCTCCTCCAATGACATGAATAATGCTTTTCTCAGCAATGGCATCCTGTTCTGCTCACTCACACTCTGCAGTTAGATCACCCAGAAAATGAGATAAAACTACTGAAATCAATTAAAAGCATCTGATACACCAGACAAAGCCTCTTGGGTTGTTCAGAAAGAATCAGCAGAGCCAATGATTTCCTCCCATGACATCCAGTGAGAGCACTCTCTACAATAATGTTCTCTAGTCCAGCTCTTCCTGCTATTTCATACCAAACTTGGGGCTCAAGAGTCATATTAGTTCATCTTTCCAGCTGCCAGATGGGCAGTCAGCTTACACTTGGTCACTTTCCAGCTTCTCTAAATATATGTGTTTCTGATGTTATGCAGAATTTCTCATTCTGACACTAGGAAATCAGATTCTATTAGTGTATCAAGGAAATGTGAAGGGACCCAATGGGCTGTGAATCTCTCTGACCAAAATCCTAAAGTACATACATTAGATTAACTACAATCACTTTCAGATTTTCTTGTCTCTCTTTGTTCCCCATATTTTCAACACTTTCTCAGGCTGCTCCCTTAGGATCACAGATAATTAAATAAGAATACCCTAAATGAAAGAAATTGAATTGGAAGCTTTTAGAATTCTCTTCTCATCATCTAATTACATGAATAACATGTATGGGCAGCCTGACTCCTAGCTAATTCCCTCTCTGAATTTTTAGCTCTCATACAATTTGAACAGCAAATCCTAAAACCACAGGGTGGGTATTTTCCACTGCTTTGGTGACATACTTTTTTTTTCAAATTTTCCTGAAGTACACTTTGCCAGAAGACTGCCTTGAGGCTACCCCTGGTCCAGAGAATCTTCAAAAACCACATTGAAACAATTGTTGTTGCTCTTATCCTCTTCAGCATCTTGAGAATGTCCTTTCCCCATCTTTACATCTACAGTCTCCACAGGGAGACTATTAACTTCCCGCAGTGTCCTTTCAGCCAGCCCACGAAAAAGGCCAGGAAGAGCAACACTGTCAAGGCAGCCACATCTGCTCAATTGCACTAATCAAGATTCTGGGGCAGTATGTCATAACTCAGACTGAATGGAGCCAAATCCCATGGTCTGATGATAGAAGAACAAAGAAACTCAGGCTCTCTTACTTTACCCTCACATCACAGAATGCTTGTGTAGCCTCTGGTCTCCAAAATGTGTGGGGACTTCTCCCCTCCAAGCAATTCTCCAGCTGATCCCAGCTGGGTATCCCCTAATTTAACTCAATTCTGACACTGTCTACCTGGAGATGGTGTCAGATCCCCCAGGTTGAGGGCTCAGTCCCACAAGACTGCCCCCGACTTCAGATGCCAATCAAAAGCCCTGGGTTGTTTTACCTGAGCTTCTGAGCAACCACCTATAAATCGGGGGTTTTCATGGCTCCCTTCTTGAGTTTGATTAATTTGCTACAGCAGGTCTTAGAACTCAGGGATACACTTACTTACATTTATCATTTTATGATAAAGGATATTGCAAAAGATACAGATGAATAGCCAGATGGAAGAGACACATAAGGCGAGGTACGGGGAAGAGATGTGGAGCTTCTTTTCCCTCTCCAAGAGCACCATCCTCCAAGAACCTCCACAGATGCAACTGTCAAGAAGCTCTCCAAACCCAGTTCTTTTGGGTTTTTATGGAAGTTTCATTACACTGGCATCATTGATTAAATCATTGGCCATTGATGATCAACTTAACCTTCCACCCGTTTCCGTTTCATGGAGGTTGGGGATGGAGCTGAAAGTCCCAATGTTGTAACCACGCCTTGGTCTTTCCTGTGACCAGCCATCTAGCGGCTCCCAGCCACCAGCTCTCTAATAAGAGAGCAAAAGATACTCTATGTAAAAAATACTCCTATTATTCTGGAGATTCCAAGGATTTTAAGGTCTATGTGTCAGGAAATTGAACAAAGACCAGACATATATTTCAGAATGTCATAGTCTACCCTCTGGTTTTTTAACAGAGATCTCTTAAGTCAAAACAATACACCACTACAAAAGATGCTGGCTGGCACATTCCTATAATTCCATCCAATCATTAATAATTAGTCCAGTCCATCATCATTATACAAAAATGTCTCCCAGGATGAGGCCATCAAGTTTGTAAGATTCCTTATCACACATGGGTAGAACTGGCTTCAGACCATGAACTGGCTTCAGACATAGCTGGATTCAAAGGTCAAATGAAGTCACCAGGATTTCATCTCTCAACTTTCTCCAGTGTGGGCTTCATTCTCAGCTTCATCTAAGAGATCCTAAGAATGCAGGTCTTCTGTGTCCTAAGCCAAGCCCCAAGCTCAAGGTTTGTTGTCAGGAAACCCCAGAGCCACTCCCTGTGTGTTTCATGGCTCCCTGCTCCCTTGTGATTTTTTTCCTTCCTCAGACAGACCCACAGCAACCAGCAATATCTCCTGAAAGGATGATAGCTTCCTATCATCCATCCTATGGAAGGATGGAGGTTTTGGGTTGTGATCTCAGCTGTTAATTCTCTGTTGTGTGTTTTTGGACAATTTATTTTGCCTCTCTGGGCCTCAGTTTCCTCATCTGTAAATGTTTCTTTCTCTGTAAAGCTTCCCCAAGTGCCTGCCCCTCCATCTAGCTCTGCATCTCCTCTGAACACACCACACTCTGTACTGTACTTACTCTGACACACAAATGCTGGATTGATGGCATCTAGAGAGCAGAAATTATCTTATTTCTCCCTGTAGCCTAGAACCAGAACAAAATGTGTAAAATATTTCATTCATTGGTAGGATCAGAAGATCTCCAGGGCTCTTCTAACCTTTGAAATTAGTCATGATCCAATGATCATGACTTATCTGATTATTCCATCCCAACCTGGATTTATCCCTGATTAGCTGGACCAGCCCTCTTTGTGTCCTTCCCTTCTCTGGAGCAGCTCCCAAATCCAATCACCACCTTTGAGAATTTCCAGACTAACTAACCTCTACCCATCTCCACACCCAATTCTCATTCTCTGCATTACTCAGTATGTTCCATACAATCCCAAGTATTCCTTCCCTATGCTTGTGTACAATGAAAATGTCTCAACTGCAATGTGATCTTGCCAATATACCAGTTCCTTCATGCCTGTCTACTGCAGAACCATCTTGACTTGCAAGGTGCCAGAAATCAAAGGCTGTGGGTCCATCTAGACAGTGCCCTAAGCATATAGCTGTCTCCTACATGCGTTTAAAGATAATGAATGCTAATGACATTCAGATTGATTATGTTATTCCACAGTATGTGCTCCCACTCCAGATAAGCATGGGGGTCCATTAAAAAACTCTAATTCAGTGATTCCTCATGGGATGGGCAACTCACAAATGTATGAGGAGGAGCATATAGTTTGAAGAAACATATTCAATATGATCATATAACTTTACATATTTGGAAAATATTTTTAGAAATTATTATTATTTAAAACACGCTATAGAAAGAGCAGAGATAACATTTGAACTCAGGGTTACTCTTTTAGACCACATTGTTTCTCAATGAAAGAGGCAGCAAGTGCCACAAGCCTGGGCTGTAGCTGGTTTTGTAACTTGTCATTCAGTCTCCATGCTTCTTCTAAATGGGGAAGGGCTCTGTATAGGGCTCTGGGTAGGGGACAGGCTCTGTATAGGGCTCTGTAATGGGGAAGGGCTCTGTATCCTTGGGGACACCAGAAAAACTTTGTCCCACAGAATGAGGAGAGCAGGGCTTTCTCTCCTATAGTCACCAAAAAATTATCTAGGTGCCAAGGTTTGGCTAACACTAGTCCCACAGAAGAAGATCCCATGTCCTGTTTCCTATGTCAAGGTGCCTCCTGGGTTCTTCCCTGAAAAACGAGGTGGTTGGATGATGCCCAATGAATGCTCACAGCTCCGGGAGCTCTGCTCGTTCTGTGAGAAGCCATCAGACAGTCAACAGATACTTCTCAACACCCAATCTGAGCCAGGCATGCTCAAGACAGGGTTGCTATTTGGTTTTTCTTTAGAGTCAAGTTATTAGAGAGCTGAGTGGAGTGTCCAATGGCTTGAAATGTAGTAGGGATAACAGATTATTTGACCCCCAGTGGTAATCTGGTAATGGTTATTTTGTTTGAATCAAGAAAGTCTCATTTTTACAAATCCTGGCATTGTGTTCTCCTCTTCATGGCTGGCAGTTCACATCTCATGTCATCCTACATTATGTGTAATGATTTTTGAAGAGTGATGTAAATCATCCACTCCTCAGGGTTAGGAATCACTTTCAAGAAAAAGGCTTTAGGGTGAGATTTCACTCTTGGCAAATTTTAAAACCACTGTGGAGGCATAGAAAGCAGAAGCAAGAATAGTTTTCAGGGTAAATTAGGTTATAAATTTTGGTCAGATATAGAACTGGCCTCAATAAAGACCTTGCTAAGAAAGTTGTAAACAAAAGCAAACTGGCACATCACAGTGGTTCTGAAGAGTGGGGCAAGCCCTGAATAAATACAAAATAAAGAAGTTCTAGTATAGCTCCCCCTCTAATTACAGCAGAGTTGGTCATGGGAAACACTACTGATGGGTTTTGAGGGTTTTTTTCATTTGGTTTGGTTTGGTTTGGTTTGAGATAGTGTCTTGCTCTGTTGCCCAGACTGGACGGCAGTGGTGTGATCATAGCTCACTGCAGCCATGCCCAGCAAATTAAAAAAAATTTTTGTAGAGATGGGGCCTCCCTTTGATGCCCAGGCTGTTCTCAAACTGCTGGGCTTAAGTGATCCTCCCACCTTAGCCTCCCAAATTGCTGAGGTTACAGGTGTGAGCCACTGCGCCTGGCCTGTAAATTTTTCTAATCACTGACCCATTCACTTTCCTTCTCTTACAGCCTTCCCTACAACCCCTGCCTCCTATTTTTCCTCCATTAAAACTGTACTTTGAGGCTGCAGTTTATGGCCAGGAAGAGGGCAAAAGACATGAGAACAAATAAAGCAACCACATTTCAAAATAACAATTTTTTAAACTCATAGTAAAGACAATAATCTTGAAAACCAAAACCCTCTGATTTGCAAAACCAGGCTTTTTAACAGTAAAAGGCTTTCTGAGGTCTAAATGCTTGGATCTGAATATCAAGAGCCAAAGCCCTGAAGGAATCAGTATATAAAGGTTATCCATGAATAATGGTTTAGAAAACCATTTTCTCTCCACTGGGGAGAGGGGAGATTACAAATCTTTCTGAGTGGGAGTAGAGTGTTGAGAATGAAGCAGGACAGCAGTAGAGTTACCTGCTCTATTCCCCATGCCCCACCCCCATGCCCTGCCTCAGGTAACTTCAGTGAGGAGATCCCAGGTTCCCAGAGCAGCATGGCCTGTGCAGCAAATTTATTCCCCAGGATCCAGCGGGAAGAAGCACAGACAGCCAGTCATGTGTCTGTGGAGAGTCCTTCCCCCACAACCAGATTATAGAAAGCCAGAGAAAGGGCCACAGATGTGAAGGGGTCTCCTGACTGGAACAAGATGAATGCAGAATGTGGGGGTCTGGTAAGTGGAGGTGATGCTGTGATCTGAATGCTTGTATTGCCTCAAAATTTCTAGGTTGAAATCCTAACCCCAAGGTGATGGAATTAGAAGGTAGGGCCTCTGAGAGGTGATTAAGTCATGAGAATATAACTCTCATGACAGGGATTAAGTCCCTTAAAAAAAAAAAAAGACCCAAGGCCAGGCTCAGTGGCTCACACCTGTAATCCCAGCACTTTGGGAGGCCAAAGCAGGCACATCACCTCAGGTCAGGAGTTCAAAACTGGCCTGGCCAACATGGTGAAATGCCGTCTCTGCTAAAAATACCAAAATTAGCCGGGTGTGGTGGCAGGCGCCTGTAATCCCAGCTACTCGGGAGGCTGAGGCAGGAGAATTGCTTGAACCCAGGAGGCGAAGGTTGCAGTGAGTCAACATTGCACCACTGCACTCCAGCCTGGGTGACAACAGCGAGACTTTGTCTCAAAAAAAAAAAAAAAAGACCCAAGAGAGACCCCCTCTTCCTTCTGCCATGTAAGGACACAGCCAGCAGGAAGTCACCATCTATGAACCAGGAAGAGGGCCCTCCACAGATATCAAATTTGCTAGCACTTTGGTCTTAGACTTCCCAGCTTCCAGAACTTTAAGAAATAAATTTCTGTTGTTTATAAACCATCCACTTTGGGTGCTTACTTACAGTAGCCCCAACAGACTAAGACAGACCATGTGGACCTAGTAGCACAATCCAGAGGGATTGAGGCCAATAGCCTTTAAAGACCAGAGGGCCGAAAACACCTTGCAGAGTGCCAACCCTGGGCCAGAGAACCAGAGGATTCCCCAAACCCATTCCGCAAGTGCCACCAACCCCTCCCCATCTGTGAACTTAGATGCCACCCCTAAGAAAGGGAGGAGAGCAGAACCCTGCAAATGACTAAATCTAGGCAGGAAATGACTGGGTCATCACTACGTGGACTGTTTCCCTTGAGTTTGGAAGATTACATTTTCAGCTACCAAGGAGAATGGAGTGCCACGGTAAAGATTAAGTTCAACTGTTTGTGAATTCTGATGCATTATTTAACTATTAATTAAGCCATCAAAAATTTTGGAATTTATATGTTCAATAAATGTATGGAATTTATATGTAATAATAAATAGGTCTAGAAAAAGAATGTGGGTCAGGGGGAATTATCTATAGTATCATTCTTTTCTAACTTCAGCAACACAACAATAATACAAACCACTGTAATATTAGAAAGCTTCTCAGAAACTTATAGTTCATCACTGAATACATGTCACTCTTTAAATTTTCCTAGAATTAAAAGGTTCTATTCCAGTAGTTTACCTGAATTATATAATTATCTATAAAACTTCAAAGAAAATGAGGCTGAGCTTTTCAAAATGCAGATCTGATCATGTCACTTTTTCCCAACATCCATCTCTGGAGAGAGGGAACTGGTCTACTTTGCTCACCATGGTGATGCCAGAACTGAGCACATAGTGGGCCTTCATTTGTTGAATAAATGTAGAAATGAATGAATTAATATGATCAGGCTAGTGAACTCTTAAACCTCCTACCTTTGACATTCTGCAGCTACATGACTTGCATCTACTTTCCCACATAAAAGATGACAAAGAATCCCTTGAATTTCAGAGTTTAAACTGACGAATATATGCAGTAATGTAGAAATAGTTTTAATATGTTTCTATTTCATCACACATTTATGCATATATATTAATTGAGCTTATTTAATACAGTTCTTGATCCCTGAAACTTAATTAACAAAGGCATTAAGTTATTGAAAACACGAACATTGTCACCTCTGGTGTAAATGTTAGAGTAGAATCAGGTATTGTTCTTTCATGTTGCAATTAAAATTTAAATTAATATATAGACCTGGCTATGTTTTGTTTCTTAACAAAAATATATAAGGAAATGACATTCTATTAAAATACACTATTACAAAAGAAAAATCTATAGAGGAATTAATTTATGTCCATGACAAAGTCTTTTCTCTGAAAAGAGTAGCAAAAAACATAAGCTTTGGGTTTTTATCACCTGATCCTTTGTTCATATCTGCACACTTTGTTGCACACATAAACAATTTTGTAGATTTATGGCTATCTATATAAACACCTTTTACTCTAGCAGTTCCCACATTTTCAGCAATTACAGAAATTTAGGATTCTCAATTCTCCATAAAATATGAGCAAAAACACTGCAAATTCCTGTTCCCCGTCCACCAAAATCTCTCACACAGTAATTAAAGTCCTTATCAGCATCACCGCGTGCTACATAACAATCTAGTCTTCCTAAAAGTAAATTCACAAGGGGGAAATTCCTCTTGATGATAAGCAAACAGCAATTATTATTCCCTGTTATTAAAATGCTCTCAGTTAATTGTACAGATACCAGCAGAAAGATTACCTTAAAAGGCTGGATAGCAAAAGGGAGTTAGAGTTTTGAACCTTCTGGTCTAATTTAGACGAGAGTTTACAGAGAGATTCAGTAAATATTTGTAAGGAACCATTAACATTGAGTAAACAATTCAATGCCTGCAAGGAAAAATGTATTTGAATAATTGTAAAAGAACCTCCCTCCATACATGCTGGAAATGAATTATTTTAAAATGAAAATAGCTCAAATACATTAACAGAAAAATACTACCAGTCACATTTTCTAAGCATTCTTTATTGTATACACAGTTGATCATCCTGGACTGTATAAGAGGCACATGTTCGAAAAAAAAAAAAAAAAAGAAGAAGAACAAGCTGCTGTTTTCACTCCAGGGATTATTTTACAGGGAACTCAGCAGGCTCAGCCCTTCCTTAGCATTTTTTTCTGTTTCTGTCCCAACAGAAATGAGATTTTAGTGTTTGTCTTTTGTGCTGCTAACACTGAGCTTGCCAAGGTATCCCTGTTTGATGCTCTACTTCCATTGATGGAGCGAGGGAGGAAAGAGCAAGTAAATGAGGAAGCTCTGAGATTTCTCTTCCCCTCCAAATGGCAGAGATAAATCTAGCCAGTGAACATGAAGGCGCCCTGGCTCAATTAAAAACCAACTTTGATAAAATATTTTGTTTAAAGAGAAAAATAGTCTCTCCAGTGAAAACTGTTTAGGGCAGCTGTGCAGGGGAAGCAGGTGTTGAGTCTACCCTGAGGGCTTCAGAAATATTAATATTTAAACCTCTCACATTTCACTAAAGTTCACGACAGCTTCCTAATGCCTGGAGGAAGACAGAGCAGGAAAATCACAAGCCACAAAGTGGGGAATGCCTTCTAATTTGGCCAGAGCAGGGCCTGATTGTCTGTCTCCCTGACTCAGCCTCTCTGATTTGCTGCAAGCTCACAAAGACCATGCATTAGAATTTCAAAGCTGGCTCCATCCTCCACACGCTGTAAAGACATAACATGTCATCAAAACACAGGGTTTTCCAGGCCGTGATTTGTTTGTCTAGACTCTGGCCATTGAACTCTGTTTATTACTAAACAGAGTTTAGTGTGGAATGGGCAACAAATCAAAGGGGGCTCTGAGAGCCCTGAGTGCATGCAGACACTCTTCCTTCTCAGTTTCCACTGCTCTTAGAGGTCTATCTTTCCCAGGACCCAGGGGCTGATCACTAGACTAACGTTTCATCTTTTTTTGACCTGGGACATGACCCTGGGCCATTTGTAACCCTCAGATCCCCTCCCCATCATTGTGCAAGTAGGCAGCCCTTAATAATTATATTCTGGCGGCTGCATGGAGAGGTCATGAAGAATGACTAATGATTAACATTTGAAAATGGAACATGATAGGAAAATACCACCAATCACGGCAAAACCGTCTGTCAGAAGAGCAGAGGGCAACGACAACAAAACACTATTCAAAGAATATCCTCTTCCAAGATGAGAATGTGCCATTCAGAAGAAGTCTTCAGGTTTGTTTTTCAAAAGACACATAATTATCAGATACGTTGTTATCATTTTTAATGCATAATTGTTAGCCTACTTGTTAATGAATATATATTTCCTACTTTAAAAGACTTGATGTAGAGGATAAAATGGAGATTCACAGCTCTTTTTAGAAAATAGTGCACAACTTGATTCTTTTAAAGAAAAAGCATCTCTGTTGCCTATAAAAATATAATTGCTTTGTACAAAAATAAATTATCTCAGGCAGCATTTCTGAAACACATCGATTACATTAAGAAAGACCTATGAGCTAAGAGAAGGCTTGTAAGTTCAGAGGCTAAGGATGGAGGTCTCTAAATGAAAAGGCTTAGGTACCAACTCCCTATGAACCTTACATTAACAGAGGCCTCTGGTTCAGTTTTAGCCCTTAGAAAAAACTGCAAGTGAAGTCAGTTACCCTAATATTATCATCCCTGTCAAATGCTCCTCGGTTAAGGAAATTGTAAACAACTGTATCCTTTATGTCTTGGAATAAGATTCCATTTACCCAGCTGGAGTGGCAACACCCCACTAGGTCAGGCACTGTGGGCCTTTTGCCTGTGATTCCATCCTCCCCACACCTCCACCTCACCAGGTAGGTGTCTATCCGTGCAGAAATGATGGCTGAATTAAATTGAATAAATGTTAGAACTCCAAAACAAAACAACATATTATCTAAATGGGCACAAGCTATCTAATCTGTGTTTCACTTCTGCTGCCAGAAATGGAAAGCTATCACTCCAAAGGCATGTTAAGCAAAACAAAATAATACTTCCAAAGAAGGTCTAGCTTCTGTTCTGTGACAATTTGGTGATCATTCATCAGATGGACAAAAAAGCCAAAAGGGTCAAACCAACCAGAACTTAAAACGATGGTCAGGAACTTCTGACCTATCCTTTGTGGCAGTTTCAAGGAGCCCAGTAGAAGATTTGGCCCCAGCTAGTCACTATGATCTCTCTACCTGCACCCACGGGCTAGGACTAGAGACCCATCTCATCCCAGAGGTGTCAATCATAGGCCTATACACACTCTGCACAGTTCTAAGGAAATTTAGGTGAAAGGAGTGGGGAAAGAATCAACCTAGATGTTCCTGGGGCCCATCCTGACCAAGGCCCTTGGTATGGCTTCAAACCCCCAAAATGACAAAGAGGACCTCATGTTTGCTGCCCCAACAAACCTGATGTAATTTCACAATAGATCCAGTTCCATTAACAGAGGCCTCTGGCTCAGTTTTAGCCCTTAGAAAAAACTGCAGGTGAAGTCAGTTACCCTAATATTATCATCCCTGTCAAATGCTCCTCGGTTAAGGAAATTGTAAACAACTGTATCCTTTATATCTTGGAATAAGATTCCATTTACCCAGCTGGAGCGGCAACACCCCTCTAGGTCAGGCACTGTGGGCCTTCTGCCTGTGATTCCATCCTCCCCGCACCTCCAGCTCACCAGGTAGGTGTCTATCCATGCAGAAATGGTGGCTGAATTAAATTGAATAAATGTTAGAACTCCAAAACAAAACAAAAACCAAATAGTCATTTTCATCCACATTCACACATCAAGTGTTTTTCTTTAAAGGCTGAAGGGGATAGCAGGTGAAAGTAGAAAGAGCAGACGGTATGAGAAAACACCCCTCACCCAACCAACTTGGTCATTGATTTTTTTAAAAAAGGAGTCTTTATCTTTACACAGAAGGTAGAAGTTATAATTTAACTCTCAAGTTAACTATAGGTCCCCTTGCCTTTCAAGTCATATGAACACAAAAGGCTTTAATGATTTTTTAACTAAAGAAGGAAAAAACATACCATATGAAAATCACTTCTCCCCCCTAACACGAATACACTGGCCACTCAAAGATAGGTCTGTGAGATCCTTATCCACAGGATCTATTAATAAGAGCAGCACAGGAAACTCGGCACAATCACAATCCAAAGTTTAGTTTGACAAACACAGGAAGGCCACTGGCTTAAGAGTCTCTGCATATGCAGTTAAAACCTCATTTGAACACCTGCATAATCATTTCCCTCCTAAAAAAAAAAAAGGAGAGTGGATTTTTACTTGTAAGTTCTCAGTTTTAAGTAGACCAAATCTAACGAACATCTTTTTCCACCACAGTGAAGAAAAGAAAAAGGAAATTCCATGGTCTCCAGTAACAAGTTTGCAGAAACACAAAATCATTTTTACAAGACACTTATCTCTCAAGACTATTCACATACACAAGAGGGGAATTTTTACAGGCTAATGTGACATAAAATTTGTATATAAAATCATCCCTTAATGCCCCAGAGGACTTACTCCTTTACAAAATCCTTTAAAAAAAGAAGACAATGATCATCTCTGGGTTATGAGATTATGAGTACTTTTTATTGTTCTTTTTCACTTATTTTCAAGCTTTTATACCAAGTTCAATTTTTGCCTTTAAAATCAGAAAAAAAAATAATTAATTCTTATGGTAGAATTCGAGATGAAGAATCTCTCTGAGGGCTGTCAGCCTTTGTGTTAATTTTTTTTTTTTTTTTTTTTTTAAACAGGGTCTCACTCTGCCACCCAGGCTGGAGTGCAGCGGTGCCATCTCAATGTAACTTCCATCCCCTAGGGTTCAAGCAAATCTCCCGCCTCAGCCTCGTGAGTAGCTGGGATTACAAGTGCACACCACCACGCCTGGCTAATTTTTATTTATTTTTATTTTACTTTATATTTTATTTTATTTTATTTTATTTTATTATTTTATTTTATTTTATTTTATTTTATTTTATTATTTTATTTTATTTTATTTTATTTTACTGAGACGGAGTCTTGCTCTGCCGCCCAGGCTGGAGTGCAGTGGCGCGATCTCGGTTCACTGCAAGCTCCGCCTCCCGGGTTCACGCCATTCTTCTGCCTCAGCCTCCCAAGTAGCTGGGACTACAGGCGCCCGCTACCACGCCCGGCTAATTTTTTGTATATTTAGTAGAGACGGGATTTCACCGCGTTAGCCAGGATGGTTTCGAAATCCTGACCTCGTGATCTGCCCATCTCGACCTCCCAAAGTGCTGGGATTACAGGCGTGAGCCACCGCGCCCAGCCACGCCTGGCTAATTTTTGTAATTTTTGGTAGAGACGGGGTTTCAACCATGTTGGCCAGGTCGGTCTTAAACTCCTGACCTCCAGTGATCTGCCTGCCTCAGCCTCCCAAAGTGCTGGGATTACAGGCATGAGGCACTACACCTGGCCCATTAGCATGGATGTTTAAGAGGCAATACCTCCGGGCAGACACATCCCCCAGATGAAGACTGGATTTAGCTCCAGTCACCCCTCTGGAGTGCACAGTCCTAGCTTAGTCCCGATTGTCCATCTTTCTGTGATCCAGATTTCTATGATATCCAGTTGTGCTTACATGTTCATTTGCACTTGTGTGTGACTATGGGACCAAAGTCCTCAATCTTCACACACTGACCAGGAATTTGATTCCTGGCACTGTGAAATCCAAACTGGCCCTGACGTTTTACTCAAAAATCCTTTCTAAAGAAGCCATGACAGACAGTTATATCTTGAGACCCAGAGCAATTTTACTTACATGTCGGCATGAAGGAACAACAAGGGCCTCACTAAAAAGTAAGGGTATGCCAATATGAACAAATAAAAAGGCCTGGCTTCATGTCCCCTGTCTGCATGTGCAACTTAATCAAGATGGATCTTTACTCACTGCAGTTCTGGGGCTTCATCAACCTCAACATCCCGTTCTATTTACTTTTACTTTCAAAATAATGCCCCTGACCACTGCCATCCCCACAACTCTGACACCTTCCTAAGTGGATGTACAGGTCTTCATAGCTGTGGACGACACAGTCACTTCTAGTCTTCACTCCAAGACACACAACAGGTTCCCTGTAGAGATGCAATGTGTTCCTGAGTATCAGAGCGTTCTGCCACCCACTCAAATCTGGATTGTGCACTCACAGCCCTCACCCTTCCCAAGTTGGCCAAACCTCCCAGATAGCAGATAGAGGCTGTGAGAAGTAAAACAGTCATCTACATCAACAAAAGGGCGTCAAAGTGACATATATGGACCAAAGAGGGAGGGAAGGAAGAAAGGAATCGCCACCTAGCCAGGCAAATGAACAGGGGTAAGTCTGGCCATCAGAACTAGCTACACAATTTTGGGGGCCCATTGCAAAATGAAAATGCAAGCCCCTTTTTTCAAAAAGTATTAAGAATTTCAAGACACCCGCAGCAAAGCATTAAACCAGATATGGGCTGCTTTCAAGGATGGGGCCATGGGTTACTACACAGGTCACATGCCCATGAAGCCTGTCCTGCTGGCTGTCAGTGGTAAAGTCACTGGCTTCCATGTCCAAATTAGCAGCAGTCAAATGGGCTAGAGAGGACAGTAGTGAAATAAATAAATTAAATAATCCATTAAGGGGTCAAAAGCTATGTGTCCTAGGTCAGCTTCTTGTTTATAGATAGCTCTACACATTTTTCAAAATATTTTTCTATTTTTTATCTGGAAAATGGAGCATCAGTAGTTACAACATCACAGTGATAGGACTCAAATTGGCAGCTCCTGATCCTGCAAGTAATGAGAATGTTAAATATACCATCTAGCCAATCATGGAGGGCAGTTTTCATTGTAACAGAACTGGATGGAATTCAAATCACTTTGGCAAGAAAACCCAAAGCCATAATTTTCTCCCATGGCGTACTCAAATTCAGGTAGAAGTTAGTTATGAATGAAATTTCCCTTTATCTGGGCTGCCAAAGACAGCACTGCAGGCCTTCACTTCCTGGAAAACCCTAAACCAAGCTGGGTTCATGCTCCCACCCAGATCAGCCTTTCCTCAAGGGCCCCAGGAGCGCCTCATCCCAGCCTTTCTGGGAATTCTCCAGGTTCTGACATTCCCGTAATTCCTCCCCAGGTCTCGGCAGGGATCCCAACGTTTAAACTTATGTACGTATTTTAAAACCAATTATTTTCTCTTTATGCTCAAAAAGTGGTTGGAGCTGAATTTTTGACAAAATTCGTAGGATTTAAGATATCTCCAAGCTAGATTCTTCATCCTTAATAAACAGTTAAAGAAAAGAAATGTCCAGGCACTAACTCCACAGCATGCCAAGGCCAGAAACTGCTCTGCAATGTAAATCGCTTTTTAAGGAGAAAAGAGAAAACATCACAATTCTAAAACCGGCACTAAAAAAGTTATGCTGGGGTGGATGAATGGTTTGTGGAGCTGTAAAAACATACTTAGGTCTTGTATGAACATATCCTTGAATTTCAAACATATGAGCCACATCATTATTAATAGCCTGGTATATACACTGCCCAGTTTTACCCGCTCATACATCGACCCCACATACACTCACAGTTCCTCCCCTGGGGGGCTGAGCAAACACATAAAATTCGTAGGGCCTGTGGCTAACACTTCTTTATTTTGAATAGCCGTATTTCACATGGAGAAGGCAGGGCGGGAGAGCTAAGATTTATTGACAGCCTACTGTGTGCTAAGCCCTGTGTCAAGTGCTTTCATAAAGGTTAGCTCATCTTTTCTTCCAAGGGAAGCCCCGATTGAAAGATGAATGACCTTATGAAGGTCACACAGCCGATCCATTGGAGAGATAGCATTCAATCTCACTTCACCGGCCCCAAAGCCTTCTTCTTTCCACTCCAGCACAGCGCAGTTCTGATGCTTCATGAGCCAGCAGCAGGTTCAGTAGCTGAGCTGAGGACACAGTGGGGCAGCGCCCAGCTAACTGTTGAAGAAAGGGACAACTGTGGTGTCCAGGGGGTCACAGCTTGTCCTCCCTCCCCACCGGAAGGAGTCCAGCCCTGCAGATAGAGCACAGGCACTGGAGGCTGTAATAGTAAGAATAGTCCAGTAAAGCAGCTGGACAGAGAATCAGGGTGTCCGGACTGGCGAGCAGAGCCCAGCCTAGAGGATGCAGAAGTGGGTGCCATGCAGACAGCCGCATGGTCAGGTAAGCTGTGGCTGGGCAATCTCTGCAGAGCAGAGGCCCCACCAGCCACAGCAGCCTACCAGTCAGTGACTAACAGTTGGGTGCACACAACGAGAAGTGGTATATCCCAGGCTAACACCTCGCTGCCTGGTTCAAATGCTGGTTCTACCCTCTGTAAGCTGGATCACCTTGACCAAGTGACTTAAAGTCTCTGCCTCAGTGTCCAATACCGAACAGAGAGGTTTTGCAGATTCAAAGGAATGAATACATATAAAGCACTCGGAGCAGATGCGGGAACATAGACAGTGGGTGGTCATTGTTAGATATTACTATGTACCAAGAATGTTCTGAAGCAGGCCTGGGACCCCATTAATTTATTTCGACTCCAAAGAGGCAGAGTCCTTTGTGAGAAGCCTTGGAGCCCCAACAGTAGCCCCATATCCAGCAACCCCTCACACAAACAGTCCCAGCTCTGAGAGGGAAGAAGACAATCTGCTTTAAGACCCAGGCAATCTGCTTTAAGCTCCGTGGGCAGCAGCGTACAGATAGTGTGTGATAGCCCACATTTCATTTGACAAGACTCCCAATCCCTTCTCTAGGGCTCAACACAAAGAATGGGCACTATCATGGCAGAAGAGGATCCCTTTCCCTCATCTGGTGCTTCTGAGAAAAGCCATTAAGTTGCTGGAGCTGAAAATATTTGCAAATTCCAGGAGAGTGTTTCCAAAGGAGTACCACGCATTCCCCTTTGCGATTGTAATAAAATGCTTGGATGCTGCCATGGGAATTGCCATCCCCCAAGCCAGTCCTTGGAGCTCCCCAAAGGGAGGGCCACCCTTCTAACCAGAACTTTCCCAGCATGGAGCCTATCAGCATTTTCATCAACTAGAGAACTGGTGTTCCTTTAAGCCGAATCACAGAGATTAATGTTTCAATTTGCAGCTGCTTAATGGTGTTCTGTGGAGCCTCTCCCTTCTGTCATTTGCCCCCCGGTTGGCCTGAGGATTTGCAGTTAATGGGGCAGCTAGGGAAGCCTTTCATTTCCCCTTGACTGGGTGTGTTAAAACGCTGATCTGTTTCTCGATCAGGTCTCTATGTCTTAATCTCAGTCTTGCCCTGATGGAATGTTCCCCTTCATGCTTTACCAAAGCCAGGTATTGAATATCTAGAAACTGATAGCTTTGGCAAATGCCCTGCTTGCTTCTTCCAAGAAACCAGTCCCTAAGGGGGTAGATATCTAAAGTAAGCTTAAAACAAGAACATGCTTACCCCTGCTTACCAATATGATTGCTATCTTTTGCAGTACTGATAGCTCCGTTTGCACCTTTGCTAGGGACATAAGATTAGACAAGAAATGGTTTTGTTTTGCTTGTTAGTTTCTCCCGAAGCCTCCTTCCCCACCTCCCCAACCCATCACTTTACACTTCTGTTCACTCTCTGTGCACTCTGTTTACTGAGACTCCTTTCATACGTTTTGTCTTTTTCAGTAAAACCTTTTTTCAGTGACATAATTATATGTTTGTATCTGAGTCTACCAAACAGAATCCAGAAAATCCAGTACAAAGAGCCTGGAAGTCTGCTCCCTAAGTGCTGGCCTTCTTGCCCAGTGACCTAGCCCACAGAACCAAGGCATCTTTGCTTAGGGCCTGCCCCTGGCCCTGAAGCTCCCTCATATGAGGGAAAGCTAACTGACTCTGGAGTCTCCTCACAGCCATTTGCTGCATTGGAAGGCGGTGGGATTCTCCAACTAGGCAGGGGGACCAAACAGAATGCTCCCAGCCAGGGACTTCCCACCACTTCTGCTGAGAGATTTCAGCTGGCGTCGCTCAGAGGGGCTGGAACAATTTGGCTGTCCACAATTTTCGTATTCTTTTTGGTGAATATGGTTGTCTCCCGGGATTTTAGATGGTGAAGGCAATAGGACTCCTCCCTCACACCTCATTCCTAGAGCCTATATGTTAGGCTATGGTTTGCATATTTGTCCCCTGCAAAACTTATGTTAAAATTTAATCCCCTATGTGACAATATTAAGAAGCAGGGCCTTAAGAGGTGATTGGGTCATGAGGGCCCTGCCTTTATGAGTGGATGAATCCATTCATGGATTCATGGGTAAATAGCTTATCATGGGAGTGGGACTGGTGGCTTTGTAAGAAGAGGAAGAGAAACCTGAACAAAGATGCTCAGCCCCCTCACTATGTGATACCTGCACCACCTCAGGACTCTGCAGAGAGTCCCCACCAGCAAGAAGGCTCTCACCAGGTGTCCCTCCTTGACCTTGGACTTCCCAGCCTCCAGAACAGTAAGAAATAAATTTCATTCCTTATAAATTACACAATTTCAAGGTATTCTGTTATAAACAACAGAAAATGGACCTAGAGACAATTCTCCATGATTCCCTCACTTTCTGCATGTCTTGTTAGCAAGACATTGACTGCCTTTGTTCTGGACTACCTTTTCAAAAGTGTTTGTATAGTGAATAATCTTGGAAGACAGAGTGTCTCTCTCCAGAGTTTGCTTCCCATTATAAGATATATAAGATCCCGTTTCCCTCAATGAAGGGGTCATCTCCTGTAACATAATCCACTCCATGTATTGGTGTCACCTGGCCTTCCCATCACACTTTGGGGATTGAGGCTTGAGGAACTGGGACAAAAATGCTAATACTCTGGCTACTGCTTTTGCTGTGAGGGATAAACTGTCCTTCATCTCTGACTGAAGAGTCTCATGTCTTCTACCAACATCCATGAAACTATGGCAGACCACCTTGTTAACTTGTAAGTAGGGCTAAGTCTCAGACCATTCACAGTTCTTGACAATATATTATAATAACAACAAGTATCAAGCTACCTTTCAGCACACATGTAAACATTTATTAACAAACAGGCCAAAAAAGTCATGTAATCTGTTCTTTTAATGGGTGAGCTCCTGCTTCTCTGTCCTTTAAGCATGTCAGCAAACACTTTCCATGAAAAGTTTACCTGAGGTAGATGTGGCCATATTCTAGTGGCAAGATTAAGCTAATATTCTATTTGGATTAGGTGACAGAAGCATCTATCAAGTGGCAGAACACTGGACTAGACTGAAGCTCTAAACCAAGTATCCCACCACTCCAAAGGGTATTAGGCTTTTGGACTTACCAGAGTCTTGTCTTCTGTTCATGCAATTGAATATTTCTACTCAATGCACATAAATAGAATGTCATTCAGCTCCCCAATAAAAAATTTCTAGCATCCCTTATAAGAATTAACAAATTCTCTAAGGCAGATCTAGATGGGCCTATTTAAAGTCTACTTATGGTAATGGCCTCTGGGTATGAATTCCAAATTAGGGTCTTTCAAATGCTCACTTACTACCCTAGAGTATGAATCCCTGATTAGGAGGTAACTTCAAATGTTTGATCTATCCTAGTTTATTATAAGCAGCAAATCATGCTTGGTTCACACTGTCTATTCTGAAGTATGTTCAATTACAACACTTTAATGGAAGCATTTTGTTTTTTAAAGATACAGCTTCTAGGACACAACTCTTCCCTCTTTCCCTTCTCTTGGGCTTTCTCCATTATAGGAAAAAAACAGTTGGTTAGTCGGCACTTTTTGGCTTGCAGAGCCAAGGGTCTTTGGCACAAATGGCCTCCGATGAGTGCCAGGTACAGTCTCATGTTATTCAGTTGATTTATACCCTTAAGCCCAGTTTAAAACCCTAATAACTCTCTTTCTCCTCCCTTCAAGTTACCTAGCTCATTTGCTAGCCCTTGTCATATGGCAGCCTCCTAGTACACTACCGGGCAGGCTATCCCAGGGTCATGGAATAGAAAGAGTCACAGACTCACATATTTGCAATAAGATGCTGATATTGCACAATGTATTAAATTTATTTAAAACACATGGCAAGATGTAAGGGGAACTAGACAGGCTAGGTTAACACACTTAGGGTAAGGTAAATATAAGCCAACTGGGAGGACCACACTGCCTGATTCCTACTTACACAATTGTTCATATGCCTTGTCTCTTTCTCCTCCACATGAGCCTCCTCTGCTACTGATGTGGTTATAAGGACCCAAAATGAGGTTTAAAAAAAGAGGCCCAGCAAATGTAATGTGCTTGGAGCTAAGATGTGCTCATACTCCACAGAGATCTGAGGGCAAGTAAAGCTGGCTATAGCTGTAACTTGCCAAACAGCCTGCTGAGCAACTATAGATTTTTATTTGCATTTTTGGGGTCAAGTACATATGGGCCCATAGTGGGTATAATGGATGTTCCTATTAGGTGCCAATTTAGGGATGGCATAGCTGTCATCCCAGAAGTGACCAAATCATATGATTTAATCTTTCTGTTTCTTCTTTATCTAAAAGTATTCATCTTATTTGTTCCATTATATATTCCATTCCATTCTTAACACATCTTTCAGGTTACCCACTACCTATATTTAACATATACCCACTACCTATATTTTGCCCACATTGCACAGTCTGCTTGCTTCTTCTTTATCTGCATGCCTAACACAGCTAGTGAGTTTTGCCTATATCACATGAGCTACTTGCTTACACAGCAATGTGTGCTTAACACATCTTATGAGTTTCAAACATCCTGTTTATTTTTCTTGTATTTTTTGAATATTCTCAATAATATAACCAATAACCAGCACAGATATCCTAAATGAAAATGTAGACTATAAAATGGTGCATATAATGATTGCAAGTACATAAGAATATGAATGTACATGAATAATAATTGGAAGATAATACATAAAAATAAAAAAATATGCTGGGGTAGTGGGGTCATGAGTAACTTTTGTTTTCAAAACTTCCTTTGACATCGTTTGTATAATGTGTCCTTTTTTAACTTTTATTTTAAATTCAGGGGTATGTGTGCAGGTTAGTTATATAGGCAAACTTGCATCATGGGGAGTTGTTGTACAAAATATTTCGTCACCCAGGTATTAAGCCTAGTACCCATGAGTTATTTTTCCTGATCCTCTCCCTCCTCCCACCTTCCATCCTCTGATAGGCCCCAGTGTGTGTTGTTCCCTTCTATGTGTCCATGTGTTCTCATCATTTAACTCCCACTTATAAGTGAGAACATGTGGTATTAGGTTTCCTGTTGCTGCATTAGTTTGCTAAAGATAATAACCTCCAGCTCCATCCATGTTTCTTCAAAGGACATGATCTTCTTTTTTTTGTGGTTGCATAGTACTTCATGGTGTTATTGTACCACATTTTCTTTATCTGGTCTATCATTGCCATTTAGGTTGATTCCATGTCTTTACTATTGAGAATAGCGCTGTGATGGACATACACACGCATGTGTCTCTATGACAGAATATTTTCAGTAACATTCATTATTTGTAAATAGGCTAAGATTCCATATAATCTATATATAATACTCCCTTCTGACTAAGCATGCAAATGAGGAGTATTTAACTGCAAAACCTATCTCAAGTTTAAGGAATTTGAAGAAGTAAATTGAACTCTTAAGGAAGAGTTTGGACTCTGAACCATTTATTTGTATCTCGAAGAAAAGGCTTTAATGATACAGGCTATTTACATATTTTACAGCACAATTTTTAGGCAATAGATTTAGCCATAATTTTTTATTTCATTTAAAAATAACTACTGAATACAACCCATCTGGCAATATTTTCTCTTCCTATTTATAAGCCCATTTGAAGTTTCAAGGTAATACAGAAAAAATCAAAATTATTTATGTGTTTTTGAGTAGAAATTTCCCCTTTGCTTGATTGACTACAGCAAAAACTAAGACTATGGCTCTAGCTCTATGTTGATTACCTTCTGAGCCAGTTTCCAGAGTGCCAAGCGCCCTTAGTTATGATGCCACAGGTTCATCTCTTACATTCATATTTTACTATAAATCAATGGGTCTCTCAAAACAGAGATTTAAAGGGGTCTCAGAGCTTCTAAATCGTTAGAATCTTTTAAAATACAACTGGTTTCCCAATCAGTGTTCAGAAATGAGAGCTCCTCAGTGGATTCCAGCTAAAGATCTGCCAAAGCCACTTGCAGTTTAGTGAGAACTGAGCTATCCTTTCATCAAATAGCCTGGCAATTTAGCAAAGTGTGATGACATGAATAGATAGACTCATTCGCATCTTATCTTTTGAATTCTGCTCAACTGCCCAAGTTGAAGAGTGTGTAACTTGAGCAAGGGCAGGCATCCTTAACTTGAAATTTCCAAATGCCAAGGAAAAAAATTTAGAATGTCCTTGATATGTATGGGGGTTATTTAAAGCACTCAATTGCTCAGACAACTAAAAGGTCCATTACAGGCAGAAATAATTTTTAAGTTAAGTTTGAGCCTGTTCAAGTAGAGCCTCTCTCCTAGTATTTGTCACTAATAGTAAGTGTCCCAGCTAATGTACATAATGCTTGTTTTAAATCTTCTCACTCTATCAACATGTAGTGAAGAAAAGCTGTTAGTCCATCATAGTTGTGCTGACCAAAGCAATCATTCTAGTAAAATCATACTGCATTTTTGTTTGCTCAAAGCCAATTTTTTAAACACCTTATTTGTGTAAAGAACCTTATAAATACAGAAACAGTTTGTTTTAGATAAACAACAATTCTCACTGAGAACTATAAATTTAGTATTAGTTGGCAAATAATAGTAGGCATATGAATTATATATATGAGAGAAATAGGTTTAAAAAATAGATTAGCCACATTACTAAGGGGCTTATACATTATCATGAAAATATTCATCTTGAAGGATTATTTCAACTGGGCTGCCATTTTTTGGAATCATTTTGGAATTATTGTTGTCATTGCTTTCAGAGCCATTTTACATGAAGAAGATAATATTAGGATATTACAATTAGGCCTACTTTTTTTACTGAACCTGACTCCTAAGGACTGTGGATGGTCTTTGAGAATCAATTTACCTTCCAAGCATAAAGACTTTTCCTCACTGAATACAGTCGGAGAAAATGACAGAGGGACAAGGGGGAATTTTCACTCCACTTTGGAGCTACTTTGAAAGGGCTAACACTCACTTACTTGGAAGAGTATGCACTGGTGTGTTGTGTTGTTGAAAAATAAATTAGGTCCCTTGCTTCATGGTTTCCCTCTGTCCGTGCTGAGAATAAGGGAGCTCTCCTAGCAGACTAGAGTCTCCCACAGAGCACCGTTTCACAGGACTGTGAACAAGAGTGTCACAAAGGATCAGAGGGGTTCCTACAGGGCATGCTGCCACTGTGGAGCTAAAGAACAGCTTTCTGGGGCTCCAGCCTTGCTTCAAACCAGCCTTGTGGGGTACTCCTGGAAAAGGGACTCTTCTAAGCCTTCTCTGCTTGTTTACTCACCATGCAAAATTGAACCTCCGGTGTGATGGAGCCCAGCATCCCCTCACCACTTGTTTGGGGCCAAAAAGAAACCCAGGACCAGGAGGATGAGGTTACCCAGTGCCCTGCAGATGGATCAAGAGTTATAACACAGGTCGGAGAACATGCTTCACAACCTTTAACTAGTTATTACAGTAACAAAAAGAACAGCCTGGAGAAGCTACTAAACAAAAATAGTGCAGTCTACCTTGAGCCAAAGTGCCCAATCAGGGGCCAGGAAAGGGGCAAACTAAGTGTCCTTTGTTTTCCAGCCAGGATAACATTCAATTTATAACTGTCCCAAGGACAGAGTAAAAAGTTCAGTTCACAGGATCCATCATGCCTTCACAGTAGTCTGTTCCCTCATCTCAGGATTTTAAAAACTCCCAAAGGCACAATCCCAAACACATACCAAAGTCTTCCCCTATGAGTTCTTGCTATTGACTCCTCAACTCATGGCCCATTACTACCTAGAGAATAAGAAATGGATTTGTCCAAAGATTTCCACCCCAGTCTATCACTCTCCCAGCCTACGACTCTATTTCTCCTTTTTCCCATGGCTAGTCACATAAAAGCAGTGGAGGAACATCTCAGGGTTCAAGGTTAGGCTAACAGACACTGTTCTCTGCAATTCAGTTAACGGGACTTGCGCTTTCAGCATGAACCAGTTTCCTTCCATGTCCTCACGTTTCCACTCTGCCGCAGCCCCACCAGAGGATCATGCTCCTTTCCAGCAAGTTCATCTACTTCCACTCCAGGCTTAAATTGAGCACTCTCTGAGCTGCCTTAGTCACAGAAAGCAGGGACCATTCTGCTCGGCCATAGGTCCACTTCTAGGCTTTACACTCCTACACCTCCTTCCTAGCCTCTTGATCCCAGGCTGGACAACATGCCCTGGATTCTGCCACAGAAAGTCCTCCGGGGAGACAGCCAGGGAATAGAACAACTCCTGAGCTTCCCAAGCTGCCTCCTGTTCCCAACACAATCATTCCTCTGTCTGCTCACTGGCCCTCTATAAATTCTTCTTTGCAAATTTCACAGTTTCTTCTCCTAGGAATTAGCCTTCAACATCACAAACAGGAATACCCCAAATAAATACAGGTCACCAACTATTCCATCCAGTGAATATCCCAATCTACACAACCTACCCACACAAAGACAGGCACTTGTGTACTTTGCCCCTATTTCCTGGCATGTTTTAATTCCCAAAACATCCATTGATAAATATTTGTGGAGAAGCAAGCCTCTGGATTTCCCTCCTGATCTGACAGCACACTAAAAAGCATTAGGTTTAAACCCTAATGATGAATACATCAGTAACTCAACAAGACGTTCCATAAACATTGGGATTATATTTATTTATTCCACTGGTCACCACGAAGGTCATGCTATTCTTTCCCTCCCAATGCTAATTCCCCCACTTTGCAAACACACCTGCCACATATTTCTCATCTTGAGGCCTATAGGCTGCACACTTCTTTCAAATATGCCTTGATGCTCTCCTACAAGATATGGCTACACTGCTTATATAACACAGAATTGAAGCCTTTATACCCCAGGCTTAGAGCCTACATTTGCTCTGGGCCAATGCTACTCAAACCACAGGGTAGATCAGAATTACCTGGAGGGCTTGTTTTAAAGGCAGATTCCTAGGTCCCATCTGCTTTGGATCTTAAGAATCTCCTTTTGTAACAGACCTGTGATTCTAAGAACCACTCTGAAAAGCACTCGTATTTGGTGTCTTAGGTGTTTTAATATATTGTAAATCTCTTGAGGCCAAGGCTCACTCCTTGTTCTTCTTTGCATCTTCCATAGGCTTTAGTACAGCTTCCAGGACACAACAGGCCTTTAATAAATTTAGGACATTTAGGACTTCTTATCACTTACAGTATGTTACATTGATCCTCCAACATTATCATGCCTTTTGTAAGAATGCTAAACAAGGAGCTGTTTAAGAAAAAAACAGGTGTGTTTTGAGGTGGTGTGTGTGCAGGGATGATAAATTCATCTTCCCACACTTGCTACTCTCTCTTCTCATAATAAAACTCCATGTGTGAAGCCTGGCCATTACCTTCTCAGCAGGAGCTAGTGAAATGTTAACTTTTAGCTAGCAATTAGTCGACAGACCCCCAGATCACTTATCTATTTTCCCACTGTTTAATCTCTGTCCTCAGAGATGCACTTCTCACATTCCTTTAGAATGACCTGGCTCTTGAAAGCACAAATGCCCAGCCCTAAATCCAGCCATCCAGCTGAGGGATTTGTAAGAACCACTATAACCATCCTCCTCCTCCTCCTCTTTCTTTTCCTCCTCCTCCTTGGGAAAATGTAAAAGAGCCAGTGTGAATCCTCACTCCAGTATTTCCTGGTTATTCCTAGCCATAGCATGTGACATGAGCGCAGATGGATTACCCCAGGGACACCAGTGTCCATCCCAGGATCCAGATAAGAAGAGACAACTCACTCCCAGAGGCATCACTCAAGCCTGGGAAAATGTTCATAGGTGTATCTGGTTTTTTTAAATTTGATATAGTTGTAACACTTCAACTTCTACTAGAACCCTTATTCTCCAATAGCTGGTGGATATTTTAAGAATACTAAAATTTGGGAGGTTCTTTTACTCCAAATTTAAAGAAACAATAGGAATTTCAAAGTCTTTTTTGTTTTTTTGTGTGTGTTTTTTGTTGTTGTTCTTGTTTTTGTTTTTTTTGAGACAGAGTCTCACTCTGTTGCCCAGGCTAGAGTGCAGTGACACAATCTCGGCTGACTGCAACCTCTGTCTCCCAGGTTCAAGCAATTCTCCTGCCTCAGCCTCCTGAGTAGCTGGGATTACAGGCATGTGCCACCATGCCCAGCTAATTTTTTTGTGTTTTTAGTAGAGGCAGGGTTTCACCATGTTGGCCAGGCTGGTCTCAAAATCCTGACCTCAAATGAGCTATACTCCTCGGCCTCCCAAAGTGCTGGGATTACAGGCATGAGCCACCACGCCTGGCCTGGAATTTCAAAGTGTTAATACACATAACTGAGCATTTTACAAAGGAGTCCTAATGATTCTGTATAATGCATTACATTATATATAGGATTGAAGCCAACATCTATTGATTAATTATACCAGGCACTATTGTAAGCCCTCCATACATAGTGACTTATTAAAACAATACAACAATCCTTGTATGGCAGATGCTATAATTATCCCCATTTAACACATAGGGAAATGAAGCTTAGAGAACGTAGGAACGTTATACAGGATGCATTTAAGCAGAGCCAGACTTCTCTGAACACTATGCAGTCATCTACTATGTCCTACTGCAGCAAGGATCTCCAGACCAAAAGCCAGAGGGCTTACCTCTGTCCCAAATTCCTGCAATGAAACACAGTCTTTGGGAAGACACGTTCATTTTAAAGAAGTACCATGTTTTTCAGACAGGGTGCAACTGACATTCTGATTAGGATATTTTTTCATTGTATAGTACTGTCTAGAGTATTAAAAGATGTTCAGCCTCCTTAATCCCAGGATATTAATTGCCAGTACCACCACACAATCATTGTACAGCCAAAAATATTGACAAGTAACTCCTGGGGACAGAAGACACCCCTTGCTTAGGATACCTGGAAGGGACAAAAGACAAAATTTCACTTCAGTACTGTACTGTGTAAGCCAAATAATTTGTTTGAAACTCATGACCTCCCAAGGATGGAAAATGAATGGAGCATAGATCAGCCATGTTTTGATGGGAGAAGAGCCAGGGACAGGCTTAATGTTGGTTTGATTCACCAGCTGCATGAGTAATGGAAATGCTGGACATTTGTATTACAAGGCACAGAGGAAAGAACATGAGTGTGAAGGTCCCAAAGATGGGGCTTGGAATCTGATGAGGGTTCACAATTTGTCAGCACAAATTAATTTGCCTCTCCAACATCTCAACTCCCTCATGTGTAAAGTGGGATGATAATACCTACCCCACAGAGTAACATTGAATGAAATAGCTGATATACAAGTAACTAGAGCTCTCTCTGCTGAGGACAGAAAAGCTCTAAATAAATTTGAATCCCCTTCCCCCTTCTCTCCCTTTGGCACTGAATCAGTGGTCATAGACGTGGGTTCCAGTCCTGCCCTGCTGTGTGACATCAGCCACCTCTCTTCACATCTCTGGACCTCAGGTTCCTTGCCTGTAAGAAGAAATGAAATTAAACTGTCTCTGAGCAAACTTACAAGCTAAAACTATGATCAGAACTGGGTTGGGAGGGGGGTGGTGTGGGCACGTGGAGATCCATGAGCCAGGGCAGGAAGACAGAAATGTGAGAGCGCAAGAGCAGCCACCGTGAGCAAACCCCTGCCAGGGCCCCGAGCTCCAGGGACACGAACAGCTCCAGCACTCCCGGAAAGCACTCCTTCAGGCCTAATCACAGGCATTGATTACTTCAATGTAGAAACTGCCATCTTAGCAGGATGTCCATCTGTCTCTGCCTCCGCATCAGCTCCTGCCAACAGCATCTCCCCTCCCCAGGTTTTTCTACCCTCATGGTTTTTCTACCATTGCCTCATGGTTTTTCTACCCTCCATGCTACTTCTGTTCCAAAATCACCCCTTCCTAGCTGGGCGCAGTGGCTCATGCCTGTAATCCCAACACTTTGAGAGGCCGAGGTGGGTGGATCACCTGAGGTCAAGAGTTTGAGACCAGCCTGACCAATATGGTGAAACCCCATCTCTACTAAAAATACCAAAATTTGTCGGGCGTGGTGGTATGCACCTGTAATCCCAGCTACTGAGGAGGCTGAGACAGGAGAATTGTTTGAACCCGGGAGGCGGAGGTTGCAGTGAGCCGAGATCATGGCATTGTACTCCAGCCTGGGCAACAGAATGAGACTCCATCTCAAAAAAAAAAAAAAAAAAACCCTTCCTCTTCTCCAGTGCCCACCCTGTCCCACCCCATACTTAGGACACTCTTCTCAGGACACTGCTGGAAAGACTGAGTCCAGTGAAACACTTAGTGCTAAGATGGCAATGATGACGACACCCCCAGGGCATGCCACACTCCCTGCAGAGCTGCCCCTGGAGCTGCTCTCAAACATAGGTGTGGTCCTGGGCTGTCTTCCTGTTTGCAGCTCTCCCAGCAAATCAGAAGGGCTGAAGCCCTTGGGACTCCAGGAGGCCTCCCTGTCCTTGCCCCGCCCCCCAGTCACGATAAATTCATTTACATAGTAATAAGGGGAGCTGATGGATTTACTTTCTTCAGTGACACTCTCCCTGACTGACCGTGCCGGCTCTGCCAAGTCACAGTGTTCTGTGGCCTTGCTCATCATAGCACAGCGCCTTCATCTGAGCACTTCTTGCTTTGTTCCTAAGGGGAAGTCCCAAGAAGTTGGGGTCAGGGTCAGGAGAGAAAAAGGGAATGGCTCACAGTCATTATAGATTCCCGGTGGTGAATGATGACCACAGCCCTGGGACAGACGAAGCTCCCATCCTAAATACAGGCGTTAATAGGGCTGAAATGCACTGACACCCCGAATCTTAGATATTGCCCATCCTGAGCTCAGAGGACATTTCCAGTCAGGAGATATTTAATTATACATGCAGTTTGCAGGTTCAAAGGGGGCTGAAACCCCAGGCTGTCCAAACTGTGAAGAGGCCTAAAGATCGATTAGTCCAATCTTCTCATTTGTACTGGAGGGAACCGAGTCTCAGGGAGGTGGAATGACTTGCGCAACCCTGCACAGAGGTAAAACAGAACAAAGACCAGAACAAGGCTCTGGGACCAGTGCTCCTTCCTCCAGACCAGGCTCCCCAGACCAGGCTAACCTCCTTGGCCAAAGCAAGGAAAACAAGCCCTGGCCCTTAGGCTTGTGAGATTGGAGAGAAGACCTGAAGAAAAGCAAGACTAAAGGAGAATCTTACACGTGAGTTCTTTCTCTGTCTTCTTTTGGTTATTCTGTTTTCAAGGGAATTTTTCTTTTGGAAAATTATGAGACTATTTCGGGCTAGAAGATCAGTGTGATCACATGATCTGGTGACAATAATTGCTTAGAGGTAGGGAAGATGGGTAGGTGAAGGGTGGGGGTGGGGGGCAGGAGGAGGAGGAAGAGGAGAAGGAAGAAGAAGAAGGGCTAACACATAGCATTAACTATGTACTTCTTACGTGCCACAAGCTTTATAGCCACCAATTCATCTGATCCTCAGAATTCCACGAAGTAGATACTATTAGCATCTCCATTTTACAGATGAGAACACTGAGGCACAGAGAAATAAAAGTAGCTGGGCCAAGTCACACAACTAGGTAGGTTTCATTATAAATGAAAATTGGGCAGACTGCTCAGCATACCAAAGGATACTTCTAATTCCTTAATTAAACTCATTTCAGAGAGCTTCCATGTGTCTACACCTTCAGGAAAAAGAACCTTCTAGAATTATTTTTATTCCAGAAAGTAAAACATCAACGTCAATTTTGGAATCTGTTTAGAAGCCCTAAATTTTTCAATGACTGTCCTCAAACTAGTCACCAGGTAAAAGAATTTCACAAAGGCAACTGCTCAGAAAGGGTCTCAGAAACATGACCCCTGCTCACCACATACACACCCCACAGAGAGGGCCCTTGCTCTTCAGCCTTTACTTCAGTGAGATGAGGTCTCTTTTTGAGCCCCTAAACTTCTACTTAGTGTTTTCTGCATTGTTTCTTTTTGTTTTGTTTTGTTTTGTTTCGTTTGAGACAGAGTCTTGCTCTATCTCCTAGGCTGGAGTGCAGTGGCACAATCTTGGTTCACTGCAACCTCTGCCTCCCAGGTTCAAGAGATTCTCCTGCCTCAGCCTCCTGAGTAGCTGAGATTACAGGTGTGCACTGCCATGCCTGGCTAATTTTTTGTGTTTTTAGCTAATTTTTTGTTTTTTGTGTTTTAGAGACGGGGTTTCAACATATTTCCCAGGCTGATCTCAAACTCCTGACCTCAGGCAATCCGCCTGCCTTGGCGTCCCCAAAGTGCTGGGATTACAGGCATGAGCCACTGTGCCCAGCTGGCATTGTTTCTTGAATGTTCATGGAGGATACTAAATTTATGTTAAAAATGAATAAGTTCAGAAAGTCCATGGAAAGAAATGTGTTTCTTTTGCTTTTTTTTTTTAAATTTACCATCTACAAAGTAGGTGATGGGTGTTCAGTCTCTTCTAAAGAGTTGGCAAGTTTACCCCTTAAAAACTACAGACCACAGTGAGGAATCCCCACTTTAACCCTATAGTGGACCTCACACTGCAGTATTAAGTAAAATACTTCTTAATGACTATTCCAATAAATATGCCAATGTTTTCAGATGGTCTTTAAAGAAACCCCTGGCCACTCCCAGTGTCTGTTCTGCACTCCCCATCAGCACCATGCACAGCAGTCCCTTGTTCTTCTGTCAGAGGGAAACTAGTACGATAAGAGCCTTGTTTCTGATAAGAATATCTGTCACTGACAAAAAAAAGGCAATGTGTTTTTTATTGAGCTGACCCCCCCACACACAAAAAGCAATACACAAAATTCATTAATTATAAGCCATCCTCTGTCTCAAGCGCACACACACATTTGCATTTTCAAAAGCTCCATTCTGCCTATTTGAAAAAGCTACATTCTGGTTTTTCTGAGCTAGTGAGGAAATAACTGCACCTAAAGGTACCGCCAGCATTAACTCTCAGGGCACAAGACATATATTTAAATGGCACAGGCTCCTGAGCTTCGTGGGGAAGGATGTTCACAGGGAGAGGTGGCACTATCCTTGACTCTCACCACTGTAAAAACAAATGTCAGCTAGGAAGAGTGAAGGCAACATCTGCATTTGTGGAGAAGATCCTGCTTTTTGTGCATTTGTGACATGGCATGAATACCACCTACATGGAGTTTTGCTGAATTTTGTGACTGTGTATGAATGAAAGAAAATATCCTATTTAGAATAGCTCATTCTCCCTGGAAATATGTATTAACTTTTCAAACAAAAACAATTCATCAAAGCCACTTCTTCAGATGTGCTTTGTGTGCACCAAGACAATTCCTGTGTTTATATTTGACATGATGCAACATCTTATAAGAATTATTTGTTTTAAAAGAACAATGAGGGCAGGCCTGTTCTCCCCTGTGCAAGAGGTGTGTAGTGTGTTCTAAAAGGCTGGAGGGTGTGCTATGTGTCTTTGTCACACTTAGGATTTGGAAAATGGGAAAGGTGAGGAAAGTGAGGAATCCTACCTGGTGAGCCCTGGCCTAGAATGAAATCTAAAATCTTCTACACAACTCATTCTGGTTTGTTGTTGTTGTTTGTATTGTTTGAGACAGAGTCTCACTCCTGTTGCCCAGGTTGGAATGCAGTGATGCAATTTCAGCTCACTGCAGCCTCCACCTCCCAGGCTCAATCAATCTTCCCCGCTCAACCCAAGTAGTTGGGATTACATGCGTGCACCACCATGTCTGGCTAATTTTGTGTATTTTTTGTAAAAACAGAGTTTTTGCCATGTTGGCCAGCCTGGTCTGTCTGGCTCAAGCAATCCACCTACTTTGGTCTCCTAAAGTGCTGGGATTACAGGCATCAGCCACCACACCTGGCACAACACATTCTTAACATCGCCCTTTTACCTGTTAAATCTTACAATTCTATATTGTGTAATACAATTATCAATAAAATGGCATGCCCCACAGTTGTTAATGGCCCACACTGCAAAGTGGGTGTGTACCTGTCCTATTCAGCCACACCATGTGATATGGTTTGGCTGTGTCCCCACCAAAATCTCATCTTGAATTCTCACATGTTGTGGGAGTGACCCAGTGGGAGGTAACTGAATCATGGGGGCACATTTTTCTGTGTTGTTCTCATTATAGTGAATAAGTCTGACAAGATCTGATGGTTTTAAAACAGGGAGTTTCCCTGCACAAGGCCTCTCTTTGCCTGCTGCCATCCACGTAGGACGTGACTTGCTCCTCCTTGCCTTCTGCCATGATTGTGAGGCCTCTCCAGCCACATGGAACTGTAAATCCATTAAACCTCTCTCTTTTGTAAATTGCCCAGTCTTGGGTATGTCTTTATCAGCAGTGTGAAAACAGACTAATATAGTAAATTGACACCAATAGAGTGGGGCATTGCTGAAAAGATACCTGAAAATGTGGAAGCGACTTTGGAACTGGGTAACAGGCAGAGGTGGGAACAGTTTGGAGGGCTCAGAAGAAGACAGGAAAATGAGGGAAAGTTTGGAACTCCCTAGAGACTTGTTGAATGGCTTTGACCAAAATGCTGATAATGATATGGACAATGAAATCCAGGCTGAGGTGATCTCAGATGGAGATGAGGAACTTGTTGGGAACTGGAGCAAAGGTGACTCTTGTTATGTTTTAGCAAAGAGAGACTGGCAGAATTTTGCCCCTGCCCTAGAGGTCTGTGGAACTTTGAACTTAAGAGAGATGATTTAGAGTATCTGGCAGAAGAAATTTCTAAGCAGCAAAGCATTCAAAATGTGACTTGGGTGCTGTTAAAGGCATTCAGTTTTAAAAGGGAAACAGAGCATAAAAGTTTGGAAAATTTGCAGCGTGACAATGCAATAGAAAAGAAAATCCCATTTTCTGAGGAGAAATTCAAGCCAGCTACAGAAATCTGCATAAGTAATGAGGAGCAGAATGTTAATCACCAAGACAATGGGGAAAATGTCTCCAGGGCATGTCAGTGACCTTTGCAGCAGCCCCTCCCATCACAGGCCTGGAGGTTTAGGAGGAAAAAATGGTTTCATGGGCTGGTCCCAGGGTCCGTCTGCTGTGTGCAACCTAGGGACTTGGTGCCCTGCTTCCCAGCCACTCCAGCATTGCTGAAAGGGGCCAACGTAGAACTCGAACCATGGCTTCAGAGGGTGCAAGCCTCAAGCCCTAGCAGCTGCCATGTGGTGTTGAGCCTACAAGTGCACAGAAGTCAAGAATTGGGGTTTGGGAACCTCCGCCTAGATTTCAGAAGATATATAGAAATGCCTGGATGTCCAGACAGAAGTTTGCTGCAGGGGCAGGGCCCTCATGGAGAACCTCTGCCAGGACAGTGTGGAAGAGAAATGTGGGGTCAGAGCCCCCACAGAGAGTTGCTACTGGGACACTGCCTAGTGGAGCTGTGAGAAGAGGGCCACCAACCTCCAGACCCCAGAATGGTAGATCCACGGACAGCTTGCACTGTGTGCCTGGAAAAGCCACAGACACTCAACACCAGTCCAGCCTGTGAAAGTAGCCAGGAGGGAGGTTATACCCTGCAAAGCCACATGGCAGAGCTGCCCAATGCCATGGGAGCCCACCTCTTGTATCAGCCTGACCTGGATGTGACACATGGAGTCAAAGAAGATCATTTTGGAGCTTTAAGATTTGACTGCCCTGCTAGATTTTGGACTTGCATGGGCCTGAGCCCCTTTGTTTTGGCCAATTTCTCCCATTTGGAATGGTTGTGTTTACCCAATGCCTGTACCCGCCCTGTATCTAGAAAGTAACTAACTTGCTTTTGATTTTATAGGCTCATAGGTGAAAGGGACTTGCCTTGTCTTGGATGAGACTTTAGACTGTGGACTTTTGAGTTAATGCTAAAATGTGTTAAGACTTTAGGGGACTGTTGGTAAGGCATCATTGGTTTTGAAATGTGAGGACATGAGATTTGGGAGGGGTAAGGGGTGGAATGATATGGTTTGGCTGTGTCCCCACCCAAATCTCATCTTGAATTCCCACATGTTGTCAGAAGGACCCCATGCTGTTCTTCTCATGCTGGTCTTTCCTGTGCTGTTCCTATGACAGTAAATAAATCCCACAAGATCTGATGGTTTTAAAAAGGGGAATTTCCCTGCATGAACTCTCTTTGCCTACTGCTATCCATGTAAGATGTGACTTGCTCCTCCTTGCCTTCTGCCGTGATTGTGAGGCCTCCCCAGGCACATGGAACTGTAAGTCCATTAAATCTCTTTCTTTTGTAAATTGCCCAGTCTCTGGTATGTCTTTATCAGCACGTGAAAATGGGCTAATACGCTGTGGCTGCTGATAGCTTTCCCAGCTATAATGGTGAATTTATGGGAAAACCATAAGGGAAGCTCAAGCCCAGGCCCCTCTCCAGTTCATCTTTCTTTGTTCCTTAATGAGGGTTACATTCCAATAGCAATATAAACTTCTCCCCTTCAAGTTCTGATCACTCCATTCGTGTTATTTAGGAGGAAAACTTTAAGTCTCCTGAACCATTACTCTGCAGAAGTTTTGGTCTGAAATATACCAATTCTGGTCAACATTTGCCTAAGCAGTGTCCATTCCCCCACTGAGTTGTCAGCAATAAGCAGAGAGATCTACTGAGGTACCAACATAGGGCCTTGGCTTACAGTAGGTGCTCAAATAATAGTTATGGAAATGAAGGACATCAGTTGTCCTCTAATGAGAACAATATCATCTTCTTTGCCTCTGACAAGCACTTATTGGAAAAAGAGTCCCTACAGGGCTGGGTTTGCCCAGAATGTCAAAAAGAATGGCAGTTGAACATTCTGAAAACAGCTTGCTCTGTTAAGAATATGACATTCATAGAAATGGATGCATCTGTACATGGTTGTAAAACTGGGGACCATCTTGGTGTTCTTTATCATTGAGATGTGTGAAGGAATCTCATCCTTAAAAACAACAGAACACAAAAAATATGGACGAGTTTAGCAAAGGGATTAAGGGCATGGGCTGGATTTGAATTAATTGCTGTCGGACCTGAGGACAAGTTCCTGAACCTTGATAAATCTCAGGTTCATCTACAAAATGCAAATAATAGAATTACCTCATGAGGTTGTTGGCAGGATTAAGTGAGATCACATGCTAACAAATAATAAATGTAACCTATTAATCACAGTGATCTTGATGGAATAAAATAATCCAAGGGACAAGACAAAAATTATCTCAGAAAAGAACTGATTCAGGTTGGAAGGAATGAGGGCCTCAACCAATATCAGCTTTCACCCACAGTTTCTCCTCCTGCCAAGAGAGGGGTTCTTTACTTGGGATCTACAGAGCCTTCTGGCTCCCTAAAACTGGACACAAACTTTTGTGCATATGTACATTCTTTTAAGAAAGGAGTCCGTAGTTTTCATAAGATTCTCAAAGGAGTCTGGCACCCCCCAAAATTAGAAATCCCAGCCCTGGGCTATATCAGACTCTTACCACAAGTCTTGTTTTCTCATCTAAATGTACACAAAGCTCCCTTTCTTCTCCCTCTTTTGGTTCAGCTGACATATGGTGGGCTTTTCAAAAGAATTTTGCTAAGATTCTAAGGAGAAATTAGAAAGGGAAATAAAGCACACACAAAAGCTAGGTGAACATCAAAGTACAGCACACACTAGTGATTCTAAGATTCTGCAACAGCATAGCTACACATTGGCTGGGCCTGCTACAGGTGCATAAGCCTAGACTTTTTTCCCTCTCTTTTGTCCCTTAGAAGACTTGCTGCTTTCTTTTATTTAAAAGATGAATTAATTTAGAGACTGTCCTATCTTCTTAGACTTCTTAATATACATTCAGACCATTGCTTGTCTCTTAAAATAACCCCAAATGAGAGTTTACTAAAAACCAAGAGAGGCTGAAAATTATTCAATCTCTTTGTGAGTAGGTGATTGGAAAGTGATACAGAGGTGATCAGAAAGAAAGAGAAATTGGGGAGATTCAGAAAAAAGAGAGAAAAAAATCAAGGTTTAGCCTTATATTATCAATAAAAGGGTTTGTTTTGATAAGGAAGCATGCCGTTACCAGTCATTAAGGACCTTAATGTTAATAAGTTTCAGAGGCTTCACTGAATAATAGATTCTTTTCCTGGTACGGAGAAGTCAGAACTAGGTAAGGGATACAGATTCCTGTAGGGAAGTGTTAGATCCCTGAATATGCTCTCCTCCGCTTCCCTTATCCTTAAGTTTGAATAGGTGAGGGCCTTCTAGAAAGGGGAGGCAGGGAGGGAAACATGAAGAATAAGGAAGTTTCTGAAAATCATTCACATCTTTTTCACAATCACTTACTGAGCTTTTTTAATTGGGTGCTAGGCTCTGCATGAGGCCCTACAATGTAAGAAAGTGAGTAAAACCAAGGTCATGTCTTCAAGAAGTTCTTAATCCAGGAGAAGATATAAGTGATAAGCAAATATCATTCAAAATGATAAGCATATTATCATTTGTGATGAGAAGTCCAAAGAAAAATAAGGTTGGAGAAAACACACCTCATGTTAAAAACTAGATTGCCCTGCTTTAAAATTATCTTTGGGATCTGCCCTTTCCTGTCTACAACGACCCCATGTTCTTCCTAGATCCATAAGCCAAAGCTGACATGAAATGATGTCCTGGAATCAAAGCATTTTATGGTAAAGTACAGAGATGAGGTGGTCTGAGCATTTTGAGTACCTCTTTTCTACTTCCAAGGAAATGAGGAAGAAGAAAAGGGAAGTTGTTCTTTTTCCCCATAGACTTTTCCCCAATAGAATGAAAGTTCTCCCTTGGAACTGTAATTTTTCCCTTTGCTTCTAGAATGCCATGTTCTGCAAAACTGAGTTTTACCAGTAACTACTTTGCCAGAATGTAAAGAAATCTCAGGCTGTGAGCTCCGTAAAAGTAGGCAAAGTATGGTCACACGGTCTGGTGCCTTAAACTACCTTGGCACCAATCAACTCAATAAACAATCTTGAACCAGATGTTACTTCTGTTTCCTAGTCCTACTTCTGCCACCAAGGAAGCCAAACACTTGTTGTGTGGACCCCAGTTCAATTCTAAACCAAAACCATTCTCTCCACTGTCAGAGGAACTTTTCAGTGCGTCACTGAAAGATGGAAATCTTGCAGGAGGCAACAGGTGTGGGGAGGGGGAAAGGGAACAAGACAGACCAGCCCTGGGGGCCACCAGAGGGATAAAGGAGTGAGCAGAGGCAACAGCACTTATATTGGCAGGAGGCCTGGCCTCTTATGTCTGAACTTCTTGGAACTCTCACCAAACCACGGCCCACCATGCCCAGCTTGTCTCTCTCCACTAGGCTCCAGGCCCACCTTTCAGACCAGGCCTGCCCAGGTGGAATCACCAGCCTGGACCACGTTAGTCAGCATCTTAGTTGGTAGACAGATGTTTCCTCACTGCTGCAGCAGCAGAAGAGCCGTTGCTTGTCCAAAGTTAGGAACTGGAACCAAAGCTGAGCCCTCCAGCTAACATACACACACACACTCCTGCCCCTCTCTCTATACTCCTTATCTCTGGTATGGATCCATTGTTCTTTTAGCTCTCCATACCTGACAGCAAGGGCTCACATTTCACCCTTCCTCATGAATAGTCCATCTACTGAGTAGTCCAGCTCCTGGAAACTCAAGCCATCATCCCTTCTTGCCTAGATTACTGCATCTTCTCTAGGTACCCTCTCCCTCCTTTGAATCTTGTCCTCTCTCCCACCCTTTTCCAAATAGTTCACCATGGAGCTGCCACAAAAATAATATTAATCTGTTCATGCTTAAAATCATTCAGAGGCTTTCCAATGCCTAGGGAATAAAGTTGGGATGCTTCTGATGTCATATAAGACACTTTCTAGGCCAGGTGCAGTGGCTCACGCCTGTAAACCCAGCACTTTGGGAGGCTGAGGCGGGTGGATCAACTGAGGTCAGGAGTTCAAGACCAGCCTGACCAACATAGTGAAATCTGTCTCTACTAAAAATACAAAATTAGCTGGGCACGGTGGCACATATCTGTAATCCCAGCTACTTAGGAGGCTGAAGCAGGAGGATAGCTTGAACCCAAGAGGTGGAGGTTGCAGTGAGCTGAGATTGTACCGTTGCACTCCAGCCTGGGCAACAAGAGCAAAACTCCATCTCAGGAAAAAAAAAAAAAAGACACTTTCTAGTCCACCCATCTCTCTAGCCTCTCAACGACCTCCTCCTACCACTATGCATGTGCTGTGCTCCACCCATGCTGAACTTCTTGCTGTCTCCCAAAATGAAATAGTTTCACCATTTAAAAACAAAATGAAATTTACTGAAATGATTTGAGGGTTGAAGTTTGGGAAAAGGCAGGAACAGTGGACACTTGGGAGGAAAGTATAGCAAGAATGTTCTAATAGGAACAGTCCAGCAGGCCTGCCACCTTGCAATGAATTTCCTCCCAGGCTTCGGTCCAGCCTTGGATCAGGAACAAAGTTTCAGCAAAAAGCATCTGAGCGGTACACCGCAGCTTCGTACCATGGTTGTACCGAGGTCAGCTAAAGGAGAATGTGATTCATTCAACTCCCTAGTAGAAGGAAGCGACCCCTACATTACCTCCTGCCAATAATACAACTATGGAGGACAGGTACAGGAAGAGGTAATTCTCCAAAGGAAGTCGGTGCAATATAAGGAAGGGGGTAAACTGGGAAGGGTTGGAGGTGGGAGGATGAAGAGAGGTTGGTTCGTGGGTACAAGCATATAGTTATACAGAAGGAAAAAATTCTAATGTTCCATAGCAGAGTAACATAACTATAGTTAGCAACAATGTATTGTATTATCTTAAAATAGCTATACGAGAGGTCTTGAAATGTCCCCAACACATAGGTATGATAAATGCTCAAGGTGATAGAAAGCCCAGATTTGATCATTACACCCTCTATGCATTTAACAAAATATCACATGTATCCCATAAATATGTGCAAATATTGTATATTAATAATAAAAATTTAAAAAATAAAATCATCATGTTAACATAAAAAAGGAAGAGGGTGCAGATGCTGGTCATCTGAAAAGTAATAATCATGTATGTCATGACCCTATTTTTCTCCATACTTGAAATACTGCAACTCCCCTTACTCTTACCTGCCACCACCACCCCATTTTGCCTGATGCATGGTTATTTTTCCACGAAAGGTTAGCTCTGACATTACCTCCTCTAGGAAGTCTTCTCTGACCTTCATAGACTGTGTTAGGGAACCCCTCACCTGCATATCTTTATCCTGTCTCTTACCATATGAATTAAAATTGTTTCTTTGTCCATTTCCACAATTATGTGTTAATATGGCCCCTTGTAACAAGGGGTCCTAACCACCAAGTGTAACGCTGGGAAAAAAATGTAGATGAACTTCAAATAACTCACTTAAAAATAGTGACCTGCCAAAAATGATTTTTTGGACTGCTTTACCAAACCATTTTTAATAATGGAAATTGATGTTTCTCTGGAAACCCCTTATATATTCTTGCATAATTCATGTGTCTTTATGCTGTTTCATGATTTGCATACTGCATTGCTAAGGGGATTCTAAACCCAAATTCCCCTGTATCCCAGTCTCACCTCTAGTTCCTCACTGATGTAATTCAGCACCATGTCATAACTGTTCTCCCAGAGCTGAAGCAAGTAAGTTCACTGAAATCTTGGTTGGTATTCTTAATCTGTAGGAATTTTCTATTGTTTGTCTTTTTATTGGCAAAGGATCTTAGTTTAATCTGTGGAAGATATAAACATATTAAAATATTTCTACAGCCATGTTGTGTGCTTTTGAGAATGACTCACTCATTTTTAAACCATGTTCCTTCCTAAATCACTCTGGCTTTTCTCCAGATCGATTTCTTTAGAGAATATTGCAAATTTATTACAAAAGGGGTTGCTAAGTGAATCATTAATGAGCTTAATAAAGTCATTTAAGAGAGAATTAATCTATGTTGAGTGGGCTTTGTCAGACACAGAGCCATTTTTAGGAGAATAATGCTTGATAGATGGGAAACAAAGGACAATATCAACATAGCAGTAGCGGTAATGGTAGATGTCTCAAAGATGGCATCATAGGAACTGCTGCTATTTTCATCCCCAGAGCCTGCCTCTGCAGATCAAAATGACATTGTAAGCTCATGCTTTGAAGTCGCTACCTGCACTCCAAACACTTAGCAATTATAAATAAAATATTTTAAGAACGAATTTAAAAGAAAGTTTTAAAAAAAGTAAACCACATGCCCATACATACATAAAGAAAAATAAATATCTATGTGCTAGAAACAGACCAGAAATATAACACAGTAGTTACTAAAGCTGTGAGCTTGTGGGCTCTGGAGACACACACAGATAGGCAAGATAACTCCTCTGCAGTATTGGGAGTAAAAGGGCCCTAGGTGGTTGGTGCCTGGATCCAGGCTTATTGCTTGAACCTAAATGCGGTGAGGAACTTCTGCCCTAAAAAAAGGTGCAGCTGTTACCTAAGGTTAGGGCTTATATAAATGTGCATCTAGAAAAGTAGGAACAAGCAGGTATGACCAAGACTTGGGCCAACCTGCCTCCTGATTCAGTGACTAAATCTGTAATATCTGAATATCATCGTAAGATAAAAGTTCAGGGCCACCAACATAAAACCAAGTTGTGGACTGGGGCCCTGTGACCAAGCAGGGAGGGAAAGGTATAGCAAGAAGAGAGAAAGTGTGTGTGATGCCACTTGAAATGTACATCACACAAGTTAAAATTCTAAAACAATTAAAGAAAACTAACATTAAGAAAGGGAGCCAAGAAAATCAATATTTGGGATACATTCATTCCAGAAGAAATGGAAATACAGGCATACCTCGTTTTATTACATTGCTCTTTGCAGACACTTTGTTTTTCACAAATTGAAGGTTTGTGGCAATCCTGCTTCAAGCAAGTCTATCATGCCAGTTTTCCAAAAGCATGTGCTAACTTTATGTCTCTGTCATAGTTTGAAAATTCTCACAATATTTCGAACTTTTCATTGTTATTAATCTGTTATGATGATCTGTGATCAGCAATCTTTGATATTACTATTGTAATTATTTTCAAGTGCCACAAGTCACACACACATACGACAATGAATTTAGTTGGTAAATGTTGTATACGTTCTGACTGCTCCACCAACCGGCCATTTTCCCATCTCTCTCCTCCTCAGGCCTCCCTACTCCTTGACACAGAACAATATTGAAATTAGGCCAATTAATAACTCTATAAAGGCCTCTAAGTGTTCAAGTAAAAGGAAAAGTCCCGCAACTCTCATGTTAAATCAAAAGCCATAAATGATTAAGCTTAGTGAGGAAGGCATGTTGAAAGTTGAAACAGACTGAAAGCTAGGCCAAATGATTAGTCAAATTGTGAATACAAAGGAAAAGTTATTGAAGGAAATTAGAAGTGCTACTCCAGTAAACACACAAATGATAAGAAAGCAAAACAGCCTTATTGCTAATATAGAAAAAGTTTGAGTGTCTGGATAGAAAATCATACCAGCCACAATATTCACTTAAGCCATTCTATGAAGGCTGAGAAGTGAGGAACTGCACAAGAAAACTTTGAAACCAACAGAGGTTGGTTCATGAGGTTTAAGAAAAGAAGCCATCTCCGTAATATAAAAGTGTAAGGTGACGCAGCAAGTGCTGATATAAAAGCTGCAGCAAGTTACCCAGAAGATCTAGCTAAGATCATTGATGAAGGTGGCTACACTGAACAACAGATTTTCAGTGGAGATGAAACAGCCTTCTATTGGAAGAAGATGCTATCTAGGACTTTCCTAGCTGGAGAGGAGAAGTCAATGCCTGGCTTCAAAGCTTCAGAGGACAAGCTGACTTCCTTGTTAGGCACTAACGCAGATGGTGTCTTTAAGTTGAAACCAATGCTCATCTGCCATTTGAAAATCCTAGACCCCTTATGAATTATGATGAATGTACTCTGCCTGTGCTCTGTAAGTGAAACAACAAAGCCTGGGAAACAGCACATCTGTTTATAGTATGGTTTACTGAATATTTTAAGCCCACAGTTGAGACCTGCTTCTCAGAAAAAAAAAAAAAAAGATTTCTTTCAAAATATTAGGGCTTATTGTCAGTGTACTTAGTCATCTAAGAGCTCCGATCAAGATGAACAAGGATATTAATGTTTTCATGCCTGCTAACACAATATCTATTCTGCAACCCATGAATTAAGAAGTAATTTCAACTTTCAAGTCTTACCATTTAAGAAACACATTTTATGAAGCTATAGCTGTCATAGATAGTGATTCCTCTCATAGATGTGAGCAAAGTAAATTGAAAATCTTCTAAAAAAGATTCACTATTCCAGATACCAGTAAGAACATTTGTGATTCATGGGAGGAGGTCAAAATATCAACATTAACAAGATATTGGAATAAGTTGATTCCAACCCTCATGGATGACTTTGAGGGGTTCAGGACTTCAGTGGAGGAAGTAACTGCAGATGTGGTGGAAATAGCAAAACAACTAGAATTAGAAGTGGAGCCTGAAGATGTGACTGAATTGCTACAATCTCATGATCAAACATGAAAGAATGAGGAGTTGCTTCTTCTTACAGATGATCAAATAAGTAGTTTCTTGAGATGGAATCTGCTAGACCTGGTGAAGATGCTGTGAACATTGTTGAAATGACAGCAAAGGATTTAGAGTATTACATAAACTTAGTTGATAAAGCAGTGGGAAAGTTAGAGAATTGACTCCAAGTTTGCAAGAAATTCTACTGTGAGTAAAATGCTATCAAATAGCATCATATGCTACAGAATAATCTTCTGTGAAAGAGTCAATTGATGCTGCAAATTTCATTGTTGTCTTACTTTAAGAAATGGCCACAGACCTCCCAATCTTCAGCAACCAACACCCTAATCAGTCGGCCACCATCAACATCAAAGCAAGACCCTCCACCAGCAAAAAGATTACAACTTGCTGAAGGCTCAGATGATTGTTAGCATTTTTAGCAATTAAGTATTTTTTCATTAAGAGACGTACATTTTTAGACATAACGCTGTTGCATACTTAGACTATAGAATAGTATAAACATGACTTCTATATGCACTGGGAAACCAAAAAATTTGTGCGACTCACTTTATTGTGACATTTGCTTTATTGCATTGTACTGAAAATGAACCCACAGTGTCTCTGAGATATGCCTGTAATAGAATCTGAAAGTGAATTTACTATAGGGATTGTGGCCTGGGCAACGTGGCAAAACCCCATCTCTACTAAAAATACAAAAAAATTAGCCAGGTGTGGTGACATGCACCTGTAGTCCCAGCTACTCAACAGGGTGAGGTGGGAGAATCACTTGAGCCAGGGAAGTTGAGGCTGCAGTGAGCCAAGATTGCATCACTGCACACTGACCTGGGCAACTGGAATAAGACCCTGTCTCAGAAAAATAAAAATAAAATAAAATAGGGATTGTTAGAACCATCAAGGAGAAAAAGAAAGGAGGAATATTCATAAAAATGAATAGTAAATTGTGAACGAAAATAACTAAAAAATGAAACAAGAGCAGGTTGATATTAAAAGGGACAAGTTGGAAATTCTGGTAATAAAAACCATAGTATTTGAGTAAAAAACTCAATAGACAGGATTAACTCTGTCTTGGGTATAACAAGACGGAGAATTAATAAATTAGAAGGTTATATAGAGGAGCTTACCCAGAATGAGCAATAAAGAGTTAAGGAAGGGGAAAAAACATGAAATAGCAATTCAGAGACATGGAAGACATATTGAGAAGATCTAACATATGTCTAATAGGAGTTCAAGAATAAAATAGGGGAAAATATCTGTGAATCAATAGTCAAAGAGATACTATAAACTTTTCAGATGGAAGAAAATGATATATGTTCTCAGAAGAAAAGGTTACATACACCAAGTGCCAAAAAGAATACATAGTAACGAACCTATAACAGGAAACATTTTTCAGTGAAACTACTGAACATTGAAGGCAGAGAGATAATCTTGAAAGCTTCCAAAGCAAAAAGACAGCTGCCCTGCAAGGAAAAGACAATTAGACTAACTCTCATCTACAATGGGTGCCAGAAAACAGCAGAATAATCTTCTCACAGCCTTGAGGAAAACCAATTATCAACCAAGGCTTCTATACCCAGGTAAACTATCATTCACAGCAGAGTAAAATAAATCATTTTCAAGAAAAAAGACTGAGTGTGTTATCACTCACATGCTAAGCCCCAAAATTGAGAAATCATTGATAAATATGATTAACTATTTACTTTAAGTAACTAATGTGTGTTTTTAAAAGGTAAATCTAAAAACCTAGATAGCAATACTATGGGAGTGGCATTCAATGAATAGAAAATGCATGGTAAGTTCCTTAACCCTTTCAGGAATATAGAGATAGTTAATCATTCTACATTTTGTTAGAAATTTTACAATAAATATGCATGAAAATTTAGAGGTAATCTCAGAAAGTAAAAACTATAAAATAGAAGGCAGAGTCTTATAATGAACAGTCTTGAAAAATCTGTAGAACAGGACTTGAGTTGTGGAGATAACGGTTCAGTAAAGGCTGCCCATGGCCTGAAAAAATAAAATTTCCCAATATTTTTTCTTTGCTACTAAAGAAGAACTTAAGCACTAAAGAATCAAATGCCATGAAATTGAATTCAGATACAAATTTAAGTTTTTGCTTTTTAGTAACTAAAGGATTTAAAAGAGAAATTTAACATGGCCTCAACTCCTAAGTCGCTATTGATTATCAGATACAACATTTATGTAAAAAACAACTTTTTTCCTACTTGACCATTGATGAGAAGGTGCCACCTGATTTCCAAAACGTTAACATTTTAAATCGACAAAATGTATTAACTTACTTGACTTTGAGCCAAGTAAAATTGTTCTCAAGTGCCTTGGACTCTTCCAAGGAAGCTTATTAAAATGCAGATCCTGGGGGCACTCTAAGAGACTCGGATTCTGAAGATTGGAAAAGGCTAGAGATTTGCATTTTTAACAGATAGTTCTGACACAGATGATGGGAAGACTGCAAATTTCTGAAATGTTGACTGAGTAAAATCAAAATAGTAATAAAATTAGCCAGGCAGCCCTGAGGGAATCTTAACAGCAAACATAAAAATTGAGCCACCCATTCTGAAAGACATCCAGGTTGGAACTAGGAAAATTCTAATTAATGAGTTAAATACTTGTTGAATCCTAATCTAGAAATCAAAAGACCTGGTTTCTGTTCCAGTTCTGCTGGTAATTAGCTTTGAGACTGTGGGAGAAGTAGGGGGATTATTTTTCCTCTCTGGGCCCAAGTTTCCTCATCTATAAAATAAGGTTAAATTATTCTCTGCCAGCTTTAATGTTCTTTGGCTCTGTGAGTTCACATAATGGGATTGTGGGCCAGTAATTAATCTAATCTTTATAGATTCTTCGAAAGAAGCCCCCCGCCTTATTTCCCCAGGAGATGGCAGTGGGAAAGTACAGCATAGAGAAACCACATTAATGCTGCAGAGAGGCAGGTTCTGAGTGAGACACCAAATTGACCCTCAATATCTGACCTCCACCTTCCCCGTTACAAAACTTATTCTTTAAAAGCTTACCAAACGAATACAGCAAAGGATGGGTAAAGAAAATGCAGTCAATCTCTTCTAAATGCAAATTACCTTGGCAATTATGCAAGCAATTTAAAATAACAACGAGTTGCAAGCAAGAACAACAAAGATTTGATTCCCAAGCTAGAAACTTTCAATTCAGCCGAAAGCTACAAATCCTGGGAAATGCAGGCCCCCAGAACTGCATGGATGGTGGTAACAGAGACACGTAACAAAACAAACTTCAGAGAAAAACTAGACTTACCTAGTTCTTCTAAGAAAAATAGAGTTTTTCTTTAAAAGCGGTCTTTTGTGAGGCTTGGATTCCTCCAGCAATGAATGTAGAGCCAAGCTGTGAACCCAAAGACTGGAGCCCTACACACCTCCCCAGCTTTTACTGTAGAAATCTTTATTTGTTCTGGAATCTCTTTTATCAACACTTCACTTACTCCTACAGTGTGAACTCCAAACAGTCCTGTTTAAGAAACTATCTGCAAATACCAGAATGGCTAATCCTAAAAATAAGGTGTTAATTGGTCTCTTGGTGATTCCAACCCCAAACATAATAAACTAGTATTTCTTTTTAAATGTGGGGGTTTTGCCCCACTGCTAGTCTGAAGTACTGGGTCTTTCTTTTTCTGCTGCTTTTCAGCTTATGTTTTAGGTAAAAATAAAGAAAAAAGAAACTAGTAAGAAATACAGTGAATCTTTGTCTCTCTTCATCTGACAGTAATTATAGGATGTTAAACCCAAAGTAAAGCAGGTCATACTGTATCTTCAGGAGGAGCCAAATTAGGAGGCAAGCTTGTCATTCCTGAAGTCTTCCTTATGGACATAGGAATCCAACAATTTAAAAAAAAATTTTTTTAGAGACAGAATCTATGTCACCTAGGCTGGACTCAAACTCCTGGGCTCAAGGGATACTCCCTCAGCCTCCCAAGTAGCTAGGACAACAGTCAAGCAGCACCACACTGGACTTCTCAGGAATCCACCTTTTTTTTTTTTTTTTTTTTTTTTTGAGACAGAGTTTCACTCTTGTCACCCAGGCTGGAGTGCAGTGGCGTGATCTCAGCTCACTGCAACCTCCGCCTCCCTGGTTCAAGCAATTCCCCTGCCCCAGCCTCCCGAGTAGCTGGGATTACAGGCACAGGCCACCATGTCCAGCTAAATTTTTTGTATTTTTAGTAGAGACGGGGTTTCACCATGTTGGCCAGACTGGTCTCGAACTCCTGACCTCAGTCAATCTGCCCACCTCTGCCTCCCAAAGTGCTGGGAATACAGGCGTGAGCCACCGTGCCCAGCCAGGAATCCACTACTAAATAATAAACACCTCTTAGTGCCTCTGGCCCAAATGCCCAGTTAACTGTGGCCCAGTTTCCCTGGGTGTTGGCTGAGTGTTTAGCTGGGGCAGAGAGCCAATCAACAAATTAGGGGCATTGATCCTTTTTATTATCTTTGTTTTTATCTCTCACTTCTGACCTGCAACAACATCCCATTGTCAGCTCAGATTCTGGAGCGTTTAAACCCTTCCCCTGCCACTGAGAAAGCGTTTTTCTAATGAGGAAGTAGTGTGACTGCAGAACGGTGGTACAGTAGGAGGGATCTCCCCCGGTACCCATCACGCAGGGACAGACTGGCTCTGGGTTCTACTCCTAACTTCTCTCATCATTGGTACTACTCTCCACGACCATCATTTCAGAGAAATTTCTCTGCTTTGGTATATACAGGAATTTGACCTGGGATTTGTGTGAAATATTTACATTGTTTTTCATTTGGGTAGATGGCCTCAGAACAATGCAGTTCCCAATTTCCTTGTGCTGTTCTCCTTTGCTTGCAAGCAGGACAGGAGCAGAGAATTAGAGGAAAGGATTTCACTGAGTGGCGTACAGTCTTTCCTCCAAACTTTCCATGGCAAACACAGTGTTGATCTATACTTGTGAGAACCTCCTGGGGCTGCATGTACTTCCTAATGGGCCTGGCTGCCAAGTTGCCTCTTGTGGGACTGACCTGGAGCCTCTAGAGCAAGGGTCAGGAGACAGGATGCAGGGTTTATGTCACTGTCCGAACTGGGAGCACAGGCTGAGCTGCCCTACAGTGGGAACCGAAGGCTCAGACATTACTTCACATCTCAGCAGAATGATGCAATGATAGCTCTGCTGCAAGTTCTGCTAAACAGCTCAATGTTTGGTTCTCCATCCTCAGTAATATTCTTGTCACTGAGCCAATGGCCTCATCAAAGGAACTAAGCAAGGATCCTCTAACAGCCTTTTTTCAGTTATTGGTAAGAACAGTAATAATTGTGGGTTCCCTATAACAAGCACTGTGCAAAAGCCATAAAAGGGAAAAATGGCCCTGTTTTTCCAGCATCACATCTTCCTAAAGATTAAGTATTTCTATATCAACCATTCAACCATTCATTGAGCAGTCTTCATGAGCATGGCAATATGCTGGGTGATGGGTTTGCTGGTGAATGAGTTCAACTCATCCCTGCCCTCAAGGAACTTACAAGACACCATAGAGGACAGATGGATGCAGAAAAACTAGATTGTTCTAAGTGCCATTGGGGAGACCTAGAGCCACATGGAAGGCAAGTCCATTTCTTTTTTTTTTTTTTTTTTTGAGACAGAGTCTCACTCTGTCACCCATGCTGGAGTGCAGTGGTGCGTTCTCAGCTCACTGCAGCCTCTGCCTCCTGGGTTCAAGCAATTCTCATGGCTTAGCCTCCCGAGTAGCTGGGATTACAGGTGCATGCCACCATACCCTGCTAATTTTTGTATTTTTAGTAGAGACAGGGTTTTCCCACGTTGGCTAGGCTGGTCTTGAACTCCTGACCTCAAGCAATCTGCCCGCCTAGGTCTCCCAAAGTGCTGGAATTACTGGTGTGAGCCACCACACCCAGCCAAAGGCAAGTCCATTTCTAGCTGAGGAGGGGCAATCAGGAGTTGGGCTGTGTTGAGTTATCCTTGTGCATATCTTGTACTCAGAGCTTATTTATCTCTATTAGAACCCAGCAAGCCTGGTGGTGTAAACGTCATCTCTTCTCTATATCAGAATGTAATGGAATAAGTTTTTTATCTAAAACCTCACTTGGTGTAGCCTTTATATTATTTCCACTGTGATAGATGAAAGAAAAAAAGAGCAGTTTAGAATGATATCTAATAATAAACCTTACTGGTCATTCAAGATCTAGTGATATTCATTTGAAATCTGAAAAGGATTTCTGCCAGAGAATCAAGGCCTGAGGTTGTCTTCATTTCTTTACCATAACTCCCCTGCCTCCTTCTATCAGCAACGTACTCTCAGCACACCCCCAATTTCCTCTTCCCACTGCCTAAAACCGCATCTCCCAAAGACGTAACCTGGCAACCCTACCCAAGAGGCCCTTCCCACCACTCACCTGTTCTTTCTCTACAAGAGCAGCCTATCTGTTTCATTCATGAAATATATCACCATTTGTAATGTTTCTTTCTTTTTTTTCTTTTTTTTTTTTTTTTTTGAGATAGAGTCTTGCTCTATTGCCCAGGTTGGAGTGCAATGCCACGGTCTCGGCTCACTGCAACCTCTGCCTCCCAGGTTCAAGCGATTCTCCTGAGTAGCTGAGTAGCTGGAATTACAGGTGCCCGCCACAACGCCCAGCTAATTTTTATATTTTTAGCAGAGACAGGGTTTCACCGTGTTGGCCAGGCTGGTCTTGAAGTCCTGACCTCAGGTAATCCTCCCACCTTGGCCTTCCAAAGTACTGGGATTACAGGCATGAGCCACAGTGCCTGGCTGTAATGTTTATTTTCTTATCGGCAATCTTCCAGAACACACTGTAAGCTCTTTAAGGACAGAAGATAGCAGATGTGAAAAAATTGTTGCATGAATAAATTAGCAAATAAATAAGTAGTAGCACTATTACTTTAGGAAAGTCCTCATAGCGCTCTAGACCATGGTCGCCACACCCGTCAAATAAAAGAACTCACAAGGATCCAGGCTGAATATTCTATGATTCTAGGACTTGGTAAAATCAGCACTAGTGCTTCACCAGAAAATGCGAAGCAACCCTGACTTCAAGGCAGTTTTCCTAGTAGAAAGACATAATAGGTAATGGATGGAAGGATGTTCGGCATTCTTATCCCACTTTATAAAAAATGAAGACACCTAAATACATTTTGTGTATAAAAAGAGGCTCCTCCACACATGCAAGTAGATTGATTCAACCTGTGTCAGCAGCCAGGGGCCCTGGAGTCAGCCCCTCCACTGGAGGACACTAGCAAGAAGATATTTGCAAACTACTTTTTCTGATGGAGTCAAGAGAACCTCTGGTCTAACCCATGAGCTTGCATTAGTGCCTCAGCTCAGCCTAACTCCAGCACCATCTTATAGATCCTGAAAGTGGGTGGTCTGGAGCTCCGCTTCTAAACTTCCTCAGATTCAAGCAAATTCCACATTCATTTGAAAGACAGAGGCCAGAGGGATTGGCTGGATCAGGGAGGTTGGTAAATACAGTGCCTTTTTTTTTTTTCTTTTATCAACAGGAAATACAAGCTCCAGTTCTGGATGAAAGGGAAAAAAAAATCATTGAAAGTAATTTATATCTGAAACTGTTTAGTAGTGTCATCCTAATTTACAACAGAACCAATTCCAAATTAAAAAAAAAAAAGTCTTTTTCTGTTTCCTGTTAGCAAAGAACATGGGGTTATTTAAAAAAAAAAAAATCCACTGGATTTTCCCAAGTGTTGATAAGGTCTGGAATCCTGCAGATCTCATGAGAAGAATTCAAAACTCCTAATTAAAAGTTTTGTTCTCACAGTCAAATCTTGAAACTGTGCCGTTTGGCTTCACTTCTCTATGGTTAATTCATTTTGATCTTCTTCCAAAAGATAAATTGACAATGTGGGATGAACCATTATCAGAAGCTTATTAATTATTATTATTTCTGGTTTTGAAAGGAGAAGAATTTTGCTGTAACATACCTCACCTCATACGGAACCCAGGGCTATGAGTGAATACATGTTGAATGGAATCTTTCCTGGATTAGTGACAATTGTTCATCTCTGGGGCTAGCCAGGTAGGGAGAAATTGTTTATTAAATAGATTACACAATCTATTGGGCTCAGGTTGAATATAGTGACAGGAAACTGAAAATAGTCCTGACATTGGATGACTTGGTGTTTTTCGTAATTTTAAACAGATAATTCAGATGCTGGTGTTTTGGAAGGCTGCCCAAGATCTGCTCTCCATATAAGCAAACTATAAAATGCAAACTAGGGCTATGACAGCCACCTACCTCTTTCCCTGAGGCAGACTTCATACTTCCTGAACCAAAATACTTGTCTGACCACAATACTGAATATTTGGAATTGGGACTGTCCCAGAAATCTGGGACATATATGGTAAGGACCTGAAGCCTGTAGTCAAATTGGAGTTTTCTTAGATGCTTGGTTAAAATTTAAATATTTTCAAGTCCAGTCCATTTATAACTTAGTGTACTAAGTTGTACTCAAAAAAGATGTACCAAAAAAAATGATGTACTCAAAATGTACACATTAATGCAGTGGTGGAGTTAGCTAGGTAACCTCCTTTTGTTAGCAAAAATGAGAGTCTTACTTCTGAGATCTTCAGAGACCATTTGGAAATTTCTGGAAGGGAAATGGCATGGATGCCCTTTCTGCTACCAAGACTGTCAGTAGTTACACAAAATTATATTATTAAAAGTCCCCAGATGGGAAGTGGCTCATGCCTGCAATCGTAACACTTTGGGAGGCTGCGGTGGGAGAATCATTTGAGTCCAGGAATTCAAGACGAGCCTGGGCAACATAGGGAGACCTCATCTCCACAAAAAATTTAAAAATTAGCCAAGCATGGTGGTGCACACCTGTGGTCCTAGCTACTCAGGAGGCTGAGATGGGAGGATTGCTTGAGATGGGAGGTTGAGGCTGCAGTAAGTCGTGATTGTACTGGGGCACTTCAGCCTGGGTGACAAAGCAAGACCCTGTCTCAAAAAAAAAAGGTCCCTTTTCCCTATTAAACAGTACATCTGTGTTTGGAAAGCTTTGGGTAGAGGACCCAGGTAGGAAGGCCATCCTTGTGCCCAGGTGGCAGCAGCCATTGAGGGTCTGAGGGAAGTCCAAACCAAAGGTTAGCCCAGGACCATTCTCCTCAGAGACTAGAAGGTCTCTCCATCTTAGGACTGAGGCTACCTGAAACAAGGAGGAAAGGTGATGCTGAATGGAATCCGTGTTAATCAAGAGAAGGGCCTTTCCTGTGGTTTATGCCTCTCTTCATTACTCACCAGCAGGCTCTGCTGGCGCCTGAAGCCTCTTCCAGTGTTGACATCCTTTTTGGCCATTTCTAGCAGTGTCTTTACAGAAAACAGGGTGGGGGAAGACATAAGAGGCAAAACTCAAATAGCCTAGTTTTCCCAACCTTTACAACTAAAATATTTTTCTGAACAAAAAATGGGAAAGTCGTGGCAAATAATCATGCCTGATAGTTCTGTTCCCTTTGCCCATGCGTGACTGAAACTGAGCCAGAAGGATTGAATTTTCTTACTCTATTTTACCTTTTTATATATTTTTTAAAATCATATTTTGAAGGCACACAGGAGCTTTTCTTTAACCCAAGAGTGGCACCCTGTTATAGATATTCTCCAGTGACCCAACTCCCATCCCCTCGCTTTTCTATAAAAGGAGCCTGGAGTTATAAGAAAGACAGGACAGCCCTCCAAACCAGGACGTCATGGAGAGGTCAGCCCACCCAAAGAAGATGCAGCACATGCAGGGTGTGGAGAGGGAAGTTCACGGGTGACGGGAGACACTGCCCTACGCCGCTAAATCCCTGCAGCCTCCTCCCCCTCATCCCTGTAAAAGTGAGTCAGAAGAGCTCACTTGTCAGACTCCTCCCAGCCCAGAGTTGAAACAAGCTTTCCCCCACTCCATGCTCCACAAGCCACAATGCTCCAAGCCTCCTCAAATTCATCCATGAAGCTCTGTGGGGCCTGCAGGCAGGCACATTCCAAAAAAAGACCTGAATATTTTATTGACAGTGGAACCCTAATTAGGTGGTTTCTATAGTCGCCGATTTCTCTAGCACTTGAAGGCAGAAGTCAGCGTTTTTGTCCCCTTCTAATTTGCCCTCTCTACCCCTCACACTCCAGACCCAGGGCTGCTGGCACCCCTGCTGAGAAGAATAGATGGGGAAGAAATATTTCCGGGATTAGTCTCATAAATCTTTCACTGGCTTCCCTGGAAATTCTCTACCCTTGAGCAACGGGGGTGTGGGGTGAGGGGAGGAGTCAGATCACTCCTGACTCATTAGCGTGTTTCCACGATGTGCCAGCTAGATCATCTAAAAATTATTCAGCTGCCCAGGAGGAAAGCCTTTTTGCCAAACTACAGGCTTATTCGAAGAACTTAATGCAATCCTCAGCCCTGGCATCCAACCACAAAGCCCAGCAAGCTCTTCAGAGAGCCATTTCCTGACCCCAGAGGCAGTCAGTGACCCCCTGGAGTGGATTTTTACATAGAGATACTGTCCTTAGCCGCAAAGCTTTCTAAAGAAGGGATTTGGGAAAGAAAATCTATTGTGTTGTTGGCTTTGTGCGTGTCTGAAAGAAGAGAAGTCATAAAATCTTTGTGTTCTTGATGGAGTGAGTTCCAGGAAATATTACCTTTCCCTTATCAGGTCCCCATGAATTGAATCAGGCTGATAACATAGCCTTCAGGTTTCCACGTGTGCATTCACCACCTACATTTGCAAAAACTCTTCCTTTTTCTGTTTTGTCCTCTCTCATATCTAAAAGATTTTATCAGCACTTTCTTGCTGTATCTGTGTCTGTTTTCAGTCCCTTGTTGGTGTTCTACGTGGTATGTCCAATTTTATTAATAGCAGGAGGCCGGGTGTGGTGGCTCATGCCTGTAATCCCAGCACTTTGGGAGGCCGAGGCAGGTGGATCACTTGAGGCCAAGAGTTCAAGACCAGCCTGGCCAACATGGTGAAACCCTGTCTCTACTAAAAATACAAAAAATTACCTGGGTGTGATGGCACATGCCTGTAGTCCCAGCTACTCGGAAGGTGAAGGTTGCAGTGAGCTGAGATCGCACAACTGTGCTCCAGTGTGGGTGACAGAGCAAGACTCTGTCTCAAATAATAATAATAATAATAATAATAATAGCAGAAGTTACCATTTATTGAATGCTGACTGTGTCAGCCACTGTGACCCTACATACATTTGTTCATTGATAACTGTTTGTTCATTGCAAAGTAGATCTTTAAAAGCCTATGATCCAAATGAGGAAACCGAGGTTTAGAAATATAGCTAGAAAGTACTAGTCAGGACTCAGAGCCCGCGCTGTCTGACTCCCAAGCATTTTCTCTCAGCCACTTCACTGAAACACAGACAGCCCGGGAGATGTGCATTGCTTTAGGTTAACACCCATATCCAGGCACATGCTGCAGAGCCTGAACGATGTCCTCACTGTCACCTCCCCAACCCTCTGAAGATGGTGATGGAAATGAGTGAGCCATGACAATTTCTGCAGAAAGATTCTAAAGTGTTGTCAGAAATCTTGAGGCCAGGAGCATATCTAGCTCCCTAACCCACAGCAGGGTGTTAAATAGGTTCCTGATGACATGCTTTTGATAAAGAAAGAGAGTTCCTCAGGCAATGGAGACTGGAGATCAGTGAGGGGAGGGGTGTTAGAGGAGCCCCACAGGGAACAGAACCTGGGGTGCTATCGCAGGCAAGAAGACAAGTCAGAAAGCATAGACCTAGCACAATTATGAACAGAAAAGGCCATTGTTTGGTAGTCTGAGGTTTTGTAGAGGGTCAAAATTGTAACAGAAGTCCCTCTGCAGTGAATTTTGGACTCCAAAGCTCTTTAGGATTCTCTCTTCCCCAATACTAAGTCTCGCAACATGGGCTGAAAAACTGCTAGAGTCAATGAAGTCTGACTTCAAAAAAATTATTGGAGCTAATTAGAAAAGGCTTAGTTTTGACATCTTCAGTCATCTTTAGTCCTTAGTTTTCCCGCTGATCAAATATATCCATTCATTCCAATCTAATGAAGGCCTGCTGTACATAGGGCTTTTCCCTAGCACTGTGAGAGATGCAAAACATATTGGACACGATCCCTAACCCTGAGTTGCTTGCTCTCTAGGTTGCAAAGCAAGAAATGTGCACATAAAAAAGGTGAATAAAAATATTTCAGACGCCAAGCCGGGCACGGTGGCTCATGCCTGTAATGCCAGCACTATGGGAGGCCGAGGCGGGCAGAACACAAGGTCAGAAGATTGAAACCATCCTAGCTAACACGGTGAAACCCTATCTCTACTAAAAATACAAAAAATTAGCTGGGCGTGGTGGCAGGCACCTGTAGTCCCAGCTACTCAGCAGGCTGAGGCAGGAGAATGGAGTGAACCCAGGAGGCAGAGCTTGCAGTGAGCCGAGATCGTGCCACTGCACTCCAGCCTGGGCGACCGAGCGAGATTCCTTCTCAAAAAAAAAAAAAAAAGTGTATATATATATATTTCAGACACTATCCCCACTTTGAGGCCTAGTAGACACCTTGAACTTTAACATGTCCAAAACAGACCCTGGTTTTCCCAGGATCTTGACCCATCCCTTTCACTGTTCTCCTAATCCTTCTTCAAGGCTCAGTTTATCTCACCCCCTCTATGAAGTCACTATGAGGCCATCAAAAAACACTTTAACCTGTGCCCCTGTCAGGCTTCTGCCACTTTGACCTCAGTAAACAGCAACACTTACCACCCAACTTCCCAAGCCAAGACCAAGACATCCCCACAACTACATCAATCAGTCAACCAGGACCACCATCTTTGTCTTCCAAACATACCCCAATTTGCACCCTTCTCTCTCTCTCTGCACTCACCACCATCACTCACTCAGACCGTTGCAATAGCCTCCTCACTAGGCTCTCTATCTCCACTTGGTTGATCTACCACTGTTTGCCCACACAGCAGACAGACTGATATTTTTAAAGTAAGTTTAAACATATCATTCTTTGGCTTAAAACCCTCAAACGTCTCCCTGTCACACCTAACTTAAATCTAAAACCTGCTACTGGCCAGGCATGGTGGCTCATGCCTGTAATCCCAACGCTTTGGGAGGCTGAGGAGGGTGGATCACCTGAGGTCAGGAGTTTGAGACCAGTCTGGCCAATATTGTAGAACTCCATCTCTACTAAAAATACAAAAATTAGCTGGGCGTGGTGGCAGGTGCCTGTAATCCCAGCTACTCAGGAGGCTGAGGCAGGAGAATCGCCTGAACCCAGGAGGCAGAGGTTGCAGTGAGCCAAGGCCACACCACTGCACTCCAGCCTGGGCAGCAAGAGCGAAACTGTGTCCCAAAAATATAAATAATAATAATAATAAAACCTTCTACCTGAGGCTACCAAGCTGTGCCTTACCAGAGGTTCCCCTGCCCTTGGGACCACCTCTCTCACCTGCCCTTCCTCATCCCCACAGGCAATAGGCTTTCTTTCTCTTCTGGCAACCACTAAGCTTGTTCTATTCTTGAGGCATTCAACTTGCTATCCTCTTTACCTAGAAAATTCTTCCCCAGATCTTCCTAGGGCTAACACATCTTATGACTCAGATCCAGTTTAAATGTTCCCTCTTTGGAAAATCCTTTTCTGCACAGCTAACCCAAAATAGACCATCAAATACTTTCAAGTCCATCACCGTTAAATCTTCATCATAGCACTTATCACTAGATACCTTCTTGATTGCTTATGTACTTATGTGATTGTTAACTACCTCTCTCTCTCATAGACACACACACAGACACACACACAATTAGAATATAAGTTTTCTTATATGTCCTGTTCCACAGTATTTTCCCAGTCCCTAGGAAAGAGCTTGGTAAACATTTGCTAAATGAATTAATCTGGTCTGATAGAAGTTTTCTAACTAGGACATGGTACTGTTAATACACAGGTACCAATGTGTTTCAGAGGATCATGAAAGCAATGTGAACTAGCTGGGTCAGGGAGGCTGCATGGAAGAGGGGAGGCAAACTGAGCCACAAAGGAAGATTAGGATTCCAGCAGAGAAAGGGAGCAGACCATGCACTTGCAGCCAGGGGTTTGGGACAAGGACAAGCCCTTTAATATACAGTAAGAAGCAGCAAGGCCTTGGCACAAACCCAGACAACCCAACTCCAAATGTAGAACCAAACCTTACCCTCTCCTGATGGGCTGGGGAATATGGTATTCATTCAGACTAGAGATGATGAACTAAATTGGAATTGGAATGTAAATGGCATGGGAATGGAAAGACGGGAAAGTGTAAAGGACATTATGGAGAAGAGGCAACAAATTATTTTAGTATAATCGAATAGAGTGGGCAGAAATAGAAGTAGCAGGAGGAATCAAAGGTGAAATTGAAAACCAGAACCAAAGACAAACTTGAAAAATTGGGGCAAATGGTGGTGTCACTGATTGTGAAGAAAGTGACTCCAGGTTATGTAAGAAAATGGATGTGATTCCAGTAGAGCTGGGTCTGAGAGAGTGGCAGGGGCTTCATGTGGAAATAGCTAGGAAGCCACAGAGCTGCTATGTGAGGGTAAGGTGAAAGCCAGAGAAACAGGTCTGTGCATCATCTGCACAGAGATCCCAGAGGATGTTGTGATGGATTCCAAGAAGGGGGAGATTGAGGAAGGGACATCCGCTCCCGCCCGCCAGCTTCATGAAGGGGAGATCAGCCCAGGCTAACAGTGGGTGGTGGTGGATCCCAAGCACCAAGAATACAGAATGCCCTTGCTGAAGAATCAAGCAATGAGTTGGAGCTTATGGGAAGCAGGTGTCTAAGCAAGAAGGCACCGGTGCAGCCGCTGGTGCCCAGAGCATGGCACGTGTTGGACAGGCTGAAAGGGTGGAGCCCAGTGGATACCAGGTAAGCAGGGAATGCATATTTGGTCCACTGGTGGGGAGGGATAGAGGAAGGGAGGAAAGCCAACAAGGATATGCAACCATATATGGTCAGAAGGGCATGAGGAGACCAGGGGTGGTAGAGTCAAACGGCCAAGGGATGACACTTCCAGAGAGCAGATGTGAGCAGAGTGTCTTTCGTGTTGCAAAGATGTGAAGGAGAATGAGGTCTGAGAAGAGGTCACTGGCTTTCCAATCAGTGAATTTGCATCAACTGTTGGGGATCATTTTAGTCAAGTGCCAGGGTAGAAACCAGATTGCTTGGGTTTGTGGATAAAAAATAGAAACTGCAGGTACAGTTGGTTCAAGAGGAAGAATGGCAATAACGAGTTTTTAAGTGTTCCATAAGGCAGTGGACAAGGTCATTGGCTGAAGAGGAGAAAATGGAAGTGGGGAGTCAGAGGAACACAGGAGTGTCAGCATAGATGCTAGAGAGACAGTGCCAGAGAGTCCATTATCGCATGTGGTTATTTTAAAATAGAAAAGTGCTGTACGTTGTCATTTATTCACTCAACAAATACTTTTTTGGTACTTTCTTTGTGTTAGGCAGAGAGATACAGTCTTGAGCAGACAGCGAGTCCATGTCCTTTTGCAGCTTGCAGGGTGTGGCCAGGGAAGCCAGGATAACACTTAACCACTACTCTTCTATAATACTTTATAGTTGGCAAAGCACTTCCACTGTCCATTCAAACCTGACAACGACATTCCTTTGAGATCATTGTTGGGAAATTCATTAAAAAAAAAAAGTAAACACCAAACCTGAAGGTGAGATTTAGAAGATATGTCAAAAACTCAACAACTAGTTATCAGGAGACCAAAAACAAGAACGCTAGTGTCTGGACTCAGGGGCAGATACTTCCCAGCACAGGGCTGGATGAAGAAAGTGACTAATTTTTGCATCTCTTTTCTTGGTCTAGCCTCGGCCCCCAACATTGAAAGGACAATTCAAGTCAAACACTTTACTCAACTTTGGATTTGATTGCAGCCAAAGATAGTAGCCCCCAATTATTAGGTGATCACTATGGAGTACATTGTTTAGGGACATTAACTCAAATCCTCATGAATCTGGCTATCCGGTGGGATTTCCTTGTCCCTTGAGCTCTAGTAAACTTGGCTTAAACTTTCCAACTCTAAAAAAAGCTGTGAAAATTCAAAGCCCTCCTCTCAATTTCCATGAATTCCTGGAGTTTTAGAGTAATCTCTCAGCATCTGGTTTCTGCATTCACACTTGCTGCCTTTTCTTTCCACCCAAATGGAAAACCAGCCCCCCTTTGCTTGTTTCCACACCAATCCGGTCAGTTTAATCAAATTTACAGATTTGCAAGTGGGTAGGAAAGAGAGATGTTTGCAGAAATGCAGAAAGAGCCCAGCAAATAACACAGCTCCCTCCACCTCTCACTGTTTCTCCCGCCCCCTTTCTGTCCCACCTGCCCCAAGTTAGAAGCTAAATAAAGTCCTCCTTTTTTATCTAATGCAATTCAATGTATCAATCATATTATGCATCTCAGCTTGCTCTTGGGGGTCTCGTCCTCTACCCAAAGTGGCTTATCCTTATCCAAGTATTCCTTCCAAATAAGTATATTAGTCTCTATATGAGAAACTAAGGCAAATACAATGTCCTCAATTTTCTGACATTTATATAACCCTCTGAAGTATATATTATTATTTCCATTTTATAGATAAAGAACCTGAGGCACAGCAAGTCTAAATCACTTGTCCTCATTTTTGCAGTTAAGTCAGAAAGCCCAAATTGGAACTGAGACCTGTCTGACTTTGAAGCCCATGTTTTTTGTAAGACACCACGATCTTGAGATTGTCCCAGGAAACTATAGGTAAAGGTTCAATCTCAGAGGAAAGAAAACAGGAAGGGGCCACTTTCTTTCATGTTCAGAAACGAATTGCCAAGCAGAGAATTACGCTTATGAAAGACACTTCTCTTCGCATATCCTAGTGAGAATAAGGCCTAAAACACCAAACTTGTATTTTGAAATGGTCCAATGCAGATGTGTCTTTAACTTTCAAATCTGACAGAGGAAGATATCTGAATATATTTAATCCAAGTAGGAGAAGAATACTTAGACCTTAATATTCTACATTTCCCAAACTCCATGCTTTAGAAAATTCCTACAGAGACTGGCCCCAGAGAAAATGAGAGAGTATTACTCAAATGATCCGGTGGCTGGATATAAGGATGATAATGGATGACTGAACCTTACTTTGGAAATGAACCAGCTATAGCCCCAGGACTTCCTTCCTGCTGACACTGTGAATCTGATAGTCTATGAGAATTTGCCTGATCCAGCTGACATCTAAGAAACACCTTGCATGGCTGTGTAGAGCCTGGAAACAAGGCCTATACAAACAGAATGAGCCATTGCATCTGACTTCTGAGTCCTTTCACAAATATTGCAGAGGGAAACCCTGAAAGGGTGTCCCTCATCATCATCCAACATGTTTTACAAGAAAACATCAGCATCATCATTATCATCACCATCATCACTTGTTACCATAAGCCAGGCACTGTGCTAGGCACTGTAGGTACAAGGGGAAGTAAAAGCAGAGTTGTTGCCCTCTCAGAATTCCCAGTCTAGTGGGGAGAGATTTCAGTTTTAAAAATCACAGGTACAAGTGAATCATTGCACTAACAAATTCCAAAAACATTACTTTCATTAGCTTTTTTGATTCCCATAACCCTAAAAGGTAGGCAGTATTGCTCTCAACTTATGGAAAAATAAATTGGGATTCAGACAGGTAAAGAAGCCAGCCAAAGGTTACATAAGACTGGGATTTGGCCTAGGTCTAAGTTCAAAGTCTTACCCCGCTGCATTTTTACGCTATTGAAAATTAGGACCTAAACCGAGCATTTGACATTGAATTCTACGACATGTTAAAGCATGTTACTATGTTAAGTTAATGGTGCAAGACAAGTGGAATGATTATCTGTTGAGCCCATGGAATCTTCTTGGGAGCCCCTTCAATTTCTGCTGTCACATTCCACCAAGTTATGAATATGAACAATTCCTTGGGTATTTTCTTATCCTGAACTCTCCTTGGAAGTGAGATGCTTTTAGAAACTACTTTTGATCACTCCCTTGTATCAACCAGAAAATGAACAAAAATTCTTAACATGAGTGGTCCCTCATGACTCTCATTTGGTTGCCTTGGGAAAACCTTCCCCACCTACCACAGGTATTTCCTCCTTTGTGTTCTCATCTTTATTAACACTCTTACTGCCTCATAAAGTATTTGTGCCTCACCAGATGCACCCTGAGTTTCTTCAGGTAACAACTGTGTTATATCCATCTCGACAGTTCCAGCACCTAAGAACAGGCACTTGGAAGGCACTTGAGAAACGTTCAGTGGATGAATGCATGAGTGAGTGAAGGAATGATTGAACACCCTGTGACCCAGGACTCTAGGATTCCAGACAGGCACAAGTTCGAATCTTCCAGTAAGCCATTTCACTCAAGCAGATTAATAACTAGAAATCACAGAATATCAGCTCTGGAAGGACCCTGAAATATCACATTCAACACTTTTATTTCTGAAATGAGGAACTCAAGTTTGAAGAGAAGAGACTTGCCCAAGGTGGCTTCTGCATTCCTCTCCACTTACCTCTCAACCACTCTTGGGTACAAGTGCTTCATTCTTCTAACCTTGAGCTCTAATGTAATTTCCAAGGCTTTTCAAAATTGAAATTAATGACTGATCTGCAAAGAAGCCTGTTAGTGTTACCATTACCCAGGGACCTTAAGAAATACTCTGGCGGTGGAGAGAGGCAGAGACAATGAGGTCATCACGGTGTCTGTAGTTATCAATAGGGATCTTAGTTCTTTCCCTCTATGAAGACTCTGCACTGAATGGGGAATTTTAAAAGTCTGTGGTTTGCAATAAGATCCATCACTGAGGCTTCAGTCAGGCCTATTGTTCATTGCTGCTCACTGCAAGTACAAAGTGGGACTCAGATAAACGTGGGTTGATATTGAATAAATATACATATGCCATCAGCAACATACAATTAGCCCAGTCATAGATAGTACAACTCATACCCAGCCGTGTGCTGTAGCCAAGAGCTTGGCAAAGTCTCACCCCTGAAAGTTATTAAGGTGTTGAATTCTTTACAAAGAGGCTTTATCTAAAAAGATTTCTGTACAAAGTATGATTCACCGGCTTACCAGAGAGGAAGCAACCGGACATCACATCAGTGGTCCTGACTAGGCTTTTTGGTTATTGCTCTTCCTTATAGAAAGCAAGGGTTTGAGATTTGAGAGCAGAATTGTTTTTTTTTTCTTTTCTTTGAGTCAGGTCTCATTCTGTCACCCAGACTGGAATGCAGTGGTACAATCATTCAATCATTGCTCACTGTAACCTCAAACTCTTGGCCTCAAGTGAGCCTCCCCCCTCAGCCTCCCAAGTAGCTGGGATTACAGTTGCATGCCACCACACCAGGCCAATTTTTTAAATTTTTTATTTTTCATATTGACGAGGTCTGCTATGGTGCCCAGACTGGTCTCAAACTCATGGCCTCAAGCAATCCTCTCATCTCAGCCTCCCAAGTTGCTGGGATTACAAATATGAGCTTCTGTGCCTGGCCTTTTTTCATTTTTGTATCTCCAGTGCCTCAAACATAGTAGGAGTTCAATACATGTTTTATAAAATAATAAGTCAACAAATAAAAGAACGAGTGTACTCATTAAGATTAGGTTTACTGGTACATCACTGAAAACGAAAATGAGAGGTTCAAACAAGATACAGTTTTCTCTCTTCTACACAAAAGAGAGCTAAGAAATCCAAACTGATATAATGTTTCTGCAGCACTAGGGATCCAGACTTATTTTATCTTTGCACTGCATCCTTATGTACTCAAGTTTGCCTCTAGATCAAGGAGGCTGCTAGAGCACCAGTCATTAAATCTAGAATGAGGGCAGAAAGAAGAAAAAGAAAAATGCATCCCACCTAGTCAAGTGAATCTCTTTTTTAAAAAACTTAAGAATTTTTAAATCTCTTGTTGTTGTTGTTTTCATTATGGTAAAACATACATAATAGAATTTATATGTGAACTGTTTTTAGATGTACAGTTCAGTGGCATTAAGCACATCTCCATTGTTGTGTAGCCATCATCGTCATCCATCTCTAGAACTTTTTTATCATACCAAACTAAAATCCTGTACCCATTAAACATTAACTCCCTATTGCCCCTCTGTATTAGTCTATTCTCATGCTGCTAATAAAGACATACCCAAGACTGGGTAATTTATAAAGGAAAGAAGTTTAATGGACTCACAGTTGCACATTGCTGGGGAGGCCTCACAGTCATGGTAGGAGGTCGAGCAAAGGCACATCTTACATGGTAGCAGGCAGGAAATTCATGTAGGGGAACTCCCCTTTATAAAACCATCAGATATCATGAGACTTATTCACTATCACAAGAACAGCACAGGAAAGACCCACCTCCAGGATTCAATTACCTCCCACCGGATCCCTCCCATGACATGTGAGAATTACGTGAGCTACAATTCAAGAGGAGATTTGGGTGGGGACATGGCCAAACCATATCACCCTCTCCCCCCAGCCCCTGGCAACCATCATTCCAACTTCTGTCTCTGTAAACATGAACACTCTAGGTACCTCAGATAAGTGGCATGATACAATATCTGTCCTTTTGTGGCTGGCATATTTTACTTTGGTGTGAGGACCTCAAGGTTCATCCGTGTTGTCGCATGTGTCAGAATTTTCTTCCTTTTTAGAACTGGACAATATTCTGTTGCCTATAGATACCATATTTTGTTTATCCATTCATCTGTCATGGATTTGGGTTATTTCCACCTTTTGTCTATTGTGACTAATGCTGCTATCGACATTGGTATAGATTTTTTTAAATAGCTTAACAGAAAGTCCTGCTGTCTGCTTTAATTGGCCACCCTAACTACAAGAGAATTTAGGGCAAGCAGTATTTTACCTGGACACATTTGCAATCCCAAATAATATAATTCACAAATAAAAAAGAGAGACAGAGAGCACTTTGTATAGGCAACCAGCAGACCATGCCACTCTGCTAAATAGTATGAGTCTCATCAAAATGTCTATGGATTCCTAAGAAATTCCCAATGTGCTCCCATGCCTGAACTTTCCTCCGAGACAGTTTGTCTGTGGGCAAAAGGACTGTATCTCCAGAAAGCCCTTTCCCTTAAAAGACTGGCATGTTCATGCCTGAATAAAAAATTCTGCTTTATGTTTTAGGAGTATTTTCACATATCTGTTCTCTCATCTGAAGACCTACATTGGCAATGTTTAACATCCCCTCTTGGAAATCCACTGGCATTTTTACTCAAGAGATCAGAAAAGGTACTTTTCCTCCCCGTGCTCCTCACCTCCCAACCAGCTCTTCCCTCTGACTTCCTTATTTCAAGTCAAATAGATTTTCTTCCTATAACCATAAAGAGTCTTTAATATGATAGTTTATATTGTGAAGCTCCAAAAGAAAGATTTAGACTAGAACACTTTTCAAATGTATTTGTCCAAGGAACCCTTTTCCCCATTTATGAATTAACTCTTGGGGCAGGTGTGCTGAGCAACACATTATGGGGAAACAGCCAACAAGCCTGGAAATGCAAAATCATCTTCAAGTTCTTACCTTTAGTGATTTCCAAGTCACCTCAGTTCTGCCACCACAAAGTCTCTCTCACCTCTCCATTCCCTCCCTTCTCTGCCTTCCATTTCAACAGCCACCGTTCCATCTTTCTCAGTATGACTTCTACCCCTGAGCTAGGGTGTTTGTTTCATTTATCCATTCCACAAACCATACACCAGCAACTGGGTTGGGCACGAGGGATGTAATGGTGAACAAAGCAGTGGTCCCTGTCCTTGTGCTGCACATCCACTACAGTCCAACGAGCATGGAGAGACAGACATCGAGTCACCCCACAGTAAGTGTCAGATGACAAGTGTGTTCACTGCTGCAGAGGAGAGGAGCAGGGTGCTATCTGGCCCTCTGGGACAGTCCCTGGAGAGTGATGTTTGACCTGAGAGCTGAGGGATGCCTAGAAATTAATTAGGCAGATGAGAGGGAAGAGTTCACCAGGCAGAGGGGAACCTCGTGCAAGGCAGAGTTGTGGCGCAGGCAGCCTGGTGAGGAGGGCTGAAAAATGGCCCAGAAGCTGCAGGACACAGAGGAAGGCTGAAGTGGAGATAAACGAAATGGGCCAAAAGAGTGAGGGGGGTCTTGAAAGCCTTGGTAAGAATTTTAATCTTTAGCCTCTAAACCTGGGAGAGACTTATCACCATTTCCACTTTGAAAAGATGGCTTTGTCCACTATATGGAGGATGTGGGACTGTAAACAGGCAAGGACGGATGCACAGAGACCACATGCAGGTCATTGCAAGCCTCCAGGTCAGTGATGGTGGCTTGAGCCAGAGAGGGTTATGGCTATGGAGAAACATGGACAGATCCTAGTGGCATCTAAGAGATAAAACCAACAGGACATTGGATCGGATTGAATTAGGTTATCTGTGGATAGGCCTCATTGTCACTAAGATTTTAAATTCCTTGAACACAAAAATCTGTATCTTGCTTATGTCTTGGTTTATCACACTGAATGGCAAACCTCATATTTAGCAGGAGAAGGCTGCTAAATGTGTTGAAGTGATTATTCACAATGAATATTCAACCTACAGAGAGCAAAGGTCTAAGAAATCTACCCCAAATAGGTACATTTTGATGCAGAAAAGAAAAGGGACACATCCCACCCTGCCAGACAGTCCCTGAGGAGGGCCAACTGAGTTGGCTACCACCGAGGAGCATGTCTGGGCCTATCATGGGGACACAAAAGGCAACGTTATCTCCCCCCTGCTGTACTTGATAGCACAGACATGGAACCACTCTGTGTCAGGAATGTGATAATGATCATGTTCCTAATGCATTAGGGAGACAGACAAAGCCCTACTGAAGCACACAGCTGCAACTATAGAAGAAGACTCGAAGGCCTTTCTTCAAATTAACATTCTGCAACACAGAGCAATTGCTGGGCCATTTCAATTCATTTGGCAATTATTGTTCTTAGATGTTGGTTGTACCTAAAAATTGGAAAAAATAAACGAACCCACAAACAGTAGTCTAAAGAGCTTTTGAAGTAATTGCTGTAGTTCAACACTTAATGTGGACACCGAATAATGGTCAGCATGATCCACCTCTCTTGTGAAGACTGGAAATAAAGAAACATTTTGTTCCAGCCACAAACAGTTGATTTGTTATCCCTGCCCGAGATGCTAAAGAAAGTTCTACGCTCGGGGTTCAATCCTTGCCATTTTCTTCCGTGGTGAAGTGATGGTCCGTCAGAAACAAAGGCCTCCTTGTCCTCATTTGTCTCCTTTTTAACTCTAAGAAACATTAGTGTTCTCCCCAAATCTTGGTCACTGACCCCACACCATCATTACAGCCCAATCTGAAACTTGTCTAGAGTTCAATGGCTTGCACCCACGTGATACACTTAGAAATAGAAAAAGATTGTCTTTGAAACACCACAATGCCATCAAAGCCTGTGCTGCTTTGTAAGTGATCAGACAGCACAGGAACAGCGATGGAATGGGAGAATTGTGAAACAGTAACTGGTCATGGCATAAGAGGAGGAAAAGGCAATGCCTGAGGGGAATTGCTGCTGCTAAGTCAGGACATTTTTCTTTTCCTTTGCTCTGCATTTTCATTAGTTGCTGTCTGGATCTGAAAAGGTCATAGGCCTAATTATACCTATGGATGCTACATAATAGCAGCATTGACATGGTGCCCAATGACCCATCAGGGAGCCCCTCCCCACCAGCCTGGAAGTTCTCAAACCAATTAAGTCAAAAAATCCATGAAATGTGGATGATATTAAAGAACTATTATTGAAATTTTTAAGGCATGATAATGATACTGTGGGCATGTTCAAAAAGGAGAGAAAGAAAGAGTCATAGCTCTTAGAGATACACAGTAAAGTATCTACAGATTAAATAATATGATGTCTGGGAGGTGCATCGAGATAATCCTGTTAGGGATGGGGAGAGAGGGGTGGAGAGTAAATGAAGCGCTGTCTGCTCCTGTGAATCACTGCTGATGCTGGAGGATGGGCAGATGGGGTCAGTATACTATGCTCTACTTGTGTATGTGTTTGAAATTTTCCAGGATTAAAAGGTTTTAAAATATCCTAGGCATTTTCTTCTTTTTTTCAGAGACCCCTAAGAAAGCCAGGCTTTGACACCCAGAAATCCCCTTTCTTGAGGCCAGGAAACCAATATAAATGTGTTTGTGTTACTGCATGATCTTTGTGTTTCTCAGCCATTCAATGTTGCACTCTTTGCCCTCAAAGGAGGGCAGGAAAGCTAGAAATGAGGTGGAGACCCACTCTCACTCCATAAAAATATGGGTCACGTTAACATTTTTTTCCTCACTTCTAATTGCATGTGCCCCACGGCCTGCCAGATGTTAGCCAACCGATTCGTTTCAGGGGAATTTATGAAATTCTACTACTGTCCTCATCAGACACAAGGTGCTGTGGGTCATACACTCTAAACAGGAACAAAGCTGTTATCTGGTTCTGAATTCCATGTTCAGAATAGCTGCCCCTCAGAAGCTATATCCACAGTCTCCCTAGAAAACTTGCCCTGTTTGGAGTTTAAGGATTTCTTGGCCCAGAAATCCAGCTCTTGAAGTTCCTCTTAGATGGCTCAGTTCTCAGCCTTCTTCGTCTCCTTTCGCAGCAAGAGACTGATCGGTCTTCTGGAATTTTCCTCCCACCCTTCTGGCTTGTCCTTCTCCTGCAGAGCGGCGCAGGACAACCTCCTTCAGAGCTCCTGCTACTGCCACCGTCCCAGCAGACACCGCCTCTGTCTGACCAGGCACTCTCCTCACCCAAATCAAGCAGGAGCACAAAGTATTGGTGCCTTCTGTGTAACCAAAGCCCTCCTAAGTCCTGGAAGAAGGAAAGGAGGAGAGTGGGAGGGAGAAATAGAGAGAGAAAGAGATGAAAGGGGCAAGAAGAGGAAGAGCAGGAGGAGGGGAAGGAGGGAAGAAGAGAAGGAAGAGAAAAAGGAAGCAAAAATGACTTCATAATAACCATCTTCCTTGTCTGCAGGACATGAGATTACTTTTTTCCAGAAAATATCTTCCTCAGATTGGCCAATACAGAAACTACAAGAGAGAAAGAACTAAGCCTGATTTTCAAGATTTTTTTCTTCTTTTTCTCTTTTCATCTTCAGTCACCTTGGGTTCAGAAGCTATTTCTGTAAGCTGCATCAGCTGGACTTGGACCATATGGCGGAGGCAGCATCTACATTTGATGATTCAATTGACCCGGCGGATGACTAGATCGTTTTAAAAGCCCTTTGCGTTCTCGCAGGTCGTTTGTCTATATCAGATGCAAAAGGAAGCGCTGTAGCCACCTCAAATCGCCCTGGAATGCTCTCTCAAATGGGCTGGACTCCGTGATTTGTCAAGGAAAATTGGACATTACCTGGTAAAGTTCTTCCTAAACCATGGGCCCAGATGTCTGCTTGACAAATGTCCCTTATGCTTGTTTCAATTTAAAGAGTGTGGTTAAAAGACTTTGGCATGATTTATTTTTTAGTTTGGCGTATTGGTGGAGTGGAGGGAAGGGGGCAGAAATTATATGGCAATTTAAAACGTAACAGATTTTGCTTGGCACTCTTTAGTGGGAATGTGAAATCAAATACAGTAGCAAAGTCATCTGTCAGGGGCAACTTGCTCTGAGGTCCAAGAGAAACTCCTTAAAAATCTATAAGTCATTGAGGTAAGAAATAAGTGACATTTTCATTCCTTCCATTCCTCATGTCTTAGGGATATAAGATGCAAGGAATGAGATCTTGACTTGTAAATCATGGTGACCAGCTGTTAAATCTAAGACAAGGCACTAGGTTAGCCTGTGTGTTCAGCTTGGTTCTAGTTTTCTCTCACCCCACTCTCTCTCACCTCCCAGACTTCTCAAGCCCTGTAGGCTTGTTATACACCTTCATTTATCTTGGTAAGGAAGACATAATGGAAAATTGTTAAGGCTTGAAGGAATTACAAGAAAACGGTCATCTGAAAGATTAAACATAGTCATGCCTTCTTTTTTGAACTTGTGATAAAACTTGTGACAAATGAGGGTGGGGCGAGGGGGAAGGAATTGAATTAAACCAGAAAGTTTTTCTCATACTGAAAAAAATATGTTTTTTGTTTTTCAATTTTTTGACTTTTTTTTGGTGAATGTGATTCAACATTGGCATCTGCTTGAAAGATGTTTAATAACCTGAAGGTACAACTAAGAAGATAAATTCCAGGCTGTTTATGTTCCTTGCACCTAAATGAAGTCAGGTTGTATAGGTTTACCTAGAGTACAAAGGAAAATCAGCACAAATGCGGCCTTGAGTCTTATTTAGAGTAGTGTTTGTATGTGTACATGTGTATATATGTGTGCACAAAGGTGTGTGAGAGTGTGTATGTGGAGGGGCACATGCATGTGAGTGTGTATTTGTATATCTGTTTGTATTGTGAATGTGTGTGCATGTATGTGTGTGCACATGTGAGTGTGTGTGCATGTGTACATATGTGTGTATGTGTGTTGGAGGGGTGTCATGGGAATGTAAGGAGAGGAGTAAGAGGTTGTGTCACTCTGACCAGAGCCCTGGCCTTTTCCAATAATGTGCAGCTGGAGCCCTTCTGCTCGGAGTTCAAGGCTCCCATGTAGACCTGGAGCGTGTGCCCCCAGGGGCTGCCAGCGTGGGTCTCTGCTCCACTCAGTCTTGGGCACAGTCAAGCACAGAATCCAGGAGGGGCTGGGGCTGGGAGGAGGAGTAATTATCTCTTTCTGCCGTGTTGAAGGGCACGCTGCTATTCCATCTCCCCAAGGGCATAAGAAGGGTCTGGCTGACTCCATCTTTTTGCAGAAGGAAAAAAAATGTTATTTTAGTCAAGAAACTGACACTTTGATTTGCATTGGTTCTGGCAGGAAACTGGCAGGAAAGTAAGTTTTTACAAATGAGCAGTGGATGCTGTGGCCCTTAAAATGGCCTACAGCTGTCAGTCATTCACAGCCCCCACATCTAAATGTGGCATCCCCATGAGCAGAAATTTTATTTTTATATGTGATTACTCAGGTTCTCTGAGAATAGTAAGAGATCAAAGGGAGTCAAAGTAGTGGGTAGAAAGAAATGGAAGTCAATTGAAGTACACATGAAACTGAAGCACAAGCTGGTAAATGAATGCAGAGTCACTCTCCAAGTCCAGTCTATAGAATGAGAGTGGCCAACAGCTCCCAGGGAAAGAGAGCAGCCCCCAGGCCCATAGACAGCAGGTTCTCTTCAAGACCAGGAAGACTCTGGCTACCAGTCGTCTTATGTCTCAGGTCAAGGAGAAAAGTGTGTTCCTCTACACCCCTTTCCTCCTTCTCTCCTTGCTCTGAATGCTCTCTATGTCATATTCACCAAAATCACAGGAGATTGGCCAGCAATCCAAAATTCTAGTGTATTACTTTAGGAATAAACATAATGGCCATTTGACCAGACTTCTCATGTTAACCTCATAGAGCCTTCTGTTCCCAGCAGGAAAATCAAAATAATAGCAGGAGGCCAGGCATGGTGGTTCACGCCTGTAATCCCAGCAATTTGGGAGATCAAGACGGGCAGATCACTTGAGACCAGGAGTTCAAGACCAGCCTGGCCAACATGGCAAAACCACATTTCTACTAAAAATACAAAAATTAACCATGTGTGGTGGCATGCACCTGTAAACCCAGCTACTTGGGAGCCTGAGGCACGAGAATCCTTGAACCCAGGAGATGGAGGTTGCAGTGAGCCAAGATCATTGAGATCGTGCCACTACATTACAGCCTGGGCAACAGAGTGAGACTCTGTCTCAAAAACAACAACAACAATAATAATAATAATAATAATAATAGCAGAAGCTTGCTTGATGAATAAAGTTGTTGCTAAGAGGGTTGGACTTGAGGAATATTTTTATTAAGGTATTACAGCTTGGGAAATCATCTTTCTCCTCTAAAGGAATTCATCTGCTACTTGACCAGAGCTGGTTTGTCCTTCCCTTGAGTTTACAGCCTGGAGAACTTTAGGTACACCCCAGATCATCCTGCTGAGAAAGAAGTCAGGAATTTGAGGTACACGAACAATCTATGTAGAAAAAACTTTCGGCCAGGTTCAGTGGCTCACACCTATAATCCCAGCATTTTGGGAGGACGAGGCAGATGGATCACTTGAGGTCAGGAGTTCAAGACCAGCCTGGCCAACATGGTGAAACTCTGTCTCTACTAAAAATACAAAAATTAGGCAGGCATGGTGCCGGGTGCCTGTAATCCCAGCTACTCAGGAGGTTGAGGCAGGGGAATCACTTGAACCTGGAAGAAGGAGGTTGCAGTGAGCCGAGATTGCGCCATTGCACTCCAGCCTGAGTGACAAGAGCAAAACTCCATCTCAAAAAAAGAGAAAAGAAAAACTTTCTCTCTCAGAACACCAAATAAGAATAGACAATTCTCAAAAGAAGACACAAATGACCAACAAACATATGAAAAAATGCGCAACACTAATGATCAGAGAAATGCAAATCAAAACCACCATATGATATCACCTCACTCCTTCAAGAATGGCCATAATCAAAAAATCAAAAAATAAGAGATGTTTTGCGGGCATGTGGTAAAAAGGGAACACTTTTACACTGCTGTGGGAATGTAAATTAGTGCAACCGCTAGGGAAAACAGTGTGGAGATTCCTTAAAGAACTAAAAGTAGAGCTACCACTACTGGGTGTCTACCCAAAGGAAAAGAAATCACTATACAAAAAACATACTTGCACACGCATTTTTATAGCAGCACAATTTGCAATTGCAAAAATTTGGAACCAGCCCAAATGGCCATCAATCAAGTGGATAGAAAAATTGTGGTATATACAAACCACGGAATGCTCCTGAGCCATGAAAAGGAACGAAATAATGGCATTCACAGTGACCTGGATGCAATAGGAGACCATTATTCTAAGTGAAGTAACTCAGGAATGGAAAACCAGACATCATATGTCTTCACTCATAAGTGGGAGCTAAAAGCTATGACGATGCAAAGGCATAAGCATGATACAATAGACTCCGGGGACTCAGGGGAAAGGGTGGGACAAGGGGGAGGGATAAAAGACTGCAAATTGGGAACAGTATATACTGCTTTGGTGATGGGTGCACCAAAATCTCAGAAATCACCACTAAAGAACTTACTTATGTAACCAAACACCATCTATTCTCCAAAAACCTATGGAAATAAAAAATTAAAATTATAAAATTTAAAAAGAACACCGTGAGGCAAGAGTGTAGAGAATTATAATCACAGTAATGGTTAAGAGCTTATGCTCTGGATACAAAGCCTGACTCCACCACTCACCAGCCATGTGACCTTGATCTGGTTCTGCATCCTCTCTGAGCACAAGTTTCTTTGCCTATAAAATGTGATAATAAGGTTGCTGGGAGGATTAAATGAGCTATGAAGCAATAATACACAGTGCCTGGTTCATGGTATATGTTCAATGCATGTGAGCTAGTATAATAATAATAACAATTATTATTATTATTATTATTATTATTATTATTATTATTATTATTATTATTATTATTTTGAGACGGAGTCTCACTCTTGTTGCCCAGGCTGGAGTGCAATGGCACGATCTTAGCTCACTGCAATCTTCGCCTTCCGAGTTCAAGCGATTCTCCTGCCTCAGCCTCCCGAGTAGCTGGGATTACAGGCATGTGCCATCATCCCCAGCTAATTTTGTATTTTTTGTAGAGACAGGGTTTTACCATGTTGGTCAAGCCAGTCTCGAACTCCTGACCTCAGGTGATATGCCTGCCTCAGCCTCCCAAAGTGCTGGGATTACAGGTATGAGCCACCATGCCCAACCACAATTATATATATCATCAGTTGTCTTGATTTTACCATTTTTACCTTATACACTCTCAACCTTGCTTTCGATTTATCTATTATGCAAATAGATAACTGCATAATTATAATTAAAAATAGATAATTGCATATTATCTTGCTTTGGATTTATCTATTATGCTTTCTACTTAGAAATATGGGTTCCACTGACCCACTATATTGCCAGAAATGTTCTTATCAAAGATGAACGTAATTTAAATATTCCACTGGAAAGGAGAGAAAGGACTCACCTTAACATTGCATTCCTTTTTTCTCAAAGAGAAAGTCTGTGGCCACAGTGCCCACTTGGCTGGCACCAGGAGACTTAGGTGCCTCACTCTGGGGCACGGAGGCCACAAAACCATACAAGGGGCATGGAGACCACAAAACACTGTCCTCTGAGTAGGGCCTTCATTCTACCCAGAAGCTAGGCCTTTCATCACCCAGGCCCCATTAGCTTCTGAAAAGATTATATACATGATCTACCTCCCCCATTGCCTTGTCCTCAGCCACCTCTGCCAACTCATAATGGGGAGAACAAAACATTCTCTGGCTTTCTCCAAGTCCAGGGTAATTTTATGCAAAGCAGCTTTCTTTCCAAAGGACTATTCATTTGGGTGTCTCTGTGCATTGTTTGGTGTCCAAGGCCTTGTAACCTATGTGCTCCTGGGATAGAATTATTTTGAGTAATAGCGTATTCTTCAACTACAGATGAGGACAGGTATAGCTTCTAAAGGGGACTTAGGAGGAAAAGACTATGAAAATAGAAATAGAAACCAAAATATCTTTTATCACAAACAAAATAGATACACCATAACCCACATGTAACTTACTACTACCTTTCCCTTGGTTCTAGAAAATAAAAATCTTCATACCCTTCTACCCAAAAATTCCACTTATAAATTTGGCCTGTGTAAGTATATTCATTGTAGTATTGTTTCTAATGATAAACAAAATTGGAAGAAGTCTATGAAACCATAATAAATTATACTCCTATATTTTAGAATACCAAGTAGTAGTTTTAAAAAATGATACAGATCCTCAGGTAGAAACTTGGAAAGATCTCTAAGACATATTCAGGGAATAAAGAGCAAGTTGAAAAGCAAATATAACCCCATGTATGCCAAAATATATACACACATACCAAAACAAAAACAAAATATACTTTTTTATATGCACATATACACATATAAATGTAAATGCATAGAGAAAAGAAAGGAGACTGGGCACGGTGGCTTATGCCTATAATCCCAGCACTTTGGGAGGCCAAGGCAGGTGAATCACCTGAGGTCAGGAGTTCGAGACCAGCCTGGCCAATATGGTGAAATCCCGTCTCTACTAAAAATACAAAAATCAGCTGGGCATGGTGGTGGGTGCCTGTAATCTCAGCTACTCTGGAGGCTGAGGCAGGAGAATTGCTTGAACCTGGGAGGTGGAGGTTGCAGTGAGCCGAGATCGCCCCATTGCACTTCAGCCTGGGCGACTGAGTGAGACTCTGTCTCAAAAAAAAAAAAAAAAGGGGGAAAGTGGGTCTGAGTCACTGGAGAAAGGAGAATGGGACAATTTGGCAAGAGAGCTTTGATTTTCAGTGTTGTTTTAATATTTTACAAAAAAATGTGTGGATTATTGACATATTTAAATATAGATTTATTTGTAAAGAGTTCTTAAGAAATTTAATGAAATAGTATAACCTAAATTAGATGAAAATACTATATCTAACTGCAATGTCATTTTACAGCAGGAGAATCCTTTTGGCATTTACCAGTCATTTCAACAACGGAAGCAACCATTTTGTTTGGCATAGAAGAAAAGCCTGAGGCAAAGATTTAAGGGAATCAGAGGACTACATATTTTAATGAAATGAGGTTTAACAGTCTGGTCAAATTAACAATAACCCCTCACTTGTTGAGAGCCACAAATCATTTACTAAATATGAACCTACCTACCATGCAGGCAAAAATTAACTTGCCAAGCCCAGCAGTGATTCAGCCAAAATCACTGCTCTCCTGCTAATAATGCCTTTACTAAATAATTTTCTGGTTCTCTTATGTTTATAAAGTGGAAGCAAAGAACTGAAGTCACATCTCACACAGCAGGGTAGCCAACATGCATTAGGGAAGATGAACGATTTCCATAAGGTTTTCATAAACTCTAAACTCTTCATTCAGTATCCTGGTGTGGAATAAAATAAAAGTACGATGGATGCTATAAACACGGAGGTAACTGTTAAATTATAAAGTTTATATTCATCAGCTTATTTTTCAGCCATTCAGCTGTAAAATCTCATATTTTAAAAAATAACCCTTCTTGATAAATAAAATGATAAAGAGACATTCTGTATCAAGTTCACACTAAGGCCTGCAAAACACAAATTTAAGCTTTGCCACCCTCCTACCTTACGCCCTCCCTAAAATTGGCAGAGGGGTGAAGAAGTATTACTTATATGGTGAGTAGCCTACTTTTGAAACTCATTTCCCCAGGGCATTGTCAAGAAAAGTTTGAATAAATTCTAAGGACAAAATGAGCATAATATTACGTGGTTGCTACAACAGCCCTATGAAATAGGCACGCTGATAATGATGTTCCCATTGCCCAGTTGCAGAAATTATGAGAAAGTGAACTTAAAAGTCCAATATTGTACAGCTAAACCCTGACACAGCCAGGGCTAGAGTCCAGGTATTGGTTGACCCTCAACCAAGGTCTCCAGAATTGTTTAAGTAAAATATCAGTTTCCTAATTGGAAAAAGGATACTTAATTCGCTAAAAATGACATGACTGGTGATTTAATCAAGTCTTATAGAAAAGACCTCCTGCCTAGGGTGGGCCTTCAAGGTTCCTTAGAGAAGAGCAGATCCATACTTCCCCAGTTTGACTTCTACTCTTACTGTTTTGCAGGTCAGCCTTGTGCAGAAACTTCAAGTTGTATTCAAATATTTCTGGCAAGCCATTGTCATTGCCTGGAATGTTTCTATCCAAATCATGTCAAGTCAAAACGTGGGCACCAGAAGCACATTGGAAAACAGGTGCTATCTGCTTTCTTATTTTAAGACCCACGTGCTGCCCACAGGATCTCTGGATAAAAATTTCAATACATCTCAGAATAAGCAGCAACTTGTCTTGTTGATCCGTCTTTCAAGCTTTTCCACCAAGACGGCAATCTGCATCCTATTAGTAATGCTTCTCCAAGTCTCCCAGCGCCTAGAAATGAGAGCTTCATGACTTTGGAGAGGACTATAGCTATCTAGTGACATCACCCTTGATGCTATTCAGCAGCAGCTTTTCCTTCCCTGGAGAAGTGACTTGCACAAATGACTTGGGGCTGTTATTGCAGGATCAATGACCTGAATATATGGGTGTAAAACTCCCCTAGAGAATTGGATTCAAGAGACTTGGAGCTTCCCAAGAATCTGAAAGAAATGGCATTTAGGTTTTCATGGCCCACTAGAGCCGGTTAAAAGGTCAGAAATAAAAGGTTATTGACCTGAGAGATTTTCTTGAGAGGAGGAGGGCACCAGGACTGTGGCCCCTGGGTCCCTCCAACTCAAGGATCATAAAGGAGCCCACAGGTCACTGACTCCAGAGAAAATGAAAGTGGAGAAACAAATGGAAAAAATCTACTCTGCATTTTACTTGATTTTTACTTGTTACTAGATGAAGTTCTGCTTTCAGAAAGAATAGACCAGCCCTGAAATAAGCTGTATCAGTCTGTTTTGGGTTTATCATCTAAATTCATATTCTTTTAATAATTCCTGCACTGGGACTTCCTGGGGTCCACACAGTTGGGTTCCTGGTCTCCAATTAAGTGAAGAACTGTGTATCTGGCTGGTTCTCTATTATCTCCTAAAAATTACCCCATTGACTTGTAACTGGGAAACAGAGCAAACAAAATCCTTCTTAGCTTTGATCAAGACAAAATGCCAATCATCTGAAACTGCATTTGAAAGGGTGAATGTGCAATAGGAAGTGAACTAGTAAACTGGGCTATGAAACTGGAGAAAAAGAAAAAAGAGAAAGTTCACCGATCAAAAAACCATCACAGCAATTAAGACAAAACATCTCCAGCCATAACACTAGACACTCTTGTGGAAAGATTAGCCTGTAGAAAGTGCAGTTGTGTGTTTCCTTAGCATGTCTGAAAACACTCCATTTCAGAATAATCAGGAGCCTGTGAAAATGCCATTCTCCCTCACAATCCACAACAACCTGGAAATGCCCCGTTCCTGGCAATTTATTACAACCAGCCTGAGCCATTAACATGCAGCTTCATAGACTTCTTGGAGTTTGACACTGGTTGAGCTTGTTTTTCTGGTCCCCTGGAGCAAAAAACAAGCAATAGCCAATAGTAATTTTACATTTTAAAATGTCCTTTCCGCTCCTAAACTTCTCCCCACAACCACAGTGCAATACCTGAGCTCATATTTACAGGAGAAATAGGAAAGCAGATTTGACACAGCTCAGCAGCCAACACATCACAGTGAAACAATAAGGCCATTGGTCATGGAGAGTTGACCACCAATGACTGGACTGAGACCAGAGAACAACTTTGCACAGGCCTCGGAGCAGCCATTAAATGGAAATGACTTGGAGCTGAGTGAGGCCTGAATCAAGTGACTTATTAAGGCATTTTGGTCTGTCATCGATCTCAAACATTATGGTTTCCTATGCCTTTTGATGCTTTTTTTTTTCCAGCTTTTATTTTAGATCCAGTGGGTACATGTGCAGGGTTGCTATCTGGGTATGTTGTGTGATGCTGAGGTTTAGGATACAAGTGATCCCATCACCCAGGTACTGAGCATAGTACCCAGTAGTTTTCCAACCCTTTCTTCCCCACTCCCTCCCTGCTCTAGTGGTCTGCAGTGTCTGTTGTTCCCATCTTTATGTCCAGGAGTACCCAGTGCTTAGCTCCCGCTTATAAGTGAGAACGTGCAGTGTTTGTTTTTATGTTCCTGGGTTAATTCACTTAGTATAATAGCCTCCAGCTGCATCCATGTTGCTGCAAAGGAGTGAGTTTGTTCTTTTGTACAGCTGCATGCTATTCCATGGTATGTATATATATATATATATATATATATACTACATTTTCTTTATCCAACCTGCCACTGAATGTGTACCTACGTTAATTCAATGTCTTTGCTATTGTGAATAGTGCTGCGATGAACAAACAAGTGCACATGTCCTTTCTGCAGGACAATTTGTTTTCTTTTAGATATATACCCAGTAATGGGATTGCCGAGTCCAATGGTAGTTCTGTTTTAAGTTCCTTGGGAAATCTTCAAGCCACTTTGCATGGTGGATGAATCAATTTACATTCTCACAAATAGTGTGTGTAAGTGTTCCCTTTTCTCCACAGCCTCACCAACATCTGTTGTTTCTTGACGTTTTAATAATAGCCATTCCGACTGATGTAAGATGGTATCTTACTGTGGTTTTGATTTGCATTTCTCTGATGATTAGTGATATCGAGCATCGAGCATTTTTTAATATGTTTGTTAGCTGCTTGCATGTCTTCTTTTTAGAAGTATCTGTTCATGTCTTTTGCCCCTTTTTAATCGGGTCATTTATTTTTTGCTTGCTCAATTGTTTAAGCTCCATAAATATTAGGCCTTTGTTAGATGCATAGTTTGTAAATATTTTCTGCTATTCTGTATGTTGTCTGTTTACCTTGTTTGTTGTTTCTTTTGCTGTGCAGAAGTTCTTTAATTAGGTTCCATTTGTCAGTTTTTGGTTTGTTGCAATTGCTGTGCAGAACTTAATCATACATTCTTTCCATATCCAATATCCAGAGTGTTTCTAGGATTTCTTCTAGGATTCTTTTTTTTTTTTTTTTTTTTTTTTGAGACGGAGTCTCTCTCTGTTGCCCAGGCTGGAGTTCAGTGGCATGATCTCGGCTCACTGCAACCTCCGCCTCCCGGGTTCAAGTGATTCTCCTGCCTCAGCCTCCCAAGTAGCTGGGACTACAGGCGCCCGCCACCACGCCTGGGTAATTTTTGTATTTTTAGTGGAGGTGGGGTTTCACCACATTGGCCAGACTGGTCTCAAGCTCCTGACCCTGTGATCCTCCCACCTCAGCCTCCCAAAGCACTGGGATTACATGCATGAGCCACCGCGCCCGGCCTCTTGTAGGATTTTTATAGTTTGAGGTCTTCTATTTAAAACTTTAAAAAAAAATTTGTCTATTTTTATTTTTATTTTTTGTGGGTATGTAGTTACATTTAAATCTCTAATTCATCTTGAGTTAATTTTTTATATGGTGAAAGGTAGGAGTCTAGTTTCTTTCTTCTGCATACAGCTAGCCAGCTATCCCAGTACCATTTATTGAATAGGAAGTCCTTTCTCCATTGCTTATTTTTGTCAGCTTTGTGGACAGTTAGGTGGCTGTAAGTGTGCAGCTTTATTTCTGGGTTCACTATTCTGTTCCATTGGTCTGTGTGTCTGTGTTAGTACCAGTATTATTCTCTCTGGGTTGCGGTAGCCTTAGTATAGTTTGAAGTCAAGTAAGTGATGCCTCTGTCTTTATTCTTCTGCTTAAGATTGCTTTGGCTATTTGGACTCTTCTTTGGTTCCATATGAATTTTAGAATAGTTTTTTTCAATTCTGTGAAAAACAACATTAGTAGTTTGATAGGAATAGCACTGAGCTTTGGGCAATATGGCCATTTTGATGATATTGATTTTTCCAATCCACGAGCATAGAATGCTTTTCCATTTGTTTGTGACATTTATGATTTATTTTAGCTGTGTATTGTGTTACTCCTTGTAGAGATCTTTTACCTCCTTGGTTAGATGTATTCCTAGGTATTTTATTTTCTTGTTTGGCTATTGTAAATGGGATTGCATTCTTGATTTGGTTCTCAGCTTGAATGTTATTGGTGTATAGAAATGCTATGGGTTTTTGTATATTGATTTTGTATCCTGAAACTTGACTGAAGTCATTTATCAGTTCCAGGAGCTTTTTGGTAAAGTCTTTGGGGTTTTCCAGGTATAGAATCGTATCATCCACAAACACAGATAGTTTGACTTCTTTTTTCTATTTATGTGCCTCTTATTTCTTTCTCTTGCCTGATTGCTCTGGCTAGCACTTCCAGTACTATGTTGAATAGGAGTGGTGACAGTGGTCATCCTTGTCTTGTTCCAGTTCTCAAGGGAAATGTTTCGTTTTTGCTGTTTCAGTATGATGTTGGCTGTGGGTGTGTCATAGATGGCTCTTATTATTGAGTTATGTTCCTTTAATGACTCACCTATTGAGGGATTTTATTATGAAGGGATGTTGAATTTTATTGAAGTTCTTTCTGCATCTATGGAGATGATCATATAGGTTTTTTATTTTAATTCTGTTTATGTGGTGAACCATATTTATTGATTTGTGTATGTTGAACCAACTTTGCATCCCAGAAATGAAGTCTACTTGATCATGGTGAATTAACTCTTTCATGTGCTATTGAATTTGGTTTGCTAGTATTGTGAGGATCTTTGTGTCTATGTTAATCAGGAATATTGGCCTGTAGTTTTCTTTTTTCATTGTGTCTTTGTCAGATTTTGGTATCAGAGTGATCTTGGCTTTATAGAATGATTTAGGGAGGAGTCCCTCCTCCTCGATTTTTTGGAATAGTTTCATTAGGATTGGTACCAGCTCTCCTTTGTATATCTGGTAGAATTTGACTGTGAATCCATCTGGTTCAGGGCTTTTTTTTGGTTGGTAGGTTTTTTTAATTACGATTCCATTTCAGAACTCAATGTTGGTCTGTTCAGTGTTTCAATTTCTTCCTGATTCAATATTGGGAATTGCATATTTCCAGAAATTTATCCATTTCCTCTAGATTTTCTAGTTTGTATGCATAGAGGTACTCGTAATACTCTCTGAGAAGCTTTTGTATTCTGTGGGATTAGTTATAATGTCACCTCTGTCATTTCTAATTGTGCTTATTTGGATCTTCTTTCTTTTTTTGTTTGTTAATATAGCTAGTGGTCTATCAATCTTCTTTACCTTTACAAAGAACAAATTTTGGTTTTGTTGATTCTTTGTATGGATTTTGGGGTCTCAATTTCATTCAGTTCTGCTCTGATTTTAGTTATTTCCTTTCTTCTGCTAGCTTTGAGGTCAGTTTGTTCTTGTTTTTCTAGTTCCTCTAGGTGTGATGTTAGATCGTTAATTTGATATATTTCTAACTTTTTGATATAGACATTTAGCACCATAAACTTTCCTCTTAACACTACTTTTGCTGCATCACAGAGATTTTTGCTGTACTGTATATTTGTTTTCATTTATTTCAAAGAATTTCTTTATTTCTGCCTTAATTTTGTTGTTTATCCAAAAGTCATTCAGGAGCAAGTTGTTTAATTTCCATGTGTGGTTTTGAGAGATGTTCTTGATATTGAATTCTACTTTTATTCCACTATGTTCTGAGAGTATGGTTGGTATGATTTCAATTATTTTGAATTTATTGAGACTTGCTTTATGGCTGAGCATGTGGTCAATCTTGAAATATGTTCTGTGTGCAGATAAAAAGAATGTATGTCTTGTGGTTTATGGGTGGAGTATTCTGTAGATTTCTATTAGGTCCAATTAATCAAGTGTTGAGTTTAAGTCCTTTAGATGGCTTCTGATTAGTGCTACCTGTCCAAGGGGAAAAAAGTAAATATATTATTTGTATAGCACTACATCAAAGTATAACAGTCATGTAGGTATAATTCCTACAGCAGCACACCTAGGAAACTCTCAGAGACAAAAGTCATTATTGTGTGTGTTCACAGCATACCTTTCTTTCCTACAGGCTTTTTAAAAAGTGGTCTTTGCTCATTTAGCTCTGCTCTCTGTACTTGTATGATGCAGAATCAGGGAAATGGAAAGAGAACTGGAGAGCAGAAGGAATGGAAGAGACAGGAAACAACAAGAGAAGAAAGGGAGCTGGATATGGGAGAGTTTTTGTTTCTTGGAGGTTGGAGTTACTTATTGGTTGGGATTTAAGGGTGCTGGAGAGAGATATAGGGAAGGACAGCTCATTTCTGTAAAGACCACCCTAAGAGTGGCTGAAATGGAAAAACAAGACTTTGAAGATAATATGGTATAAATTAAGGATGTATTTCCTTCTCTCCTTTTATGGTTTCTCTAGACAAGTTAAAAGTAAAGTTGGTATTATTCATATTTTTCTATTGAACAATGATTTATTTGAAACACTTTGAGACTGGGCCACATGGGGCCCAAGTTATAATCAAGCCCTTGAAACCAGTACTGGCAAAAGGAAGCTCAAATAGGATCCTGTAGTCATTGCTGATTCGGGTTCTATTCAGCAGAGACTAATTTTGCCAATATTAACCAGTCTTACTGACTGATAAGAATGACACCTACATGACTATTTTCCGTTAATGTACTTGAAAGATAAAAGTATATCAGACTAGCATCAACGATATCATTATACTAATAAAAATGTTCAATTAACCAGATGTCTATCTTTGAGTAAACAAAAGATGTAGATGATTAACTAGACTTTTCATTTTCATCTCAATTCTTGCTGTCAGGGAGATATGGTCATTGACTCCTTCAAGTGTCAAAACTCTAGTAGGTCTGGTACAAAGCAGGCTGGTATTTCAGTAGAGAATAAACTAAGAATAAGGAGACTATGTTAAATGATGGTGATGGGGTTCAGAATATGCTACCCCAAAATAAGGGACCTTGGCATTTGAACAAACTGCAAAAGCAGGAAGGTCACTCTCACCTTCCCCTCACCCTTCTCCCCTGAAGCAGGTCATGAGACCCTCATTTCAGAGATGCTCTCCCCATACCCAGAGAAAAAGAACATCTTTATCTCTGAAGACACGGGGACAGAGAAGAATCTGAACAAAACAGGCCTTGCTAAGCTCCCCCAGTTTATTACCATTAGATCATACCCTCTTTGTCCAATCACGCATTTCACAACTGTCCACTCTTCTTCAAACCTAAGCATAAAAATAGACAGGTTTCCCTGCTTCTTTGGGCCTCATTTCCTTCTGAAGGCTCCCATACTACATAAAACTTCTATTGAATATTTTGTATGCTTTTCTCTTATTAATCTGTCTTTTGACAGAAAGGCCTCAGCCATGAACCTAGCAATGGGAAAGAAATATTTTCCCCCTATACTGGAATGAGTCCGCTGGGGAAAAGAATAGCCCATAATCCAAACCACAGTGTGAAAGAAGTAGTGTGAGCTCGGATTCAGTGTTGTAGCCAGAGTATTTGAGACCTTCAGTGAACTATTTTTAACACTCTCCGTAGAAAACAATTATTTTTAGTAATAATCATGTAATAAGCTTAATAATCATGGTTAAAAAAAGCACACTGAAAAAATTTTTTATTGAACTGCCTATGTATAATCATCCTGTTAAAACAATAATAATAAATAACAAAATACATATTAAAATACATAAAAGGAAAAAATATATTAATACTTTCTGATTTACATTTATGAATTTTTTGAAAGGAGAAAAAACTCGTACATACATATTGGTCTCTTATAGTAATGAATCTTGCAGTTCACATTGTTTCCCTGTTTAAAATTTTAAACACACGTAAAAACTCCAAGTGATCATGTTTTTCATGTCACTGTTTTATCACTTTCATTTTTAATCCCCTGGTTAAATGCAGGAATATTTGCTCCCACAGGAATAGAGAGACAAACTTGCACCCTAATTGAACTCAAATGTTTTTGAATCATTACAAACATGGGTCTGAGTCTGCCTCTGTTGGAGACCAATTGTATCACTAGGAGTCCTTAGAATTAGATTCCATGGAAAGTACAATGTGTAAAGGACAATAATAAAAATGTGCTCCTTTGAAGCTTATGTAGAAGCTTATTATAATTATTAAAAGTCAGTTGTTTAGTACTTAGACCAACAAAAGATTTGGCAGAGCGTGGGAATATTTTGTCACTGACATTGTTTAGGATGGTCAGCTCCTGGTGATAATAAAAGATCAAATTTATTTCCTTTTATTATTTCTTTTTAAATGTCTACAATGTGCCCCCTTGTTTTCTGCACCCTGTCCTTTTCCCCCTGCCCTTAAAATGCAATTGTCCAACCAACCTCTTTTCTGGGCAAAGGTTGTCTATTTTGATAAAGGGAACACAGTAGTAGAAATCTCTAAGTCGAGGGAAATGGAGTAGAAATCAGAAACTAGATGCACACAATGGGAGTTGAGATGGTTACAGCTCACTGGGCACTTAACACTGACTCCACACCTTACCTGCTCATAAGAATTAGGTGTTTAGGCTGGGCGCGGTGATTCATGCCTGTAATCCCAGCACTTTGGGAGGCCGAGGCGGGCGGATCACCTGAGGTCGGGAGTTCGAGACCAGCCTAGCCAACATGGTGAAACCCTGTCTCTACTAAAAATACAAAAATTAGCCGTGCATGGTGCTGCACGCCTGTAATCCCAGCTACTCAGGAGGCTGAGGCATGAAAATTGCTTGAACCCGGGCGGTGAGGGTTGCAGTGAGCCAAGATCGCACCACTGCACTCCAGCCTGGGTGACTGAGCAAGACTCTGTCTCAAAAAAAAAAAAAAAAAAAGAAAGAAAGAAAAGAGAAAAGAAAAAGCAAAAGACTTAGGTGTTTAATTTTCTGCCAAGTTTGTTCCTGATGGTTCAGGACCAACTGGATGGGCCAGGGATCCAGAGACAGTTGTTTGATCTCTGCAGTGGAGTGGAGCTGGAGCAGGCAGGTGCCAGCTTGAAGTGGCCCTTCAGGAAGTGTTTTATCAATACCAGGTGATGATTGGAAGCTTGTCAAAGTTCTTCCAATCAAACATGTTCACATTATTATTCCAAAATTGTAATTCTTTATAAAGTGAGTGTTAATTTTGAAAAGTCCTCATCTATCTTTTTCACTAAATAATCGAAGAAATAAAATGGTTAAGTATAAAGATGCTATGGCAATCATTTCTTTTGCTACCTTTCTTTGGGTTTCCGATGTGGCCACTTTTGAAAAACGTTCACAGCCAGGCACAGTGGCTCATGCCTATAATCCCAGCACTTTGGGAGGCTGAAGCAGGCAGATCATTTGAGGTCAGGAGTTCAAGACCAGCCTGGGCAACATGGTAAAACTATGCCTCTACTAAAAACACAAAAATTAGCCAGGTGTGGTGGCACATGCCTGCAATCCCAGTTACTGGGGGAGCTGAGGCAGGAGAATCACTTAAACCCTGGAGGTGGAGGTTGCAGTGAGTCGAGATCGGGCCACTGCCCTCCAGCCTGGGTGACAGAGTGAGACTCCATTTCAGAAAAAAAAAAAAAAAAAAAAAAAAAACCAGAAAAGAAAAACGTTCACAACTTTCCCAAGTTATTAGATGACTATAGTGCTTCAAAAATCACTTGTTCAGCAGGTTCCTGTGCAAACCTTGATTTTTAATTATTATAACCACCATTTATTGGGCATTAACTGTGTTCCAGCACTGTGTTAAGCTACATCTATAAAAGTAATAATAATAATTGGTCTTTTCGGTGCAGATTTAAAAGAGATAGCTCCCCATCACAAATAAGAACAACAAGCAGAGAATAGCTCAAAGGAATTAGTCATAGTCCCAGCTGGTAGATGTAATCATGCCAAAGTATGTCAGAGTCAGGAAATGCCACGAGGTTAAGACTACAAAGTATAAAGATGACTATAATTACTCACCTTTAACTGAATAGTATAATTGAATCACATAATTCATTTCCATTATCTGAGTTCCCGGCTTAGGCTCTTTGAGTACCACGAATCAGGAATGACTATGCTCCACTTCACCCTTCGCTAGTCAAAGACTGCCAGGAGGCCCGGGGTTGTGGTATTCAACGTTACAGACGTAAGGCCCTCCTGCCCACCCAGCACTCCAAATATTTCATGACATATGAAGGCTCTGACATTGCAAACCGGACTACGACAAGCCTTTGACTTCTCCGGGTTGTGAGGAGTTTTAGAAAATAACTGAGAAGCAACTTTTTTGAGGATGATGTATTAAGCAGAGTCCTGTAATAGGAAGAACACAGTATTTGGCAATAGGAAATCTGGATTTGAGTCTCCATTCACACCTAACTGGTTTTGGACTTTAGCAAGGCCACAGCCTCTCAGACTCCTGTCTGAAGTAGCTTGTCTTGCAGGTCACTCATGAGGATTACATGAGACGCTACATGTGAAGGCACTTACGGTGGGTCTTAGTGTTTACAGAAGGAAAAGGTAATCATTAACACACGTATTCCACCTTCCATGCTAAGTGTACGCTAATAACCGTGGTTTTTCTGAGCAACAGATCATATTAAATTGAAAAATTAAATTCAGCCGGGCATGGTAGCGCATGCTTGTATTCCCAGTGCTTTGAAAGGCCAAGGCGGGAGGATCACTTTAGGCCAGGAGTTGGAGACCAGCCTGGACAACACAGCAAGACCCCCATCTCTACTAAAATAAAAATATTAGCAAGGCACAGCGGCACATACCTGTAGTCCCAGCTACTTGGGAGGCTGAGGCAGGAGAATCACTTGTGCCCAGGAGTTTGAGGATGCAGTGAACTATGTTTATACCCCTGCACTCCAGCCTGGGAGGCAGAGCAAGACTGTCTCCAAAAAAAAAATAATAATAATTTCAAAATATACTTTATTGTAACAATTATTTCAGGCAAAGCAATCTTCCTGATTTTCTTTAAAAAACATTGCCCTTTACGAGAAATGGTTTAGTCATTTTGCTTCATACAATCTGCTTTTAATCTTTCTCTCATATTCCGTTGGGCCAAACAGAAACTGAAAGAAGTTAGGCAAGCAGAGGAAGGCTAGGCCAGATTCTTGCATTGTTTCAGTTCCACAGAGAGCTCTGAGAATGACACAGATTTAAGATACAGGGGGTGGGAATGAAGGAAAGCAAGGAAGGGAGGGTATTTCCAACTCTGAGAAAATATCCCTAGCCAGGAAACAAAGCCTCAGGCCTCAGATTCCAGAAAGGCACCAGCTTGGTGACAGCCCGCGCCCACTGGCAGCCCAGCCCTCACCTGCACTGCTTTTTCACAAGAGCCCAGTTGGAAAGCCCACGGGTTGGGCCATAGAACTTGGTGCATTTTGCTGCAGCTTTGTGTTTTGGAGGGCAATATCATTCGTGGCCTGGAGGGCAGTATCAACATCAGAAGAGCGTGTTTACTTAGGTGTGGCAAGGCTGGTTTCATGTATTAGATTAGGAGGCAATTTGCTTACCCTGTCAACCACTCTAGCCATCTCTTTGTTTTGGTGTTTGTGTGCCTTAATGTTTTGTGCCCATTGGTTTGTGTGGCTGAAGGGGGATAAGTTGCAGTGCAGGTGCGTAAGAGCGGTCTCTCAATAGATTATTTCAGATAATCTACAGTCATCCCTTGGTATCTGAGGAAGATTGGTTCCAGGACTCCCCACAGATACCAAAACTCACAAATGTTCAAGTCTTTGGCATAAAATGCTATAGTATTTGCATAGAACCCTTGCACATCCTCCCAGTATACTTTAAATCATCTCTAAATTACTTATGATACCCAATAAAATGTAAATACTATGTTAATCATTGTTATACTACGTTGGTTAGGGAATGATGACAAGGAAAAAAAAAACATCTGTACCTATTCAGTACAGAGGCAATTTTTTTTTTTTCAAATATTTTCCATCCATGTTGGTTGAATCGTTGGCTGCAGAACCCATGAATACAGAGGACCAACTGTACTTCAAATGAAATGATCCATTTTTAATATAAAACAAGCTTTTCAGTGGAAAGTAATAGACCATTAACTAAATCGTATGTCTGGTCCTACCAAACTTCTGCTTGCAAGACATTTAGACTACCTTCACATTTTCTGATTTCCACTTTGCTTTGATACCACGAAAATTTTCTTGCCTGGGAACATATATTATACAAGCGGAAAATCAGTCAAGAGATCATTGAATATTAATTCTCTGTCATTATGTGCCCAACACAGATGCCTTAGGAGTTAAACAGAGGCATGCATATGCTCGACTTAAGACACTGTGTCACCAACCTCCTCCCCTTCTTCATCAGAGGCAAGAGAGAGCCCACAGACAGCAAGCAACCCACCCTTGCCCAGCAGTGACAGGAGCAAGCCCCGTGCCCAGAGACTGCTAAGACCAGCCTTATCATTACAACCTTTTTGGAGAATCTTGCTGAAAGGCTGGGCGCTCTGAAGAGAAGCATGGCATCAGTAAGGGACCAGATTGCCAGTGTTTGCGTCCTGGCCTTGCTGCTTACTAGCTATTCCCCTCAGGCTAGTTTCCAATCTCTCAGCACCTCAGCTTCTTCATCTGTAAAATGGGGATAAACACGGCACCTATTTCATGATGTGATTGTGAAATGTCACTGATTTAATACATGTGAAGCAACTAAAATAGTGCCTAAGTTATAGGAAATGCTTATTATTATTATTATTTGAAAATTACACTACTCAACAATTATACAAAAAAAAAAATCTGTTTTTCCCCTAATCTCTCTAAACAAAGGCACTAAAACTCAAAGAGTTAGTAACAGAGAGAAATAGAACTTTGGTGGTCACAGAAACACTCAACATGGTAGCCACAATCCTAAAACTATGTGTAACAGAAGTAAACCCAGATAGAAATAGCCTTCTTAAGGCAGAGTTCTACAAAGGGGATCCCCGGATTTTCATGCTCTGAGCCCTGATACTGACTTTCAACATCTTGGCGTGTCTACCAAATCAGGTACCTCAATACGACATTACCTAAGAGTTCCTTAACTCACAACCCTGTGAGGACAACAAAAGATACTGTTAGAACAACAAAAAAAAAACGCTCTCCATGAGAATTATGCACAGTTTACTTTGCATGGGTACCATGTATGTGTGCATTTTAAATAAACATAAAGTGTGTATAACTGCTTTTGATCTCAGTTTTAATTTCTCTTTAGCACAAAACCAGTCATAATTTCTTCCCTTGTGATAAACAGGATTGATCAAGATGTGGAGCCTCATTTGTGTTTCCCCAGTTGTTCAGACGATGCCTCTCAGTGTGCACCGCCGGCTTCCGGGCCCTTGTTTCCAACCACAAGTAGTCCTTAGTCTTTGTGGCTTGCTAACCCCAGGAATGACAGCACAGTGTTATCGCTTGTACTCCCAGTAACCACTCTCTCTCTGTCTTACTGTATTGTCCAGCAAATGGAAGGTGTGGCAGCTAAACCCCTTTTTAGTCAGAAAGAACCACTTCCTGCTTAAAGTGAGAGCTAAAAGTGAATCTCTCGTTGTACAAAAATATGGATCCGGGCTGGGCACAGTGGCCCACGCCTATAATCCCAGCACTTTGGGAGGCCAAGGCGGGCAGATCACTTGAGGTCAGGAGTTTGAGGCCAGCCTAACCAACATGGTAAAACCCCATCTGTACTAAAAATACAAAAATTAGCCGGGCATGGTGGCAGGCACCTGTCATCCCAGCTACTCAGGAGTCTGAGGCAGGAGAATCACTTGAACCTGGGAGGCGGAGGTTGCAGTGAGTTGAGATCGCTCCACTGCCCTCCAGCCAGGGCAACAGAGCAATACTCCGTCTCAAATTTATATATATATGCCATGATGCTTTCTCTGAAACTTGAAGATTCTTCTGGCCACAGGAGCAGAAAGTCACTGTTTGATTTTGGGGGGCGCAATATTGTACGAGGGGCTTTCATTTCAGGCAAAGTCTCTCCCAACTTTTTCCTTTCCATGCTTACTGAAAAAAGAAAACCACTCCTAGATACTTGCTCCAGATTCTCTGCTGGAACCAGGCCATGCCCAAGCTCTCCAAAGAGCCTCTGTGAAGCCCCGGCTTTCCAGTTTTGAGGACCCTCGATCTTGAGGTGGTCTTCCTACCCTCAGATTTGGCTAATGTGGGAGGCGAGTTGAGGAATTTTATTTAAAAGCAATATTACTGTTGAACCTTGACTACTAGTCATGAACAAGTTTGCCACTAAAAACAGCAACACTGGAGCCCCACCCTCAAGCTTGAGGCCCCAAGCCACATGGCCTGCTCATCCCCTATTTCTCATGTAGGATCTGTGTTTGTTCCCACACAAATAATTCCCCAGAAGCCTGTGTAGCAGAAATGTGGATAACGTAGTAGTTCTTCACATTTGGGGGAACATAAAGGTATTTAAAGGAATAGACCTATTCTCTAGAAAAAGTATACATCACAAAATTTGCATGAAATTTTGAAAAGCTTTGCACCCATCACCTCCACAGCCCTCTTGGACTTTAAGAGATCTGTGGGACCTGAACCACAGATGGAAGTCAGGGTGAAGGATATACGGAAAGTGTTTACTTCCCCAGGGAGAATGGGAAGCCAGCCCCCACCTGCATTCCAAGAAAAGTCTGTCACCCCATCTTTCATACTTGGTTGATTGTTCCTGGGAACCAACTATGAAAGAACTCAGCTCAAGTAGCAGTGGATTGGGTGCAGGGGGGTTTCAGGAAAAGCACCATCTCGAGATCCTTCTCAGGGACTTGCAGTGAGGAGAGGAAGCCTCGAGCCTCTGCTGCCCACCACAGAAGGCTTAAGCTGCAAACCTTGGAAACTGTCAGGCTATCAGTCGAATTCTCATGAAACACATACTCTGCCTCTAGCTGGAACTAGGTGCTATGGGAAAAGGGGCATTTCCAAAAAAATGCATAAGACAAAGTCACTATCTTGAGTAGATCAAAATCTCTTTGGTGATTGCAAAACACACTTCATTTTAAAAAAACAAAGAGCAAAGCCCTATGGTCAGAGGTCCATCATGGTCTAAATCCAGAATATATTATATCTGGAATATATATACCTAGAATATAGACACCTAGGTCCAAGAGAGCAGAAAGGCTTCCCGGAGAGGGTGGAGCCTAAACTGGACTTATTTTATGTTTCCCTCTGACTACTGTTGTCTTCAAAGAACACTGTCTTCTACCCCACCTCCACCTTAATCCACTAGAATCTGTTTCTCAAATATTGTCTTAGCAACCCGTTTACTGATTAACACTGACAAGCCAAACAGGCCAGCATCAATGCTGCCGCCGAACTCTGACCTCTGGCTCTGGGCTGCTTTTCTTTTTTTTTTTTTTTTTCATTTTGAGATGGAGTTTCGCTCTTGTTGCCCAGGTTGGAGTTCAATGGCACAATCTCGGCTCACTGCAACCTCTGCCTCCCAGGTTCAAGCGATTCTCCTGCCTCAGCCTCCCAAGTAGCTGGAATTACAGGCATGCACCACCACACCCGGCTAATGTTTGTATTATTAGTAGAGATGGGGTTTCACCATGTTGGCCAGGCTGGTCTCGAACTCCTGACCTCGTGATCCACCTGCCCAAGCCTCCCAATGTGCTGGAATTACAGACGTGAGCCACCGCGCCCAGCCTCTGGGCTGCTTTTCTAACATCAAAGAGTGTCAAGGTCAGAGGGACTTTAGAGGTCACCCAGTCCAAATTCCCTTCCCCTCCTTAGGAAAGAGACATCTGGGAACAAGTTCTGCAGACTCCCTAGAAGAGTGAACCTAGTGGCTGTGGAAGTCTGGCCAAGAAAATCAGCCTCAAAGAAGCAGAAGCTGTTAGGACACAAAACACACCTGAACAGTCTCACTGGTGTGAGTAAACGCAATCACCTGGGAGACGCAGGCATCATCACACCCAATTGTGTAATTATAGCCACACATTGAATTAACCCTCAATCCAACCCCAAATCACCAGACCAACCCTGTTGTAGTTATCATGCCTAAATCTCCAACTTGGTGTGAAAGTTAGACAGTTTGTACCCAAGCGATCTTAGCCCAACTTAGAACTCCTGGAGAGCAAGGATTGATCTTCATTCATTTGTGCATCTCAAAGCCTAGTGCAAGGTCTGATATTCAATAGACAGCTTAATGTGGCTTTGTTGAACTGAGCTGGATTGTACTGAATGATACAGAATTCATTATTATGAGTCAGAGCAATACAAACTACAGGAAATTTGAGTGACTGGAAAGAAATCAAAAGAGGCGCCGCAGCTGACGCCTATAATCCTAGCACTTTGAGAGGCTGAGGTGGGTGGATTTTTTGAGCCCAGGAGTTCAAGACTGGCCTGGACAATATAGTGAGACCTCTGTCTCTCCAAAAAATACAAAAATTAGCCAGGTGTGGTGGCATGCTCCTGCAGTCCCAGCTACTCAGGAGGCTGAAGTGGGAGGCTCATCTAAGCCCTGGAAGTTGAGGTTTCAGTGAGCCGTAATCATGGCACTGCACTCCAGCCTGGGCGACAGAGTGAGACACTGTCTCAGAAAATAAAAAATAAATAAAACAAAAAGATGAGGAAACCGACTCCCCTCTTCAATTCCCCAATCACCCTCAGGATCCCTCAATCCAGAGAGAAATATCCATTCATAAGTACTGTAATAAAGGCATTTATTCCACTTAGAAATAATATTCATAATGGCCAACGTATACTAAGAGCTCCGTAAATGGCAGGCACTATGCTCAATTCCTTACATTGAATCCTCACAAAAGTCCTATGAAGTAGGTTCTCTAATGATCTTGATTTTGCAGATGAAGAAACTGAGTCTTAGAAAAATGAAGTTATGATCAGTAATTCTAGAAATGAGGTTCGATTTTGTAGAAGTAGAAATTGGACTGGGTTTCAAGGGATGGGTAAGACTTTCACATCAATATGTAGGTAGAAAAAAAAAAAAGCAATGTGAAAGCACACTGTCAGAGAGGTAGGAAGAGGACCAGGACAGAGCAGTGTCACAGCAGCCAAGAGGAGGTGGGGCCTCAGAGAGAACTCACAGAGTTTCAATGGCAGCAGAGAGGTAAATTAGACAAGGGCTGAACTTTCCATCCAATTCGGCAACTAGGTCAGATTTGACCTTGGCAGGAGAAATGGAATATTTGGGATGGAAGTCAGATTGCAACAGCCAGAACAGGAATGAGAGTCGGAGGCCGTCACGAGAGGCCACTTGGTGGACATAGCCTGAGTGATGGGTGCAGAATCAAGGAAGATTCTTTAGGTTGAGACAAACTTATGTTTGATCACAGGTAAGGAGGCAGGAGCCAGTGAAGTGGGAGAGGCTGGGGAATGCAAGAGAAAGAAGGATGGTAGAGATTGGGGGTATGATTTACCTTAGGAAAAAAGGGGAAGGAACATATACACAAAACGTCCTGTACCTGGCCAACCTTCCTCTTCCTGCATCCTATGCACAAATATTTTTTTAATAGGCTTTTCTTTTTTTTTTTTTTTGAGACAGAGTCGCTCTGTCACCCAGGCTGGAGTGCAGTGGCGTGATCCCAGCTCACTGAAACCTCCACTTCCCAGGTTCAAGCGATTCTCCTGCCTCAGCCTCCCAAGTAGCCGGGACTACAGGTATGCACCACCTAATTTTTGCACCCAGCTAATTTTTGTATTTTTAGTATAGACAGGGTTTCACCATGTTGACCAGGCTGGTCTTGAACTCCTGAACTCAGGTAATCCGTCTTGGTATCTCAAAGTGCAGGGATTACAGGCATGAGCCACCACATCTGGCCTAGACTTGATTTTTTTAGAGCAGTTTTAGGTTCACAGCAAAACTGATTGAAAGTTATAGAGATTTCTTATATATCCCTTGTCCCCACACATGCATAGCCTCCCCTATCAATATCCCCTACTCCCACCAGAGTGATGCACTTGTTATCATTGATGAGCCTACAATGACACATTATTATCAGCCAAAGTCAACAGTTTACATCAGAGCTCACTCTTGGTATCATACATTCTATGGGTTTGAACAAATGCATAATGACATGTAGCCATCATTATAGAATCATATAGAATAGTTTCACTAACCTAAAATCCTCAAAAACCCAGAGTTTTGAGAAAAAATTTAGGTTTGTATTTTTGCTTTTTTGAAAAATGGCAAGGCAAGATGCTTATTTGGTCATTTAAAAGTCTCAGATGCTTAGCTGGCTACAGGAAATAAGACACCAGCCTGGTGACATCTGGTCCCGGTTCTGTGAGGCTGGAGTTCAGGGCATCCAAAATACTTGTGCTGAAGGAACAAGAGCATGCAGCCCACTGCCATCTGCCCACTGAGAGTTCTAGGATGGCAAAGAGAAAAGAATTTATCTTTGGCATTCCCCCGATAGGTCTCTCCTCCATTAGGCAACTCCTAAGTTAGGCCAGTTAATCACCAAATCTTATCATCTTGTCCAGGAAAATAAAGTACCCTCAGGGATGAACAACTTGCTTATTCACTGAACATTTCTTAAGCACCACTATATGCCAGATTGTATCAATTTGATACATAATGATCCACTGCCAAAACAACAAATATGTATTATTTCTCACACTTTTGTATACCCAGGTAAAAATCAAGGATTCTGATGAAGGAATAGTGGTGACCCAAAAATGCACCAGAGTGGCTGTTTCTGCATAAAGAGCCTGGAGAAGGCTCTCAAAAGAGAAGCAATTGATGGTGGCTTCAGATATGGGATAGAAGTTCATCAAGCAGCTGGGCACGGTGGCTCACGCCTGTAATCTCAGCATTTTGGGAGGCTGAGACAGACAGATAATTTGAGGTCAGGAGTTCAAGACCAGCCTGACTAACATGGTGAAACCCAGTCTCTACTAAAAATACAAAAATTAGCCAGGGGTGGTGGTGGGTGCCTGTAATCCCAGCTACTCGGGAGGCTGAGGCAGGAGAATCACTTGAACACAGGAGGCAGAAGTTGCAGTGAGCCGAGCGTCTCAAAGAAAAAAAAGAAGTTCATCAGGCAAAAAAAGGAACCAAGGTGATTGAAGAAAAGGAAATAGAAGGTAACATGCAGAGCAATGTGAAACAACAGCATTGATAAATGCCCAGGAAACCAGCATGAGTAGAGCCTAGGGTGAGGTGGGGGCCAACAGGAGATGACAACGGAAAGGTTGTCATCAGATCTTGAAGGATGGTAGGCTATACAGACAAACCTGAACTCTATCCCATCTGCAGTAGGGAACTGGTGAAGGATTTTAAGCAAGGGAGCCAACAAATCTAATTTTGGGGTTTCTGTTTTGTTGTGTGTGTGTGTGTGTGTGTGTGTGTGTGTTTGTTTTTGTTTTTGTTTTGAGATGGGTCTTGCTCCATGACCCAGGCTGGAGTGCAATGGTGCTTTCAGAGCTTACTGCAGTCTCAAACTCCTGGGCTCAAGTTATCCTCCTGCCTGAGTCTCCTGAGTAGTTGGGACTATATGTTATAGGAAAGGGGTCCCAATCCAGACACCAAGAGAGGGTTCTTGAATCTCACACAAGAAAGAATTCAGGATGAATCTGTAGAGTAAAGTGAAAGCAAGTTTATTAGGAAAGTAAAGGATAAAAGAATGACTACTTCTTAGACAGAGCAGCCCTGAGGGCTGCTGGTTGCCCATTTTTATTGTTATTCCTTGATGCTATGCTAAACAAGGGGTGGATTATTCATGCCTCCCCTTTCTAGACCATATAGGGTAACTTCCTGGCGTTGCCGTGGCATTTGTAAACTAACTGTTGTGGTGCTGGTGGGAGTGTAGCAGTGAGGACAACCAGAGGTCACTCTCATCGCCATCTTGGTTTCAGTGGTGTTTGGCCAGCTTCTCTACTGCAACCTGTTTTATCAGCAAGGTCTTTATGATCTGTATTTTGTGCTGACTTCCCATCTCATCCTGTGATTCAGAATGCCTTAACCATCTAGGAATGCAGCCCAGTAGGTCTCAGCCTCATTTTACCCAGCTCCTATTCAAGATTACCCTGGCTGCTCTCAAATTCCTGGCCCCAAATGATCATCCTACCTCGTCTTCCCAAAGTGCTGGGATTACAGGAGTGAACCACTGTGCCTGGCCTAATTTGTTTTTAAAAGGTTGCTCCGGTAATTAACATGGAAAGGCTGGTTTGGAGGTTGGTATACAGAGAAGGTAGGGACTTAGTGAGGAAGATGCCTAGCTCAGGGCAAGCAAGGCAAAGACTGACCAAATTAAGCCAAAGAAATGGAGACAAGGAGACATTTTCGAGAGCTATTTTGAAGTAGACTTGACAATTGGATGCAAAAAGTCAGACAGGGAGAGAGAAAGATAAGGATGACTCCCAGGTTTGGGGCTGGGGTCATGGAAATTAGTCAGGGTAGAAATTGCTGAAAGAGTAGAGCAGGGTCTGAATGAACAGTGATCAATTTGTGGGGCCTCTGGAACATCCTGAAATGGCTGTTCAATAGGTTGTATCAATTGGTTTGGAGCTCAAAAAAAAGTTCTGGGGTGGGGAGGTGGATTTTCTAGCTGTCAGCATATGTACTATTGTAGGGATATTAAAAAGAATAGAGATCTTAACCGTGAATCATCCCAGCTGGCAAAAAAGGAGAAGAAAAAAGTAATTTCTTTTTAAAAAATGAACAATCATTTTCAAATTATTTTCTCTCCCAACAAAGGAATTAGCCAAGGTTTTGTTTCAAGACCAAACAAAAAGGGGAAAGCAATCAGCTTTCTCCATGAATGCAATGGGTAATTCATGAGGCTCTGGAAAATACAGCTGCAGTTTTGCCAATAATTTCTTGTGCCTGTGTAAACAGTACCATATTCTCTGAAGCTTTTCCCCCTTCAAAAAGGTAAACTTTGCATTGCCAATAAGTAGGGGCAGAACAATATAGTCAGCCTCCAAATTCTTTCTGGGTAAGACCATGTTCTTTACAAGAAATTTCGGATATTCAATGAATGGTTACTCCTATCTACCCTGAAGAACTGGGTTAGGAACATATGAGGTACAAGTGACCAAATACAGTTAGCTGTTATTACTTACATAGCTGATGAAGATTGAGGAGGGGAGGGAAGATGGATGCTGGCAACAGATTTCTCACTGTGTCATTTCCCTTCATTGTCTGTCAGAACTGTTTGCTACTGTTTGAAGAGCATTTTGCTACTCACAAAAAAGAAAAACAAAAAAAGTAAGTTTGTCATCAAGTAAATTTGGAGAATGTTGGATACTAGATCCACTCAGAGGATCACAATAGTGAAGGAACTTGTTTACCTTTAAGTCAGTGTTTCCCCCACATTTATTTGGCTAAGGAAATGTCTTTTCATGGAGTTCTTATTAAGGTCTTATGCAACACCAAAATGCATTTTGGGGAACACTGTCTCCAGGGCATTCGGCCACTAAGCTCTGCAGAATGTTACCAGCGCCTCCCACTAGGCACTTCTAGTTGGGCTAACATGGTATTTGTAAAAAGAGGCAGCACATTAACCCTTCCCCACAGACCTGGGGATGGGATCTCAGCTCTAGGCTATCTCTCCCAGTTTAAATTCTGAATTTGAGTGGTCAAAAACAGCTGCCTCCCTTCCCCAAACCTGCTCAGTTTTCCTATTGAAGAGGAAATCTACCATTTCCTGCCCAAGCAGCGCCTCTGGGCCCAGAGGAGGTTTTGGTGGAGTGGACCTTTGACCTGCTGAATTGGGGGTCTGTCTTTGGGATTTTTTTTCCGGGCAGAGGAAAACCTCCTCTTAGAAAAGATTCTTTGTCCTTGAGCAGTGCACCTCTAGGGAAAACCCCAAAATGAACACAGTCAGATTTTTGTAGCCTTATTTTCCATTCTATTCTGTAAGGTCAATAGGAAGTACTTTTTCTTTTTCCTTCCCCCCAACAAAATCCCATTCAGGAAAAGTAAAAATGTTTATGACAGCATATTTCTTTGAGATATTCTATCCTATTTTATATCAGGAAATACAACATCTGCATCTGCTCTTAAGGATTCTCTTTTTATTTCCTCATCACCAAAGATTTTCTTTTTTAGCTAGCATGTCAGACACTATAAATCTGCATGCACTGTAACTTCCGATGATGATGTTGCACCTTTGAAGTAACTCTGTAAGATGAGACCTGTGATGCTGAGGCAAAGTGCTTAGGAAAAATGGGGAGGAGGGAAGGAGGAAGTGAGTGTTGATTGGCATCGAGCTTCACCTATGACAAACAAATAAATAAATAAGCAAATCAACCATTGCATGGACCTCATTAGGAGATTTCTAACAGCTGGAGAAGTAGGCAGAGAGAAGTAGGGGGAGAGAAGTGTGTCAGTGAATCAGAGACTGGGCCTGTGATGGAGGAGAAGGGTGTCATTATATGAATAACTGACTTTTCATTTTCACTCATAACATATAAAATCGTTAGACTGGAACATTCTAATTGGATCACTTCTTGCATAGGTATAGTGGAGGCAGGGAATAATCCTTAATCTTTCTTCTGAGGTCTTTGACTTGTTCATTCAACTTCTCCCATTATCATCCAGCAAGTGCTCAGGCCCAAATGCCTTTTCCCAGGACTGTATGGATAACCCAACCACTGGAGGTGTCCCAGTGGAAGAAGGAAAGTTGACAAGTTATTATGCTCAGGAAGCTCTTTCTCAAGGGTTTATATCAGTTAGGATTGCGTTCAGCTGCAATTAACCAATAAAGTGACTTAAATAAATAGGAAGAAATCTAGAAGGAGGCTGGTTTCTGTTCAGTACCTTGCCAAAGGCAGACTGATGCCTGCAACTTCTATAGCTTTTCCGTTTCAGCGACAAGATGATTATCTCAGCTGTAGACATCACATCTACATTGAATTTTCTCCTTGGGCTTAAGAAGGGGAGGGTAGATCCAGTGTTGCCTTTCCTTTTTATCAGGAAATAAAAATATTTTTCAGAAGCCTCCGGCAAGCTTTGACTTGTAATTCTTTGGCCAAAATCATGTGACGTGGATATGCCTGGCTTAAGGAAGGCTGAAAAAGAGGGTATTGCGCTTTTCCAGCCTGTAAAATGGAGGCAACAAGAAGATTGTGTAGGTCTGATGGCTTGGTCAATAATAAATGTCTGCCACAGAATTATTATTTTGGGATGATCATCCCTGAAATTAGGTCGGGGCCCCATGATGAAATTAGTAAGGCCACATTCTGTACATCACTCACTGCACTCGACCATGTACAGCTGAGCTATGGTGTGAGTGAGTTAATGTTAAGCAATAACTTTAGGCAACAACTTTGTTACCATTTAAAATAAAAGCTTTTAAATTAGTTTAATGGTTTTTTTCAGGACCACTCATGTCTTCCAAAAACCCTCAAGTTTCTTTGGTTTATATCAAAGTCCTATCTAATTTGCTCCCAAGAGGAAACCTACCACAATAGTAAAGTTGTATATTTCCACAGGGATTTTCCCTAAACTGTTAATGAGTTGTGACTTCCTTATATGTACATGCAGACGAGACTGGTGCACCCCAAGCAGGTAGACAGAATTTGAACCAGATGGTTCAAGGAAAGAAAACTGGATTAGCAGATCATTTCAAACACCTCCATGTGTTGACTGAAATCCGTAAGGGGAATGACAAAACATGTACCTTATTTTCTCAACAAACTGTGCACCGCACTGAATGTTAAACATTAAATTGAGAGAGGGGTAGAGCAAACTCTGGTTTTTCTTTCTTTGTCATTAGAACCATAAGCCTAGTTTTGCCTCATTAATGTATCTAGAGAGATTTTAAAAAATAAATAAATAAGCATGGCTCCTTCATAAATTCATACCACTGAAGGACCCTCTGGTAATCCTGCAGCAGTGGTATTTGAATAAATTGGAGGTGGCAAGGGTGTGTCTCATTTCTATGAGTTCCTGGTTTGGAAAGCAAATCTCATTTTGCTTGTTTTTCCAGTTTAAACAGTAAACCGTAGGGTCATTGAAACTGGGGCCGATGCAAATTAAGGCACTTTCCAGCACTCACGCCCCCTCAGCCTCCCACCTGTTTAATTAAAGCCAAATTTGGTTGGGGAGTAAACTGGCATTTACAAATCAGGAGAAAATCTGGTTCCAGTAATTAAAGGGATTTTCTAAATCTTGTCCTCCATGTTAGAACACTCATTTTAATAGTTAATTAAAGACTCTTTAACCATCCTTTGAGAGAAATTTTAAAAAGAAAAGATTAGGGACCTGCCACACAGATACTACAGACAACAGAAACGGAAATTCTTTTTTAAACCCTTTAGGGGAAACTAAGGTCTTCTTTTCCTTACAATGCTTTGGGCATGAAGACTTTTTTTTTTCTCTTAATAAAAGGAGATACTCATTTGCTTTTGTATTGCTGAGGGTAGCCCTGCAAATTTCACAGCTATTCCATAAATATAAGCCAGCTTGCAAGTCACCCACATACCACTGCCACTTTAGTTAGGGTAGGTTGGGAAAATAGATGTTTTATTCCTTTGGTTTCCCAAGCTATGGGTAGTGCCAAAGAGCCGAACACCTTAGGCAGAGGTCCCCCAGGCACAAGGATGAGCAACATTCCTCCTGGAGATCCATGTGCCTCTCGTATTCCAAATGGTTTTAAACTAGGTGAGGTCGACCAACCAACATTTATCCAGCACTGTGCTAGGTGCTAGGAGGGCACACAGGTGAATACAGTATAGTCCTTGCTGCTCTGGACGTGAACATAATGAAGGAGACAATACATGTTCAGGCAATGCTAATTCAAGGCACACAGATATAGAAGATACACTGGAAGTAGAAACAAAGGACAGGGGGACAGGGAGAGAGACTCTGAACAAGAAGCCCTCCCAGAGAGGTGAGTCAAACTGTTCAATAGGTAGAAGAAGCAGATAGCTGCAGAATAATATTCCCAGACAGAGAACAAAGGCACAGTGGCAAGAGTCTATAGATGCCTGAAGCTGGAGCGAAGGGCTCCTGGGGAAAGGGGTTGAGCAGAGGGGAAGAAAGCATGAGTTCAGCAAAGGCCGTGTTGTGGAGGGACCTTCCCACCAGCTGTGAAATTTGCTTCATAGTACAGAGAAAAGGTTTGGGAGCTATGGAACTAAATGGTTGGGGACCAAAAAGAGACTTAGGCAAAAGACCAATTCAGATGTCACTGCTCAATTCTGTGGCTGTGTTATAGGAAAGGGGTCCCAATCTGGACCCCAAGAGAGGGTTCTTGGATCTTGTGCAAGAATGAATTCGGGGCGAGTCTGTACAGTAAACTGAAAGCAAGTTTTTTAAGAGAGTAAAGGAATAGGCTGGGCACGGTGGCTCACACCTGTAATCCCAGCACTCTGGGAGGCTGAGGCAGGAGGATCATTTGAGGTCAGGAGTTCCAGACCAGCCTGGCCAACATGGTGGAACCCCATATCTACCAAAAATGTAAAAAATTAGCCGGGTGTGGTGGTGCGTGCTTGTAATCCCAGCTACTCTGGTGGCTGAGGCAGGAGAATCACTTGAACCCAGGAGGCAGAGGTTGCAGTGAGCTGAGGTCACGCCACTGCACTCCAGCCTGGGTGACAGAGCAAGACTCTGTCGTGCTCTCATATTCGAAATGAGTTAAAAAAAAAAAAAAGAAGAAGAAAAAGAAAGTAAAGGAATGAAAGAATGGCTACTCCATAGACAGAGCAACCCTGAGGGCAGCTTGTTGCCCATTTTTATGGTTATTTCATGACGATATGCTAAACAAGGGGTGGATTATTCATGCTGCCCCTTTTTAGACCATATAGGGAACTTCCTGATGTTGCCATGGCATTTGTAAACTGTCAGGGTGCTGGTGGGAGTGTAGCAGTGAGGACGACCAGAGGTCACTCTCATCGCCATCTTGCTTTTGGTGGGTTTTGGCTGGCTTCTTTACTGCAAACTGTTTTATCAGCAAGGTCTTTATAACCTGTATTTTGTGCCGACCTCCTGTCTCATCCTGTGACTTAGAATGCCTTAACCATCTGGGAATGCAGCCCAGGAGGTCTCAGCTTCATTTTACCCATTCAAGATGGAGTTGCTCTGGTTCACATGCCTCTGACAGAAGCAGCACCCAGAAGTGAACTCTAAGGCAGACGTCTTCAAAGAGAGCTACTCACATCCCCGCGGTCCGCAGACTTACGGAGGACCATACGCTAAGTGGATCATTCTAAGGGAATCAGTGTCTAGATCCTCAACTTCTGTATGGTGTCTTTTCTAAAACTGTCTAATAAACATAATCACACTTGAAAAAAAAAAAAAGTCATACCCTTAACCTATCCCATATCTTTCTGTAGCAGGGTAATGAGTCATCAAAGTCCCTTAACCCCACAGACTTCCTGTCTTTCCCCATCATCTTGGCTCTTTCTGTTAGGATGAGCCTTGATCTTTTTTGGAGGTAATGAATTCAAAATAATCAACCGCCATACAGATTTGTGGCATTGATTATTTAATGTTCCTGGAACGTTTCCTACAATTATCAACTTTTTAAAAATAAAACCCACAGGTAAAATTATTTATATTTGAATTCATTCTGATTCAGTGTTTCAGAAAGATACTTAAAATCTATTTTATCAAATCTATCATATTTATTTCCGCTATAGTCAGCTCTAATCTTATTTCAAATTATAATATGGTTAATGTTTTCTACCTTCTATTAACAGAGAGTGAACGTCTTTAAATCCATGATGAAAAATTTTAGTTGTTAACTTAAATATTCACGAGGGAACACGTAGTTTTTGAAAAGTCTTTTGGGAGTACCCACACAAACATGTTTGAAGAAACACAATTTCCTTGGAATGTCAGTAGGACTTTGGTAGGGAAACAACATGGCAGAAGGGTGATGGGGCAGGTTTCGGTGGTAACTTAAATTTGAGAAATGCTACATTTCAGTTGAACAGAACTTGGATCCCTTAAGATGCTCATGGACATTAAGATTCTTTCAAGAGGGGGATTTATAGTATTCAGTTTCTCCTGAGTTTTGACCACAGGAGAAGGGCAGCACCAAGGGGTAACTTGAGAGTGTCTTATACCTCCCCTCAGTAATCTCCATTTGCTACGACCACTCCCCATGAAAATAAACTAAGTACAGAATCTTACTATAAACTTGAGCTTCAAGCAGTGTGTGCTGGAGCCTGCTCATACAGACTCACACCAACCTAGGCACAATTGACAATCAAATGTCTCTTCAGAAACACGTTCTGGAGCAACATTTTTTTTTTTTTTTTGAGACGGAGTCTTGCTCTGCCTCCCAGGCTGGAGTGCATGGGCACTATCTCGCCTCACTGCAACCTGCACCTCCCGGGCTCAAGCGATTCTCATGCCTCAGCCTCCCAAGTAGCTGGGATTACAGGTCCACCACCACCACTCCCAGCCAGTTTTTGTATTTTTAGTAGAGACAGGGTTTCCCCATGTTGGCCAGCCGGTCTCAAACTCCTGACCTCAGGTGATCCACCTGCCTCAGCCTCCAAAGTGCTGGGATTACAGGTGTGAGCCACTTCACCCAGCCTGAAGCAACATTTCTCTTTTGTTTATTTGTTTGAGACGCAGTCACTTTGTTGCCCAGGCTGGAGTGCCATGGCACCATCTCGGCTCACTGCAACCTCCGCCTCCCAGATTCAAGCGATTCTTGTGCCTCAGCCTCCCGGGTAGCTCAGATTACAGCTGTGTGCCACCATGCCCAGCTAATTTTTTGTGTTTTTAGTAGAGACGGGTTTCACTGTGTTGGCCAGCCTGGTCTTGAACTCCTGACCTTGTGATCTGCCCACCTCAGCCTCCCAAAGTGCTGGGATTACAGGTATGAGCCACCGTGCCCGGCCGTTTCTCAATATCATTTTGTATGAATACACACAGCTTCTGTTCATAGATCATTTCTGATTTGGGCTTTACAAATGGCATATTCTTCACACCATAACTGTGTAGAAAGAAGCCAGTAGGCTAAAGGCATGAGGCAGAAGTTGAGACAAACCCTGTGATAAAGAACTTCCTGTATCATCAATTCATGCTACAGATCAAATCCTATCACCCATGTATATACCACGTGGTATACCTCCCCAGCGCAACCCAGAATGCTTACAAGTATTGTCTTTCCCCTTCTTGAACAAGATTCTAAAAGTATGCTTGTTGTCCATATAATACCCCTAAAACACCTCTCATTTAATTAATTCTCTGGAAAAACAAAAGATGTCTTTTCAATTCCAAAATTAATAAAATTTCTCATTTGATTTCAATTTAACAAGATGACCTATTGATTGACTGAATCTTTGACTTTTCAACTGAGCATTTTGCCTTTGTGTTTGCCAATGACATATGTCATTGTGCGAAATGGAAAGGCCATCTGGCAAGAACTGCTCTGCTAGATGAAGAATGCTGGTATTCTTACAGCACTGATGCTCAGTATTGAACTATGTTGAATGCTATAAAAATGAAAGCTTCTCCAACAAAAAATGTCCTTCAGAGGCAAGCTTTGTATCTCCCCGTCACATCTGTGCTTTCTCTGCGTGATGACGAGTGATTCTAACATAGCCTTCCTTTGCCCTCAGAGTCCCCACAGAGCAATGTAAAGGAATTGGGTAATTCTCTTATGTAGGGTAAGCAACATATAATTTCAGAAATGAAATGGGAGTCTCTTTTTAAAAGGCAATGCAATTGCCTATTAACTTTCTTTAATTACAACACATCATTACATTATTTTGTAATTACATATTTTCTAAGCCATCTGTTTTGTCTGCTTGACAGAGAGCCCTCCAAGGGCAAGGATTGCTTGTGTCTTATCTTCATATCCCCAATGGCACAGAGACGGACTTGAAGTAGGCAGTCAGTAAGTATTTGTTAAATGAGTGAATGAAAAATGGAATGAATGCATTCAGGATTTGAATCCCTATCTTCTCCTGGACACAGTGATCTGGTCAATCCAAGAACCATCTTAACAGTATCTTTTGGTCAAACTAGTTGCTATGACTTGTCTGCACAACAGTGTAACAGGAAACAACTGACATATCTCTGTCTTAGAAATCTGCTCTGCCCTATATTCTCTGAATAGTTTGACTAAAACGTATTGCCCATTCAATTTTGGAGCTGTTCCAGGTTTAGATTTTCTTTTATACTTTGATATTTAAGTTTCCTACTTTCCAAAATACTAAATACTTCATTTTTCTGATGATGATGACTGCTTTTAAATTTACATTTCTCCCCTGTTCATCTTCTCTGCCACTTTTAAAACACACTAATCCTTTCTGTCTATATTTTCTGATATTGTTCCAGTTAAATTTCTTCTTTGGAAAATAAAAATATCTTTTTTGTTTCCTTTATTTCTTTCCTGTAATTTGTTCCCAAGGCCTCGAGTCTAAAAGCTGTCTTTGACCCTTGAACTTATGCTGAGTTCCCATAGCCACTTCCTCAGCTGGCCTGCCTGGCGCTATCTCTAAAACATTCCTAGAATTGCTCCTTGCTGAGACCGAAACCCATGTGCTCACCTTAATCTCAACTTATCTTGACTTCCAATTTTTCCATATATGGTCCTCATACCTCCCTATTGTCTGAAGGTCCACAGAGGAAATCTGTTCCACATCAAGAAGTATATATATATATACATATATATTACTTTCTTGGTTGTTCTCTTCTCCTCTGGCATTTTGGAACTTTCCTGGGCTAACTTCTATCCTCAAATCTGATATTGGTCTTCAAATTATTTCATTTGAGCCAGTGATCACATGTAGAAGCTTGTGTTTTATTTTGTTTTGTTTTTCCACTGGCTCTGCTACTCACAGGATAAAAAGTTGGAGACAAGGTATTGAACTTGACTCAGTGAGTAGAAAGCAGGGATTTAAAATACTTGGCATATGTCCTGCTTTGGAGTGCAGCTCTAAGAATGAATGAGTCTAAAACCACAGCAAAGAATTTATTATTATAGATCTCTATTAGCAGTACTATCACTTTACTGATGATGGTAATGGAGCTCATAATAATATAAAGAAACGCATTAGCAAACATGGAATCTCAGAAAGACTCTATTACATAGTCTTTAAGAATTACCTGGGCTGGGCTCAGTGGCTCACACCTATATTCTCAGCACTTTGGGAGGCTAAGATGGGAGGATTGCTTGAGGCCAGGAGTTCAAGACCAGCCCGGGGAACATAGAAAGACCCTATTTGTACAATAATAATAATAAATTAATAATTAATTTTAAAATAAGAATTACCTGGCCAGGCGTGGTGGCTCTTGCCTGTAATCAATCCCAGCACTTTGGGAGGCCGAGGCGGGCGGATCACGAGGTCAGGAGATCGAGACCATCCTGGCTAACACGGTGAAACCCCGTCTCTACTAAAAATACAAAAAATCAGCCAGGCCTGGTGGCAGGCGCCTGTAGTCCCAGCTACTTGGGAGGCTGAGGCAGGAGAATGGTGTGAACCAGGGAGGTGGGGCTTGCAGTGAGCCAAGACTGTGCCACTGCACTCCAGCCTGGGCAACAGAGCAAGACTCTGTCAAAAAAAAAAAAAAAAAAAAAAAAAAAAAAAAAAAGTACCTGCCCACAGTGCTACCTCCCTTCTCTAAATCACACTGGATTTTTTCATGACTATCAAACTGCCCAGCGATTAATTGTTCTCTTACCATTTCCTGTGGATTATCTTTGCCCCTGATGAGACCCATGGAAACAAGACCTATGGAGTCCAGCTCTAAGGATGAATAAGTGTAAAACCATAGCAGAGAATTTATTATTATGGATCTCTATTAGCAGTACTATAATTTTACTGATGATGGCAATGGAACTCATAATAATATAAAGAAATGCATTAGCAAACATGGAAGCTCAGAAAGGCTCTATCTTTCTCTTGCACTCTGCAGTACCAGCTTGAGGACAAGTCACATAATAAGCTCACAAGAATACTTTTTGATTGGTGATGAAATTTCATCCTGATGATTCTCTTTATCATAGTGAATAAAGAATGGTTTATGGCTTCTAATAAGATTGCAAAGTTGAAAAATCACTAAGTTCAATTACATCTCTAGGAAAGAATTGCTCTGAGCCTTCCCAAAGCCCTGAACACAGTCCCCAGCAATCCCTGTGCACTTACGGCTGAATTTCCTGCATATTTCCCTGCTCTGGCTAGTCTCCTGCCATGGGAGCCGATGCAGAACAGCACCACCTCTCTTTTTAACTCGCCCACCTTTCCTGACCACATTCCTCTCGGCCTCCTCACGTTTGTAGGTCAAACCCTGGAAAGGCCACATTTATCAGAGACAATTGACTCAAAAGGCATAAAGACCCCCCACAGCCACTCACTGCTGTACTAGCCCCTTAGTCCTCATTCCTCGTCTCTACTGCCAAAGAAAAGGAGAAATTCACATTTGTTAAGCCTCTGCTCTGGGCCAGGGACTCCTCTGTTAGGTTGTTTTACTGGATGTGTGTGTGTGTGTGTGTGTGTGTGTGTGTGTGTGTGTCTTCCCAACTATCTCTCTCCTCCCTTTATTACTCTTTTTGTACTTTCTTCTCTCTCCTTCTCTCTGCTAGAAGTAACTTTGGAACTGGTTTAAGATTGATGTGCTGGAAATGTATAACAAGCCAGATTTTCATGGTGTAATTAGTGCCGTCGTGGCTAATTTCTTTTTTTTTTTCTTCAAGATGGGGTTTCACTCTGGAGTGGCACGTGCCATCACACCTGGCTAATGTTTGTACTTTTTGTAGATATGGGGTTGTGCCATATCACCTAGGCTGGTCTCGAACTCCTGACCTCAAGTGATCTGCCCACTTTGGCCTCCCAAAGTGTTGAGATCACAGGCATGAGCCACTGCACCCGACCATGGCCAATTTCAAGTTACAAACATGGTCACTGAATGCAGACTGAGACGTGCACAATCCACTCCTGTCAGCAGGGTGGAGCGCCTCTGGTTTGGAGTAAGGGTAGGCAGCTCTGCAACTCAAAACTCTCTTTCCCCAGAGTTCTGTGAAACCAATTCATAAAGAATACATACAAATCTGGCTTCTTTCGGTGGGTGTAGGGGGCACAGCAGAGTTCAGTGGGGCATCTTACTTTAATTTTTTTTTTCAGGAATGGTCTTGTTCTGTTGCCCAGGCTGGAGTGCAGTGGTGCAATCACAGCTCACTGCAGCCTGGAACTCCTAGCCTCAAGCAATCCTCATGCCTCAGCCTCCTGAGTAGCTACAACTTACAGGCATGCACCACTACGCCTGGTTAATTTTTCATGGTTTGTTTTTTTTTTTTAATCAAATATTGGGTCTCGCTATGTTTTTGCCCACGCTTGTCTCAAACTCCTGGCCGCGAGCTATCCTCCCACCTTGGCCTTCCAAAGCGCTAGGATTACAGGCGTGAGCCACCGTGTCCAGCCATTACTTTTACATTTTGACTTGTGCCTCTTGTTATATGTGGAGGATCAATTATTTATCCACCACTGCCCAACGTTCATTACAGGAAAAAGGCTGCTCAGCTTGTGAAAAGCGTTTGCTCCAGTTTCTTTCATTTGAAGCATGCAAAGTAGTTTTAACAAATGGCACTTAATAAAAAATAAATGGTACCTTAAGACCGTTCATGCAGAGGACTTCCTGACAATGACTGGAAGTGCCAACTAGCCCATGAGCTAATTATCCTGTAAATTCCCTTTTCTTCCCCAGTGTGGAGGTGAGATCTAATTTGAAAGATTAAAATCTTTGCATGATTACAGTATATCATAATTGTTAAGCTCTATAGTTACATGCTCAATAGCTACTAAGTAAGTGCAAAGAATTACAAGGTGATTTGTGCCTGTAAGATAAATTCCAAGAATTTTGCTTCTAAAAAGGCAGGGAAGTGGAGGTGGCAGAATAAAAAATGTGCTAAGTGAAGTGATTTATTGTGAACTTTAGGAAAGGGAGACTTTGGGGTCTCAGGATTCATAGACAGGCCAAATCATAGAATGCCTTCACATGCATTTCTTAGGTTGTGCTAAACTTTACATAAAAGCACCACTCAAGTGGATGAAGTTGTCTAAGGAGTATTTAGATTGTACTTTGGGAAGGGTTCCAAATGTCTGCTATTCTCATAGTAGAGGAAACCACCAAAGTATATTTCCAACAACCTCAAGCACGAAAAGCCAAGTCCAATCTTCTTCAACTCAGTGCCAGAGAAATAATATGAATACACACACACACACACACGTATGTGAAATAAAAACAATAAAAATGTTAAAGAAGAAAGAAAAATAATAAAGCTTTTAGTAGTTATAGTTCCAACTCCACCACTACTTCGTTTTGTGCCAACAGTTCTTTGGTAGATCTTACTAATTCTTTAGTAGACTTCACACTGGAAAATTCATTCATTAAACAAATATTTATTCAGCACCTAGGGCATACCAGGCTCCTGTTCTTGGTACTGGGGACATGATTTAAAAAAAGATAGATTAAGAGCTCTGCTCTCTTTGAGCTCAGAGTCCAGCAGGAAGAAAGGTTTAAAAATTAAGTATTGGGCCAGGTGTGGTGGCATGTGCCTGTGGTCCCAGCTACTCCAGAGGCTGAAGTGGAAGGACCCCTTGAGTCCAGGAGGTCGAGGGTACAATGAGCCATGATTGAGCCACTGCACTCCAGCCTGGGCAACAGAGCAAGAGCCCGTCTAAATAAGTAAATAAAATAAGTACTAATTACAAGTCCTAGGAAGAAGAAGAACAGGGTGCTGTGAAAAGTGTAAAGGTCTATCCTGGTTTGGGAGTCAAGGAAAGCATGAATGAGAAAGTGACAATGCATAATTTGACCTAAGGATGAGTAGGCACTAGCCAGGAGAAAGGGAGAAGGGCAAAGCCAGGCCTTTCTCCAATCAAGCAATGCAAAAGGAGTTTCTAAAACTATTGTCTGGTAATGCCTTTCTCCTCCCATCCTTGAAGATCCTCAGACTAGTTTGCTCATTATAGCTAAGATCTCTTTAATTTTTCTAGCTGTAACTTCTGATGTTACTGATAGCTGTAGGCATAATTTTAAGAGGACAGGAAATATCAGATTTGATGAAATTGGGCCCTTAGGAAGACAGGCAATAATGAGTTTCTAGAAATTAATTCTCAGAATGGTCCAGGAGTGGCTTGAGAATCCAGTCTGTGCAGGTATCCAGGAGTCTGGCTTACTGACACAACATGGGGTAAATGGCGGCTCACTGGTGGTTGGTAAACAGAACCATCTCAGGCAACCAAAAAGGATACAAAGTGACAAACACAACTAGATAATTGTCCATTTTATACCTCATATTTAATTGTAATGACTCAGCTTAAACCATGTCAATGTCGAGAATTTTTGGAAAATTCACCCATTTCCCTTAAAGGTAGGATTTTTCATCTGACACCAGAATAGGAGCTGCACCATTCACTTATCTTAGCCTACTTAGTATGTTATTATTGGATAGGTTTTAAACCCATATGATTATGTCAATAAATGCAGAAAAAGTGTTTAATAAAATTCAACATCGCTTCATGATAAAAACCCTAAATATATGTAGAAGGAACATATCTCAACACAATAAACACATATGCGACAAACCCATAGCTAACATCGTACTGAGTGAAGAAAAGTTGAAAGCTTTTCCTCAAAGATCAGGAGCAAGACATGGATGTCCACTTTCACCACTTCTATTTAACACAGTACTAGACGTCTCGCCAGAGAAATTAGGCAAGAGAAAAAAATAAGGGGCATCCAAATTGAAAAGGAGGAAGTCGAATTATTCCTGTTTGCAGGCAACAAGATTTTATATATAGAAAACCCTGAAGACTCCACCAAAAGCCTATTAGAACTAATAAATGAATTATGATTTTAGAAGTAGGTTTTGTTCTATAAAGAAAATTAGAAAAGTAAGAAAAAAAAAGTACATCATTAGCCAAATAAAACCATAGCCTATTGTTGGATATAATTCTTTTCAGCCTTTTTTACACATTATTTTTGGGTTTTACTTTTTCTTCTTTTTAATATGACTGATTTAACTCCCCATACAACTGAATGATATTTTATTTTTACTTAACATTCCATCATAAACATTTTGCCTGTTGTGACATACCTTTTGTAAACATTATGTTAAATAATTGTACAATATTTCATGAAGTGAATATGTCATTGTTTGCCTCACCAGTCTTCTGTGGTGGGACATTTAGGGCCCCCATTAACATTCCTTTTAACTAGAAGTTTGTTTTGGTTTGTTTTGGTTTTGCTTTTTGAGACAGAGTCTCACTCTGTCGCCCAGGCTGGAGTACAGTGGTACCATCTTGGCTCACTGCAACCTCCACCTCTGGGTTCAAGCAACTCTCCTGCCTCAGCCTCCCAAGTAACTGGAACTATAGGCACACACCACCACACCCAGCTAGTTTTTTTATTTTTAGTAGAGATGGAGTTTCACCATCTTGACCAGGCTGGTCTCAAACTCCTGTACTCAGGTGATTCACCCACCTTGGCCTCCCAAAGTGCTAGGATTATGGGCATGAGCCACCATGCCCAGCCTTAACTAGAAGTTTTTTTAATCAGTGGGATTACTTTCATAGTAAGGACTCTTAGATGTTGCATAATTGGGTCGAAGGTATAAAACTTTTAAAGATTCCTAAAATGTATATAGTTCAAATTGTGTTTTCAAATAGTATATCAATTTATGCTCCCATTGACAATGTATGAAAGCACCCATCCTTGTCAGCTCGCTCTCTCTCTCACTTTCTCACCATTTACTAAGTGCAACTTTTACTAATTTCTTGGGCAAAAAAAAAAAAAAGAAAGAAAGGATGGTATTTTGTCTTAGTTTGTGCCTTACAAGGCTAACATTACCCTGATACCAAGACCAGACAAGTACACAACAAAAAAAGAAAACTGTAGGCCAATATCTCTGATGGACATAGATGCAAAAATCCTCCACAAAATACTAGCAAATCAAATCCAACAGCACGTTAAAAAGATCATTCACCACGATAAAGTGGGATTCATCCCGGGGATACAAGGATGGTTCAACATAAGTCAATAAACCTGATACATCACATTCAGAATGAGGGATAAAACCCATATGATTATCTCAACACATGCAGAAAAAGTGTTTAATAAGATTCAACATCCTTCATGATAAAAACCCTAATATGTGTAGAAGGAACATATCTCAACACAATAAACACATGTGACAAACCCATAGCTAACATCGTACTGAGTGAGGAAAAGTTGAAAGCTTTTCCTCAAAGATCAGGAGCAAGACACAGTACTAGAAGTCTTAGCCAGAGACATTAGGCAAGAGAAAAAAATAACGGACATCCAAATTGAGAAGGAGGAAGTTGAATTATTCCTGTTTGCAGGAAACATGATTTTATATATAGAAAACCCTGAAGACTCCACCAAAAGCCTGTTAGAACTAATAAATGAATTCAGTAAGGTTGCAGGATAACACTCGACATACAATTCCTAGTGCTATTTTATTTTTATGTAACATCCCATCAAAAATATTTTCCCCATTGTGACATAGCTTTTGTAAATATTATGTTTATGTTAAAATTCTGTGGCATCTGTTGAGAAGCAAGGAGAACAGGAAAAAATTAGTAGCATTTTAATATGCCAACAACAAACTATCTGTAAAAGAAATCAAGAAAGCAATCCCATTTATAAAAACTACAAATACAATAAAATGCATAGGAATAAATTTAACCAAGAAAGTTGTCTAATTTTTCTACAGTGAAAACTATAAAACACTGATTTTAAAAAATTGAACAGGACATTAATAAATGGAAAGCTATCCTGAGTTCATTGATTAGAAGAATTAATAATGTTAAAATATCCAAACTACCCAAAACTGTCTACCAATTTAATGCAATCTCTATCAAAACACCAAGGACATTTTTCACTGAAATAGAAAAAACAATCCTAAAATTTGCATGGAACCACAAAATATCCCAAACAGCCAAAGCGTTCTTGAGCAAAACAACATAGCTGAAGGCACCACCCTAACTGACTTTAAAATATACGACAAAACAGTACTAGGCAAAACAGCATGGTACTGGCAGAAAAACAGACACAGACCAATGCAACAAAATAGAGGACCCAGAAATAAATTCATGCATTTAAAGCTATCTGAGCTTTGACAAAGGCACCAAGAAAACACACTGAGGAAAGGAAGTGTCTTCAATAAATGGTGCTGGGAAAACTGGATCTCCACATGCAGAAGAATGAAACTAGACCCCAATTTCTTACCACTTACAAAAACCAAATCAAAACAGACTAAAGACTTAAATATAAGACCCCAAACTATGAAACTACTAAAAGAAAACATAGGGGAAATACTTCATGACATTGATCTGGGTAATAATTTTTTTAATCAGACCTCAAAAGCACAGGTGACAAAAGTGAAATAGACAAGCAGGATTACATCAAACTGAAAAGCTTCTGCACAGCAAAGGAAACAATCCGCAGAGTGGTGAGGCAATCAACAGAATGGGAGAAAATATTCACAAACTATGCACCTAAAAAGGGATTACTATCCAGAATATGTAAGAAAGTCAAAAAACTCAATAGCAAAAAAAAAAAAAAAAAATCTAACTTTAAAATGGACAAAAGACTGACATTTCTCAAAAGAAGTTATACAAATGGCCAACAGGTTATGAAAAAGTACTCAATATCACTAAGCATTGGGGAAATGCAAACCAAAACCACAATGAGATATCATCTCACCCCAGTTAGAATGGCTACTATCAAAAAGACAAAAAATAAACAAATGTTACGAGGATGTGGATAAAGGGGAACTTGTACACTGTGGTGGGAATGTAAATTTGTATAGCCATTACAGACAACAGTATGGAGTTCCTCAATAAGTTAACAATAAAACTACCATATGAACCAACAATCCCACCACTGGGTGTATATCCAAAGGAAAGGAAATCAGTGTGTGGAAGAGGTATCTGCATTCCCATGTTTATTGCAGCACTAATCACAATAGCCAAGATATGGAATCACCCTAAGTGTCCATCAATGGATGAATGTATTAAAAAATTGTGGTATATATGCACAACAGAATACTATTCAGCCATAAAAAGAATGAAATCCTTTATTTGAGACAACATGCATAAATGTAGAAGACATTAAGTAAAATAAGCCAAGCACAGAAGAGCAAATACCACATGATTTCATTTATGTGGAATCTTAAAAAGTTGATCTCATAGAAGTAGGGAGTAGAGGCTGGGTGCGGTGGCTCACGCATGTAATCCCAGCAATTTGGGAGGCCGAGGCAGGTGGATCACCTGAGGTCAAGAGTTCCAGACCAGTCTGGCGAACATGGTGAAACCCCGTCTCAACTAAAAATACAAAAATTAGCCAGGCATGGTGGCAGGCGCCTGTAATCCCAGCTACTGGGGAGGCTGAGGCAGGAAAATCATTTGAACCCAGGAGGTGGAATTGCAGTGAGACGAGATTGCACCATTGCACTCCAGCCTAGGTGACAGAGATTCTGTCTCAAAAAAAAAAAGTAGAGAGTAGAACAGTGGTTACCAGAGGAAAAAAAGAAGGGAGATGAGGAGAGGTTGGTGAAGAGGTACAAAGTTACAGTTAGATATGAGAAATAAGTTCTGGTGTGATATTGCACAGTAGGGTGACTATAGTAAATAACAATGTATTGCATATTTTCAAAATACCTAGAAGAGAGGATTTTGAATGTTCCCACCAGAAAGAAATAATAAACATTTGAGATAACGGATATGCTAATTACCCTGACTGATTGTCATAACAGTGTATATATGCATCAAAATACCACAATGTACCCCATAAATATGTACAATTATAATGTGTCAATTAAAAACAAAATAGGGCTGGGCACGATGGCTCACACTTGCAATGCCAACAATTTGGGAGGCTGAAGCAGGCGGATCACCTGAGGTCAGAAATTTGAGACCAGTGTGGCCAACATGGTGAGACTCCGTCTCTACTAAAAATACAAAAAAAATGGCCAGGCGTGGTGGCGGGCACTTGTAATCCCAGCTACTCAGGAGGCTGAGGCAGAAGAGTCACTTGAACCAGGGAGGTGGATATTGCAGTGAGCCAAGACAGCACCATTGCATTCCAGCCTAGGCAACAAGAGCAAAACTCCAGCTCAAAAAAAAAAAGAAGAAAGAAAAAAAAAAGAAAACGTTTCAAAAATAAAAAACTAAAAACGATAGTATTTTAATTTGCATTTCTGTGAAATTGACAATTTTCATGTGTTTAATTAGATTGATTTTCTCTTTAATATTCATGTTCCTTTTTATTTTCAATTAGCCCACTGTTATCATTTAAAAAAATTTTTCAGCCAGGCGCAGTGGTTCACGCCTGTAATCCCAGCACTTTGGGAGGCCGAGGAGGGTAAATCACTCGAGGTCAGAAGTTCGAGACCAACCTGGCCAACATAGCAAAACCCCATTTCTATTAAAAATATAAAAATTAGCCAGGAGTGGTGGCGCACGCCTGGATTCCCAGCTATTTGGGAGGCTGAGGCAGGAGAATTACGTGAACCCAGGAGGCAGAGGTTGCAGTGAGCTGAGATCGTGCCATTGCATTCCAACATGGATGACAAGAGCGAAACTCCATCTCAAAAAGAAAAAGAAAAAAAAACTCAGTTTTTGCTTTAAAATATTTTAATATAGAGAACCATTTATGTTAATTCTGACCTGTGACCATCACACAAATAATACAACTTTCATTTGAGATACTTATTTAAATACAACTCATTTTTATCTCAAATTAACTCAACCACTCTAAAACTGACCACAATGTACCCTTTTACTGGACATATAGTCTTTCCTTGCTTATGTTCTTATAGCTTGCCTCTTTTCTTTTCTATATGTATGTTTTTTATGTACAGTCATACACTGCATATTGATGTTTCAGTCAGCAACAGACCGCATATACAATGGTGGTAGTATAAGATTGTAACACTGTATTTTTACTATACCTTTTTTATGTTTAGATACACAAATTGTGTTCCAATTTTGCCTACAGTAACATGCTATACAGGCTTGTAGCCTAGGAGCAATAGGCTATACCATACACCCTAGCTATGTAGTAGGGTATACCATTCAGATTTGCGCAAATACTCTCTATGATGTTTGCACAATGACAAAATCGCTCAGCGACACATTTCTCAGAAAGTATTTCCGTTGTTAAGTGATGCATGACTGTGTATATAAAAGTACATATACAATCATAATACACATGTATATACTTTTGTGTATATACTCCTATTCATACACATGTATATAAAGGAGACATACATGTGTGTGTATATATATGTATGTGTACCTATGTGCACATACATGCATACACAATGTGCAAACAGAGGCAAAAAGAGGAGATAAAATTGAATTTATTCCCTTTGGTTTAGTCACCAGCCCAAGAAAGTATTTGACGAAGTTATAGGTGTCAATTATACATATAGATGTCAAATATTCTTGTCCATAGAAGCATAGAAAATTAAAAACTGAATGTAAAATAAAAATATTAAGTAATGAGAACATTTTATTTAAAAAAAAAAAAAAAAAAAAAGCAGTCATGGGGCCGGGTGTGGTGGCTCACGCCTGTAATCCCAGCCCTTTGGGAGGCTGAGGCGGGTGGATCACCTGAGGTCAGGAGTTCAAGACCAGCCTGACCAACATGGTGAAACCCTGTCTCTACTAAAAATACAAAAAAATTAGCTGGGCATGGTGGCACATGCCTGTAACCCCAGCTACTCGGGAGGCTGAGGCAAGAGAATAGCTTGAACCTGGGAGGCAGAGGTTGCAATGAGCTTAGACGCGCCATTGCACTCCAACCTGGGCAGCAAGGACAAAACTCCATTTCAAAGAAAAAAAAAAAAGAAAAAAAAGCAGACATTTGGGTTTTTTTAAAGTAACTACTTGGAAGGTTGTACATTGATTTCACTGAAAACATTTTCTTAGAGTCCTCATTTGCAATTACCTTCAAAATTAGTTTCTGAGTCTCCTTTACTTTTATTCCAAACGATATTACTCTGGTTGACTATGATTTTTATTCATTTATTTTGATTTAACCTACTTTGGGAGGATTCCAATAGTAAAGTTTCTCTCATGTGAAGTACTAGAGAATTGCCACAATGTATCTGTCCATATTAGTACATATTCCTGAGAATCTAACAGAGGTTGGGAGGAGGTTTTATTTATTTATTTATTTATTTATTTATTTATTGAGACATAGTTTCACTCTTGTTGCCCAGGCTGGAGTGCAATGGCGCTATCTCAGCTTACTGCAACCTCTGCCTCCCTGATTCAAGCAATTCTTCTCCCTCAGCCTCCTGAGTAGCTGGGATTACAGGCATGAGCCATCATGCCAAACTAATTTTGTATTTTTAGTGCAGACGGGGTTTCACCATGTTGGTCAGGCTGATCTTGAACTCCCGACCTCAGGTGATCCACTCACCTCGGCCTCCCAAAGTGCTGGCATTACAGGCATGATCCACCGCGCCCAGCCAATAGGAGGTTTTAGAATACAAATATAAGACATCTGAAGGTGCTGACTTCCAAGGAGTCCAGGTTCATCTGCATATGTTGGTTTCAGTGGGCCTCTCCATCACGTCAGCAAGTGTGCCATGCATAACCTATACCACCAAATGTGATGGCCCTGCTTCTTGAATGTGCACTTGAAAAATCTTTGAAAATCTTGAGTCCTTACTCAGATTTGCTTTTATTTTCCAGAAACTCAGAAAAGTTGTGTAAAATCAAAATTAAACTGAAATTAGTGTAGGAGAGAGAGAGAGAGATCACCTCCACGTCCATCACCCCCACTCTCTCTTAGCTCTCATGTGAGCTCTTTGGCTGTGTCTAGGAACCAAACTGACGTAAGAAAGATGAGCAAGAGAAAAGCATATACATTTTTGTTTTGCGGGGATTTTTTGCTTGTTTGTCTTTGTTTTTAGGGTCTCACTATATTGCCCAGGCTGGTCTCAAACTCCTACAATCTAACAATCCTCCTGTCTTAGCCTCACAAGTAGCTGGGATTACAGGCATGAGCCAGCCACAACCAGCCAAGTTTCATTAGTTTTACATGTACCGGGGGTCTCCACTTTAAGAGTGAAGTCCGAAGAAATGGCCAAAGCAAGATGCTTTTATACTTTTTAGACAAAGAACAATAAATTTGTGAAGAAATGACAGGACAAAGGGGAACTGGCCAGGGACATAAATTCTAGGGGAGTCCCTAGGAGATATATGGCAGAGTATAAAAGCAGTAGATGATAAGGGTTACTTTGGGAAGTTTACTTATTTGGGTCCATTGCAGCCCTAATTCCCAGTCTTCTGGTGATAAGGTCTATTTTCTTGCTCTGGTACAGGAAAGGCCCCCCTCCTGGAGTAATCTTTATGGCTGGCTGCATGCAAGAACAGACAGGTCAGCAAGCCCTTTCTGAAACTATAATTTCTCCAACATTTTCAACTCAAAATAATGAATATAACAATGCAGCATATTTTGGGATGGCATATCCTTCACTACTTTATTAGTAAGACTTCACTATATCAGATTTAACAAGGTTTTGTTAAATGATCTGTGTACCCACAATTTTGAGCACCACATTTTCTGATGAAATATGAATTAGTGAAGTCTACAAAGGTATAATACCACAATTTAGAACATTATCATGTGGCGATCCTTTGAGTATAGAATGGTGTTTATGTCAATATTAATTCTGAAAATTCCTAAGATGCCCATTTTCTGAGGTGAAATCAGCAATGTGATTGATTATTCATTTAAAAAACACTCGGGCATCTCAGCAACCATGAACTAATGTCTTTGGTAGATCAATAATTTTTTCACTCCAATCACAAGAAGAAATCCAGAGCATCAGAAAAGTCATCAGTAAAAACATTAAAAGATATGTGCCAGCTGTTTCTGGCAGAGTGTTGAAGAGGGGATGGAGCAAAACAATAAGAAATGTTTGCCATATGTTGGAAAATGAGGGGTAATGGAAAATATTCATAAACAAAGACTAACACTTGTCTGTATGTTATTCAGGTGCAGAGATAAAGCACATCCATCTTCAGTGACTCTTCTGAATGCAAATGACTCTAAGGCTCAGGCAGTCATTTCCAGAGTCTTGAAATCCCTTATGCAGTCTGAACCATCATTGGTGTCAGTTTTGCCTGCATAAGCACTTTAAGATGAAATCCTAACCTCTGAATTAGCATAAAACATTCTGTATAAAAATCATTCACATTAGAGGCTCTCTGTCAATTTTTGAACTGGCATTGCTATTGTCTTGTATTTTAAATCAGTTTAGAAATCTTTCCCCTTCTCTAATTCGTTTCCTTCGTTCTCAGTCTGACATTCCTCATCATTCCTGTCAGGTGGGTTACATCTGCTGTATTTGCTGGAGCCTACAGAGATTGGGGTGGGGGGAAAGAAAATATGGAATTTGCCCAACTAATGTGGTTCAAATCAAGCTCACGAGAAACCATTTTCCCTGCTTATATTTACACAGGTATGATAGATTTATTTCCCCCAGGAGTCCTCTGTTTTCTCCTGAAATTTGACCATGTGTGACTCATTTGTCTGTATGTTATTCAGCTGCACAGATAAAATACATCCATCTCTTCTAAATGCAAATTCTCAGCAAGAGTAAGCCGAGTAAGCTTTGTCACAGCAAGAAGCAAGAGGGCAGACATAGTGGACAAGAAAAACCCTACCGAGTAAAGGATCTCAAGATGCACACAGCTGTTCCCAAATGTTAGTCAGTGAATGAGGCAGTCATTGATGAATCTGATAGTGAATTTGATAACGTAGTTGGGGCTCAAACACTTGAGAGCTACATCCCCAGGACTTACGGGAGGGCCAGAGAAGCCAGAACTCAAGACTGCAGGAACCCAGGTGTGACTTTGGTGTCCACTATGTGGTCATATGGCCACCGTGTAGCCTCCTTACTCTGGACCACTTTGTTGAAATGGAGACCTATGGAGGTTGCCTAAAAAACTTTGCTTTAAAAATTCTTGAGAAGCAGAGGATTGACTAACTCAATTCTTAAATGAAAAGATATACCCCTGGAGCCATATGGAAATTTGTGGGAGGATTTGATTGTCACACTGATGGGGAGGCACCACTAGCGTTTAGTGGGTGGGGCCAGAGGCAGTAAACACCCTGCAACGTGTGGGATATGGTCCCCATGACAAATTTCCCTAACTTCTGCCCACATTTAAAATGTCCAATCACGGAAGTGAAAAAACACACGATATAATTATCTGAGCCATATATCTAACTCCATTTAACATATACACACAAGGTATTTTTAACAGTTTTAATACACATTGACTTTTTCAAGAACGCAACCATTGTGTGTAAATACTTTGTTTTGTTTGAAATTGACCAGCCTTTCAGTAAATCTCTGAGAACAAGGCATGGGTCTGCATATGTAATGTCACATTTTGTATATCGATACGAATGTACTTACCTTGCCTTTATTTCAAAATGTCAAATATAAAGAAAAAGTGTTGACAATATTCAGTTGAGTATTGTCTTACTTCTGTGAAGCTCAAACTAATTCATTACAAATAGTGGTATCGGACTTAGAACTGTCTTTTAGTTTGGCCATGCCAAAAATATGCACACTTTTATTATAAATTACTTTCCTTTTATTTTTCCTTTTTATTAGTTTGTGCTGGACCCTGCGGGCCCCACTGAGATCCCCACTTCAGGACCTCCCTAGCAGCTGAGAGCACTGATCGTGAGCAGCCAGGGCTTAGGGTCACCACCAACTCCCCACAATTGCTCCTGTCTGAAAAAGGCTGCCTCTTCCAAGGTCCTGCCCCATGACTCCTCCATAGGAGGAGCCCTCATCCACTTACTGGTCACTGGGGGATAATAAGGCCCCAATTAGGCACAATTCTACAAGAGCAATCTGCTCCAGAGCTCCCTGTGGGATCTGCTGGGTCGTGTGGAATTGCATGGCAGCGTGACCCAACTTTTCCCTCTGCCCAAGCCTGCTTCCATCTCCCTCTCACAGGTGTTGATCCCAAGAGTATGTCCCCAAACACCATCTCAAGTTCTTTTTCCTGGGGAACCTGACCTGTGGCACAGTGAAAGCATTATAATTGATTTTGGACATTGGGCATTACATTATATAGCAATTTTAATTTGGGATAGTAAAGGGGGAAAGGAAAAAATATTTGCAATAAATGAGAGGTACCAGATTTCATGGGGTTGAGAACCACTGGACTAGGTGATCTCTTCAGAGTCCCTCTACCTTAAGATCTTCCCCTTTTGTGTAGCAACGCTGCTTTTTCTAGATCCTGAAATTAACCAAGACTCAAAATAATACTTTATGTAACTGTTTTGCACCCACTTGAATAAAATAAGTGGTCCTGTACAGCATCATTGCACATCAGCACTTTTTTTCTAGATTATCCACCCACCATGCGATGTATCCCTGGGGGAGTAATTGCTACATGTGATGCAGCCAGCAAAGCCCAAGGCGTGTGTGCCAGCAGAGCAGTGTGTCTATGCCATAGACTACATTACTCAGGCCTCACAGCAAAGTGGCCGTGGGTATATTTAGCTCTCTCTGAGAGAGAGACACTAGGTATCCAAGAAGATAACAATCTGGCTCAATAACATCAGGCACTTTGCTCTTTGAAAAAAAAATTTTTTTTTTTTTGAGACAGAGTTTCGCTGTTGTTGCCCAGGCGGGAGTGCAGTGGCGCGATCTCGGCTCACTGCAACTTCCGCCTCCCGGATTCAAGCTGTTCTCCTGCCTCAGCCTCCTGAGTAGCTGGGATTACAGGCATGCGCCACTCCACGCCCGGCTAATTGTTGTATTTTTAGGAGAGACGGGGTTTCTCCATGTTGGTCAGGCTGCTCTCAAACCCGCCTCGGCCTCCCAAAGTGCTGGGATTACAGGCGTGAGCCGCCATGTCTAGCCTGCTCTTTGAAATTTTTTAGATGACATAGAGTTTTAATTTTATTCTTAATATCCCAATGTTGTAATTCTCTTTGAACCATCAACTAAAAAAGATTCACAGAGCCAGAGTGCAGCTGAGGAGCATGTGTGCATGTGTTTGAATGTGTGTGTGGTATGTGTGTATGTGTATGCTCTGTGTGTCTGTGTGTGAGCGGGTGCTTGCTGTCCTAAGGGACAGTAGGGGAGGAGAATCCAAAAGTGAGACCAGTGAATACTAAGTTCTTACTTTCTGACCAGGCTGCCCCAAACCAAGAATGCAAAACCCCTTGAAAGCACTTAGTTTCCTCTCATTCCAGAAAAGTGTTATACTCGATCAAGCAGAATGAGGGCTATTTACCTGGTACTGTGACTCCTTTCAAATCAGTTGTTAATCTAAGTCTTCAGTGTGCCACTAGGTCATCAACTTTCTTGGTCATCTGACATTCAACACAGATCAGAGTCTGAAAGCTTGGCCCCACCTCCTCAGCACTAGCCTGCTGCCCCCAGGCTGTCCGCGTGTTGCAGAGGCTGTTCAGTCATTCAGCATCTCTTTCTTAATTCATTTACCTGTAATACTGGGATGCTGGTCAGAGTTCCCACCTTTAATTCTTCTTAGGGGTGTGGGGATGATTAAAGCAATAATGTTTTTCAAGTACAGAGGTATTCCAGATTAAAGACACTACGTAACCTAATGCATTCTGCTTCCAATGACATAAGTTTATGTAATTGCAAGCTAGGAAAATAAAGTTAGACCAGGTGTTCCTACCGCAGCCGCGATACTGTTTGCCTTACTTTCATGATGTGGCGCCTGCCTCAACATTTTTTTAAAAAGCACTAATTCCCAAGAAAGAGGATATTGGTTTAAGAAAGAAATGCTCTCATTCACTGAACTTTCATTTCATTAATACACAAATATGTACAATTCTATTCCACAGTCAGTTCAAGGCTAAAAGTCGAGTTAATAATAAATGGTACATTTACTACTTCGTCATGTCATTTGTACTTCAGAGAGAGCTTTTATAAAGATATTACTTTTGCTTTTAAAGACAGGAAGGCTGTATAAGGTACCCCAGTCAACCTGAGTAAATGCTTTGCATGTTCATTTTCTTCCTGAGATAAACAGGTCACCTTCTCTCCCACATATAATTAGCGTAATATCCTGTCACGCACCTGCTCTGCTGCTCAATGCATCAGCTCTTACATCCCAAGACAGTGTTGATTACTGTAGATCCTGGCACATCACTGTGAGGAGTTCAGCCATGCCAAGCATACCAACCACAATGGGAATATTAAATGCATTGCAAAGATAATAAGAAAAGTGGTTTGAAAGGCTGGGTGTGGTGGCTTACACCTGTAATCCCATCACTTTGGGAGGCCGAGGCAGGAGGATTGCTTGAGGCCAGGAGTTCAAGACCAGCTTGGGCAACAAAGTGAGACCCTGTTTCTAAAAAAACTTTTTTAATTAGCCAGGCATGGTGGTGCACACCTATAGTCTGAGCTACTTGGGAGGCTGAGGTGGGAGGATCACCTGAGCCTAGGAGTTTGGGACTGCAGTGAGCTATGACCATGCCACTGCACTCCAGCCTGGTTGACAGATCAAGACACTGTCAAAAAAAAGTGGTTGGCCAGTCTGAGCTGTTTGCCAACAGACCACTTCTGTAAAATAATGCTATGGAAGATTGAGAAATTCTGTCCCTCGCCAAGCCACTGAGAATACACTACTGATTCCATCCATTCGAACATGCTTGGACTCCCTGGTCTAAACTGATAGGGGAACCAAAGAAGGAAGTTAGAAGTGAAGTACAAGTGTTTATTAGGCAGCTTGAATTGAGGAGGCCAAAGAATGTGAAACAAGAACAAAGACTCTTTCTGGTTGGATGTATCTGGTAATTGAGTGGAAATACAAGCTTAGCCAAGGTGCCTACTTTATTCCTAATGTTTTACATGTCTAACCCCCTTTCAGGGAAAAAGAAAACAAAATGAGAAAAATACTCACATTGAACAAACTCAATATCATATTAAGAGAAAAAGGCAAGTTGCAAATTAATAAGTACAGTATGATTGATCCTCCCTGCTCCATCCATGACCAAATTCACCTGTGCTCAGCAACCAAACAAGTATAGTATTAGGGATCAGCTACATTTGGACCACAAAACTTTGAAAGCCATTATAGAAATTTCACCCATCAAAGATGACATCCTCTCTGGAGAAAGATGTGCCCCAGATTTCAAACGATCAGTTCTTATTTATCAGCTTTTAAATATAAGCCAATCTTAAAGGTGGGCACCAACTCTAATTGTAAAATTACATTCACAGCTACATTAAGCATACATCCCACTTACAAATCCAGCCCCATGCTAGATGAGGCATTTATTAGTAATGAGGAATACATTTTATTTCCCCAAAGTAAAAAAATAAATAAGACTTTTTAAAACTAGTTAAAACTAAAAAGCCTGGTTCTATCCTGGTCCAAAATAAGGGAGAATTGGGGTATGGAATATCATTTCTGAAAAGCTCTCCTTAAAAACTTACTGAAATTGGGACTCCACAGACTTTGAGCCATGGATAACTAATCCAAAAAGCCAGTCCCTATGTGGTATGGTATAGAGAGGGACAAAAATAGGGACCTCCCCAACCCCGACTATCAGAGAAAAGATTCTAAATTTTAAACAATTTTTGTACCCTTCACTGCCACACACACACACCCACACACAAATACACACACACACACACTCATGTGCACAAAACTTGAACTTTCCACACATAAACTCAGGGCAATGGCAGTGTAATTGCCAAAAGTAAATTTGGTCGGAGAAATTCTCTCTCCTCACTTTGTGATTCTGGCACCACCTGCTTGAACTGCTTTGGGATAAAGCACTTAGATTCACCTAAGAAGCTTCAAAAGCTTACAGAAGCATGCACCTGATCCCAGACCAATTAAGTCAGGACCTGGGGCGGGGGCACCAGGACTGAAATTGGGCATAAATAGTTTTTTTTTTTAGATGGAGTCTCACTCTGTCCCCCCAGGCTAGAGTGCAGTGGCACAATCTCAGCTCCGCAAGATCAGCAACCTCCGCCTCCTGGGTTCAATCATTCTCGTGCCTCAGCCTCCTGAGTAACTGGGACTGCAGGAACACCACGAGGCCTGGCTAATTTTTCTTTTTTTTTTTTTTTTTTTTTTGTATTTTTAGTAGAGACAGGGTTTCACCATGCTGCCCAGGCTGGTCTCAAACTGCGAGCTCAGGCAATCCACCTGCCTTGGCCTCCCAAAGTGCTAGGATTATGTAATGGCATGAGCCACAGTGCCCGGCCATTAGTTTTCAAAGTCCTTTGGGTGAGTCTAATAGACACTGAAAGGTTGAGCACCTTCAGGTATTGAGAACCACTGGTTAAACAGGTAACCAATCTGGTCTAGCCCCATTAGCCTGCTATTGGTTGCTGACCCATGGCCTTCATGGATACAAAATGGAACAGGGTGTTTCCTATAGCAATGAGCTAATTAATCTTTTCAAGCAGTTAAATACATTTAGTACTTCTCAGGAGTATACAGTCTTTCAAAAATTCATTAGTTATAAAGGCTTAGCCAAGGATTTACCTTGATTCTTAATTTTTCAAAAGCTGCGTTATTTTAAAAAATTACCTTCCAATAGCAAGCTAAAATGTCAACTTTTTTCAGTTGGGCTCTTGGTGCACTTTTGGGCACCATCCCAAAATAGGTGGGACGTAAAGACCCAAACCTCACTTCCAAAACTGTTTCTTCTAATTCCCTGGAAGATATTCCTATCAGAAACTATGACAATAAGGTTAAATAACAAGTTGAGTACTTATTACTGTTTAAATCAATACAGTTTTATGCACCACACTATAAAAGCAACAGCCTGAGTTACTTAGATATTTTAATTTGGGTAAAAAGAAGATTGAAATTATATTTATCAGGCTGAAATATAAAAAGTCTCCAGTCAACTTTTTCTGCATTGAAAAAACTTGTTCTTCATTATCTGTCATTTCTCCTTCAGTTTAAATTCTAAGATGAATTGACAAGAAGGCAGGTGGCTGTCAGTGATTCTATTTCAGCTCGTCAATATTTCCTCTGGATGAAGGACAACATACTGATTAGGTTTAACTTCATCTTCTTTTAACATTTCAACAGAAGGGGCTCTTCATGGAAGTCGCTGAATAACTCTCAAATTATAAATAATTTCATGAGATAAAAAGGGAGGCCCCAGACTTTTTTTTTCTGTGACTAATATGGTTTCTGCTCCTCCCTCCTTAAGACTTTTAATTAAATCAGAGACAAGCTGGAAACAATGTGTCAGCTTTTTAATGAGCTTTAATTGTCACCACAGAAAATTAAGCATAGGCTGAGAATCAGGATTCAAGATCAGCTGTAAACCCCAGACTGGTAACCAGTTCTGATCCCATGTTGATGTGAGAGCTTTGTCTTTGGGGTAGAGAGAGGGTTCAGAGAAAACCTGCTTGGAACACAGAAAGCTAAGTTGCTACAGACAGGATTCTACCCATTCAGACTACTATCAGTCATTTCCTACACTCTTAGAGTTTGGCCAAGGGATGCAAGATGAGGATTACCGCCTGCAATGCTTGCCCCACTAAGAGGCCCAGACTCTTCTCAGGTCCTGGCAGATGGCATCAAGATAGTTGTTAGGTCCACAACTACGCCAATTGTCAGGTCCAGGGTCAGGTTCGGGCCCGTACTGAGGTCCGAGGGGAGTGGGTGGATAGGCGAATAGCTGAAAGAACACTCGGGGGGCTCTAAGCAGGTGAAATGTAGTTTTATTCAACAGCTCTCTCACCGGCAGCTCTATTACACTGTCCGCCTTTATCTCGGCGGTCTGCTGCGGCTCCGCAGCTCCTCTCAGCAGCCGGCTCTGCGGCTTGGCTGCTCCCACACACAGCTGCACGGCCGGCTCTCCCTTGTCTTCAAGGTCAACAGCTTAACTCTTTCCCTCTGGCCACCAGCGCCAGCCATGTCGAGCTGTGCCATGCCCTGGCTCCCCTCTGTCCATCTGCAAGACAGACAGCTCTGGTTCTCTTTCTCTGGGCGCCAGTGCACCCCCAAGCCATGTCAAGCTGAGCCCAGGAGTGCCTGTACAGTGTCAGCAGGGCAGTTATACCTTTTACAGACCATAGTAAGTAAATTCCGAGCCAAGAATGAGCTTACGTAAACAGGTTATATAACAAGTGGAGGTGTGCACCTGCGCAACAATCCCACTGACTCAAGCAGGCCTGGATGTCAGCCTCAGCCTAATTCTTGACCAATGTACACCCATATACCTTACAATAGTGATGTCAACTTGTAGTCTTTTCCAAGGCATTTTTCTTTAGGCATCTTCCAAAACTATACAGAAGAAACAGAAAACTGACCTGAAGAAAGACACGTGCCGAAGAGGGGTCAGGATATATAATAAACTGAAGGTGACCAGTGTGGGCTTCTCCTGCTTCCAAAGCCAGAAGGTTCTTGCAGATGTATTTAATCAACCTATCTTTTTCCTGAATTACATTCTAGCAGTTTGAAAAAAAATAATGAGAGGAGAAATCGCTGTGGAACTCAGTGTCTTTGTTATCTATTTCACAACAATGCTCAAAGGTCTCCACTGGAAAATCTTGAATAGATGTAATAGGCAGGCATGCTTTTAAAATGATTGGAAAGTGCGGGGGCCATAATGCTATTGTAGAACCACATTATTTTACAATGCACTTTAAATGGTTCCCAAATCCTTTTATTTAAAACCCCAAGATAGGAGGACTAGTTTTTCTCAAAGAAACCACGACTATTTCCTTCTCAGAGAATAAGCTGTTAGAGCTGGTAAGACATTAGCAAATAGCCCATCTGAGCTACAAAGAGCAAATAGCCCATCTGAGCTACAAAGAAAAATAATGGTTTTGTTTTGTTAACCTGGAGAAGCGACATACCTTTAAGGCTTTTTTAATGGATTGCCACAGGATAATTGCTACTGCTGTTAAGCAGAATGTTCTATTTGGATATTAGCTCATTTATGGGGCAGAGTTAGGAAGAGTTTTTGCCCAGGTGACTTGTAACAAAATGAAATAAGCAGATGTTACGTATCTTGAAATTACCACCAGGTTTTTATGCGTTGTTAGGTGCTGAGATGCTCTGAAAATTTTGTCTAAAATTGCAGCGTAGTTGTGAACAGAGCAGTCGTATCACTATGCTCGGGCAGATTGTGCCAAACACTGAGACGTTTTCAAAACCATTTAGTCATCTCCCCAAATATAAAAAAGAAAGGGAAGAAAGAATCCCTCTGGAAGTGAGCTGCTCAAAGATGGGTCACTGGGGCAATCTCGTCCCCTCTAAAGTCTTCCCCTCACCTGCCCCTATACCTGCCCTGCCCACACAGGAAACCACAGGGCCATAAGGATGAGTGATAGGTAGGAATGATTTCAATCCTTGTCTGCAGTTGTAACCCCCCTGATTTAGTTTGAGTCCTCCAAGAAGCAGATGTCAAGGCAGGATTCAGTGAGCAATAGATTTATAGGGAGAAACTCTAGTGAAGTAATGAAGCGGGGAGAGCCAGAGAAGGTAGGGAGCACTTCCAGATCACAACCCAGGCCAGACCCCAGTGAAGGAAAGCAAAGTAAACCAAAGCAAACATTTCTCTAAACTGGGTGTGGTGGTTCACGCCTGTAATCCCAGCACTTTGTGGGGCTGAGGCAGTGGATCGCTTGAGCCCAGGAGTTCGAGACGAGCCTGGGCAACATAGGGAAACCACCATCTCTACCAAAAAAAAAAAAAAAAAACCACACACACACACACACACACACACAAAAATTAGCTGGGTGTGGTGACTACCATAGCCCCAGCTAATAGGGAGGCTGAGGTGGGAGGATTGCTTGAGCTGGGGAGATTGAGGCTGCAGTGAACCACTATCGCACTGCTGCACTCCAGCCTGGGTAACAAAGTGAGACCCTGTCTCAAAAAAAAAAAAAAAAAAAAAAAAAACAAGAAAACATTTTCTCTAAACCCTGATGTTTCCCATTTGGTAGTGGGTAGTGGGGATCCTTTGCTGGGCACAAGCTCCTCCTCTCCTTTACCTGTCTTACTTTGCTTTTCTTGTAGGTTCTACCCAGTAACCATAGTTCACAGAGACTAATGCTATGCCCATTGTAGACTCTGATATCTTTCTAGGCCCCCCTGTGAGTTAGAGTTTGTGTATGTAGGCTAAGCCTGGAGAGAGGAAGATGGACAGGTGGTCTCCTCTCTCTGTCTCCCCTTCTTTCTGCTCCTCGTGGAGGGCTAATGCCTGGCCCCTGGTGTCCAGGTGCAATTCCAGCAGCCCCTTCCAAGACAGCTCCTCTCCCCTCTGGTTCTGAGACAGCATGTACCAGCATCCTTAGAGACAAAGGGAGGAGTCATGCCTATCCCTTGTTCTCAGAGGTAGGAAGACATCTGCTAATGACAGCTCACCACCCAGCCTTCTGTAACTCACTGAATGTTATATGACCAACCACAAGCAGTGCCCACCCAGGGACCTTGGGACTCCAGGGTTCTCTGCCTTTGGTCCTGGTTCTTGGAAAGCAGGAGAACCTGTGAGTGCCATTCCAGAGGTTATGCCAGCAGTCACTGCCCTAGACTCCTCCTCCTCACAGCCTTCTCTCCAGTTTGCTGGGTTCAAAGGGCACCCAGCAGCATCTACACAACCTCATCGTGCCTCTGTGCCCCACCCCATGCATTCTCTACCCCAGGGGTCCCAAGGCTGCCTCTTCACAGGAAGTTCCAGGAACCCTGCCCTAGCCCAGGCCAGCAAGGCCAACCTACTGCCATGCAAGAGGAAGGCTCTGTCTCCCTCCAGCTATCTCCAATCAGCTCTAGTGGAACTCTTTGAAAAGGCCATTGTTCTTCCCAAATGGTTTGGTTTATCTCTTTGAACATTTCCACATTTCTGTCAGTGATTATTACCCTTTTCATGGTTTTTTTTTCCCTGGAAATAAATGAATGAAGAAATAAATTTCTAGTCATATGGACATTTAACTTTCTGCCCCAAGGAAACACCTAAAAAGAAAAATAAAAATATACTGCAGTAATTAAATTTTGAACACTAAGTATTCTAAGAAGTAAAATATTACAGAAATAAAAATTTCTGATTCAGTATTTATACTGGGAGTGCAGATATCTATGGATAGGTATTTGCCAAAATACAGACTAGCATTAACTTATTAGTGAGTTTTGAGTTGGTTGCTGAGAATGTGGGACTCATATCCTCCTAGAAGTGATGTTATAATTGGTAGCTGGGTTCTGGGTCAGCCTTCAGGACTCCATTCTCTGAGTTTCCACTGGTGCTGGCCTGATTCTGGGTCCTGGAACAAGGAATGCAGGAATGAAAATGTTAGGGAACAAGGAATGCAGGAATGAAAATGTTAGAGACAGCAAAAAAAAACTGAATGGGCTTTTTCCCATGCTAACTCAGTCACTCAATACTTTCAACACGAGATGTGGAGTAGGGGTGGGGGTTCCCACACATCAATCAAGCAATTCTGCAGATTCTGCAGCAGACACCAGTGGGATGTCCATTAATACAATTCAATCTGACACAAGCTACATGGAGATAGTGAGACAGGTGAGTTGCCTGACCACTCCCCCTGCCCCCCAACTCCCCCCACCGCCCCCAGCAGGATGTGCGACAGGGGTATGGCTCATCTGTTCAGCAAGCCGCCAAGTGCTCAAATCCCTTAAAGGAGGGGTAGCATGCAGATGGGCAGGTGCAGCAGCTGGGGCAAGTGCTTTTGGGCTCCAGCCCCAAAGTAGCATCTGGAGGTGAGAGCCTGCAACTCCCAAAGCCCTAGTGGGCATGCTACAGTGCTCTTTTAGTTCTGCCATCCACAGACAGCTTAAGTGTTAACTAGCTCAGTGCCCTGTTGGTAGCTGGGATCTTGTCTGGTGTCCAGGAAGAATCCGGTCACACGGACAAATTGAAGGATGTTAAATGCGGGGGATTTTAGTGAGTGATGGAGTTGGCTCTCAGCGGGATGGATGGGGAGCTGGAAAGAGGATGGAGTAGGAAGATGATCTTCCCCTGGAATTTGGCCATCCTGTGGCTGATCTCCCCTCCAACTGTCCCCAGCCAATCTCCTGTCGACATTCAGGCGTTCCTTCTCTTCTCTCCTTCTCTGCCATGCCGCTCTTCTGCTCCTCTGCTCTTCTGTTCATCTGCTCATGTGTTTGTGGAGCCTGGAATTTGGAGTGTATATGGGTACAGGATAGAGGGGTGTGGCAGGCCAAAAGGCAACATTTCGGCGCAAAAAGAGGAATGCCTGCTTTCATTTAGGGCCACGGGTTTCCAGGCTTCAGGGTGGGGCCTTTGTCGGGGAACTGCCCTCTTCTACCCAGTATTTCTGTCTCCTGTCCATACCAATAGTGTCAGATCCCAAAGGCTGAGAGTGTGGTCCCACAAGACTGCCCTTGCTTCAGATGCCTGTCACCACTGTCCAACTGACTGGAAAACAGGGTTCCCACAGCTTCCTAATTGAGTTTGGTACTTTGTTACTTACAGCTGCCCACAGGACACAGAAACACTTTACTTATGTTTACTGGTTTATTATAAGTACAGTAGGAAGGATACAGATGAAGAGAAGCATAGGGTGAGATATATGGGAAGAGACAAGGAGCTTCCATCCCCTCCCTGGATGCATCACCCTCCAGAAACCTCCATGTGGTCAGCTATCCAGAAGCTCTCAAGCCCAGCCCTTTTTGGGTTTTTATGGAAGCTTCATTACATAAGCATGATTGATTACATCCTTAATCATTGGTGATCAACGTAACTTTCAGTCCTGGCATCCCACACAGTTGGAGGAGCTAAAAATCTCAGTCCTCTAATCATGCCTATGCAGCTCTCACCTTGAAGCTAACTAGGGCCCCCCCCCCGCCCCCCGCCCCCGGCCACCAGTCATCTTATTAGCATACAAAAGACACCCATCGCTCTGGCAATTCCAAGGATTTTAGGAGCTGTATGTAAGAAGGGGACCAAATGTATATTTGACAATATTGCAGAGAGAAAGACTTTTCTTTCTTTCCAGTACCTGATGTTCATTCAAGGTAACATTAAAAAAAATATACTCTATGCTTTATTAAACAATTTATCTGACAACCCTAAAAGACTCCTTTTGTTTCTAACGTTTTTGTAGGGTGTTTTGGGGAGAGGAGAGCATTATAGGCTTTAATTTTTAAGAGTAGCTTTAGGTTCACAGCAAAATTGAGCAAAAAGTGCAGAGTTCCCAAATACCTCGAAGCTCCAGACAGGCACAACCTCCCTCTCCTATCAACATCCCAGCCCAGAGTGGTACATTTGTTACAACCTGCATTTCTTAGGCTCCTACTGACACATCATTATCACCCAAAGTCTGCAATTTAATTAGGGTTCAGTCTTGGTGTTGCACATTCTATGGGTTTTGACAAATGTTTAATGGCAGGCATTACTCATTATAGTATCGTAAGAATAGTTTCACTGCCCTAAAAATCCTCTGTGCTCTGCCTATTCATTTCTTCCCCTCTCTAACCATAACACTTTGAAGTAAAAATTTGCCTTTCTCATTCTTCTCCCACACCTCCAAGCCTCCTAATTCCTGGGATTCCCCTAGGTCTGAGCCCCACTCCCAACCCCCCACCCACCCTTCAGATGGACCTGATTCATACGAATGTGTGAATGACTAACAGCCCTCAAAATGCAGTTTAGGTATTCCCGTTTTGAAAAAGGCTGCTGATTGGCCCCCCCCATCTCTTGAATAGGTGGACCCTCTGGAAGTACCAGAAAGGGCTGTGAAGAGGCCACCACTACCAGAAACATTCCGGCAAGGTTGTCTTCTGCTTTTCCTTTCTCCTTTCCTTCTCTGTAGGGGTGGGTTGCCCTTCCCCACACTTCTCCTCAGAGTATAGAAATTATTTCAAAATTACAAAATTTGTTCTCTGCAAATGGTTCTTCTGGCAGCAATGCCTTGGCCAGAATGTATGTGGGTGGGTGAGTGGGGCAGGTGTATTTGCAATTTAGAGTTTTCATATGTGTTCTTTAGAGCCTCAGAGAGACAGAGAGAGAGAGAGAGATTTTAGTTCCCACTTTGCAGGTGCCTAGTTTGTGTCTACCAAAGGGCTGATTTCATCTTCTTTGTGGATACAATATTAGCATATCTCATGGACAAAAAAATCCTCACAGCCTTTCTAGAATATCCAATAAACACTCTCCACGTTATCTAAAAAGCGGGTGTAAAATAACTTTTCATAACAAAACAAATCATCTGATAACACAAGAAAAAGGTTAGTGAGAGTCTTTGCTGAAATTCCAACTGCCTTTTCTTGCTGCAGTCCCCCATCTTTGCAGAGATAAAGATTATGGTTGCCAAGGAAACAGGACCAGAGAGAGAAAGACAGAAACTTTGTCTCATTTGGTTTCCCCAGGACTCACAAAGCGAGCTGGGCTGTAAGCAGAGCTGGACAAGATTATGGTAGATTTATAATTTACTTAGTCAAATTGCTTTTAATTCATCGTCATGCCTCAATATACATTTTTTTCCCTCTGAAAGTTAGGTCTTGCACCTAGTTGTCCAATGTCTGACATATAACAGAGCTTTAAAATTCATTGTCTACGATTAAATTCAAATGCAGGACAGATGGCTTAGTCTGAGTATGTGTCAGACAGGCAAAGCACTTAAGATTTGTGACAGGCAAGACCAGGAATTAACTGCTAAGTTTTTGCTTTTATTCATACATTCATGTGCACCATGAATATGGCTGTAAAACTTATTTAAGTGTTCTCACTTTATTCAAAATATTCCCAAACAAAGCAACTGTTCTCCTTTTGCAAACCAGACTCCCTAATCTCAACCCCATTAACTCAAAATCCATTTTTCTCGTGCTATATGCACTGTGTACATTTTATTTACTCAGACAGTCAGGAGGATAACAGCAACCTTCTGAAAACCCAGCTTGCCTAGAACCCACAATGTTGGTCCCCACTTCATTTTTGTGAACCTTTTTATTGAAACATTTAATTATTTTATCGAGCAAACATTTGTCTGTGGAAATAAACAATGACCAGCCAAATGTGAACAAGCAAAGGCTATTTATTCAGAGCTTGCTATATAGCAAGAGAGTCAGCCACCGTCACTTGCATTTTGGCAGAGACTCAAAGGAAGACAAAGAAAAGGGAAAGTTTCATTGTGGGGAAAAAAGGGATGTCTTCAGGTTTGATTGGAGGCCGTTGGCATGGGGAAGCTGCAAGTGGGCCAACCAGAAGTGGGCATCCTGTGGTGTCTGAGTAGGGGTGCATATTTGGCTTTCTCTGGCTGGTCCTTAGTTAGAAGCAAGGACAAAAATCAGGGAAGTAGTCAGTTATTGGTCAAGTCCTGGCCATTTGGGGCTGACTGTGAATAATATAGGCATTATGATCTGGCTTTCTAAACCAGTTGCCAGAGATAGTGGTCTAACTTCCTACAGGTCTGACTTACGGAGAGCAGGCTGGCTTCCTGGGCTGATCACCATAGACAATGTGTTGGTTTCCTGGGCTGGTTGCTGCAGATTGTGGGTCAGAGTTCCATTTTCATACACGGTCTGGCCATTATCCATGGGTATATTCAATCATTTAGTCAATAAACATTTTACAAACAGAATAGCACAAAAAGCATCCGTGTACAGCTCAATGAATGATCAAGTGTAACAACCACCCAGGAGCCCCCGTTCATTTTTAAATTCTCTACAACTTATCTTCTGAAACTGGCTGTCAAGGAACATTTTGAGTCTCAATCAACTCTTTCCACTGGCTTCTTCAGTCCTCATGTCCAGGGCAAGGCTCACCAGCGGCAGGTCTCCTCGGACCACCTTACAGAGTCATGTGTTCCAGGCACGATGGAATGCAGGGCAGCCCTGGGTTTCTCACAGTCAGGCTCAGCCCTGTGAATCACCTTCCTCTACATTCCTGGACCTGGAGGAGCAGGTCAGAGTGTGTCTTGAAATCCACCTCCACCACTCCCTTGGGCAAGTTACATAATCTCTCAAGACCTGTTTCTTCATCTCCAAAATGAGAGTAATAATAGCACCTGCTCTCACAGGGTTGCCGGGGGGATGAGCAAGGTGAGAGGCTTGCAAACCCTTAACTCAGTCCCTGGCATAGAATAAGCACTCAGATTTTTATGTATGTATCTCTCCCCATAATGTTTCAAAATGGCAACTAAAAATTACTGAGGACCTACTATGTGCCAGGCACTGAGCCTGGTATTTACTCTTAAATTTCTTATATTATTAAATTTTTCTATTAGAAAGAATGTTAGTCATGCTTATTTTACAGATCGAGTATCTATGGCTCAGAGACGTTTAGAAATCTCGCTATATTTACCTCAATTTGTCATGAGGATTAAATGAGATGACTGTAAAGCAGGTCCTTAGCACAATCTCAGCTCATCACTTAATGAATGGGGCTATAGTTTACAATGACTCTTTGATGATTCCCTGTAGTACAGGGGTCCTTAGCCCCTGGGCCATGGCCCAGTGCCCGTGGTCTGTTAGGAAGTGGGCGGCACAGCAGGAGGTGAGCCTTTGGCTAGTGAGCATTACTGCCTGAGCTCCGCCTCCTGTCAGATCAGCGGAGCCGGGGAAGAGGGGGCAGTAGATTCTCATAGGAGCTGGAACCCTATTGTGAACAGCAGATGTGAGGGATCTAGATTTTGTACTCCTTATGAAAATCTAGTGTAGGAATGTCCAATCTTTTGGTTTCCCTGGGCCACATTAGAAGAAGAATTGTCTTGGGCCACACATAAAAGACACTAATAATAGCTAATGAGCTAAAAAAAATCACAAATAATTTAAGGTTATGAATTTGTGTTGGGCTGCATTCAAAGTCATCCTGGGCCACAGGTTGGACAAGATTGATCTGATGCCTGATGATCTGAGGTGAAACAGTTTTATCCCAAAAACATCCCTGCCGCCTCCAGGCCCAGTCCCCATCCATGGAAAAGCTGTCTTCCACAACACCAGTTCCTGGTGCCAAAAAGGCTGGGAACCATTGCTGTAGTAGATAAGCCTACCAACTGCAGAGAATAATCTGTGTATTTCCCCCTCCAACGTCTGCTCTCCCTTTGTTCCTTACTAATTAAATCACATTGCTGTGGGGTGGCAGTGTGCCAGATAAAAGTTCTGCCCTCCCCAAGCTCTCTTATATCTTGGGAAGTTCACATGTCCCAGTTCTGGCTACTGAGAGGTAAGTGTAAGTCTCCCGGTGAGCCTTTTGGGTAAACTATTACTATTCAAAGTAAAAGGGAGAATGTCCTCTGGCCTGAGCCCTTTCCCCTTTGTCTGCCCCACTTTTGCTGCCTGGAAAGCAGATGAGATGCCATGAGATGCAGCTGCCATCCTGCAAGCATGAGGCCTGATGGCCTCATGGGGGTGCTGTCCCGGCCCTGGACTGCCGACCTCCAACCCGTTTGCCTACTGTGGCCAGATTTTTATTACCATAGCTACTGTTTGGTGTGATCTATCTAAATGAAATGAAATTTCCAAATGAATGAAAATTAAGAATTTGAAGTATCTTTTTAATCTGTCTACATGTTCCGACTGAGATGATAAAGAGAAACAACTCCAGAGAATGAAAGATCTGTTCACAATCATGTCTACAGGAACCATTCTCAACCCCTCTAGGGATTAACATCAAGACTTTTTCCTGAGTCTAAATCCCATCCGTCAACTCCTAACTAACCCGCCGTTCTTCCCTGTCATTTGGTGTCATCCATATGGTGTCATCAACAGGGTTTCCACGGGTCTTCAACATCATGCACTTGGAATCTGAAGGCTGACACTGGTCCCCAAAGGCTTGGCTCTAGACCAGCCTCACACAGCACAGAACCGAATGATCCTCCTGTCAAACCCAAGGCATCTGCTCTGGCATCTTGGTCAAAGTCCAAAGGCTGTAATTGCATTATGCCTACTTGTGAGCTCTCCTAGAGTTCCCAATTAGGTAATATTTATTTTCTACCCAGAAAAGGTTATGCCCAACCTTGCTCTGCACACTGAAACAATAAGGGTTCCAACCCAAGTGATAAAGGAGCATCTCAGTGTGACATGAAGCCATCATGAGGTAGGGGCAGGAGGCTTCAACTGGCCTTATGCAGAGCCAGCTAGGACAGCCATCAGCTTGGAACAAACTAAGTATCCCTGAGGGGTTAAACTTGTGCTTTTCTGTGGCAGTACAGAAATAATATGCATATATTTCCACTTTAAATGATTTCTAAAGCAGATGTCAGCAGATGAAAAGAGGATTGAACTCCAGCTCCTTCTCTAACAGCTTTCTGTCAAAATATAACCCACGTGAGGATTTCAAAAAACTAAATTCATTCCAATATAAAGTATGCTGTCTTAATATCGCATGGTGTGTGACTTGTTATATTCCCAGCTATGAATAACCCATAAATGAGGAATTTTGTCTTGCTTAAAGAGATACTCTAATGGTCAGGAAGTTTTATTTAATATGCAAAATTACCTTTGTAAATATCACTAAATGGTGAAATAAAACACGTTCGGAATATCTGAAATGATCCTTCTTTGGATAAACGAGAAAAGGCACACGTTTACAATGCCTCAAATTGTGTCTTATTCAAATGAAGACCCACACACATAATGAAGAGAAAATCTCTAATAATTTATTGACCTTCAGTTTCACATTGTGAAAAAAAAAAAAATAACAGTTTTACAAAACCTCAAAATGTAGTCATAGCAAACAAGTACATATGAACATGAACATTTTCCTTCAACTTATACAGAGTTTTGTACGTGAACCACATGGTCAATAGCCAAGAGAGGGACATTATGCAGCTCTAATCACTCTTATTCAAGACAGGTGTCAAGCCCAAAGAAAAGGGGCTACACAATTATACCAGAAGTGGAGGGCTGCCCTTTGTTATGTGTTTCTACAGCAACCAGCCCACAAAATAAGAAGAACCTTCTCTGTCTTATGCCAAGGTTTTTGTGTGTACTGTGCTGTGAATTGTATTTGCTTCAAAGTGTGGGACGTTTCACAGGGTGAGAATGGTCAAGTAGTGAGACCAAATGCCTATATCGATTCAAAGAGTGGGAGTCCAGAAAGTTCCCTACAGGCTGGGGGCCCAACCCTTACCACAGCTCCCTCTGGCTCACACACAGTAATTAATAGAGGATTCAAGAACAGACCCCAACTTTGAAACAGCTGCAGAAAATTCATCCTGCTTTCAGAAGCCATGCAGTGACACATACATCTCTCTTGGCAGATTTGCATCATAAACTACAGAGCTGTAACTGCTACAATATAAACGACACTGACTATGCCCACTGGGGGACAATTAGACATTTGCATTGCTTAGAACACATCTAGGAACCAGGGACTGACTGCTGGAAAGTACTGTGATTCTTTTCTTCCAACAGCTCATTTATTTAGGCCCAACTACAGCCCACTCATTCATGGCATGGACGGACAAACACAATTAGTCTAAAGTACTAAGGTGGAGAGAAATGTTAAGGATTTATCTGTCATTAGACAATGCAAACACAGTCACAATGTAAAAGGTTGTTATCAGTCTTAACCCCTATTTTCTAAAATACAGCAATGTGAGAAACATGGACGAAAGCAGTTCGAGTTGCAAACTTTGGTCTTCCCCTGCACCTCAGGGGAAGCACCTATCTGAGACTAGCACTAATACCTACGACGGCACATGCTTAGTAAACAAGCACTCCAACTAGCAAAGAATGTATTCACAACTGATTTCCAACTCTACCGGAAAACTTCTCAATAGGGGCCACTGCCTACAATTCTTTGGTGTTTTGTGGCCAAATGTGTTACTTGTGCACCAAAGAGTTTTTTAAAAAGAGATTTGCCTACGGGTGAGCACTGAAGTATACATTGTGCCAATGTAATTATTGTCTTGGAGACCTTCTAGAACTTGCTAAATCATATAGCAAGAAGAGAATGAGTTCAGGCCCAGTAAATCTGGTGAGTTAATTTACATCTGTGATACTGCCGTTTTTCCCATTAAATGTGGTTATGGCAAAGCATTCTTAGGGTAATAAATAAATAAATAAACTTTGGACAATGCCTTTACTTGTGCCCTATATACAGAACTATTCCATAGAATTTTCCAGGATTTCAAGATACTACACAAAGAAAAAAACTGTAAAGCAATTTGGTCCTTTCCAAATTTCAGCAGCTGAGACTGAATTAAGTAAATCAGATGGGAGTGGGGAGAAGGGCAGAAAGCAGCCTCCCCTTACCCTATCAGCACAACCAAACCCCATGAAATCCCATTAAAAGTTGGTGAGTCTGAGAAAAGCGATCTCCACGGTTTCTCTACCTCTAGGATGTCATTTAAATTTCCATTTTGTCATCCTTCCCTGTCTTGACATTTTAAAAATCCACCCCTCCCCAACCCACCCTCCAGTTATGCTCCAAATTGTAACTCAAAAATTTTCATGTTTGTGCAGCAAAGCACATCTCAACAGCCACAAAATGTGCAAAACGTACAACCATTCACACACGTCCATACATGTGAAGACAGCTGTAGGCATTGTTTCAGCATGCAGGCATCGAACAATAAATAGCTAAATCTATAACAAACTTCTTAACAGCCAAGGGAAAGTTTAAAGTCACTTATAAATAGAAAAGAACATCTACCAAATGGCTACCAACAAAGTCCCCATTGTTCAGAAACGTTCCTGGGGAGCAGACCCCTTAGAGATTAACGGAGAGTCCAGTGGTCTTCATTCTTCAGCCAGCCCAGCCAGCTTCCCTCTCGGACCCACAGTTGGGCTTTGAATCTCCAGCAGCAGCTGGTGTGGAGGCTTCAAGCTCTGTCCTCAGAGAGAGGTGACAACCATTTCAAATTCTACACATAAATGGTGGGGCCCATGGAAATCAAATGCTGAATATGGTACAGCAAGGGAAAAGGTCCAGCTTTTCTCTCCCTTTGAGGGGCTGATTAACATTGACATTAATCCACAATTACAAGACAAGGACTAGATCACAGGTTTGTTCATTCATATTTAAACCATGTGCTACTTGCACCAAAAATCCCACCCCCCTCCCTCGCCCCTTTCCTTCATGTCCAGTTAGAGCATTTACAAGGTGCAGCAGATTTTATTCGAGTCTTGCAACTTCTTTTCCTTTTTTTCTCTTCATTAGACTTGGCCTCTCCGAAGTAGAAATCTCATATTATCTCATCGAGTGATGGAGTGAGCTGAAATAGAAGGAAAAGGAAAAAAAACAAAACAAAAAAGCATGAAGGATTTGTGTGATGCCATAGTTTTTAAATTTTTCTTATTAGCCACAAAATTTTTTTTTAAATTAAACTTGGTATGGAGCTGGACAATATTGCTTCCAAAGGTCTTACATGTTCAGTAGGAACTGTGCAAAGATATTTAAAGTACTTGCCTTAAATGCACACACGTGTGCACGTACACATCCATGCAGATGGCTGGCCTGACAAAAACAGTGGTGTCTAAAGAAGGACCTTCACTTCTTTCCTAAGCATACACACTTTCAAATCCAAACCTATATGTCTAGATGCTATTAGGAGTTGCCATCTTCTGCTTCCAACATTCATAAAATTTCTTTCTGTGGTTAAACAGAGCGACTGTAAAGTGATCACTAAGGGGTGAAAAGAAGGGAGATTCCTGTGCAAACCCTCCTTGGCCCATGTACCATGAAAGATTCCAAATTAACTTTACCATCTAGGAGGCAGACATACTAATCCTCTTATTTAAATGCATCTCTGTTATCCATTATGGCAGAAATCAGTCTCGCTTCCTTTCACATGACAATGTATCAGGCCTCAACAGCCCAAGTTTGGAGTTTATTCTCAAAGTTCGTCAGTCCACACGTAGGTGCCAGCAGCTACGGCATGCCAGTGCTACAGAATCTACGTACATCAAGTGTGAATATCAATTCAAAGTGCCGTAACCACAAAGCCTGCACATTTCATAGAGCTTGCATTTCCTCACACTGCTTACTCTTCCCATTTATTTATTTCTCATTTCATCTGGGGAAATTGTGCAGAGGGCTTTTGTATCCCTATTGCTGTAAGTCTAAGTACAGACAAAGGGAATTCTGGAGGAGCCACTCATGACCTTGCACTGAATTCTTTGCTTTTGTGTGTTCAGAAGCCTGATTCATTTCATGAGTTGTTTCTTTTGGCTGTTTCCTAACAGTGATTCAAGCTTTCAAGGCATGCCTTAGACTACGGTGTCATTGCCCCACCTCCACCTCCTTGTAACCTATATGTCAACATTAGGCCAAAAGAATGTATCTTATAATAATATAAAATTTCAAGACAATGCATATTCAAACAGGAAAAAAGGAATACACACACCCTCCCCCCAAAAAATTGCATATTCAAACAGGAACGATAATAAAAAAAAAAAGGACACACAACAACAACAACAACAACAAAATCTAGAGAAGAAACAAAGCAAATCAAAGCCTAAGTTAGGTTGAGGCCACACGGCACCATGAAAACAGAGGATAATCAAAGTAATTTCCTTTCTGCCCTTCCCACCCACTGGCAGAGCAGCAGGAGGCAGATAAAACCTCCTAGGTGGATGAGCTTTAAGACCTAGGGAAACTTTCTGTTAAACACTCTATTAATTCCGTTAGCACCTACATTTGGAGGGCAGAGGAATTTGCAGTTTGGGACTGAGACCCACCTACCCAGCACTTTAAGGCACTCCAACCCCCTCTTAAATGTTTTAGCACTATCTTGTGTAGTAAACTTTAGAAATTTTAACCAACATTCTCCCTGTCGGAAATTCAAAGAGTGGCTTTGATCAGGCGCTTACGCTGCCCTTTAAAAGCAGCAAACTTGGCCCTGTCAAATTTAGTTTTCATGTGCTTGACTCTCTCACTGGTAGCGCCAAGGGTGAAGAGGATGTTATTTCACATATAACTTAACACTTTACTTGCTCTGTTTCCCAGCGACCGGAAGGGTATGATTCAGTTCAAACACCCAGGGTAGGGTGAAGTCAAGTGTTTGCCAACATGTTCACTCTGGGCTGAAAAAGGAGGAACCAAAAGTGAAGTCTAAAGATAACAAGCAGATAATAGTCAAAGAAACCTCATTTTCCTACCACACAGAAAGCTAATTCCACTGCCATTATCTCACAGTAAGTTACTACACGTCAAGCACTGGGCTAGGTATTTTCGCCTCTTTTAACTCCCCTATCAATTGACCCAAGTCTGAGTTGGGACAGATCACAGGAGATTAAAGATCAAACCACTCATTTGACAGAGAAGCAACCTAAAACTCAGGAAGGTCTAGAACTTAAAACTAGGGCCAGAATACACATGTGGCTTCTCTCCTCTTTCTGCCTCAATTTCCTTACCTTGTTCCAAGGATTCCAGCCAGCCTGCCCATTGTCATTTTTTATGTACCACCACCCTGGTAGCAATTTTTATGGCTCTTCTGTGCAAATATAGTCAGTTCTGGACTAACACCCAACTAAGTGTGCTGTTAATTGATGCTTTCGCCTAGGAGGTTCTTTAAACCTGCTTTAGAGGTGAGTCATGCATTCATATCTCAAATGAAATAACCACTTTCAGAGCATTTGTTTATTCAAGATTACTGAGATGCCAGCAAGGCTACAAAAAACCAGTTTGGTGTGAGACACTATTAGCCCAGTTGCTCCCCAGAGGAGGTGTCTGATTGTTCCTGCTGCTTTGAAGGAGTTTCATTCCAGGAAAGCATGACATAACTCAGAACTCTGATAACTGTACGAAGGCTGGAAGAGATAACTGAAGAAGTAAAAAAAATAGCAAGCTGGAGGCCAAGTGCGGTGGCTCACGCCTGTAATCCCAGCACTTTGGGAGGCTGAGATGGGTGGATCACTTGAGGTCAGGAGTTCAAGACCAGCTTTACCAACATGGTGAAACCCCATCTCTACTAAAAATACAAAAAAGCCCGACGTGGTGGCGGGCACTGTAATCCCAGCTACTTGGAAGGCTGAGGCAGGAGAATCCCTTGAACCCAGGAGGCGGAGGTTGCAGCGAGCTGAGATAGCACCATTGCACCCCAGCCTGGGAAATAGAATAAGACTCTGTCTCAAAAAGAAAATAAAATGGCAAGCTGAAATGTGAGAGTGAGGCCAAGTTTAATGATGTTTCTAAATGAGCTGTAAGGGACAGGGAAAGAAAAGACCAATGAGATGAAACCCCTCTGTGCTTAGCTTGCCACTAGGCCTAGATCTCCTTTTCTCCCTTTGAAGTCCCCTTCAAAGGTGTGAAACATACTAGGGAAAACAGAGCCAAAAGTTCCCAAGTAAATGAGTTTGTTTTCATTGTAGTTCCTCCAAAGCAGTTACTTTCTTCTCTTATTATTAGTAATAAGCCCATGAATCACCAAAACAAGTCAACACATCCTGTGTGCGCTGGGCTATACTTACACATGCCTAAGCGATTCCTGGGGCCAATCCTAAGAATGCTTAGCAGCAAAGCAGCCGTGAGCTTTGCGAACTCTGAACTGTGTAGGCCTATTAATTATTTGAGCCAAGAGTATTCTATACTCTTAAATACACAGACAACTATTATGTACTCAGATATATGACTCAGAAACACAACTTTTGTTAGCCTTGACAATAGGGTCGGCCTGACTGATTAACTCTGAAAGGCCATAGTTTGGGAAGTTTAGGTGGCTCTGTGTTATCTGCACAAATTTCTGCTATGTACATGCAACCTTTTACAAAGACAGATATAGATTTATCTTTAAAGGTAATAAACGCCTTAAAGGGGGCTACTTTTTAAGTAAAACATTTAAAATAAGCTAATAATTTTGGAGAGAATAAACTAGGAATGAATTTGAGCAATACATTTTTAAACCCTAATCATTCTACAAAGGGTTTGAGGAAGCAAAATTTGAATATAAATGAAGTATCACCTGGGATGACATTGGTGTCATGGATGTGAAGCTCAAGTTTATTCGGTGGCAGTGCAACACGATGCTCCAGTGCTGATGCCCTAGAGCCAGACCCCCTGCATTGACTTCCTAACCAGCTCCACCTCTTACTAAGCTCTGCTAACTCGGGCAGCTTAGCCTCCGTAATGCATGAAGGTTTTTTCATCTATAAAATGAAGCTAGTAATAATTCCCCACGGGGTTGTTGTGAGGATAGAATGAGATGATCCGTGGGAAACACGTGGCACCGCTGCAAGCACACAGTGAGGGCTCAATAAACATTAGCTGGCATACTTAACAGAGGTCAGGGGTTCTCAACTTGGTTGTTCATTGGAATCATCCGGAAACTTTTTAAAAATACTGATGCTTGGACCCCACCCCAGACCAAATGAAACTAAGTCTCTGGGATGGGCAGTTTTTAAAAAAGCTCTTCAGGGCCGGGTGCGGTGGCTTATGCCTGTAATCCCAGCACTTTGTGAGGCCGAGGCGGGCGGATCATGAGGTCAGGAGATCAAGACCATCCTGGCCAACATGGTGAAACCCCGTCTCTACTAAAAATACAAAAAATTAGCTAGGCCTGGTGGTGGGCGCCTGTATCCCAGCTATTCGGGAGGCTGAGGCAGGAGAATGGTGTGAACCCAGGAGGCGGAGCTTGCAGTGAGCCAAGATCATGCCACTGCACTCTAGCCTGGGTGACAGAGCGAGACTCTGTCTCAAATAATAATAATAATAATAAAATAAATAAAAAGCTCTTCAGGAGATTCTGAGGCTCAGTAAAAGCTGAGAACCACTGGCTAATGCCATGGTGGGGGCTGAGGCTGTGGTCAACACAAGTGGATAAGTTCTAGGGGCACCAGCTCTCTTATTTTTACAGCTTTGGTAGTACTTCTGCAGTACAGTCTCTGTGGATCAGATCTCACCCCATGTACTGAACTTACACAATAGCCTAATTATATGCATACTTACATCTATAGCTAAACTTCTTACCTCATGCTCACTCTCTTTAGAATGTACTGCATTTAAGAAGGCAGATGTTTCCAGGTGCTGACAAATGCAGTAGGAATCAGCGAGTACGGGACAGTGGTGATGCTGTTCCACACGTCTAATGTTGGATCGTAGCAGTCCAAAGTCTTGCATCGCTGAATGCCAAAGTATCCTCCAACCACGTAGAGTTTGTTTCCAGAGGCCACAGCATGGCAGCTCATGCGCTTTGCTGTCACATCTCCCACCTTGGTCCACTGGTAAGTCTCACTGTTGAATTTATAAGCAGAGCAGGCAGAGAATTCTGTATCACCCCCCATAATAAAAATCTGGTTCCCCAGCACAGCTGCTGCTGTGTAACGCCAGGGCTGGGGACAGGTGGCCGGTACAGTCCACCTGTTTTCACACTGATCGTAACACTGAACTTTGGGGAGCTTGTCATGACTGACACTGGTACCTCCGAAAGCAAATAACTTAAGTTTGGCACTCACTACTGCGGCGTTGCTAACGCCTTCTCGGAGTGGGGCCACCATGGTCCATTTGTTGATTGTGGGGTCATAATGTTCTACCTGCTTTAGAGAGACTGAGGGGGAGGCCGGGAGGCAGCCAGTTGCGGCCGTGTGCCCCCCAACCACATACAGGCAGTGCTTCAGTTCAGCAGAGCCATGGCCAAACCTGGCCACCAGCATGGGGGCAGCCTTGGACCACTCCTCGTGCAGGGTATCATAAACCCAGACATCTTTTGAGACCCCATTTTCAGACCCCCGCCCCCCAGTAATGTACACTTTGCAGCCAATCGCACATGCACTAAACTCTTTTCTTGGGCTGGGAATGTCAGCCTTGGGAATGATTTCTTTGGCCTTCTGGTCTACCAGATACAACTTGTCACACATGAAAGTCTGTCCTCCCAGAAGGAAGAGGGCATGGCCAGTTTTCCGAGGTCGGGCACAGAGGCTGGTTACCACACCGTCATTCTGCAGGATTTTCAGTTTGCACCTGATGGCCTCTTCCACAATTTCCTTACTCTTTCTCTGCTTGGTGATGAGTTCCTCCATGGCCACATTCTCCATGAGATAGATGGCTGGCAGAAGTGCCAGCCTTACTGTCTGCAACAGTTCTGGGAGGTAGCAATAGCGCTTCTTCAGGTCATAGCTGATCCAGTTAATTGCAGACTCGTACACAAGCCTTTCATCCTCTGTCTCCAGCTCTTCACTGGACAAGAGTTGCACTACCATGTCCTGGGGCAGCTGGAGGAAATCTTCATTCTTCCTGATGGTTTGGAAGTTGCTGAGACACATTCTCCAAGATAGTTCGTACAGCTTGGTGCACTGGTGTGCATCAGACAGCAGCAGCATGCCCAGGCAGTTGGTGGGATGCAGGTTCTTTTCCAGGAACTCTGCACATGCATCCCGGATGTCTTGAAACTCCAGCATGTCACCAGCTTCCAGGAGCGATTCTGCATTTTCTTCATTGATGATGACCCGGGAGGAGTACGCATAGTCAAGCAGCAGCTCCAAGACTTCTGGGTGGATGGAATTGTCAAAGTTGACCTCACTGTCCTGGCTCTCTTTCAGGCCACCACTGAACATGGCCTCAAAGTAGCGACTGCATGCAGCCAGCACTGCCCGGTGGCAAGGGAAGGTCCTATTTCCGGCATGGAGAAGGACGTCAGTGAAGAGACGCTGCTGGCGTAAAAGATTCAGGTGAGTGAGGACGCTGTCAGCGTAGGAGGACTTGTGAAACAGATAGATGTTAATGGAGCCGCTGCTGGCCCTGGACTTGCGGTTCTCATGCACACTGACTGACATTTTGTTTCCACTCCTAAAAATAATAATAATAATAAATTGAAAATGATGCTCCTGATGTTCAGAACAGCAGAACGAAAGCAACAATGGTTTTGCACAAAAAACAGAACACTTTGTTGTTGACCATGCCACCTACTATTCTAGAATAGTGTATGGCCATTCCAGGACAAAGCCAGAGACAACTACCCGGAAGGAAGGATATTCACTGCTAATACTGTTGAGCTATTTGAACTCTGCACTGTTTAAAAAAAAAAAAAAAATCACTGCATAAAAAGCAGGTTCATCTTGGAAAACCTGATTGCCAACTTTCAGGCCATCGAAGTCTTTTAGAATATAAGTCAGCAAAAGCCAAGAGGAGTGAGTCTCATTCCCACAGCTCCCTGTCCTAGTCCAGCTCATTCACTGCGGGCCACTTAAAATGCCAGGTCTCCTGCTCTTATAATGCCAGGATGGGCACTGGCTTTCATGCCCCATGCAACATAAAGCCATGCGTAAAACAAACACCTAATAATTAATTCCATTAAGAATTCCTTTGGTAAGATCCAATCTCCCAGCACATACAGTAAATGGGAAATGTAAGGCCAACTTCTGCAATGATCAGACCTTTATTTAAATGTTACAGATAATGTATTTCATTTTATATATACTTTTGAGACCAAGTCTCGCTCTGTCACCCTGGCTTGAGTGCAGTGGTGCAATCACAGTTCACTGCAGCCTCGAACTCCTGGACTTAAGTGATCCTCCTGCCTTGGCCTTCCGAGTAGCTGGCACTAAAGGTGTGCACCACCAAACCCAGATAATTTTTTGTATTTTTTGTAGAGACCGGGTCTCAAACTCCTGGCCTCACCTGATCCTCCCACCTCGGCATCCCAACTTAAAGATTAATTTCTAACCAGACAGCTCTACCACTGAAGAGTCCTAAAAGCACCCCAATTTCAACATTAACCATATATTGATCAGCAAGCCTTTAGTCAAAGCACAGAATAAATTCTGGCCATAATCACCAACTACCTGTCTTGCTCGGGACAGCTTCCAATGTGAGGATTTGGCACATAAAAAGAAGAATATTTTGAGTAGCATACTTATGACTGCTGTTTTCTGTTCTTCCCGCTTTATATCAATTCTTGGAAAACCAGCTGCAAGAACAAAAGATCCATCCGTCTTTTGATTAAATAGTGCATCACTAGGACTGTTCCTGTATACCTGCAAATGCTGACACCTGCATAGAAGGAGTTCAAAATGCAAACACTGCTTTATTTAAATCAAAAAATACGTGTGTGTGTGTGTGTGTGTGTGTGTGTGTGTGTGTGTATTTTGCCAGCTGTTGTTAATTTAGGGCCACCCCAGAATTTATTTGCTGACTACAGTGCTTTCCTTGGTATCTACATTGAAATTATAGTAGAATCTAATGCTATCTTTTGGTTTTCTTCAGTAAGAAAACAGTAGGGTAGAGACATAGGAAATGCTTGTCACCCATCTTCAAAAACTGAATCACATGCCTTCATCCTTTTCTTTTACACCATCCCTCTGTTACTTCAAAGGAATGAAGTCCTCAAGAACCTGCCTGTCCAAGGATTCCTAAGGAAGCTGTTTATCCCGCTGTTTATCCCCAGAGGGTAAACTGTGTGGCTGGTTGCAGTATCTGTTCCAGACACATAACAGCCAGTCCCAAAAGCGCAGCTGAAACTCTGTTTCCTTTAACCATTCAGACATTTTTAAATGCATATTCTAAGAATTATTAATAAATGCAAATGAATGATTTGCCACAGATTCATGGGCTAAAATACTAACCTGCACCTCCCCAACCAGATGTGAGCCCCACTATAAGACTGCACAGAAAACCACAAAGGCAGGGGCATGACACATATACCTCATACCATTAGGTGATGCAACTAGTTTTCTTTCCTTTTTGGAATATAATTTTTTATGATGAGTAAACATGGCTGAGTGGAAGAAAGGAAGCAACAAAGTCCTAGAGCTCCAGTGTTAGGAAGACTTTACAAAGCACCCAGTAATTTCCACAGTGACTTGAGATATAAAAAATGGTGAGGAGCCAGCTTCACTCCCACCTCAAGCTAAGCATCTACTGTCTACTCCATTCTAACCAATGCCCAGTGTTTTGGAGAATGACCATATGAACCTATGGGAATGCATCAGGTTTCCAAAGGGTTAAAACATTCATTAGCATTCTCAATGCTCCACCACTGTAGTTGCTATTTTAATTAGTACATTCAATCTGGAGTATCTGGAGGAAGACTTTAAACCTAAACCTCAATAGACTGTCTACTTACTCTTGTGAATCTGCCGCCTCTCTCAGAGCAAATGCTGCCCTGAGTGAAGGAAGAATGAGGCTCCCTGAAACTAGGTGCACAGGCACCAAAATGCTTACACATTGAGCTGGAATCATGCTAGGCCCAGAACACATTTCCTTGAACATTAAATTCAGGATGGTGCAAAACAACATTCACAACCAGACTTACACCTAAGAAAACAATTTGCTTAGAAGACCTTAGGATATAGGATCTACATCTCTCCGCATCCTGTGTTTATGCTCCTGTATGTTCCAGGTTGGCCCAACAAGCCAGAAGGAAGAGCCTAGCCTGTCATCTTGGATACCACCCAGATGGAAAAGCACGTCACAGTCAAAATCACAATCAACATTCTTGCAACAATGTTTGATTAAAATAAAAAGTAAACTTGGAAACCCAAGAGGAAATACTTGCTTTCTGGTTTAAAACTGTGCAAACCTCAAAATATCAGCAGAAACCATGTATACAAGTCACTGAACACACCTTCAACATAAAATGAATCATCTTTCGAGCATTTTTAAGCCCCCAGAGAAATCACATTTGCATACCAAGTAAGTGGCCAAGAAAATGCACACATGTACTTAACCTACGTCTGCAAAGAAGACAGAGAAAGGGCTGCTATTACTGTGAACATCAAAAGGGCTTCAGTTACAGTAACTTCAGTTCACTTCATGCTCCTAACTCAGGCTCTCTGCCTCCAATGCTTAGCGTCCCGCACCCTTCTCCAGGTTTTGAACCTGATCTCAATCCAATCAAAAGAGAAACTAAGCAGATTTTTTTCTGGGCATTTACATTACCGGTAACAATAGAACATTATAAAGATCTTGTTAACAAAAGTAGCTTCTTGCCAGAGTCTTTTTATTAACACTTGCAACGCTATTTAACAAGCTGGCCATGCCTGTGTGACACCAAACCGCATGTGGATAAATTCAGTGTTTCATCTCCAGGCCCACCAATTCCTATCCTTTGTAACTAATAATGTTAACACGACAGATCAAGAAACTAGTTTTTCAGAAAGCAGTTTTCATTCATTCTCTATAGACATTTCCGCCGCAGTGAACATGCCCGCACTCAGGGTGTCTGTGCATGGCCCCAACTTTCCTCCAAGCCGGGGAGGATGCAACGTGGGCCAACCATCCCGCGCGCTCGGCCCTGGAGGCTGCGGGGAGCGACGCAGCGCGACATTCACCCCCAGGAAAGCGCTGCTTTCCGCAGAGGAGAGAGGCTGACTGTATCCTTAGCTCGGCTCCTCGCTTCCCCAGCGGCTCGCCCCAGACATTGCACCGCGGAGGGGAGGCCGGTCGACCTCTCCGGCGATGCCCGGCTTCTGCCTGCTGTGGGAGGGCAGCGGCGGGCACCGTGATCTCCGCACCGAGAAGAGCTCCCCTTGCCCTCTAGTCGAAGCTCCCGAGTGCTCGGAGCACGCTCACCCCTCGCGAACACACCCCTGCAGCCGAAGCAGCCCCTGAAGCCCGCAGCGCCTGCAACAGGTCCGGGGCAGTGGGGGAAACTTACAGCAGTGGCGACTGGCCGCAACGCACAACTGAGTTCTAGCGACGGTCACGGGCAAGGAGGCGACGAACCGGTCGTCTCAGCCCAGGGAAGCGGTGGCGAATGCCCCGGAGAAAGGAGGGCCAGCCGGGGAGAGGACTGCGCCCCGAACGATGGCTCGCGGACCGGCTACCGATGGCGTTCGCCTCCGTCTGTCGTCCCCACGCCGCGGACCCGGTGTCCAGGACCCGCAGAGCGTCTCCGGAGCGCGTCACGGTAGGGCAGAGCAAGCCTGCCACTGCAGGCGCCGCGGAAGGAGGCGGGCTGTGCGCTCGGGGGAGGGAGCTAGAAAGCGCCTTGTGTGCCGGCGGCCGCCAGGCGTCTGGACCGGGTCTCCGCAGCGCCACCGCCGCACCGCCTCCTCTCCGGCTGCCAGAGCAGTCTGCGCCCCGCCGCCGTGCGCCCCGCTATAAGTGGCGCGGCGGGGAGGGGAGGGGGCGCGTATGCAAAGAGACCGACACCGGGGGAGGGAGGAAGCGCATTAGCGCGGCCTGTGGTGTAGGAGGAGGAAGAGGAGGAGAAGGAGTGGGAGGAGGAGAGGAGCTAGAGAAGAGCGTGTCGGGGGAGTTAATCGGGAGAGGAAGCGGGAGAGGGGGGCTGCGGGGAGTGCAGAGAGACAAAGCGGACGCACTGTCTCAGCCGCTGGCAGCTGCAACCCCGGGAACCGAGAATAAAATAAGTTTTCCCGGGTTCGAGTGTCTGCGCCTCTTTGGGCCAGCCTGGTTAATGGACAGCCCCGGATCTGAGGGACCCACCTTAGGGGAGCGCAGCCCGGGGCTGTGCGCTTGGTGATGCCAGAGCCCGCGAGATGCTCTAAAAAGGGCTGCAAGGGGCGAGCTGGGTATCCGCAGGACAGGCCCTGGGCACGCATAGACAGCGCCTTGGGTAGGACACCCAGAGTGGGGAGAGATAGTGGCAATGGACGGGCAAAAGTCTGGACAGTTTAGGGACACTCGGGTTGAGCAAGCCAGGACGTTTAAGTTTCTTGCTGGCAGAGAGCCAAAGAGACTCCAGCCCCAGGCATTTCCTATGTGTCCTCCCTCCCCACTCCCCAGTGGGTGCGGCACCCCCGGCTGGACTCTGCCCTAAGCCAGGCGACTGCAGGGGCAGCCGGGGCGCAGTCCTGCGGGGCGCGCACCACGTGCTTTTCAGCCAATCGCCGCGGCCGCTTGATTCAAAGTGAACTCCTCAAAGCAGCAGCCACGCCGCCTCCTCTCCTAGCGATTAAGCCTCCATCACCTTCTCCTGTTTTTTATCGCTCGGTGGTGTTAGTTTGGAGTTCAGTAAAGAAATGGCCCAGCACACACACACGTTTAATAGTCCCGCGTGTCAGGAGAAGGGAAGGCGATTCGAAAAATAATCTCGCGTGGTGATCACTTTTACGAATCCCATTTATCTTTGCAACTAGAGGCTTGTCTTTCCACTGGGAGTTAAAATATCTGTCTTTTATTCGGTATTTGGAGCTAAGTCTATAAATGAACGGGATAGATGACCGGTCCAGCCCCCTTGTTTTACAGGTGGGGAACCGAGGCCCAGGGAGATGTGAATTGCCTGGCTCGTAGTCACTTAGCAACAATGTCCCAGCTCTGCAGCTCGAGAGTGAGGGCCCCACGACAGAGTTTATTCCGTCCCCGGGTCCCCGCGTCCCCAAGCGCCCGCGCTTCGCCTCCCAGCTTGCTTTAAAACACTAGGCGCAGGAGCGATTTAAACTGGCTAAGGAGGCCCCACATGGCGCTTCCAGAGTCCAGACTGCTGAAACCAAGACTGTCAGTTCTTCATTCTAATTTCATTTTCCTTTATCCTTGTTCCTTCCTGGTATTTGCGCCGAGAAATTTCGCTCCTTGCAAACAAAGAAAGACAGTGCCCTCTGAAGTCCTTTGTTAGCATTAACTCGGCAGCCTCACCACGAACCTTTCAATATATATATTTTTTAATGCAGAGTCTCGGCTTGAGGCTGATTCACAGAGACAGCCCGGATCAATTCATGTCAAGAACCACGTATGGAGAGCCAGGGGGGCTGCGAGGTTAGGAGAGGGCTGGCAAGCAGCACCCAGGTTCTGAAGCAAAGACCAGACAGATGGAAACTCTGTAGACTCCAGAGATAGGTGCTGAAAAGATGGGAGGCGGAAATGTGTAACTATTGCACATATGTCTTTTTAAAACATGTTTCTGTAGCCTGTGGCAAGGTGTGGGGGAGCTCATCAAGGCAGCCACCAACGCACCTTTTAGACACCTCCTAGACCCACTCTGTCTGCTTCCTTTGTGAGTCAAATCTACCTAAAACGGCACCTAGATGACCTTGCCTAGAAATGGACTATGTACATAGCTCAGCTGGTTGGTTGGGGATTTTGCCACAGGAAGCGACAGAACTAGGGACAGGTATGTATCTTTACCACCTAGAAATTGCGGGATGTCCTTAACCAAGGGAACAGCAAAGTTCAGATCCCTTTGCAAAGAACTTTGCTAAGCAGGCAGGGCTGAGAAAGGAAAGAAATCCGCTGGCCATTGTGTCACCATCCGCTGGTGCCACTTTCCTGTATCTTTTCTACCTAATGTTGCCACTTTCTATGCTTCAATAGAAGAAAGGGAAAAAAAGCTGTAGACTGGAAAATCTTGAAATGCATTCAGTGACCGTATACATTCGCTTCATCTGCCTCGGGGAGATAAGCAATACAAGAGAAAAGAAATTAGCTTATGTAAGTCCTAAAAACTGGAAAACATTTTCCTGCTGAAAGTCACAAGAACTAAACTTGCAAGTTTGGAAATCATGGGTGCTACTGATGACCTCCTACAAACTGTACTCTGGTTTGCTTGAGCCAATCTATGACTAGTTTTCGGGCAGTTGGGCAGTTTTTAATGCTTATCTCAGCTGAAAATGATTTGCAAGTTAGCAAATTTATGATCATAGCAATTCAAACGGTGTAATCCCACAGCATCTCTCAGCCAATCCTAAAGGTAACTCTTATCACCCCACTCACACAAAGAAAAGCTGAGCAAGTCTTCATTTTGTACAGGAAGAAACTTCTAAACAGGGCTGTCATCAAAACTGGACGACCATAGACATAGCAGATATCTGAGTCACAAACAAGTCAGGAAATGCTGCTTACACTGTATCCGCATTACACAATAGCCAACACTTCACACAAGACATTAGGCCAGTCCTGTAGGCCCTTGGGAGCAGGTCTTTGCCTCTGTCTTGTGACATCAAACCAAAGTCTCATTTTTTAATGCTATTAAGAAGCTGTGCCCAAGGCTTTGGGCTTGTTATCTCCCCTAACAATGTTATTTTGTTAGGCCGCAAAATAAGCAGCATGCGGTTAAATGTATTAGCTGCCTTCAAACCTAATTTATCTTCATTCCTTCCTAATTTACACTTGGGCTGAATTAATGAGAATGATTTAATTAACACGGTGCGATCATGGTACCAGGGACAGGACAGCTCAGGGAATTAGACCAAACAGTAGGCTAAGCAGCTGCCATCCTGCCTCCGGTGGTCTCCTGAAGCCCCACCCAAATTCAGACATGTTCCCTGCTGGTATTCCAAAAGCGCCCTCTTTGTTTTATGAGGACACTTTCTGAATCTGTGCAAGGAAGATAGCACAGCTTTCCTTCCCCGAGTTATTTGCTAGATGGACTTCAAGGCTGTGTCCTGGAGACAGAGTGTGGCAGAGGGGCCAACTGCCCACCAAAGATTTGTGCTCCCCTTCCATAGTGTCAAGTTCGTGTTGGGAAGTGGACGCCCAGTCAGGGACCACACCTCCCAGTAGCACATATGTTGCGATCAACATCCCTGAAGGGGAAGGGAGGGAAGCAGGGTGGACAGATGGAGATGCTGAGCTGGGATGTGGTCTCAGCCAAGCCTTGGCTGACGCCATGGGGACCTCTGGAGCTGAAATGGCCTCACAGGTTGTCTGCATTTAGGGCAAGAAGGCTTTTATAGGGCTACATCACCCAGTTGCTGAATGCAGCTTGCCCAGGGAAGGGACCATGGCTTTGGGCAAGGTGGTGCTCTTTTGCTGAGGGAGCTGCCAGCACACACAGAGGCTGGAGGAATAAGCCCTCCATTCCCAAAGGAGGATCTGAAGACCTCAGAACAGTGAGAATACAGATATACAAACCTAGGAAAATGAGACCTCAGCTTCCATCAGCAATCCTCTTATTTTTAAAAAGAGAGAGAGAGGAAAGTCTGGCTGTTTATTAAAGAGATGAGAATAAGGAAAAACACAGGTAATCGATACAAGAAATTATCAGCATTTTATAAAACAGTTATCACTTTTTTGTCTGGGGAAGACAAAGGGTCTAAATCGATAGTTTTCTAAATTTTGGTTTGCCATCTTCTATCTTTGTGCGTTAAAAAAAGTTATGTTTATGTTAAATATCTGTCATGATAAACCTTGAGAGTATTCTTCCTCTTTTTTTTCCTTTTTTTTTTTTTTTTTTTTTTTTTGAGACAGAGTCTCACTCTGTTGCCCAGGCTGGAGTGCAGTGGCGCAATCTCGGCTCACTACAACCTCCCCCTCTCAGATTCAAGCAATTCTCCTGCCTCAGCCTCTCAAGTAAATGGGACTACAGGCGCCTGCCACCACATCCGGCTAATTTTTGTATTTTTAGTACAGACAGGGGTCCATCATGTTGACCAAGCTGGTCTCGAACTCCTGACCTCAGGTGATCCACCCATGTCAGCCTCCCAAAGTGCTGGGATTACAGGTGTGAGCCACCACTCCTGGCCTCCTTAGGAGTATTCTTAAGATTGCATCCGAATTGGTTTGATCATATTTTAACATTTCAGTTGCTTCCTACATCCATTATGTGTGTCACCTTATGTGTATTTTGTGAATTAAGCTGGATTGTATAGTATGATTGTTTTTAGAGGTGAGCCCGTGCTAAGTTGCCAGGCTGGAGTGCAGTGGCTATTCACAGGCCGACATGGTTCACTGCAGCGTATAACTCCTGGGCTCAAGCCATCCTCCTGCCTCTTCCTCCTGAGTAGCTGGGACTGCAAGCGGGTGCCATGGTACCTGGCTCCATATAGTATGATTTTTAACTTCAAATTCCAATTGTTCACTACTGCTACATATAAATACAATTGACTTTTGTATTATGATTTTTAATGGAAAATGTTGTGTGAAAGTCTGTCTTTGTCCCGTAAGTACTAAGCACCACTGTTCGTGTTGAGCTCCTCTATTAGGGGCTTGTTATAGATGGGAAATTCATTCTTCCTTTGAGACTCCTTCACCTTATACAGCCCTTCAAGGAGTGACATTTCAAGGAGTAGACAGTTTATTGGCTGCTTACAGGACTGGAGAGAGACATATTTGAGTCACTTTCCTTGTATTACTCTATAAAGTTAGGTCATTAGGAAATCAAGTGATCTAGACTGCTTATGTTGTTTCTACTCCAGGGCCTTTCAAGACAATTATCTTCACAGCCTATTGTAGGTTATAGATTTTAGGGTCAGCATTTAAAACAGCGCTTATTATTTTCTCAGAACAATGTATGGTAGAAATATAGAAAACACAGAAAAGCAAAAGAAGAGCCGCAAACCTATCACTTGGAGATAATGACACTCATTAATCTCCATTTAAGTTCCATTCTTCCTATGTCTGCATACTATTTTTTTTTAACAGTTATGTGATTAAGAGTAGAGACTCTAGAACCAAACTTGGATCCCTACTTTTATATTTAGTAGCTGGGTGTTTGAGGGGCAAGTATGGCAATATCTCGGTGCCTTCATTTCCTAATCTGTAGTATGGGATAGTAACAGTACCTGGCTGGAAGGTTGTTTTGTGGATTAAATAAATTAGTATGTGTAAAGTACATAGAACAGTGCTTGGTATGTGGGAAGGGCTATATAATGCTGGCTTTTATAATGATTCCTTAGTAAACTGCTTAAGGAGAATGATATTCTTGAAACCTGTAGATATTTCCTTCCAAGTAACTCTCCTAAATAAAAGTGACTTGAATCTTTATCAAACTCTTATTTCCACATCTGCTCAGTAGCACTGGGTTAAGGGACACACTGGTGTCTTGAATGAGTTCACAGATCTCTTAGAGTGTTTACTTGAGGCTCTGCTCTTCTTGCACACCCAAAAAGCAGACAGCTTTTGCAACAAAAGCTCAGATTCATGGAGTCTGCCTTTGCCTTTTCCCATCTGTTATTGATACTGTCTTCCTGTTTTGTACTGGGACCACTGGTCTTAAGTTGACAATGAACAAACAATTCATTCTTTTTTTTTTTTTTTTGAGACAGAGTCTCACTCTGTCACCCAGGCTGGAGTGCAGTGGCATGATCTCGGCTCACTGCAACCTCTGCCCTCCGAGTTCAAGCGATTCTCCTGCCTCAGCCTCCCGAGTAGCTGGGATTACAGGCGTCTGCCACCGCGCCCAGCTAATTTTTTGTGTTTTTAGTAGAGATGAGGTTTCACCATCTTGGCCAGGCTGGTCTTGAACTCCTGACCTCGTGATACACCCACCTCAGCCTCCCAAAGTGCTGGGATTACAGGCGTGAGCCACCACGCCCGGCAACAATTCATTCTTCATTCTCCATTACTTTAAAAAACGAAGCTGCTGCAAAGGGAAAAGAATTTAAGAAATCACACGTTTTAAAAAGAAATAGCTAGCTATATTTAGAAGAAGGTAGCCCTGCCAAAACACATCACACATGGAATATAGATGCCTACTTTTTCCTGCCCTGAAGAGCTTGGAGAGTGTGCTTGGTAAAAGCTCACTCAGATCTATCAGAATCACACAAGGCCTCTGTGGGGTGTGGCTTTGCACAACCCAGGGGAATCCTGAACCATTTTTCTCCCTGTTTTTCTTTTGAGTACCCCAAGGCTCCTGGATCCAAACTCTTAATTTGTTCTAAGTAATTACATTCAACAATTGACCGTTGTTTGAAGCAATGAAAATGCAGGTTTTGTTTGGCCTCTATGCTCTGCTTCTAGGGCACAATGCCAAGTCTCTAAGCATGTCTGGGCATGAAGAAGGGACTAGAAGAAGGGACCTTTGTGGTCCAAGGGCTTGCACCTTTGAATGAATATTAAAAGGATTTTATGGTACTCTGCAAGCACAGATGCTACTTACTGCTTATAGCTCAGCTTGGGCAGGAGTCTGAAATCAGGAAGCTGCAAGTTAACATTAGCAGAATGAACAAAGAATGAAGAAAGAGATAGAGACACTGATGCGTGTGTTGTCAGAAAGAAAGTTTCCATAAGTGTTTCTCCTCATGATTTTGAAAACACGACATGAACAAGGATATATACAAGCATCCGCAAATTTCTCTTAGCCTCGTAAGTAATTTTAGAAAACATTCACTATAAGATCCCAAATAAAGTTGGAAGACTTGCAATTTCTTTATCTGAGGATATTTGGAAATATTGACATATCAGGAGGAAATGGTAACTTTTTAAAAGTATGTATATTCAAATAGTTATGTCAGTTTTCATACCCACAGTTATCTGAGAAATTGTGGTTTCATTCATTTAGCCAATCAGTCATTCATTCAACAAATATTTATTTACAGGCATCGTGCTAAGGAATATCCCAGTTTCACTAGGCTTCTCTCCCAGCCTTTCATTGTGATCTTACAGTGTCTAGGCTTGGCCTGCCATCAGTGTACTTGTATTTGCATTTGGAAGGTATCTCCTTTCAACTCTGAAAGACAGAGGTGGTCTAATGGAGGCCAAGAGAACCCATGTTTAGGCTGAAATGCCACCATTTAGCAAATATGTGATCCTGGGCAAAGTATTTATTCTCTCAGACTCAGTTTCTCATCAGTAAAATGGGGCCTAATAATTATAATATCCAGTTTGCAGGGATACTTGAGGATTATAGAGCATAAAAGCACTCTGAAACTGAAGATCTCTGTGAATGGTCTTTTATTTAATGCCTGAGAAACTTGCATTGCCTTAAGAAAATTATCCCAAATGGTCCAAGCATTAGATTATTGTAAGAGATGAAACCATTTCTTCTGACTATTGTATTAAAAAACATATTTACTTTTGTAGTTGACTTTTTAAATTCTTAATATTAGTCAAAGTAGTAAACACACATGGAGGCACACTCAAATAGTACCGAAGGACAAGAGGAAAGGTGCAGTCCCCTGACACCTCCAATCCCCTTCTCCAGCACAATCTGCAGAAAGAACCATGCAACCATTCCTATTTTCTGTTCTTCAGCTTTACCCCACAGTTATATTGCCCTTATACTGTCTTAATAGTGGGAGGAAACATCCCGGGGTTTTCCAAAACTGCACCAATTTCTTCTACACCTCTTCTAGGACACTTGTTGAAAGTGAACAGGAACACCTAGGTACATTCTAATTTTTCAAACAGTGGTTTTCCAGGCAGAATCTTGATCAATGTCATCGGCATACATGTTCATTTTTAAAATTCCATACATAATTTTCTATGGCTTAATAAAATATAAACAACTTTCCACATCCCAATTTTTTGCATGTGTGTTATTATGGACAAAAGTTTGTTTTGCTTTTTTTGCTTGTTTGTGTGTTTCTTGTGCTAGTCACCTAAGAATGAAACTGCCACCCTCAACAAAACCAGGAATGGAACACTGTAGCACAGAACACAAATGCGGGTTTCCACAGACCACAGCACAGAATTTGGGTAAAGCAATAGTGCCCTCTTCTGGCTACAATGAAAAACCAATTATAGAAGGGTCTGAAGATATTCAAAACCAACCCTACCGAAAAAGAAAACAATGAACATTGTGTGTAGACCCTTGTGGATCCGTTTGAGCAGCCACTCTTGCTGTCATAGCCCTAAAGTTTCTGCATTCAAATGAGCAATGCCAAATGTAATCTGGGGTCCGGCCGGCCTGCAACAATGCCGTGAGCTCCTGTGTTCCTTAGACTGGCTAGCAGAGGGCACAGCTGGGTCATGTATTTTCTCAGCAGAGACTGAGCAATTTCCAACTAGCCAACCCAGTGCCACTGCCCCCTCTGTGCACAATAATAATATAAGTTGTCCTGAGGGCCCCTGGACAGGGACTCATTTGTCCAATGGGATGGTCTTGGAGCTAGTAACAATGACTAGAATCCCTAACATTTATATGGTCTTGTGTGCTAGGCACTTTCTATGCTTATTTCCTTTAATCCCCACAGCAACCCTGAAAGAATAATGTCTCACTTCGGTGAAGCCAAGAGCTGAGTGCTTAACCACTGAACTACATTGCCTCCTCTATTTTCCTGATTATCTAAGGCCCATTCTTTTCTGTTCTCTGGAATGCCAGCCTTGAACACCTGGCACATACCCAGTGGATTTCTAAGAAATGATTTTCTTGGTTTACTTTGCTCCATGTTGACAGGCCTGATAAAGGTGTGACAAATGAGAAGCTGGAATCAATTGACTAAAATGGTATAGTTGTGTTTTTTTAATCCACTTGTACTCTTTTACCATAGTTGATTGAATGTCTTACCAGATCATTCTTTCATTCTGGCACACAGTACCCATAAGAGATTGTTACATCAGTTCACAAGCAAAGGAATGTCCTAATCAAATTGCTCTTTTAAATTTAGATCAGACATAGTTCCTTAACTATGGAATGAAGCACTGTTTCCCCAACTATGATCAAATCCCAAATATTGAGAGAAGCATCTTTTTCCCACTTTGAAATCTGTAATCCAAATGTCCAGGCAAGCTCTGGGTATCCTCCTGGAAGGATCTGGAGCAAAAATGCAATGGAAAATGAAGGAAGTGTTTAACTTCTTGGCTGTAGCCAGCAACTGTGACATTATGTTTAAAAACCCACGATGCACAGATTCAGCTGAAGTTTGAAGTCTTTATATAGGACAATGGTTTACAGATGCAAAGCATGCTGTCAGTGAGCGGGCACGGAACCTCCTCGAGCATGTTACAGTGCCTTTCACTTCTTGAAGAAGCCAAACACAGTAAAACCTCAATCGTCTAGAAGCCAGCTCACTAGAATAATTAATAAAACATTTTTCCTACACTGAACTTTTAGAGGACAGATGCTAAACACACAAAAACATATCCCTGTTGGAGCATTCTTTTAAAAGCAAATGATGTTTACCTAAGCAACAAATTGGTAAGATTTACTTGATAAACATGAACTAACAGTATAAGGGCAATATTATTATGGGGTAAAGCTGAAGAACAGAAAATAGCAACTGTTTCATGGCCCCCTCCGCAGATTGGGCTGGAGAAGGGGGTTGGAGGTGTCAGGGGTCTGCTGCCTTTCCTCTTGTCCCTCGGTACTGAGTGTGCCTCCATGTGTAGTTACTACTTTGCCGAATATGAGGAAGTTTTAAAAGTCAACTGCAGGCCAGGCGCGGTGGCTCACGCCTGTCATCCCAGCACTTTGGGAGGCCAAGGCGGGTGGATCACGGGGTCAGGAGATCGAGACCATCCGGGCTAACACGGTGAAGTCCCATCTCTACTAAAAATACAAAAAAAAAAATTAGCTGGGCGTGGTGGTGGGCACCTGTAGTCCCAGCTACTCGGGAGGCTGAGGGAGGAGAATGGCGTGAACCTGGGAGGCAGAGCTTGCAGTGAGCTGGGATCACGCCACTGCACTCCAGCCTGGGCAACAGCGTGAGACTCTGTCTCAAAAAAAAAAAAAAAAAAAAAGGCAACTGCAAAAATAAATGTTTTTTAATACAATAGTTAGAAGAAATGGCTTCATCTCTTACAATGATGTAATGTTTGGATGATTTGGGATAATTTTCATAAAGCAAGTTTCTCAGCCATTCAGTAATATGACCATTCATAGAGATCTTCAGTTTCAGAATGCTTTTATGCTTTGTGATGCTCAGGTATCCCTGCAAGGTGGGTATTATAATTATTGGGCCCCATTTTACTGATGAGAAACTGAGTCTGAGAGAATAAATACTTTGCCCAGGATCACATATTTGCTAAATGGTGGCATTTCAGCCTAAACATGGGTTCTCTTGGCCTCCATTAGACTACCTCTGTCTTTTCACCACTGTGTGTCTAACCCTTAGCGCAGCACACAGTAGTAATGTAACTATTTATAGCATGAATAAATTTAATACGTTTAACAAATGAATGAATGGCTCTTCCTAGTACCTCACAAAGAAATATCAAAATTATGCCCTTTGTTCTATACTCGCTAAGGCAAGAAAGTCTAACAAAACATTTCAAATAAATTTTCACCTTGGACTAACCCCAAATGATTTGCCTTAGGCTATCTAGAAAGCTTCATTTCCAGAATATTTTGCTTAATCAGTTTCATTGGATGCCTCAAGAAATAGGACCACATTCAGGGACATCACTTAAAGGAGGATTCCCCCAAATCTCCAAGCAAGGACGATCATTGACATATGATGAATAAACCTGTACAAATAACCGAGGTCTCTTTTGAAGCATGAACCTTTCTATGGATAAACTAACCAGCATCTCTGTGCTTTTCCTCTCATGATAAGAAGTATTAAATCACCCAAACAGCAAGTCACCCAAAGGCTGAGGTAATTCATTTCTGCTCCTGGGTGATTAATTGGTCTGTATGCCTTGGTGCTAGAAGTGATAAGACTTAGGTAATGGAAAGCCAGAGCATATCTCCAGGTTCACAATAAGTAATGGGTTATTAATTCGAACATGCCAGCACAAATCCTCCTGGCCTGTGGTCAGGTAGGTAAGTCTATTTGCCAGCTCTGTGTAAAACTACTCTTATGCCAGACAAACTAGGACGTGTCTAAAAAGTCAGACACTGCATTCTTTTGCTTGGTCTAATACTCAACTCTGGCATGAGATGTCTACGTGGAAATTAAAATGATGAACTCTTTTACGTGAGTAGGTAATACATATGCATGGATCAACCATAAATAATAATTAATGTCCATTTAGAGTCACAGTGGTTTACCTCTCAACAATCCCAGGAGGTAGATACTATCATTATCTCCATTTTGCTCATGAGGAAACAGGGGCAATGATGCGTTTGAACTTGTGCAAGAATCCAGTTATTAAATGGCAGAATCCAGACCCCTCGCTTTCTTTTTCAGAGCTGTGCTCTCCTAGTGTGTGGGCCTCCTGGCCCACGTGTCCAGCAAGCAAGCCACTCCTGAATACACAGTAGCCGTTTGCCTTCATGTATTTGCTTAATCAATGGTACGAAAATTGCAGCCGCTCCCATGTGTTGGGATGTTTTGCAAAATTTTTTACATTCAAAAGAGTCCTCATAGTTGGGTATAGTTAGGACAAACAGACCATAAGAAAATGTAACTTAATTTTTCTAGAACAGAACTTTTTACCATAAGACCCTAATCTGCTAGTTTGGTGGAAACTTCATTTGAGTCATGTAAGGGATTCCCTCCCTTACCCCCACTACCCCCAGGATTGTGTCCAAGTTCCAAAGTGTTCTTGAGCAGCCAAAAGTCAGGGATAGAGGCTCATCTGGTCCTCCCACATCTGCCCACAGCACCAGCTCCGAGATAACCATCACCCTCTCTGAGCTCCAATAAGGTGGCTACTCAGTCTTGTCTCACTGCAGTCCCAGGCCCATCCCATAAGGAGCAAGGGGGAAAAGCCTCCCTCTTGGGCGACTACACACATCTACGCTAGTGACACATATCCCTTTATATACCAGTCATTTTTAATGCCCTCTTTGCTTTACTGAAATGGAATTTATAGATAATAGACTCTATTGAATATAACTTCAAAAAACTTTAACATTTCTTAACTGTAATGTAAAGGAGGACCCAATAGAAAAGTATAATAAAATTATATGCACTCAAATATGTGAATGCTCTAGCTTGACTACAGTAGGAGGCATTATAAAAAGAGTCAGGTGGTTACACACACATGCAGAGTCATTGTGAATACGCTTCTACAAATGCAGACTGAAACTGGGTACTCTATTGGCCCTTCAAGTACCATGACTCACATTACGTCAATAATTTTTTAAAGTAATTTTTACAAAATGATCAATTCTTGCTAAAGTTTAAAAAAAGTAGCTGTCCCTCAATTTACACAGTAATCCCACTCCTGGATCATTCAGTGAATATTAAAACACTACAAAAATACTATGTAAAAAATATAGGTGGGCAACTTTCCCCTCTGGCCAAGATGAAGTAGCAGGGAATCGCTTTCTGCTCCCACCTGAAACAACAGAAGCCAGCAAAGCATATGAAACCATTGGGTCAGCAAGCTCCAAAAGCCAACCTTCCAGGCCATGGTTTCAGGGCTTCTGTGATCAATTCCTGCAGGATCTCAACTTTAAACCATTAAATACATCCTCTCTCTTTGCTTGAATGTACAATATAGATTTACAGTTTGCTAAGGGGTGCTTTCATAGGAGTTGTGATGTTGATGTCATAGTTACTTTTGGCCAAAAGTGATACTGTCAAGCCCTGATAAAGTTCCTGGAATTGTAAACCTGGCATGACTGAAATCCTTCTGTCAAAATCAGTGGATTGTACACTCTGCTGACCAGAGAGTTATGAAAGGCACAATGGAAAGATAGCACATAAGCCAAAATTCAACAGAAAAAATTTATTGAACGCCTACTATGTGTCTGGTTATAGAGGTCGATAGGTCACATCTTCAAAGAGCTCAGAGACTAGTAGGGGTGTGGTCTAGTTGCAGGCTTCTAAATCAGTAATAAGGCCATGCCCATGCCAAACATCTCAATTTCCCATGCAAAAAAAAGATCAAGGTGTCACTTATCCTATGGACGCCAGCTTGAGGGGCTCCAGGTGTAGACAGTGAGTCCTCCCGGCTCCATCCTGGTGAAGCTGCCCTCACTCCCTTTGCCCCACCCAAGATCATTCTTGTGGACCCAGGTGTAGCCAGCTCACACTAGGTGCTCCTGAGTGTGAGGAGCCAATGCATCTCTGGAATGTGGCTCACTGAAAACATCTGTCTCCAAGACAGCAGGTATTTATCCAGTGCTTCTCAAACTTTAATGTGCACACGAATCACTTGGGGAACTTGTTAAACTGCAGATTCTGATTCAAGAAGTCTGGGATGGGGGCAGAAATTTTGCATTTCTAACGAGCTCCCAGGTGATGCCGACACTGCTGGTCTGCAAAACACACTTGAGTCCAGAGGCCTGACAAGACGCAGCATTGCAGAAGATGGCTGTAACCACAGAATCACACAAAGACATTCCCACGAGATATACTAACAGCTCCCCAATTCCCTGAAATAATGCCTCCTTGGAAGTGAGGTAAACCCTTACTGGTTAAGAGGGTCCAATATATAAATAAATACATTGCATACAGTGTAGAAAAATGAGAGACTTTCTAGGCAGATGAGGGAAGGCTTTCAGGAGGAGGTGATTTCTGAGCTGGGTATGAGAGTTTAGTGGATCTAGAGGGGGAAACGAGGAATAAGGAATGAGCCTCACAAGGCACATGGGGCCTAAAGCCACAGGGAACCTCTGAAAGGTTAAACTAGAAAGACATAATCGAGTATTTTAGAGCAACACTCTGGCTGCCATGTGGGGAGTGCGCTAGAGGGGAGCTAGGCCAGGCCAGGGGCAGCTGTGAATTGAATGTGGGCAATGATGAGGGGCTACACTAAGAGAGAGGCCGGGAAGCAGGACACACACAAACTGCAGATGATGCCATTGACTGGGACAGCGGGGGAGTGGAGAGATGGTGAGCTCAGGACCGCTGAATATGGGAGGTGAAATGTCCAGGGACCTGAAGCTGGTGTTTGACCTGCGGACGGATCTGGATCCCACAGGCACAGGAGCAGGGACCAGGCCATGGGAGCAGGTGAGCCCCCCAAGAGAGGCTCCCAGAGAGGGTGGAGGTGAGTGTAGCACTGGGAAAGCCACACTAGTTTCTCCTTGGTTTTGAGTGCCCCTTCTCATCAGCAACTGCACCAGGTATCTGTTAAGAAAGGGATAGAAAATGACATGGTTGTTCATAACAGGCACTAAAAAGGGCAGCGATAAGAACATCAAGCTTTTAAGAATGTTCTAACCAATACCTGGACAAACATGGAGATAATAACCCTTCAAGCATTAAACTTTTTTTTTTTTTTTTTTTTGAGACAGGATCTCGCTCTGTCACCCAGGATGGAGAGCAGTGGCACGATCTCGCCACTGCAACCTCCATATACCAGATTCATGTGATTCTTCTGCCTCAACTTCCTGAGTAGGTGAGATTACAGGCCTGCACCACAATGCCCAGCTAAGTTTGTTTTTTTGTTTGTTTTTTTAAATGTATTTTTAGTAGAGACAGGATTTCAGCACGTTGGCCAGGCTGGTGTCAAACTCCTGACCTCAAGTGATCCGCCTGCCTCAGCCTCCCAAGTGCTGAGATTAGAGCCATGAGCCACCGCTCCTGGCCTCAGAATCATTCATTTTAATTATTTCTTGAATTTTCTCCACATATATTTAGTGAGCATGTTACTCTCCAAATTGCTAATTAAAAGAAATCAGTTAAAATAATGATTGTCATTTGCATTACTTTTTACATACACAATATCTTTTTATCCTCAAAAATTCTGAATAGAATTTTAGAAAAAATTATCTCCATTTATAGGTAAGAATACTGGCACTTGGAATGATCAAGTGACATGCCTGAGATAATACAGCTGTCAGTAGCAAATTTGAGATTCCTACTGAGATTACCTGTTGCATGATGACAGTCACATAAATATTCTGAAGTGACATAATTCTTCAAGGAAAAGGAAAATATTTAGAATTGACTAGAAAAGGCTATTAAGTAGCTAGTTCATCAATCATTTCATGGACTTTGTAAACAAAAATGAATCCTGAATAAAGCTGGGCCACCTTGGGGTTGGTCTCAGCTGAGCATTGTGTCCAAAAGAATCATGACTCCAACTCCAAAAAAGCCTTGCAACTTAATGTAAGAAGTCCCTTGGAGGCCGGGCACAGTGGCTCACACCTGTAACCCCAGCACTTGGGGAGGCCTAGCCGGGTGGATCACTTGAGGTCAGCAGCGTGGATCACTTGAGGTCAGCAGTTCGAGACCAGCCTGGCCAACATGGTGAAACTCCGTCTCTACTAAAAATACAGAAATTAGCTGGGTGTGGTGGTGGGCACCTGTAATCCCAGCTACTCAGGAGGCTGAGGCAAGAGAATCACTTGAACCCGGGAGGCACAGGTTGCAATGAGCTGAGATCACACCACTGCACTGAAGCCTGGATGACAGAGTGAGACTCTGTCTCAAAAAATAAAATAAAATAAAATAAAATAAAATAAAATAAAATAAAATAAAATAAAATAAAATAAAAGTCAGGAGAAGCAGATGAGGAACCACATTGCACACATTGCATGACACAGAGTGGAACGTTCTAAAATCTTTTTGTTTTGAGATGGAGTCTCCCTCTTTCGCCCAGGCTGTAGTGCAGTGGCATGATCTTGGCTCACTGCAACTTCCACCTCCTGGGTTCAAGGTTCAAGCAATTCTCCTGCCTCAGCCTCCTGAGGAGCTGGGATTACAGGCACATGCCACCACACCCAGCTAATTATTGTATTTTTAGTGGAGACGGGGTTTCACCATGTTGCCCAGGCTGGTCTTGAACTCCTGGCCTCAGGTGATCCACCCGCCTCAGCCTTCCAAAATGTTGGGATTACAGGTGTGAGCCACCACGTCCAGCCTCTAAAACCTTTTTCCAAAGTCTCTCTCATCTCAGTAACAGCCCCCCTTGCTGCTGCTTCGTTGGCTGTGCCCTCTGGATTCCATTGCTTTCCACAGTCACTCCATAACCTTTCTGATAGGAACCCTTTAGCCTCTCAGCTCCCTCTAAGGCTCTTCCACAGTCACCCCTGGTCAACACAGCGACAAGAACAGGAGGCAACACAGAACCTCCCAGACTGTTGGTGGGGAGGGGTCGTGTGTGTGAATTTTTGTTGTCCCTGATAAATGTACACTTTATACCCTCCAGTGGCTTCCATCTCCTTTCCATGAGCCACAAGGCCCTACTTATCCAGTCTCATCTCTGTTCCAGCCACACTGGCTGCCCTGTTTGTCCCCAGATACCCACCACTCTCCAGCCTCAGGACACTGGCACTTACTGTTCTTCTGCCTGGAACTTTTACCATAAATAACCAAGTGACCAGGTCTTTCCTTTCATTCAACTCTCTGCTCAGATAACTCCTATTAGCGAGCCTGTCCCTGAGCTCCTGGTCTAAAATAGCAACCTCCTTGCTCTCCATCCCTTCACCCTGCTGGATTTTCCTTCGGAGCACTTATCACCACTTCACAATGTCTGTTTATTTATTATTTACAACTCCCACAAGGAAGCAAGCTCCACATGGGGAAGAACTTTGTCTATTTTGCTCTCGGCTGATTCCTCATGCACAAAAAATATTTGTTAAATAAAATGAATGGAGAGTTAGCTATTCATCAAAATTTTATTAGAAAGCTAATAAACCCTTAAATAAGAATGTGTTTTCCTTTGAACACTTGACGCTTGTTATTTGTGTAGTCACATGGTTTCTAAAGATCTCTGTGTCCTAGATGCTCCTTTTGCTGCTGTTGTGGCCTCTGTGCCTCACATGTCATGTGGCGTCTTCTGATCTCAGCCTATGTTACCCTTTTGTTGTATATAACAGCCTATGTTACGCTTTTGTTGTATATGAAGTCCGGGTTTTTCAGTCCACTTTCCGATTCAAGCTACTTGGTCTCTTTGAATCCCCTAAGCCTTTGCTCCCAAGAATCTCCAGTGCAAGTGTTCACAGACTGTGACCTAGTTGATGGCAGGTCATCAGCTTCCAGAAATGTCTACTGCCTGTGAATCCCTAGGGTACTGGCATCTTGAAATACTGAAGGCCCCAGAGCCCTTGCCTTGCCAGCACGTCTGATGTCTGTGAGCTTTGGGAACTAGCAGCACTGAGGGCTTCAGCACATGTGCCTCCCAGCATTAGGAGGGCATTCCTGGTGAGAAGGAAAATGGGCCTCAAAGCAACTGCATTTGAAGGCTGGCACCCATGAACACATTTCCTCCTCCAGAATGTCCCTGATGGCCTCTCTTACTGAGCACTCTCCCAGAAGCACCACCACAGATGTCAATAATAACTAAAAAGCAAAGCATTCTGCATGGTAAAGAATTTCGCCTTGCCCAAAGACAGGTCAGCCTTTGCCCTGAGCTGCTTTCTTTGTTTAGGGCAGGGCCTGGACCCACCAGATCTTAGGATGGAGCCAGTCACACCAGAGAGGCCATTTATGTAACTGAGAGTAGAGGCTTTGGGTCACATGGTATCAGTTGACCTAGAGGCTAAGATCAGCTAGGTGGGCAATCAATCAATCAATCAGTCATGCATATGTCTCGGGGCCGCAATAAAACTCCTGAACACTGAGGCTCAAGTAAGCTTCCCTGGGTGGTAATATCCCTTATGTATTATCACTCTTGGGTACCAGGGAAATAATGTGTCCTAGGAATGACAGAAGATTCACTTTTGGAACCTTCCTAAACTCTGCCCTATGCATCTCTTCCTTTGGCTGATTTTAATCTGTATCCTAATCTGTATCCTTTTCCTGCGATAACTAGGAGCATAATAGCTTTTGGTGGGTTCTGAAGTCCTTCTAGTGAATTCTCAAATCTGAGAATGATTTAGGGAACCCACCCTCTAAACTTGCAGTTGGTGTCAGAAGTAAGGCCAATCTTAGGTACTATGTCCTTGAGCCTCACAGTTTGGCTAACTGTGGGTATATCCCCACACCATGAGAAGACTGGAGCTTCTGCTCCAATATGTTTCAATTCAGTACAATATGTAGCTTTCTCCTTGCATTTAACTTTCATTTTAATATATCTTTATATCACATTTAAAAGCTTTTGTGGGAAAAAGAGACTTTTAAAACTGGAAAAAAAAAACTTGTCTTTGGTACTTATATGATATTTGCATCAGTAATCCCAACATACTTTGAGAATACTGAATTTTGAAATTATTTCCCAGAGATGTATAAATTTTTCACCATAAGTCACCTGCCTGAGACCTCACAGCGTTCATGGCAAAACTAAGAACAGAACATGCAGTGCCTGATTTCTTAGTCTGCCCAATAGACCATGGTCAGGGCCAGGAGCACATTAAGCTTGAAACACGCTGGACAGCACACAATCCCCAGTGCAGGGCAGGTGGAGGGCTGATCCTGGAGGAGACAAGGCCACTTGTCTGTCTCAGGGAAATTACAAAAATGATAGCGGGGAAGCCACAGGTGATTCTAAACTCAAAGTTATTGCAGGGTAGTGAAATATGAGTCAGTTAGCAGCAGACATGAAAGTAGAAAGAAAAAATAGAAGGTGTAAAGAAGGATGGGAAGGTTCTTAGAAGATGTGAATATGGAGAAAAAGTGGGGTGGGCCTCCAATAGAAGAAAGGTAAGCGTGAGAGCTGGAGAATAAGCCCAGCTCATTCCTGCTCTGGGAAAAACCATGGATTTTGCTAAATTCTTTCTCCCTTATCTTTTCAATCAGCCAACACTTAACTCTAGGGGACTTCAGCAAAAACTAATATTGCACATGAAGTGCTCTTCTTCAACCCAGGAAATTGAATTTTGATGAGAATAAATGAAATTTAAACCTTAAAACTTTGCTAAATATCTGAAATTTAGTATCATACTTCTGAAGTCAAAGCAAACTCTTAGCGTAGAAATAATGTTCTTTTCCACCTTGAGGATGAAGGGCAGAAGGGGAGGGTGAGGGGAAATGCTCTGTCTATAACTGATGGAATGGAGAGGATTAGGAGACAAAGGCAGAGAGGACATCATCACCTTTACTCAGCAAGAAGCAAAGGGAGAGGAGAGACCCTAATCTTTGTAAAAAAAATAAATGAATAAATAAAGGGACATTTGGAAAAGGAAGAAAGAGGAGGACAGTGGGGTGCAGGGACTCTCAACTTAGCTGGGCTCACTCATCTCATGCCCAACAGCCATTCCTCCCTGATAGCCAAACTCTAATTGTATCCCAAACAATATGTTCAGCCCTAAATAATGACTTGTGATTGATCAAAGCCAACGATTACAATCCTGTTCCTGTTACCAGGCAGTTGATTTCCCAGCCTCCCTTTTAATGAGGAGTAGCTGTGTGACTCAGCTTGTGACAAAGAAATGTAAAAGGAAGCCTGCTAGGAGGTATCTGGGAAAATTTTTGCTTTTCTGTTAAAAGAGGCTGATATGGCTGATGCCACCTCTCTCCCTCTTCCTGCTTCAAACATAGGTCATGATGCCTGAAGCTGTGGCAGCCAGCTTGTAGCTATAAGGGACAAAACAAGAGTGTCACAGGGACACCAGCCATAATATCATCAAGCCACTAAATGGAGCCATCAGCTCCCACTCCAGATGCTCCCAATCCCAGTCAATGAGAAGAATTAGAACTTGTTTGCCTAAGCTACCCTTGGTTGTATCTGTTCTTCCTAGCAGCAGCTGAATGCAATCCCAATACAAAACTCATATTCTAAGAAAATGTTGCCTTTATGACTGGTAAAATCATATTTTGATTACCACTGGAAAAAAAACATAAAAAATGTTCTAGTGCTCACAGATCTCATCAAAGAGGCCTCTGATCCCTGGGGATACACAAATTGCCATTCGAGAAGAACCAAGCTAAGCCAGAGAAGCAACTACAGACAAGTAAGAAAGACAAGGCATTGACTGGAAGAAAAAGATCAACTCGAGAAAGCAAAAATATAGGAAAAAGACACCGGGCATAACAGCATCTCACTTGTAAAGGGAACATGGCAACAAGAAATCCATGGGTCAGTGAGAGAGAGAGAGAGAGAGATAGAGAGAGAGAGAGAGTGGCCTTCACCCTTCATTCCAGACAGCACCAGCTGGAGCCACAGTGAGCCACATGTCTGTGGGCGTCGGGGGCTGCTGAGAAGTTGCCTCTCTGGCTTTTGGGATGACAAGCCCAGAGCTATAGCACAGGCCAGTTGCTTCTGTAATAAGCATTTGTTAGATCACCCTAGCCTTCCAGAAGCTGAACATAAATCGAAATCCACAGTCCTTGAAATCAAGAGTTATCCTCTGACTGAGAACGAGAATGGGGTGAAATCAACAAAAATGAAAAGGAAAATCAGGAAAAACAGGAGGCAAGCCAGCTGGGGACCCATGTCTTCCTCTATCTTCAGAAATCTTTACTCCTTTAGTCCTGAACAGCATGACTCATATTTTTTTAAATAATATTTTCTATTGTTTTAGGACCTTTTGATTGAAGACAGTGGTGTTACAACAAAGAAGTCATGAATTCATTTTCTCTCTCTCTGTGTGTGTGTGTGTGTGTGTGTGTGTGTGTGTGTGTGTGTGTGTGTGTGTCTCTCTCTCTCTCTCTCTCTTTCATCTTGCCAATGTTGCCTAGACTGATCTCAAACTCCTGGCCTCAAGGGATCCTCCCACCTCAGTCTCCCAAAGGGCTGGGATTAAGGGTACAAGCCAGAACATCTGGCCTGCATGACTTATATTTGAAACTGAGTTCTACTTAAAGGAAATCCAATACGTAAAATTCCAAACCTACAAAACAAATTGAAAGATCAATAACTTTTTAAGTGGATAGTTCATTTTCCATACTGCAGGTTTTCTTCATAAAATGAGTTTTCCTAGTACATTTACTCCAAGATTTGAATTAAGCAGGAGTCTTGAGCAGCCTGGCCACATATAGCCAAATACCAAGTGCTTCCTGGTTCACAAAATGACCTGTTTGTCCTCATGACAACCTTATTTGATCTTTATGACAACCCTACGATTACGAGAGGAATAGATACTCTTTCCAGAATGTTTTTTGTTCAAAGAACAAACATTCATTTAAAAAATAGGCTTACTTTTAGCTGAGCATTAAATAAATGTGTTCATTGTAGAGAAGCAGAAAGAAAAAAAGAAATCCTCCATACCCCAGAGAAAACCACCATGATTTTAAGCTTTTTTTTTTCAGTCTTTGTGCTGTGCACAGACATGGTAATACTCATTAGACAATTTTATTTTCAGAAGTTTTTCACCTAACATTATAACATGAATATTTTCTCAGGATATTCAGCTACTCTTACTGTCATTTTTCATGATTGCACAGTATAATTTCCATAATTATTTCTAATAATTGAAATGCTTCTTTGCCCATTTTGTTTTGAGTTACTCTGTGAGTGTCATTTAAGCAAAAATGTAAATGAATTATGCTACTAGAAAATGTAATAAGCTAATCATTCTCCCTATTGTTGAGGTTTGCTTCCTACCAATTATTCTCTGATCAACATCTTTATGTATAACTCTTTTTCTATATCTCAGGTGAATTTTTTTAGAATAAATTACTGGAGATGGAGCTACTGGTCCAAAAGGAATAGATGTTTTAAGGTGCTGTTTGCAAAAGTGCTTCCCAAAATGACTGTACCAATCTACATTCTCAAAATATCCCTTTGACCACACTGTCACCAGCATGGAGTAAGCATTTTAAGAAACATTTGCTTATTTATAGGTAAAAATCATATTTTATTATTATATTAATATGCACAGTTTTATCTCTGAGTTTGAACACCTTTCCAGAAATGTATTAACCAGCTATAATTTGGTTTTTTGTAAAGGATGTGGTCCTAGAGCAGAAACAAACCTCATTTTACTGCTGAGGAAACAAAACCTGGAGGAATTTAAGCCATTTCCCCAAGGCTAAACAATTACTAAACTGGCTAAGTGAGGAATCCAACTCAGGCTTTTTGAAGCTGACCTAAGTAATTTCCCCTCCCCACCACCATCATACGGATTTTTTAATTCTTCAAACCTATCTGCAAGATTTAACAAAATAAGTACTTTTTAAAGTACACACTTCCAAGTCATAGCTTCTCTGTCAGTTTAGAACTCAGTAAACGAAGACCCAAGAACGCATATGGGCATCTGCTACAGACCTAAAGTCAGTGTCTAATTACAAAGATGACCTCTTTCTTTCTTTTTCCTTTTTTTTGGGGGGGTGGAGTGCGGTGGCGGAGTTTCGCTCTTGTTGCCCAGGCTGGAATGCAATGGTGCGATCTCGACTCACTGCAACCTCCACCTCCCAAGCTCAAATGATTCTCCTGCCTCAGCTTCCTGAGTAGCTGGGAGTACAGGCGCCCGCCACCACACCTGGCTAATTTTTGTATTTTTAGTAGAGACAGGGTTTTGCCATGTTGGTCAGGCTGGTCTCTATGTCCTAACCTCAGGTGATCCACCCGCCTCGGCCTCCCAAAGTGTTGGGATTACAGGCATGAGCCACCGTGCCTGGCAAAAGATGACCTCTTTCTAATCACGTGCTGCCTGACTGCTCTTAGGCTTAAGACTTTAGATGCTTGCACAATGGAGATTCATACCATGTTGAAATACAATGGGCAAGCTAGGAGCAAAATGGAAAAGAATTAGTTTCTAAACAGAACTGTTGGGAGTCAAGGGTTTCAAAGTCAGGCAGAATTATGATTTGCAATCAGCAAAAATAGATCAATCCTATCCATTACATATAGATCAAGGGGAAAGAAATTAGTGAATTATCCGTGAAAATAAATACATTTAAGAAAGACCCAGATAGAGAAATAACCTACACTCTCAACGTTTAAAAGATGGATTACTTAAAAATGGAATATTGGGGCCAGGCGTGGGGGCTCATGCCTGTAATCCCAACATCTTGGGAGGCTGAGACAGGAGGATTGCTTGAGCCCAGGATTTCAAGACCAGCCTGGGCAACATAGTGGGATCCTGTATCTACAAAAAACTTTAGGCCAGGCGTGGTGGCACACGCCTCTAATCCCAGCACTTTGGGAGGCCGAGGCAGGTGGATCACCTGAGGTCAGGAGTTTGTGACCAGGCTGACTAACATGGTGAAACCCCGTCTCTACTAAATAAAAAAAAATTAGCTGGGTGTGGTGGCGCATGCCTGTAATCCGAGCTACTTGGGAGGCTGAGACAGGAGAATGGCTTGTACCTGGGAGGTGGAGGTTGCAGTGAGCCAAGATTGTGCCATTACATTCCAGCCTGGGCAACAAGAGTGAAACTCCATCTCAAAAAAAAAAAAATTTAAAAACTAGCCAGGTGTGGTGGTGCACCCCTGTAGTCCCAGCTATTCAGTACACAGTCTGAGGTGGGAGGATCACTCAAGCCCAGGAGATGAAGATCAAAGTAGCTATGATCGTGCCATTGCACTCCAGCTTGGGCAATAGAGCAAGATTCTATCTCTAAAAAAAAAAAAAAAAAAAAAAACAGAGAGAGAGAGAATACTGAATAGATGGCGCTGTTAACCATTTAAAAAAGAATAAATTACATTCTCCCATTTCATGTAGTATGCCAAAATCAGTTCTGGATAGATTTATGTTAAATATAAAAATGAACTATAAAAAAACAAATTTAAGAAAAGTGGAAATCGATAATCTGATTTCAAGCTGGGAAAGCTTAAAAACTGAAAAGGACTCCATAAAGGAAAGGGTTACAGAGAGAAGTTTAAGACTTCTGAAGAGTGTCAGAAGGAGGGAGAGAGGGAAAAAAATCTGGCAAAACAAATAAAATTTTCCAGCTCATCGTCCAAGTTAAGAGGCAAGTATCAAGCTAAGGAGACAATGGCAATTAATAGGGCAGGAAGAGGATGAATATCTTTACTATGGAACTGTTCCTAATGAGAGGACCTAGCACCTGCAGGAAAACAGGATGCTCACACTCTCGTTGTGGGAGGGCACGACATATCCCATTACGCCCTTGGAGAAGCGCATTTGGGACAGTGCATACTAAAACAGACTCAAAAATAAGAGCTCATGCCCTTTGATCCAGTAATTCTACTTTTAAGAACGAATCAGAGGTCTACAAAAAGATTTTCACATAAAGATATTTATCACAGGCTATGGTAGTGAAAATGTCTGAAAATTTAAAATGTCCCCAAATAAGAAAGTGGTTCAATAAAAATTAATCCATCCAGACTCATAACTTAAGAGAATATTTTATAAAAGGAAAAAGTTTTCTGGTATTTGCAGTGATAAAAGCAAGTGACAAAGCAATATAGGAAGCATGGCTAAAATTCTGTAAAATGAAAAGTACATAAGTAAACAGTGGTTATAACTGAATAGAATTCCATAGGATTTTTAAAATTTTCTTTTTTGTACTTCTTTTCCTAACTTTCTAAAAATACATATGGATATCTATACATGTCCTCATGCCCACGCACACTTTTCTCTGTGTGTGTGTGTGTGTGTGTGTAGGAGGAGGAGAGTTGTGCAATAGCAGCCCCGTGGACAGTGTTCTAGGCATCTCCCATGCCCCTGCTTTCCTACACACACATGTTAAAAACATCTTCTTGGAAACCTACAAAGGACTATAAAAATAGAGACTACACAGGTGGGTTACCAGCTAAGCTTTCTTAATGAGAAACTGGGAAGAAGTGAATAGCAAGTTTGATGAAATCATATCTTCAGAAAGCTATAAATATTACAGAAGACAGATAAGAACATAAACAACTGCAAGACCAAAGACTCTGTGGAACAAATTCACTAGGAGAGAAGGGAAATTTTATATACCGAATTCTTTTTTTTTAAGCCAGTTCCCTGTGAGTGTCCAGTTTAATGACTGTTTAAATTATATCTGCAATTTTCTGAGTGGTTCCCTTACTTTTCAAGTTTATAAACCAACACATCAACAATTCTCAGTCAATGGAAGAGCATTTCTCTGGGGAGCTATGAAAATATACCTTGCATTTTAAATGCAATAAAAAGCATGAATAAACATGCCTCTGTTCTTTATAACACAGAAGTACCACATCTGGTCATTAAAAAAATGCATTATACAGAGTTGTACAGATGCCAGATACTTATTACAGAGAACTGTTTTATCCATTTAGCCCAATTTTCCAGATGTTTTATTACTTGGAGACAGGAGAATTGTTGAAACTGATGATTGAAGCCCATTTATTTCCAGGGGCTCGACTGCAAACCATAGAAAGCATTTGAGGGACAAGTAATTTATGACAGGCCACAAGGCAATGCTTGAGGAAGGCTGTCATCTCAATGGGTCACAAATAATACCAACAAAGGACAAAACACCCTATTTTAGTAACCCCAGGCTTCATTTACAAAAATTGCCTCTTAGGCAAGCACTTAGTTGTCATTTCACATGCAAATGTGTATGCACGTAATTGGAGCAATTTTCATAATAGTAGGTCAAGTTGGCAGTGACATTGAAAATGGCCCAGGTTGGCTCTGATTGGAGGCCTGGTTGTCATTGTCTGCAAGCTGGCAAAATTCTCACCTGGATCAGTTGGAAGTCTTGTTCTCATAAAGACAACAGGATCAAGTTCAGCAGGGGCAGGTGCCGCTTCCCCATCCCTTCCCCAACTCCCCCACTCCCTGCTGCCCCCAAAGTCACAGCCCTAAGAGGCCCTGCCCACACTGCAGAGCAGCAGCCTTGGGGCATTAGCAGAGCTGGCCTTGGCAGCCACAGTCATTGCCGCTAATTAGAAGGCACCTCACCATGGTCAATTCTCTCCCTCTATCAATCAACCTGCTCAGAGCAGAAATAGGGACTAGAAAGGGGAGCAGAACCTTTTCTAGCTTCACTCTTCTGAAGCTAGAAGAGTGAACACACACACACATATAGAGAGAGAGAACACACACACATATATATAGGGAAAAGCTCTCAGAACATAATGGAGACGTGTTCTTAGGCCACACTGAAAACTCATCTAAGTCAATGTGTCTAGCAGCAAGTGTTGGGGAATTTAGTTTTTCTATGTTGCTATTTTTGTAAATGCTGGTAGCCTCTGGCATTAGAGACAGTAGGGTCTATAGATCCTCTTCCTGACAACCTTGCTACCAGGTTGCGTATATTACAGTGAAAGGGAATCTGACACCACATTCTGCCAATATTTATTAACAAGCAGGTATTAATTTAAAAATTATTGGCCGGGCACAGTGGCTCACGTCTGTAATCCCAGCACTTTGGGAGGCCGAGGCAGGCAGATCACCTGAGGTCGGGAGTTCGAGACCAGCCTGACCAAAATGGAGAAACCCTGCTCTACTAAAATTACAAAAAAAAAACTATCCAGGCATGGTGGTGCATGCCTGTAACCCCAGCTATTCAGGAGGCTGAGGCAGGAGAATCACTTGAACCCGGGAGGCAGAGGTTGTGGTAAGCCGAAATCACGCCATTGCACTCCAGCCTGGATGAGAAGAGCAAAACTCTCTCAAAAAAAAAAATTACCATACAGTCCATTCTTGTGAGTTTGGGAAAGGTCTCATCTGTCTCTTCAGGCATTACAACAATTCTTTGCCTGAGAGCTTCACTCCAAGGAGGAACAAAATATTCTAACCACAGAATTAGTCAGTTTTCAAGTTCAGTCAGGAGACAGAGTCCACAGGGAAGTGGGAGAAGACAGGGTCAAGTGAATGTCCAGAAGTCAAGTGCTGCTGCAAAGGCTCGGGCTGGGCTTGCTGGGTTTGCTTGTATGAGGGCAGCAGGGCTGGTACAGTCTTTGTAGTCAGCCACAGATTTCAACTTGCATTTCGCTAACTGATCCAATCATTCCCTAACCCCGTGTCGTTAGATTTCAACAACAGTATTCAAATCTGTACTTCTGGAGTGCATCTTCTTGATTAGGGCACTTCAGAGTCACTAATCATCCCTAAGTGTGGATTCCTGATTAAGGGGTCCTCAAATACTAGCCGCCATCACCCCATCACACTGTCTATAATAGATTATATTAACATAAATTACCACACAGGTTATATAACATCCACTGTCCACAAGGAGTAAGACTGGGAAGGGCTAAATGGTTCTCAGGGGACAGACAACCTGTCCTATTGCTCCATAAAGTGACAGAGCCTGGCTCTTCAATATCCAGCCATAAAATGCCTTAATTGTGATCCATTTGGAGACTGGATTACCTGATAGGGACAAGAAACATTTACCTGGGAGAGGGCTTCAGGAGAGTTGCAGCCATACGCCTCTTCCAGCAGCTAGGTTTTTTATTTTATTTTGTTTTTTTGTTTTTGTTTTGTTTGTGTGTGTGTGTGTGTGTGTGTGTGTGTTTCTCAGCACCTTTGTTCTTTGATTTTGAATTCTGCTTTTCTCTTTTCAGTTCTGTTTTTTTATAACTTGTTCATATATCTTCAGGACTGACGGTGGAGGAGGAAAAGCAGTGCAGATTCAGGCTGCAACAGCAGAAGCTAACTTTTTCTTTGCTATGTAAGAGAATTTCAGAGAGGTAGCCTGGCCCCCGTGGCAAGAGAATAGGATGTGCAGTTAGGCCAAGTGGAGTTCAAATCCTGACTCTCAGACTTCCTAGTAGTGCCTCTCTGAGCTTCATATTCCTCATGTGTGAAACAAGACCAGTCCTATGTACCCTGCAGCGTTGTTATAAGGGTTTGAGATACTGTGTGTAAAGAATCTGCTATATAGCAAGGCTGTAAAAATAGTGGCTTTTATTAGCCCCCAGGGACCTCCTGCTATAAGCAGTGGACACATCAAGATACAAAGAAACACAAGTCATGATCAAGAATAGGTAACTATAGTGTAATTCATTAAATGTTCTGATGGTCTCCAATCTTGAGTGATTTAGTCTATGAAGGATTGTGTCTCCTTTTTTAAACTGTACACATATTCAAGTGCAGAAACTGAGACTAAACATTCATCTCTATGTTCATTAAACAATTGCATTTCCTTATTTGGATGCAAGTCTTCTGTCCATTTTTCTACAGAATGTTTATTGGTTTGTGCGGGCATTTTTTTCTTTTCTTTTCCTTTTTCTGAGACAGAGTTTTGCTCTTATTGCCCAGGCTGGAGTTCAACAGCACAATCTCGGCTCACCACAACCTCTGCCTCCCGGGTTCAAGCAAGTCTCCTCCCTAGTAGCTGGGATGACAGGAGCACACCACCACGCCCTATTAATTTTTTGTATTTTTAATAGAAATGGGATTTCACCATGTTAGCCAGGCTGGTTCCAAAGTGTGAGCACTTCATATAGTAAATATACTATGCCATCACTAGCTGTGTTTGCCATGGTATTTTTTAAAGTTCAAAGAGTACCTTTAAATTTAGGTTACTTTTTCGACATACAAAATTTAATTTAACTATTTTTTTTTTCAGTTATGAGCATTATTCAAATCTAAGCTAAAAGGGAGACAGTCCTCCTTCTACCACAGATTTGATAAATATGCACTTTCAATTTCTTCTAGGTTTTAAGTAACTTACCTTATCAATAAATCTGGAATTAATTTTGGGAGGACTGAGATAATTATCTAAATTGATTTTTCCCTAGGGAACTCATCAATTCTTCCTTTGCTATTTATTGAAAATCCTTCTCTTTCTCCCTGATCTGTCATGTCTCCTCCAGCATAAATTAAATTTTTACACTGAATAGGATCTATATCAGGATATCAATCCTACATCATCGATCTGTTTGCCTCTTCTTAAACCAGCACCATGCTGACTGTAGAATGTTGACAAGCAGAGCTAGGGATACAGGGTGCCAAGTGGCTGGCAGAGGAGAGAGGGAGGATTTCCAGGGAAGACAGTGTGGTCTTGGCATAAAGACAGCAAAACGGAAGTTCAGGGCCTCATAAGACAATGAAAAGTCATATCTCAATTTGGCTGAACACTGGGGGAAATAAGTAAGAGACTGGGGAGAAAAAGAACTAGAAGGTAGTGGGCGATGCAGAGACAGGCCAGGAGCCCCAGGTTAACAAGAACTTCCCATGTGCAATACCATAAGTGATATAAAACTGTGGAAGACGTGTTGATAGCAGCAGGAGGCAGACCAATCCTAGGCAGACAGGGGTGGGTCCCCAGTGAAACCTGACCTTCAAACCAAAGAGAGTTTGAAGCCTGAAAGCCAAGGTACTAGTCTTGCATAAATCCATGGACTGATTGAGAACCTCTCTTCCTGTTTGGTGCACTTTCCTCTGATTGATCCCCACCCTTCACCTATTTTACATATACCTACACTTCCCTAACTGGTTTTTTTTGTACACTCTCATGCCCACCTGTGAGTGGTGCCTTTGTTTTAGCCTCTTTTTTTTTTTTGCCTACTCACAAACCAGTCAGTACACACTCCCTATTCTGAGCCCATAAAAGCCCTGGACTCAGCCACACTGAGAGAAACCATCAACTTCAGGCGGGGGACCACCCTCACGTCCCCTCTCTGCTGAGAGCTATTTTATTGCTCAATAAAATTATTCTCCACCCTCCTCGCCCTTCAATTGTCAGCCCAATTTCATTCTTCTCAGAGGTGAAACAAGAACCCAAGACCCACCAAATGCGAATACACAGAAGGCTGTACTACTGTGGCCCTCTGCCCTCCGCCAGTGAAGCGCAGCTGCCTCATGTAACAGGAAGTAGCAGCAGGGCCAAGCCAGCCCCCAGAGCTGCCAGCCAGGGTGGGGCAAGATGCTAACAGAACTGTTAACATGCTGTCAGTCAGGCTGTGGATGGCAAGACTAAAAGAGCTAATTAGCACTCTGTAACACCCCCTCTGGGACTTTGGGGTCATGGGTGCACCTGCCCGGGCGCCACTGCATTCCTCTTGTTTAGATGCTGGAGTCCACTGTGGGAGTGGTTTGCAACACGCCTGGTCCAGCCACAAGACCCACACAGAGCCTGCTCCTGTGCTGCTTGGAACAATTGGCTGGACCCCGCACTTGCTCGCTCACACACCCCCTCCCACCAGGGGCCAAGCACATAGTCACGGTGGCTGCAGGATCTGTACCAGAATGCAGGCCGGGTGCAGCCCAGGAGGCCAAGTGGACAGAGCATCTCTGCAGCAATCCCAGGTCCCAGCAAGGCTGGCAGGAAGTCTCCTGACAGGAAGTCTTCAGCCAGCAAAGTGACCGAGAAAAGTCCTATATCAGTATTATTGTTATCCTCAAGGGATAGGGTGGTACACAGAAAGACTGATGGTAAAAAAACAACTACAGTAAGGGACAACAATGCCACAAGAGTACTGGCAACAAAGTGTTCCAAGACCCATAAAAATAATAATCGTCTCCTCATTAATCTTATGTATTCATCAGACCTTACGTCCACTGAACCCTTGAGTACTGGAAACAACCCAAAGGTCCATCAACTAGTAAATGGATAAACAAATTCCACACCCTGAGTACTACTCAGCAATAACAGGAATAAACTGTGGATACGCACTACAACCTGGATGAATCTCAAAATAATTATGCTGAGTAAAAGAAACCAGACAAAAAAAAAAGCCATATGGTACATTTGTATACAATTCTAGAAAATGCAAACTAACCTGTAGTGACAGAAAGCAGATCAGTACTTGTCTGGATGGAAGGTAGGGCCAGGGGCAGGGAGGGGAGAGAAGGGTGAAGCGGGGAGATTGCAAAAGGGCCTGAAGAAACAAGGGGAGTGATGGGTATGTCCAATATCTGATTGTGGCAATGGTTCCACCGCCATGTATCTAAAACTTACCAAATTGTATACTTTAAATATAGGCAATTTATTGTATGTCAATCACACTCAGTAAAACTGTAAAAATAAATTTTATCTTATACTTGCTGATTCTTTTCTAATAGATCTGGGCCAAAACTCAAACACTGATATTTTTTTCAAAGCTCTCAAGATGAGCCTGATGCACAGTGAGGTTAAAAATCCCAGGTCCCATGATACCTGAGATGCTTCCTGGGTGTCCGATTCTGTCTGTCTGCAATGGGAGGACTCCTTGGTGAATGCTAGGAAAGTATTCTCCTCACATGGAGACCGGCGCCTTGGTGAGAATAGGTGGCGGCCACTCGTTTGCTGTTGGTTATTCCTGCTTCTGTGCCTCACACTGGAATTTGGGCTGATGAGGTCTGTGTGCTTTGTTCCTGCAAAGCTTGCAGTCTGATCCAGGCTTCTGCTATCCCGATATATGTGATGCTTGTTCTCAGGCAATAGCCCCCACCCTGACCCCTCTCTAGCGTCATGACTTTGTGAACTGTCAAAGTGGTCACCACATGCCCCTCATCCATCTCCCTGCCTGTGGTACACACTGCGAGCCCTTCAGGGAATGTACTCCTTGCTCCAATAGGGCAGCCCTCCAGGGAAGCCCAGTGTCCCCTCAGCTAACCAGCATATCTTCAACAAAAAAGCAGTTATTTTTCCACTTGCCTCTGGAGGCTTCCAGCTGAGCTTTCTGGTCCTTTGCACACTGCACAGCTCTTCGTGCCAATATTGCCCAGAGCACTTCCACCAGTGCCAGCTGCCTGCCTGTAAGTCCTGGTGAGAAGTGAGCCCTCACTCCATGCCCCAGAGTCAGATCCACAGCCTCTGAAGCTATAGACCACACTGAATGCCTCTGACAGAGAGCAGAACCAAATTCCAATCCCTAGCCCCCAAGAACATTCTCTCTCACGAAGACAAACTCCCCACCTCTCTCTAGACTTCTTTAAAAGGGAGGAGAGGGCAGGCTGACATGCCAACTGACAGCAATGCCCTCTTAGCAAACCCTGCACTGGGTAGCTAGTGCCATTTCTGCTTCCCTGAGAGATGTCCTGTCACACCTCCTTGTTCATATCCACACGTCAAATTAAGTCCTTTGTCTATTACATTTCCCAGTCCCCTCCCGGTTCAGCTTTCTCCATCATCTCATATACAAGACAAATCGTAGAGAGTGGAAGGAAGGTTAAGAAGGACTATTTTTAAGAGGGGTAGGAGACATGCAGTTGCCAACATGAACTTTGCCCCCAGTCTGGAGACTTTGGATTTAGAAACCTTAGAAGGTTTGCTTCTTGTGGCATCAGAGCAGCCTTTGGTCACCAAAATGTTTCCAGATGGATTCAGATTTTTTTTTCTTAGCATCTTGGTACTTGGTCTGCATTAACAGATCAAATGAATACCCAAATTATATAAATAGTATTCATTAATAGAAAAGGTAGAGAATTGGGGAACAAGATAGTGTGGATTCCCACCAGATGGCACTGTTTAATAGATAAGGAAGAGAAAGTTGTTTTTGTGGCTAATTTTAGCAAAGCAGGGAGAAATGCTTGCCAGTTGCCAGAGCAGATTTAACTCCAAGCCGTCTTCTTGCCCTTCTGGACAGGCCAGTTTAGCTCCCCCTTGCCAGATGGCACTCAATCTCAGTTTTCATAATTGCAGTGACAGAATTCACAAATATTTCGGGTTGCTTATGGATATGTCATGAGAGTAGAAAAATGTGATCATCTAATTTCAGGAGCTCCGTCCCTGCCACAGAATGTTCCCACTTCTGCAGGAGTTAGGCAGCTTTGCTTGCTTGTCTGCCCAGGTCCTAGGCTGTCCACCCACCTCAACAAATTGTATCACTGTCCATGGGGATGCTGAAGTGGCTCACTAGGCATCCATCCATCTCCCCTCCTCCCAGTGTGTCCTCCGGTAGAACAGAGGCTGGCAACTACACTTCCCAGACTCCCTTGCTGCTGGGGTTCCATGTTCTTTAGTTTCTGCTCATTAGATGTGATTGCATGAGCCTTGAATTCAGAAGTGAGTTAGGTGGAGACTGAGACAGGGCATGACGTATCCCTTTGCTGTGTAGACTGGAGCTGAAATGGTGTAATTCTAGAGTTAGCACCTATAGCAGAGGCTTCTCCATCCGGCATGCAGCTTCCTGGTCATGACAAGAGCAGTTACTCAAGAAATTTCAGCCAAGAGCCAAGTTCTTCAGCTCTCACAAGGATTCTGTGAGCCACTCGATACTCTGTAATTAGTTAATTCCTCCTAAAGCTAGCTGGAGTGGATTCTGTTCTGTCAATCTACAATAATCAAAAGGGTCAGAATTTAGTTATACTCAAAGTGTGAGGATGAACCACCCAGAAACACCAACTCCAAAGGAATGGAGTTGGCATTCAGAAGCAGGGAAGTAAATATTTCATTTGTATAGGTGGGAACAGAGGAATTTTTAGCAGAATTACAACATTATTATTCATGTGAGTCTGGCACATTCTTATAGCAATTTAATTGGCTATAGGCCATGTTTCTTTTTGAGAAGGGTACATTTGACATTTTTTAACAGAGGGTGTAATAATCATTGGTTGTTTGTCATTTGGTCTAAACAAACTAGAACAAAGGGGAAGTTAAATCTATAACAAGAGTCCAAGGTCATCAATTAAGAAGAAAGGAGGTTTTCAGCCAGGCGTGGTGGCTCAAGCCTGTAATCCCGGCACTTTGGGAGGCCGAGGCGGGCAGATCACAAGGTCAGGAGATCGAGACCATCCTGGCTAACATGGTGAAACCCCGTCTCTACTAAAAATACGAAAAAATTAGCCAGGTATGGTGGCAGGCGCCTGTCGTCCCAGCTGCTCAGGAGGCTGAGGCAGGAGAATGGCGTGAACCCGGGAGGCGGAGCTTGCAGTGAGCTGAGATTGCGCCACTGCACTCCAGTCTGGGAGACAGAGCAAGACTCTGTCTCAGAAAAAAAAAAAAAAAAGAAGAAGAAGAAAGGAGGTTTTTATCTCAGATGCCATTTATTTATCTCTAGTCATTATACAGAATGAGAAAAATAAGAAAGTAAGCTAATCTATAATCTGAGAACAGAAGTTGTAAGCATATGTGATGCGGATCACAGTCACATCTCTGTCAAGGCTTAAGGCATTTTTGGAGGTTCCAAAAAGCTTCTAAATTTTATTTATTTTCTCAGTTCTCTGTAACTAAGCATTGAATGACTGATAGATTATCTACCTGTAAGTCTGAGCTAGAAATCTGATAAATTTCCTAAATTCCTCTTTTCCTCATTTCCCATAGCTAGCTGATCCACAGATATTGTGAGGATATTATCTAAATAAGTTGTGGTAAAGAAAAAATTATTTGGACACCTGTCAAAATGATAAGGAAGCCTTTATTCAGGACTATTCCAATAGGTGTCAAGACTATTGCAACATGGGAGTCAGATCAGGCTGAACTCTGAATATTGCAAAGACAGCTGGAAATTTATAAGCAACCAGCAGAGTGAGGGGGTCAGTGGATGGCAATTTATTAAAAGGAACCATCAAAGGTAAGAGGATTCCTGCTGAAGGCAGGCCAGGGTGATCAGACATCAAGGATGGGGATGAGAAATTTAATCAGGTATCGAGAGCAATTAAATATCAACAGTGGGGGATTCTTACTAAACTAATTATCTGGATTCTTGCTAGAACTGGGCTATGGAGGTCCAGGGAGAATGGGGGCCAAAGTCGAAGTCTAGTCCAGAAGAGGCTTAGTCAGGTCTCAGAGCCTGACTAAAGTTTGGTCAAGAGAGGGTCTTTGTCAGTTGATACATAAAAAAGTGCTCAGCAAAGAGCAACAAGAGGCTCCACTAGTTCTCTTTCTCCTCCTCATTTTGCTATTATGTGAGGCCATTCTGTGAGGGAGGAGAAAGCTCAGTGGATTTAAGTAAATGAAGGTCACTGCCCCTGGAGCACACAACTGAGGGTGCAAGTGATGTGGTCAGAGAGGTGGTCAGATGCCAGATTCTGCCACACTGTGCAGGCCATATTAAGGATCCTATATTTTATTCTAAAGACAATGGGGAACAAGCCATTGAAATGTTTTAAGCAAGGAAGTGATATGACTGACTTTACATTTTACAAAGATGACTTTGTTAGCTGTGTTTCCACAGCTGACTGGGGTCGGGGGGTGAGGTGGTGGTATAAGCAGCAAGTGGAAAGATCTCTCCAGGCCAACACCTAAAGTTCTACTTCATTCTTGTATAATCTCTCAGAGGAAATTGAGTGGGGAGGGAATCTTATGAATAGCAGCAACAAAAAGAATGAAGCATGCCTAACAGGAAATGTGAAAGACCTAGGTAGAGTATAAGACTTTGGTGACAAGCATAAAATAACTTTATAAATTAACAGAAAGTATTTCTAAGTGGAAAGCCCCAATATGGCAAAGATGTCAGTTTTCTCTGAATTGAGCTATAATGTGAATGCAATTCCTATCAATAGCAGTTTTTGTTTTTTGTTTTGGACCTTGTCAATCAAGTCTTTAATTTCATATGTAAGGAAAAATTATTTTTGTTATTATTATTATTAATACAAGTAGAGGAGTTTATTTGGGCCAAGCTTGAGTAGTGCAACCCAGGAGCATAGATTCAAATTGCCCTGAATATACACTCTGATTACGAACAGTTACAAGTGCACTTTATTTCTTGTAAAGACGGTGTCTCACTATGTTGCCCAGGCTGGTCTCAAACTCCTGGCCTCAAGCAATTAATCTTCCCACCTCAGCTTCTGGACTGAAGTGCCAGTCCAAAGTGCTGGGACTTTAGGCATGAGCCACCATGCCCACATGCAAATTTTTAAAGGGCAAGAAGGGGCTGGGTGCAGTGGCTCACTCCTGTAATCCCAGCACTTTGGGAGCCAAGGTGGGTGGATCGCTTCAGCCAGGAGTTCAAGACCAGCCTGGCCAACATTGTGAAACCCTGACTGTAGTAAAAATACAAAAATTAGCTGGGCGTGGTGGCACATGCCTGTGATTCCAGCTACTCGGGAGGCTGAGGCAGGGGTAGTGCCTGAACCTGGGAGGCGGAGGTTGCAGTGAGCTGAGATTGCACCACTTCACTCCAGCCTTCATGACAGATGAGATTCTCTCAAAAAAAAGGGGAGCGGTGCGGGAAGGTGGAAGAAGGGGCAGTTCCTAGTTGTTTATCCAGAATTTACATTAAAATAACATAAGCTATTGATTGGCTATACATTGTTCTCTGGTTTTTTGTTTGTTTTGTTTTGTTTTGTTTGAGACGGAGTCTCACTCTGTCACCCAGGCTGGAGTGCAGTGGCGGGATCTCGGCTCACTGCAAACTCCACCTCCTGGGTTCATGCCATTCTCCTGCCTCAGCCTCCCGAGTAACTGGGATTACAGGCGCCCGCCACCACACCCCATTAATTTTTGTATTTTTAGTAGAGATGGGGTTTCAACATGTTGGCCAGGATGGTCTCGATATCCTGACCTCGTGATCTACCCGCCTCAGCCTCCCAAAGTGCTGGGATTACATGAGTCACCGCACCCAGCATACGTTGTTCTTTGCATCACAAATTCCAGAAACATGAAGATAATGAATGAAGCAGCTAGAAAAAAACAAAATAAACAATTGCCCCCAAGCATAAAGGGAGGCCAGTTACACATTTGCATGACTAAGTTCCAAACTCTTGCCTCTCTGGGCCTGCAGATTTCACATAGGTCAGACTGCTCTGAGATATTTTCATTTTCTCTGGTGGTAAAGGAGAAATATGATAAATATCAGTTTTACTCTCAGATTCTATTGGGGCAGGACAGCTGTATTGCATTCTATTAAACAGTTTGCATTTCTTTTCTTCTTCTTCTTTTTTTTTTTTTTTTTTTTTTTGGTACTACTCTCAGAGGTCCATGCCAAGTTCAGCTCTCTTTGCCAACACCAGCAATTCAACAGTGCACCTTCATAACAGGTCTTTATTTAATCTTCTTCCTTTCCTGTCTCGCTCTCCCCACTGTCACTGCTTCTTTTTGGAATTATTTTCCAAAGAAACTACCTCAAATTAAGTCTTTTTTTATTATTATTTTTTATGCTTTATTCCAGTAGCTTTTGGGGTACAAGTGGTTTTTTGTTAAAAGGATTAATTATATAGCAGTGAATTCTGAGATTTTAGTGCACTGGTCACCTGAGTAGTGCACAATGTACCTAATGTGTAGTTTTTTTAGCTCCTTTCCCACCCTCCCCTTTCTGAGTCTCCACAGTCCATTATATCGCTCTGTATGTGGAAGGAAAAATTATTTAAAATAGGAAGAAATTTTAGAAATAAAACAATGTGTGTGCATGCTCTTCAAGATATCAAAGCATAACTCAAAATTATAACGATTTAAATAGTGCAGCCAGGAGCAGTGGCTCACACCTGTAATCCCAGCACTTTGGGAGGCCCAGGAGGGTGGATCACCTGAGGTCAGGAGTTCGAGACCAGCCTGGCCAACATGGTGAAACCCCGTCTTTACTAAAAATACAAAAAATTAGCTGGGCATGGTGGCAGACACCTGTAATCCCAGCTCCTTGGGAGGCTGAGGCAGGAGAATCACTTGAACCCAGAAGGCGGAGGTTGCAGTGAGCTGAGATCGTGCCATTGCACTCCAGCCTGGGCAACAAGAGTGAAACTCCATCTCATAAATAAATAAATAAATAAATAAATAAATAAATAAATAAATACCATGCAATATTGACTGCATAGCAAGTGGCCCAGAAAGAAATATGCAGACCAACAGAACAGAATAAAGAGCCTCATCAGAACTATACAGCTTTAAGAAAATTTAGAAGAAACTATACAACATGTTTTAAATCAGTGAGGAATAGCCTATTCAATATATGACATTTTCATGATTGGCTAGCCATTTGGGAAAAAAAAAGCCTTACCTTAACTATGCACAAAAATAAACATCAGCTGGAATAAAGCATACAATTCAAAAACAAAACTATAAAAGCCTTGGGGAAAAAAGGGAATTTTTATCATCGTTGAATGATCATGAATCCTAATCAGGACAAATCCCAAAACCATAAAAGGAAGACTGACAAATTTGATCTAAAAAAAAGTTAAAAGCTACCGTAAAACAACATACCACATAAATAAAGGTAAAAGAAAATTAACAGAAAGGGAGAAAATATTTGTAATATACAGCACAGATGGATACTCCATTTAAAAATCACCCATACAAATCACTAGAGAAAAGAAAACAACACAAAGGGCAAAAAAGGTTCTTAGTAGAAGTTATAAAATGGTTATTTTATTCAATTTCACAAGTAATCAAAGAAGTGTAAATTAAAACAACTTACAAAATTGAAAAAGATTAATAATGTGGAATGAGGTTGTAGAGAAATGGATACTCATACACTGTTGCCGTTTTTGGGGGAAAAATTGGCACTATCTACTAACATTGAATTGTACATATCTTAAGCCTTGGTAATTTGCTACACAGCAATAGATAAATAATCCTTGGGATATATAAACTGATACTTGGAAGTAGGATGCAGCCATAACGAACACCTTAAATATGGGAGTGATTTTGGAATCTGGCAGTGGACAGAAACTGGAATGACATTGAAGATAGGGTTAGTGAAAGCATGAGGTACCTTGAAAAGGCTTTTAGTAGAGGTATAGGCTTGAAGAGACTCACTTTAAAAGAGTGAGGACGATATTATTGGAAACTGGAGAAATAGATCCTTCTTATGCCATGGCAGAAAGATTAGCAACACAGTAGCCAGCAGTAATGTGGAAAGTAGATGTGTCCACCTAAGAGAATTTGTTATCTAACTAAGGAGATTGCCAGCTAGTGTTCAGGGTGACTTCTAGCATGTGAGCAGAGCAAGATATGCTAAAGGGAGGACTGTTGGCCAGGCGCGGTGGCTCATGCCTATAATTCCAGCACTTTGGGAGGCCAAGGTGGTGGATCACTTGGGGTCAGGAGTTTGAGACCAGCCTGGCCAACATGGTGAAGCCCTGTCTCTACTAAAAGTACAAAAATTAGCTGGGAGTGGTGGCCCACACCTGTAATCCTAGCTATCTGGGAGGCTGAGGCAGAAGAATCACTTGAACCCGGGAGGCAGAGGTTGCAGTGATCCGAGACTGCACTACCGCACTCCAGCCTGGTGACAGCGCGAGACTCCGTCTCAAAAAAAAAAAAAAAAAAAAAAAAAAAGTATGGCTTTCAGGCAGAAATCAAGTCCAGGCAACCCCAGGAAAACATGGTCTAAATAGGAAACCCAAGTTGTAATTATAAAATCCCTTAAGACCTCAGAAAGATCTATTGTGGTGTCTTAGAGTACCTTTCAATCAGACAAAATGTCCTCTAAATATTTTAACAGTATGACTGACAAACCCTCTCAAACAATAGAGCGTATCTTGAAGAGATGTGTGGAAGTGGCTTTTGTCTAATGGCATGAACTTCAGTAAGATTAACAAGGAACCAACACAGTCTTTAACAGCAGAAACACTGCCAGCATGAACTGAAAGGGATACTATCTTTCATGAAAAAGGAAGGATGACTCGCAAATCAGAACTGCCCACAAGGTGACATCAAGAGCCATAGGGAATTATTTTCAGTCTTTGAATCCGGATCAAGGAACTTCAACATTTGCCTGGCTGGATTTTGGAATTGCTACAGACTCGTTGTTGCCTCTCATTTTTCCCTTTTTGAACAGGAATGTTTACAGTGGTTATTTTACACCTGTCCACCACTGTATTTTTGTGTCGGGGAGGAGTGGGAGGCAGATAACTTGCATTTAGTTCACAGGTCTTCACACTAAGAGGAACTGTACTTGAAGAACTTTAAGGAACTGCATCCTAGGAATCTCACCCACACCTGGATGTAATTTATATGCTAACATTCTGGATTTCAAGCTGCTTTTCTAAAGGGATGAGATTTTTGGGGTTCTTGGGAGAAAGGGAATGTGTTTTGCATGGAAGAAATAGAAATAATTTGTGGTCAGAAAGTATACTCCTCCCTTCAAAAGGTGGAAGCTAATTCCCCTCCCCTTGAATGTGGGAAAAATAAAAGCAAGGGAAAAATAACAGCAGGTACACATGTTAGGATTCCATTTTGGGGATATTTAGCACACAGTGCACCCAGGTGGAGAAACTTGATTCAGATTCTGATTAGACTAGTAGGTTGATGGTCTTTAATTAAAGGTCTGATTTTACCCTATAGAAAGTAAAAATCCAGTGATGCATTTTAAGCAATGGTGTTACATGTTTAGAAAGGTCCTCAGGGAAACCAGATACCATACAAATGAATTCAGTGGAAACACATTTGCTGTAAATCCATAGTGGTCCACTTTTTCATATTTCAGTCATCTGGGGAAACTTTGTTTCAGCTCCATGTTGTTTCAATTCCATGCGTTAGCTTTAATTAGCTGTGGTATCGTGAGCAAACCATTTAGTTCTTCGGGGCCCTGGAGCCTCAACATAGTCCTCTAAAATGGGGACAATAAAACCTACCTCTTAAGTTGTTTGGGGATAAAATAAGAGGATGATAATAATATGTCTGGCACCTTGTTGTTGGTGAATAAGTTGTAGTGATTATTACTTAGACTAATGGAGCTCAACAAGGTGATATTTGGCAATATCTGGAGACATTTATGTTTTTTACCACTGAGGCTCAGGGGTTGGGGGTGGTGCTACTGACGACCAGTGAGTAGAGCCCAGTTGCTACTAAACATCACGTAATGCACAGGACAGCTCCCCAGAACAAAAAACCATCTAGCCAAAAATGTCACTAGTGCTGAGGTTGAGAAACCCTGATTTAAAATATAACCCAAGCTGGGTGTATTGGTATAGGCCTGTAGTACTAACTATTCAGGAGGCTGAGACATGATTGCTTGAGCCCAAGCCCAAGTCCACCCTGAGTAACATAGTGAGACCCCATTTCTAAAAAATAAAATCTAACCCAACCATGAGTATGTTAATATTGTTCCCGTGTTATAGCACCCTTTTAAATAATGAGTCAGAGTTAATAACGGGGTGCAATAAAAAAGAGATCTGATAGTTTCACAAGATCTCAGGGCTTGGTGAATGTAACTCCAAATCTTCCTGAAACCACCCTCCATCACCCTAATTCCTAAATGCCCACAGTCATTCCCACCGATAATTTATCTCTTCCTAGTCTTCTAGCCTTCAATTTCCTTGCATCTGAGATCCACTCTTAAACTCTTCGGTGACTTACTTCTAAGGAATATAATGTGGTAGCAGTGATGCATGTCACTTACAAGATTACGCTATATAAAGGCATTGTGGCTTCCTCTTTGCTGTCTTTCTCAGATCATTTGGTTGGGAGAAGCCAGCTGCTATATTGTGGGTATGGCAAGTAACTCAGGCTTTCAGCCAGTTGCCAGCAAGAAACTGAGATCTGTTGCCAACAGCCATGCAAGTTAACTTAGAAGTAGATCCTCCGGGGCTGGGTGCGGTGGCTCACGCCTGCAATCCCAGCACTTTGGGAGGCCGAGACGGGCAGATCATGAGATCAGGAGATCGAGACCATCCTGGCTAACACGGTGAAACCCCATCTCTACTAAAAATACAAAAAATTAGCCGGGCGTGGTGGCGGGCGCCTGTAGTCCCAGCTACGCCGGAGGCTGAGGCAGGAGAATGGCGTGAACCCGGGAGGCGGAGCTTGCAGTGAGCCGAGATGGCTCCACTGCGCCCCAGCCTGGGCGATAGAGCGAGACTCCGTCTCAAAAAAAACAAAACAAAACAAAAAAAAGAAGATCCTCCAGCACTAGCCAAGCCTAAAGAAAAAAACCTTCAGACAACTGCAACTTCATGAGATAATCTAATCCAGAATCACCCAGCTAAGACTCCTAAATTCCTGAACCACAAGAACTGTGAGATATTTATCTTATTATTTATCTGTTGTTGTTTTAAGCTCCTAAATCTTGGAGTAATTTGTGACACAGCAATAGATAGCTAGTATGCAATGTGAAGTTGTAATTAAGTATATAGTAATTGCAACAACATAAATTGATGATTGAATCTTGGAAACATTATGCCGTGCTTCCATTGACAGTAAAAAGTGGCAGTAAAGATGGATATTGCAAATTATATTTGTCTTAATTATAAGAATAGGGGAGAATAGTGTGCCACTGAAGTTTTCTTTTATGGAAGAATTTTAAACATGCACCATGTAGGGGTGGAAAGATGTGATACCTTTCCTCATCCATCATGAGTCATGGCTGACACTCTTATAACAAAAGAGCAGATTAACACAAGGAAAGCATAACAGATTTATTTAATCAGTTTTACATGACATGGGAGCCTTCAGAATGAAGGCTCAAAGACCCAGGAAAAGCTGCCTATTTTGATGTTTAGGTTTGATGCAGAGCAGACAGCCAGGCAGAAATGCGATTGGGCAAAAAGGATATGATCAACCTAATGGTAATAGAGAGGAGAAACCTGGCAAGATGTGTCTGTTCAAATTCTTCTTGGCCTCTCTGTGTGGTATTCCTTCCTCCAGGATACGGTGCAGGGCCACTCTGGAACAAAAGTCTTGAGAGCCACTATCAGACAAGGTAGGTCAGAGAACCTCTTTATGGCTGGCTCCTACAGAAAGACACGGCAAGATTAGAGTAATATTTCTAGATTTTATGACTGGCTTTGGGGGCATAGGGGCTCTAGTTTCTTCTTTTTTTTTTTTTCTTTCTGAGACAGAGTCTTACTCTGTGGCACAGGCTGGAGTGCAGTGGTGCAATCTCGGCTCACTGCAACCTCTGCCTCCCAGGTTCAAGTGATTCTTGTGCCTCAGCCACCCAAGTAGCTGGGATTACGGGCGTGTGCCAGCACATCCAGCTAATTTTTGTATTTTTAGTAGAGATGAGGTTTCACCATGTTGGCCAGGCTGGTCTCGAACTCCTGGCCTTAAGTGATCCACCTGCCTTGGCCTCCCAAAGTGCTGGGATTACAGGCGTGAGCCACCATGCCCAACAGTGGCTCTAGTTTCTGTGACCCATTTTGAAAAAGAGGAATTCTAGTTTCTATGGCTTGCTCTGGGGAAGAAAGGGGAGCAGGAGAAAGAAAGGCAGGAGAAGGTCAGAAAGATCTTCTGACTCTCTTTTCTTCAGTTCCAAGTATTCAACATGCCAAAGTGCCACACTTTGGGGTCTCATTTTCTGAGGCCCAATAATCATTACATTTCTTTTCTTTCTTTTTTTTTTTTTTTTAAGATGGAGTCTTGTTCTTGTTGCCCAGGCTGGAGTGCAGAGGTGTGATCTCAGCTCACTAAAACTTCCACCTTCCGGTTTCAAGCGATTCTCCTGCCTCAGGCTCCTGAGTAGCTGGGATTACAGGCGCCCGCCACCACGCCCAACTAATTTTTGTATTTTTAATAGAGACGGGGTTTCACTTTGGTGGCCAGGCTGGTCTCGAACTCCTGAACTTGTGATCCGCCCTCCTTCGCCTTCCAAAGTGCTGGGATTTCAGGCGTGAGCCGCCGCACCTGGCCTAATCATTACATTTCTTTGAAGTCTTTCCTTAAAGCTCTTCCACCCTCATTTTCAGAATACTTATATAGCAGATCTGTGGTTTTGGTCTGCCTAGCGTTTTCTCCTTCTGGTAAGAGAACACCTCTTCTCCCTTTGGCATCTCCAGTCCGTGTTCGTCATGTGACTTCACTGGCTCTTCCTTAGGGATGGGTTATGAAATCAAACTTGTCAGTTGGGATCCTTTATATCGGGACCCACACAGATGAGCCAAGATGTTCTCTCTCAGGATTCCTTGGGCATGCTCTGCCCCAGGGAGTTCTGATAGGAAGGCTTTATTGACCACAGCTGAAGTGCTGTTACAGAAAAGCCTAGACTTAGGAGCAAATAAACTCAGCTCTCATCTCGGTTATCTGGTGGTTGGGCTGAGAGGAGAAAGGTGCTCCTCAAGCTTGGCTTCTCCAGCTTCACCGAAGCCAGGGATCCACAGGAGAGCGCCCGTGTTGACAGCGTGAGCGGCGACCCGGTGTCGGCCTGGCGTCCCGAGCCTGTGCACTGGGCCGTTTTCTTTTTCTTTTCTTTTTTTTTTTTTTTTTTTTTGAGACGGAGTCTTGCTCTGTTACCCAGGCTGGAGTGCAGTGGTGCGATCTCGGCTCACTGCAACCTCCGCCTCCCGGGTTCAAGAGATTCTCCTGCCTCAGCCTCCCGAGTAGCTGGGACTACAGGCACCCGCCATCATGCTCGGCTAATTTTTGTATTTTTGTAGAGTCGGGGTTTCACCAATTTGGCCAGGCTGGTCTTGAACTCCTGACCTCAGGTGATCCGCCCGCCTCGGCCTCCCAAAGTGCTGGGGCTACAGGCGTGAGCCACCACGTACGGCCAGCACCGGGCATTTTTCTTACTTTAGCCATCCCGTGTTTGAGGTTGCTGTCTGGGCTCTGCTCCTACCCGAGGGCACCCCTGGAGGAAATTCTCGAGGTGACCTGGACAGGGCGGGCTGGGCGAGGACGCTCCCGGGGCCTGGAGGCGGAGTCGGGGGCGGGCGCGCGCAGTCATCTGACTCGGTGACTCACCCGCGGCCGCGCTTCCTCTGATCCGGGCCGGGCGGGAAGTCGGGTCCCGAGGCTCCGGCTCGGCAGACCGGGCGGAAAGCAGCCGAGCGGCCATGGAGCTGTGCGGGCTGGGGCTGCCCCGGCCGCCCATGCTGCTGGCGCTGCTGTTGGCGACACTGCTGGCGGCGATGTTGGCGCTGCTGACTCAGGTGGCGCTGGTGGTGCAGGTGGCGGAGGCGGCTCGGGCCCCGAGCGTCTCGGCCAAGCCGGGGCCGGCGCTGTGGCCCCTGCCGCTCTTGGTGAAGATGACCCCGAACCTGCTGCATCTCGCCCCGGAGAACTTCTACATCAGCCACAGCCCCAATTCCACGGCGGGCCCCTCCTGCACCCTGCTGGAGGAAGCGTTTCGACGGTGAGCGCTCCCGGCCCGGCCGGGAGTTGTCCTGGGGGAGGGGAGAGGCGGACCACCCCGGAGCGCTGTGCAGACCCTCACCACCCCACTGCGCAGACGAGAAACCGCCTGGGAGCTGGCAGGCGATCTGCCCAGCGCCACATGGACTGAACCCACGCTCTTGCCCCCACCCTCCTACTGCTTCTTAAGGGACACCTTGGGTGCTCAGGAACCCTGGTTTGAGAGCCGGATAGTAAGTGGAAGAGGGAGTTTGCTCTGAGGCCTTGTTGGGCAAATGGCATGGACGGAGGGGACACCGGAGCTGGGGAGGAAAGTGACAGCTCCTTATTTGAAGGACGTGCAAAGGGATAAGTTACCCGAAGGGCTTAGACAAGCTCTCTTGAGGGACCAGGAATCCCCCAAAGCTGACTGTCATTTATAGGCCAGTTTCGCCCCCTCACCTCTCCTCACATCTCCTGGTAACAGCTCAAATGGCAGAAGTCCTCAGTTTCGAGCACTGCCTAAAACTGCCCTCTCTCCTAAAATCTCTTCCATATAAAATGTGACATGTTTGCATCTGACTACGTTTCTGCGGTCAGTGGTTAGGCAGTATCCAACTTTGTTTCTCAACACCGATCATGTTGCCTGCTCTCCCTGCTTCCTCTTTTACAGACCCCTAGATAGCGCCTCTGTCTCTCTCACCCTTTGGCTGCAGACAGGGTGAGTTTTGTCATGGGAGTCAGCCAATCACACCATAGACAAGGCAGGTTCCCCTGGGGAGATGTTTGAAGACGCCACACACTGTCCCCTCAGTGTGAGACCTGTGTAGGTGGGACTGTCCTGAAGGCGTATCGTGCCCTGCAGAATTGTAATTTGGTGCTAACTGTACTGCCTCCTGGCATTCCCCAAGCCTGTCGCTGTACCCAGTGGATACTATAGAGCTTAAGTGTGCTTGCAGGACCCTGAACAGGTGGGGAGGGAATGTCAAACTAACTGAATAATGTGTTCTGACCCCAGATAGGACAGGTGCCTAGGCTCAAGCTGCAGAGGCCCAAGATGCTGATGGCAGAAATGGTTCATTCTCTACAATCAGAAGGCTCATGGTTTCCTTCTGTTTTGTACAACTAAATGGGTATTATCAGTCTCTATTTTAGACACACACACTAATGAGCCTTTGGTATCCAATCTGCTAAGGCCAGAGTGGGGTTAAGATGTAGAACCAAAGTGTTTGGTTGCATTGGGATATTCAGAAAGATTGCATGGAAAGTACATGAAGGTTGTCTCAGAAGATCATGACTAGGGTTGGAAATCTTTTTAAAAACAAACACGCTTATTATGTTTGCCTTGGAGTTCAGCTTGTAGAATTGGATTTTCCTTCTGTGTCATACTGCTAAGTAAAACAAGGACTTGGTAATATGCTGAACTGACTGTGACAAGAAAGCATGGGTGATGTAAGTTAACAATAGGTAGATAACCAGGACTTAAATCAGCTGAGATGGTTCGAAGGCAAGGCTTGGTATTTCAAGGCATGTGCGGGTGATTACCTGAAGAGTTTGCCTAACTCATGGCCTCTGAGTGAAGCAGCCATTAATTATGCCTGGTATTATTAGGAAGCAGGTCATAAAATGTGTTGGCCCTTATGGCTAAGACTTGAAGGCATGCATGTGAGCATTCTAGGAACTCAGAAGGAGCAGCAGGTATCTCAGAGTAAAAGCACAGTGGAGTTGGAAAGATTTGGAAATATGGGAGTGTTCACAAAGTGCGACGTGGTCAGGAACACACAGTCTAGGCCCCAGATTGTTCAGCATCACATAGCCCCTGTCTCTGAAGAGCCCAGGTTGTATCACAAACCTTGCTTTGAAACAGTATGCTTTTTGCAGGCAGAGAGTTTGGCTGTTAGATGCATAGCTGCTTCTTTAGCTTCTAGAACAGCGTTCATCACATGCTAGTCACTCATTTTTAAAAATAAACAAATAGCTTCACTCCTTCATTTCCTGGAAGGCTAAACTAACCCACATACCTTTGACATACTGCCTCACAGCCCTTTGAGTTTTCTGTTAGAATTTTACTACCTAGGGTCAAGGTTCTAAGCCAGCTTCCAACTCTGATCTCAAAGCTGCCAGCAGCTTTAATTTCTTTTTTAAAAAAATTTTAATTAAGGAAAAAATACACATAACATAAAATTTACCATCTTAACCTTTTGTAAGTATGTATTTCGGTGGTCTTAATTTCCTTTTTAATCTGTCAGGGTTTTCCTATGAGAAGGGCCCTCAACACCTACATCCATTCCATTCTCTCATTGGTTAACTTCCATACACTTCCAAACATGTCAGAATTTTCCGACCTCTTCTGCAAAAAAGCATAAGACGTTCTTACACATAAGTAGCATATATAACCTTCTGGCTTACCAAAATCTGTAAAATATTATTTAAACAGTTGCCCTGAAGCCTATCTGATCTTTTTTATTTAGTGCCTTTACATTTTTATTTAATATTCTGATTTTTGGATACCAAAAACAATTGCTCTGAAGCCTGTCTGATCTTTTTTATTTAATGCCTTTACATAATTTTTATTTAATGCCTTTACAGAATTTTTATGTATTTAACATTTAATGCCTTTACAATATTTAATGCCTTTACAGAATTTTTATTTAATATTCTCTGATTTTTGGATACCAACAAAAGGTACTTTTTTTGTATTTAATATTAATATTAATATTTAATGCCTTTACAATATTTAATGCCTTTACAGAATTTTTATTTAATATTCTCTGATTTTTGGATACCAACAAAAGGTACTTTTTTTTTTTTTGAGATGGAGTCTCGTTCTGTCACCCAGGCTGGAGTGCAGTGGTGCGATCTTGGCTCACTGCTGCAACCTCCACCTCCCGGGTCCAAGCAGTTCTCCTGCCTCAGCCTCCTGAGTAGCTGGGATTACAGGCGCCTGCCACCATACCCAGCTGATTGTTTGTATTTTTAGTAGAGACTGTGTATTTTTAGTTTCACTATGTGGGCCGGGCTGGTCTTGAACTCCTGACCTCGTGATCCTCCCGCCTTGGCCTCCCAAAGTGCTGGGATTACAGGCATGAGCCACTGCAGCTGGCCAACAAAAAGTAAATTTTAAAGGCTCTGGTGAGAATTCTGGACCTTCTTTTGGGGCTTTATATGTAAGCTAGGATACTTTTGCAGGAAGGTAACAGGAACTCTGACTCAATCTGGCTCAAACAATAGGAAAACTTATTTCACACATTAGGATGTCCAAAAGTAGGGATGAATTTAGGGCAAGTTGACCAAGTGGCTCAACAGTGTTACCAGGGATCCATATTCTTTCCATCTCTGCTCTGTCCACTTTAGTGTAGTGGCAACTAGTCCAGCTCTCACATACAGAGAAACGAAGTTTTCTTGTGATTTGCTCAGAACTCCCCCTAACCCCCACATCCTATCACTGGTCAGAATTGGTTTTTCATTCCCAAGAGTGATGGATTACCATGATGGTTTCATTATTGGTTCTTAACGGGGCTTCATATGTCACTTCAGAGTGTGGGGAAGCATTTAAAATTCCCATGCCTGAATCCCATTCTAATAGATTCTGATTCTGAAGGCATGGACGTTGGGATTTTCAAAAAACTTCCCAAGTGATTCTAATGTACAGCTTGGGGTGAGAATCTCTAGTTGGACTTACAATGGGCAGCATGGATTTGAGGAGTTAACTACAATGTTACTAGCACATCTGTTTTAAAAATTTGGCTAAAATCCTTCTAAAATGTGTTTACATTTATTTCTCAAACAGATATCATGGCTATATTTTTGGTTTCTACAAGTGGCATCATGAACCTGCTGAATTCCAGGCTAAAACCCAGGTTCAGCAACTTCTTGTCTCAATCACCCTTCAGTCAGAGTGTGATGCTTTCCCCAACATATCTTCAGATGAGTCTTGTAAGTACCTATGCAATGTGAGTGTATTATATCCCAGGTGCTCGCTGACGGACTTAAGTGCCAAAAACTGACTCCATGCTAGGAACCACTGAGTTCTCAACCAGTGAGTTTATGATTCCTATTTTAAAAATAACCTTTAAAGTCTGATTATAAAAGTAGTACATAGTCTTTGTGGAAAATTTATTAAGTACAGTAAGTGCAGAAGAAGAAATAAATCACTCATAATCCCAGCAGATAGAATTAATCACTGTCATTTTAGGTGTATTTTTTTGCAGAGTAAAACATGTAAACATTTTACATAGACATAAATACAAACATGATAAGCATTGACATGAAAATGGCAGTAATTCTGTACATGTGCTTCTTGTATTTTTGTTGTATTTTTATATCATGCTTTTTTGCAAAATACATTATAAATTAAACATGAATTTCACTAGTTTTCTGTGATATCATTTTCAATGGCTGAATAATGTTCTGTCACTATATGGATGAGCTGACTTGGGTAATCTCTTTTGGACATCTAGGTAATTTCTTAACTTTTTGTCTTTGAAAACATCTGTATCCATGATCTCTATTTATAATCTAATTTTACAGAAAGATAATGCAGAGCTAGGGGAGAGGGTGGGTACAGCAGTTTCATTTGTAATCTGCTGTACAATATAATCAACATTTAGCTGTATGATTTTGTCCTCGTTGTTGCCTAAAACGTTATTCTCTAGGGCTTTTCCCAAATTGTTTTAGAACAAATAAGTGGGCGTGCCATTTCTATAGGGTATACTGCCTGAGAATAATGTGGAATTGCACCAAGGAATCAAAGAAGGGCAGTATAAGGACATGTGTAATATAAGATTCGTGCAAGAAAGAGCAGACAGGGGAACTAAGTGTAAAGATAGAGGCTGGACGCTGTGGCTCATACCTGTAATCCCAGCACTTTGGGAGGCTGAGGTGGGTGGATCACTTAAGGCCAGGAGTTCAAGACCAGCCTGGCCAATATGCTGAAACTGCATCCCTACTAAAAAATACAAAAAGTTAGCCAAGCGTGTTGGTGCGTACCTGTAATCCCAGCTACTCGGGAGGCTGAGGCAGGAGAATCACTTGAACCCAGGAGGCAGAGGTTGCAGTGAGCTGCAATCATGCCGCTGCACTCCAGCCTGGGGGACAGAGTGAGACAGTCTCAAAAAAAAAAAAAAAAAAAAAAAAAAAAAAAAAAAAAAAAAAAAAAAAAAGATAGGATGCCACAAATTTAGAGAAAAGAGCAACTCCATTACCCCCAGACTGCCTCACAGTTAAGTACATGTCTTCATCCTGCTGGTTTAGATGAGATTTCTCAATAATACATCTCTTTGAAAAAAAGCTTTCTTTCTCTTCAATTCCATAGCTGTTCTTAGAAGAGAAATAGGAAAATTCACCAACATCAGGTATCATTTCAATTGATACTCAGCACTCAGACACCATGTGAAGTAGGTTTTGCAACCTGAATTGAGATGGAAATGGTCATTACGTTGCCAAGGAATCTTTGCTGTCCATTGGCAATACAGATAACAGATTGTAAATTCCACAAAATGAAATGTATCGAGACTAGAGAGTCATAGCTTATCTTTCAGTCAGTTCTACAAACCCTCTTTATTCTGAAAGGGAAGTTTCTTGAGACAAGGTTATTGTGAAATTTTCAGCTGAAGAATAAACTAGTTTTTAGTCTTTAAACTAGTTGATGATGATGATAAAAGTAACACATATGAATGGAAATAACAAGATATCAAATGTCCAGAGTGGGAGGACATGTTGGAGGAGGTGACACATGTTAAAGCACCACTATTTATTAAAAATAAAAATATGCATGCCCTGAGAAGTGGACTAGTTTTTACTGCAGATAAATGGACACATAAATCAAGGATGTTTGATGCAGTTTGCCTGTAATGTGAAGAACTGTCAATAAAACTCAATGTCCATCAATAGAGGAATGGCTAAATACATCTTGTCAATCTATACTAAACAGTATAATCACAACAGTTAAGAATAAAGAAGCAGTATTACTGAGAACACACATGGAGAACTGACAAGATAAACTGCTGAGTTGAACAAAGGAAGCTGTATAATTATGTGTAGAGGTGGACCCTGTTTATATATCAACACACGTGCAGGAACACACGCATAAAGCAATACTATATTTTCTCCTTCCGTGTACATCTATGTCAAGCCTAAGAAAATGCCCGATAAGTATTTCCTCTGAGGAAGGTAGAGGGAGTTAGGTGAGTATCTCAAAGGAGATTTTAGCCTTATCTATATTATATTGCTTTTAAACAGAATATATAGATATGTCATTTGTATATTCACCCTCCAAAACAAATGTATTTATGGTGCAAAAAGATACAGAATGGGCTAACTGAAAAGTCAATGATATAATTCCTTTCACACTTCAGGGAAGTGATCATTGTTAACACTAATAACTTGGTTGTGAAGTAAAAATGGAAATTCTATAGCTATGTGTCCATATATTTAGAAAACCAAATTTCTAATTGTTATATGTATTTTCCACTGAGTTGAATTACAGTCCTGTTTAATATCAGCCAGTTGTCAACTATTAGAAAATAATTGGTATCAAATATATGCAATATATTAATGTTTTTTAGGTGACTGTGCTATTTCTGGAAGATCTCAAAACTAGAATGTGGCAAAAAAATGTTTTTAAACAGTGACCAATGGAGCAGTGAGCTCTAGGTAGCTGATTAAGAATTTGATACAGGCTGGGTACAGTAGCTGACACCTGTAATCCCAACACTTTGGGAGGCTGAGGCCGGTAGATGGCTTGAGCCCAGGAGTTCAAGACCAGCCTGGGCAACATGGCAAAACCCTGTCTCTACAAAAAAAAAAAAAAAAAAGAAAGAGAAAAATTAGCCAGGCGTGGTGGCACATGCCTACAGTCCCAGCTACTTGGGAGGTCGAGGCTGCAATGAACCGTGATTGTGCCACTCCACTCCAGCCTGGGCAGCACAGTGAGACTCTGTCTCAACAACAACACAAGAATTTGCTATAGATGTAGAGGAAACATAATTAGACTATGCTCATAAATAGCAATATAGTTCTTAGCCTGGCATTGGCTAACTCATCTAATGGAGTGTGGTTATCTAATGGAAAAGGCTATCTTGTCAGAAGACTATCACCTGAGATGCTCACACTACTGATAGAGCACTTTTGCCTACCTGCAGCTAACTATTCTGTGAGCATCTGAATGGTGGTGGTGGTAGAAGGTGATAAACCACCCCAGAGGACACAGTATTAAATCATTAATCTCCAGCCCATCAGTGTCTTTGCCGTGGCAAAGTCCAAAGCTGTTACACCCTTTAGCTTTCAATCTCTTTACCATCTGTGGGTTTACTATGTGGTTGATTCCACTCCAGACCTCTCTAAAAGACTAAATGACTATTGGGCCAACCTTAGAGTGTGCTTCAAAGATTGAAAGATTAGCCTCTCACCAGAAGCAGCTAACTGGAGTCCCATTCTGGATGATGTGAACTTTTAATTGAGTGGGACAAAGCTGAATTATTTTTATTGAGTGAGACAAAGCTGAACTAAGCTAAAGGGATTTGGAGAGTAAGTCTTAAGGCAGATTTGGATGATACTGAGGGAAGGTGGGTACAGGGCAAGTAGAAAATTCTGAATGCAAAAGAGTGGAGATACTCTCTGGCCTTAAAGGGAGTAGATTTGAGCGACACCTAGGGCGTTACCAAGGATTAGTAGGAACTGAGGAATGTTTGCACTTTCAACTAAACTCTTAGCTTAACTAGGACCCTACTCTGTTGAGGAGAAGTTGGAGAGACTAACTCTTTTAGGAAAATGAGGAAACATGGAGTTGACACCCAAATTCCCGTTCTGAGTGACTCAAGTGACTGGATGGTGGTGCTGTGACTCACTGAAATGAGGAACACAGAAGACCAGCAGGTTGAAGTGTGCGGAGGAGGGAGGGAAGAGTTCTGTTGGGGCATGTGGAGTCGAAGGAACCTGCAGGACATCCAAATGGAGATGTACAGGAGGCAGTTAGAGAAATAGGTCATGTGCTTGGGAGAAAATAATAGTCCAGAAATATCAATGACATGTTTAGGAAACTTATTGTGTGTCATTGAGGGATTAACAAAAGTGTGTGTGTGATTTTAAATCCTCAATACAGATACTTTACTTGTGAAAGAACCAGTGGCTGTCCTTAAGGCCAACAGAGTTTGGGGAGCATTACGAGGTAAGTTCCATGCAGTTTCATTGTTACTTTCCAGTAAAGGAAAATTTTCAGTTGGTGCTTTGTGAAATTAAGCACAGCAAAACTTTGCCGCCTTAGATCCTTTACAGAATGCTTTGTTATGTAGTTCCAAAATGATTTCCATTGAACATGTACTACATAAAGCATGGGAGAGGTCAGCACAGTGGCTCACGCCTGTAATCCCAGCACTTCGAGAGGCTGAGGTAGGTGATGATTGCCTGAGCTCAGAAGTCTGAGACCAGCCTGGGCAACATGGTGCAACTCCATCTCTACAAAAAGTACACAAATTAGCCAGGCATAGTGGTGTGGACCTATAGTCCCAGCTACTCTGGAGGCTGAGGTGGGAGGATTGCTTGAGTCCAGGACGTTGAGGCTGCAGCGAGCCTAGATCACACCACTGCATTCCAGGCTGGGCAACAGAGCAAGACCCCTGTCTCAAAAAAATACAAATAAATAAATACAGCATGGGAGAAAACTCATTTGACCTCTCAAAAAATGTTTGAAGGTTATTACATTCCTGCAGTGCTGTAATTCATTGATGCTCTTGGGACTGTAATGTTTATAGCACTACACATGGCCCCAACCTGTCCTGATTAGGGAATTTTGTTTCAGCTATCACTTCTGTTGACTTCAGAAGCAAGCATCTCTCTTCCCTAATTTTAAATTCCTGTAGATTTAGAAACATAACTAAGTTTGTATAAGGAACAGTGTCAAAAGGCAAATATGCTATAGAGTTGGTTAGAGGCAGTGGGCAGGGAGTAACTTGAAAAGCTTCTCATGAGAATTTCAGAGTCTGAACTTCAAAGTTTGACCTCAGGACATTTGCTGTTCAAAAGTTTCTTTTACCTTTCTTTCTAGGCAGATAAGATACTGTACTGACTTCCGAATAGCAGAGTTTTTAGAAAGGGAATTTAAAAAAACATGAACTAACCAAACTTAGTCATTAAAATAAAGGCTTGGGATTGATCATAGTCACTCACACCTGTAATCCCACCACTTTGGGAGGTTGAGGCAGGCAGATCACTTGAGGTCAGGAGTTCGAGACCAGACTGGCCAACATGGTGAAATCCCATCTCTACTAAAAATACAAAAAAAAAATGAGCCAGGCATGGTGGCGCATGCCTGTAATCCCAACTACTTGGGAGGGTGAGGCAGGAGAATTGCTTGAACCTGGGAGAGGGAGGTTGCAGTGAGCTGAGCTGGCACCACTGCATTCCAGCCTTGGTGACAGAGCAAAACTCCATCTCAAAAAACAAAATAAATAAAGATTTGGAATCTGACTCAGAGTGTTACCTAAAATAATCATTGTTATGCTATATATTTTATACCATAAGATTATAATTTTATTCAAAATAGAATATGAAAATATCTAGATATTTACTACAAATGTAATTTTATTTATGTATAATATTAGTGATTTTAAGCTTTTATTAGTCCAATCTGCCTGTCTCATCTGCGTCTGCTAAGGAGAAGAGACGCTTTTTTTTTTTTTTTTTTTTGAGACAGAATCTTGCTCTGTTGCCCAGGCTGGAGTGCAGTGGTGAAATCTCAGCTCACTGCAAGCTCCGCCTCATGGGTTCATGCCATTCTCCTGCCTCAGCCTCCCGAGTAGCTGGTACTACAGGCGCCTGCCACCACGCCTGGCTAATTTTTTGTATTTTTAGTAGAGACAGGGTTTCACTGTGTTAGCCAGGATGGTCTCGATCTCCTGACCTCGTGATCCACCTGCCTTGGCCTCCCAAAGTGCTGGGATTACAGGCGTGAGCCACTGCGCCCAGCCAAGAGACGCTTATTGATGTTTGTTCTGATCCATACCAAAATAAAGAACTCTAGCAAGGCTGGGCACGGTGGCTCACGCCTGTAATCCCAGCACTTTGGGAGGCCGAGGTGGGTGGATCACTTGAGGTCAGGAGTTGGAGACCAGCCTGGTCAACACAGTGAAATCCCATCTCTACTAAAAATACAAAAATTAGCCGGGCATGGTGGTGCACGCTTGTAGTCCCAGCTACTTGGGAGGCTGAGGCAGGAGAAGTACTTGAACCCGGGAGGTGGAGGTTACAATGAGCCGAGATCGCGCCACTGCACTCCGTCCTGGGTGACAGAGCAAGACTCCGTCTAAAAAAAAAAAAAAAAAGATAAAACCACTCTTGCGAGTATGCAGTGACTAGATTTCTAGTCCAAGAAGTCCATATTTTCTGTTTACCATCAGACTTTCAGAGTAATGTACTCTAAACTGATCATTATTGAACGTAATGTCACTTAACAGAAACTTTCAGAGTTATTCTTCCCAGCATGAACCTGTACTTGACGAGGTTGGAGAGACAGGAAGGCGTAGCAAAGATGACTGAACTGTTCTTAGGTTAAAAATTCCCTGGCTATATAGCTGTCAGCTAGAATGAGGAATCTGAATAAAGTCAAGGCCAGTTAGAAGAATTAGCCTGTCAACTAGTATATTAAGGGAATAATCCACTTGAGTAAAAAATGTTCAGAAGGTAGTCTTTGCAGCTATAAGTAAAATGCTGTATATTGTAAATTGGCCTTTATTTATAGTTTCATGGTTTTTCCAGCCATTTTTCCCTGTTGCATTTAGATACCTTCTAAAAGTGACTATATTTGATTATAAAAATTCTTTCTCATGATGCCATAAATTTATTAAGGAACCAGTATTTTATTAAATTACTATTCTTCTTTTGTCTATATTGAAACAACCCCCAGGGTATGGGTACAATGAAGTAAAGCACTTTTATTAGATGAGTAGAGAAGTGCAATGGATTTTTTTTTAATTTGGCTTTGATTTTAGAAATTATGGTAGAGGGTGTAGGTATAACAATATATTTTAGAGGATAGAGGTATAACACTATATTCAATTATATTTGCCTTACCTGGTTATGAGTCTGTTTGAATAATATAACTTTTATCATCTCAATTTGTTGATTTATAAATTAATGCAATAAATTTTACTTTCCTCAGGTTTAGAGACCTTTAGCCAGTTAGTTTATCAAGATTCTTATGGAACTGTAAGTATGATTATTATATGTTACTAAAAATTGTTAGACAAATTGCTAATAGAAAAAAATGTAACCTGTTTAGCTATTGCTTCCTGAAGATTTCATTTCCCCAGATATTTGTCTTAGCCGGTAAATGTAAATTTCATACATTTTTGTTGTTCTAAATTAATATTTTATGAAATGCTTGTATAAATAGATTTAGTCTTCATTGAGTTCAAGACAACAGAAAATTCTAAAACTAAATCAAAATTTTATTTTGTCATAGTTCACCATCAATGAATCCACCATTATTGATTCTCCAAGGTTTTCTCACAGAGGAATTTTGATTGATACATCCAGACATTATCTGCCAGTTAAGATTATTCTTAAAACTCTGGTAAGTAATTACTTCATTCTAATCTGTTGTCTATTCTGAAGATGTCTCCTTTATGTTGTAACTTTATGTTGGTTACTATTGTGTAGTTTGGAACAGGGGAATTTGTATAAGCACTGGGCATTCTTTCCTCAGTTCCTAGGGAAGTGTATTTCCTCAGCTGTGACGTGGAGGTCCCCTTGAGAATCACCCTCCTGTTTTCAGTGCGAGAGCCACGTATAACATGTATTTAGCCAAGACTGTTAAGAGAAGGACAGTTTAAACACTGCCCATTGGCCCTTTACATATACTCCCATTTGTCAAATCATGTGTCTAGACTTTTGATTAGGAATACATGGCCACCCAGGTGCGGTGGCTTACACTTGTAATCCCAACACTTTGGGAGGCTGAGGCAGGTGGATCACCTGAGGTCAGGAGTTCGAGACCAGCCTGGCCAACATGGCCAAACCCCATCTCTACTAAAAATACAAAAATTAGCCAGGCGTGGTAGCGTGCGCCTGTAATCCCAGCTACTAGGGAGGCTGAGACAGGAGAATTGCTTGAACCCTCCCCGGGTGGAGGTTGCAGTGAGCCGAGATCGCACCACCGCACTCCAGCCTGGGCGACAGAGCAAGACTCTGTCTCAAAAAAAAAAAAAAAAAAAGGAATACGTGGCCACCACACCATACTTCTAGTTAGTGCCATTTAAATTTTGTGACCACCTCTTACTTTTTTTGTAAGTGGCATTAGAAAGGAGTCCGGGAGCTCCTTTATACCTAGGGAACTATTCCAAAGGAATATGGAACCTCAGGGGTGGTATGGGTTAGGAAGAAGGTTGACAATAACTGTTTTCTCCTATGGGCTTTTTTTTATTGGTTAATCCCCACCATCACCTGCCAATTTGTAGGGGTGGGGAGGTTTCCTCCCATGTTTTTTTGCACCTTCACTTGATCATTATGATGAAACTATGCTATTTAAAAATTATTATTATTATTATTTATTTATTTATTTTGAAACGGAGTTTCGCTCTTGTTGCCCAGGCTGGAGTGCAATGGCGCGATCTCGGCTCACTGCAACCTCTGCCTGACAGGTTCAAGCAATTCTCCTGCCTCAGCCTCCTGAGTAGCTGGGACTACAGGCATGCACCACCACGCCCAGCTAATTTTGCATTTTTAGTAGAGACGGGGTTTCTCCATGTTGAGGCTGGTCTCGAACTCCTGACCTCAGGTGATCCACCTGCCTTGGCCTCCCAAAGTGCTGGGATTGCAGGTGTGAGCCACCGTGCCCAGCCAAAAATTATTATTATTATTATTATTTTTTTTTCTTTTTAGTTGAAGTCTTGCTCTGTCGCCAGGCTGGAGGGCAGTGGTGCAATCTTGGCTCACTGCAACCTCCGCCTCCCGGATTCAAGCAATTCTCCTGCCTCGGCCTCCCGAGTAGCTGGGATTACAGGTGCACACCACCACACCCAGCTAATTTTTGTATTTTTAGTAGAGACAGGGTTTCACCATGTTAGCCAGGATGTTCTCAATCTCCTGACCTTGTGATCCGCCTGCCTCAGCCTCCCAAAGTGCTGGGATTACAGGTGTGAGCCACCACGCCTGGCCTAAAAATTATTTTTACATTTACATTAATACTCTGAATTTTTTCTCCAAAAGACAGTCTTGTCACTTTTAAGAAACAGATGCTTAGTGTAAAAAGTTTAAACAATATAAATGTGCATAAAATAGGCAGTCATCCCATAATTTCATTTGCCAAAGATTGACATACATTTTTATGTGCTACTTGTCTCATTTTAGACTTAAAAAATGAATATACTAGGTGGGGTACAGTGGCTCACGCCTGTAATCCCAGCACTTTGGGAGGTGGAGGCAGGTGGATCATTCAAGGTCAGGAGTTCGAGACCAGCCTGACCACCATGGTGAAACCCATCTCTACTAAAAATACAAAAAATTAGCCAGGCGTGGTGGTGCACGCCTGTAATTCCAGCTACTTGGGAGGCTGAGACACAAAATCGCTTGAACCTGGGAGAGGGAGGTTGGAGTGAGCCAAGATTACGCCACTGCACTCCAGCCTGGGCAACAGAGCAAGACTCCATCTCAAAACAAACAAACAAAATGAATATATTAACATATACAATGTGACTTTTTAAAAAACTTAAATGAGACTGTACTTTTGCTACCCCCCACCCCCTTTTTTTTCTTTTTGTGAGACAGAGTCTCGCTGTGTTACCCAGGCTGGAGTGCAGTTGGCACAATCTCGGCTCACTGCTACCTCCGCCTCCTGAGTTCAAGCAATTCTCTTGCCTCTGTCTCTCGAGTAGCTGGGATTACAGGTGCCCACCACCACACCTGGCTAATTTTTGTATTTTTAGTAGAGATGGGGTTTCACCATGTTGGTCAGGCTGATCTTGAACTCCTGACCTCAAGTGATTTGCCTGCCTTGGCCTCCCAAAATGATGGGATTACAGATGTGAGCCACCACACCTGGCCTTTGCTACTCTTTTAACAGTTGAATATTTCATTTTATTTAGTCTCATGCTGATGGACATCTAAGTTAATTAACTATTATCATAAATACTACTGCAGTGTTTTATACATATATATTTGTACACTTGATAAGATTATTTCTGGAGGATAAATTCTTAGAAGTGAATTTCTGGGCTTAAGATGTATATATTTTATTTTTTGGTACATTTTAACTTTTGGTATATACTGTCAGGCTGCCTTCTAGACAGGTCGGTCATAGCCACATATGCTTGGCCAACAGTGTGGTACATCTTTGCCATGTTTGTTGCTGATCTAATGATAAAATATATCTCCTTGTTTTAATGTGCACTTCCTTGCTTTTTAGTGAATATAAGCCTTTTTTTTACATATTAATTATTTGTATATTTTATATTATAAACTGTAAGTTTCCTTTTTTTTTTTTTTTTTTTTTTTTTGAGACAGTCTTGTTCTGTTGCCCAGACTGGAGTGCAGTGGCACAATCTTGGCTCACTGTAATCTCTGCCTCCTGGGTTCAAGCGATTCTTGGACCTCAGCCTCCTGAGTAGCTGGGATTACAGGCATGCACCACCACACCCGGCTAATTTTTTGTATTTTTAGTAGAGACAGGGTTTTGCCATGTTGCCCAGGCTGGTCTCAAACTCCTGAGCTCAGGCAATCTGCCCACCTCGGCCTCTCAGAGTGCTAGGATTACAGGCATGAGCCACTGTGCCCAGCTGTAAGTTTATTTTCTATGTTTATTTTGTCGTCTAGAATGTGAATACCTTCTTTATTGGTTTAATGTTTTAATGTTATAGTTGTCTATAGATTGTGCCACTGATACTTTTATATTTGCTTATATGTATCTTATTTTTAAAATTTAATTAATTTAAATTTTTTATATTTAAAAAAAATTTGTGTAGAGATAGGGTCTCACCATAATGCCTCAAACTCCTGGTGTCAAATGATCCTTCCACCTTGGCCTCCCAAAGTGTTGGGATTATAGGCATGAGGCACCATACTCCACCTTATATTTATATTATATACTTACCCATCATATGTTGTTGTGAATTTTTTCTAAATTTCTAAATTTGTTTTAATAACTGTGTTTATAATGCCTGTAGACATTTACATTTTATTTATTTATTTATTTATTGAGACGGAGTTTTGCTCTTGTTGCACAGGTTGGAGTGCAATGGTGCGGTCTCAGCTCACTGCAACCTCCGCCTCTCAGATTCAAGTGATTCTTCTGCCTCAGCCTCCTAAGTAGCTGGGATTACAGGTGCCCGCCATCATGCCTGGCTAATTTTTATATTTTTAGTAGAGGCAGGGTTTTACCATGTTGGCCAGGCTGATCTTGAACTCCTGACCTCAGGTGATCTACCTTCCTCAGCTTCCCGAAGTGCTGGGATTACAGGCGTGAGCCCCCATGCCTGGCAAAATTTTTTTATTTTTATTTTTTAGCAAAGAACCCTGCTAACATTTTTTTTTTTTTTAAGAGATGGGGTTTTGCCACATTTCCCAGGTTGGTCTTAAACTCCTGAGCTCAGGCGATCCACCTGCCTTGGCCTCTCAAAGTGCTGGGATTACAGGCATAAGCCACCCATGCCCAGCCACAAGTTCTTTAAAGGAGTAGTATATTTCAATGTTATCCTTTCTATCATTTTTGGCTTTGGGAAGTATGCTTAGAATCCTCCTCTACAACAAGGATATAAATATAAAAATAGCCTCTTAAATTTTATTTTAGTATCATTATACTTTTTCTTATTAAATTCTTGATTCTATTAGAATTTACTTTAGTGTATCAAACCTATTAGGTATTTTAATTTTACTTTCCAAATGGTTAGCCAGTAATCCCCTCATTTCTGAGCAATCTACAATTCCCTATTGCTTTCAATGACAATTACTAAATACTAAATTCAGTTATAATTATTAAATACTAAATTCCAATAAATATGGAAGTTACTTTCTGAAGTCATAATCTTTACTACTTTATCTTCTTGGGCCAGTACATGTGGTTTTAATTTCTATAGCTTTAGCAGTTTTTATTTTTGTTTTTGTTTGTATTTTGAAGTCTTAAACTTAGGGAAAAGTTGTAAATAGTGTGCAAAGAACTCCTATATACTCTTTACCCAGATACTCCACTTTAAAATTTTTATTGTATTTATTAAATATTAAATTTATTTAAGCTATATATTTGCTTTATTCTCCCTCTCTAAAAATACGTTTTCTAAACCACATGGGCACATATGATGCATCAATACCCCCTTAATATTTCAGGATGAATTTCTTAAAAAAAGGACATTTAATAACTTCAGTACAACCATCAAAATCAGGAAATTGACACAATACTGCATCTAATACGCAGACCCCATTCAAATTTCGATTGTTCCAACAATGTCTTTTATAGGTTCCACATCCCATCCAAAATCAGGTGTTCCGTTTACTTGTATGTCTCTTTGGCCACCATTAATCTGCAACTGACTATCTTTCCTTGTCTTTTTTTTTTTTTTTTTTTTTTTTTTTTTGAGACGGAGTCTCGCTCTGTCGCCCAGGCTGGAGTGCAGTGGCGGGATCTCGGCTCACTGCAAGCTCCGCCTCCCGGGTTCACGCCATTCTCCTGCCTCAGCCTCCCAAGTAGCTGGGACTACAGGCGCCCGCCACTACGCCTGGCTAATTTTTTGTATTTTTAGTAGAGACGGGGTTTCACCGTTTTAGCCGGGATGGTCTCGATCTCCTGACCTCGTGATCCGCCCGCCTCGGCCTCCCAAAGTGCTGGGATTACAGGCGTGAGCCACCGCGCCCGGCCTCCTTGTCTTTTAAGACCATGACATTTTTGAAGAGTATAGGCCAGTTGCTTTGTAGAGTATGCCTTAGCTTGTCCATTTTCCAGAAGATAATATTCAGTTATGCATTTTTGGCAGGAATAAAGCAGAAATGATGCTGTGTTCTTCTCAGTGCTTATCAGGTGACACAATGTCTTATTTATTTCATTTCTGGTATTGTTCACTTATAACTTGCCTAAGATGTCATCTGCCAGGTTTCTCCACTGTGATGTTAATTAAAAAGCATTTTGTACTTAACAAGTAATTAAGTATCTTGTGGGAAGAAATCTTGAGACCGTGTAAAATCCCATTCTTCATCCAGCGTTCACTCACTAGTTTTAGCATCCACAGATGATTCTTGCCTAAATCAGTTATTACTAAGGTGGCTACCGAGTGGTGATGCTTCTAATTCCATCACTCCTTCTATCATTTATTACTTGGCATTTCAGTGTAAGGTAGAGCAATCCCTTCTCTTTTATTTAAGTATTCGTTATTTTTATCAGTGTGGACTCATGGGTTACTATGTTATTCAGGATTGTAATCTGTTACTTTCCCTGTTTTTTTGTTTGTTTGTTTGAGATGGAGTTTCGCTCTTGTCGCCCAGGCTGGAGTGCAATGGTGCAGTCTCAGCTCACTGCAACCTCTGCCTCCCAGGTTCAAGCGATTCTCCTGCCTCAGCCTCCTGAGTAGCTGGAGTTACAGGCATCCGCCACCACGCCCAGCTAATTTTTCTATTTTTAGTAGAGATGGGGTTTCGCCATGTTGGCCAGGCTGGTCCCGAGCTCCTAGCCTCAGGTGGTCCACCCAGCTTGGCCTCCCAAAGTGCTGGGATTACAGGCGTGAGCCACTGTGCCCAGCCACTTTCCTTGTTTAATAGTCAAATTATCCCAGCTTTGGTCACTGGAAGTCCTTCAAGTTGCCTCTTACATCCCTTGCAGGTTCCCTTTAATTTTGGAGCACTGTCTTACTTTTTGGCACATGATGTTTCAGGCCTGTCTTCCCTGTCCCGGTCTTTTCTGTGTCCTCAGACTTTTCTTCAAGGAACCCTTTTAGTGGTGAACAACATTTTGAAACCAATATCTAGGCTCTAGGTGTGCTCATTGCTACTAGGATGTCATTGCTTGTAGACCCTCTGAGCAGAGAGAGCTAGAAAACGTGTGTACCTGTGTATGTATACATTTGTATGAATACACACACATCTTTCCCTATTTCTATATCTGCTAATATCAGGAGTTGGCAAACCATACCCCAAAGGCCAAATCCAGTTCACCATCTATTTTCACAAACATGGGGTTTTGGTCTCACTGTCACCCCCAGGCTGGAGTGCAGAGGTATGAGCTCAGCTTACTGCAGTCTCAACCTCCCAGGCTCAAGCAATCCTCCCACCTCAGCCTCCAGAATGGATGGGACTACCGGCACTACCGGCATGTGTCACGATGCCCAGCTAATTTCTTAAAAATTTTTTAGTAGAGATAGGGTCTCACTATGTCATGCAGGCTGGTCTCAAACTCCTGGGCCCAAGTGATCTTCCTGCCTCAGCCTTCCAAAGTACTGGGGTTACAGATGTGAGCCACCGTGTCTGGCCTCACAAATAAAGTTTACAGGAATATAGGCACGTACGTTTGTTTACATACTGTCTCACTCTACAATTGCAGAGTGGAGTAGGTGTAACAAACTCTATGGCTTGCAAAGCCAAAATATTTACTGTCTAGCCCTTTATGTAAAATGTTTACCAACCCCTGGTCTATGTTAAAAACCATGAGTTTGTATTAATAAGCTCAATTCCAGTTAACACCTATATTTCTGGCTCCCTTCTCTGAGAGTGAAAACCCTCCTTTTATCCTCAATATATTTATCTGCACAATCCCCTTGTATGTAAAAGATGTCCTAACTCCATCAGCCAAATCCCTTCAGCCTTGATGAAGAGGGAGTCTTTAAGTTTTGATGATCTTGTTGGACAAATCTTCTCCCTTATTGTTTTTCATCTTTTAAAAATAGTGTTTATATTTTATATAAATATTATATTGGTTATTCCTCTAGAGTATATATAAAATTAATAACTCAATTTGCCCAAAAATTTCTCTGGGGGAATTGTATTGAGTTTGCAATGAAATTCTTGGTTGGGACTCAAATTTCAGAACTGTGGGAATTATAAGTCCTGGTACTTAAATGAATGCTCCGTTTTTCCTTTGCTCTATTCCCAAACACAGTGGCAGCCAAGAACCATTTTGCATTCTTGGCAGACTGCTACATATTGGGAATCTTGCTCTCCTCCCATACAGCAAAGTTACAACTCACCGTCTAGAATAAATACAACATCTCCAGAGGCTTTTTGTATACTGATGTGTCATGTGAAGTATATATGATGAAGAATTTCTATTTCTTCTCATTCTTTCTTTGCTGAAAGATAAATTTTAGCCAGGTGTGGTGGCTCATGCCTGTAATCCCAGCAATTTGGGAGGCCAAGGCGGGTGGTTGGCTTGAGCCCAGGAGTTCCAGACCAGCCTGGGCAACATGGCAAAACCCTGTTTCGACAAAAAATACAAAAATTACCTGGGCATGGTAGTGGGCGCCTGTAGTCCCAGCTACTCAGGAGGCTGAAGTGGGAGGATCACTTGAGACTGGGAGGTCAAGGCTGCAGTGAGCCAAGATCATGCCACTGTATTCCAGCCTGGGCAATGGAGTGAGACCCTGTCTCAAAAAAAAAAAAAAAAAAAAAGTTTTAAAGGAAGCAGACATATTGGAAGCAATTCCAAATGTAGATAGGTAATATGGATTGTATATGATATCTGCAGTAAATAATTTTTAAATATGTTTGCTTGCAGGATGCCATGGCTTTTAATAAGTTTAATGTTCTTCACTGGCACATAGTTGATGACCAGTCTTTCCCATATCAGAGCATCACTTTTCCTGAGTTAAGCAATAAAGTGAGTAAATTGTATTGTACTCTGTCTACAAAAACATTGGGTATAGTTTCATTACAAGTTTGTAGCTTAAATGTTTGTTCTTATGGATAGAATCAAAGTGTAAAAATCAGATGTTTATGGTTTTTAATTTTTTTGGCTGTGACTTAGCATTTTACATCCATAAAACTTTTTTTGTTATTGTTATAACGGTTACTGTAATTGTTACTGTGAATATAAACAATCTTGGGGAAGTGTAAATCGAAATTTAACAAGGTAGAAGCCCTGAATAATTCTCAAATTACATATGGTTAAGATAATATATTTATCAAGTTGTCCAACAGTGTATTTGTTTTAAACATAATTGTTTGGAAATCCATAAATGACTATTTTTCTCTCTGAGAAACTACATGAAGTAGGGAATTTTAGAGGTGAGAGTGTTTTCTTAGAAAATAATGGTAGTCTCAGTTAACAGTGTTCAAATTGACTGTATCATGGACCAATGGATCTGGGAGGGACCCTCAGTGTCCCCTAGTTTAATACCCCTGTAATACAAAGAAGGTACCTGACATCCAGAGAAATGATGTGCCTTGTGTAAAGTTGTGGTTAGGAAGGGACAGAGCCAGGACTCTAAATTCTGTCCTCCGGCCATAATTCCAAAACTTTCTCCAATGTTAGGTATGTAGGCTAAAATGTGCTAACAGCACTTGTGTTTTTGTTTCCTTTTGTTTTACTTTTTATTATGGCAAATTTCAAACATATACAGATACAGAATAGTTTAATGAACTCCCATGTTCTCATCATGCCAGTTCAAACATGAATACATGGTCAACCTTGTATCACTTAAACTCCTGCGGACAAGCCCTGCCCCATCCTGTTGTTTTGAATAAAATCCATCATTGTATCTCACTGTAAAAAGGCCTGTTCTTTAAGAAAAAATAACCATAATACATGATTGCAGCTAAAAAATTAAGAGTAATCTAGACAGCTAATCAATATTCACATTTCGGGGGGAGGAGCCAAGATGGCCGAATAGGAACAGCTCCCGTCTACAGCTCCCAGCATGAGCGACACAGAAGACGGGTGATTTCTGCATTTCCATCTGAGGTACCAGGTTCATCTCACTAGGGAGTGCCAGACAGTGGGCGCAGGACAGTGGGTGCAGCGCATCATGCGCGAGCCGAAGCAGGGTGAGGCGTTGCCTCACTCGGGAAGCGCAAGGGGTCAGGGAGTTCCCTTTCCTAGTCAAAGAAAGGGGTGACACACGGCACCGGGAAAATCGGGTCACTCCCACCCGAATACTGTGCTTTTCCGACGGGCTTAGGAAACGGCACACCAGGATATTATATCCTGCACCTGGCTCGGAGGGTCCTACGTGCACGGAGTCTCGCTGATTGCTAGCACAGAAGTCTGAGATCAAACTGCAAGGCGGCAGCGAGGCTGGGGGAGGGGTGCCCGCCATTGCCCAGGCTTGCTTAGGTAAACAGAGCAGCCGGGAAGCTCCACCTGGGTGGAGCCCACCACAGCTCAAGGAGGCCTGCCTGCCTCTGTAGGCTCCACCTCTGGGGGCAGGGCACAGACAAACAAAAAGACAGCAGTAACCTCTGCAGACTTAAATGTCCCCGTCTGACAGCTTTGAAGAGAGCAGTGGTTCTCCCAGCACACAGCTGGAGATCTGAGAACGGGCAGACTGCCTCCTCAAGTGGGTCCCTGATCCCTGAGCAGCCTAACTGGGAGGCACCCCCCAGTAGGGGCAGACTGACACCTCACACAGCCGGGTATTCCTCTGAGACAAAACTTCCAGAGGAACGATCAGACAGCAGCATTCACGGTTCACGAAAAACCACTGTTCTGCAGACACCGCTGCTGATACCCAGGCAAACAGGGTCTGGAGTGGACCTCTAGCAAACTCCAACAGACCTGCAGCTGAGGGTCCTGTCTGTTAGAAGGAAAACTAACAAACAGAAAGGACATCCACACCAAAAACCCATCTGTACATCACCATCATCAAAGACCAAAAGTAGATAAAACCACAAAGATGGGGAAAAAACAGAGCAGAAAAACTGGAAACTCTAAAAAGCAGAGCACCTCTCTTCTTCCAAAGGATCGCAGTTCCTCACCAGCAATGGAACAAAGCTGGACGGAGAATGACTTTGATGAGTTGAGAGAAGAAGGCTTCAGAAGATCAAACTACGAGCTACAGGAGGAAATTCAAACCAAAGGCAAAGAAGTTAAAAACTTTGAAAAAAATTTAGACGAATGTACAACTAGAATAACCAATACAGAGAAGGGCTTAAAGGAGCTGATGGAGCTGAAAGCCAAGGCTCGAGAACTACGTGAAGAATGCAGAAGCCTCAGGAGCTGATGTGATCAACTGGAAGAAAGGGTATCAGTGATGGAAGATGAAATGAATGAAATGAAGTGAGAAGGGAAGTTTAGAGAAAAAAGAATAAAAAGAAATGAACAAAGCCTCCAAGAAATATGGGACTATGTGAAAAGACCAAATCTACATCTGATTGGTGTACCTGAAAGTGAAAGTGACGGGGAGAATGGAACCAAGTCCTACTCTGCAGGATATTATCCAGGAGAATTTCCCCAATCTAGCAAGGCAGGCCAACATTCAGATGCAGGAAATACAGAGAATGCCACAAACATACTCCTCGAGAAGAGCAACTCCAAGACACATAATTGTCAGATTCACCAAAGTTGAAATGAAGGAAAAAATGTTAAGGGCAGCCAGAGAGAAAGGTCGGGTTACCCACAAAGGGAAGCCCATCAGACTAACAGCGGATCTCTCGGCAGAAACTCTACAAGCCAGAAGACAGTGGGGGCCAATATTCAACATTCTTAAAGAAAAGAATTTTCAACCCAGAATTTCATATCCAGCCAAACTAAGCTTCATAAGTGAAGGAGAAATAAAATACTTTACAGACAAGCAAATGCTGAGAGATTTTGTCACCACCAGGCCTGCCCTGAAAGAGCTCCTGAAGGAAGCACTAAACATGGAAAGGAACAACCAGTACCAGCCGCTGCAAAATCATGCCAAAGTGTAAAGACCATCGAGACTAGGAAGAAACTGCATCAACTAACAAGCAAAATAACCAGCTAACATCATAATGACAGGATCAAATTCACACATAACAATATTAACTTTAAATGTAAATGGACTAAATGCTCCAATTAAAAGACACAGACTGGCAAATTGGATAAAGAGTCAAGACCCATCAGTGTGTTGGATTCAGGAAACCCATCTCACGGGCAGAGACACACATAGGCTCGATATAAAAGGATGGAGGAAGATCTACCAAGGAAATGGAAAACAAAAAAAGTCAGGGGTTGCAATCCTAGTCTCTGATAAAACAGACTTTTAAACCAACAAAGATCAAAAGAGACAAAGAAGGCCATTACATAATGGTAAAGGGATCAATTCAACAAGAAGAGCTAACTATCCTAAATATATATGCACCCAATACAGGAGCACCCAGATTCATAAAGCAAGTCCTGAGTGACCTACAAAGAGACTTAGACTCCCACACATTAATAATGGGAGACTTTAACACCCTACTGTCAACATTAGACAGATCAACGAGACAGAAAGTCAACAAGGATACCCAGGAATTGAACTCAGCTCTGCACCAAGTGAACCTAATAGACATCTACAGAACTCTCCACCCCAAATCAACAGAAGATACATTTTTTTCAGCACCACACCACACCTATTCCAAAATTGACCACATAGTTGGAAGTAAAGCTCTCCTCAGCAAATGTAAAAGAACAGAAATTATAACAAACTATCTCTCAGACCACAGTGCAATCAAGCTAGAACTCAGGATTAAGGAACTCACTCAAAACTGCTCAACTACATGGAAACTGAACAACCTGCTCCTGAATGATTACTGGGTACATAACGAAATGAAGGCAGAAATAAAGATATTCTTTGAAACCAACAAGAACAAAGACACAACATACCAGAATCTCTGGGACACATTCAAAGCAGTGTGTAGAGGGAAATTTATAGCACTAAATGCCCACAAGAGAAAGCAGGAAAGATCCAAAATTGACACCCTAACATCACAATTAAAAGAACTAGAAAAGCAAGAGCAAACACATTCAAAAGCTAGCAGAAGGCAAGAAATAACTAAAATCAAAGCAGAACTGAAGGAAATAGACACACAAAAAACCCTTCAAAAAATTAATGAATCCAGAAGCTGGTTTTTTGAAAGGATCAACAAAATTGATAGAACGCTAGCAAGACTAATAAAAAAAGAGAGAAGAATCAAATAGACGCAATAAAAAATGATAAAGGGGATATCACCACCAATCCCACAGAAATACAAACTACCATCAGAGAATACTACAAACACCTCTATGCAAATAAACTAGAAAATCTAGAAGAAATGGATAAATTCCTCCACACATATACTCTCCCAAGACTAAACCAGGAAGAAGTTGAATCTCTGAATAGACCAATAACAGGAGCTGAAATTGTGGCAATAATCAATAGCTTATCAACCAAAGAGTCCAGGACCAGATGGATTCACAGCCGAATTCTACCAGAGGTACAAGGAGGAACTGGTACCATTCCTTCTGAAACTATTCCAATCAATAGAAAAAGAGGGAATCCTCCCTAACTCATTTTATGAGGCCAGCATCATCCTGATACCAAAGCCGGGCAGAGACACAACCAAAAAAGAGAATTTTAGACCAATATCCATGATGAACATTGATGCAAAAATCCTCAATAAAATACTGGCAAACCAAATCCAGCAGCACATCAAAAAGCTTATCCACCATGATCAAGTGGGCTTCATCCCTGGGACGCAAGCCTGGTTCAATATACGTAAATCAATAAATGTAATCCAGCATATAAACAGAACCAAAGACAAAAACCACATGATTATCTCAATGGATGCAGAAAAGGCCTTTGACAAAATTCAACAACCCTTCATGCTAAAAACTCTCAATAAATTAGGTATTGATGGGACATATCTCAAAATAATAAGAGCTATCTATGACAAACCCCCAGCCAATATCATACTGAATGGGCAAAAACTAGAAGCATTCCCTTTGAAACCTGGCACAAGACAGGGATGCCCCCTCTCACCACTCCTGTTCAACATAGTGTTGGAAGTTCTGGCCAGGGCAATTAGGCAGGAGAAGGAAATAAAAGGTATTCAATTAGGAAAAGAGGAAGTCAAATTGTCCCTGTTTGCAGATGACATGATTGTATATCTAGAAAACCCCATTGTCTCAGCCCAAAATCTCCTTAAGCTGATAAGCAAATTCAGCAAAGTCTCAGGATACAAAATCAATGTGCAAAAATCACAAGCATTCTTATACACCAATAACAGACAAACAGCCAAATCATGAGTGAACTCCCATTCACAATTGCTTCAAAGAGAATAAAATACCTAGGAATCCAACTTACAAGGGATGTGAAGGACCTCTTCAAGGAGAACTACAAACCACTGCTCAATGAAATAAAAGAGGATACAAACAAATGGAAGAAAATTCCATGCTCATGGGTAGGAAGAATCAATATCATGAAAATGGCCATACTGCCCAAGGTAATTTATAGATTCAATGCCATCCCCATCAAGCTACCAATGACTTTCTTCACAGAATTGGAAAAAACTACTTGAAAGTTCATATGGAACCAAAAAAGAGCCCACATTACCAAGTCAATCCTAAGCCAAAAGAACAAAGCTGGAGGCATCACGCTACCTGACTTCAAACTATACTACAAGGCTACAGTAACCAAAACAGCATGGTACTGGTACCAAAACAGAGATATAGATCAATGGAACAGAACAGAGCCCTCAGAAATAACGCTGCATATCTACAACTATCTGATGTTTGACAAACCTGAGAAAAACAAGCAATGGGGAAAGGATTCCCTATTTAATAAATGGTGCTGGGAAAACTGGCTAGCCATATGTAGAAAGCTGAAACTGGATCCCTTCCTTACACCTTATACAAAAATCAATTCAAGATGGATTAAAGACTTAAACGTTAGACCTAAAACCATAAAAACCCTAGAAGAAAACCTAGGCATTACCATTCAGGACATAGGCATGGGCAAGGACTTCATGTCTAAAACACCAAAAGCAATGGCAACAAAAGCCAAAATTGACAAATGGGATCTAATTAAACTAAAGAGCTTCTGCACAGGAAAAGAAACTACCATCAGAGTGAACAGGCAACCCACAATATGGGAGAAAATTTTCGCAACCTACTCATCTGACAAAGGAAATATCCAGAATCTACAATGAACACAAACAAATTTACAAGAAAAAAACAAACAACCCCATCAAAAAGTGGGTGAAGGACATGAACAGACACTTCTCAAAAGAAGACATTTATGCAGACAAAAAACACATGAAAAAATGCTCATCATCACTGGCCGTCAGAGAAATGCAAATCAAAACCACAATGAGATACCATCTCACACCATTTAGAATGGCAATCATTAAAAAGTCAGGAAACAACAGGTGCTGGAGAGGATGTGGAGAAATAGGAACACTTTTACACTGTTGGGACTGTAAACTAGTTCAACCATTGTGGAAGTCAGTGTGGCGATTCCTCAGGGATCTAGAACTAGAAATACCATTTGACCCAGCCATCCCATTACTGGGTATATACCCAAAGGACTATAAATCATGCTGCTGTAAAGACACATGCACACGTATGTTTATTGTGGCACTATTCACAATAGCAAAGACTTGGAACCAACCCAAATGTCCAACAATGATAGACTGGATTAAGAAAATGTGGCACATATACACCATGGAATACTATGCAGCCATAAAAAATGATGAGTTCATGTCCTTTGTAGGGACATGGATGAAATTGGAAATCATCATTCTCAGTAAACTATCACAAGAACAAAAAGCCAAACACCGCATATTCTCACTCATAGGTGGGAATTGAACAATGAGAACACATGGACACAGGAAGGGGAACATCACACACTGGGGACTGTTGTGGGGTGGGGGAGGGGGGAGGGATAGCATTGGGAGATATACCTAATGCTAGATGACGAGTTAGTGGGTGCAGCGCACCAGCATGGCACATGTATACATACGTAACTAACCTGCACATTGTGCACATGTACCCTAAAACTTAAAGTATGATAATAATAAAAAAAAGAAATGCTTTAAATTTTAAAAAAAAATTCACATTTCTCCAACTGTCTTTTTCTCTTATTTAAAAAATTATTTTAAAACATTTGCAGTGGGATACAAATAAGCTCCATAATTGTGGTGAGTTAATATGTCTAGTAATTCTTTTTTGATCTACAGGTCTGCTCTTCCCACCTTTTTCTCCTGTAATTGTTGTTGAAGAAACTGAGTCATGTGTCCTACAGTTTCCCACAGTCTGGGTTTTGCTGATTGCACCCCACAGTGTCAATTAATATGTCCCTGTATTTACTATAAACTGGTAGTTGAATCTAGTCTTGATAGAAATTTGATTTGCAGTGCTGGGAGACAAGACTGCTTTTCCGCAACTGAGCACTTATAGGCCATAGTTTGAGAAATGTGCTAAGGAACAGCTCACAACTTTAGTTACAAACAATATTGAGTTCTAATTTTTCAAGTGACCTATAAAGGGACTGAGGTAATCATTAAAAAAAAACAAGTCACTTATTCTGGAGTCTATATGGGAATTTTTCAAGCTTATAGTAATTCAAGCTGATAGTCCTTTGAAGGACAACAGCTATGCTTTGTAATAAGGTGTGCATTTTGACTCTAAAATTGACAAGAGCAGTGTTTTCGGAAGTTTCACTTTGGAGACATTTGTTTTGTTGTATTCTTACATGGAAGTTGAAACAGCATGATAGTAGAAACTCTTGAAACAGGAGGCACTGATGGAGACAGATATTTCTACCAGTAAATCTGCGGTTAGCCCAAAGTATACTGAGAATTTATTGCTAAAATATGGTAAACAAATGATTTGACAAAAGCCCCAAAATGGCTATCATCCTTTGAGTATGTACGACTTAGTAGAAATTTTCTTTCTGAAATTTTCTACTCCTGAAACTATGGCACTATATTATTTTTAAATGAGTCATCTAATATCACATGAAACTAATACATTGTCATAGTGAAAAAATTAGCTGTCAAATATCAAATGCAAGCACAATTGTTAACAATTTCCAGGATCAAATCTACGTTGTACATTTTAACTTGAATAAATATGGCTTTTACAGGGAAGCTATTCTTTGTCTCATGTTTATACACCAAATGATGTCCGTATGGTGATTGAATATGCCAGATTACGAGGAATTCGAGTCCTGCCAGAATTTGATACCCCTGGGCATACACTATCTTGGGGAAAAGGTAAGGAGTTGTATTTTATTTCATTTTATCTTATTTTTTATTTTTTGAGATGGAGTCTTGTTCTGTCACCCAGGCTGGAGTGCAGTAGTACAATCTCGGCTCACTGCAACCTCCACCTCCCAGGATCAAGCGATTCTCCTGCCTCAGCTTCCTGAGTAGCTGAGACTACAGGCATGCGCCACCATGCCCAGCTAATTTTTGTTTTTGTTTTGTTTTGTTTTTTGAGACGGAGTCTCACTCCGTTGCCCAGGCTGGAGTGCAGTGGCATGATTTTGGCTCACTACAACCTCTGCCTCCCAGGTTCAAGCGATTCTCCTGCCTCAGCCTACTGAGTAGCTGGGACTACAGGCGCCCGCCACCACGCTAATTTTTTGTATTTTTAGTAGAGACGGGGTTTCACCGTGTTACCCAGGATGGTCTTGATCTCCCCTCCTCATGATCGGCCCGCCTCGGCCTCCCAAAGTGTTGGGATTATAGGCGTGAGCCACTGCGCCTGGCCAGGAGTTGTATTTTATAAGTTGCAAAAGTGAATATTTGAGGTATTGCATTTCTTATTTTATGACCTAGTGTTTGCTCATTTTGTTCTTAATTGTGATTGGCCTATCAGTAATACTATTGACAGATACAATTCAATAGCTACTCTGTGTCTATTGTGAGCAAGTCATTGTGATTAGGTACTGCCTAAAGTATAAAAAAGGGAATGAAAGAAAACAAAAAGTGATTACAAAAAGTAGAACATGATAAGTGAATTCAAGAAATGGTTTCATAGATGAGGTAACACTTAAAATGCTTTTGAGTGATCACAGAATATATTCATGTTTCTGGTAGAGGAAATGGCATAAGGAAATGTGTGCAAAAAGTGTAAGATATGCTTGACAAGTATGTAGCTGGAGTAGAGTGTAGCAGAGTAGGAGGCATTATAGGGTGGTGATTAAGAACTTTGGCTTTGGAGCCAGACAGCTTGGGTTTGAATCTTGCTTCTGCCATTATAAACTAGGTGACCTTGGGCAAGTTACAATATCTCATCTTCAGTTTCTCCATCTCTAAAATGAGAATTAGTAGTAGCTATCATGTAATTTTTTTGAGAATTAAATAATGTAAAGCACATAGCACAGTACCAAGCATTTATAATTGCTCAATATTATTAGAGTAGACATGGGGAATAGTGAGAGGTAAATCTGGAAAAGCACATTAGCGGGCCTTTGGTGAGGAATGTGAACTTCATCAGGACACACTGGAAACCAGTGAAAATTTCTGAGCAGAGGAGTAACATGATGGGAACCACACTTTGGGAAAACCTTTGGGAAAGTGACAGATTGGAGTTCTGGACCAGGAGGGTGATAGTGGGAATGTAAAATAATGGACAGAACTGAGAGACATTCTGGAAATATCCATAGAATTTGGCAACTGATGGACTCCAGGAGAGAGGAGGTATATACTCTAGGATGACGATGGTACCCTTATTAGAATACGAAAATCAGGAGAAGCTAGAGAAGGGAGCTTAAGGACTGCAGATGTTGTTTTTTGTTAGCTTGTATTTGAAGTACAGCTAGGATATTCAGTTGTATCCAGCAGGGAATTTGAAATATGAATTGAAGCTCAAGAAAAAGCGTTGAGGCAAACTGAAGATTTGGGAGTTACTAACATTTGACATAGATAAAATCTCAGATATAATGGGAAACAAAGAGGCAAAGAGACAGGATTCAGGAAACCCTTCTTATCTGGAAGAAATTACTAGCTCTTAGTAAACATGTTCATCTTTTGTGTATAAAATCTTGTAGCTTCAATAAAATGACGTAGTAAAATCATGTGGAAAACCAGATCTTTATAATGAGTACACTTCTTTTAAAAAGAATCTTAATATTTTCTTCTAGGTCAGAAAGACCTCCTGACTCCATGTTACAGTAGACAAAACAAGTTGGACTCTTTTGGACCTATAAACCCTACTCTGAATACAACATACAGCTTCCTTACTACATTTTTCAAAGAAATTAGTGAGGTGTTTCCAGATCAATTCATTCATTTGGGAGGAGATGAAGTGGAATTTAAATGTTGGTAAGATGATTCCTTAAAACCCCTTTAAAAAAAAAAAAAAGAGAGGCTGGGTGCGGTGGCTCACGCCTATAATCCCAGCACTTTGGGAGGCAGAGGCAGGCAGATCACCTGAGGTCAGGAGTTCAAGACCAGCCTGGCCAACATGGTGAAACCCCATCTCTACTAAAAATACAAAAATTAGCTGGGCGTGGTGGTGGGTACCTGTAATCCCAGCTCCTTGGGAGGCTGAGGCAGGAGAATCTCTTGAACCTGGGAGGAAGAGATTGCAGTGAGCTGAGATCATGCCACTGTACTCCAGACTGAGTGACAGAGTGAGACTCCATCTCAAAAAAAAAAAAAAAAAAAAAAAAATGGAATAAAAAACCTGTTGCATTGAAGTAGCTGTAGAGGGCTCCACACCATAAGGAAGACTTAAGAGTAACATGCCTGCTTGTAAGGGTTTAAACTGGGCAACATGACTCCTGAGATGGTAGATTTGTGGAGAATGTACATTTTGGTATGGCAAAGTAAAGCTTGAGGAAAAACAAGATGCAGAAGAAAATGGAGATTCAAAAAAAGACTACTGTGAAATGAGAACACCTTTAGTGAAAGAGGGCAATCAATGATTAAATAGGAAAGATTTTTCAAATAAAAATTCTCTCTGCAAATAGCTTTAGATGGAGGAGAAAGGTGGTAAGGTAAAGAAAGCCATTTTTAAAGGAAATCAGCTTCTTGAAAAAATTGTTTGCAATGGATAATTAAGATAACTTGTAATTAAGTTTTTAGGCTTCTTTTTACTACCTACAAACTTTAATAGTTTTAAGTCTGCACAACTGATGTTAGGCATGTATACTGCTCTAAATAATAAACTGAGCATATCAAACTTCTAATGAAATTTTAATCACTTTTTGCTTCAGGGAATCAAATCCAAAAATTCAAGATTTCATGAGGCAAAAAGGCTTTGGCACAGATTTTAAGAAACTAGAATCTTTCTACATTCAAAAGTAAGTTGTTTGAAAGCCTATTTCTGTATTAATGCTTTTTGTAAAAGTTTATTTAGTAATGTGCTTTATTTTTTACATTTTCTCTACATCCTTTGCCTAAGTGTAGATGTGAAAAATCACTAAAGGAGGCAATACCCACTGCTTGCTTTAAATCAGTAACATGGTGACTCCAAGTATTTTCCAATAGCTGTTGAAATATAGGAAGGCAGTCATCTGTTCTAAAAACTCAGATTGGGCTGGGCATGGTGGCTCACACCTGTAATCCCGGCACTTTGGGAGGCCGAGGCAGGTGGATCACCGGAGGCCAGGAGTTCGAGACCAGCCTGGCCAACATGGTGAAATCCCATCTCTACTAAAAATGAAAAAATTAGCCAGGCATGGTGGCAGGTGCCTGTAGTCCCAGCTACTCGGGCGGCTGAGGGAGAATCTCCTGGGAGATGGAGGTTACAGTGAGCTAAGATCGCACCACTGCACTCCAGCCTGGGCAACAGAGTGAGACTGTCTCAATCAATCAATCAATCAATCCATCAATAAATATAAAACTCAGCTTGAAGCCCTGGCTACCCTGTGAAGTCTTCACTACCATCCAGCCCCTGGAATTCATTCCATTTTGTCAATTCCAGGAACATATATTTTACTATATACCTGTGCTACCCAATACAGTAGCCATAGCCACAGGTGTCTGTCCATATGTAAATTAATTAAAATTAATGAAAGTTAAAAATTCAGCTACTCAGTTGCATTAGCCACATGTCAAGTGTTCAGTAGCCAGCTGAGGCTAGTGACTGCCATACTGAAAAATGCATATATATATATATATATACACATTTCCATCCCAGGAAGTTCTACTAGACCGTGCTGCTCTAGAGGGATTGGCAAACTTTTTCTGTAAAGGGTCAGAGAGTAAAGATTTTAGGCTTCATGGGCCACATACAATTGCCCATGGACCACATACAATTTTTTTTTAACTTAAAAAAAACCTCAAATTTTAAAACTTAAAAAAAAATGCTTTACAAATATAAAAACCATTCTTAGCCCATGAGACATACAAAAACAGCCTGCAAGCTGTAGTTGCCAACCCTTATGCTGTACCATTTATTTGGCAAGCCCAGATTCCAGCCTTTGCCTGTTCAGCTTTTTGTGTGATGCATTTAAGTGTTATTTATCTGCAGAGCACCTGGCATTATGTAAATATCTGTAAATATTTGTGGATTGTCAGTAACTGTTACATGTAATTTATGTGATATGACAGGCTAGATCGTGGTCCCTACCATTTTAAGACAGCCATAAAATTGTAAGAGATTGCTGTTTGTACAATTTCCTGAGTTGCCTACCAACTCAATTTGAGGCCACTTCTTCCTATCTTAGGGGCATGTTTAACTCATTCATTCAGCAAATGATTATTAAACCCCCATACTATGTTAGGTTCTGTATCAAGTGCTAAAAAGGAGGAACTACTTGTGACACTTCCCAACTTGAGCTGCTTCTGCTATAAAGCTGAACTATACTAAAAGGCACCTCTCAAAATGCAAGAAATCCTTGGTAGAAAATGTACATGTTTTAAATATATTGTTAAGCTTATGATCTAAAATAACTATAATTTTTTTGTAATACTAGGGTTTTGGATATTATTGCAACCATAAACAAGGGATCCATTGTCTGGCAGGAGGTTTTTGATGATAAAGCAAAGGTGAGCATTGTGAAGACTGCATCTGATCAATATAAGAGACTTAATTATTTTTCTTGGGGCAACTGGGAATTTGCAAGTCTAACTACTAGTATTACCTTTCTAGTGTAGTTAGTGACCACTTTGGACCTCATAGTTCCAAGCTAGGTTTGGTAGAAATAAGACTAAAATGCAAGTCTCAGCTTTAGTTAACTGAACCTATGTGGTATCCATATATAAGCAAAAGTTAAATATTCAAACCTAAGGTTGATGAAACTTTTAAGTCCCTAAAATGAGTATCACATGGCACTAACTCTGAAGAAAAGAGGAAAAAGAAAATGCAGATTTTTTTTAAGGATCTTAGAAAATTATGTTCCTAGTAATAATGCCTTAAACTTTCAATTTCATCTACTGTTCTAGGCCTAATAATATGTATTGCAATTTGTAACGTTAATAGCTTGCGCCGGGCACAATAGTTGAAGTATGGAAAGACAGCGCATATCCTGAGGAACTCAGTAGAGTCACAGCATCTGGCTTCCCTGTAATCCTTTCTGCTCCTTGGTACTTAGATTTGATTAGCTATGGACAAGATTGGAGGAAATACTATAAAGTGGAACCTCTTGATTTTGGCGGTAAGTGAAGCAGTTGGTCCAAGTGTTGTGGGTTACTGTGAAGCTGATGGTAAGTGAAGCAACCATTGTTACCTTTGTTTTATGAGTTTTCTTCCCTAACCTCCCACCCCAGAAGTCTTTACCTAGATATTACCTACCAACTATCTTTTATGTTTGATCCTTGATTTTATGTGTTTTTTTAAGTTCAGTATCATTTTAAACTCTCAAGAAACCATACAGTTGCCTAAATTCAAGAACTTCAAAAGTATTATAGATCCCCTTAGATTTTATCTCCATTTTCAGTGATGGCTCCTCACTCTCTACATTCTAAAGGTATTTGATTGCATTAACCTTACATGCCCTCTTCTGAACTGCTTCTCCAATGTAAGACACCTAAGCAAAGCTATAGTTTTAGTTCAGTGGATTTCAGGCTGTGTTGTCTTAGGATTCTGAGGAGTAGAATCCTTGGTGGATGGGACAGGAGGGAACATCTGAAGGGTGGAGCTTCAGGCTCTCAGATCCCCTTCATAAAAAACATTCTAGTTTGTCCAATTTTGTACATTAGCCTTTAGTGAAAAATCACTGAAAAAGGATTTTGCTGTTTAAAAAAGTTTCAAAACCATAGGTCTATTAAGAATTGATAATTTTATATACAATGCATTTTATGAGGACCAAAAAGCGATAATTACTGATTTTTAAAAAGCATTAAGTGGCTGGGCACGGTGGCTGACGCCTGTAATCCCAGCACTTTGGGAGGCCGAGGCAGGTGGATCATGAGGTCAGGAGTTCAAGACCAGCCTGCCTAAGATGGTGAAATTCTGTCTCTACTAAAAATACAAAAATTAGCCGGACGTGGTGATGGGTACCTGTAATCCCAGCTATTCGGGAGGCTGAGGCAGAGAATTGCTTGAACCCAGGAGGTGGAGGTTGCAGTGAGCCAAGATCGCGCCACTGCACTCCAGCCTGGGTGACCAAGCAAGACTCCATCTCAAAAAAAAAAAAAAACACACACATTAAGTATTCAATTTCTGTTTTAAATGCCAAGAGGTAGAAATTAAAGGTAGGCATGGTGGTCACAGTCCACTAAAAAACTAGTATTCCAACTTCTATTCCCTGGCACACTACTAAATAGGCAACCAGGGATTTAAAAAATGGTTTCTGGTGTCCAGGTAAGTTTGCATAAAACCAAAATAAAACTGTTTAATACTGGCCCACTACATTAATCTATGGTGCTAACACGTGCTGTGAACCGTGGGTCAGGGCTGGGGATAAAGTTTGCAACCATTTTTTTGGGGGGTGGGGGAAGAGGAGGGGCCATCTTTTTTGTGCCACAACCATTAGCATCTCCCAAGGTCCTGCTAACCACGGGCAAGAAATGTTGCCCTAGGATAAAGATGGAGGAAACAAATCTTGATGAAATATTGCCTCTGTGTATAAGCTTTGAACTTCTGAACTTAATTCAATGATTTTAATTTAGGTACTCAGAAACAGAAACAACTTTTCATTGGTGGAGAAGCTTGTCTATGGGGAGAATATGTGGATGCAACTAACCTCACTCCAAGATTATGGTATGGGATTTACCTGATAACATTTAAGAATTAAGGTGCCTTAGCTTTCCTTCTCTGTCTAAACACAAAAGTGCTAAACATAAATTTAAACTGCTTGCGGGGGGATGTGTGATTTAAATTTTAGGCCTCGGGCAAGTGCTGTTGGTGAGAGACTCTGGAGTTCCAAAGATGTCAGAGATATGGATGACGCCTATGACAGACTGACAAGGCACCGCTGCAGGATGGTCGAGTAAGAAATCTATTAAGTCCAGTGTGATTTTTAACCTTCTTATTCAGTGTTAGTTTCTTTTGCTATAAATAGAAATGTATGTTACCTAACAAATAGTAATTAGAAGAAACCAGGAATTATTTTTTTGTAAGTAATAATACCTGTAAAGATATATTCAGACTTGTGACTGTTTTATAGATACAAAAAATGTTGGTGTAACTTAGAACTCCATCTTGAGTTGCTTTAATTTTCTTCCCTTATTTTCAGTAATGCTGTGATTTAGTGATTCTAATTTAAGTTTCTAAGATGACATGAATATCAATCTAAAATATCTTTATGAATGATATCAATCTAAATCAATCTAAAATATCTTTATTCATGTTATCTACAGACGTGGAATAGCTGCACAACCTCTTTATGCTGGATATTGTAACCATGAGAACATGTAAAAAATGGAGGGGAAAAAGGCCACAGCAATCTGTACTACAATCAACTTTATTTTGAAATCATGTAAAATAAGATATTAGACTGTTTTTTGAATAAAATATTTTTATTGATTGAACCTTTGACCCTCTATCTTATTACATTTAGAGGCCTGGCATCTTTCTTGTGAGACAAGCTTAAGGACACAAAAGAAACACAACTTTGTGATACCACTCTTCTGAAGGCTACTTATAGTAATAACTTCATAGATGAACAGCATGATTCAGGTACAGTGGCTTTAAACATCAAAGCACATTTCTCATTATATAAATTAAAACGGGTGGCTCCAGTGCCACTATCAAAGCTTAAGTTATATCTTTTATCTAGTTCTCTGAATGTACTGAAACAGTACTTTATTCGTCCAATAAATAAAGCAATAAAAATTGTTCTTACTGAAAATGAAGTAGCTAGGTGCTCCTGAATTTCTCTCCAAAAACTAAAACATTTAGGTCAAACCACTTCTCCGGTTGAGCAGTGTATTTTGATCTTGAGGATTCATGGCTTGATAAGTAGATAGTTCTAAGGCAAAAGTAGCTGAGCCTGATGTTAGCGTTCGAAGCACAGTTGAATAACCCTAATCAAAATAATTTAAGTCATTTATATTATCAAATTTAAGCCTCAAGTTTCTCTTCCTGCTGATTATCTTTTGACTATTAGGGAAAAGTGATGTTGCCACTTTTGTGGCTTAGCCATATCACTTCCTCCAAACAGATGATTTAACTTTTTTCAGGGTAAGTTGGATATAAAAACATTGAGGACAGAAAGCAGAGTAGTGCAAGTGTGCTGCAGATGTATTTGTTAGATGGCTTTGCCGGCAACCCAGGTGCCTGTCCTGGAGCAGAAGAGGCTGACGGGAGAAGAATGATAACTTGCCTTAAAACTGACAATGGTGGAAGTAAGATAAATGCTTGGCAGGGAAAAAATGGTCATATAGGCTGGTACCACATTTTGGGACTGTAAATACCCCCTTGTAGTGCTATAATCCCTGGATTTCGCCAACAATTTAAATTCAAAGTCCTAACCATTCCTGCTGGTTGAAACGAAACTTAACATGTATTCTCTAAATCAAAGCCTTAATGTTTCTTTCAGGTTACTGATTGTCTATTCATTGGCATATAATATCCCCTGAATTAAGAAGAATATGTACTTTTCAGTTACAAAGTACCTACCATAATTTCTGCTAAGGGAACAAATCCAATAACAACTTTGTTGTCCTGGCGAGTCTGAATTTCCTGAATGTTTCCTCTTCTTTGTGCCAGATCTGCCAGGACAGGGCTGAGATAATCTCTAGCTACTGTAACCTCAAGATTCATCAGAGGCTCCAAAACTTGCTTATCAGCTTTCTTCAGAGCCTAAAGAAATTAAAGAATGTTAACTTATCTTTCATAAATAAAAACTTAAAATAAATACAGCCTAGAGCTCATACAAAAAGACATAAGCTTGCTTTAACTCTCTCTTTAAAGATAACGTTTTATAAGATGGCAACAACTATAATATTTGCTTGTATAATAAGCATGATAACAGAATTTATAGATCTTTTGTATGGTATGATGCAAGGGGATGTTTATAAAAAATGCCTGTGAACATGTGGTCAGAGTCACAGAAAGTCCTCCCCTTTCAAAGATTCATTTGTTCATATTTAAACCTCATGTTTCTGTTCCTGATGTCTATAATTACAGTCCATGCCATGCCACATGCCAGAGACAGCAATAAAGGGGAGAGCTTAAAAAAAAGGAAAAATTTAGTGCAATAAGGTAGTAGAAACATTATGTAAAATCTTTTCTTATTTAGAATCTTAGATTTCAAAGGCCAAGAAGAACATGCATAAAGAATGTGGAAACTGAAAATGTCTTTCAGAATAAAATAATGGAATTGAAAAGGATGTAAAAATTAAGAGAAAAAAATCCTAAAAAAGATTGAATTCTGCATATCTAACTAGGGCATACCATGCTCACAGAACTGTTCTTAGTCCTCTTTTCACAATCTTTTCCTGTCAATATTACCTATCTGGAGAGCTTCAAAAACGACTTCAACATGGCTTCCTCAAAAACGTTAAATCCTATGCAGCCCATAGTTTGAGTGCTCCAGTCCTGTACTCCATTGGCCTGCTTTGGGATAGTGTCTGAATATCCGGCAGCTCTCCAACATGTCCCACACTGAGCTCATCATTTTCTTCTCCAAACACTTCTATGCACATCCCTTTTTCTGATGATGACATCAGTAGTCTTCAGTTCACCTTTGACTTCCTTTTCCCCAAGTAAGCTGTAAGATTTTTTTTGTTTTTCCCATTCCTATTGCTGGCATCCTAGGTCAAACTTAGTCCATTTCCTGTCCTCTACTATCTCTTCCCTATTCAAATCCCTTCTGTACTTTGATACTTCTCTCTTCGAAACCTTTAAATTATGCTCCACCATTCTCAGAACAAAGTTCAAACTCTTTAATGTAGTTTTTAAAGTTTTCTCTACAGTCTGAAACCATTTTACTTTTTCAACACACAACTCCCCTGCCTTCATCTGGTACTACAGTTAAAAGGACTCTTATCTGTGTCTGGAATGTCCCCCACCATGCTCACGTCCTCCAAAATCATCTCAGCTCAAATATAAATCTTTCCAAGAATCCTCCCCAATTCCCTGCTTCCTACTACTTTCATGGCATTCACCCATTTTATCTAATACTTTGGCTATATTTAATTCCCTTATGAAATCACAAGCTCCTTTAGGTAGAGTAAAATATAATCCTATTTGTGTCCTTCTCAGTGCCTGGTGAACTATAAGCACAACACAGATGACTCAATAAATACATGAAGCACTTACAAGCAGAGAGAAGGAGATTCCCCATTAGAAGAAGCTTAACAAGGGTAGCAGTACTTCCATTAGGAGTGTTTTGTTTGAAGTAACGAATTAACACTAATGACTAAATGTAAGCCCCCATAAAGTTAATTCTTGTTCTCTGGCATAATCTTATTAAAAAGGCAAATGAACATGGAAATGCAGACTTTATTTTTAGAAGGCATATTACATTTTGAAGGACAGGCCAATATATTGAGGGCTTGGGGTCAATTTAGAAACTGCATTATTTTTCAGATTACCTTAGTTTCAATATTAAAACCAATTTCCAGAGAAACTTTAAAAATTACTTGGGGATGGGCATGGTGGCTTACACCTGTAATCCTAGCACTTTGGGTTTGGGAGGCCGAGGTTGGCAGACTGCTTGAGCCCAGGAGTTCAAGACCAGCCTGGGCAACATAGTGAGACCTTGTCTCTTAAAAAAAAAAAAAAAACAATTTAAAAATTACTTGAGGGTGAATTTTCTCAACAATATCGTCATAACTACTTTGCAGGTAACATTTCCAACATACTCTTAGGTGAACAATATTTAAACTTTTTTCAAAGCTTTGTTTTTAATCAAAAAGCTTTTTAAGAAGTATAAATTTAAACTCATGTCGAAGAGATATCAAGTTTGGCTTTCTTAGGTTAGGGGTTTGGAATACTTAAATTAACTTTGTAATTTCGGATTCAAATAAAACTACAGAAAATTGGGTCTCAAACACAGTCCAAGTATTAAAAAATGGCTATAAAACCAAGTATAAATAATGCAAAAGCAATCACCTAAGAAATTAGGGTAGTTCAATGCTGAGAAGAATGCATGGAATCAGCATTCAGCATACCACACTCCTGGGAGTTAATCCAGTTCTGGTAGGTTCATGAGGCAGGAAGCGGAGGGTCCACGACACTTAAGGACAAACTCCCCAGATAACCACACCAAGAAGACCCATTGCTTGATGCTTTGAGAAGAGAAGGTGCTTAGCCTGAATCTGTTATTCAGTGGGACTTAACTGGTTTCAATGGTCCTTGATTAAAGCAATCTTTATAATTTAATATAAGTAGAGAAATATATGGAACTCTATAAGAATTTGCATGTCATCCTTGTGCAGGGCCATGCTAATCTTCTCTGTATCGTTCCAATTTTAGTATATGTGCTGCTGAAGCAAGCACTAAAGCAATCTTATTTGAATAACAATCTCCAAAACTGGAACCAATATTGGATCTTCAGTGTTCTTTAGATTACAGTCCATTTTGGGCCAAGCTAACCTCAAATCTGGCTTCTACTCAAACCTACCATGCTTGCCTCTAATAGCTGTCTGTCAGGGATGGGGAAAGCAGAAATGTCACTTAAGGAAGCTTGCCTCTTTATCAGAGTATATTCCAATAGCAATCCATGTTACATAGTAATTTCTAAGATCCTCTTTGAAATAAAAACCTGGTGATTAAGAAATCAGAGATTCTCCATGATAAGAACTCTTGTTGACCACAAGGCTGAGGAGGCAAAGACACAAGATAAGGCTCTGTAAACACAGCTGTCTGCAAGATCAGTGGTACTATACTCAGAAGAGTCACCTTAAAGCCATAAGGATTAGGATAGTTCTATACCTTTTGCACGCATCTTGAGACACAGGCAGAAATCATAGTTGTGGAGGTGCCAGGATGAATTGTCAGGGAATGTAAAGTAATTGCTACATCCTGAATTGGGGATCCAAGCAATGGTCCTAGACAAGGGAAAAAAATTGTATCATACTCTGCTAGATGTGAAGTGAGAAGTAACTGAGAAGTGCAAAGGAATAGGGAGAAAACACTAACAAAGTTAGGAAAAAGACTGAAATAATCTGTAATATAAGGAGTGATTAAATGGTTGAGTGGGATACTAATGCTTACTCTCATTTGAGTGTCTTACCTTGGAGACATGCGCTGTGAATTCCATTTTCAATGGCCTCTTGGGAGACCTTCAAAAGGCCTTCATTGATACTTTCAGCATACTCAAACTCAATCACAGGCATAACAGATGATGTTTCAATTGGCCTTGCTTCCACTTCTACAGTCACAAGATGCCTTTTGTCTCCTAAAGTTCTATCTAAGGTATCTGTAAACAAATTGAATATGGCACCTCAGAGATTAATTCTGGAAAGGTATCAAGGTACTATAAACAGCAAAATTATCATCAACAAGCTCAGGGTCTCATACAAGATAAAGTGGGAGAGAATATTAACAATGGCACTAAATACAGTATAAAAATCAGAGTAAAGAGCTCTACCAACAAAGCATCTGCTTCTGTGTTGATCAATGTTAAAAACCTGCTCTGTATCACCTATTGTTTTAACATTAAGATATGTTGAGGCACATGTTACGAAGATTATACTTTTAAACTTTTCAAAATGTCTTGTAGGTGATTGAAATCCTCTTAGTTACAAACTTTTATATTAAAAAAATTAAATGATAAAACCTTTACAAATATAAAAGGTAAGCTAATGAAAATTAAACGACTTTAAATCCTGACAACCCACAAAATGTTTTATATTGTGTATTTTTCCAGCAATATTTTATGCACTTACTGTTTACAATTTCTTTCCCAAAAAACCAGTAAAGTGTTTTTGGTAAGATTGAAAACAGCATCTCTTATTTGCTAAAAACCAACAATCTCCAATATTTTACTATGTCTGTTACCAATCTCCAATATTTTACTAAAACAAAACTATGCCATATTTATGTGAGGGACCATGTAATGCAGTGATTCATGGCCCAAATTCAAAACTAAGAATTATAGTCTATAATTCTTCATAATTCCTTTGTATGCTTACGTTTTATACTGTGAAACATTTTCTATTTAAAATTATACAGGCTGGATGTGGTGGCTTACACCTGTAATCCCACCCAGCACTTTGGGAAGCCAAAGTGGGAGGATTACTTGAGGCCAGGAATTTGAGACTAGCCTGGGCAATATAGCAAGACTCCGTCTCTGTAAAAAATAATAAAAATTAGCTGAGTATGGTAGTGCACACCTGTAGTCCTAGCTACTTGGGAGACTGAGGCGGGAGGATTGCTGGAGCCCAGGAGTTCAAGGCTACAGTCAGCTAAGATCTTGCCATTGTATGCCAGCCTGCTCAACAGAGCAAGACATTGTCTCAATATATACATGTTTATATATAAATATACGTTTATATATGAGTATATACATATTTATGTACAAGCTAAAAATGAGCATTCATGAAACCTAAAACTACTAAAGAGAGTATTACCAATATTTAGATGCCTTCTGAAGCAACCACTATCATATGTTATCCTCATTATTTTCTTTAGTGTTATATCACATATGCATGTATTTCTAAGCAATAGTTTACTTCTGCTTCATTTTAAATTTGTTATGCCATATGTATACGGCAACTTTTTTGTTCTATGTGTTTGGGAGAGTCGTCTGCACTATTTTCCGACTCCAGCCCTACTCCCCAACTTCTAACAGTCAGCACTTGGCATTCCACTATGAGGAAGACCCCTCCCTCTTCTTCCCTATTTACCTATGTATTATTATAAGTATGAACTTAGAAACTATTTTTTCCCAATGGTCTATACTTGGTATTCAAATTAATCCAGATTTGGCCAGCAGAGTCTCTTCAAGCTGGTTCCTGTGTCCTTATATACCCCCTCACCATCATTTTTTGACCATTTCCTCTCTCACACATAGCATGATATTCCATTATCCTTTCTTATGTTTTATTTCATTTTTAATTAACAAATAATTGTATATATTTATGGGGTATGTGATGTTTCAATACATGTATACATCGTGGAATGATAAAAATCAGGCAAATTAACATCTATCATGTCAAAAAACTTATTTCTTTGTACTGAGATTTAAAATATAAATTATTAACTATAGTCACTGTGCTGTGTAACAGATCATGAGAACCTATTTCTCCTGTCCAGCTGAAACTCCGTACCCCACTTCATCAACATCTCTCCTTTCCCCAGCTTTCCAATCCTCAGCCTCTGGTAGCCATCATTCTACTCTTCTACAAGTTAGACTTTTAAAAGTTCCACATATGTGAGATCATGCCCATCGCACCTATTTTTGATCGTTTCTTGTTCCTTACTAACACAAGTGGCCCTTGAATAATGTGGGGGCTAGGCGTGCTAAACCCCCATGCAGTAAAAAATACATGCCTAAATTTTGACTCCCCTGAAACTTAACTACTATAGAATACTGTTAACAGGAAGACTTACCAACAAATAAACAGTCAATTAACACGTTACATGTATTTTATATTGTATTTTTACAATAAACTAGAAAAAAAAGTTACCAAGAAAATCGTAAGAGAAAATATATTTACTATTTATTAAGTAAAAGTAGAACATCATAAAGGTCTTTATCCTCGTCATCTTTGCACTGAATAGCCTGAGGAGTAAGAAAAGGAGGGGTTTGGCTTGCTGTCTGAGGGATGGCAAAGGCAGGACAATAATCCATGTGTAAGTGTACCTGCATACATACTTTAAACCCATGTTGTTCAAGGGTCAACTGTACTTTCTATCGCCTCTCTTATTTCTTCAAAGATAGTATTTTATATTCTACATCTCATAATTCCAATAACTGAAGCCTTTGCTGGTATGACTACCTATTGTTTCTATTGCCTTTTTGCTCATTGTGCTTTTTCTCATGGTTTTCTGATTTAATTTTATTATGAGTTAATATTCTTTTATGTGTGGGGGTTTCTTTTTTTTTTTTTTTTTTTTTTTTTTGAGATGGCGTCTCACTCTGTTGCCTGGGTTGGAGTGTAATGGCACGATCTCAGCTCACTGCAACTTCGCCTCTGGGATTCAAGCAATTCTCCTGCCTCATCCTCCTGAGTAGCTGGGATTATAGGCACTCGCCACCATTCCCAGCTAGTTTTTGTATTTTTAGTAGAAACGGGGTCACCATATTGGCCAGGCTGGTCTCGAACTCCAGACTTCGTGATCTGCCCACCTCAGCTTCCCAAAGTGCTGGGATTACAGGCGTGAGCCACCAGACCTGGCCATGTGTGGCATCTGAGGCCTGGGTTGATGATATCTTTGGAGAAGCCCTTTTTTCCAGGTTCCTTGGGATACTACCAAGCCATGAGCACTTTACACTAAAGAACTAAGTTCTTCTTGGTCTGGAGTTTTTCAGGGCACACTGGTTCTATGAACTTAGGCTAAAGACCTGTATCAGAAGCCTATGATTACAAATTCTCAGAAATCTTGTTCCCTTACCATACAGCCAGACAAGCAAGTTTCCTTGCCCTCTGCTTTTGTGGAAAGGACTTTTCCTAGTTAATTCTTTCCATGAGGATATGGCTCTCAAGCACTAGGTTAGAGACAATTACAGATTCTTCCAGAATAACTCTAGCCTATAGTGCTGACTTATTTTCCCAGATTACTACTCCTACTTCCTTTTTGACTTCTGGAAAATTCTATTACATTCTAGTCAGCTCAGACATTAAAAGTTGTTATTTTGAGTTCTCTAGCATTTTTAGTTTTTCCAGATAAACAGTCCAGAAAGAGAACGCCTCATGCTATTTGCTCCTGTATTCTGCTTAATTTTTCAAGTTTCAGTGAAATGTAACCATCAGGACTTCTCACAAACTAATGAGGAACTTGAAAGTACCTGGTTATCCTAAACGTCTTTTTTTTTTTTTTTTTAAACAATTTCCCACAAACCTTTCCACACTTTCTTCTTGGGGGTGAGTAGCAATAATTGTTGTCATGTTTTTTGGCTTAAGGGAACCAAATTAAAATCATATGCAGAAAAATTGTGAGTTTTTACATTTGGGAATAGAAGTATAAAAACTATAGTTTCTCAAGATTACTATCAGCATAGAATAATCATATTTATTAAGTACTGAAACTGACTTTCTACTTTTACTTTATAGAGTAAAAATAACACATTGACTTCAAATTCTTAGACTAGTTCTGATAGTGAGGACTGGGACAAGCCATCGACTTCAGTGGCTTACTCTATTCCATGACCACTGAAAAGGACACTTGGTTGATGAGTGGTCATCCAGGAGATGTTATGGCTGATAATCAAATAGGGCTTTCTGTATTCAAAACAAAATCCTAAAAAAACAAAAAAACCCCACATACATAAAAACTGTCTCCTCTGATAGAAGACATTAGTGACTATGAACACTGCTTTCAGCAACTAAATAGAGAAAGAAAGACAGAAAGAGAGAAAAAGCAAATCCTAAATGTTTTACTTTTTACCTGTGGCACGAACTGAGTTTAGGATGGTCTCTCGATATGCCACCTGGAGAGGCCCGAGATAGGTCTCCAGTCCATATTCCCTCTTGATTCGATCATGAATAATCTCTATATGTAACTCCCCCATACCACACAGAACAGTCTGGTTACCAGAGGAATGAAATAAAAGATTAAGGGTAAATTATATTTATTGCAGAATACTATATAAAAGTATGATGTTAATACATACTTATTTTTAATTAATTACAGTTTCCTTTGTAATTCTTTTTGGCCCGGGGCTTTTACATCAAAACATTGCTTTTGACTTTTCTGACTGGAATAATGAATCAATAAACAATGAATTACCTGGCCATTCTCTCCTTCTTCTTTGATAGTTGAATTATCTGCTGGGCAAGTAGCATCTGGCTAAGACTAATGATGCCAACACTTAGCTAAATACCAACACTTCCCAACCGCAAAGCCAAATTTCTGGCCAATGGAAGATGAATATAATTGATGTGGACAGCTTCTGGGTGGTGCCTATAAGAGGAGGGTAAAGCCCCTTTTATTTTTTATTTATTTATTTATTTATTTTGAGATGGAGTTTCGCTCTTGTTGCCCAGGCTGGAGTGCAATGGCATGATCTCGGCTCACTGCAACCTCCACCTCCCAGGTTCGAATGATTCTCCTGCCTCAGCCTCCCAAGCAGCTGGGATTACAGGCATGTGCCACCACACCTGGCTAATTTTGTATTTTTAGTAGAGATGGGGTTTCTCCATGTTGGTCAGGCTGGTCTCGAACTCGTGACCTCAGGTAATCCACCTGCCTCGGCCTCCCAAAGAGGTGGGATTACAGGCGTGAGCCACCGCACCCGGCCAAAGCCCCTTTCTTAACGAAAATGTAGGCAACTGTCATGACACATCAGAATGAGGGCTATACCTTGTAAATGGGGGGAATAACCTTTCTAAAAAACCTTTCCCAACAACATGGGCATTTCCCAATCATCCAGGGCACTTTACAGCTTTGTAAGCAGTCAAAACCTTCAGACTAGCTTGAACCTTCATATGAGGGAGAAACTGACTTTTATCTTTTTTGAACCAATGAAGACTAAAGGTATTAGCGTATTAGCTTGAATCTATGGAAGGGACTGGAGACTAAAGGTCAACTACATGGACAGTATGATCAAGCCCCAATAATAATTCTGGCCACCAAAGGCTCGGGTGAGCTTCCCTGGTTGGCAATACTCTGCCAAGAGGGTAACATGTCCCTGAGGATAAAGGAAGCATTGCAAATGTTTAAAACCCTCCCAGACTTTGCTCTAAGTGTCTCTTTGGCTGATCCTAATTTAAATCCTTTTGCTGTAATAAAACTGTAATCACAAATTTAAAAAAAAATCACTTGGTATAGGACTGCTATACTTTAAGTTAAAAAGTGAACTATTTGGGGAAAATAGTTGTAAAATAATACAAATAAAATGACTTGTTTATAGGTATCTGTACATATATACTTGCAAAACTATATTATGCTGCTGCATAACAGCACAGCAGAAGAACATATGTTTGGGTAAAAAGTGTGAAAGGCTATTCACCAAGTTTTCAGTGGTTATTCTGCAGAATGAGATGGAGGAACAGAGAAACGGACTTAATTATTTACTTGGTAGATTTGTGTATTATTTGCTTTTTTTTTTTTTAAACGTAGTGCCAGTTTTTATTTTATTTATTTTTATTTATTTTTTTCAAGACAGGGTCTCGCTCTGTCACCCAGACTAGAGTGCAGTGGTATGATCACAGCTCACTGTGGCCTTGACCTCCCAGGTTTAAGCAACCTTCCCACCTCAGCATCCTGAGTCGCTGGGACCACAGGTGTATGCCATCATGCCTGGCTAATTTTTAATTTTTTTTTTTTTTTTTTTTTTTTGTAGAGACAGGGTTTCCTTATGTTGCCCAGGCTGGTCTTGAACTCCTGGGCTCAAGCAATCCTCCCAAAGTGCTGGGATTACATTTCAATTATTTAAATAATAGGTTTTTTAAAATAAAACATTTCTGTTTTAATTACTGTTATCATACTCTTCAGTATCAATTAAACTAAATTACTACCTCATTTGGCTGGCATTTTGGGAAAACAAAGTACTCCATGCTTTTCCAGGTTAACTAAATCAGTTTATCCTTTTTAAAGATAAATTTATAACCTTTTTAAGAAACTCCTTCTAAAATCTTATGTAAACATTACCCTGTCCTCCTAAAAAGAGGATGCAGAATGTAATTTAATCATTTCTTGATGAATCAAAACATCTGTTCTACTGTGCTATATTATACAGCACAGTTCTGCACCTACTTTAAAACTCCACTTCCTCTCACAGTGTTACATTGTAATCTATCACTTCTCTCCCATTTTAGGTGTTTTACTGTCTTCAAAAGCACCTTCCAATCCTCCTTCTAGTATGCTTCTTTTATAAGCCTTAACGTAAAAGGCTCAAGGCTTTGCCTTGATTAAACCTTATTTCAAAATTTCACAAAAAGCTGTCTTCAGGAATGGTAAAAAATGTTGGGAAATAGTTTATAAATGTGAAGTGTAATTATATAAGGAAAATTTGCTTATTTAGCTTGATAGTCAACATAAAAGCAGAAATTTGTATTATGAGAGAATTTAAAAAGAAAGGTTTTTCTTTCAGGACACAGACTTAATGTTTTAGACACACACACACACACACACACACACACACACACACACACACACACACACACTCTTATAGAAAGGCTTCTGGAGTTTAGCAATAATATACCTACTTGTCCAGAGTCAGGATCTAGCCTCACTTTCAAACTGGGATCTTCACGCTGAAGACATTTCAACGCATGTTCCAAATCTATGGGATAAACAACTGTTATCTTTACATTTCATTTTTTAAATAATTTATTATATGTTCTAGTGGGTAAAACAGATGGATAAGCAAACAAATTTTGAAAAAGAAATTTCGACCAGGTGTGGTGACTCACGTCTGTAATCCCAGCACTTTGGGAAGCCAAGACAGAATGATCGCTTGAGCCCAGGAGTTTGCGACCAGCCTGGGCAACATGGCGAAACCCCGTCTTTACAAAAAAAGAAAAAAAAAAAAAGACAATTTCAAACAGCCATACATACTGCAGAGACAAAAAGAAGCTGATATAATAATAATAATGGGAGGCTACCTGAGACTGAGTGGTCTAGGAAGGCCTCTCCAGGATGACTTGAGACAGAAATGAACAAACTATAAGCAAAATCCTGAAGAAAAGGAATCCCAGATAGAGGGAATGGCTATACAAGGAACAATCTGCTGTTGGGAAAAAGAGCAAGAAGACTAGCAGCTAGAGATCAGTGGGCAAAAGGAAGAATAGCATCAGATGAGGAAGGAGATGTGTGGCAGGGATCATATCATGTAAGGTCTTGTAGGCCATGATGAAAAGTTTGGGTTTGCACTGCGAAGCCACTGAAAGGTTTTAAGAGGAACAGTAACATCATCTGATTTTATTTTCCAAATATCAATTTAGGAGCTGACAAAAAAGTAAAATGCCTTCAGAAAAACTGGCAATAATGAAGTGCCAAAAGGAGGCTAAAATTACATCATGAATAAACAGGTACTAGTATAACTCTATGATGAATTATCACAACCATTGCGAAAATAATGTATATTTTAGATGGCATTAAGTATGCCATCTAAAGTGATATTTTAATACACTCAATTAACTGATAAGTATACTCTCCCTCTTTTTATAAAAGAAATATGTTAGAAGTTCCACAGACAAAGTGTAGCTAAAGAAAAGAGCTGAGCACTGGATTAATGAGCTAACCTTATCAGTCACACATTCAAAGTATCTTAGGTATACAAACCAGGCCTTTTAGACCCACACTATCCAAATGGTAACCACAGCCATTTGGGGGTATTAATGTTATGAACTGCCAGATGCTGTAAATGTAAAATAAACACCAGGTTTCTGAGACTTACTGTGAAAAAAAGAATGTAAAATATCTCAGTAATATTAATAATTTTAATATTGTAAATATTAGTAATTTTAATATTGATATATTGAAGTAATATTTTGATATATTATGAAAATTTATTTCACCAGTTTGTTTGATGTGGCTATAAGAAAATTTTATATTACATATGTAGGTCACATTATATTTCTACTAGACAATACTGTTCTAGACCCTTGACATCCCAAAGTGGGCTCCAAGGACCAGCAACACTGGTAATGCCTGGAGTCTGACAGAAATGCGGAATCTTAGGTTCTGGACCTACTGAGTCAGAGTCTACATTTTAACAAGAATCCCAAGAGATGTGTATGTACGTTCAAGGTTAAGAGGCATTATTGTAGATAATATTTTATTTTAAGCACATACAGATACTCAAACAGAGTACATGCGTATGACACTAAGTGACTTTTGGAATAAAAATAACTTTTACTGTAAAATAAATTATTTTAAAATATTTGTGATGTTAGCATTGTAACAGGTATCGAGGGTTATAACTGGACCATGGGGTAAGTACAATAAAAGCACAAAAAAGAAACATGTAGATCTGCTTGAAAGAAGTCTAAGTAAGGGAGCTTTGGTAAATCCCTTCCTCTTGGGGGCTTAGGACCCCTGAGCTAATGCCCATTAATGAGACTTTGGATACCACACTTTTTCTCCTAAAGTAGTTAAAGGCTTGAGTTCTTAGATGCAAAACTGGCTGGTGCAATTTCACTGCAAGCCCACAATTTGAATTTAGGTGCTCATGCTGCATCTGAAATATAAAATGACTCTCAAATATATTTCAAAGAATCCATGGGTTACTTTGTTTGGGCAGCCCCTGCTCTTAAATGCCTGGCCACTCCTGATACAACCAGCTTGGTTAACTTTGATATACTTAGGCAGCCAGATGCATCATCACCTGATCCTTTTCCACTAGAATAAAAACTATACTTAACTGTCCTCAAGGCATTTAAAGTAACAGAAAAATTGCTGTTAGGCCCATTTTAACTTAAATGCTATTCCTTCAGCAAGTGGACACAAAAAGACTCAGTTTCAGTTTCCTTCAGTACTGGGGGCTGTCTTACATCTATATTCAGATTTCTTTCATGTGAACTCCATTTGGGGAGGTGAGCAACTGTAACCTCTACTGGGCTAGGGATCTTCCTTCTTTCTCCCTACAGGGTCCTCAGGAAGACAAGGGGAGGCAATAGAGATTGCTTTTGTTCTCCCATAATCTGTGAGTCCAACTTGTTTTCAAAGGAAAGAGGGCTTCTAATGCCACTTCTAGAACTAGAAGGTCTGTCCTTAAACAAACAGTCTAATATAGGAATTCAGTGAGAGCCTCATAAAGTGTGATGCTTGAGGTGAGACCTAAAGAAAGGGTAAACCTTTTCCAGGCAGGTTAAGTTCATGGGCTACTATTATAATGCAAGAGAGAACAGAAGAAAAGAAATAGCGATGCAAAAAAGAGCACGGTACCTTCAGGAAATCACAATTATTTTACTGTGGGAGCATAAGGTGTGGCTAGGTACTATAGTTTTATTCTAATTTGGGTTAAAGAAGAGGGTCAAAATGAAGGCGGAAGTTTCACAAGAAATGAAGCCAGGCAAGAAGGCTGTGGCAGAGACTACTAGCAGCCTTCCACTCTACTCTGCTGCTGCCTACTTAAAAGGCTGCTTTTACCAGACTTCCTTGCAACAGGCTGCCATATGTCTCAGTGCTGGCCAATGACATAGAAGAAATCTTAAGAGAAAAGGGGTATTATCTTCTTCCTTCCCCTTACTCCTTTCTGTTGTCAGGAACTCCAAGGTGATGCCCAAGGCTCCAGGAGCTATGCACTCAGGCAGGACAAAAAGATTAGAGCCTGGATCCCTGATAACATTGTGGAGCCACTCTAATCCCTGACTACCAATTCAAGGCTTCTGTTAGGAGATAGAGAGAAATAAATTTTTGTCCTATTAAAGCAATTGTTATTTGGGGGTTTTCTGCTATATGTAACCAAATCTAATTGGAAATTATAATTGGAATCATGGGTTTTACATACCACACTAAAGAGTTTGGGTGTGTGCTAGAAGTAATGAGAAGCCACTGAAAAAAATCTGAGCTAAAATGCTAAAGAACAAAGTTACTAACAAAAGGTCAAACAAGATTATCCACAGTATATAAATATCTTCATTGAGTTCTAGAGGTTGAGGTAGAAAACAAGGTAAAACAGCATTTTTATACATGATGATGACAAACTGAATTGGTTATGAATCAGTTACTGTCTAATCTAATATACTAGAAGGGCAGTTCTAAGGCCAATTACTTAGAATCCCATAGATAGCACTACAAGAGTAAGGAAGAATATAATATGAGAAGAATGGCCAAGAAATAAGAAGAGAAAAAAATGAAGGCATTTGTAAAAATCAAAACATCTTAAAAAACAAGACCAACCACAAGAAATGTTTACCAATATATTCAGATAAAATTTACCTCAATCACATAAGAAATCTCTTGAGGGTATATTGCAACTATTTTATATAAATTATCAGCGCACTAATTAGTTGACACACTAAGACCATTTATACCTGGCTGCTTAGACAGTGATGGGGGTTCTATGGTACAGAAGAAAACAGGTTCTGGAATCTCCACTCCAGCCAATAAAAGTCTCTCTGCTTCATTGTTTTGTCTGTGCTTCTTTTCTCCCTCCCGTTCGGCTCTACGAGCTGCAGCTAATGCACTGGACTTGGATGAGACAATGGTGTCTCCAGTGGCAGTCTGCAAGCAAACAAGATGACTTGGAACGAAAGTGGCATTTAGCAAGCGCTCATCTTACACCAAGAACCACAATATAAGAAAACTTTTTTGTGGCCCTTTCTTTTCATCAGAACTTAAAAGAGAAATAAAATTCAAAAAGCTCATTAATAACTTTGCATAAGTAAAGCTAATTTAACTTGCATAAGAATTCTATCCAAAATACTGTTGTAATAAATTCTAACAAACAATAAAACACACACACATACACATCCAAAATCATTTGGCAAAACAAATGTACCTTCCTAAATTTTCAATCATGACAAGACAGGTTAGGGAGAAGTCCATTAGAGTGTTCTACCACCCATAAGAATTTATTCCTTTTTTACAGAAAATCTCCTATTAACTAAAATATATAATTAACCAGAATACCCTTAACTGTGCAGATTGCTGGCTTCCATGTAGAGCCCAATTATCTTTTAAAAACTGTAATTTCACTTCTAAACTTTTATATTGTGAAGTTCTGTGCCAGTTTCCTTCTCTGTAAAAACAATCCTACTGAAGCAATAGTCCCAATGTATTTGTAGAGCTTCTTCAAATACATACAAGGAGCTCCTGCCTTCAGGGAGATAGAGGGGACATTCCAATGCCAGAAGTCCAGTGACCAGCCTATAGGAATTTTCTACTGAAGGATCTTCAAACTTGAAACTAGTCATGAAGAGTTAAAATGTTTAAAATAACAATGCTTACTACATAAAGGTCAATGAGAAAATATTTGATTTAATCCATATAAATGAAATATCCTTAGTTTTAACCCATGAAAAATAAATACAACATCAAGTATTTTCATCGATTCATCCTACAATTATCTATGGAGTGTCTACTATATGCAAACACTGATCTATGGACTGTAGGGCATTGAACAAAAAAGACAAAAATCCTTGCTCTCATGGAGGCTTTACTAACAAAACATTATAACCTGATCAGTTATAAGTCTAGGTTAAATTTTTTGCAATGCTCAAGATAGGAATAAACCCAATGGGAACAAAACAATATTTTATATAAACTTAAAACACACATATATGTATATACATATATATCCATAAACAGTATGTTATTTTACTTGGATTTGAACTTTATATGAATACAATCCATCCCGTCTGTGGTCTTCCGTAATCTACTTTTCTTCCTAGTAAATGTATGAGATTCAGCCATGTTGACAAATATGCCATAATATTCTTTATTCTACTATTGATGGACATTTGGATTGTTTATGGGTTTTTGATATTACAAGTTGCTTACTTGTAATTAAATATTTAAGCTGTTATTTCCTAGAGAAATCATTTGGTCACTTACATGTTTAAGCCCAACAGTCAAAGCAATGTTACCAGCAGTCAATGAAGGGATTTCTACATGTTGGTCAGCAAACGGCAAAAGCAGACGACTTATTCTCTCCCTGTAAAATCACAATTTTATGTTAGTAAAAGTATTTTTAAAGAAGTGCATACAGTTTTATAAAATAATCTAAGCTTCTACTTACGTGCAGTTTCCATTAATATTATGAATGGCCAACTGGGGTTTTATAGTGCCTGAGTAAATGCGCATAAAAACCAGTGGTCCTCGCTGCTTGTCATGGAGAACTTTAAATGCCAATGCACATAAGTCATCCTTATACCACTGCCTATAAAATAAACATTCCAAAAAGGCCTATAAAATACACTTCCCATAACTGCAGAAACTTAACCTTAATGTCCCCAAAGATCTATTTTATCTTCTAGTAGAGCTACTTAGAGCCACTAAATAATGTCTTTGTTACGTAACTCTCTTCTTCCATTGACTAAATTACTCAATGGAGATCTTACCATTAATTCCTCAAAACTAAAAATAACAGATTCTCTTCCAAATATTACTTCTATTTGTGAATAATTTCATTGCCAAGAGCTCTCCCCATGAAGGCTATACCTGGGAATATCACACTACTTATCAAGAAATCTGCACAGGGTAAATAAATAGGTACTTTCCAATTACTGCTTTTACGCTCTCCTTCCACTTTCTGTCCATTACATAACCATAAAAATCTATACTATAAACTTGAAATTGTTCACATAACCAACACTCTTAACAGAATGATGTTCTTAAACTGGTAATCACTGGTAAGTTTTAGAATTGAGTTCTCCTGCAATTGCCAAATTTTGCGCATCTAAGGAGAGCTCCATATTTTCATTAGTTTCAAAGGAATTCCTGACTTAAAGTAGTTTAAACACTTCTATGACAGAACTTCTCCAATCTTATTCCCATTCCCTCCAATTTTTAACTTTAATACATACTAATATAGAGCTTACTATACCAGGCACTGTTCTTTGTGCTTTACTAATCATTTAATTCTTATAAGAACACCATGAGATAGGTCCTATTCTTTGCATTTTATAGATGAGATGTTAAGGAACTTGGAAAAGCTAGGATTTAAATCCAATAGTACAAAGCCTGTGCTCTTCACCATCATGCCTCTCCAATTTAGAGATATGAAAAGTTATTAATGTCAGGATTAAGATAATTAAAGTCCATTTCTCTGCCATTTTACACATTGCTTACTCAGATTTTAAAGGACTTATTACTTAAGTACAAAGCTTTTAGTGACAATAGGAGTAAAACAATGACCTTTCTTTATAGCCACAAAATATTTTGAGCTTATGAAAAATCCTGAAATCCAGATGAATATAACTATAGAATATTTAACAAACATCCCCAGGATATCACTTTTCTAAGACTAAGATGGCAGGGTCAACACTTACACTTTTACACAGTGAAAAGACATACCTCTTAGCTCTATGTGTAAGACATCTCTTTTTACAAGAGATGAAAAATGTTCCTTTCAAGCAAAAATTACTATGATTCCTTATTACATCATTTGCAATAACACTCACCACTATTATTCAAAAATGGTGATTTAACTACTTTTCATAAAAGTATTTGCCTACTTGTTTCTTCAAAGCTATAGAATTTTAATATATGTGATTGCATACTTACAGAAATTCATAGTTACGCTCTTCAGGTGAAGGTAAGTACATAGTAACAGCATCTAACAAGGGCTGTATCCCTTTGTTTTTCAGGGCACTTCCACAAAGCACAGGCACTGCTGTCTGAGCTAGTGTCACTCTATGTATTGCAGTCTGTAGCTACAGAGCAGAGATACAAATGAGCATTTATTTTGTGTACTGGTCTTGGCGAGAAGCTCAAAATTAGAGGTTTTCTCTAACCAGCCATGTAACCAGCACTCCTCATCACACCTTCATCATTTTGTTGGCTTAGTTTTTAACACTCATCACTATCTGGATGTTAGATATTTATTAGTTTATCTGTCTCCTATTCGCTAGAATGTAAAATCCATATAAGCATTACCCCTGGAAATACTGCTAAATCCCCAGCAACAAGAAAAGTGGTTAAAACAGGTGCTTAAAAATATTTCTTGAATAAATGAATATACTTGTGATTTAACCTTGATAGTCTAACAGAGGAACTGATCATAAATAAAATATGTAAATCTGAGTTACCATTTCTTCAAATAAATTAAATCCATATTAAACAAAATCCTAAGGGAAAAATGAGAAATCCAAGTAGGAAAATTTTTAGAAAGATTTCAAAAAACAAGAAAAGCTTGAGTGTGTTTGCAAGCTATTATTGGTGGGTCAATTCTACTTTAGATTGTGAGCTCTCTGAAAACATAAATCATGTTATGTGAAGATAGGGTACAATAAATATCACATTTAAACACTCAAAAATAAACAGTTTCAAAATTCACATTTCATTCAAAAGAAAAAATACTTTTTTTCATTCTAACTTATGAGTGGCTCAATAACATGTTTCAGCTCTTGTGTTTTTAATTCTTTTAATGACTACTAAGTGAATTTGCTAGGCTCATCTTTGGCTCATTTTACAGATTATTACTTAGAAATACTTTGCTTGGCAACTCTTACGTTTCATAAAGAAAAATAAACAGTAAATTTGCCAAATTCCATGGGGAAAGTCCCTGGCAGAACAAAACAGAGTTTCCTTCAAGAAATCTGTCATAATTCAGTTACTATCAATATTTTAATTGCCTCTTCTCTGGCTTACTGTATGTCAAAAGACAAAAACAAAGAACTGTAATGAGTTTCCATGAAAAATTTAAAAAGATTCAGAAAATAATGTTCTCAGAAAAATGGTAATTGTAGTAGCCTGAAACAACAGTAAATTTTAATATAAACTTTCTGTGATTTCCCTAAACATCCTTAGAGGAATTATCAGAATGAAAAGACTACAGAGAATGAGTAGTTAACTGATGCAGACTCAATAGAAGTTAAACAGATTCAATTTTTAATTTTGTAAAGTATATATGAAAGTAATAAATCACTGCCAATAAGTATTGTATTAGTAGTGACTTTAACTTAATGTTCTCCTAACTTTAAACTTACCACTTTCTAATAATATGCAAAGTTTAAAAAAAAAATGCACACACATCAAAGGCAGAGAAATCAAACTACATCCAATTAGTAAAATTTTGTGAAAGCCATTGAATAATAAAATTTACCTTTTCAGCTGGTAACAAATCAAAATTCTCACTAAATTCTTCTAAAACCAAGTCAGCAAATTCATCATCCAAATCTGCAACCTATAAAGAAAGGTTTTAGAGTTCTATAACTTGCATTTACTTTCATTAACTATTAATTTGTCCAAACACCATAAACAGACAATATTCAAATATTTCAAGACAGCTACCTTACCTAGGCCAAGCAACTCTTCACTTCTTCTAAAGAGATAAAGAAAAATGTTTTTCTTTGAAAGGAAAAGAAATGGAAAACTAAAGATACTATTAGGAGTTTCCTAAATTCACAGAAAGCCAGATCCTGATAAAGCATCTTAATTAAATGCTATCAGTGTGCTCAAAAGAAATCAAAGAAAATGTGCAACTTACAATGATAGCACATACAATGGATTGGCCTTTCTTAGATAAATCTGGAGGTTTTAGTTTATAAAAAAGTTTCATCTGGTTTTCCTCTAATATTCTGAATGTTCACCAGATCTCCCAAGACAGTCAAACTAAGAGAATTAATGTTGCTGTAATCCCGCACTGAAGAAATACATTTATGTTAGGGAAGGGAGGCGTAGGCAATATTTCAATAATAAAAATGCAATTGTCTATTTCACATTCTTTTCATGACCATCCGACTATACGAAATGGGATCATTCAGCTGACAAATTAATAAAACAGCTTCAAAAGCATATAACAGTACAAGGGAGCAAAACGTTCAAACTTGGTAAAAAAAAAAAAAACCACACTGTTAACAGGATTAAGTATAGCAGAAATGTACCTAACCATCCTTCTGGAAAGCATTATATGTGATGGTTAAGCTCAGCTTCTGGAATCAGACTACCTAGAAATGGTTCCACCACTTACCCACTTGTTCAAATTTTGGTCAAGTTATTTCACCTCTCTGCCTTAGTAACTCACAAAGATGATAGTAGTATCTACTTCTTGAGGCTGTTATAAAGATTAAATAATTCAAATTATGCTTTAAGAATATATACTAGTGTATAATAAGTATTAGCTATTATTACTGTGCACCTTCAATATTGGAAGTTGATTCTATTCCACACTAATCTTATCCACTAATTTAAAGGAAAATTTTAAATTATCGCAAAATATACACAACATAAAGTTTACCATTGTACTCTTTTTTTTTTTTGATACGGAGTCTGGCTCTGTCACCTAGGCTGGAGTGCAATGGTGCGATCTCAGCTCACTGCAACCTCTGCTTCCTGGGTTCAAGCGATTCTCCTGCTTCAGCCTCCTGAGTAGCTAGGATTACAGGCGCGTGCCACCACGCCCAGCTAATTTTTTTGTATTTTTAGTAGAGACAGGGTTTCACCATGTTGGTCACGCTGGTCTCAAACTCCTGACCTCGTGATCTGCCCACCTCAGCCTCCCAAAGTGCTGGGATTACAGGCATGAGCCACCACACCCAGCCCACTGTACTCTTGCACAGTTCAGTAGTGTTAAGTACTTTCACATTATTGCACAATAAATCTCCAGAACTCTTTTCAACTTGCAAAACAAACTCCATATACATTAATTAAACAACACTCTATTCTCTCTGCCCTTCCCCAGCCCATGGCAACTGCCATTCTACTTTCTGTCTCTGAATCTGATTACTCTGGATCCATGGATTTGGGTTGCTTCTACCTTTTGGCTATTGTGAAGAATGCTGCTAAGAACATGTGTGTGCAAATATCTCTTTGAGACTCTTTTCAATTCTTTTGAGTATATACCCAAAAAGTGGAACTGTTGGGTAATATAGTAACTCCATATTTAATTTTTTGAGGAATCGCCATATTGTTTTCCATAGTGGCCGCAACATTTACATTCCTACCAACAGTGCGCAAAGTTATAATTCTCCACACCTTTGCCAACACCTATTTTCTGTATTTGACAGTAGGCACCCTAATGGGTGTGAAGTAGTCTTATTCTGTAAATTTTATACATACTTATGTATTTCTTATAATTAGCATATTATTAGCTACTGACAGTCTCAGATTCTTTCTGAGATTTCTGTCACATACTATCACATCCTAGAAGACCATGAGACATGGGCAAGTGTGTGTTGGCTCCTCAACTAGATTACAAGATCCTTCTTAAGTTTATTCTTATAGCTCTTCTGTATTAAAACAACACAAACAAACTCAAAGAGGAATGAATTATTAATAAACGTCAATTCCACTTTTATATCTTCTATGCTCCCCAAATTAAAAAAGCAGTATAACAAAGCGGGTAAGAGCTTTAGCTCTAAACAGATTAACCTGGGTTCAGATTCTAGCTCAGCCACTTTATTAGCTGTGTGACAACTTATTTAAGCATTTGAGCTGCTGTTTCCCCATCTGTAAAATAGGGACAATATAAGGTTCTTGTGAGGGTTTAATTAAAAAGTATATGTAAAGCACTTAACCTAGCACACAGTAGGCCCTCATTAACTCAATAACAAAAATAACAATTATTATGTTAATGATAAAGTTGCAATGATTACTACATACAGTCAGGAATCAGTTAGTGACAGGGATAAGTTCTGAGAAATGTGGTGTTAGGTGATTTCGTCATTCTACCAACATCATAGAGTGTACTTACATAAACCTAGACGGCATAGCCTGCTTTTACACCAAGGCTATGGCCTATTACTCCTAGGCTACAAATCCATACAGCATGTTACTGTACTGAATACTGTAGGCAACTGTAACACAATGGTAAGTATTTGTGTATCTCAACATAGAAAAGGTACAGGAAAAATATAGTATTATAATCTTATGGCACTGTCAACATTCATGTGGTCTGTTGTTGACTAAAATGTCATCATGAAGTACATGACTATACTTAAAAAAAAAAACTATGTACAAAAGATAAGTGAAAAAAAAATGAATGCTGAATAAATTTATTTGGACCAATTCAATTTAGAAGTGAAAAATCAAGGGCTCTGATTCAAACGTTTTTCTCTACCATAATATTCAAGAAATTAAGGTATGTTTTATTTATTGCCATATATACTAACAATATAATATAAAATTACAAATATTAACAATCTTGCTATTTTGAAGATTATAATTTTGAAGGTGGATGAGGCCCAGAGCTATATACCAACTATAAAATTGATGGTTTTAAAATTTTCTAAATAATTTGACATCTGGTGAAAAGTAAAGTAAAAGACATGCATATCCTTTGACCTAACAATGCTACTCCTTAGTTTAATCCTAAAGAAACTATTGCCCATGTGCACAAGTAGATACAAAAATGTTCATAGCCACATTGTTTGTAACAGCAAAAAAGAGAAACAACCTCAAAGCCCATCCACAGGAGAATACCCAATAAAGTGTGGTAAAATCATATATTATAACAATATACAAGATTGAAATGAATAGATTATAACTACACATATTTGCAACATGGATAAAGTTCCAACAATGTTGAGCAATGTCATAAAATACAAACAGTAACATTTCATTTATGTAAAGTTCAAAACATGTAAACCTAAGTTCTTTAAGGATTTATGGTAAACTAAAGAAAAGCAAATGAGGCCCGGCGCAGTGGCTCACGCTGGTAATCCTAGCACTTTGGGACGCTGAGGTGGGCGATCACCTGAGGTCAGGGGTTCGAGACCAGCCTGGCCAACATGATGAAACCCCATCTCTACCAAAAAATAAAAATAAAAAAATTAGCTTGGAGTGGTGGTGCGTGCCTGTAATCCCAGCTACCCAGGAGGCTGAGGCAGGAGAATCACTGGAACCTGGGAGGTAGAGGCTGCAGTGAGCTGAGATTGTGCCACTGCACTCCAGCCTAGGCCGCAGAGCAAGACTCCATCTCAACGAAAAGCAAATGAAAGAGAAATATTGAAATAATAATTTGGGGGACAGGTAGATGATTAGTGGGAGAGAGAGATGAACAAAAAATGGCACATAGCATTTACATTGTATTAGGTATTATAAGTAATTTAGAAATGATTTAAAGTATAGAGGAAGACATCAATAGGTTATATGCAAATACTACATCATTTTATATCAGGGACTTGAGCATCTGCAGATTTTGGTATCCACAGGAGGTCCTGCAACCAATCCCCGAGAGATGCTAAAGTATGACTATATTTTAAGATAAGTGGTGCACACATTGGTGTTCATTTTATCATTCATTATACTTTACTTGTTCAATTAAGGCATTCCTTGCTTCAGTTGTTTCCTTCAGCAATTCAGGATCATTCATTTCCAAGAGGGGCTTTCTCTCAAAGTCTTTTCCATCATTTGAATTGCAATTCCAAAGAAGTTTTTCTTTCATTACTACATCCACCACTCCTTTGAAAGTTTTGGCTTCACCAATTGGTAACTGTAAGTCAGAGTGAGATTAACATTATTACATGATCACTCACTGAAAACTACAATGATGACAAGTCTTTTCTAATTGTACCATTTTCCCCAAAATGTCTATTATCACCATTACTATAATCTGTGGCTATTTCTATTTATACCCCAACTTCTTCAAAAATGATGAGATAGCTTTGGAAATGTATATATTGTCACAAAATAAATTAATGAGGAAACTGAGAAGAAGCTGATGCTATTAACCAATTTACCTGTAAAAGCAAAGGCTTTGCCTTTAACTTCTCTCTGATGCTTTCAACTGCATACTTAAAGCTGTAGAAAGCAAAATAATTATAGTTAAAAACATGGTTAAAAATTCTTTACCAAAGGTATCAAGAGAGGAAAAAAAACTCTTTCAGGTTTTAAGAATGTTTTCTAAAATTTTAACTCACTTTATTCTCCTTAACGCTCACTATTTAACAGTTTTCCATAGGAAAATGTCTGGAATAAACTTTTATGTCAATTTCAGATATCAGTAATTACCCTAATCCAGCCACAGAGCTGTTTAGGGTATTATTATTGTGAGCTTCGCATAACTATACTTTGCAATTAACATTAAATGAATTGATCAAGGTAACAAGGATAATAAAGTGCAGTTGGGATTCCAATGCAAGATTTGTGATAAGCCAAGGATTCTTTCTTCTACAACTAGGTTTACTACCATACAAGGCAACTAGCTTTCTTCCAAGAGCCTGCCTAGTCTTTGGCATTCTTCACATCGTATGCTACGCTATTCATTTCTATGCTAACACTGCAGCTGGCTACCTATAGAACACATGCCATCTTTGGCACACAAGCTGATTTACATGCAGGTCATTCCGGTCCCATTGTTTTTCAGAACCAGCCTATTTTCCAGTCATATCCCTCCCCATTGCCAATGGCACTGCCTGACAATAAATAAGTACTTCCATCTACCACAGGAACTCCAAGCAGAAAAGGGTCAGAACTTGAGGCTAGTACATTTTAAAGGTTGCTGGGCTATTAATAATCAAGACAAGGTTCTTTAAACAAACAGCCTCAGAATTACTATAGAGAGGGAGATAAACACAAAGCATATTAATTACTGTGTAGTTTTAGGGGAGGTATAGTTTATGTTTCATTTTTGCCATTCTCCCATCACAGGCCACAATCTCTCCCTATCACATTTGTTCTAGAATTTTTAATATTCTTGATTCTCTCCCTTTCACATTTTCTCCAAATCTTTCAAATATTCTTGATTATCTGAATTATATTCCCAGGACAATGCATCCACCACTCTGTAAGTCTCTGACCATGACCAATACATCTCAGCATTAACTCTCTTCTGCCCCTACATGCAGGTCTTACAGCATCTACATTCTCTTCTTCCAGTTCTTTATTGACAGTATCTTACCCAGTAGCTAAGAAAATCAGAGAATATGGAAGAACACCTTCAAATGCAGGAAACAGTTCTCTATTCTCTATCTTTAGCGATGATGGGAAGCGCCATACCTTCAGCAATATAGGGACTATACCTGTGTTCTAAAGAGAATCAATGGAATCATCAAGAAGCCACTTTGATCTCAGAAATATGATTCAGTCTCTCTATACTAGAAACAGGATGATTCACCATCTATCAGCTATTACTCCCAAATTGTTATATAACCTATGGATTAGCTGCTTTGAATTTTTTTATGGGAATAAACTGGGATTCCATGGAATATTTATACCCTATAATACAATAGGAAAAAAAATAGCTATTCCTAAATTTAAGTTATAGTTCATTAAAAGCTCAAATTGTAGTTTCACCCTGATAAGCCAATGAAACACATTTCAAATACCTTGCTCCAGTTTTGTCCATCTTGTTTAAAAAACAGATTCGAGGTATATTGTGTTTATCAGCTTGCCTCCATACTGTGAGAGTCTGGGCCTAAAGCAAAGATGAGGAAAAAAATACATACTGAACAAAAGTAACTATGTTACTAGACCTGGAATGAAGAGATCCAAAAATCTACTGTCAGATAAATTGGGCCCTATTCTAGCAGAGAATTAGTGCAACTGCACTTATATTTTTAGGGTCACTCTTTAGCTATCAAGTTAACACAGCCGGGAACGTGATGAAGTGTGAAGGGGAGTGTGCTTCAAACCACTTGAGAATACTCTGGGTGAACTAGGTGGCCACACAAAGAGAATTAACACCTCAGGAGGTACTGAGAATCATGGAAAGTGAACTTAACTGAGAATCAGGAGACCTACTTCTTGTTTGGCTTCACTTTTCCTAGTAAATGTCATATGACACTGAACTCATTTAATGTCAGGTTTCTGATCTATGAAATAGGAATTTTGCCTTAATTATTTCAGACACTTATTTTGAGGTAAAAGAAATATAGGAGTGTACTATAAAGCAGCCAGTTTATTTTTTAGGTAAAATTTATATACAATAAAGTACAGATATTAAGTGTATAGCTCAATGCGTTTTGATAAAAGTACGTTTGTGTAACTACTACCCCACTTAGAACATAGAACATTCTGTTACTCCTGAAATTTTTCTCATCCCTGTCTCCTATAAGCAACCTGTCTTGATTTCTGTCACCATAGCTTCAGTGTCTTATTCTTGAACCTCATACAAAATAGCATGGCTTCTTTGGCTCAACATGTTTTTAACATTCATCCACATTGTTAGGTATTTCCGTTCTTTTTAATTATACATACGTACCAGTTGGCTTTCCTATCCACCAGTGCGGTGGCTCACGCCTGTAATCCCAGCACTGTGGGAGGCTGAGGCAGGTGGATCACTTGAGGTCAGAAGTTCAAGACCAGCCTGGCCAACATGGTGAAACTCTGTCTCTACTAAAAATACAAAAATTAGCCAGGCGTGGTGGTGCACGCCTGTAGTCCCAGATACTCGGGAAGCTGAGGCACAAGGATCGCTTGAACCCGGGAGACAGAGGTTACAGTGAGCCAAGATTGCACCACTGCATTCCAGCCTGGGCGACAGAGTGAGACTCCTGTCTCAAAATAAAATAAAATAAAATAAAATAAATAAAATAAAATAAAATAAAAAAATAAAAAAAAATAAAAAAAATAAAAAATAAAATAAAATAAAATAAAATAAAGAAACTTCCAAATAGTCTTCCAAAGTAGTTGCATTATTTTGCAGTCTTTTTAATTTTTTTTGAGACAGGGTCTCACTCTGTTGCCCAGGCTGGAATGCAGTGGTGCAATCAAGGCTCACTGCAGCCCCAACCTCCCTGCTGGGCTCAAGCAATTCTCCCATCTCAGCCTCTGGAGTAGCTGGGATGACAAGTGCACGCCACCACACCCAGCTAATTTTTTTTGTATTTTATAAAGATGGGGTTTCGCCATGTTGCTCAGGCTGGTCTCTAATTCCTGGGCTCAAGCGAACCCACCTGCCTCAGCCTCCCAAAGTGCTGGGATTACAGGTGTGAGCCACCATGCCTGGCCTCTATTTTGCAGTCTTATCAACAATGTGTAAGATTTCTAGTTGCTCCACATCCTCACCAACATTTGCTATCACTCTTTTTAATTATAAGCATTCTTTTGGGTGTGAAATTGAATCTGTGATTTTAATTTGCATTTTCCTGAGGACTAATGAGATTATACATCTTTTCATGTGCTTACTATTCATTCACATGTGTTCTTTTGTGAAGTGTCCATTCAAGTTTTTTGTCCATTTTCTTCTGGGTTATTATTGATTTATGGTTCTTCATATAGTCTGGATACAAATCCATGGTTATAGATACGTACTATAAATACTTCAGTATTTATTTCCCAAGAACAATCATATTCTCTTATATAACCAATACTATTATTGCATTCAGGAAATTTAATATTTGTATAATATGTTTATCTAACATTACAAGTATCTTCTCATAGTCTATTCCTTGTGTTTTTAATTTTTTTGTTTTAATGAACAGCTGTAGTTTTGATAAAGTTCCAGGAATCAACTTTTGTTATTTATGTTTCATGCTTCTTATGTCCTCTAAGAAATTTTTACCTACCCCAAGGCTGTAAAGATATTTTTCTTCTAGAAGCTATGTATACATAACTTAACACTGTGATCCACTCCAAATTAATTTTTGTGTATGATGAGGTATGTGTGTGAGGCGTGGAGGGTGAATATCATAAATTTTCAAAGAACAAAAACATATTGCAAATCAAAACAAAAAACTCCCACCATTCCACCTGCCAGCTAAAAGCTCATTCATTGTTTAAAACAAGTGCCTTCTCCTTCATGAATTCAGCAACTTCCTATTCAAGCACATTTCAATCTTGTAAGTAATGCAATCTGTTTGAATGATTAAACGTCAAATTTATCTAAAGTTACAACAACAGAAAAATGGAACTATTAGGAAATAAAGTGACCCAGAAAGAAACAGAAATAACAGTGTATAATCAATCTCACACCACAGTGTCTTCTGCCAGAATCCATTAAACTATGGCAGGCTAACTTGTTAGCTCAAAAGTAAGGTAGAATCTCTGATCTCTCAAAGTTCTTGACACCAGCTTTCCTATTTCTCCTTTTACTATGAAATATCTGAGATTACATGTAGATTACATCTCAATATAAATTCTGATTTCCTTTTACCATTATTTGATTTATGTGAACTTACCAAATAGATGGTTACAGTTAACTAAATTTGACATATTCTACTTTTTAAAAAATCATGCTGTTCTAATTCCCTTTACTTTGGCAATATTATTTACCTCTACACCAGCAGAGGCATCAAATACAGCCACTGCACCATCCAACACTCTTAGGCACCGCTCAACCTCCAAGGTAAAGTCCACATGACCTAAGAAAAAGATAAGACGTATAATGCCTTCTTTTTAACAAAACCATCATATGATCCAGCAATCTCACATCTCACTCCTGGGGAGGGGTGTGTGTGTATATATATGTGTATATATATAAAGGTATTGAAAGCAGAGTCTCAGAGCTATTTGCACACCCTCCATAGCAGCACTGGTAGACAAAAGGTGGAAAAAACCCAAATGTCCACTGATGTATGAATGGATAAACAAAATGTGATATACACATACAATGGAATACTACACAGAATAAAAAAGAAAATATTGTAGCACATTGTCACATGCTACAATATGAGAAAATTTGAGGGCTTTATGCTAATGAGATAAGCCAATCACAAGAGGACAAATACGGTATGATTCCACTTACATAAGGCATCTAAGCTAGTCAAATACATAGGTATACAAAGTACACAGTGGTTAGCAGGGGTGAAGGGAGGGGGCAAAAGGGAATTGTTGTCCAATGAATATAGTTTCATTTCTGCAAGATAAAAAAGTTCTGGACATCTGTTTCACAGCAATGTGATTATACTTAACACTACTAAACTGTACACTTAAAAATGGTTGAGATGGTAAATTTTGCAACACATGTTTTTTTACCACAATAAAAAGCAAAACAAAAACCCCAGAAAAACAAAAAAACTCCAAATGACGCAGCATCTCTGTGTTACTGGAATCGTACCATACCTGGTGTATCAATTAGATTGACTCTATAACCTTTCCAATCAAATGTAACAGCAGCTGATTGAATAGTAATGCCTCTTTCTCGCTCTTGGGCCATGAAATCTGTCACTGTGTCTCCATCATCAACATCTAGCCAGGAAAAAGATGATACAGTTTAGTCTTAATAGCAAGTGTATTTTATTCGTGCTCAATATCTACCTGACACAGTTTAACCTGCCTTAAGAAAAATCTTTCCTAAAATATTTGGTTTAATAGAGCCTTTACTCTTTCACTAAGTAAATCCTCATGGTAGAAAAAGTTTTTCAGCTAGATTAGTAACTTTGCCATAAAAGGAATTTTTCATCAAGATGAAAATCTTTTAAGTTTACTGAACTTATTTTACTTACTTACTTCTTTTATTTCTTACATAGCTTAACTATCATTACCCCCTTTTTATCTGATGTCCCTCCCTCCTGATCCCTTGATAGGAGGCCGAGTGGTACAGTGAAAGAACACAGACAGACATAGCTTTAAATCCCAACTTTACCACTTAGCACTCTATGATCTTGAGGCAAACTACTTAACCTAGTTTGTAAAATAAGGCTAGTAAAGCCATCCTTGCTGGGTTGTTATTATAAGGATGAAAGGAGACAATATATATAAAGTACCTAGTCTAGTAGATGATAAATGATAGCCACACGGAATGAGGTAGAGAAAAAAATTCATCCAATATTAAATTATCCTTTACAAACCCATCTCATTACTAAATTTTCCAAAGAGAAGGGATTTAGTTGTACAAGTGCAAGTAGTCTCATACAACTTCTACAGTATAAAGTCACAAAAAAACTATCCTGAACTTTATCCAAAAAGTTCACTGAAATTATTGTGCAGTAAAATTCTGTAGTTGAATTAAGCATATTATTCTAATTAAATTTATAGACAGTAAAAGAAATAAACAGTTGGTCTTTACCATTATCATGGCCTTATACTACCATTTATTTCAGCATTAAACCCCTAAAATGGTAGCTAGTTGCCCCATATATGTGTATGTGTATGTGCATATGTATAAATATGTATACACACACATAGTCTAAACACCAGAGGAGGAAATAGCAAGAAAAATGTATTTGACAGCAACTCAAATATAACTCTATGTTAATATCTATAATTGTATTAGTGTCAGTTATTCCCAACATCACTGCCAAAGAAAATAGTATCATTAAGGATACAGACCAAATAACTAACTATAAGTTCTAAATGAGACAGTAAGTTTTAAAAACACTTACACAGTAGTAAGCATTTTCACAATTATAAAGATCTTTATTTCACATTATCTTTATGATTATTCATATGACTAATAAAGTCAACCTTGGATCAGCAAGTTCTACAACAACCTGGATAGTTTTTAGGCTATGGTCTGAACTAGAAAAGAACTTCAAAAGATAGCCGTACAAAAACACATGGACAATCACTGCAGTTTTGCACTCAGAAAGCCCCATCCTTAGGGGAAGGAGGAGAGCCCCACATCAAGGGAGCACCCCGTGAAACAAAAGAATCTGAACAGTAGCCCTTAAGTGCCAGATCTTCACTCTGACATGGTCTACCCAAATGAGAAGGAACCAGAAAAACAATTCTGGTAACATAACAAAACAAGGTTCTTTAATCCCCCCCACCAAAAATCACACTAGCTCACCAGCAATGAATCCAAACCAAGACAAAATCTAAATTGCCAGAAAAAAGAGTTCAGAAGGTCAATTATTAAGCTACTCAAGGAGGCACCAGAGAAAGGTGAATACCAACTTAAAAAAACTGTTTAAATATTACAGGATATGAACGGAAAAATCTCCAGAGAAACAGCCAGCATAAATAAACAATCACAACTTCTGGAAATGAAGGACACACTTAGACAAATGCAAAATACACTGGAAAGTCTCAGCAATAGAATTAAGTAAGTAGAAGAAACAACTTCAAAGGCCAGGTGTGGTGGCTCACACCTGTAATCCCAGCACTTTGGGAGGCTGAGGCAGGCAGATCACTTGCGGTCAGGAGTTCAAGACCAGCATGGCCAACATGGTGAAACCTTGTCTCTACAAAAATACAAAAATTAGTCAAGCATGATGGTGTGTGTCTATAATCCCAGCTACTCAAGAGGCTGAGGTGGGAGAATTGCTTGAACCTGGGAGGTGGAGGTTGCAGTGAGCCGAGATTGTACCACTGCACCTTAGCCTGGGTGACAGAGCAAGACTCCATCTCAAAAAGAGAAGAAACAACTTCAGAGTTCAAAGACAAGGCTTTTGAATTAACCCAACCTGACAAACACAAAGAAAAAAGAATTTTAAAAAAATGAACAAAGCCTCTAAGAAGTTTGGGATTATGTGAAATGAGCAAACCTAAGAATAACTGGCATTCCCAAGAAAGAAGAGAAATCTAAAAGTCTGGAAAATGTTTTTAAGGAAATAATCAAGGAAAACTTCCCTGGCCTTGCTAGAGATCTAGACATCCAAATACCAGAAGCTCAAAGAACACCTGGGAAATTCATCACAAAAAGATCATCGTTTAGGCACAGAGTCATCAGGTTATCTAAAGTCAAGACAGGAAACAATTTTAAGAGTGTGGGGAAAAAACATCAGGTAACCTATAAATAAAAACCTATCAGATTAACAGCAGACTTCTTAGCAGAAACCCTACCAGCTAGTAGGAATTTGGGTCCTACTTTAGCCTCCTTAAACAAAACAATTATCAACCAAGAATTTTGTATCCAGAGAAACTAAGCTTCATAAATGAAGGAAAGATATAGTCTTTTTCAGACAATCAAATGCTGAGAGAACTCACCACTAGCAAGCCAGCACTACAAGAACTACTAAAAGCAGCTCTAAATCCTGAAACAAATCCTCAAAATACACCAAAATAGAACCTCCTTAAAGCATAAATCTCACAGGACCTATAAAACAATAATACAATGAAAAAAAAAAAAAAAACAAGGTATTCAGGCAATAGATAGTGACAATAGTACCTCACATCTGAATACTAACATTGAATGGAAATGACCTAAATGTTCCACTTAAAAGATAAAGAATGGTAGAATGGATAAGAGTTCACCAAGTACCTGCTGTCTTCAAGAGACTCACCTAACACATAAAGACTCAAATAAACTTAAGGTAAAGGGGGGAAAAAGATACCCCATGCTAACGGACACCAAAAGTGAGCAGGAATAACTGTTCTTATATCAGACAAAACAATCTTTAAAGAAGCAGCAGTTAAAAAAGACAAAGAGGGATATTATACAATGATAAAAAGACTAGTCGAACAGGAAAATATCGCAATCCTAAATATATATGCACATAACATTGCAGCTCCCAAATTTATAAAATAATTACTACTAGACCTAAGAAATGAGATAGCAACACAATAATAGTGGGGGACTTTAATACTCTACTGACAGCACTAGACAGGTCATCAAGACAAAAGGTCAACAAAGAAACAATGGACTGGCCAGGCGCAGTGGCTCATGCATGTCATCCCAGCACTTTGGAAGGCTGAGGCAGGCGGATTACCTGAGGTCAGGAGTTCAAGACCAGCCTGGCCAACATAAAAATACAAAAATTAGCCGGGCATGATGGTGGGCACCTATAATCCCAGCTACTTGGGAGGCTGAGGTAGGGGAATTGCTTGAACCCGGGAGGTGGAGGTTGCAATGAGCCAAGATTGCACCATTTCACTCCAGGCTAGACGACACAGCCAGACTCCATCTCAAAAAAGAGACAATGGATTTAAACTATATCCTAGAACAAAAAGACTTAATAAATATTTACAGAACATTCTTCCCAAAAACTGAAGAATATATATTCTATACATCAGCATGTAGAACATTCTCCCAGATAGACCACAAGACAGGCTACAAAACAAGTCTCAATAAAGTTAAGAAAATCAAAATTATATCAAGTACTCTCTCATATCATAGTGGAATAAAACTGGAAATCAACTCCAAAAGGAACCCTCAAAATCATGCAAATACATGGAAATTAAATAACCTGCTCCTGAAAGATCATTGGGTCAACAATGATATCAAGATGGAAATTTAAAAAGTGAAACAAAAAGCTGGTTCTTTGAAAAGATAAATAAAATTGATAGACCATTAGTAAGATTAACCAAGAACAGAAAATATCCAAATAAGCTCAATTAGAAACAAAACAGGAGATACTATAACTGATACCACAGAAATACAAAAGATCACTCAAAGCTACTATGAACACCTTTACGCGCATAAACTAGAAAACCTAGAGGAGATGGATAAATTCCTGGAAATATGCAATCCTCCTAGATTAAACCAGGAAGAAACAGAAACTGAACAGACAAATAACAGTGAGAAGGAAATGGTAATTAACAAGTTGCCAACAAAAAAAGTCTAGGACCAGATGGATTTGCAGCTGAATTCCATCAGACATTCAAAGAATTGGCACCAATTCTATTGATGCTATTCTACAGATAGAGGGAATCCTCCCTAAATCATTCTATGAAGCCAGTATCACCGTAATACCAAAAGCAGGAAAAGACACAACAAAAAAAGGAAAACTACAGACCAATATCCCTAATGAACACAGAAGCAAAAATCCTCAACAAAATACTAGCTAACTGAATCCAACAGCATACCAAAAAGATAATCCACCATGATCAAGTAGGTTTCATACCAGGAATGCAGGGATAGTTTAACATCTGCAAGTCAATAAATGTGATATATCACATAAACAGAATTAAAAACAAAAATCACATGATCATCTCAATAGACTCAGAAAAAGCATTTGACAAAATTCAGCATCCCTCTATGATTAAAACCCTCCTCAAAATTGGCATAGAAGGGACATACCTTAAAGTAATGAAAGCTAACTATGACAAACCCACAGCCAACATTATACATATATGTGTATATACATACATATACACATACATGCACACCACATTTTCTTTGAAAATGCACATCAAAAGCACAATGCAATACCACCTTACTCCTGCAAGAATGGCCACAATCAAAAAATAACAGATGTTGGAGTGGATGTGGAGTGGACATATACACCACATTTTCTTTATCCACTCATTGATTGGCATTTGGGCTGGTTCCATATTTTTGCGAATTGTGATGTTATAAACATGCGTGGTCAAGTATCTTTTTCGTATAATTATTTCTTTTCCTCTGGGTAGATACCAAATAGTGGGATTGCTGGATCAAATGGTAGTTCTACTTTTAGTTTTTAAAGGAATCTCCACATTGTTTTGCACAGTGGTTGTACTAGCTTACATTCCCACTAACAGTGTAAAGTGTGTGTGTATATATATATACACACACATATACACACCATGGAATACTACTCAGTCATAAAAAAGAACGAAATAATGGCATTCGCAGCAACCTGGATGGAACTGGAGACCACTATTCTCGGATGGAATTGGAGGCCAGGATTCTAAGTGTAGTAACTCAGGAATGGAAAACTGACATCATTTGTTCTCACTCATAAGTGGGATCTAAGCTATGAGGATGCAAAGGCATTAGAGTGATACAATGAACTTTGGGGACTCAGGAGAAAGGGCAGGAGGGGAGTGAGGGATAAAAGACTACACATTGGGTACAGTGTACACTACTTGGGTAATGGGTGCACCAAAATCTCAGAAACCACCCCTAAAGAACTTATGTAACCAACCACCTGTTCTCCAAAAGCCTATTGAAATAAAAAATAAAATAAAATAAGCCTTAGGGGAGAAAACTGTTAACCTAGTTGCTTTTTAGAATATAAAGTCTAAGATTATCTTTAATTATAAATATAATAAACCAGTTATGATAAAGACATAAAATTAAGGGCAATCACAGAGCAAATGTGTGTGTATATAAAAGAGAGAGAGAACATTCTATGTGGGTTCTATTTTTATATATTCAGTTTCTTGGCATCATAAGATTGTGTACATGTCTAGTTTACCTTACTATGAGAGCAAGATCTTGATATTCTCTTTTTTAACTGTAAATAAGTTATTGCCATGACTTTTGTAGGTGATTTTTCAGCTTAGTGACTATAATTACTGTAAAGCTTGATTTCCTTCTTGTTATAATAAACTGCATTAGTTTGAAATAAATAAATAAAAACACATGGAATATTATTCAGCCTTATAAAAGGAATCTTCACTTGAGCCCAGTTTGAGACCAGCCTGAGCAACACACTGAGGCCCTGTCTCTACCAAAAATACAAAAGTTAGCCAAGTGTGGTGGCACCTGCCTGTAGTCCCAGCTACTCAGGAAGCTGAGGCAGGAGGATCTCTTGTGCCCAAGAGTTCAAGGCTGCAGTGAGCTGTGACTGGGCCACTGCACTCCAGCCTGGGCAACAGAGCAAGAGCCTATGTCTCTAAAAAAAAAAAAAAAAAAAAAAAAAATTAAAAAATTAAAAAGGAATCTTGACACATGCTACAACATGGATGAACCTTGAGGACACTGTACTATGTGAAATAAACCAGTCATAGAAAGACAAATACTTACGATTCCATTTATATGAGGTACCTAGAGTAGTCAAAGTCATGAAGAAAAAGTAGAAGGATGGTTGCAAGGGACCGGGGAAAGGGGAAAATGGGAGTTGTTTAATGGGTATAGAATTTCAATTTTGAAAGATGAAAATGTTTTGAAGATTGGTTGCACAATAATGTGAATATACTTAACACTACCAAAATAGTTAACACTTAGAAATAGTTAAGATGGTAAATTTTATGTTTTTTTAACTACAATTTAAAAGACAAAAGATAACTTGGTTAAGGATTAACAAAATCCTCTTTGATGTGAGAATTTAACTTCTGGTTACTTTTTTTGGTTCTTTTCTTCTAGAAACCAGATAACAGAGGTATGTCAACTACATTCCTAGGCAATATAACTTATGGAAAAAACAACTTCTGATTGGTAAACTAAATCTGAATTGCGAAGAACTATAAATGAATTATATATATAAGTACCTTATGGAGATACCGAACTCTGGGCTTCCCTGTGTATGGCATGTACCTTAGGTGACACCTGGAAGCTATGCCTATGAAGTTATAACAAGAGACATTCATTCCTATGGGGCATGAATCTTCTAAGCTAGGGTGGCTCCTATGAATCTTGTCACCTTGCATCTAATCCATTACTCTGGAGCAGCCAAAGAAGATAGCTCCCAGATAGCTACGGGGACTGCTATAAGGACTCTACTAGAAAGAAACACCTAATGCTGGTCTGTTGGTAAGCTGTGGTTCCTGTCCTGTAGCATTCTGAGTAGACGAGTGTCCAGTGGGGCCTATGATAGTCTTACAAGTCTGAATATTTAGTTGAATCTAAGAAGACCCTTTGGTGGGTATTGCAACTATCTTATCTTTAAATTGTGGATTAGACATCAGTAGCTCTATGCCATATTCAAGGTGTGTAAGTTGACTTGTTAACCAAAATATTTTCCAATGATGCTTTTGCTAATGGGGGGGTGGGAAGAGGAGGAATCCATTCTAACCTCCCAGTGATCTTGTATATCCGGAATAGTACAATATTCTTTCTGTGGTGGTAGTTTTGCCTGCATCAATATGAGCCATAATTCCAATATTACGGATTCTGTTTAAAAGGAAAAAATAAGGTAAACTTTACTAAAATTGTAAAACCAAAGTATATATGCTATCCAAATTTCAAAGCTGGTATTTCTATAATTTATAAAACTGTGTAAAAACTAGAAAAATGGAAAACATTTAGAGTATATCCACATTACTCTGATAAGATAGCTAAGTAACAAAAGGGCTAACTACAACCTACAATTTTGAGACTATCTTATATTCATTCTAGAAAAGTGTGCTGTTGTTACATTAAAAATTTTTAGCATTAATTGAGAAAAAATAGCTAAGATACATTATCAACATCTACTTAAAATTGGCTAGGGCAGAAAGTCATAGAAATTACAGCATTCACTCTTGTCCATCAGAAAAAACCTGTAAATTTTCGTGACAGTCTATGGAAAAGCATGATATAATGATAGTACTTACTTAGCTATGGGAGGATTGATGATGGAATGAAGGGATTTGATATCATTTCCTATTAAGCCTAATGAAAAGAAAGTTAAAATTGAACTGTTACATTTATGAAATTTTCCTTTAATTTATAAATGAAAGACTTTAAAATAACTTTAAGCAAATACTGTAAGTCCAAATAAAGTAAAATTCAAGCTAAATAAATCTAAAATAAACTAAAATTTATTTCCTTGCAATGTATAAGGAAAGCTATGGATGACAATAAAACAAGGTAAAAGTTTTAAACATCAAGTTCTAGATCATATCCTCAGAAAAATACAGATTCACCCCAATCTCTGCCACCTACTTCACTTCCATTTACAAAATTGTAGAACTAGAATAAATGCTCATAATAATAATCTTAAGGCAATGATCCTGAATCAAAGAAAAAATTTTAAATGCACAGTCCTATAAACCTGCCTTTTCCAGGGTTTGAAGAGCTAAGAGTGATCCTCATGTCAGCTGATAATGAATTATTATACAATTTGGAACTTGCCTTCCTCAGCAATCCCAGGACACAATACCTTTAAAGACTGCCTGGGAGGTTTCACTGAATAGAAGCTATAACAATTTAATACTTTTGAAAGGCCAAGCAGTATTTCTTAAATAAAAAAGTCCATATGGCTTATTCTATGCTTAATATATAGTTTACTAATATTAAGAAGTAATTTCTAAAGAAACAAGGCAGTTACATTTGTAAATTTAATTAAAGCCTTCCTGTTATTTAAACCATTTCTCCCATGTTTCTATAATACAAAAAGGAGAATTTTATATTATTTTTGAAACTTCATGGTGGTTTGAAGATCAAAAGATAATCTATACTACTACAGTTAAATTCATATTAGCCAAATTCAGAGACCTAGATACACACCAATAACGTAGCCCATTAAATTAATCTGCCCTTGTAAGTCAACAGCCAATCAGTATTTTTATTCTATTATTCTCACATGACAAACACAGTAATGAGAACAGCAACAGAATTAAACTAGTTTCATAGAGTCTACCATACACTTGCTTGTTTCAAACACAGAAAGGACATTCAAAAGTAAGTCAACTCCTCCACCTTCCAGCTTCTGATGCCATGTATCTAACCTAAACAATCCCAAATACTTAGCCAAACTACTTATAACAATCCTCAAAATAAATTATTCTAGTAAATCTCTCTTGACAGAAAACACTTGCATAAAAAACAGAAATAAACTAGAAAAAGAAATTCACAAGAGCACTCTACAATTACACTCACATGTTAAACTTGCAAACTAGCTACTAAAGCCACCAACCTTTCCTTTGCTCAGTTCATCAGCGTGTTCCTCAGATAAGGAGCACAACTCTACTAGTATTTCCTTCTGGCACCTATCTGAACACTCCCGCCCCTAATAATCTCAAGGAAATAGCCAAGAAGTAAAAAATGGTTACAGAGCCCTAATAAGGGAGATTCTTGCAAACAAGAGAGAGAAAAGAGATAAAGCAAACAGCTTAGATAAAATTAGAAGACTCTAACATTTGTACCTGGTAGAGAACTGCAATTTCTTCCAAGCGGCACATGTGGCTTTAATCTTTTTAAACTTGCTCTTATTTTATAGCAGCATATATTCTAGTAAAGAGAAAAAGAAACTTGGCATTAATTTTATTTTAGCATCACTTATTACAGTGTTAATATTGTAATTACGCTTTGTCAGAAGATAAAATATTTTGTATAGCTTTAAAGTAGTCCTAATTTATTAACTCCAATTCTTTTAAAAAGTGACAATCCAAATATATCCTAGGGGAAAGAATAAGGATAAAATTAATACTGATTTGCTATTTTGAGCTGACCTTAAAACAATGGTTTTCCTCAACCTGCAGCATTAGCATGGGCTGAGGGCTTGTTTGAAAAACATGCTTAGGCTCCAATCCAGACAAGAGAATCAGAAACTCTTGGGGATGGAGCCAAACAATCTGTTTAAACTAGCTCTCCAGTTGATTCTAATAGCTACAGATTGAGAACCACAACCCTAAAGTTCTGAAAGTCAGAAGCTGAGTCAGAAAGGTTAAATAAGGTATCTCACCCAGGATACACCTTGGTTTTCCTCTACATCTGCTGAAAGGTCTGTAGGGGGCAATGAACTCTAAAACCATTAGTTGTTTTCAGGATTTATTACAGTTACACATTAGAATCATCTGGAAAGCTTCTTGAAGACACGGGGGTGGGGAGAGAAAATGAGAACTGGAGGAACTGGGCAGTGGCATTTAAAAAAAATTCCCAGGGTGTCTCCAATGTAGCATTCAACTGAGAATCACTGAGTTAGAGCAGGTCTGCTTAAGGCCAAGCCTACCTCCTCTACCTTAGCTGCTTACCTAACCTTCTCATGTTCTCATGTAAAGGCTGAATATTCTCCACCTCAGTTTATGCCCAGACCACTAGATATACATTTAATAGCTGCCAATGTAGTTGGAATTGTTAGTGTATGTAATGATTTAGGGCCACCACAATCTGCTTTTTGTTTCATGAACTGCGTATCTGTGCGATCTATATTATTTCTACATTAGTTACCAAGTTTCTGGCAATAATAAGCTACTATCCTCAGAAAATAATTCCACTGCATAATGACTAGGATAAGACCCAGTGTCTATCACAGCGTGCATAGTCTGAAAGCGTCAGCAATAAAAGCACTGAAGAAAAACTGGGTAACTCCTTGGGCCACTTAATGAGATCACAAATGGAATACAGAAATATATCTTCTTCAAAATGCTGCTCAGGTGATTTTTAAAGTAGCAAAAAAAAATTGTAGATGAATGGTAAGGCTTCTTAGCAACAACAACAAAAAAACTGTAGACGAATGGTAAGGCTTCTTAAGGGTTACAGGTTCTCCCATACAGCAGTCACACCCTATCCACAGGGGTTATATTCCAAGACCCCCAGTGGATTCCTGAAACCTCAGATAGTACAGAACCTAATTACTATCAATCAGAACATGGTTCTGTTCATGTCTTCTGCCCACAAACTGAATACCTTTTCCATCTTAACTGAGCTCTTATCATGTTATGTGACCATAATTTTTGTAGTTTGAAGTGCAACAGTAAAACTAGCAAAAATGTCTTTTTCTTTCTTCACAATTTCATGGATAGAAGATTCATTCCTACCATAGATCTTAGCAACCTCAGCATATGATTTGTTTTTTTCCTTATTAAGCCAAGAATGTTCACCTTTTCACTTAAAGGGAGCACTTTATGGCTTCTCTTTGGCACATCCAAATTGCCAGCATCACTACTCTTGCGCTCTGGGACCGTGATTAAGTAAAATAAAGGTTACTTGAACACAAGCACTGCAGTATCACAACAGTGAATCTGATAACCCAGATGGCTACTGACTCATGGGTGGGGAGTGTATACAATGTGGATATGCTGGGCAAAGGAATGACTCACCTCCCAGGTGGGATTAAGTGGGATGGCATGAGATTTCATCACAGTACTCAGAATGGCACACAATTTAAAACTTATGAATTATTTCTGGAATTTCCCATTTAATTTTCAGACCACAGTTGACTCTGAGCAACTGAAACAGCTAAACAGCAAAACCATGAATAAGGGGAAACTATTGTACTCCCTGTTAAGTCACTGAAGATAAAAAGAAACAACCCAAACAAGCTTTAAAGTAATCTCTCACTTAGCTATAGATAAAAAGGGTATTATTATGTTTGAGATTTAATATCTTTAAGTATACTGAAGATGTGATAGTTTAGAAAATAATTTATAGTGTTTTGAAGAGGATTCAGGAGTCAGACCAGAGCTAAAGACTAAAACAATGTTCCTGAGACAAATATCAGACTGCCGAAGAAGCTGGCTTCCAACAGCTCTGCAGAAGACAGCCAAAAGTAGTTGTATCAACCATTGTATAATTATGTTGTACTTTGATATTAACAGAAACTTTATTTCATAAGAGTCTCAATCCATGGATACTTAATATTACAAAGCACATTATTTGTTAGTAGTTTAAAGATGTGCATTAAGTGATGACATTCTTAGATATAAAACCCTACCCCTCCTTCAAAAACAACTGGCATTTTAGTACTCCATGAGACCAGTATTTAGCTACAGCTGTTCTTTTACTTTTAAATTAAGGTAATTTCCTCTTATATTTCTTAATAAATTAAGGTAATTACTTTCAAATTAGTTTAGCTTGAAGATTTCCAAAGGTTATGACTCAACTAAATTTGGAATCAACAGCTGATGAGATATACTGGGCATTTTAGGCAGTAAAGGAGCTGAGGTTGTTAAAGGACACTTAATTTTATAAGAAATGCTTACATTAATATACACACTGGGTATTGTCTGATGACTCATTGCAAATATCCTCAAGTTGGTCAACATCTTGATCCTCCAAACTGTTACTGTCTGAAAAAATAAATATACAAAATCAAAAAACTAAACTTATGTATTACATGTCAGCAAGGCATATGTAAGTTAGACATATGTAATATGTATGGTAAAATGTATTACTTTTAAAAAGTTGGAACAATATTTTTAGCTACCAAAAATTCAATGCATCATTCAGAAAATGGAAAATTCTGATTAAATATGAGAAATATGGTTTTTAGGTTTAAAATGTCCCTTATTTGTCAATGTAATGTTTAAAGAAAGATATGGCGATACAGTAGAAATCAACTTATTGAAATTACAAAACATTGTATCAACCAAAATGCATTGTTATGTAAATGTATAGAATTAAGCATAAAAAGCTAAGCATCCACATATTAACTTGGTAATTTCTAATTGGCAGTAAAATTTATTGATTCATTTGTATACTCTGATTTTCCTACCATACCATGTAAAAACTAAATCATGTAAAAAATATATAAAAGCAAGTCCTCTTCCTCTCTGATTATAGAAACTAAGCATCTTTAGTTTAAAAACATTTGCTAAATATTCACTATGTTTCAAGTACAATATCAAAGCTATTAGAAATATAAGGACGCAGCTGAGACTGGGGATGCTGGGGAGACAGACAGACCATGTTAAACCAAGCTTGTCCAACCCGTGGCCTGCAGGCCACATGCGGCCCACGATATCTTTATATGCAGCCCAACATAAATTCGTAAACTTTCTTAAAATATTATGAGGTTTTTTTTATTTTTTTTTAGCTCATCAGCTATTGTTAGTTATCATTAGTGATTTTATGTGTGGCCAAAGACAATTCTTCCAGTGTGGCCCAGGGAAACCAAAAGATTAGACACCCCTGTGTTAAACCATTGTGATCCATGTTATTAAGATATGTGAAACCTCATTACTACTCCTAAGTCTGTTCTTTCTGGATCTTAGCTAAGAAACATTCACTACTCTTATTTAGAAAGTCATCTAATACTTACATTTGATTTCCTAAATATATTTGAATCTGTTCCCTTTGTTGTTTTTTTTTTTTTTTTTTTTTTTTTGAGACAGGGTCTTGCCCTGTCACCAAGCCTGGAGTGCAGTGGCTTGATCTCAGCTCCCTGCAACCTCTGCCTCCTGGGTTCAAGCGATTCTCCTGCCTCAGCCTCCCGAGTAGCTGGAACTACAGGCATGTGCCACCACACTTGGCTACTTTTTGTATTTTTAGTAGAGACGGGGTTTCGCCATGTTAGCCAGACTGGTCGTGAACTCCTGACCTCAAGTGATCTACCCACCTCGGCCTCCCAAAGTGCTGGGATTACAGGCGTGAGCCACCATGCCTGGCCTTGAATCCATTCCCTTTTCATTGGTAACGCCAAAGTTCAGGGCCTCATAGTCTCTCCACAGTTGTGACTGTAATAGACATTTTCCTCTTCTTTAACTCAGTGGTTGTCAATAAAAAGATAATTTGCACAACCCAGCCCTCCCCCGCCCAAGCCTATTCGTTCCCATTTATTCAACAAGAATTTACTGTGTGTCTGCCTACCCACTGCTTTCTAGATATCAGCGTTAATGCAGTGAACAAAAGACAACAATCTCTGCCCTCATACTGCCTCTACCGTAGTCAGGGGATACAGACAACAAACAAAAGTAACGAATACAATACATAGTCTCTCCCATGATGATAGGGTGCTGTAGAGAAGAATGAAGCAGGAAGGAGGAATTGGGACAGTTAGAACTGTAAGTAAAGAGATCAAGGAAGGCCTCATTCAAACAGTGACATTTAAGCAAAGACCTGAAGTAGATGAGGGAGGAAATTCGGGGGATTGAGGGACGGCGGGGAGGGGCGCATTAAAGGCAAAGAGATTATATAACGTACTGTACCTAAAATATACAAATGCTAGTTACTATTTCTGGTTTTAAAGAGAATGATGAGATCACCTTAGAAAATGGAGCCTTAAAAAACTGCTTCAAAGGCGGGGCTCGGTGGCTCACGCCTGTAATTCCAGCACTTTGGGAGGCCGAGGCAGGTGGATCACCTGAAGTCAGGAGTTCGAAACCAGCCCGACCAACATGGTGAAACCCCATCTCTACTAAAAATACAAAAATATTAGCTGGGTGTGGTGGCGAGCGCCTATAATTCCAGCTACTTGGGAGGCTGAACCTGGAGAATCGCTTGAACCCGGGAGGCAGAGGTTGCAGTGAGACGAGATGGCGCATTTGCACTCCAGCCTGTGCGACAAGATTGAAACTCCGTCTCAAAACAAAACAAAAACTGCCTCAAAGCCGGGCGCTGTGGCTCAAGCCTGTAATCCCAACACTTTGGGAGGCCGAGGCGGGTGGATCGCTCGTACCCGGGAGTTCGAGACCAGCCTGGGCAACACGGTGAAACCTCATCTCTACAAAAACTACAAAAATCAGCCAGGCTTCGTGGCGCGAGCCTGTAGCTCGCTACTTTTGAGGCTGAGGTCGGAGGATCGCTTGATCCCGGGAGGTCGAGGCTGCGGTGAGCCGAGCTCGTGCCCCTGCACTCCAGCCTGGGCGACTGGGCGAGATGCCGTCTCAAAATACCCATAAAAACAAAAACAAAAACAAAATACTGCCTCAAATACAAGCACTAAGAATTAATGAAAGTATTCTTTTGGTACAGTTCTTTTTGTTCATCAACTGAATCACGCTGCAAGCTGTGAAGTAATTAAGGGAACTTCTGCAACTGTGCAGTAAAAGGGTAAACCTGATAGTGTATTTAAGTAGACGTACTTTCTGGTAGTTAATTACTTCTTGACACTAGGGGGCCACTAAATACAAGTCCACTCAGCATTTGATTCGGTGCACCAAAATGCCTCAGAAATTTCTGGAATCAGTCCTGTACCTCCAAAAAACCAGAATGTTATCTTCTTCTTTTCTAACAGCTGCAAAGCCCCAGTAGTTCCATTTTTCTGTACACTAAGTTTTCATTCCTCAGTATCCTTCACAATCATGCACACATTACACAGAGTGACCGGAACAAAGATGAGTCGACTTCGCCGAATGATAGAGAAAAACTTCCATACTGAGCGAACACCGAGGGGAGTCCGGAGGCCCTGTTGTCCTCTTCCGTGGCTGGCTGTGTCCGTCGCAGCCTGAAAGGTCAGCGGTACCCAGCGCTGTGACAGGGTCACAGGCGCGCGATGTCTCACAGCTCGGAGCAGTACTCACCTGGCATTAGGCCGCGTGCCGCAGGCCAGCTCTCACCGCTGGGCTCTTGAAGCAGGAGGCGCGAGCCGCGCCAAAGTCTGCAACGGCCTCAAGTCTCGACGCCAGCCTAGGCAAAAGGCAATGTATCTAAACGAAAAGAAAATAGGCTTTCTCCGCTCTACCGCCTCGGGCAGCCACACCTCCACACTTCCGGCGGTGTACCGGCCAAATGCCGCCTGCCAGCAACTTCCGTCCTCCTAGCTAAAAGCGGAAAACAGAGGCTCGGAACCGCTGCGTGGTTCTTGCTCTTCACTCGGCCGTTTTAAAGGGTGACTCTTTCCTGTCCCGGCCTGCGTGGTGTGGGCTTGTGGGTCTTTGAGACCCGAAAATTGAGAGCGTTTTCGCACTCCAGCGGCTGCTCCTGGCGGCTCTGCGGCCGTCACCATGGTAAGGAGGATGCCTCGGACGCTCGCGACACACAGCGTCTGAGTTAGTGGGACCTGAGGACTCTGGGGCGCTGGGGTAGGGGGTGAGCGGTGGTAGGCGGAAATGAGAACTGCCAAGAGAAAAGGATGGTAGACCCGTGGGGTGGGCTCTGAGGAGTGGAAACAACTTCACATTCGAGACACAGACGGTATTTGCCAGAACACAAGCTTTGGAGCAAGATTTTACTCTGTCCTGTTTTCTTTTTTCTTTTTGATCCACCGCTAAGAGTCCTAAAAATTCCTGATTTCACCACAAGCGTGGTTATCAGCCCCAGAGCCTAATGGGAATATGGTTGTCCCTTGTACAGTCTTAGATGTCAGTCCCGCCCCCTTCATTTTACTGCTGAGGAAACTGAAGGCGTCCTTGCCAAAGACCAGACAGCTAATGAATTGCGAAGCCGGGCTTAACGGCCCAGATCTAACTGCCAGGTCCTTTCTCTTTGTGTTACGTCTCTATAATCTGCGTTTCTTTGCAAAATGGCATTCCATACACCCTTCATGTGATTGCTGCAAAGTTTATGTGATAGCAGTTGGTAGCAGCACACCTTGTTGGTTGTTACTTAACATTGCTCTCTGTGCTGGACTTGGCTTTGTATCATTTTTATTTTTGCAGCCTTAAAATACGAATAGACTCACGCCTGGCCGCGTGTTTAAAACGTGTCTAAAATGCAAAAAGCATCCCATACATTGCTGGTGAAAAGAAAAATAATGCACTTTTGGAAAACGGTCTGGCAGTAAACACACGTCCACATGAAGACTTGCATGCAGTTGTTTATTGCAGATTTATTCGTAATCACCCAAAACTGGGAACAACCCTGATACCTATCATCTGGTCAGCGGGTAAACAGTGGTGTATCCATACAATAGCATACTACTCAACAATAAAAAGGATTGAAGTTCCTATACCTGCAGCAAATTGGGTGAATCCCAAAAGCAAGAAACCAGATTCAAAAGGCTATGTACTACTGTTGATCCCTGTTTCATTCTGGGAAAGGCAAAACTGTAGGGATAGGTATCAAACTGAGGGTTGGGAAAGAGGATTGACTTAAAAGTTACATAGGGAATTTTAGGGGGAAATGGAAATTCTTTGTATTTTGATTGTGGTGGTTACAGAACTGTGTAGTTAGGAAAAACTTAGAACTGTATACCTAAAAAGGACAGGTTTTACTGTGTGTAAATTATGCTTCAATAAAACTGACTTAAATTTTTTAAATGTGAAATGAAGGTGTTATTAAAAAAGCAAATTATGTCAAGGAAAAAAGATACTGTAATCAGTTCATCCCTTTTGTGGTCCAGTAGATTTTGGACCATTCCCTAATGAGATTATTAGAGATGTAAGCCCTGATGCCTCATATCATTCAAGACCAAAATTTAACTTACATCATGTGAATAAACTTAATGGTGCAAGAATCATTTAAGTAAGTGAACATTTGGATGAAACAGGGTCTTTGTGCTGTGTAAAAGAAAGCATTTTAGAATAATTGTCAGTACTTTAAAAAATTAAAATAATATTTCTTCCATCATTATAGCCACAGAATGAATATATTGAATTACACCGTAAACGCTATGGATACCGTTTGGATTACCATGAGAAAAAGAGAAAGAAGGAAAGTCGAGAGGCTCATGAACGTTCAAAGAAGGCAAAGAAAATGATTGGTCTGAAGGCTAAGCTTTACCATAAACAGCGTCATGCTGAGAAAATACAAATGAAAAAGACGTAAGTGGTCTCATTTATTTGTCATAACAAGTTAACATCTTTTGAGTAATCATTATTAAAACAGATAATCTTGAATCTTTTTTCCTTCTTGGTAGTATCAAGATGCATGAAAAGAGAAACACCAAACAAAAGAATGATGAAAAGACACCACAGGGAGCAGTACCTGCCTATCTGCTGGACAGAGAGGGACAATCTCGAGCTAAAGTACTTTCCAATATGATTAAACAGAAAAGAAAAGAGAAGGCGGTAAGCAATAACAATTGAAGTCTTTGTTTTGTTTAGGAGAATTACTTAAATTCAAATTTGAGGTTCTTGTTTCTCGGTTTAATTTCAAACATGAAGTACAGCTATTATTCCCATTATTTAGATGTTGAAGTCTTTGTAAATTTAATAAAAAACTTGCTTTCTCATCATAAGGTTTTAAAATTTAAGTTATAAAAAAAATTTATTAGAATGCCATATGAAATTAAAAAGCTGGTAAGGAGTGAATTTCAAATTCAATATTTGTCTTCCTGTTTGAAAACCCACAGTGCTATGCAGTCATAAAGAAAAATACAAATGCTTCTTATTTGTGCTGCCCTGTAGTGCCAAACTTGGTTAAAAAGTAGAATGGTGGAAAACTCCCTGAGTTGTCACAAAAAATGTGGCTTTTTAAAACACCTGTAAATAGATTAGCAGAAATCCAGATAAAAGAATATGCAGTATTTATATTTAAAGAATTATTTTTACTGCCTTACACTATTTCAGTTTTTTCATAGAATTTGCACTCAAGGGAGGCATAAAACATCTGGTGAGGATTTTGTCTTGCTAGTGATCTACAGATCCATCTCGGGAAGAAATACAGAGACATATTAAGAGGTGGAAACACTCTTCCAGTATTATGCTATTAAACATTAGTAAACACATATACTGCTTATAGAAGTCACTATCGGCTGGGCACCGTGACTCACGCCTGTAATCCCAGCACTTTGGGAAGCCAAGGCAGGTGGATCACCTGAGGTCAGGAGTTCAAGACCAGCCTGACCAATGTGGTGAAACCCCACCTCTACTAAAAATACAAAAATTAGCTGGGTGTGGTGGTGTGTGTCTGTAGTCCCAGCTACTCGGGAGGCTAAGACAGGAGAATTGCTTGTACCCAGGAGGCGGAGGCTGCACAGTGAGCCAAGATTGTACCACTGCACTCCAGCCTGAGCAACAGAGCGAGACTCCATCTAAAAAAAAAAAAAAAAAAAACCACCACATTACAGGTGGTATTTTCTCACCCATAACACAGCATTAAGATTTTTAGCTTAAGCCAACCATTTATTTAACATACCCATGATATATAAACTTGTTCTGTTTAATTTGCAGCTTATGAGACAATACAGACCTCTAGAAGACGGTTGAGCCAAAAATGTGTTGATGGTCAAGCAAAAAAAATAGATCTATTACTTTGTACAACTAAAACATATTTGACTTATTCTCATTGTCCTTTAATAACAATATAAACTTTTAACTGTGGCATATTTTTAGGGAAAATGGGAAGTCCCTCTGCCTAAAGTACGTGCCCAGGGAGAAACAGAAGTATTAAAAGTTATTCGAACAGGAAAGAGAAAGAAGAAGGCATGGAAGAGAATGGTTACTAAAGTGTGCTTTGTTGGAGATGGCTTTACAAGAAAACCACCTAAATATGAAAGATTCATCAGGCCAATGGTAAGTCCTTGGAAGAGTGTAATGACCGAAATGTTAGTTGACTTTATTAAATCGGATAAAGAACATTATCATTTCCTGAAATTCTTTAAATTGATGTGGAACAGGTTGAAAGATATTTTTATGCAATTTTTGTTATTTTATTGACAGAAGTTATTTAGTACTTTTTCCACTAGTCAAAAATCTTTAGCCCAGTGCGGTGGCTCACACCTGTAATCCCAGCACTTTGGGAGGTTGAGGTGGGTGGATCACCTGAAGTTAGGAGTTCAAGACCAGCCTGGCCAATGTAGTGAAACCCTATCTGTACTAAAAAATACAAAAAATAAGCTGGGCGTGGTGGCGGGCGCCTGTAATCCCAGCTACTAGGGAGGCTGAGGCAGGAGAATCGCTTGAACCTGGGAGGCGGAGGTTGCAGTGAGCTGAGATCACGCCATTGCACTCCAGCCTGGGCAAGAAGAGCAAAAATCCGTCTCAAAAAAAAAAAAAATCTTTTCAGCTTCGTGAGAGATTTGAAAAAGTAGTATCATAAGACATTGTCAGTGAATTCTGACTTTTAAACATGACATATTAGAATCTTCATTTTCCACAGTCATATTTTCCTCATTAAACTAGTGATCTACAATATGCCTGATATTGTCTAGGTCTCAAAACACTTCTTGTCTTTGACAGCAGTTCGAAAACTTGAGTAGGACTGTTTTATAAGAGTCAATTCCAGTTTGATAAGGAAAGTATCTAAATGCTTTTGAAAATCATTGAAAAGCCGGGCGCGGTGGCTCACGCCTGTAATCCCAGCACTTTGGGAGGCCGATGCAGGCAGATCACGAGGTCAGGTGATCAAGACCATCCTGGCTAACACTGTGAAACCCCATCTCTACTAAAAAAAAAAAATACAAGAAATTAGCCGGGCATGGTGGCGGGCGCCTGTAGTCCCAGCTGCCTGGGAGGCTGAGGCAGGAGAATGGCGTGAATCTGGGAGGCAGAGCTTGCAGTGAGTGGAGATCATGCCACTGCACTCCAGCCTGGGGGACAGAGCAAGATTCTGTCTCAAAAAAAAAAAAAAAAGAAAAAAAGAAAAAGAAAATCTTTGAAAAAAGGAAGATAATTTAATATAGCTTAATTTCTGTTGAAGGCAGCAATAGTAATGTGACCCCAAACTTCCCCACCCCTGGGGAGAAACATAGTTGAAGATATATTTTTGCAAAATCCCTTCAAAGAGACTGAACTATTCTCCCAGTTAGATACACAGCCTCAAAAAAACAAAGTATCAGAGAGAGGAAAGTTGCAACATGCCATAATCCTAGTGTTCAACCTGAGTAATTTTTTTTTTTTTTTTTTGGGACGGAGTCTCCCTCTGTATCCCAGGCGGGAGTGCAGTGGCACGATCTCGGCTCACTGCAAGCTCCGCCTCCCGGGTTCTCGCCATTCTCCTGCCTCAGCCTCCCGAGTAGCTGGGACTATAGGTGCCCGCTACCACGCCCGGCTAATTTTTTTGTATTTTTTTGTAGAGACGGGGTTTCACCGTGTTAGCCAGGATGGTCTCGATCTCCGTGATCCGCCCGCCTTAGCCTCCCAAAGTGTTGGAATTACAGGCATGAGCCACCGTGCCCGGCCAACGTGAGTAATTTTTAATAGATTAAAATATTGGCAAATAGCCTGTTTCTGTAAATAAAATTTTAATGGAACACAGTCATGCCTGTTCATTTACATATTGCATAACCCCTACCCCTAGAATTGAGCAGTTGCAACAGAGGCCATATGGCCTGACAAAGCCTAAAGTGTTTACCTATTGGGTTCTTTACACAAAATGTTTGCCCACCCCGGATTATATCATGGACTCGACTTGTTTTGGTTTCATATTCATAGTCTGAATATATTTTGGTAGCCTTAACAGTTCTACAGGGAGAGAATATACAAGTCAGGCTATTCTAGGTTTTCTGTAGTTTCACAGATTTGTCATTATAATCAGATGGCATCCTGAATGGTGTCAGTTTCTTACAAGCTTGATTAATGAGTCTGTTACTAAGAAACTGATTTAGTGATTTTTTCCCCCCATCCCCATGCACACAAAAATGAAGACTGCAAAATGTTGTGACGTTTAAAGTACTACACCCTAAAAGACCTTATTAGGTGACTGGGTGACTCCATAACCAGTTTCTGTAACAAAGACTCCTCTGGGTCTCCTCCAGTCTCATATTGCCATCAACCTAAAGAAAGCTGACAGTCCACTCCTTTTTTCATCATGGAAGGTAGCCGAGTTATATAAAGACTTGGAATCAGGATATTAAGGTTTGAGTCTGTTTACCACTCACCATTTAATCTGGAAACAAGTCATTTAACCTGCTGATCCTTGTTACATCATTTGAAAACAGAGGAGAGGGGATGTGTTTGTTGTGAGGTTATTGTGTTTAAGTGAGCCAGTTGTGAGCTAGCATAGTGGCCTGGTATATATAAAGTCCTTAGTAAGTCTAAGTGTAGATGACTAGACAGTAAAAATCTGGGTATGTTGCTAGGTAGCTATTACAGGGTGAAAAAAAAAAAAACTTTTCAGAGGCTAGCTGTGGTGGCCTGTAATCCCAGCACTTTGGGAGGCTGAGGTGGGTGGATACGTTGAGAGCCCAGGAGTCCAAGACCAGCAGGCAACATGGCGAAACCCCATCTCTACCAAAAAAAAAAAAAAAAAAAATAAGCTAGGCATGGTGGTGCGTGCCTGTAGTCCCAGCTACTCAGGAGCCTGAGGTGGGAGGATGTCTTGAGCCCAAGAAGTCCAAGCTGCAGTGAGCCAAGATCACGCCACTGCACTCTGGCGTGGGCAACTGGGCAAGACCCTGTCTCAAAAGAAAAAGAAATTCTTAAGTATTTGTGTGGGTGTTTTCCCCACATATTTATACTGTAACCATCAGCTTTTTACTCTGTAAAACATATTTTGTTAGCTTCTTTAAGATGACATTATTCAACCATAGTTTTTTGGAGATGGTTGAAAAAGATAAGCGAAAACGACCACTACTCATCACTGTTAACATTTTGGACGTAAACATTCTTATGTTGTGTTTGACTTACTAGGGCTTGCGTTTCAAGAAAGCCCATGTAACACATCCTGAACTGAAAGCCACCTTTTGCCTACCAATACTTGGTGTAAAGAAGAATCCCTCATCCCCACTGTATACAACTTTGGGTGTTATTACCAAAGGTACTGTCATTGAAGTAAATGTGAGCGAATTGGGCCTTGTGACACAAGGAGGCAAAGTTATTTGGGGTAAGTGAATTTTTGAATACAGGGCTGCTGTGTTCTGCAGTACTAATAGAAATACTATTCAAGTTGATGTATTAATAAAATATACAGCAAATTTTTTTAATGCAGTAGAGCTAAAACACTGTAAATCAGATGTAAATATTTAGTAAAAAATACTTTATAGAAAAAGTTGTTATAAATACAATTGTTTTAAAATTTAGCTTACTGGTTTTAGTTACATAAGGTGTAATACATTCTGCTAGATTTATTTTTATCCTTTTTAGCCAGGCACAGCAGCTCACGCATGTAAATCCCAGCACTTTGGGAGGCTGAGGCGGGTGGATCACCTGAAGTCAGGAGTTTGAGACCAGCCTGGCCAACATGGCAAAACCCCACCTCTACTAAAAATACAAAAAAATCAGCCGGGTGTGGTGGCGAGCACCTCTAATCCCAGCCACTTGGGAGGCTGAGGCAGGAGAATCACTTGAACTCAGGAGGCGGAGCTTGCAGTGAGCTGAGATTGTGCCACTGCACTCCAGACTGGGAGACAGAGCAAATCTCCATCTCAAAAAAAATTTTTTTAACCTTTTTAATAAAAATTATTATAAGGGAAGCAGATGCAAAGTTATAACTAAGAAATATTATAAGAAAATAGAATAAATTAACCATGAGCAGAGGAAGGGAGGCATATATCAAACATATTTTAAAAGTGAGGTCAGCTTACATGAAGTATTAGCCAATGACTAAAGATGTCTTCCGTAAGAAAAAATTTCTTTTGCCACAACTTTATATTATGTAAATACTTCTTATATTTACATGCTAACATTAAGAGAAAATACCTATTACATTTAAAGAAATAGAACTATCTGTCCCACGTAGGTAAACTGATCATTGAAACTGCCAGGAGCGGTGGCTCAGCCTGTAATCCCAGCACTTTGGGAGGCTGAGGCGGACAGATCATCTGCAGTCAGGAGTTCAAGACCAGCCTGGCCAACATGGTGAAACCCCATCTCTACTAAAAATACACAAATTAGCCAGGTGTTGTGGCCCACACCTGTAATCCCAGCTGCTCCGGTGGCTGAGGCAGGAGAATCGCTTGAACCTGGGAGGTGGAGCTTGCAGTGAGCTGAGATCGTGCCATTGCACTCCAGCCTGGATGACAGAGCGAGACTCTGTCTCAAAAAGTAATAATAATAATTGAAAGTGATTTAACACAGTTTAGTTCGTTCTGTTAATTCCCATTAACAGGTCTCAGAAATCATGTAGAAGCTTCCAGGCTTTAAAAAGCCCCCTCGCTATCTGGGCGCAGTGGCTGACACCTATAATCCCAGCACTTGGGGAGGCCGAGGCAGGCGGTTCACTTGAGACTGGAGTTGGAGACCAGCCTGGCCAACATGACAAAACGCCGTCTCTACTAAAAATACAAAACAATTAGCCAGGTGTGGTTGTGGGTGCCTGTAATTCCAGCTACTCGGGAGGCTGAGGCAGGAGAATCACATGAACCTGGAGCTTGCAGTGAGCTGAGATCATGCCACTGCACTCCGGCCTGGGAGACAGAGCAAGCCTCCATCTCAAAAATAAGTAAAATAAAAATATTTTGATCTTTTTTAATAAAAATTCTTTATTACAAGGGAAGCAGATGCAAAGTTATAACTAAAAAAAATTGTAAAAAAAAAATAGAATAAATTAACCATGAGCCGAGGGAGGCATACAACATATAATCACACTAGATCAGTAATAATTAAAACAGAAATGTGTCATGCAGTAATTTTAAACGCCCTCATTTGCTTAGTTTTCTACCTTTAGTACCCAGATCCAATTTCTTTGAAAGGGAAGAATACACGCTACAACTTCTTCAGTCATTGGTTTATACTTCATGTCAGCTGACCTCAGTTTTAAAATATGTTGTTACCTTGACTTGAAACTCATTTGAAACTTGATACATTTTCCAGGAAGAATTATGTGAAAAAGTGACAATGCTCAGGTCAATCCACAAAAGCCTGTTAATGCAATGTACTAATAACATGGAGCTGGCCATTATTTGCAAAAACACTATTTGTATGAAAATTGTATTCAGAACTCAAATTTGTCCTTAAATGATTGAATTTTGTAAAATCTCATTTATCCTTTATGGTTCATTTCTTATTTATTGAAAGTGGTAATTAGAAATATTTTAGGCATGGCTGGGCGCAGTGGCTCACACCTATAATCACAGCACTTTGGGAGGCCAAGGCAGGCGGATCATTTGAGCTCAGGAGTTCGAGCCCAGCCTGGGCAACATGGCAAAACCACATCTCTACAAAATACAAAAACAAAAAAATTAGCCAGGCAGTGGCGTGTGCCTGTGGTCCCAGCTACCCGGAAGACTGAGTGAGGAGAATCGCTTGAGCCCAGGAGGCAGAGGTTGCAGTGAGCCAGATCACGCCACCACACTGCAGCCTGGGGAATAAGAGTGAAACCCTGTATTAAGACAAAAAGAAAAAAAAGGCAAAAGTTATATTCTTTAAAATTAATTTTTATTAGCTAACAACCCTCCCTTTTCCCTTTTTTGGTTTTGTTTTCCTTAGGAAAATATGCCCAGGTTACCAACAATCCTGAAAATGATGGATGTATAAATGCAGTCTTACTGGTTTGACAGCAATTTCATATATAATTATTGAGGACTACACACCAATTGAAGAAACTGCCATTACTGTGATGTTTCTGAATACTACCAAACAGCCATACATGTCTGCAATGAAGAGATTTATTAAATTGTAAACATTAAAGTGGTCCAGTTTTATAAATGGTCTTTATTTTGAAATACGCTTTGACCCCATGTTCATAAAACTGAATGATTGAAAAAAAGCAAATATACAAATATCCTACTTCATCAATATCTGCATTTGTGAGTGGGTATTCAGCAATTTCCTGAAAAAACCACCAGTGTTCATTGAAAATGCCTTTCAAAAAGGTTAATACACAATTATGTGTCTGAGAATTTAACTGAAGTATCTTCAAAATCTCGTTAATCATTAATCCTAAAAAAGGTAGGTAGCATTAATACAGATGTTAAGTTTATAGTGTTTGTTTACACTAGAAGTATGTGAGAAGACACTAAAAGTTCAGAAATCTTAGAGAAATCTTTTCACCTGTGAAATCCAGTACAGCAAAGGTCTAGTGAATTCACATTCTAAACATTTTTTTCATCTCATTTACCATGTATAATAATACCTACTTGGCACTATTTTCTACTTGAATCATGAAAATGAAAAAAATATACTAAAGTCTTTGTACTCTCTTAGCATTTTCTGTATTCTAAACAATATATTTATACTTTCAGAATAGTATTAAGAATTAGTTTAAGTAACTCCAGCTAAGTTTTAAAAGGAAAAAGAAGACTGCACTGATTCCCTGAGGAGAAATTTATTTGCAGTTACTTAGATGATGTAAAAAGGTAAGGATTTACGGTTGTAACTTGGTGAAAGCACTTTTGTGATCTGTTATATGTTGTGGTTTTAAGGATGGCGTATATTACATTAATCTATAATCACCACATTGTTTTAAATTGTTTATTTTTTTTTTAAAGAAGTCTGTCTTCAGAGTACAACCAATGTGATTAATTGTGCCTTTAACAAAGTCATTCAATGTCTAAACAAATTCAGTATCTGAAACATCTTCATGAGGAAAACTGAAGGAAAGGAATTTAAAAACACAGACCAGGAAACAATCACAAAATATAGGTTTAATTACTACTTTTAAACTTAAAAAAAAATAAAAACCAAGAAAACAAACATAGGTACTCCAGTAAGACTTGCTACTCTGAATAATGTAACATTTTTTCTAAGTTCTATAAATATATACTGGAAGTTTTAGAACACATACAGACGCTTAGGAAAAGAAAGGCTAGTTCCTTGGAAATGACGATCCAGGATGATACAATCACTTGATGACAGAAGGTAAGCCTTTCTTACAATTAGATTTTAGCAGATAATTTTACCACTAATATAAATGGGTGATGTGTGGATCACAAGTTCTAGAAGGCGAATAAAAATACTGACTCCAGGTAATTTCTGGATACTACAAAAATGAAGTTTGCTTGTTTTTTTTAGAACCAAAAATACTATCTTGTAAGGTACAAAGAAAGCTTGATATTAAGTATGAAAACATAAGCATAACATTTGTAACTAATCACACCCATGAAAGACGACTAGATGACACCTGAAACATTTTTCAAAATACTGTAACACAGATGAGTAATATTAGTATAAATTTTTTATGTACATTAAGATCTGTTTCAGTTTGCTGGTGTGACCAAACCTTAGAAGGTAATCCCAAGGGATAAAGCAGAACATAAGAGCAGATATTTAGATATTAGTACAGGCTCAATTTGATGCAATCATAAACCTTCAAGATTTCTAGTCACTGAAACCCCATTGTAGGTAGTGTTCTGGAGTCTGCTATAAGTAAATCTTTAATGACTAGATGTTTTCCTTACCATCTACACTGAATGGAAATACCATGAATATAGACACATTTTAAGTAGAAGACTGACGTTCTAAATCATGCTGTTTGATTTTATAAAAAAATCATAATAGACCCTCTCACCTTTAAAAGTTGTAGAGGAGCTTTATAATAAATTCTTAAATATACTAATTTCTGTGATGTCTAGCAATTGAATAATTTAAACTTGAAAGAACTAAAATACTAATAACCATCTGCTTTATATTACACAAGGAAATATACACGTATGTACATAAAAAGTGAACTCCCTTCACAAATAAGTTCACAAAGGACTATGTGTAATGTGACTGGACATTCAACAACTAGACTAGCCGGTTGAAATCACATTTTCAGTCCTCTGTAATTGTGAAATTTTTTCTAATGCCTTGCAAAAACTACAGATAACTGATTAAGTTCATGTAGGTTCCTTATTGAAGATAAATTGTGGTATAAATTCTATACTCAAGTTACTGAACATGAGAGTTAGGTTTTTCCAAGTGATCTAACTTTTCCCTCTATAATCTATAAACCCCAAAATAACAATTTCTGTCAGAGAGAATCTGTAACAGAAGTGTTCTTGTGTGCTGAACAAAAAACTTCTAAATTGTTTACAATTCACTTACTATTTAACCCAAACAAGTTTAACAAGAATAAGTTTATACTGTTAGCCCCCAATGGTCATATATGATTAATAAACATTTTTTGTAAACTCAACTATATTCACACATCAAGAGTTGAGCCAGTGAGCTCAATCTTTAAAAAACTACACTTGTCTAAAGAAAGTCTTTTAGTGCTCACTTCGGCAGCACATATACTAAAATTAGAACAATACAGGGAAAATTAGCATGGCCCCTGTGCAAGGATGACACAAATTCATGAAGCGTTTCCATGTTTAAAATAATTTGAAAAGAAAGTATTTTAAACAAATCCAAGTAAAAATAAAATATCTACAAGTGTTTTCAAATCTAAGAAATGAAACATGTAAAGATTAAGAATTTACTGAATCTTAACAGAGTATTTCCCTTTGTGATATTGACAGAAGTTTCTCATAAAATGTATAAAACAGCATAAATGTTTGGTAGATTCACTAATAGTAGTCATACTTTTTTTTTTTTACTTAGTATTAGCATTTGTTGAAAAAATAAATGGCCAAAGTGCTTTAATTTTCATTTAGAATGAAATAATCTGGCTTACCTTTGACTAATTAAAGAAAATATAGGGTAATACAATTGTTCAAAATCTAACACAAATAGGAGCGTTTACTATTTTTGTCTGCTTTAAGATTTTAACTTGATCGAAAATACCAACATCCCCAAACAAAATTTACTGACCTGACATCAGCTTACTATAGACTGAATACACTTTCAACATCAGTCCTTAGCTACCTCAAATAATGACACAAAGTCTTAGTTTCTTTTGCATAAGGATCAAGATCAAGCTATTTTTAAAACAATTTAAATGGTCTCAAAACATTCTCCAACTTAAGTGCAAATTTGAGTACACATAATATTTCCAAAGAGTAGAACTGTTTTTAGATTATCTTTGGATTCTAATAACCATTTTGTCCATTTTTAAATAAATTACAAAAAATAACAGTTCAGTGTTTTTTTTCTTCAAATTTTCCTAGGCCTTTGTTATGGCAACACAATATATACTTAACAGGCCAGCTTGCAACCAGTACTCAGTACAAATCAAAGGATGATTGAAGCCTCCAATATGATTGAAGCCCTTGTAACCACAGCTCCCCCAAAGGCAGTTTACCCCTGCCATATAGGTCTAACACTGGGGGCAGTTTTACTCCTGCCATATAGGTCTAACATTGTGGGGTGCACCTCCAAACCTACCCAAAAATGGACATCAAGGGCATAAGCCGGCAGGCAGGAAGATCTGTTGATTGGAGAATCACTCCATGAGTTACAGAAGTAGATGAAAGCTGTGGGGGAATATAAATAAGACTGTAGAATTAGGGAGGTGGCAAGATTTAAGGAGATGCCTTAGGAAGGAGCCTCATACTTCTGAAATATAGATGTTAACTGGGTTGGGATAAAAGTAAAATCTCCAGCTTAATTTATCTATCTGATCAGGACCAGAAGTCCAAATTAAACCATGTCTCCAAAGTATAGTTGTGATTTTTACCTGATTAAAGGTGAAAGTCTAAACTTCTAGGCGTCTGCACATATGCAGACAAAAAAAATTACAGCAAACTAATACTTCAAATGAAATTTTAAATAATTAGTCCCCACATGCCACAGTTAAATCCCTGACAGTACTGTTAACATCAGATGATAGAATGAATCAGAAACAGATTTTATGTGTACCTTTCCATAGATAGTGAAGTCAAAGGAAAAAACTGCATCTATATCTAGGATTAAGAGGCCAAAACCAAAATATCTTCATGAACCTTTGACCGTAAGTTTCTGTTTTTGTGCTCTCATTTACTTGAAGTTATATTTTTTCTAATTTATTGACACTTATTTTTGTTTAGGCATGCCTACATTTTAAAAAATTGGTGATTAGTTTTGAAATTTAAAACTTCTAGAACCCTCACCAAGTTTTACTATTAAAACCCTTAGTATAAAAGATTTCTGTGATCCTTATAAGTAATGGAAATCCTACTACTTTCACAGCTTTTTAATTATATTTTTGAAATAATGGTCAGATGTACCACCTGATAAAGAAAATATAATATGATCTGGTTTCCCAAAATTGAAACATGGTTAATAAAAATAAAAAATTGCATTTACCAAAAATAGCCTGGAAAATTAAAAACAATGGTGAATTCTACGTTCTAAAGGGAAGCAAAAAACTGCATAGTAAGTAAGTTCAAATTGAAATTTTGGAAATTTTTGTCCTGTGCCCCATGCTGTTTATTAATTACCATATTTTAAAAACAACAACTATGTTACAAAGAAGAGGATTTATCATCCACTTTCTTCTTCCTTCAGGTCAGCTTAGCTTTCTTCTTAGCAGGTCCTTTATGCCCTTTGGCCTTTCTTCTTAAATTCCGCCTGTCTACCACAGGCACTTCCACTTCTATTTCCTCTGAGCTGCTATCCACAGCTTTTTCTGCCGATTGTGTAAACTGATCCAGTTGCTCGGAAGATGCTTCAGACTGCTCCTCTGACTGATTCTTCTGTCCTGCATTCTGTGAAAATGGCACGTCTTCAAGTTCAACCTCTATCAAAGAACTCTGAGGAAGAGCAGTAGATGTTTCCTGGGGCTCAGATACCCCCTCCTCACCCTGGTCTTCCAATGAGGAAGTAGTATTAGGAGACAAATTCTCAGAGACCGGTTCTTCGGAAAATTCAGCTATCACAGAGTTTGGAAAACCACCATCAGATCGTTCTTCATTTGACATAGTAGCAACATTGTCTGAACTCCCAAGATGTGCTTTCTTTCTTGGAAGTAGGGACAATTTCTCTTCCATGTGCCCCTTTTCATCAGATGTGCCTTCATCCATCAACATTTCTGAGTCAGGTATACGTGGGGTCTGAAAATTAAAAACCTGGTCAACAAATAAACTTGTACTACAGTTCTAAAAATAAATTCTCAGGCTCTAATATGCAGTGACACTGAACTAGAATTTAATTCGGTATTCATTACTCAAAATCGAGTATTTTTTTGAATTTCTGTTCTGCTATATGTGTATATATTCTGAATACAACTCAATTTCTTCAAAATTGTTTCACATGGTAATTTTAATACTAAGTTATTACTTTGAGGATATAATGAAATAATTATTTCATAATTAAGACACATTAAGCTTCATATCAAGATTCTTTAAAACCATGAATCAACTCAGTTTTTTTAGTTTCCTGGTGTTACTGGAGCCAGAACCAAAAATACCTTGGGACTTCACTGCGCTACCACACTACGTTTGACTACGATTTCATTAGATAAGTTAGGGCAATGGAAGTTTTATTCTTTTGCTTAGGTGAGACACTAATAATGCCATACAACAGTTTTTTAGCCATAAGTTGTAATATTCAAAAGTAACAAAATTAAATTTCTTTTAAAATACTCCAACAAGTTTTTTCCCCCACTAACCTAATCTGTCTGCCTAATTAAAACAAATATAAATTACTGTTTTGGTCATAGTCTATGTAACAAATATAGGTACTCAAATATTTGGTAAATAATGCTTTATCCAATTTTCTAAGCATTTCCTAACTACAAAGTATTAAAAGTAATAAAACTCATTTTGTTACCACATATCAGATATGAATAAGGTTATTATTTGAATTTATAGAATATTACTGATTTTCTTATAATATCAAATCTAGTATAAAAGTTAATCTTCCTAAAGCACTGTACATGTAAAGGTGGAAGCAAATATATATACCATGCACCCTCCTCGCTAATGTCACCAACATTGGTAAACTTTATTAAAAAATAGCTCATTGCCCCCTTACCTTATCTGGTGCATCTACCTCAGGGGGTTTTGAAGATTCTACCACCAGTGGAACAAGATTTGTAGAGTCTTCACTGGAATTAAAAGGCTGCAATTTTAATTCTTCATCTAAAACTTCACTAGTGGAGTCTTCCTCTTCTGTTATAAGTGAGGTCTTAAGAGAATCGTCCATTATCTCACCATTCATAGGCTCTAATTCAGATTCCTACACCATGAGGAGAGAGGGAAAAAGTAAGGACATGATTACAAACTAACTTATTTGTCATGCATGACGGGTCCCTTCTCAGTGCCTACCTATCCTACACCAAGACTCAAATTTACATTATAGGACATGGGTTAAAGAACAGTCTTACTGGGGGAAGGAGGAAACTCATAAGGCAATATCAGCAAAATAAAATAATCCTGAGTACCCCGTACTCCCACTGCTCTTAAGGAAAGATGGGGCAGGACCAGGATGCTCTGTGGACACACAGTATGGGTCGGAGATTCAATGAAAAGACCCTACCCACTTGTTGTTCCTCCTTCTTAGAGGGCAATCAGGGAAAGAACTTTTTCAGGAAAAAGGCACCAGACAGAGTATAGACTTGATGCTAGCTCTTTACATAACACCAGCTGTTCAGCATCTGGAATCTATGGGAAATTACAGTTTTCTGTGCCAGAGGTAGGAAGCACTACCAGTCTTATGGGAAGTTCAGTTTGGGTGCTGCATCTTGCTGGGAGGAGAGAGCCCTAGTCTCAGTCAACACCAGGGTCATTTCTGAACAGTCCTGCTCCTTGCATATCATTAAAGTATGGAAATGCTATTTGATAACATGAACTCTCCAATTTCTAAAATTCTCCCAATGTTTATCCATTTACTTCTATTTAATATCAAGTATTTCTAATCCTGACATTCTAATAATTAAGGGGAATTTTATTACCATTATTAAAATTATAAAACTGATGCATTCAAGTGTTCACAAATAGATTTGACTGTGTAGGACCCCTAAAAGCATATCAAGGAAATTTTTCCAAAAGAGAAATCACGGTTTTTAATTTTTCTATAGTAAAAAATTTATTAAATTGTTCTAAAATAAAAATTGTCTATAAAATATCTATTTTATTATATCATATGATACACAGAATAGAGTTCACACAGAAGGTAATATAAAGCTCATAAAAATGACCAGAGTCGAGAGACATATAATCTAGAGTTACTGGTCATTCCCATAGATAAAACAGTTGAAGTCATGAGATCGGATGTATTTTCAAAAAAGATAAAATGAACCAAAGTTCAGAAAATCAAGGACTTTTTCTAGAGTGTCCACAATAAGGGGGAAAAGGCAAGTAGGAGAAGAGTCAAAAAATAAAAATAATACTTCAGAGACAGAAAAAACAAGAAACCAGCATGGCCAATATGGTGAAACCCGCTCTCTACTAAAAATATAAAAATTAGCCAGGCATGGCGGCACTCGCCTGTAGTCCCAGCTACTTGGGAGGCTGAGGCAGAATAGCTTGAACCCAGGATGCAGAGGTAGCAGTGAGCCAGAGAGATCATGCCACTGCAGTCCAGCCAAGGGAGACAGAGCAAGACTCCGTCTCAAAAAAAAAAAAAAAAAAACAAGAAACCAAAGTGCAATAGTATTATAAAGTGAGGAGACTAGAGAACTTCAGGAAGAGAGGGTAATCAACCCAGGCTAAAAAAAAAAAAAAAAAAAAAAAAAATAGGCTGGGCCACGGTGGCTCACACCTGTAATCCCAGCACTTTGGGAGGCCGAGGCGGGCGGATCACAAGGTCAGGAGATCGAGACCATCCTGGCTAACATGGTGAAACTCCGTCTCTACTAAAAAATACAAAAAATTAGCCGGGCGTGGTGGCAGGCGCCTGTAGTCCCAGCTACTCGGGAGGCTGAGGCAGAAGAATGGCGTGAACCCGGGAGGCGGAGTTTGCAGTGAGCCAAGATCGCGCCACTGCACTCCAGCCTGAGCAACAGAGCAAGACTCCGTCTCAAAAAAAAAAAAAAAAAAATGAAAATGATAGTTGTCACTGTCACTGGTATATGTCTTATTGATGAAACAGGTTACATGAAGTATGTACAATATAATCTTAACTTTTTAAAAGTGAAAAAAAGGCCAGGCACCGTGGCTCACGCCTATAATCCCAGCACTTTGGAAGCCAAGGCAGGTGGATCACAAGGTCAGGAGTTCAAGACCAGCCTGGCCAAGATGGTGAAACCCCATCTCTACTAAAAATACAAAAATTAGCTGGGCATGGTGGCAGGCGCCTGTAATCCCAGGTACTCGGGAGGCTGAGGCAGAGAATTGCTTGAACCTGGGAGGTAGAGGTTGCAGTTAAGCCTAGATTGCACCACTGCATTCCAGCCTGGGCAACAGAGCGAGACTCCGTCTCAAAAGAAAAAAAAGAAAACCCCACAAATACGTATTTCCATAAACATCTAGATGCATACAAATCCTGTTTTTAAAAAATACGTGCTTTTAACTTCCTATATGTGCTTTTTTTCATTTTCCCAATTTTCTACAATAAAAGTACCATTTAAAAATACAGTTTCCAGCTAGGCGCCGTGGTTTATGCCTGTAATCCCAGCACACTGGGAGGCAGAGGGGAGAGGATCACTTGAGGTCCAGAGTTCAAGACCGGACTGGCCAACATTGGCAAAAACCCCATCTCTACTGAAAATACAAAAATTAGCCTGGCATGGTGGCACATGCCTAATTCAAGCTACTTGGGAGGCTAAAGCATGAGAATCGCTTAAACTCAGGAGGTGGAGGTTGTAGTGAGCTGAGTTCGTGCCACTGCACTCCAGCCTGCATGACAGAGAATCTGTCTCAAAACACACACACACGTATGTATATATATAGTTTCCTATCAAATAGTGGGATAAGGACATGAATAGATAATTCTCAAAAGAAGATATACAAATGGCCAACAAACATGGAAAAATGCTCAACATCACTAATTGTGATGGCTAATACTGTCAACTTGATTGGATTGAAGGATGCAAGGTATTGTTCCTGGGTGTGTCTATAAGGAGATAAACATTTGAGTCAGTGGACTGGGAGAGGCAGACGCACCCTCAATCTGGGTGGGCACCATCTAATCAGCTGCCAGCATGGCCAGAATAAAAAGCAGGCAGAAGAACGTGGAGAGATTAGACCAGCTTAGCCTCCCAGCCTACATCTTTCTCCTGTGCTGGATGATTCCTGCCCTCAAACATCAGACTCCAGGTTCTTCAGCTTCAGGACTCAGACTGGCTTCCTTGCTCCTCAGCTTGCAGACAGCCTATTGTGGGACCTTGTGATCATGCAAGTTAATATTCCTTAATAAACTCCCCTTTATATATACATCTGTCCTATTAGTTCCATTCCTCTAGAGAACCCTAACAGGCTTTGGTACCAGGAGTGGTTCTAGAGGAACAGAATATTAAGGATGGAGTTCTTTCGTAGGTTTTGGGGTTTCTGAAGTTGGCTCCTTAATATGATCAGACACCAAAATGCTAAGGACTCTACTTCTAATAGTATGGAGAACACTGATAGTCTTTGGCATGAACTGTTTAGAGTTATGCAAAATAAATGCATTTGACACTCCTGATACACCGCTCGTGAGAGGGAAGAAGTTTGGTGACTCTAAACATAATACCTTTGACCATATGGAGAACCAAGGAACATAATGAAGTTAGTTGGCTGCTCCTAAGTTCACTGGACAAAGTGATGAAAGACAATGATGAACTCAGGGATTCTAACTCCTGGCTTCAAAAGCAGATACTCGCTTTAAAAGCCCCAAGTGAGAGTCTTATCTCCTGTAGACAAAGAGCTGAAATTGTGGAAAATCAGACACAACCTCTTATCATGTAAGTGGCTGACCTGCAACGAAAGGTGCATGCACAGCCTCGCCAGGTGTCTACTCTTAAAGTGAGGGCCCTGATTGGAAAAGAATGGGACCCTGCAACTTGGAATGGGGACACGTGGGAGGACCCTGATGATGCTGGGGACACAGAGCTTGTAAACTCTGATGAGACTTTTTGCCAGAAGAAACAGCTTCGCCATCCCCAGTAGTGGTAACATCACCTCAGGAGAAGAGAGCCAGCCCTGTTTGCTTCTAGACCTATAACTGGACTAAAGTCCCGGTGGCCTCCTAGAGGTGAAGTTCAGAGTGTGACCCACAAGGAGGTGTGCTACACTTGAAAAGAACTGCTAGAGTTTTCTAATTTATATAAGCAGGAATCTGGAGAACAGGTGTGGGAACGGATGTTAAGGGTGTGGGATGATGGTGGAAGGAACATAGAGTTCGATCAGGCTGAATTTATTGATTCGGGCCCACTAAGTAGGGACTCTGCATTTAATGTTGCTGCTCAGGGAATTTAAAAAGGTTCTAATAGCTTGATTGCTTGGTTAGCTGAAATACGGATTAAAAGATGGCTCACTCTGAGCGAGCTGGAAATGCTGATCTCCCTTGGTTTAATGTAGAGGAAGAGATCCAAAGGCTTAGAGAGATTGGGATGGTGGAGTGGATTAGTCACTTTAGACCTACTCATCCCAGCTGGGAGGGTCCAGAAGATATACCCTTGACCGATGCTTTGCGAAAGAGATTTGTGAGGGCAGCATGTTAATCTTCAAAGAGCTCTATGATTACTCTTCTCTGTATGCCAAATCTAACAGTGGGAACTGCAGTCACTCAACTACAAAATTTAGAACGGGAATAATTGGATCCTGACGTGGCAGAGGCCAAGTGGGAGCACTCAACCATCAAATGCAAGGTGGGCGAGCTACCATAATGGACCGCAGCAGAGGCAAAGCAGCAATCAGAATAATCTGACTTGTGTACAGCTTTTGCACTGGCTAATTAATCACAGTGTTCCCAGAAGTGGAATTGATAGGAAGCCTACTGAATTCCTACTTAATTCATATAAGTGGAAAACTTCCAGGTCGAGTGGACAAAAGACTAATCTGAATTATTAAAAAAAAGAGAGAATCACAGCCCCTCAATTTCCAGACTTGAGCCACTTTATAGACCCAGAACACCTTGAATGAAGCCCCTTGAGGAAGGACCCCACTACAGTAGAGACAATTTATGCTGTGAGTCTTTCTCCCATCCTTCCCCAAGGAGACCTCTGGCCTTTTACCAGGGTAACTGTGCACTGGGGAAAGGGAAATGATCAGACATTTCAGGGACTACTGGACACTGGCTCTGAGCTGACGTTGATTCCGGGGGACCCAAAACGTCACTGTGGTCCTCCAGTTAAAGTAGGGGCTTATGAAGATCAGGTAATCTAATGGAGTTTTAGCTCAGGTCTGACTTACAGTCGGTCCAGTGGGTCCCCGGACTCATCCTGTGGTCATTTCCCCAGTGCCAGAATGCATTAATTGGCATAGACATACTTAACAGCTGGCAGAGCCCCCACAATGGCTCCCTGACTGGTGGGGTGAGGGCTATTATGGTGGGACAGGCCAAATGGAAACCATTAGAGTTGCCTCTACCTAGAAAAATAGTCAATCAGGCCGGGGGCGGTGGCTCATGCCTGTAATCCCAGCACTTTGGGAGGCCAAGGCGGGCGTATCACCTGAGGTCGGGAGTTCGAAACCAGCCTGACCAACATGGAGAAACCCCATCTCTACTAAAAATACAAAATTAGCCGGGCATGGTGGCACATGCCTGTAATCCCAGCTACTAGGGAGGCTGAGACAGGAGAATCGCTTGAACCTACGAGGTGGAGGTTGCGGTGAGCCAAGATCGTGCCATTGCACTCCAGCCTGGGCAACAACAGCGAAACTCCATCTCAAAAAAAAAAAAAAGAAAGAAAAATAGTCAATCAAACACAATATCGCATCCCTGGAGGCACTGCAGAGATTAGTGCCACCATCAAGGACGGTGCAGGGGTGGTGATTCCCATCACATCACGGTTCAACTCTCTCATTTGGTCTGTGCAGAAGACGGATCTTGGAGAATTACAGTGGAGTATCATAAACTTAACCAAGTGGTGACTCCAATTGCAGCTGCTGCACCAGATGTGGTTTCATTGCTTGAGGAAATTAACATATCTCCTGGTACCTGGTATGCAGCCAATGATTTGCCAAATGCCTTTTTCTCCATTCCTGTCCATAAGGCCCACCAGAAGCAATTTGCGTTCGGCTGGCAAGGCCAGCAACACACCTTTACTATCCTACCTCAGGGGTATATCAACTCTCCAGATTTGTGTCATAACCTTGTTCAAAGAGACCTTGATCGCTTTTCACTTCCACAAGTTATCACACTGGCCCATAACATTGATGACATTATGCTGATTGGATCCAGTGAGCAAGAAGTAGCAAACACACTGGACTTATTGATGAGACATTTGCATGCCAGAGGATGGGAAATAAATCCGACTACAATTCAGGGACCTTCTACCTCAGTAAAGTTTCTAGGGGTCCAGTGGTGTGGGGCCTGTTGAGATATTCCTTCTAAGGTAAAGGATAGGATGCTGCATTTGGCCCCTACTACAACCAAGAAAGAGGCACAGCACAAGTTGGCCTATTTGGATTTTGGAGGCAACAAATTCCTCATTTGGTTGTGTTACTCCAGCCCATTTATCGAGTGACCCAAAAGGCTGCCAGTTTTGAGTGGGATCCAGAACAGGAGAAGGCTCTGCGACAGGTCCAGGCTGCTGTGCAAGCTGCTCTGCCACTTGGGCCATATGATCCAGCAGATCTAATGGTGCTTGAGGTGTCAGTGGCAGGCAGGGATGCTGTGAGAAGCCTTTGGCAGGCCCCCATAGGTGAATCACAGCGGAGGCCTCTAGGATTTTGGAGCAAGGCCCTGCCATCTTCTTCAGATAACTACTCTCCTTTAGAGAGACAAGTGCTGTTTGGAGCCTTTGGCAGGCTCCCATAGGTGAATCGCAGTGGAGGCCTCTAAGATTTTGGAGCAAGGCCCTGCCATCTTCTGCAGATAACTGCTCTCCTTTTGAGAAACAGTTCTTGGCCTGTTACTGGGCTTTGGTAGAAACCGAATGCTTGATTATGGGTCATCAAGTCACCATGTGACCTGAACTGCCTATCATGAACTGGGTGCTTTCTGACCCATCTAGTCATAAAGTGGGTCATGCACTGCAGCATTCCATCATCAAATTGAAGTGGTATATATGTGATCGGGCTTGAGCAGGTCTTGAAGACACAAGTAAGTTACATGAGGAAGTGGCTCAAACGCCCATGGTCTCCACTGCTGCCACCCTGGCCTTCTTTTCCCTAGCCTGCACCGATGGCCTTATGGGGAGTTCCCTATAATCAGCTGACAGAGGAAGAGAAGACTAGGGACTGGTTCAAAGATGGTTCTGCATGATATGCAGGCACCACCCAAAAGTGGACAGCTACAGCCCTATAGCCCCTTTCCTGAAGGACACTGGTGAAGGAAAATCTTCCCAGTGGGCAGAACTTCGAGCAGTGCACCTGGTTGTGCACGTTCCAAGGAAGTAGAAATAGACAGATGTGTGATAATACTGATTCATGGACTGCAGCCAATGGTTTGGATGACGGTCAGGGACTTGAAAGAAGCATGATTGGAAAACTGGTGACAAATTTGGGGAAGAGGTATGTGGATGGACCTCTCTGAGTGGTGAAAAAATGAAGTTATTTGTATCCCCTGTGAGTACTCTACCAAAGGGTGACCTGAGCAGAGGAGGATTTTAATAATCGAGTGGATAGGATGACTTGTTCTGTGGACACCACACAGCCTCCTTACCCAGCCGCCCCTGTCATCACCCAATGGGTCCATGAACAAAGTGGCCATGGTGACAGGGATGGTGGTTACGCATGGGCTCAGCAACATGGACTTCCACTCACCAAGGCTGACCTGGCTAAGGCCACTGCTGAGTGCCCAACTTGCCAGCAGCACAGACCAACACTAAGCCCTTAATATGACACCAGTCCTTGGGGTGATCAGACAGCTAATTGGTGGCAGGTTGATTACACTGGACCTCTTCTATCATGGAAAGAGCAGAGGTTTGTCCTCACTGGAATAGACACCTACTCTGGATATGAGTTTGCCTCTCCTGCACGCAATGCTTCTGCCAAGACTACCACCCGTGGACTCGCGGAAGGCCTTATCCATCATCATGCTACTCCACACAGCATTGCCTCTGAACAAGGCACTCACTTTACGGCAAAAGCAGTGCGGCAGTGGGCTCATGCTCATGGAATTCACTATTCTTACCATGTTCCCCATCATCTTGAAGCAGCTGGATTGACAGAATGGTGGAATGTCCTTTTGAAGTCACAATTACAACGCCAACTAGGTGATAATACTTAGCAGGGCTGCGGCAAAGGTCTCCAGCAGGCTGGGTATGCTCTGAATAAGCATCCAGTATATGGTACTGTTTCTCCCATAGCCAGGATTCACAGGTCCAGGAATCCAGGGGTAAAAGTGGAAATGGCATCACTCACCATCACCCCTAGTGATCCACTAGAAACATTTTTGCTTCCTGTCCCCATGACATTACGTTCTGCTGGCCTAGTGGTATTAGTTCCAGAGAGACGAACGCTGCCACCAGGAGACACAACAATGATTCCATTAAACTGGAAGTTAAGATTGCCACTTGGACACTTTGGGCTCCTCCTACCTTTAAGTCAACAGGCTAAGGAGGGAGTTACAGTGTTGGCTGGGGTGACTGACCCAGACTATCAAGATGAAATCAGTCTACTACTCCACAATGGAGGTAAGGAAGAGTATGCATGGAATATAGGAGATCCCTTGGGGTGTCTCTTAGTATTACGATGCCCTGTGATTAAGGTCAATGGGAAACTACAACAGCCCAATCCAGGCAAGACTACAAATGGCCCAGACCCTTCAGGAATGAAGGTTTGGGTTACTCCACTAGGAAAAAAAAACATGACCCACTAAGGTGCTTGCTGAAGGCAAAGGGAATACAGAATGAGTAGCAGAAGAAGGTAGTCATCAACTCCAGCTTCGACCACGTGACCAGCTGCAGAAACCAGGACTGTAATTGTCATGAGTATTTCTTCCTTATTTTGTTAAGAACATGTTTGTGCATGTATACATTTGTACTAAGAAAATATCTTCATTTTATTTCCCTTTTCCTTTATCATGTGACATAAGATTTATTGACATCATATCAGCATTAAGTGTTTATGTAATATTATTTGGGTTGGGGGTTTCCACTTGTACGAATGACAGTTGTATTATGTTAGGCATAATTATTACCTTATTATTGTCTTTATTTGAAGATTATGTATGATCTCAGCAAGTGTGTATGGGTTCAGGCTGACAAGGGGTAGACTTGTAATGGTTAATACTGAGTGTCAACTTGATTGGATTGAAGGATGCAAAGTATTGATCCTGGGTGTGGCTGTAAGGGTGGTATTATCAAAAGAAATTAACATTTGAGTCAGTGGACTGGAAGAGGCAAACCCACCCTCAATCCAGGTGGGCACCATCTAATCAGCTGCCAGCATGGCCAGAATAAAAAGCAGGCAGAAGAACATGGAGAGATTAGACTGGCTTAGCCTCCCAGCCTACATCTTTCTCCTGTGCTGGATGCTTCCTGCCCTCAAACATCAGACTCCAGGTTCTTTAGCTTTGGGACTCGGACTGGCTTCCTTGCTTCCTTGCTCCCTTGCTCCCTTGCTCCCCACCTTGCAGATGGCCTACTGTGGGACTCTGTGATCATGTGAGTTAAAACCCCTTAATAAACTCCCCTTTATATACATCTATCCTATTAGTTCTGTCCCTCTAGAGAACCCTGACTAATACACTAATTATCAAGGAAATGCAAATCAAAACCACAATTTGATACCATCTTACCCCTGTAAGTATGGCCACAATAAAAAATAGATGCTGGAGTGGATATGGTGAAAAGGGAACACTTTTACACTACTGGTAGGAACATAAACTAGTACAACCACTATGGAAAACAGTGTGGAGATTCCTTAAAGTACTAAAAGTAGAACTACCATTTGATTGAGCAATCCCACTACTGGCTATCTACCCAGAAAAAAAGAAGTCATATGAAAAAGACACTTGCACATGCATGTTTATAGCAGCACAATTTGCAACTGCAAAAAATATGGAACCAAGCTAAATGCCCATCAACCAGTGAGTAGATAAAGAAAATGTGGTATATATAGGCCAGGCACAATGGCTCACACCTGTAATCCCAGCACTTTGGGAGGCCGAGGTGGGTGGATCATGAAGTCAAGAGATCGAGACCATCCTGGCCAACATGGTGAAACCCCGTCTCTACTACAAATACAAAAACTAACTGGGTGTGGTGGCATGTGCCTGTAATCCCAGCTACTTGGGAGGCTGAGGCAGGAGAATCACTTGAACCAGGGAGTTGGAGGTTGCAGTGAGCTGAGATCGTGCCACTGCACTCCAGCCTGGAGACAGACCAAGAGTCCATTTCAAAAAAAAAAAAAAAAAAAGTGGTATATATAGACCATGGAATACTACTCAGCCACAAAAATGAATGAAATAATGGCATTCACAGCAACCTGCATGGAGTTGGAGACCATTATTCTAAGTGGAGTAACTCAGGAATGGAAAACCAAACATCGTATGTTCTCACTCATAAGTGGGAGCTAAGCTATGAGGAGGCAAAGGCATAAGAGTGTTATCATGGACTCTGGGGACTTGAGGGAAAGGGTAGGAGGCGGGTGAGGGATAAAAGACTACACGTTGGGTACAGTATACACTGCTTGGATGATGGGTGCACCAAAATCTCAGAAATCACCACTAATGAATTTATCCATGTAACCAAACACCCATCTGCTCCCCAAAAACTACTGAAATATTACAAAAATAGGCTGAGCACAGTGGCTCAAGCCTATAATCCCAGCACTTTGGAAGGCCAAGGCGGGCGGATCACACGGTCAGGAGATCAAGACAATACTGGCTAACATAGTGAAACCCCGTCTCTACTAAAAATAGAAAAAATTAGCAGGGCATGGTGGCAGGCGCCTGTAGTCCCAGCTACTCAGAAGGCTGAGGCAGGAGAATGGCATGAACCCAGGAGGCAGAGCTTGCAGTGAGCCGAGATTGTGCCACTGCACTCCAGGCTGGGTGACAGAGCGAGACTCCATCTCAAAAAAAAAAAAAAAAAAGAAATATTACAAAAATAAACATAAAAATATCATTTCATGAGGGTGGGTATGGTGGGTCATGCCTGTAATCCCAGCACTTTGGGAGGCCGAGAGGAGCGGATCAGGAGTTCAAGACCAGCCTGGCAAACATGATGAAACCCCGTCTCGGCGGATCATGAAGTCAGGAGATCAAGACCATCCTGGCTAACACGGTGAAACCCCATCTCTGCTCAAAATTCAAAAAATTAGCGGGGCATGGTGGCGGGCACCTGTACTCCCAGCTACTCAGGAGGCTGAGGCAGGAGAATGGCGTGAACCCAGGAGGCGGAGCTTGCAGTGAGCCGAGATTGTGCCACTGCACTCCAGGCTGGACAACAGAGTGAGACTCCGTCTCAAAAAAAAAAAGAAATATTACGAAAATAAACATAAAAATATCATTTCATGAGGCCGGGTATGGTGGGTCATGCCTGTAATCCCAGCACTTTGGGAGGCCAAGAGGAGCAGATCAGGAGTTCAAGACCAGCCTGGCAAACATGGTGAAACCCCGTCTTGGCGGATCACAAGGTCAGGAGATCAACACCATCCTGGCTAACACGGTGAAACCCCGTCTCTACAAAAAATACAAAAAAATTAGCCGGGCGTTGTGGCGTGTGCCTGTAGTCCCAGCTACTCAGGAGGCTGAGGCAGGAGAATGGCCTGAACCCGGGAGGCAGAGCTTGCAGTGAGCCGAGATCGCGCCACTGCACTCCAGCCTGGGCGACAGAGCGCAACTCCGTCTCAAAAAAAAAAAAAAAAACAAACACAAAAATTAGCCGGGCGTGTTGGTGTACCTGTAATCCTAGCTACTCGGGAGGCAGAGGCAGGAGAATTGCTTAAACCCAGGAGATGGAGGCTGCAGTGAGCTGACATAACATATGTCATTTCATGAAATAGAGGAAGCAGGAGCTAAATCAGAGTAACTTAAGAAAACAAAATTAGCTGGGCACGGTGGCTCACGCCTGTAATCCCAGCACTTTGGGAGGCTGAGGCGGGCACATCACCTGAGGTAAGGAGTTTGAGACCAGCCTGGCCAAAGTGGTGAAACCCCGTCTCTACTAAAAATACAAAAATTAGCTGGGTATGGTGGGGGGAACCTGTAATCCCAGCTACTTGGAAGACTGAGGCAGGAGAATCACTTGAACCCAGGAAGCAGAGGTTGCAGTGAGCCAAGATCACGCCACTGCACTCCAGCCTGGGTGCAAAGAGCAAAACTCCGTCTCAAAAAGAAAAAGAAAACAAAATTGGTAATATAATTTCACTTATTCACCTGCCTGCTAGACTTGGCAAACAGCTGAAAGATTTTTTCAAGAAATTTATGAACATATGAAAGAAGAAATAGAGAATCTGTGGAAAGGAAAAGATTGAAGATACTAAAGAGAAAAATGGAAATGGATAGAGGAAAGAAAAAAGAAGCTGGGGATAAATACTTTAAAGCTGCAGAAATCAACCCAGATGAAGAGTTTACTTAGTTACCAAGGGTTTATATATTTTTTTCTAGTGTTTAAAAAACATGAATTTAGTTATTTTTCCAGAACTTTGTGAGATCAACAGTCATCAAATTTTTTTTCTGGATTAGTAATTCCTACCCCTCTAACTAAAATGGGGGTGCCCCTGAAGGTTTATTGCACCTGAAAGCATTTTAACTGGTTCTATAAGGTAGATCTTATATCATTTGTGTATGTAAGTGTGTTTAATTCCACAAATTAACTTATACTTTAAATGCACCAAAAGATCTTACTAAACATCTCTATTTTATCTTCGATATAATTCAAACTTTTATAAGCTCAAACTTTTATAAACACAATCATATTTGTAATTTTATCCTCTCCCCAACTCTAGTACCTGACCTTGCTTAATATATATGATTTTTAACACTAAACGCAATTTCTAACACTCTAAAATATATCGCTATACTTTTCTAACAACATGTGATTAAGAAAGGTAAAATTTAGTTTACTTTTTTTCATTTTGCTGAATAAGTGATCTCATACCTTTTCACCATCTTGCTTCTCTTGCTGTGGCTGGGTTTCCAGTGCTGGCCGTGCATCTCTATCACTGCTTTCATCCTCAAATTCAATCCCTCTCTGTTCAGGTTCTTCTTCCAGGAATTCTTCTGAGCTCTCTGATGGGCGTGCAGTAGACTCCAATCTAAAAAACAAAAGAAAACCATTCTGACTTGTTTTATTAAGGATAAATATAAAATCTCAGAAGTCCTTTCTTAAAGTAACATTTTAGAGAATCAACTATGTTGTCAACAACTTCAGATTTTACAAGTCTAAAACCAATCTCTTCATCCTCTTATAATATTACCATCTTCTCAATTATGTAAACTAGACCCTTCTTCTTTTATTCTATCCATATCTTAATGGATCTTTTTTTTTTTCCGAGATAAAGTCTCGCTCTGTTGCCCAGGCTGGAGTGCAATGGCGCGATCTCGGCTCACTGCAACCTCCACCTCCCAGGTTCAAGCGATTCTCCTGCCTCAGCCCCCGAGCAGCTGAGACTACAGGCACCTGCCATCACGCTCAGCTAATTTTTTGTATTTTTAGTAAAGACAGGGTTTCACCATGTTAGCCAGGATGGTCTCCACCTCGTGACCTCGTGATCCGCCCATCTTGGCCTCCCAAAGTGCTGGGATTACAGGTGTGAGCCACAGCGCCCAGCCTGAATCTTTTTTTTTTTTTTAACCTCATTTATACTGAAGGACCATGGATCTTATTCTATTAGAATGAGCATATATCCCAGTTTACCTGGAGCAGTCCCAGTTTACAGACTTTTGTTCATAATTATGGATACTGGCATAATTATTAATAATGCTCCTTTCATTCTCAAAAATGTCACCTTGGACAACACATTATATGGTTTAGTTCTAACTCCAAAACTGCCTTTCAAATATATTCCTGACTTTCTATGCCCATTTTCACAGCTCTGCTTCAGGCCCCAGTTCTCTCTGGACCACTGTACTTCTCCCCAATTCAGCTTCAGACTTGTAGTACATCTTCATCAAGGCTTTCAAAGAGCTGGCTTTCTAATGCACATCATCTACACCTGTGATAGCCCAGCTCAGAAACGTCTGGTGGTTCTCTATAAGCTCAGTGAATAAAGTGTACCTTCTTTGAAAGCCTAACATATTTGTTTGTGTTTGTTTTTGTTTTTGAGACAGGGTCTCCCTCTGTCACCTACGCTGGAGTGCAGTGGCGTAATCTTGGCTCACTGCAACCTCCGCCTCCTGGGTTCAAACGTTTCTCTTGCCTCAGCCTCCTGAGTAGCTGGGATTACAGAAGTGTGCCACCACGCCCGGCTAATTTTTGTATTTTTAGTAGTGACAGGGTTTTGCCATGTTGTCCAGGCTGGTTTCCAACTCCTGACCTGAGGTGATCCACCTGCCTCGGCCTCCCAAAGTGCTGGGATTACAGGCATGAGCCACCGTGCCCAGCCTAGACCCTTATAATTTTATTTACCTTATTCATCAGTTATCCTTAGCAACATCCCTCCTAGCTTTGTGCCTTTGCTCATGTTAGTGCTTTAGTCGAAATCTGTAGATACAATAGCCACGAGACACACTTGACTATTTTACATTTAAATTAAAATTAAATGAAACAATTGAGTTCTTTAGTTGCACTAGCCATACTTCAAGTGTTCAATGGGCACACTGGCTAATGGCTATCATACTGGGCAGTGTAAATACAAAATATTTCCATCACTGCAGAAAGTTCTATTTCTCAGCCTTGGTGTAGATAAGGAGTCAGCAAACCTTTCCTTTAGGCATCGTGGGCCATATGGTCTCTGTTCCAAACACTCAACTCTGCCGTTCCAATGCAAACATTAACTAAAAATATATAAGCTTAATAATATATAAAAATATATATGCTTAATAAACAATAAAAATATATAAGCTTAATGAGCATGGGTGTCTTACAAAAAAATTTTATTCACAAAACCAGGTGGCAGGCCAGATTTGGCCTACAGGCCATAGTTGGTGGACCTTTACACTAGAAAGTCTTCTCTCCCAGCTCTGCTTGTTGAGTTTCTACTTATCTTTGAAGCCCAGGCCCAAATGCCAAATCTCTCCATCCCCTCAATTAGAATCCAACACTCTTTCCTCTGTATCCACAGCATTCTGCACTTTCCATTACTGTTCTATCACAATCCGCCTTACGGTGCTCTTAACTGTGTACATATCTCTCTTTACCCCTAGGCAGTCAATCCTTTGAGGGCAAAGATGATGTTTTGTTCTTCGTATGTTTCAGCAAACAGTCAAGCATAAACTCCTAACTGTTCCGTTTATGAAAAGCAAACAAAATTCCACAATAATTCTGGGAGGTTCAATTTAAAATATATTGTTACCCTTCTAAAAAGGGTACTATATCAAAATATTGCTCAGTGAGAAAACCACAGTTTTCTAAACTCATATTTTTATTACTAGATTTAAATATTTCCTTATATCTATCTTTAACATTACAAATTTTCACCAAAACAAAACATTTACATACTTTATTACCCAAATTTAAAATTATTTGTATAAGGATTAGCACAGCTACAGAATTCTCTACTTGACTAAAATAATTTGACAGTTAAAATGGCAAAGTTATGAATTAACTAAATGGTTGACTCAGGAACAGTTGGCAGAACTGTTAGGGCAGAAATCTTATTTTATTATAAAAGTTAGAGTCTTGCTTTAAGATTCAAAGAAAGAGGATAAAGCTGAGACTCAAGTGTTCTGTTGATTCAGTTGGCAACTAAATTCCTGAAGGAATTCACTGTACTATTTATGGTTATCACTAATTTATATCCAATAGCCCAGTAAAATGAATCAATAAAGTAAAATTGAGGGTATTTTAAAACTGACTAGAGCCCTGTTCACATCGACTGCCCAGAGTCCGTAAATCCTCTGCTCCAAGACCGTCCGGACTGCCCCGACCCCAGCTTTCTCTCCTTTGAAAACACTAAGAATAATGTCACTGCATCAGTTTTTACTAGAGCCAATCAACTGTCGTGCCTGAAACAGGGATCGTACCCAGATTGCCCTCAGTGTCAATAATCACGAAGTGCACATCTATAAGAAGAATGGGCGCCAGTGTGTGAAAGCTCACGAACTCAAGGAGCACAATGGACACATCACAGATATTGACTGGGCTCCCAAGCATGACCACATCGTCACTTGTGGGGCAGACCACAATGCCTATGTCTGGAGTCAGAAAGATGGTGTCTGGAAGCCAACACTGATGATCCTGAGAATTAATCGCACAGCTACTTTTGTGAAGTGGTCCGCCCTAGAGAACAAATTTGCTGTGGGAAGTGAAGCACGACTCATTTCAGTTTGTTACTTTGAGTCTGAAAATGACTGGTGGGTGAGCAAGCACATTAAAAAGCTGATTCGCTCCACAGTCCTCAGCTTGGATTGGCATCCCAACAATGTTTTGCTGGCAGCAGGATCATGTGACTTCAAACACAGAGTGTTTTCTTCCTACATTAAAGAAGTGGATGAAAAGCTGGCCAGCATGCCCTGGGACAGCAAGATGCTTTTTGGGCAGCTGATGTCAGAGTCTGGTGGCGGTGGCACTGGTGGCTGGGTCCACGGGGTCAGCTTCTCCGCCAGTGGGAGCCACCTGGCCTGGGCCAGCCACGACAGCACCATGTCTGCTGCTGATGCCTCAAAAAGTGTGCATGTCTCAATCTGAAGACGGAGTTCCAGCTGCTCCTGAGTGTGTCATCTGTCTCAGACAACAGCGCCGTGGCTGCTGGCCATGACTGCTGACCAATGCTCTTGAACTACGATGACCGTGGCTGCCTGACCTTTGTCTCCAAGTTAGACATTCCAAAACAGAGCATCCAACGCAACATGTCTGCCATGGAATGCTTCTGCAACACGGACAAGAGGGCCACGACTGAGGGCTCCAACATGGCTTTGAAGATGCTGCGCCAGAATAGCATCACTCAAGTCTCTATTTATGAGGTGGATGAGAAAGATTGTCGCAAATATTGCACTACTGGCATCGATGGAGAGCCATGACAATTTGGGATTTCAAGGATAATTTGAAGCTGAGTGAGCCTCCGCCATCCAGCGTGACAAACTATGGCTGACTGCAGCTGTGCCGTGGCACGATGGCTAGGAAGCCAGCCCCAAGGAAACACTGAAAACACATATCACGCCAATATCATGTGGTTTTGTTTGAATATAAAATTGGTGAAAATGTTGGTTTTTTAAAAGCAATGTTTTTGTTTGTTTTTTTTTTGCAATTTCATTCCATTCTTGACCAAAGCTTTTCTTTTAAGTAGTTTATTATGGAAAATTGTCACACTAACTTAAAAGACAGGGAGATATGTAAACTGTCCACTAGAAAATTAAATAAAAGAATTGAATGCGGGGGGAAAAAAACTGACTATATCTCAGCATTACTTAAAACCATACCATCAAATTCAGCGTGGTGATAATGACTAATTTGGGATAATATAATCACTAGAATAGTCTCCTGGATTGTCACACATGAAGTGAGTTTATGCCAGTCTCTTATTAGCAGCTTCTCCCAATAGCATTGTCAAGGCAACACTTAGCACTGATAAACAACTAATAATCTTGTACAATAATTCAAATATAAATAATTCAAATACAAACTCCTACACCAAAGTCATCTGCTACACAAACAATGTAATCGCCTCTACCTTAAATGCTAAATACCAAAAAGTATATTAAAAGTATATTAAAAGTATACCAAAAGTATAATAAACAATATAAAATAGTATATATTATATATAAAATATTAAATATTGATAATATAAAAGTATAAACAAAAAATAAAAGTACAAATAAAAAATGAGAGTAAAATCAACAATTATTTACTTGTTTATTGAAGCTGTAAGTGAAGTCTGGGAGGTCTTTTCATCTTCACCTTGAGAACTGCTAAATTCAGAATCCTGAAACCGCTTTCCAATCTTTGGCCGCTTTAGATTACCACTTCGAGTATGAGTGGAAACAGATGTTTTATCATGACCTGAGGAGAAAAACAGCAAAACTGCACTTAATTGATTATATATTAAAAGGACTACCTATTAAAATACACAGAAATGCAAGAACTACACTAGTTTACACATATCCTCCACATTACACAGGTTCACCCTCCCCTCACTTATGTCAGGCTAAGAAAATTATTTTATAATTTACATCTTTTTCTAAATTATGTAACTTTGTCAAGTTATATGAACTGTGTAAGTCATTCCTCACGTTCCATGTTATCTTGGGCTTTGCAAAGTGTTTTTGTATTTCACTTGCATTCCCTCCCAATAATCTTGGAAAATAAACAACGTAGACATTACCATCCCTATTTTATAGCTAAGGAAACAAGGAAGAGAGAGGTACAATAGCTTACTCAGTGTTCACATAGCAAAATCAGTGGCAGTGGTGGCATGAGAACCCAGATCTAGATTTTAGAGCTGGTTAAGTCTTCACTTTCTCAGGGTGACACACCACACACACATGCATGCACACACACACACACAGCCCTAATTTGAAGTGTCTCAAATACTTACTGATATATCAGTTGAATTTCTTACCTTCGGAAGTGCTTGCAAAGGCATCTTTTAGAGAATCAATCTAAAAAAGAGAGAGATTCAAACCCAAAGTTTTAGACTATTTTTTCTCCCTATGGATCTATTTCACTTATAGTTTCAAAGAAAAACTTGTAAAATGTTTTCCAAATAGCACTTTTTGTTAACAACATTTACTTTAAAAATAAAAAGGTTATAGTTCAGCTTCAGTTTAAAAGACTGAGAACATATGCAAGTCATCTAATATGTCATAGTGTGTCCACTAGTGTCTCCTAGTTCTGTCCTCAGCCACCTTCTCTGCTCAGTCCACATGCTCTCCCTTCACTATGCTTACTTCAGTATCTGCTTATTGATGAATTCAAATATGAGACTTAAGCCTCCAAACTTTCTTCCTGATTTCCAAAGCTTTATTTCCAATGAAATATCTCCCAGTGGATGTCCCATCCAATTTCACACTCAATCATTCCCAAAATGAACTTTATCTTTCCCCAATATTATTCCCTATCTTGCTTAATGACGATTCAGTCAGTCATTCTAGCCAGAAAACAGTGAGTCAGCAATGACTTCTTCCTAACTCACATGTAATCAATCACAAAGCCTTTCAATTTTAACTGAAGAATCTCTCAAAACTGTCCTGTCCTTTGTACTACCATTGCTTTAGTTTATATCTTTAGTCTCTTGAACCAACTATTCCAACAGCCTCCTCACTCATATCCCTCATTCTAATCACATCCCATCTACACCCCTCCACCCTGATGACAAAGTGATACTTTCGAATCACAAATTGTACCATTTTTTTGATAAAAAAAAAAAGAGGAAAAAACTTTTAATGGCCAACCACTGCTTAGAATACAAATTCTCAACCTATTCAATACCAAATACCTCTTTCATATCAAACATGCCATTTCCTTTACACCTCTGTAACTTTTTTACATGCTATCGTCTGGAATGCCCTAAGAAAATTCCCACCCACCCTTTAAAAGTCATCCTCTCCTATGTACCTCCAATTACTTGCTATAATAAAGCAATTATTATGCTATAGTATATTATATATTTCCAACAATGGACCATCTAGTTCTCCCATGTCTAAGAACCATATCTTTATATGTCCAATGCTTGCCATAGTAACTACTTTATTCATCCATTACATGCTTACTAAAACTCCACAATATAGTGGGCACACAGCCTTCAATTTATAGAACAAAAGCAAGGGAGCAATTGTGATAAATCATATGACAAATATCTTGCTTCAACCAACTTGTAGTCCAACAAGAAAAGGTTAAAATGTAGATAAAGATGAATAAATAAAAGGTGCAAAAAGTGTAAGATAAATAATAGGAAAAAGCAGGTAACAATACCATCATCACCTAAAGAATAAATCATGTAGTTGAAATAAACTAAACTATTTGTGGCTACTAACAAAAAGAGATATAAATAGTTTAATATGATAAACATTTCCTTCAACTATTTAAAACATTAAAGTAATATGAAGAATATGAATTTCTAAAATCTTAAATAGGTTAGATTCTAAAATCTAATTTATGCTGTCAACTGTATGATATAGTACCACTGTCATATATTCTCACTCAAATGACACATCTAAAATTATTTGGCTTAGTATTAAAGTAAATCATTGCTCTCGTTACATTTATAGGAAGAGTAGATTTTCTACTTTCCTTGATTTTATAACTGGCCAATACTAAATGAATCTGTGTATCTCTCAGGAATTTGGACTGCAGTAGAACAGGAGCTTATTCTCAAGTCTGAATTTCCAAAAGTAGGAAAAAAAAATCCCAAGAATCTAACTCCTTACATATATTGTTATTCTTAAAAATGTTTACAAATTTGCCACTCGAATAGTCAACTCTCATGCTAATTGAGACAGAAAATAAGCACAAATAATTCCCTAAAGCAGTTGTTTCTAACACTCACCAAAAATAAACTTAGATACACACGTACAACATATGTAGTGTTTCTAACACTCACCAAAAATAAACTTAGATACACACATACAAAAATATGACTGTAATAAATGCCATCCCCCAAAACCCTAGACTTCTAGAGTCCCATCAATGGGCCATATTTTAAGCAGTACCACAAAACATCAGTTCTAGAAAAGGACCTGGTAAGTCCTGTGGAGTTTGGTAACGGGACCTGTCCTTCTACTTTCAGGATACCTAATATTTGCAAAGTGCATTACATTCTACAAAGACTAGCATATACAGCCTCAAACTTTACAACATAACAACTTCATAGTCTTTCACCTACTAATTCCACTTCTGGAAATTTGTATGTTAAGATAAGTAATTACATATACACAAGGATTCATATATAAATGTGTTTGCTCCTGGGTCATTTAAAAATGTTAAAAATTTAAGGATCCTATGTTAAGGAAACAAATAATGATAGTTACATAAAATAGATAATAGAATAGTGTGCTGCTATGTAACAATCACATTTTAATGATTTAATGCCATAGAAAATGCTTCCAATATTACATTAATGGAGAACAGCAGTTAGAAGCAATCCAAGAGAATAAAAATAAAAATACAATATATACAGATACATGCTTTATAATATGCGATATTAAATATATATGCAAAAATTTTAACAGTGGCTATATCTGAATAGTGGGATTATAGATTTTTATTTTCTTCTATATTATTTTATGTTTATTCTAAATTACCCTTAAATTAGCTCATACTTTTAACATCATTAAAATTATTTTTCAAAGAAAATTAAAGTCCTTAGTAATATTAACAGAAGATGCCAGGAAAACTAACACAGTAGAAATTACATAGCTTTGTTGAATGAACTATGACATTTAAAACTCAAATATAACCTGTATCTATTTTTTAAAAACACAAAAATTTTATATACAACAATAAACATATAGACAGTGTACCTACAGTTAGCTGCATCTCACTAGACTGATTGTCTTCAGTTCTTGCTTCGTATTCTGGAACAGATGCAGGACCATATTCTCCAGACATAGGTCTTTTAGGTTCATTTTGAGAAAGTGCTGCGTATAGAAGAATTTTAAAAACTGTAACCGAATCAGTATTTGGTTTTAACTCTAACATTGTACTGATTTTCCTAAAAGCTCTGAAGAGCAGCCTGGACAGAAGGGTCACGAAAATCTAGGTGTGAGATGTTCTCTTCACCAATATCCTATAATGCAACATTGCCATTATATACAATGTTAAATAGTTATTTTAAGTATTTAGTAGCTTTGGGGAGAAGTGCATGAGATTAAGGGGTACTTTGGACCCCCTGGTGCCTATTCTATGCCGTTTGAGTAATCTACGTTTATTTCTTACCCACCAATTCCTACTGGGCTGTTCTAGGTCTCCTTGTTACTAAGGACTCAAAAGTTAATACATTACCAAAATTCAAACCTTAGACAAGAGAGTCTGTTACTAGAACAATCACATTATAATACACTACCACTCTGGACTCTAAGACACAACCATTATTAGCCTCTGCTTTTTAAACTGGACTTATGGGCCAGCAAGGACAGGCTACCAAAAATAAATAAACTGAACTTATGTTCAAACTGAAAACACTCTTACCTAGAATTTTAAGTGCTTCTCTTTGTAATGCTCTGGTGACTGGTATTCGCTGGTACCAGTGTCCAACACCTTCAACTTCCCAAAGGAGTTCATGGTCTCCTGGATACTTCTCAAAGTATTGCTTGCAAGCTGAAAAACACATTTAGAATTTTCTAGAAATCCCAAATATCCACTGTTTTGAAAAACAGGAGTTGAAAAGTAAGCTTCCCAACTCACTTAACGGGGCTAGCATAACCTTGATACCAAAACACCAGCAACACAACTCAAGTATACAGTAGTTTCATTTATAAATAAAAATTCTAAATAAAAATCCCAAATAAAAGTTTTAACACGACTGAACAATAAAAATCCTTTAAAAATGTGCTTCGCTTTTTTTTTTTTTTTTTTTTTTTGGAGATGGAGTCTTGCTATGTCGCCCAGGCTGGAATGCAGTGGCGCGATCTCGGCTCACTGCAACCTCCGCCTCCTAGGTTCAAGCAATTCTCCTGCCTCAGTCTCCTGAGTAGCTGGGATTACAGGCACCCACCGCCATGCCTGGCCAATTTTTGTTAAAAAAGTGCTTTGCTTTTAAAGAAAAAAATGATTAAATGTTACAGAGGGACATAGAAAAACTGAATAAAAAGATTGTCAGACTCAATAGTATAAAAATACCAGTTCTCATCAAATTGATCTATAAATTCCATGCAATTCCAAACAAATCCCAACACAACTTATTTTTTAATGAAACTTAACAAAACTTGATCCCAAATTCAAAAATGAAAGAACAAAGGATAAGAAAATATTCAGTATGTACAACTATTATACATGAATTTAAAAGCTCCAAAAAAAAAAAAAAAAAGAAATAATATTCAGGTCAATTCTGAAGAAGAAAAATAAGGATAGAGACTTGTCCAAGTAGATACCAAGTATTTGAAACAAGTACCAAGTATTTGAAACCAAGCATTTAAAAACCATAGTAATTGAAACAACCTAGTATTGACAGAAGGATATATAAACGGACTGGGAGTGGGAGGGAGAAGGAGAAGAAAAATACCAAAAAACAAACAAACAAAAAATCCACAAATAAGTCACAAAGAAACTCCACTAGGAAAGAACCACACGTACACTACAACTTGCCAAATGACAGAAAAGGCATTACACTTCAGCAAAGAATGGATAAACTACTAAAATAATGGTGCTGAAATAAAAATCCATATAAAAAAGCAATAAAGTCAGATCCTGACCTCACATCAACATAAATTCTAAACAAATTCTAAGACCTAATGTGAAAAACAAAATGTTTAAAAGAAAACATAGGAGAATACCTCTAGGACATTAGGGTTCAGATGGATTCCTTACAAAGACACAAAAATCACAGTCCATGATGAAAAAGTATGATCTATTAAGATTTAAAACCTAGTATATCAGGACTGTGCAACAGAACTTTCTGTGATGATAGACATGTCCTATTACCAGCACTGTCCAATACAGTAGCCACTAGCCACATGTGACTACTGAGGAACTGAACTTAAACTTATATTTAAATTAGTGACTACTGTATTGAACTGCACCATTCTACATGAAAATGATACCAGAAAGACACAGATTAGGAGATATTTAGAGTAAAACAAACAATTAGTACTCAGAATATATAAAGAATTTCTGAAATTGAATTCAAAAGACAAAGTTATCCCAAAGAAAAACTGACAGAGACTATGAACAGGAATTTCACACCTAATGAAATCTGAGTGGTCAATAAACAAAGATAAAGATGATAAACCTCACTAGCTGCCAAGGAAAGATAAGATATGATTTTCACACCTGCAGGATATGACAAGCACCAAGAAGAATAAGGGAAATGGAAACACACACTCTGCTGGTGGGATAATAATTTTGCAACAGTAAAGTTGAAAAGGCTTTTATGATCCAATTCTACTTCTAGGTATAAACCCTAATTCCTTATACAGATGCTCCCTGACTTACACTGGGGTTACATTCTGATAAACCCATCATAAATTGAAAATACCACTAAGTCAAAAATGCATTCACTACACCTAACCTATCAAACATCATAGCTTAGCCTCACTTACCTTAAATGTGTTCTGAACACTTACAGTTCAGAACACAGCCTTCAGCCTATAGCCGGGCAAAATCATCTAACACAAAGCCTATTTTATGATAAACTGTTGAATATTTCACATACTTTATTGAATACAGTACTCTGTAGAGTATTGGTTGGTTGCCCTTGCGATCACCTGGCTGACTGGGAGCTGTGATTGGCAGCCACTGCCCAGCTTCATGAGAGAGTATCATACCACATATCATTAGCAAAGGAAAAGATAAAAATTCAAATGACTGTTTCTACTGAATGAGTATCACTTTTGTACCATCATAAAATCAAAAGCCAAACCATCATAAGTCAAGGGCCATTTGTACATATGCAAAAAACATTTGTAACATTCATTACAGGACTACTTTTAAACTAGGATGACCGGACACAACCTAAGTGCCCAACAGTAGGGAAATATATGAATAAACTGTAATATGTATGTAATAAAAATACTGTGTAGTATTTAAAACAAATGAATTATGGCTACCTAAATCAACATTGATAACTCTTTTAAAAATGCTCAGTAAAAATGTGGGCCAGTAAATGAACAAAATGATGCCACGTATAAAAAGTTTAAAAACACACTAAATAAGGCTAGGCACAGCGGCTCACGCCTGTAATCCCAGCATTTTGGGAGGCCAAGGTAGGCAGATCATGAGATTAGGAGTTCAAGACCAGCCTGATCAACATGGTGAAACCCCATCTCTACTAAAAATACAGAAAATTAGCCGGCCATGGTGGCTACTCAGGAGGCTGAGGCAGGAGAATCACTTGAACCCAGGAGGAGGAGGTACAGCCACAGTGGAAAACAGTTTGACAGTTCCTCAAAAAATGAAACACAGAATTACCGTATGACCCACCAATTTCATCCTCAGGTATACATTCAAAAGAAATGAAAGCAGAGACTCAAACAGGTATCTGTACACCAACATTCATTGAAGCATTATTCACAATAGCCAAAAGGTAGAAACAACCTAACTGTCCATCAATAGATGAATGGCAAAACAAAATACTGTATATTCAAACAAAAGAATACTATCCAGCCATAAAAAGGAATGGAATTTTGATACTGTATATGCTACAACATGATGGACCTCAAAGACATTATGTTTAGTGAAGTAAGCCAGACACAGAAAAATAAATATTGTATGATTCCATTTAGATGAGGTAGCTAGCATGGGCAAATTCATAGGGACAGAAAGCAGAAAACAGGTTACCTACCAGAAGATGGGGGTAGGGGAAAAGGGGAGTTAATTGTTTAATGGGGAGAAAGTTGATGTTGCAGATGATTGAAAAGCTTTGGATATAGACAGTGGTGATGGGTACAAAACACTGTGCATAAGAGCCACTGAACTGTTCACCTACAAATAAGGTATTATGTATAATTTTTTACAACAAAAAATGGTTTAAAAACTAAGAAAGCACACTAAATAATATTTTATAATGTTTACAGACATAAATATGAAACCATAAGTAGGAAAATAAACACTAACTTCAGGAGTGCAATTATCTCTGGGGAGGAAAGGAGAAAGCAGAGTGGTATTAGGGAAGGGTTCAAAGAGAACATCAATTGTATCTTTTATTACAATCAATAAATATTGTATTTAGTTCTCCCTTAAACTAAAACAAATATGGCAAAATCTTCACATTTGTTCAATCTAGACTTGGTACAGAAATTAGGACACTAGTCTATCATTTTTTTCCCTGTATATTTGAAAATATTTCTCATATGTTCTGGGTTTAGTTTCCAAAACTAAAAGGAAGGAAGAAGCTGGAGAAAACCAACACAACAGGCCACAAAACAAAACAAAAAGACATGGCTAATAAACCAACTGTTGAGATAAAATAGAACACTGATAAATACTTCCAAAAGGAAAGAAAAAAGGAGAAAGAACAAATGGGACAAATAAAGAATAAACAGTAGGATGGGAGATGTAAACTAAATAATTTCAAAACTTACTTGCAAAAAATGCACATGGACTAAAGAAAATGAAAAGGCCATGAGAAAGAATTAACAATACACACATATAACAACTCATATCCAGGATACATAAAGAACTCATAACTCGGCCAGGTGTGGTGGCTCACGCCTGTAATCTCAGCACTTTGGGAGGCCGAGGTGGGCGGATCACGAGGTCAGGAGATCGAGACCATCCTGGCTAACACAGTGAAACCCCATCTCTACTAAAAAAATACAAAAAATTAGCCAGGTGTGGTGGCAGGCGCCTGTAGTCCAAACAGCTTGGGAGGCTGAGACAGGAGAATGGCGTGAACATGGGAGGCAGAGCTTGCAGTGAGCCGAGATTGTGCCACTGCACTCCAGCCTGGGTGACAGAGCGAGACTACGTCTCAAAAAAAAAACATAACTCATAACTCAATAAGAAGGCAAGCAATTCAATACAACATAAGCAAAAGATGTGAACAAACACTTTACTTGTTCTACCCTTTTTTAGGGTAGATGATTATCCAGTAATTACATGAAGAGATACTCAAAAATCTTTAGTCTTCAGGAAAACATAAATTGAAACCACATAATGAGTGCTTTCCACTTACTACTAGGAATGATTAAAATTAAAGAGATTGACAAAAACCAAGTGTTGGTGAGTACACAGAGCAACCAGAACTTCCACATATTTATACTAACGGGAATGCGAAATGACATAACTACTTAGCAAATAGTTTTGCAACTTCTCAAAGTTAAACACAATCATAAAACCCAGTAATGACACTCTTAGGTATTCGCTACAAAGAAATGAAAACAAACGTCCATCATACAAAGACATTTTCATGCAGCTTTATTCATAATAGCCAAGAAAGGAAAAAACCCAAATGTCTATCAACAGGCAAATAAATTGTGGTATAATCAAAGGGAGGAATACTCAGCAAAATAATAAAAAATTTAAAAAGGAATGAAGTACTGAGACATGCAACATCAATGAGCCTCAAAAATAAGATGCCAGACATAGAAGTAGAGATACCATATATTTCCATTTTTCATGAAACTCTAGAAAAATCTAAGTGGTACTGACAGAAAGCACATCAGTGCTTGCCTGGAGTGAGAGTTTGGAAGGGAAGGAAGCCGGGGGACTGGTGCACAAAGGGAACTTTTGGAAACAAAGTTATTATCTATCTAGGTTGCGTCTACAGTAGCAAGGGTCCATATGTTTGTCAGAAGTCAGCAAAAATGTACACTTTTGTGTACGGTACATGTACGGTACATGTAGGCTGGGCGCGGTGGCTCACGCCTGTAATCCTACCACTTTGGGAGTCCGAGGCGGGTGGATCACGAGGTCGGGAGATCGAGACCATCCTGGCTAACACAGTGAAACCCTGTCTCTACTAAAAATACAAAAAAATTAGCCAGGCGTGGTGGCGGGCACCTGTAGTCCCAGCTACTCGGGAGGCTGAGGCAGGAGAATGGTGTGAACCCGGGAGGCAGAGCTTGCAGTGAGCCGAGTTTGTGCCACTGCACTCCAGAGCCTGGGTGACACAGTGAGACTCCGTCTCAAAAAAAAAAAAAAAAAAAAAAAGTACATGTTATTGTATGTAAATTATAACTTAATAGATATTTGCCCTTTTTTTTTTTTTTTTTTTTGAAACAGGATCTGGCTCTTTCCCTGAGTCTGGAGTGCAGTGGCTCACTACAGCCTTGAACTCCTGTACTCAAGTGATCCTCCTGCCTCAGTCTCTCGAGTAACTGGGACTACAGGCGCACACCACTAGGCCTGGATTTTTTTTTTTTTTTTTTTTTTCCTTCAGACAGAGTCTCGCTCTGTCACCCAGGTTGAAGTGCAGTGGCACAATTTTGGCTCACCACAAATTCTGCCTCCCAGGCTCAAGCAAAATCTGGTGACTCAGCCTTCTGAGTAGCTGGGATTACAGACATGTGCCACCATGCCCAGCTAATTTTCACATTTTTAATGGAGATGGAATTTCACCATGTTGGCCAGGCTAGTCTTGCATTCTTGGCCTCAAGTGATCTGCCCTCCTCGGCCTTCCAAAGTGCTAAGGCTTTATAGGAAGATAGAAATTAGCTGATAATCATCTGTAAATCATTTGGTATTCAATTTATTTATCATTAGAATCACAGAAGAGAGTAAGTGCTAAGGGATTCTGCCTGCAGTGGATGTCTTTGCATCTCTCCTCAAATTCAGTAAAGCAGTAATTAGGGGGTAATGCATTTTAGGACTATCCAAGGACACACAATGCCCATCCCACTCTCATGTATGGATTTAGAGAGAAAATATGATTCAAGATGGGCATCTAATTCTGTACTTGGTTCCTGTTTTCTGGATTGCTTTTGGTATTAAAGAAGGTGCAGAAGATTTGGAATAAAAATATATTTTCAGTGGAAATAAATGTCAACTGTTAGACTGAAATCAACAGTAAATTATACTTTATAAGAGTTTCTAGGTTAATTACTATCCAGAATTAAATCTTACTTCATTGAGTAGTTGTATACCTTTACACAAATGCAAAAACAAACCCACTAATGGTTTTAAATCACCAAGTGATATGTCCATAAAATGGAATACGGCATTGACGATAAATGGAACTATACGAATCCATATGGATGAATCTCACAAATATAAAGATGAGTAAAGAAAGCAAACTGTAGAATTCATACAGTATGTATTTATAGTTTTTAAATATATAAAGCAACCTGACACATTGTTTGAGAATACACACGTATGTATTACAAGTCTAAGAAATGTATGAGAAAAATAAAGCCAAGTTAGGTACAGTACTCATCCCAGGGAAGGGGAGTGAGTCTAATTGGGTAGAAGTACATAGAAGGCTTCGACCATATTGGCAACAAGCCATTTCTCATGGATGGTACATGCTGACATAGTACATGAGTATTTGATATCTTATTTTTATTTCTTTTTATTTTTTTGAGGTAAGCTCTCAATTTGTCACCCAGGCTGAAGTGCAGTAGTGCAATCTCGGCTCACTGCAGCTTTGACCTCCTGGGCTCAAGCAATTCTCCCACTTCAGCCCCTCAAGTAACCGGGACTACAGGCACAAGCCACCACACCCAGCTAATTTTTTTTGTAATTTTTGTAGCGATGGGGTTTTACCATGTTGTCCAGGCTGGTCTCGAATTCCTGAGCTCAAGCGATCCACCCACCTCGGGCTCCTAAAGTGCTAGAATTACAGGCGTGAGCCACCATACCCAGCCAATGCCTTACTTTTTAAACTTTTTTTTTTTTTTAATTGAGGTGAGGTCTCACTATGTTGCCCAGACTGGTCTCAAACTCCTGGACTCAAGCAGTCCTCCCACCTCAGCCTTTGGAGTAACTGAGATAACAGGCATATGCCACCATTCCCAGCTTCTTTATTTCTTTTTGTATGTCTGAAATTTATTTTGTTAATTTTAAAAGCTACCATAAACAAATAACCCCCCCCCAAAATGGTCAAAGGATCTGAACAGATTTCTCCAAAGAAGATATACAAATAACCATTAAGCACATGAAAAGATGTTCAACATCAAAGCAAAGCAAAACTATGAGATGCCCCTGCACATCCACTAGGATGCCTGTAATAAAATATACAGATAACAAATGTTGGTGAGGATGTGGAGGGCTGTAATAAAATACACAGATAATAACAAATGTTGGTGAGGATGAAGATGTGGAGAAATTGTAACCCTCATATAATATTGCTTATGGGAATGTAAAATGCAGCAATCACTTTAGAACAAGTTGTGGTACAGCCATACAATGGAATATTATTCAGTCATAAAAAGAAATGAAGTACTAATTTACGTACAACAAGAATGAACCTTAAAAACATGCTAAGTGAAAGAAGCCAGACACAAAAAGCCACATGCTATATGATTCCATTTATATGAAAAATGTCCAGAATGAGTAAATCTACAGAGACAGAAAACAGATTAGTGGTTGCTACAGGATGAAGGGGAAATGGATGGTGACTGCGAATTGGTACAGGGTTTCTTTTTGGAGTGATAAGAATGCTCTGGAACTGCTGGCTATGATTGAACAACTATGAATATACTAAAAACCACTGAATTGTACACTTTTAACAGGGCAAATATTATGGCATATGTTGTTTTGTTTGGTTTGGGATTTTTTTTTTTTAGATGGAGTCCTGCTCTGTCACCCAGGCTGGAATGCAGTGGCATGATCTTGGCTCACTGCAACCTCTGCCTCCCGGATTCAAGCAATTCTCCTGCCTCAGCCTCCCGAGTAGCTGGGATCACAGGCACGTGCCACCACGCCCAGTTAATTGTTTATTTTTAGTAAAGATAGAGTTTCATCATGTTGGCCAGGCTGGTCTCGAACTCCTGACCTCAGGTGATCCGCCTGCCTCAGCCTCCCAAAGTGCTGGGATCACAAGTGTGAGCCACTGTGCCCGGCAATTGTATGGTATATGAATTACATTTATAGTTTTTTAAGACTGCCAAACCCCGAGAAAACAAATACATAAGGGCACATTTGCCAAAGTAAGTTCTAGAGAGCCTAAGGTTCCAAATTTATGTGATACTGATATATACACATTTACCGTATTTTGAAGAAACAAGTCGGAAGTGACACAAAGACAAGTTTATTATTTTTTAACTTAGTCCATTTACCTGTATACATGAGAGAAGACAGTGGATACCGCAAGCCAAGCGCATCTTCTGTAAAGGAATCAACAAAGTCCTCCAGCATGTGAAGCCCAAAATCTTTACCTCTGTATTTCTTTCTTAGAAACATTGTATCAAGAACTGGCAATTGGTAACTTTGGGTAAGAAAAGAGGCACATATGCTTCCTGCAGTAATAAGAACAGAAACCCAATAATTTCTCACATTAAAAAATATACATACATTTAGTGACATGAGTTAACAGTCTTTCTAAAAAAAGTTTTCTTCTATATCAAAAAACGTTAAATATATAAATGTTATAATATAAAGTGTTTTTCAGCTACTATTAGACATTATAATGTATAATGTGATAATGAAAGGAGCTATGTATTTTATGTTTGCTAGTAGTATCATCAAATATAGGACAAATAGCTCAGTACCATATTCTAAAATATATACTTCACTATATGTATTATATATATACCATCACTGTCTATAGACTCATGCAACTCTAAAACTCATCAACTATTAAAATTTCAAATTTGAAGAGTATTTGAAGACTATCATTCCAACCTTAGTACCTGAATATCCTTTTTTTTTCTTTGAGGATGTCTCTGATCTGTATTTTTTTAAACATTCATATTTTCCCTCTACATTTTTCCTAACGAGTACCATTTCATTTTTATCTACTTGATGATAGTAAAGAAGTGAATTAGTTCTCCAAATTTTTAAGGACTATAAATTGGGGCGAATTGGAAACATCTGTCTTAGACATGGATAAAATTTCCTGTAGATACAATGCTAAATACATTTTGTATGTTTAAAGTTAAACAGGACAAAAAATTTGTAGTTTCTATATATCTCTCTCCTTATTATACAGCTATGCTGATTTGTCTTTTAAGAACCCTGCTCTATATCTGGGTTTTGACCATTCCAATAGATGTATTAACTCCTTTAATATATCAAAGTAGTTTACAAGTTGAGGGAACGTGGTGGTGTGTCATACTTCCTGTTAATTTTAGAATTCATAGTTATCAGTCATTATTCTATTATTTTTGCCTCAAATAAAATAATCTTTTATTCTCAGATTATTCATATGATTTTGGATAACTCCAATAATGTAGTTCAAACAAGAAACAAAATGTCAAACATCTCACAAATTGTCTTACCAATCATATCATTTAATGAGCTGATCAATATAACAACTTTTTTCAGTTCAACCAAGTAATATGAACTATTTATGACTGAATTGGATTACTTACATAACTTTCTGGAACAATCTCCGAGACTACCGACTAATTTAAATTTAGAATAGGTAATGCATATGGTAATATACTTAGATATTTTTATTTTTTTTCTTTTTTCTTTTTTTTTTGAGATGGAATTTCACTCTTGTTGCCGAGGCTGGAGGGCAATGGCACGATTTCAGCTCACTGCAACTTCCACCTCCTGAGTTCAAGCAATTCTCCTGCCTCAGCCTCCCAAGTAGCTGGGATTACAGGCGCCCGCCACCACACCTGGCTAATTTTTATATTTTTAGTAGAGACAGGGGTTTCACCATGTTGACTAGGCTGGTCTTGAACTCCTGACCTCAGGTGATCTGCCCCACCTCAGCCTCCCAAAGTGCTAGCGTGAGCCACTGCACCCAGCCAATATACTTAGATCTTAATTGCTGACATTTAGTTAGGCTATTTCTAAGGGTCTAGATTTCTTGTACAAATCTAACAAGTAATCTTGTCAGAGGCGTTTGAACTAGCACAACTCCATCTTAAATAGGAACTGGGTAAAATGAGGCTGAGACCTACTGGGTTGCATTCCCAGACAGTTAAGGCATTCTAAGTCACAGGATGAGACAGGAGGTTGGCACAAGATGCAGGTCATAAACACCCTGCTGATAAAACAGGTTGCAGTAAAGAAGCTGGCTAAAATCCACCAAAACCAAGATGGCAATGAGAGTGACCTCTGGTTGTCCTCACTGCTACAATCCCATTAGCACCGTGACAGTTTCCAAATGCCATGGCAACATCAGGAAGTTACCCAATATGGTCTGAAAAGGGGAGGCATGAATAATCCACCCCTTCTTTAGCATATCATCAAGAAATAATCATAAAAATGGGCAACCAGCAGTCCTTGAGGCTGCTCTGTGAAGTAGCCATTCTTTTATTCCTTTACTTTCCTAATAAACTTGCTTTCACTTTATGGACTTGCCCTGAATTCTTTCTTGTGCAAGACCCAAAAACCCTCTCTTGGACCCCTTTCCGGTAACAGTCTCATCAACAAGCTAACGCAACCACTATGTTTTTAATGCCTTGAAATTGAAGGGTTTTCAGAGTAACAATAGCAGTGATCATGAAATTAACACACATTATAAGTAGTGGTAGTCAAGTTTGAAGTACAAAGCAAAAATGAATGAGAAGAGAAAGCACTGTCTAGTTCTAGTTCTCAATACAAAGTCTGAGGATCTATGGTTGTTCATTACTCTACATGCTTCAGGCTCCTTACAAAAGAATACTACTGAAATGCAGAAAGTTTCTCATAAATTGATTTTTTTTTCTATTTTCACAGAAACATTCCTTCTAGTAAAGGGAAATTCCAGTATCTCAGACTAGTGTTAAAATGGCCAGTTTATGGAACAAGCAGTGTGTTCACAACATTTAAATTTCTTCTACTTTTTACTTGCCATGTACATGTTCCTTTCAGAAAATCAGAAAATCATACTGGTTCTCTTCCTTCACCTACACTTTACATATTAATACTTCTGCTCTCCAGGGTCTGACTCATACAAATGCAATCAAATAAAGAGCAGAAAAACTTTCCATATTATCAGGGACTTTTAAGATTCACCAAAAGCTGTGGATTTACCTAGTAAAGCAAAAACTATAACCTGCTGTCTTAGGTAAAGTTTTCATTAAATTTACTAGCTCAGATTACATTTAATTTAGCATTGCACATGTCAGATTGTTTATATTCCTCAAAATTCCACATTTTTCTATGTGCTCTGAGTATTGTTATTCACCCCCCAAGACTTCTGCCATTTATCCAAATGCTGATGACTACTAATGTCTATCTTTAACCTCTATAAAGCATGAGACTTCAAAATCAAGAATGAAAGAGCTCATCTGAATGTAAATAAAACAAAATCTACTTAATCATCTCAATAGCTGGAGAAAAAGCATTTGACAAAACCCAACCTTTCATGATAAAAATACTCAACTTCCTCAACCTAATACAGGGCATCTACAAAAAAACCACAATTAACATGATAATGGTGAACCACTGGATATTTCCTCCTAAGATCAGGAAAAAGACAAGGATATTTACTCTCACCACTTGCATTCGACATTGTACTAGAGGATCTAGCTAGAATAATTAGGCAAGAAAAAGAAAGAAAAGGCATTCAAGATCAGGAAGCTAAATGCAAAACAGTCTCTATTTGCAGGTAACATGATCTTACATATAGAAAATCCTAAGGAATCCACTTAAAAAACAAAACTATTAAAACTATTAAGTTCAGCAAGGTTGCAGGATACAAGATCAATATATAAAAATCATTTGTATTTCCACACATTAGCAATGAACAATCCAAAAAATGGAATTAAGAAAACCATTCATAATAGCATCAAAAAAAATAAATTTAACAACAGACATACAAAACTTGTACAATAGAGATTACAAACATTGTTAAAAGAAATTAGAGAACACCTAAAAAAAATGGAAAGACATCTCATGTTCATGGATCTAAAAACTTAATATGCTAAGATGTCCATATTTCCCAATACAACCTAAAGACTCAAAATCCTAGCGAATTGTTTTGCAAAAAATTGTCAAGTTCATCCCAAACACACAGGAAAATAAGGAGCCCAAATAGCCAAAATAATCTTGACAAAGAACTTGTCAAGACTGATTCACACTTCCAAATTTCAACTTACTACAAAGCTAGAGTAATCAGGACAGTATGTTACTGGCATGGGAACACATACACAGATCGAAGAAATAGAACTGAGGGTCCAGAAATAAACTTTCGTATTTATGGTCAATTGATTTTCAACAGGGTGCCAAGACAATTCTATGGAGGAAAATTATATATTTAACGAATGCTGCTAGTACAACTAGATATCCAAATGCAAAATAATGATGTCAGGTACCTTCCTAGAATCATATACAAATTTTAACTGCAAATGGATTCTAAACCTAAACATAAGATCTAAAACTACTCAAATTCTTAAAAGAAAACATAGGTGCAAGCCTTTGTCACCTTGGGTTAGGCAGAGCCTTCTTAGATATAACACCAAAAGCACAAGTGACAAAAGAAAAAGTAGATAAATTAGACCTCATCAAAATTAAAAACTTCTGGGCTTCAAAGAACATCATCGAGAAAGTAAGACAACTCACAGAATGGGAGAAAACATTTCCAAAGTATGTATCTGACAAGGGTCTTGTATCTAACACATATGAAGGGCTCTTACAACTCAAAAAGAAAAAAAAGACAACCCAGCCTGAAACTAGATTAGTGGTTTCAAGGGACTGTGGGGTAAAGGAAATGGGAAGTGATTGCCAATTAGTACAGGGATTCTTTCTGAGGTGATGAAAATGTTCAGGAATTAGATAGTGGTGATAGCTGTATAAATATATGAATATACTAAAAGTTACTGAATTCTACACCATAAAAAAGTTAAGTCTATGGTCTATGAATTATAACCGGATGAATCTCAAAATGTGCTGAAAGAACCCAGACCCCGCCCCCCCCACCCAACTGCCAAAAAGAGTATATACTGTATGTCCTTATTTATATAAAATCCTAGAAAAAGCAAACTCATCTACACTAATAGGCAGCAAAGTGTTTCCTCGGGAACAAATGGGAGAGAGGAATAGATTACAAAAGGGCAAAGACAAGATTACAGATACGTTTATTATCTTGATTGTGGTGACGGTTTCACAGCTCTCTCTCTCTCTCTCTCTCTCTCTCTCTCTCTATATATATATATATATATATGTCAAAGCACAATTTTCAACTTTAAATATGGGCAGGTTTTCGTATGTCAGTTATATCACAATAAGGCTGGGAAAAATGTTTTTAAAACAACCCAATTAAAAATGACAAACGATGGCTAGGCGCGGAGGCTCACGCCTGTAACCTCAACACTTTGGGAGGCCAAGGTGGGCGGATCACCTGTGGTCAGGAGTTCAAGACCGGCGTGGCCAACATGGCAAAACCCGTCTCCACTAAAAATACAAAAATTAGCTGGGCGTGGTGGCACACACCTATAACCCCAGCTACTCAAGAGGCTGAGGCAGGAGAATCACTTGAACCCAGGAGGCAGAGGTTGCAGCGAGCTGAGATTGCACCACTGCACTCCAGCCTGGGTGACAGAGCAAAACTCGTCTCAAAGAAAAAAAAAAAAAAGGCAAATTATTTGAAATATTTCTATTCAAAGAAGATACACAAATGGCCAATAAGCACGCAAAAAGATGCTCAACATTCTTAGCCACCAGGAAAATGCAAATCAAAATTACAATGGCACGGCTACTTCGTATCTGCTAGGTGAACTATAATCAACAGGACAAATAGCAAGTGTTGGCTAAGATGTGGAGAAACTGCAACCCTCACACATTGCTGGTGGGAATGTAACATGGTACAGTCTCTATGGAAGACAGTTTGGCAGTTTCTCAAAAGGCGAAACGGAGTTACCATATGACCCAGCAATTCCACAACTACATACACACTCCAGGAGACTTGAAGACATGTCCAAACAACAACTTGTATACAATTGTTCATATCAGCATTGTTCAAAATAGCAACAATGACAAAAAACAGAAACAACCCCAAACTGTTATTTATCAACTGATAACAAAACTGGTGTATCTATACAAGGTAATACTATTTGGTCATAAAAAGGAATAAGGTGCTGATACATGCTACCATATGAATAAAACTTAAAAATGTTATGCTAAACAAAAGACGCCAGACACAAAAAGTCACATATTATTCATATAAAATAGATTAGTGGTTGTTGAGGGCTGGGGCCTAGGAGTGAGGAGGAAATGGGGAGAGACTGCTAATGAACAGAGTTTCTTTAGCGGAGGGATGAAAATTATCTAAAATTAGCTGTGGTAATGGTTTCATAATTCTGTGAATGTATTTTTAAAAACTGAATTGTATCCTTTTTTTTTTTTTTTTTTTTGAGGCAGAGTCTCATTCTGTTGCCCAGGCTGGAGTGCACTGGGCCGTCTTGGCTCAATGCAACCTCCACCTCCTGGGTTCAAGCAATTCTCATGCCTCAGCCTCCCTAGTAGCTGGGATTACAGGTATGCAGCACCACACACAGTTAATTTTTTGTATTTTTAGTAGAGATGGGGTTTCACTGTGTTGGCCAGGCTGGCCTCAAACTCCTAACCTCAGGTGATCCACCCACCTCAGCCTCCCAAAGTGTTGGGATTACAGGCATTAGCCACCGCACCCAGCCTGAATTGTATATTTTAAATGGGTGAATTGTATGGTATATGAATATCTCAGGTAGTTGTTAAAAATGTAAAAACAAAATATCAACTTACAAGTGACTCCAATAAACCATTTATAACCAGATTTTGCAGACAGCCCCAAAACCTACTCTACCTAGTTTACCAATTTTTTAGTAAACCTCGCCCCTACTCGCCCACTCTAGGAACTCATGTTTGACTCTTCCTTCACAGCCCACGTACAATCCATCAGAAATCCTGCAGGAATCACTTCATAACTAATCTCAAACATGATCACTTCTTACCACCTCTACCCCATCTCCCTTGTCTAAGCTACTGTCACCTCTCACCAGGGCTTCTACAACAGCCTCTTAGCTAGCTGAACTCAACCCTGCCATCTCTGCAGCACCCAGAACCCCTGCACCCAGTTTCCCACAGAGCAGCCAGATTTGCCTTTTTAAAAGACAAACCAGATGTTACTCCTATACCCAAAACCCTTCAATAGTTTCCCATCACCTGCAGAAAAAAATTCAAATTCTTTCTTTGGCCTAAAAAACCTTTCAGGATACAGTCCCTGCCTCTCTCCTAATCCATATCAATCACTATACTCTGGCCACACTGCTCTTACTATTTCTGAAGTATCCCAAACTTGTTTCTGCCTCAGGGCTTCTGCATTTTCAGCTCTTTGCCTGAAAATTTCTTCTCCTGATCTCACTATTCCATCACTTCATTCAGAGAGACTTCCCCTAACTATTCCGTTTAAAATAGTACCTGCTGTCCCACACGTTCTATTCTTTTAATTTACTTTGGTTGTCTTCACATCATCTGACAGCATATCATCTACTTGTCCATTCATTGCTATGTCTCCTTCTAAAATCTAAGTTCTAAGAGGACAGAGCTTATAAAATATCTATGACTATCTCTCAATTTCTTCCTCTTGCTCTTTCTCACACTTCCCCCGCCTCCCTTTCCCTATCTATATGCACTTAAGATCAACTTTTTAATAAATGAATAAATTTCAGCGACACCATTCAGGTCTATGTATTGAATTCAAGAACAGATATTCTGCCACAACTGAGCAGCTGCTTCTTCTCATAGAATCACCATTCATTCTTTGTCCACCCAGGAATATGCCTTCTCTCCCCTTAAAACTTAACACCTCATGAAGCCATCAGTGTGTGACTGTCTCCATTGAAGACATACATAAAGTGAATTTCAGATTCAGATTATCAGATTCAGATTATTCAGAAATTCAGATTATCCTCAGATGAGCGAACCTGTCATATACCACTAGGTATTCTCATTACAGTCTTCATGCTCTATAAATTAGTTAAGGCAATGCTAGCTGCCGTAACAAACCAAACCTGGAATGTTTAACATAATAAAAGTTCCTTTTTTGTTCAAATTAACAGTTACACGTTCCTGGGAAGTGGATGGTTTCCTCCTCACAATCATGAAGGAACTGTTTCAGTTACCTACTGCTGCCTAAAAACCAGCCCAAAACATATTGGCTTAGAACTAAAATTTATTTCCTATTTATCACAACTCTCATAGGGCATCAGCTAGGGCACTGGGATGGCAGAAGATCCAATGGCCTCACTCCTACAGTGGGACAGTCTGTAGTGGCTGCAGGTGGAAGAAACAGCTGGTCTTGTCAGCCAGAGCCTCAGTTCTCTTCAATGGAGCTGCTGGGGTCTCTTCACCTCAGAGTAGTCTCCAGGTCGTTGTATTTCTTACATGGTGACTAGCTTCTAAGAGTGCCAAAGTGGAACCTGCCAGCCTTCTTAAGGCTGAGCACAGTGTTATGCATTCTCCTGGTTAAAGCAAGTTATAGGGCCAGCCCAGATTCAAACAGGCTACACAAGGATGTAAATACTGGGAAGTGTGGTCCACCAGGGCCACCAAGTTCCTTTTATCCTGTGGCTTCCTCATCCCTTACATCTTCAAAGTCCTCTGTATAGATGAGGAAAAGGAATGCATCTTAACCACTTTGACGCAAAGTCACAGGCATCATCTTTTTCATTATTTTGTAAAGAACTAGTCACACAGCCCCATGTAGTTGTAACAGTGACTGGAAAATAGAATCCCTGACTGGGCAGCTCTGGCCAATGACTAGAATATAGAAAATGAACCACAAATATTTTATGGACAGCTAGCAGCCTCAGCTAACTTTCCTCTTATCTCTCAGCAGATCAACATTTCCTTGTTAACTCTCAGGTCATCAGTGGTCACATCTCAGGAGACACTACCTTTTGCCAGAATACTCCCTCCAGTAATGTTTGGTTACTTTAGGCTGTTTTCAGTGTCATTTCCTCATACCAATATTCACAAATACACTCACTTTATACAACAGTTTTGACTGATCTCATCCACGCTGTAAAATTACTTTAAGTATTCTGGGGCCCACATAAATATCCATACCTCTTCCATGTGCTCCAACTTACATTTCTATGTTATGTCTACTTACATATGCCTTAGGGACACATATGCCCATGTCAAAATTGAACTAAAGTATTATCAAACTACTCCTCTTCTTCTATTCCCAATCTTAATTAACAGCCTCCCACCAATACCTAAGCACCCAAGCCAAAGCCATTCAGATTCATCACTAGTTCCTCCACTCCCCGCCTACACACTATGGAGTTACCACACTCTGTCCACCTGAAACTCTCCCTCAGATGTTCCCTTCTCCACTCCTACTGGTGCTTTCCTAGTTCTGGTCCTTCATTCACCTGAACTACTAAAACAGCTCTTTTAATTGACTTCCCTGACTTTAAAATACAATTTTCCAAGTGCTCCAAACAGTATGTCCCTAAAATATTTAATCATGTTACTTCTACATAAAATTATTTGATAGCTTCCTGGCCAATAAAATGCCACACTTCTTTGTAGGACAATTAAGATCCTTTGCAATGGGACCTCCATCTTCACTTCTCCTACTTGTTAGTCCCACCACCTTATTCAGGATGTAGTTCCAAATATGCCCTAAACTTTCATGACTCTCTGCCTTCTGCATATATTTATATTCCATTCATGTTTACCAAGAATGTTCTTTCCCTTCCCCCTTCTCTTACTGACAAACTACTTACCCTTCAAAACTACTTTTAAATATCACTTTCCCAGTCACACCTCCCTCCAGGCAAAGTTAACTACTTGCTTTCAAAGACTGCCATTGTTGATACCTCAAATGTATTACTTACAAAACTGAATTTTGATTATCTAATAATACAGCTTATCGACTATGATGTTGTGGGTTTTACTGTCTCATCCACTAGATTTTTGGTGCTTTGAGAACTGAACCCATGACAAATCATCTTTGTGTTTCCACTAAAGTCAACTCTATCTCTCGAATAAACAGAACCCTTATTGGCAAGCAAGTGGTTTTTCAGATAGCTAGAACTTCACCTCAACAAAGCAGCCATCTCGTTTCCCAATGATACATTTCAGGTAGCCACAGAGTAGTACGGGACTCTCACATGCCTTTGCACATTTCCCAAAGACAAGAATCACACCTAGACAGACTCAAGTCCTTAAAATATAATCACACTCTCCCAACAAAAAATTCAGCTGGGTTTCACTTTTAGCTATACTATCAATCCTTATAATTTTACATCACAATGTTTGTTATTCCTTAAAATAACCTTAAAAGGCCCAGAAATCTGAATTTTAGTGAACAGGAAGTGAGTAATCTGTCCAAAAAAGTAGGGAAGATCATGGATATAGCCCCTAGTAAAAGGTCTGGAAGCCACAAGGAAAGCTGACGAGTAAATGTGGACAAGAAAAAATGCTTCCATTACAAATCACCTCAAATGAAGATTACAAAAACCAGAAATACACTTCCTGGTATTGGTCACAAATCCCTTCAGTAGTGGGCTAAACTGACTTATAGTAGTTGTTGACTAGATTGTTCTTCCCCAAAATATTAAGTCTTCAAATTGGATCAAGGCAATTGACAGTTGAAGCCAAATAACAATGAGTACTTCAAAAATAGCGACTAATGATAGTGACCTCAATTGTGTTCTCTGAGCTTATCTACACTAAAATACGGTATGCTATTTACACAAATTTGCATCTTTATATACTTCTTGATATAGGCCAAAAGTCACAAAACTTCCACTGAATTAACCAGTGATTTGTTTTGTATTATTTTAGTAACTGTATGAGACTTTTTCATTAATCTTCTAATTAGCACAGCCCTTTAACAGATAGTCCTTATCATTCCAGGCTGAGAAGGATTTATAAAGTTCAGCTAGTTTTGTGGTAGATAGTGATTACACTTTGGACATGGCCTCATTTTTTTAAATGTATACTTCTTGTTTTTAATCAAAGTCATCCATAACATTGTTTAGAATACAATAGTCATATAAGACTTAAGAAAAAAAAAAAGCAGCTCTGTGACCACTTTCCTGATACACACACATACACACACACACACACACACATACACACACACAAACACACTTTCTACACCCCAAAAGCAACCATTTTGAAGTCATTTAGCTGATATTTTCGGTATTTACTTCTACTTCTCTAAGTAACTTACTATACCTCTTGATTTCTATTTCTTCATTTTTCCATTTTAGGCATAGATAGCTAGAACTTGGAAGGTGAGAATTTAGCTCTTAAATACATTCACACACCCCAATCTCAACTCCAACATAAACACACTTCCCATACAAAAAACCCCAACACCCCTAAATAGTAATTTGTGATTTGTTAGATCAATTTTCAGTATTTACATTATGACTATATAAATGCTTTTGACAACTGAGCCATATAGTGTACCATGAATGTTTATTTTTATCTTTATTCTTACACTTTTTGATTTCCCTTAATAATATTTATTACTATCTCTCTCATCCTCCAAAGTCTCCAGTAACTATGTAAATCTTATCCCAATAAATTCAAATACATCAGGTATTCTATGAACTCTATCTTCTTAAATCAACGTCCCAGAGCTTTGTGATCTGCTCCAATCTAGATCAGTCAATCTTTAGAAAAAGAAATGTCCAAAAGATCATTCTGCAATGATGGAAAAGTTCTGTATCTACTCTGTCCAATGCAGTAGCCACTAGTCACATGTGGCCATTGAGCTCTTAAAATGTGGCCAGCATGACTGAGAAACTGAATTTTAAAATTTAACTTCAACAGCCACATAAAGCTAGTGGTTTTAACAAAGAGCAGCTCCACAACTGACATAGCTGTGATGTTGGATCTCCTTTCTTTTCTCTCTTAGTTTCCTAATCCCATCTTTCCTTCTTGATTTTCTTTATCTTAGGAGAGCACAAACTCTACTCACTTCCAGAAAAGGGGTATATAAAAGGTAAATTGTTTTAAGACTGACAGTCTAGAAATTTCCTTCTTTCACTCTCACTCTTTATTAATTTGACGGGGCACAGAACACACTGGAAATCACTTTACCCTTGGTATCTTAAAGGCATTATTCCACTTCTAGTATTCATGTTGCTGTTGAGAACTCTAGTAACGTTTTGATTCTTGATCTTTTGTCTAAATCATTCTCTCACTTTATGGAGGCTTTCAAAATCTTTTCTCTATTCCAGATGCTCTGAAATTTCACAATAATCTTGGTATGAGTGTATCTTAATTCATTGTGATGGATGCTCAATGGGCCCTTTTAATCTGGAAATGTGTGTTCTACAGTTCTGAGAAATGTTAGTGAATTATTTTATTGGTGATTTTTTCTCCTCCAATTTGTTCTCTCCTCCTGAAACATGTATTATTTAAATAATCCCTCTAATTTTATCATCTCTTCCTATTTACCATCATTTAGGTTTGTTTTTTGTTGTTTCTGCACTCCTTTCTGATCAACCTCCTCCAACTCTATTGGATTTGTTTTAGTTTCTAAGAGCTCTGTGAACATTCTTGTTCTTATTTCATAAATGCAATGACTAACTTTTCCAAAAATTTTAAGGGCCACATTTTTTGCATTGTCTTCTCCTCCAAATCTCTTTTACTCTCTTTTGCTTTAATCACCATTTTTCACATCAGTGGCCTTCCTTACCTATGACTATCTGTTCATAATTAAGAATGAGATATTAAAAAGCTAATTAGAAGCTCTGTGTGTATGGTGGGGCTTGCTGGCAATGGACCTCACAGCAGGATGATATGGCTGGAGCCTTTCCTAGGGGAACCATTTATATTGGTATTTTTAGTTTCTTTTTTCTTTTGGCCTAGTCAAACTCCTCAAAGGAGACGTTTTTGCTCATGTAGCCATAAAATAATTTTGAAATACCATATATTCACACATCCTTGTGATATCTAAAAATTTTCATCTAAGTTTCAATCAATAATTACAGAAGATGTTATTTCTGACATATTGTTGACTTTTAAAAAACTATTTTAAAAACAATTGTAGACTTATAGAAAAGTCACAAAAACATTACAAAGAGCTCCCATATACCCTTCACCCTAATGTTAACATCCTATATAGCCAAAATACTATTATCAAAACCAGGAAATTAACATTGCTATAATACTGTTAGCTAAACTACAGACTTTATTCAAATTTCACACATTATTCCACTAATGTTCTTTTCTGTTTCAGAATCCAATCCAGAATTCCTTCCTGCATTTAGTTTAATATATCCCTAAACTCTGGTCTTCGATAATTCCTCCATCTCCCCTTGTCACTCATAACCTTGACACTATGGCTGATTGTCAGTTACTTTATAGAATAACTCTCCTAATTTGGCTTTGTCTAATGGTTTCTCATGAATGAACTGAGATCATAAATTTTGGGCAAAAATGCTACAGAATGATACTGTGCCCTTCTCAGTACATCATATATCATGGGATACATGATGTTGATATGTCTTATTACTAGTGATGTTAACCATAATCTGTTGGTTAACATGGTACCTGCCAGGTTTCTCTGTGTAAATTTACCATTTTTCCCTTTGCAGTTAATAAATAACATTGACTTAAAGAAAAACAAAACTATTACACCCTTCTTTTATATGTATCAAATGGACTCTAGAAACTATAATCAATCTGGTAACTGTTACCATCCATTGAACAAACTATTCCTTAACAGTTTTACACTGCTCCTTCTTCTCCTTGCACTAATATTTCTATGATATTTATTCCACAGAATGTTATCCTGATGTAATATTTTTATGCATGGAAGTTTACTGATTATCCAATCATTTTTCTCTACAAGAATATATTTGTATATAAATTCTAAAAATATCTTGTGATCCTAATGTTCTAAGTATTGATCCAAAAGAAATTTGGAATTATTATAATTATTATATTAGTATACAACAAATCAAAACACATATATCGGGAAAACTAATTACTAAGCAAAATAAAACCAAATATTATTTTAAATACAACTGTTAATGAAATAGATGGAGCTTATCTTTTTTTTTTTTTTTGAGATGGAGTGTCTGTCACCCAGGCTGGAGTGCAATGGTGCAATCTCGGTTCACTGCAACCTCCACCTCCCGGGTTAAAGCGATTCTCCCACCTCAGCCTCCTGAGTAGCTGGAATTACAGGAACCCGCCATCATGCCCGGCTAATTTTTGTATTTTTTTTTGTACAGACGGAGTTTCACCATGTCGTCTAGGCTCATCTTGAACTCCTGACCTCGGGTGATCTGCCCACCTTGGCCTCCCAAAGTGCTGGAATTACAGAAGGGAGCCACCATGCCTGGCCTGGAGTGTATCATTTTTTAATTAGTTTATGAGTTCATGAATTACTTACTACCAGAATGAGACAAAGTTCAGCATTAATCCTATTCCTATTTTTTATTTTTATAGATATAAGTGCTTAAGAACCTTGTTCAAATAAGAAGGAACCAGAAAACCCTTCGTTATAGCAATGTAAGTGTCCTTAGTTATGTGCCACATATCACACAGTGATCTATTATAAAAAATTATCTTTAATAATCTGGCATTATTAAACACAACTCAAATCCTCTTTCATTTTTGTTGAAAACAAATAGAAACCACCTGACTTACAAAAGAATATCATCTAATTATATCCAGTCACTTTTACACTACTACAAAACTATTTAGAGGCCTCTCCCTGCCTTCTTTTTTCTTTTTTTAAAGTGGGACTTCCAGACCTTTTTACAACTCCAGATTAGCAAGATAAAGGTTAGATGAAAGATATACCTTCATTTTGTAAAATGGGAGAAGGAAGATAATTTATTCCCTAACACAAATGTTGCCACCATACCTGAAAGTCTCCATGTGCCCCCAGGAGCAGGTCTTTTCCCAGAGCAAGGCTGGGGTAACTGTCCAGCTGTGCTGCATTAGGGAAGGAACTTTCAGCCAATCCTTTTCTAAGGCTCCACCTCCCAGAAGTAGCTAGTGTTATAATGACTGAACTTTTTAAAGGTTCTAAAATATAAATGTGGTGCTTCCTGCCTTGGGCAATGGCATCTTAGGATTCAGTTACTACATAATCTACCCTTTTCCCAGATTATAAAGTTTTGTTGCTGTTACACTCTCCTCTTACTCACTTCGTCATGTGGGATTTATGCTGTTTAAAAATGTCTTTGGTGTCATTCTGGTGGTGTTTGCAAGAGAGAGTAGAGGCTGAGGCACGTGTTCAACCCACCCTCTTTAACCAAAGCATTAGCACTATAGCCACACCCTGCCTACCACTAGCAATATAAACTCCTCAACATGCCATCCAAATTTTCACTACAAAATTCTGAGAAAAGTTTGCAAGAGTACATGTATGACTTATACAGACTTTGAATACAAAGTTCTACGCCTGAGGTCAATGAATTTTGAACGGTGTCCTGAATAAACTAAAAATATTACATAACTTAGTATAGCAATTATTGTAAAACTCAGTATAGAACAATTTTTTCTTCTTTTACGCTCCCTTCTGTGTCATAAAAAGGCTTTCTCTGCAGTTTTCATCCTTTTATAAACTATTTTTGCAGGTAAGTTTTTGTTACACATGAAGTACTCAAACGGAACGACTATAAAATATCTGATTTTGCAACCATGAACATTTTCTATTATCTTTCATCAAGTGCTTTCCTTTAAGTCTTTAGTGCCATGCCATAAGATAAAGGTATTTGTGGATTTAGCATCTATGGTTTCTTGTGAATGCAAGTCACCACGCAGGTCCAAGATAGGCAATAATTTGTCATTTTCCTATGACACAGATCTAATCTCTATTTGTTGCTAAGCCCGTGTTTTATGAATTAAGTTATATAAACACAGGTACAAAGAAAAGTAATAGCAAGATTTCCTTCCTTAAATAGAAAACTAAAATACTTGAGAGGCTGAGGCAGGTGGATCAATTGAGCCTAGGAGGTTGAGGTTGTAGTGAGCCATGATTGCGCAACTGCACTCCAGCCTGGGCAACAGAGCAAGACCCTAGCTCAAAAAAATAATTAAACGACCCTTTACAAGAAGCCCGACAGGCGTGGTGACTCACGCCTATAATCCCAGCACTTTGGGAGCCCAAGACAGGTGGATCATCTGAGGTCAGGAGATCGAGACCAGCTTGACCAACATGGTGAAACCCCATCTCTATGAAAAATACAAAATTAGCCGGGCGTAATGGCACGTGCCTGTAACCCCAGCTACTCAGAAGGCTGAGGCAAGAGAATCGCTTGAACCCAGGAGGCAGAGGTTGAAGTTAGCCGAGGTCGTGCCACTGTACTCCAGCCAGCCTGGTGACAGAGTGAGACTCCATCTCAAAAAAAAAGAAATATGGGGAATAAAATACAGATCACTTAATGATTTATTCCCTAAGGTGGTAGCATTTTGAATGTTCTACCAAAAGTAATTACTGTATCAACTTTGTTAATCTAATGGTCATTAGGAAAAAGTAAACAGCACAATATTAGAAAAATTAAATAATTCCATTTACCTAGATAAGAATCCCCCTCACACAACAACATAAAAAGAGAGGAAAGAGAAGCCCTTGATGATGGGGAACTTGCAACTTGACTTAAGATTACAGATTACTATAAAACTACCTATAATATAGGAAAAGAAAGAAGTAAACTATAACTCTTCAATGTCGAACATGATGTGCTCAATAAATACCTTTTATTACTAGTCATGATCTGTTGCTACAAGCCTAAAAAACTGACAAGGATAATGAAAACCAAACTTGATAAGTAGAGGGACTGTTAACTATGGATCCTGTGAAGATGTGCTCTAATCCCACTAAGCAATAATGACAACTACAGAAAAAAATACTAACTATCCCAGTGGATTGTGGGGAAGGTGCCAATAGACACAGGAGATTATGAGAAATACAATGCAACGGGTGTTTACTATTAGGAACTATCATTAAATAATTCCTAGCCTTAGAAATGTTATTCAAAAAAACTGCATATATCCCAGTTCACTATAGATCATGTACCTGTCACCATGACTATACATCACATATCTATTTTTTTTTAAACAGGGAATACATAATTTTTACAGTCTGTATTTAAGGAATAACAAGATAATGCCCAAACTTGAAACTATAATGTCTGAAAATTAACCTACTAAGAATAAATCATAAAAGCATTTGACCCAAAATATTGATATATAAATGAGTAGCTGAAGAGTTTTGCATTTTCATAATTTCGCCTATTGAGAAATAATCTTTATTCCTATATAGCATAATGTCTCAGGGTCATACACTGGGGCTTTGATGACAAAACACTACCTGCATTTACTCTTATTGAATCTTCTCTTCTCAAGACTCCAAGAAATAAATCTTCCTTTACTATCTATCATAGTCTTTCAACTTAACAACCTTTCTCTTAAATTCAACTTTTCTTTTGAAAGCCAGACCTGAGACCAAGGATTTCTGCCCACAGACAGTCCCCACTTCTAACCACAGAATTCAGAAAACTTTAGAGCCAAAAGAAGTCTCAACGATCATCTGTGGTCAAGCCTAATTCCCTTATTTAAAGGAGAAAAGTAAAAGCCAAAAAAAGACTGCTACACAACTTACAAGTTAATAGCAATACTATAACAAAACCCAAAATCTCTTTGATACTAATGCTTGATTTTGTCTTACGATAATTTCTGAGTTGTACAGTAGACTAAATAGCGAAGTTTCTAAAGAATAGATTGACTTGTCTGAAAAAGCTGTCCCAATTATTTCATTAATAATTTCTTCAAACTCAAACTCATCAGCAGTCTTGAGGTATGCAAATGAAAAAGAATAGAGAGTAACTAAGGTACAGATTGAATAACCCTTACCCAAAATGCTGAGAACCAGAAGTGACTGGATTTCAGATTTTGGGGGGAATGTTGGAATATTTGCATTTTCCTTTCTTGTTGGGCAACCCTAATCCAAACATCCAAAATCTGAAATGCCCCAACAAGCATTTCCTTTGAGGGTCTTGTTGGCGCTCAGAATGTTTCAAATTTTGGAGCATTTTGGATTTCAAATTTTCAGATTAGAGATATTCAATCTGTGTATTTTCAAATTTCTTATGAATCCTTTCACTGTCCTCGACTTGTGAGGAGTGTGGTATACGTCAAGTTATAAATCATTTTGCTTTGTTCTGCTTCCTCCCTAGAGCTTAAGCACAGATTTGAACCAGCCATCATAACTAAAAACATTATGAGACACGGACAGATCTCAAGAATTAACCATGACTTGAAATCAGTAACAATACCTTCAATCTCACTCAATGTTCTTTTTCAAAAATATTTGATGAAAGAATCAATTACGTTAAGTAAACAACTGTTGGTCAAGGAAGTAAAAACTTATTTTACCAATAAATTAAGATAAATTCAGGAACCACAAGCAACTATTTTCTGAAGCTTTCCTTCAACTGCAAAATAAACACTAATTTAAAAATTTTTTTTACTTCATTTGAAAGACTAGGTTTGAAACATTTGGTGCTTTTGCAGAATTGTTTGAAAATATAAAACATCATATAAATAATGAGAAAAAATGAAACACACCTTAAAGAAATGAGCTCACTACATTAAAATAACAGTAGAAAAAAACAACCAAAAAAACACAAATATCTTTATAAGAAAACTATCTACCTAACCCAAAAAACAAACAAACTGTAAGTCTCTCACAGTGATCTATTTCAGGCAAAGAAGAATTTACATAGTTTCTTGAATTTCATTGTACTGTAAGAGAATTTGACCTCATAAACAAAGTCTCCTTTTTCTATCAAGGCTATTCTATGTCCTAATAGCCCCATAAACTTATTTGCTATTTTAAAAATCATAAATAATAAATGATTTCACAAGACTTTCACTCAACTACAAATCTTCTTAATAAAGATTTTATCTTTTTGCTACTAGTGTAGAAAAAAATATTACATACATATCAGTATATATATGAAATATGTTTATATAAATACATACGTTGTATGTTTATATACTTTATATATATAAATATAACATTTATTTATATATATATACACACACATATCAGAAATACTTCCATCACAAGGTGTTTAGTATTTGTTCTGGACAATTTCTCTAAAATATTTAAATTATGTTTAGGTTTCCTTTGTAGAAAAAACACTTCCAGCCTGAATTAAATGGCTACTGATTCAAAGGCTAGTATAAGCCCACTTAACTCCATTGTTATCTGGTACAACGGGGAAAGAACTAAAATAGTAAAGATGTAAGACAATTAGAGATATATGGAAGGGACTAAAAGTGGCAGATACAGTAGCACCTGGAAACTCAATGCTATAAAATAGTTAACTACCAGAACAAGCAGAAATAGAGGCTAGGTGCCAGAGAAGGAGCCTCAACATGCATAATAAGAAGAGCACACTCCTGCAGTTAAATACTGATCAGAAACACTAAATAGGAAGGCTGTGCCTTTGTGTGTCTTTCATAGAAAGAAGCCCTCAATACAAAAGTATAAACTAGTTATGCTCCAAATGTCTATCAGGTAGGAAACTCCCCTGGAGCCAGTATTAGAAACAAAAAGCCTCCAATTCCCACAGGAATTGCCTTATATAAAATAAATCACAAAGCAATTAATTCACACCCCAACTGCAAACATTAAAACATTTAAAAACAACAAAGTGATGTCTTCTCTGCAATGCACACTAAATTTCCATTGAAAACTCTTTCTCCTCATGTATAATCAGTATTTTTCTGAAGTTACAAAAGTTACTGGTTCTATTTCAAATTTATACAAGAACAGAGACAATAAAGGGCACCCAAAGTATTTACCTAAAGAAAAACCATTTTAAACTGCACATCAGTTTTTTATTCTTGGGAAAAAATGACCTTCCTTTTATGGACTATACGCACTAATTCTCATCACAAATGTGTACTAATTATGGGATCAAGGTATCAGTCACAACTGTTCATTAGATCAGCAGTGAATTTGGTAGGATCTTTAGACTGGATGTGACCAGAAGAACTAAGTTTGGAAAATCTGAAATGGAAATAAAAAGAAACTAAGTGTATTCTCTGTGAAAGGTCTTTTGGTCAAGGTACAAAACAAGGCAGACTTTGTTCTTTGATGGTCACAAGGTGTGGATTGTATGTGTACACAGAGTAAGTAGGTTAGAGCTTCCTGGCTCCAGCTGCTCTAGGGAGCTGAATGAATGGGAGTACAGGTAAAGCAGGTATGAGGTTGCACTATTTTTTAAGGATAGGGTATAGCTGGCTCTTACGATCAGAAACCCAAACTTTAGACTAACAATTTCAAAGCTGTTTGTATTTACTAAATATATTAAAGCATTTTGTTTTTCTTGGTAATTAGCCAAGTTGCTCTTTCATATGTCAGGCTGAATGAGGTGTGCTATGCATAAACAGGCTATGCATTTGGGCCACAGGTAGACTGGGGTTTTAGAAGGAACCTGTAACAGTAACAGCAACAGGAATCAAAGTAAACAACAACTTTTGGAAATGTGAGGGCTAGAAGATAGACAAATATGAGGTTCAACGTACAACTGTGTCTCCATATATATGGAGAAATCTTCTTCGGGATCAAATGTTTATTTTTATTTTGTTTTTTCAAAACACTTTCCCAACAATCCTCACTGTCATAGGATGGTAGAATCAAAGTACTCCCAAGAAATACTAATTAAAATCACCTCAATTTGCATGCTAGAGATTAATTTAACAGAGATATTGATACAGTTGGAGGGGTCTAAAATAGAGATTTCCATAATACACAGTTTAAATAACTTTTAAAGACTCACCTGTAGGCTTAACTGAATAAAACCCAATGGCCTCTCCTTTCTTCCACAGAATCTTAGCATAATCAGTACTGCTATGACACAGGAATGGGATCTCATTTCTCTCCATTTCCTGTTTTCTATAAATAATTCGATTCAGAACATACAGAACCACTCTCTCCCCAAGAGTGCTCACCTACAAAGAGAGTCAAACACCAGGCACAGCAGTTATAATATGCATCAATCACAAGATGCTATTTACTTTGCTCCCTGCTCCCATACCTCATACTGGAATTCAAAGCACTTCAAATGCATTCAAAAAAATTTGCAAAACATTTTATTACCACAGAGATGAGACTAATCATTCACATAGATTACAATCCATTTCCACACACACATATTATGCATAGAATACTGCCTTTCAACAAAATTCTAAATCGGGCAAAAAACAGGTCCCCAATGTACCAATCCCGAGCATGTCTTTCAGCACTCACCATCTTCTTTCTGCTTCCAGCTGCCCAGATCCAGGGTCTTACCAACCCTAATCACAGCCCTCACTATAGTAAACTACTTCAACTGCTTTTCAGTCTCCACATTTAAAAAAAAAAAAAAAAAGGCAGCTTAGTGTTATCCCCTGAACACTTTAAGAACAATTACATCATTTGGTGAGGGAAGCCATAATTACACTCTTGGGAAAGAAATGTGTCTCATCTTTTCCTGGTAAAATGTTCATTTAATAGCCCTATCTTTGCTGTCAACAAAGACGGGGATACCAAAGAAGTCTAATAAAAACATACTTAGGGCAGTAATAGAACAGAAACAGAGTCTCACTTCCTACACACAGGGCTACATGGTCACAGGGACCGCACCAACACTCAGAACTTTCTGATATCAAATAGTGAGGTGTTCCTGATACACAGGCCAGTACGGGGACTCATGCCTGTAATCCCAGCACTTTGGGAAGCTGAGGTGGGTGGATCGCTTGAGCTCAGTTTGAGACCAGCCTGGGCAACATGGCAAAACCCACCCGTCTCTACAAAAAATACAAACATTAGCCAGGTATGGCTGAGCACACCTGTAGTCCCAGCTATTCAGGACGCTAAAGGGGGAAGATCACTTGAGCGCAAGAGGTTGAGGTTGCAGTGAGCTGTGACTGCACCACCGCACTCCAGCCTGGGCGACAGAGTGAGACTGTGTCTCAAAAAAAAAAAAAAAAAAAAAAAAATCTGTACATAAGCCTATATTCCCCCAGGTCTCTTAAAACAAGTTCAGGCTCTAATTAGTTCAGTGGATAGAGAAAAGATTGACCATATACATATACTACTCTCAAAAATATCCCTGGCAGGGGATCTCACATAACAAACATAGGAAATAGCAGCCGACTAGCAATAGCTTCCAAGACAACCCATTCCTTCCTTGAACCCACAGTTCTGACCAACAACAATTCTTCCTTATTCAGAGCTGAAATCTATTTCTCAAAGACTATATTTTGATATTCTGCAGCCACATAGCCTATAAATATTTGAAGATAGAGCCATGATGTTCCCCTAAATTTCACAGCAATGTTAAACATGGTTATAAATGAAGGAAAAGGCTAATCTAACACAATTTGGGGTACTCTTGCCATTTCAGTGCTCTCTCTTGAAATTGCTCCAGATCCATAACATCTCTCTTCATGTTCGGGATGTGGATTTCATGAAGATATTTTGAAGGTGCTGCTGAGACAATGGGGCTTTTCTATATAAACAAAGTTTTTATTAGCTTTTTTGCTTATCTGGATTTTACTGCTAATTAATTAAAGCCCAATACTTTTTCATACGTACTGTTGTTTCAGTTTGGTGTTCATGGTGTACAGTTAATTTTTTGAACCTATAGGTATTACATTTCTCCCTATTTAATTTTATTATGTTAGATCTTTCTCTTTGTTTTTTAATTCTGCCCTTCACAGATTAGCTCCTCCATTCAGCACAGTGACATGCAGAATTGATAAGCATGCCTCTAAGTCACTGACAAAATGAAGGACACAATGGACAAAGTCTTGCAGCATACTACTGAGGACCTCCCGTCCATATAATTGAGCATCAGTTTCCAGGTACAGAGAGGTTTATAAAAATAAAGTCAACTTGCTCCAAGTTAAGTGTTTGTTAAGTACAAAAAGGGTTACACCCTTCTGTAACTTTACCAACCAATTTTTCCTTACTGGCCAGGATTTGACTGGAATAGCAGTCCCCCTTCACTGATTTCTCTATTTAAGAGGGAACGTAGGCCAGGAGTGGTGGCTCACACCTGTAATCCCAGCACTGTGGGAGGCCAAGGCAGGTGGATCACTTGTGGTCAAGAGTTCGAAACCAGCCTGGCCAACATGGCGAAACCGCATCTCTACTAAAAATACAAAAATTAGCTGGGCAAGGTGGCACACACCTGTAGTCCCAGCTACTCGGGAGGCTAAGGCAGGAGAATTGCTTGAACCCGGGAGGCAGAGGTTGCAGTGAGCCGAGATCATGCCACTGCACTCCAGCCTGGGCGTCAGTAAGCCTGTGTCAAAAAAAAAAAAAAAGAGAGGGAATGTTGTCCCTAAGGTAACTAAGGCTGAAAGAGTCCACATAGTTGTAGTCTTATTTTTGGTTTTGACTCCTCCTCTTTTCCCAATCCATATCTGGAGGTTTCATAGTTTCTCCACTTGAACAGCAAAAGCTACAATATACCATCATATTAAGATTTTCCCTTCTCCTTCTCCATCCTTTAGCCTTCATATCTATAATATGCCAAACCTCAGTCATGTTAAAACACATCAGAATGCTTATTTTCTTGACATACATACTTCTTTTCACTATCAGAACTGTTCCTGAGAACATATTATACTCCTTTATTGCTATCTACTCCTCCAATTTTACAGCTTTATGCAGGGATATAATTCCCTCCTCCCCTTCAGTTTCTGTTCAAAGTTTCATATCAGACTGGCAGATAACCAGGTACACACATTCTCCGAGCCTTCAGCAGATGGGCCTACCACTTTGGGAATCTTAAGGCACACTGAAGAATTAATGCAATATCCAAAAGTTACTAATACTTAATAATACTAAGTGCATTATTCTCTTATCCTCCCATCTCTTTCAAAGTTCCCAACTCAAAGGGAAGAAATAAAAACACCCTAGTAACCCGCAAGTTTCTTCAGTTTCTTTTTTTCCTGCTGCCACTGCCCCTTTAAGCAAGCATCAAGTTTTGTTTTTCTGTGAATTGGAGTAACAGGATCAAAATTTCTTGATATGCTTTCCTTGTTTCTTCTGACTGGTTCAACTGCCCACAAAAAAAATGAACAGTAGCTGGAACCCTGCGAATCTGACAAGTTTTTACAGAGTTGGCCTATCCTAGAAGTGTTCTAAAGGAAGAATATCAAGACACATATATATTTCTGTTAAATTCATTCTCCTGTTGGCTGGGCGTGGTGGCTTATGTCTGTAATCCTAGCACTTTGGGAGGCTGAGGCGGGTGGATCACTTGAAGTCGGGAGTTCGAGACCAGCCTGACCAACATGGAGAAACATCGTCGCTACTAAAAATACAAAATTAGCCGGGCATGGTGGCGTATGTCTGTAATCCCAGCTACTCGGGAGACAGAGGCAGGAGAATCGCTTGAACCCAGGAAGCTGAGGTTGTGGTGAGCAGAGATAGCACCCCACTCCAGCCTAGGCGACAAGAGCGAAACTCCATCCCAAAAAAAAAAAAAAAAAAAAAAATTCATGATCCTCATTAAGGCTCTCTTTCTTTTAGGATTAACAAGACACTCTATACTTAATTAATGAATAGTACTGCTTCTCCAAAAAGTCAGTATTCTTTTTAGGTAAGCAAAGTCTAATGCACTTCTACCAAGTCAGTTTCCTATTTCTCCAATATTATTATAAATCTCACTCTTCCAGCCACCAAAGATTTCATCTTTTTTTATTATGCCCTGCCTCCTCAAATATGTTACATCTTGGTTTCTATAGATTTTCCATATCCTGTCCTATTTATCCTCCAATAACTAGAGCACCAGAGATGTCTCTTAAACCCTTTCATCTCTAGCATGAAAACCAGCTTCCTTCCTGCAACGTTCTTCAGCTGGCTGCCTTCTACTATAACCCTGCCGAGGTTGGAAGCTTGCTCTCTCCTGAACCTGGTCATTCCACTGTTAGGAACACTATATAGACCACCTGAAGAGGCCCTACTAATAAACAAGTTTCCTGGTCAGTCTCTCCTAGAGACAGAAGCTAAACAATCACACAAAGGGAACTAGCTTTTCCTCTATCAAATAAGAAAATCAGAAGCTAACTTGGATAAAGGTAGCCAAAGCTCAACTAACCCATAGGTATTCATTCTTCCTCACCCAATCTCAGATACTTATAGAATCACATAAAAATGGAGGAAGCCCAACCCGAATGCTGGCTTCATCGTAAGAATGAAATTCTAGGGTTTAATATAACCTGATTATTTTTAAATGGGGAAGAGCTCAAAAACTATCACTGTTTACAGGAAACACTGTGAAATGGCCTCAAAAGAAACACTCAAAATTAGAGGATCTTGTTACCTGCTTAAGCCCCTCTCTTGAAGGAACAGATGTTTTCACAATATCATCAATAGCCCACCACTGATCAGCAAGGTAAAGTGCCACAGCTAAAATAGAATAAATAATCATTAACACTTGAGTTTTAAAGTACACTTTTAGACTTAATAAGGCCATATTGTACTATAAAGTATCCATATACTTTATATTTAAGAGTATCTATATAAACCTTACCAAATAGTAATATTGTACTTTGTAGCCTCATTTATACCATTTTTATTTCACTGATATGGTTTGGCTACATCCCCACCCAAATCTCATCTTGAACTGTAATCCCCACAATTCCTACATGTAGAGGGAGGGACCTGGTGAGAGGTGATTCGATCATGGGTCAGGGTGGGGGGGTCCCATTATCACAAGATCTGATGGTTTCATAATGTTTGACTGTTCCTCCTTCACACACGTGCGCACACACTCTCTCTTGCCTGCAACCATGTAAGACGTGCCTGCTTCCCCTTCTGCCATGATTGCAAGTTTCCTGGTGGCCTCCCCAGCCATGCGGAACTGTGAGTCAATTTTTAATTTTTTTTTTTTTTTTTTTGAGATGGAGTTTCACTCTTATTGTCCAGGCTAGAGTGCAATGGTGTGATCTCAGCTGACTACAACCTCCACCTCCTGGGTTCAAGCGATTCTCCTGCCTCAACCTCCAAAGTAGCTGGGATTACAGGCATGTGCCACCACGCCCAGCTAATTTTGTATTTTTAGTAGAGACAGGGTTTCACCATGTTGGTCAGGCTGGTCTCAAACTTCTGACCTCAGGTGATCCACCCACCTCGACCTCCCAAAGTGCTAGGATTACAGGCATGAGCCACCGTGCCTGGCTATGAGAGTCAATTAAATCTCTTTCTATTATAAATTACCCAGTCTCAAGAAGTTCTTTATAGCAGTGTGATAGCAGACATTCATCCATCAAACATGTAGCTATAAGCAATTAAGAATTACATTTTAATAAAATTACAATTTGAAACACTTTAAAAAAAAAACCAAATTCCTTCATGTAGCTACCTTTTAAATAAATTTCTAACAGTTTGGAGAAAAATTCCTTAATTTATAAAAATTAAGCAAAAAGAGACCTGTCAGTGAATCTTCAGGTGCAAAGAGAGCAAGAATTTTCTGGGTCTGATCTCCACCATAAAGAGGTACAAAGCCTACATTTGACAGGCTAATAGGAATCTGAAATGACAAATTAATAAAGATTAGTGAACAGTCTGTTAAGAAAATACATTAAAAAAATCAATCTTTTATCAAAGTAGTAAATATTTCCTACGTTAATTTTAATTTATTTTATAGGAGACATTATTTCTAGTCTCTAAAAAAAGAGTAAATCAGATAGACTTCCCTTTTGGAATAATTTTATTGTCTTAGGGAAAATATGAAAAGTTGTTTCATAAATATTATTATGTATCTAGCCACACATCTGAATAAAAACCAAAGCTATAATATGGCCCATAAAGTCATTTAAAAAACAACTATAATTTATCATCTGTTATTTAGCCTACTTGAGGAAGATATTCCATTATCTAGTTAAAAAAAAAAAAAAAAAGCAGGCCGGGCACAGTGGCTCACACCTGTAATCCCAGCACTCTGGGGAGGCCAAGGCGGGCGGATCACAAGGTCAGGAGATCGAGACCATCCTGGCTAACACAGTGAAACCCCATCTTTACTAAAAATATCAAAAATTAGCCGGGCATGGTGGTGGGCGCCTGTAGTCCTAGCTACTCGGGAGGCTAAGGCAGGAGAATGGCGTGAACCCAGGAGGCAGAGGTTGCAGTGAGCCAAGATCGTGCCAATGCACTCCAACCTGGGCGACAGACCGAGACTCCATCTCAAAAAAAAAACAAAAAAAAAAGCAGTCAAGTAAATTAATTTTTCTGGGAAGATACATGCTACTAATATGCTTTAACATTTTTTTGCCTTCATTTAATCCAACACTTATTCCCTATTTAGAGATAACATTACAATTCAGAGAATTATAAAAATATTGGTGCTGGGGAAGACTTTAAAAAATTCTTTAAGTCACCTCCAGAAGAAAAATCTAAGGCCTAGAGAGGTTAAGGAATTTGTCCACCACAGTTCACAGTGAAACCCTAATGGTTCCAAGTCTAATGATCTATCACAAAATATTATAATTTACTGACTAGAAAATTTGATTTTACTTTTTTAGAAAAAGGAAGAAAAGATTCATGGCACAAAAAATATGTAATTTAGTGTTTTGCTGATTTTTTAATTAAAAAATTTTCTAAACTCACAAATTCCAAATCTAAAGTAAATCTGAAGCAGCTCAAATATAGTAAACAGTCTTAGCAAAACTGGTGGTATTCTCACATATAATTTTAAAGCCATAAAGTCAAATAGCAATAACCTGTGGAGTTTCTCTTTTTAAAAACTGATCAACCAATATTTATCCATTTTACTGAATAGATTTCTGTAAAGATTTCAAAAATTAATGATTAACACTTAAAATGATTTTTTTAAAAAAGGATATTTATTTCATGTATAAACTGAACTGAAAAGATTGATGACAATCACTGCAGAACACCTTACCGTAATATTGAGAAGAGAAAAACACTCTGGATTTTCAGGGTCCCCACACCTTAAATCTGACATGTAATCTTCAGCAGAATTTTCCAATTCCTCATGGCTGCAATTTTCCAGCATATCCACAGGGAATGCCATCCTCTTTAACAAACAACATGGAACAAACAATTCAGAATATGAAACGCCATCTTCCTTTACTCACAGAAAATAAATTTTACTACAATGTTGCCATATTTTGTTATAACAAGATTTTTCTGTTTCACTTTGCCCGCAGAATACAACTTGAACCTGCTGATTTAACCATGCATGTCAAAAAGAAAACTTTCAAACATTATTCATTTGTATTAAAAACAGGCAATGAAATAAATTAACAGATACGTCCTTACATAATAAATATGGTCACATAGGCATAAGACATATTTATATGTACATACACACAAAAATACACATATAAATATACTCTCATAAACCACTCAACATAAAAGTCACTGTAAAAGGACACGAGAACTTGTTGGAATAATGAAAATGTTCTACAATTGGATTGTGATGATAGCTGCACAACCCTATAAATTTCAAAAAAAAAAAAATCTAAAAAAAATCACTGCGGGCACAGTGGCTCACGCCTGTAATTCCAGCACTTTGGGGGGCCAAGGAAGGGTGGATCATGAGGTCAGGAGTTCAAGACCAGCCTGGCCAAGATGGTGAAACCCCATCTCTACTAAAAATACAAAAATTAGCCAGGCATGGTGGCAGATGCCTGTAATCCCAGCTACTGGGGAGGCTGAGGCAGGAGAATTGCTTGAACCCGGGAGGCAGAGGTTGCAGTGAGCCAAGACTGCACCACTGCACTCCAGTCTGGGTGAAAGAGTGAGACTCTATCACAAAAAAAAAAAAAAAAAAAAAAAAAAAAAAAAAAAATCACTGAATTGTACGGTTTGCAATAGATGAATATTATGGTATATTATAAATTATAATTCTCATATATATAGCTTTTTTCTTTTTTTTTTTTTTGAGATAGAGTTTTGCTCTGTCACCCAGGCTTAAGTGCATTGGTGCAATCATTGTTCTATGTAACCTTGAACTCTTGGGCTCAAGCAATTCTTCTGCCTTGACCTCCCAAAGTGCTGGGATTACAGACACTAAGCCACTGTGCCAGGACTATCTTGCTGGGTTTTTTGTTGTTGTTATTTGTTTTTTAAGCAAGATTTTAATGGGGAAACACTAAAGGTTTTAACACTAAAGATTAGAAAAACAAGGACTCCACTACTATATAACATTATGTAGGCAATGATCAATTAGACAAGAGAAAGCAATTAGAGGCATAATAACTGGGGTGGGAGTAGGGTAGAAGCGAAGCTATTGCTATATCTATTATTTGCAAATAATATACTTAACTGAAAAATTCAAAAGAATCCATGAAAAAACTATTCCAAGCAACAAGAAAATTTAGTAAAATAGGACATAAAATTAGCATACATAAAGACACCAGTCTTCATACATACAACGTAACAGTAAGAAGAAATAAGGGGGGCGGGGGCAGCAAAGTAAAAATAGAAAAAGAAAGTATAAATAGAGATGAAGACCTCATTTACAACAGCAAAAATCAAAATAGGCTTAAATTCAACAACAGAAACAGTACAAAATCTATATAAGGAAAACTACAAAACATTCCTGAAAGTGAACAAGACAAAAGAGAAACCATGTTCTTGGAAAGAAAGCTTCAGCATCATAAAGGTACTGGATCTCCCTAAGATAATCTATTAATTTAATGCAATCCTAATGAAATACCTTTAAGGTTTTATTTTTTCCTGAGGCAAGAAAAGTTGATTATAAAATTAATTTGAAAGAACAGACAAGCAAAAATAGCTAGAAGAATGCACCCTGTCGGAGATTAAAACATCTTATAAAACTTCTATAATTAAAACAATGTGATACAGGCATGTGAATCAACAAATGGAACAAGATATAGAAATACACATACCTATGGAAATTGAGTATGTAATAATGGAGACATCTCATTTGGCGGGGAAAAGACTTTTTTAATAGGTGGTATTATTTCATTGGTCTATCTTATTTTTAAATGAGACATTAATTTTGCTCATTTTGAACTTCTTATATTTGAAATCATTCAGTATGCTCTTTACTGTGTTAACTCTCTTCACTCAACACTACTTCTGTGAGAAACATGAACACTGTTGCATCTATCAGTTAATTTACCCATTATACTGCTGATGAACATTTGGCTATTTCCAATATTTGGCAATTATGAATAAAGCTGCTATAAGCACTCCTGCATGAGCTTTCTGGTAGACTTACGTGGTCATGGTTGTTAGGTCTATATACCCAGGCTAACCAATGTTACTGAAAGTGAGACAACCCTACTGCATCCTGATGTGATTCAACAAGAAAATCAGACCTAAATCTAACCAAGCCATTAGAGAAATATGTTAAATGATGCCTTAAGTATGCAGTCAACCAAGTTTAGAATAACTCAGTTTCTTCCAAATATATGACATGGAGTTTATAGAAAAAAAGTAAGATGGAAAGAAAATATAAATTAAAAGTAACTTAAGAGACATGTCAATGCACTGCAGAGAGTATCCGGATTTATTTACTCTTGAAAATTTCCATGACAAGGCCGGGCACAGTGGCTCATGCCTGTAATCCCAGCACTTTGGGAGGCCAAGGAGGGTAGATGTAGATCACTTGAGCTCAGAAGATCAAGACCAGCCTGGGCCACACAGTGAGACCTTGGCTCTACAAAAATATGAAAATTAGCCGGGTATGGTGGTATGCACCTGTAGTCCCAGCTACTCAGGAGGCTGAGGTGAGAGAATTACCTGAGCCCAGGAGTTCAATGACGCAGTGAGGTATGATCGTGCCAGCCTGGGTAACACAGTGGGACCTTGTCTCAAAAACAAAAACAAAAAAACAAAAAAAGAAAAGAAAAGAAAAGAAAAATTTCCATGATAAAAAATTAAATAAAAAATAAACTTATGGGCCAGACACAGTGGCTCACGCCTGTAATCCCGACACTCTGGGAGGCTGAGGCAGGCGGATCACAAGGTCAGGAGATGGAGACCATCCTGGCTAACACAGTGAAACCCCGTCTCTACTAAAAGTACAAAAAATTAGCTGGCTGGTGGTACATGCCTGTAGTCCCAGCTATTCGGGAGGCTGAGGCAGGAGAATTGCTTGAACCCGGGAGGTGGAGTGTACGGTGAGCCAAGATCGCACCACTGCACTCCAGCCTGGGTGACAGAGTGAGACTCCGTCTCAAAAAAATAAAAACAAAAAATAAACTTATGATCTAAATCAAATACTAAGCTATTAGTTCTTAAAGGAAGTATAAAGTTAGTATAGAATATCTTGTTTTAAAAGTTACCTAGTTGGCATTTACCCAATAACCTCTTCAATTTTTATTTAAAACAGTTTTATAAAGGGGAAGGCAGAAGATCAACTAAAAGTTACTTTCCTCTTTGAAATGACCTTCAAACTTATTTTATCACAAAAGTATCAGAAGGCAAGAAACTGAAAATCCAGAGAAACACCAAAAAAAGAGATAGGATTGACATACGCTGTAACAGTTAATAACTGAGTATGTTTTTCTGAATTTTCAAGATATGATGATGATAAGAGGAACTATTTTTACCCTAATCTGAAAGTTAAGTCCTAAGGACTTTAAAACTTCATGTACATGCCGGGTGCGGTGGTTCACGCCTGTAATCCCAGCACTTTGGGAGGCTGAGGTGGTTGGATCATGAGGTCAGGAGATCGAGACCATCCTGGCTAACACAGTGAAACCCCATCTCTACTAAAAACACAAAAAATTAGCCGGGCGTGGTAGTGCGTGTCTGTAGTCCCAGCTACTCAAGAGGCTGAGGCAGGAGAATTGCTTGAACCTGTGAGGTGGAGGTTGCAGTGAGCCGAGATTGTGCCACTGCACTCCAGCCTGGGTGACAGAGCGAGACTCTGTCTCAAAAAATACAAATAAATAAATAAATAAAACTTGATGTACATATGGTTGGGAGCCTAATTTTATATAAATATGTACATTTCTACATCAAATTGATTTTTAAAAATCAAAACTTAAAAACAGAAAGCACAAATTCATTTCAACTGTTAGTAAATGTAAATGTCTAAATTAAAGAGAAGGTAAGAAAAACTTGTGAAATGATTTGGGAGTAATACCACAAGATTTGCAGCCAACTTTTCAAAAGCCTATGAATTTCAAGAGAGATCAACCAGGAGCTTATGCAAGTAAGATGTTATAGGTAGAAAAGGATCACAAAATAAAACAGTAGCTCTATTGTGAAGGAAGCTTCTTTGTTAGCTTGGGCAAATCTTTGTATTTCTATCAAATTCTATATGTAAAAGCAAACTAAGGAAATATAACATTATGTTCTATAGTCAGATCTAACAATTCCAATGAAGATTAAAATTGTAGATGAAATTATAAACACGAAACAAATGGTCAATAGTGGATAGAAGTAGTATGACTAGGAAAACAGAACGTAATAACTGTTTTTCTTCTCTTATGGACAAGACTCCTAATATCAAATATCCAAATTGTATCAAAGACTCATACATACAAGTAAAGCACTAAGACATTTATTATACCATATCATTGGCTAGATGAGGCTCAAGGATTAATGTCATAGTATTCTCCTTAAATCAATTCAAAAGATTCACTTGAATATTAGCTACCAAAACAAAGTATGGATGAAACACATTTAAATTTTCATTTACTAAGAGCAATTGTAATCTAAAGAATGAAATGCAAATTTGTATTTGAAGACTGCTGCCAGAAACTCTGTCTATAAAAGCATAATCACAACCACATAAAAATAATATGGCAGCATAAAGAATACAAAATGGACATAAGAGTTTGATAGAACAGCAAGTTCAAGTTCACAAGTGATTTCTTTTTCACTTACTGTTACTATGATACTATGGTTCTTAGAAGATTTTAAATGCTAATTTCATATTTAAAATTCTAAATACGCACGTTATTTTAGATTGATCACTGAAAAGGAGAAAATTCTATTAAATAAGCAATAGGTCATCTAAATAAAGAATCCAAAGTCATAACACAGAATCACAGAACTTTAGGGTAGCAAACAGTCTTAGAAGTCTTGGCCTCAGCCTCCCAAGTAGCTAAGACCACAAGTACACACTATCGCACCCAGCTAGTCTGTATTTTTTATAGAGATGAGGTCTCCCCAGGTTGCCCAGGCTGGTCTCAAACTCCTGGGTTCAAGCAATCCTTCCGTCTCAGCCTCCAGTGTGATTATGTGATTACAGGTGTTAGCCACTGTGCGTGGTCCTAAGAGGCTTTAGATAAGAGTGGTATACAGGCCCACCCTACTACGTCATGGCAGGGGTGAGACTGGAACACAGGACAGGTGTCCCTAAGTCCACTGATCTTTCCTCTATCCCAGTGTTGTCCAAACCTCAGTAATTTGCATACCACCATCAACATTTTTCTGAGTGTCAAGTGCCGGTATCACTATATAATATTTTTCTCAATTCACTTAAAATAACAAAAAACCAAAACGCATTCTTCTCATCCCATCCCTGCTCCCCTTTTATAATTGTGGTAAAATATACATAACAAAATTTACCATTTTAACCATTTTTAAGTATACAGTTCCGTATACTCACAATGTTGTGCAACCAGCACCACTATCCATTTCCAGAACTTTTTCATCACCCCAAACATGGTCTGTACCCATTAAACATTAACTGTCCATTCCTTCCCCCCACCACCCCCTGGTAACCTCTATTTTACTTCCTGTCTACGAATTGGACTATTCTAGGAACATTTTAAGTGAAATTATAGAATAACTGTCCTTTTGTGTCACGTTTATGTCACTGTACATAATGGTCACAAAGTTCATCCACGTTGTAGCATGTATCAGAATCTCAACTCATTTTTTTAGAAACATTTTATTAACCCTAAACTATTAAGACTTGCATGTGGGTACAACAATAAAGGGAAAAATATTAAGACCTATGAAACCACCAATTTGGTATATTAGATTATACATTTTCCTAATCAGCATTAAATTTCCTATAATTTAAATGTTCACCTGAATATAATCTAAAAATATCTACCAAATCGCCAGTAGTATGTCAGCACATTAGAAAACACAGCACTATACAAAAACACACTACTACAGATCAAAGGCAAGTAGAATATCACTAAAGTGTGAAAACAGAAATTAGTGATTCTTCATTCTCTTTTTCAAGTAAGGTTTTTTAACAGAAAAAATGACTTCTCGGCTTATTTTTATTACTGTCAAAGATTTTTTTCATATACAAAATGTTACTTAAATACAAAACAACCCTGTGTCCCAGAGTCTGACAATTTAGATAACCTCAAATTTGCATACAGAAGAGCACCAGGGGAGAAACCCCTTAGTTAAATGTTGTGATTTCTGAACACGGTTTAAAAACAACTGTATCCATCATAGCTTTTAATATGAAAAAAACTGGAAAATACTTCCCTAATTCCAAAGGCCCAGACACACACACACCTATACCTCTCTTCTAAAATATTTTTATGTTTGCAAATCTGTTCTGAAATCCATTACTTTTGTTTCCAGTCATTCTCAGTGCTAAATTTTATTCGAATTTAAAGGAAGATGAAAGAATTAGAAATTATTATTATAAATCAGTAACAGCAGCAGGTAACATTTATTGAGAAATATCCCTTTATCAGGCTTTAGAGAGACTGTCACATTTACTATATAACAAGGAACTCCTATCTGCCCCATTTGATAGATGAAGAAACAGTTTTGGAGTTCAAGAGACTTGACTAACATCATACCACTAGTAAGACTAGAGAAATATGAACCTAGGCAATCAGATATACTTTTAAATATAATTATTTTTATTAAATATGCAAAATCAAATATAGTATTTGTCATGGTTACATAACATTTTCTTTTGTAAAATATAACGATTATATTATTAAATATTCTATTCACATATTACACGAGAAAGAGCACTAGAAATGGAATTCTGTGACCTTGGCTCTGGGGTCAGCTCTGCCGCTAACTAGCTTTATGACCATAGGCAAGTTACTTACCCTCTTTAGGCTTCTGTACTCTCATTGGTAACGTGATGCAACTGGACAGGATAATCCTAAAGACCTTTTCACCTCTAAATGCTTGGAATTGTTTTTTTTGTTTGTTTTTGAGTCTTGGTTAATTTAAGACTATGTAAATTGCAAGCCTAACAGTGGTTCTGCTACTATAGTTTAGAGAGGCAGCGGAAGGGTGGTAAAGTTCCAGAGAGAAATATAGGTTGCTATGATAAATCCCTTGCTTCTCTCTCTTTTTTGTTGTTTTTAAGCTTCTGTTCTATGTTATGTAACTGTAAAGCTGTCAGATCAAATTCTGTCAAGTACTTTATGCTCTGTCCATGAGATAAACCAAAAGGCCTAACTAGATTCTACATGAATGAGAAAGCTTAATGTAGCCTTAAGTGAACTCATCAAAAAACTGACACAGAATGGACAGCGAAGTGTAAAAAGTGTCCAAACTAATTTACAAATTAAGCGAATGGTATGCTCATTAATCCAGGGTAAGCTGTATAAAAACATAATACCAAGACCTCTTATATAAGAGATCTAAGATCATGAGCATCTGCTATATTGTATCTACCTTTTAATAATTCCTTTTTCCCAAAAAAATTATGTATTTGACAGAATGGATAACCTTAAGAAAAGCATGAAAAGAGTTAGAAAACAAATTTATATTATTGTGATTTTTTCCCTATTTATTGTTGATTACTGGATGCCAACTATATTCTGAAAAGATGGGAACATATTCTACATGTTCAGCTCGTAAGTTATTTCATGATTCTTACAGGTTACTGCTATTATTTGGGGGCTTTGTGGAGAGAGGCAGACCCAAAAAGAAGTATGTACACTATAGAGCTGAAAGAATTCTCAGGGAAAAAAATAATTATCTCAACCAATCCAATTCATGATCCTAACTCTCACAATGGTCTCTCCAACACCGAGAATAGGTTAGGTATCCAGGCAACATAATCAGCAATGCTCTCAACCTTATTTCTGAACCTTATTATGATTCCTCTCTTGATCCCTCCCTTTTCTGTTTTCTAACATCATTTCCTTCCCTAATTAACCTGGGCCCTGTACTACATCAGCTCAACTAATCCCTTTACCTTACTTTTTCTTCCATCACTCCTGCCCTACACAAGGTCCTAAACGCTAGATTCCTCTAACCACTCATCTTTTTCTACTATGAGAGCCGAGTTTTTGAATATGACAAAATAACTGCTACAACTATCAAAATCTCAGATGGGCCTCAACACTGTTCAGCAATCCTTTTCTGTTTTCTGGGAAAGTAAAAACATTTAATTATGTATGGGTTAGGACGGCCTATAAATTAGGTAATAGAGCAGGAAGTTGAATGGGATTCATATCTGTTGGCTCTCCTTATTTCAAGCAGGAAGCAAAACCATCTTTTGAAGTTATAACCACTAATCCGATAGTGGACTATGTGCCAGGTTCTATTCCGAACACTTCACGTGTATCACCTGATGTAACTTTTATCTAAAACCCATGAGGTGGGTGTTTTAATTCTCTTCACTTGGCCGAAAAGGAAACAAAGACACAAAGTGGCTGAGTAACTTGTTCAAGGCCACACTACTAGTAAGCAGCAGAGCTAGTATTTGAACCCGGCAGTCGGACTCCGATGTCTGTTTTTTTCCATCACATTGGTATGTCTGAAAGCACAGCATCTCAGGCAGCCCTAATACGGTTAAAGATTGCTTAATATATGTCAGGGGAAGTGTTCCAAGTATTCTTTCCAACTCAAGGTTTAATTCTCTCTTCATGTACAGGAAAATACTCCTAGATAAGAAATCATTTAAGCATGAAGATACTGCGTATTTGGTATGTTTTAGGCCTTCAAAAGCAAAATCCAGCTATATTGCAAAGGATTTTGAGAGTGTGTGAAAGCTGGTATAAAATACTGGTTAAGGGAGTGTATTCTTGAGCCAAACTAACAGGATTACTAGCTATGTAACCATGGGCAAATTACCTGAACATACAGAACACATAGAGGAAAATTCCTTCTGGTTGAGAAAGGAATAAACTGCTGCAACTAATAACTAGAAATCAATCAAAACTTTTGCATCTAAAAAGAAAAAACTCAGAGGCAAATTATAACCAGTATGACTTATACAATCTAATACCTTAATACAGATGAATAATGCAGTGTTTTTTTTAAAAGCTAAGATGCAAATAAATAAGCAAAGGTCATGAATAGAAAATTCATAAAACAGGAAAAACAAACCACTTCTTTTTTTGAAAAAATGCCTACTTGCATTAGTTTTTTGCTTTGTTTTTGTTTGTTGTTAGAGACAGAATCTCACTCTGTCACCCAGGCTGGAGTGCAGTGGCACGAACATAGCTCACTATAGCCTCAAACTTCTGGGCTCAACAATCCTCGTACATCAGCCTCCTGAATGGCTAAGAATACAGGCACATGCCACCACACCCAGCTAAGTTTTTTAAAAGATTAATATGTCTGTACAGCAAAGTCTGGAAGGATACATTATAGTGTTAACAGTAATTACTCCTGGTAAGGTGAAGGAAGAAGAGAGAGGGCCCCAAGGCAGGAAACACAAGAGAAGAAAGTCAATTCCCCTTAGGGCCTCCTTCCTCCAGTAGCTCACTTCGTAGTGCAGTCTCTCTTGGATACGGCCTATCTTGTGATAGGCAAAATTTGGGTTACATGCCTCCATCCTAATTCCAAGGGAGACAAAATATCAATTTTTAGTGTTCCACCCTGGGGAGCCAAAGCAGGACTCATAAGGCTGAAATGAAACTCATAAAGTTATTTCAAAGGTGCTCAACAGTTGGAACACAAAATACATACTGAATTACCACACCCAGGAATGGATGATAAATCATTATCTTAATATCTATATTCTATGAACAGGAAATAGAGAATGCTACTTACTTGCCTCGAAACATTTGCAAAAGCCTAACAATAAATTAATAGATATTTAAGAGAGAAAGAAATAGAAATGGGCTTGTAATTGAAGCTTCCACATGATCCTACTACATACTGTAGTACAGTAAAGTAATACATTTGCCTGTGGAATATGTCAGCAACTCTGGTACTTCACAACCCAGACTACTAAATACTCTTTATAAATCAGCAGTGTACAAAGCTCAGGAAAGAAAAAATAAGCACTTAAATTAATAAATCATAAAATTGTGTCCATTTCAACACTGACAATATAAAATTTCTTACATTATACCTGGCTTCTCTACCACGTATCTGACTATACAGGGACTTTAGTAAAGTTAACAGGGATTGGACATAGTAAACCTCCAGGATACAACCAATTTTTAAAAACACGAGTCTAACTATATGTTCACTGTTGTAGATATTTTTAACATAAAATATCACAGAGATTTGTCTCATTTAGAACAATGAAGACTGATGTTTTCATTTTAAAGGAAACATGTCTAACTCACAACAAAAGCAAAAAGAAACCAAAACTTGGCACTTAATTTTGGCATACCATTTGCGAAATATTCTGCTGAGTCACAATCCCCATCACTACCCGACCAAACTCCCTAGTATTTTCACTAGACAACTAAGAAATATAACCATGGGCTGCCATTATATAGCAGAGTATCTCAGCAATTTGGAAAAATGGCAGCCCCTGAACCACAGGCTCTCCAATTCTGTGCTTTTGGGCCTCTCCAACTCTGCACTTGGAGCTATGGCCTCATTAACCTGCTTGTGCTACTCTCTTGCAAACTCAGGTGGGCTTATTTACCCAGATTCAGTACAATTCTTACCTCTCATTGGCAGCAGGCCCATGGGAAGAAGGTACAAGAGACAGTAGTCTTATCTAACTTCAAAGCATATTTACTAAATAAATGAATGACTGAATAAAAGTTTGTATAAATAAACCAAACACTGGTGCTAGGAGGAAGAGCTGCCACAGATGAACAAGAACATGCTGCTAGATAAAAAGTAACAGATGTCCTTTCAAGAGGCAGATAGTGGGGAAGACCCTCAAAAAGAATATGCTGAATGGATGACTGAAAGTACACCGAGAACGGCAAGTAGTTGGATTTACCAAGAGAGTTAAGGTATATAACGGCAAATGGTGGTGGAAGTACTAGGAAAATAAATTAAGGACAGAACATAGCAGGCCAAGAATCCCAGATTAAAGAATTTAGACTTCACTTGGTATACAAGCAGCAGGCCATTAAGGGACCTTGGGCAGGGAAGAGACATTCAAGGCTATTCTTTAAGACAAATTACCTGACAGCTACATATAGGTTGGATTGGTAGGAAGAACTGAAGGGAGACAAGTTGAGGTGCTGCTATGGTAAGTACCTTGTGCATAAATCTTTTAATATACTTATCACATAACAATACATAATACATAATAATGTGGTTCATTTTTCTTCATCTGTCTCTCCTACCAGGCTCAGACCTCCAGAGAGAAAGAATCTACTTTTTCAGCACATGTAAAAAGTGAGGATGAGCCAAATGATCACTGATAGCCCTTCTCATTAATAACATACAGGTCTACAATGGATTACTTTCCTTCCAAGCACTTATAGCTTAGCTGGAGATGGAAGCTAGGAAGAAAGGTCTTAATTTACAAAAGGATAATAACCTCAAAATGTCATTTACAATCTTTTTTTAAACTCAGAATGTATTTTCTGATGATAATAACAAGAGAACCACCATTTACTGATTGCTTATCTTGCACCTCGCATTGTGTTGAAACACTCTACACATCTCATTCCTCGAAATGATCCTATGAATCAGGTATTCCTATACACCCTTTCTGAATGAGGAGCCTCAGATGTGGAGAGGTTAAGTAAGCTGTCCAAGTTCACACAGTTAGGAAGTGGCCAAGTCCAGCTCTGAGCCTAGGCAATCTGTCTCCAGAGGGGTTTAACCTGGTGGCCAGGTTTAAAGGTCAAGACAACAGGCCAACATAATCCATGATGTATCTAAGTGTAATAAAATTAAAGAATGTAACAACCAGATTATTCAGTCTCTGCTTAGGAGTTAAGTGTTTTCAAACCTTGCAATATAGTTTCTTCGGACTTTCTATATCTAATCACTGTGACCCATCTTCAGAATTTTTTTTTTTTTTTTTTTTTTTTGAGACAGAGTCTTGCTCTGCTGCCCAGGCTGCAGTGCAGTGGCGCCATCTCGGCTCACTGCAAGCTCCGCCTCCCGGGTTCACGCCATTCTCCTGCCTCAGCCTCCCGAGTAGCTAGGACTACAGGCACCTGCCACCACACCCGGCTAATCTTCTTCAGAATTTTTAAATGGTTACTACACAATAAAAATGAAGCCAAGTGTTTTAAAGCTGAAGTTAAAAAAAAAAAGAAACATAAAAACTGATGAAGTAAAATGCCTACCCAATATATCTTTTATTTTTAATTTTTGTGGGTACCTAGCAGTGTATATATTTATGGGATACATGAGATATTTCAATCCAGGAAACAATGCATAATAATCACACCAGGGTAAATAATCATATATAGGTCAGGCGCAGTGGCTCACACCTGTAATCCCAGCACTTTGGGAGGCCAAGATGGGCAGATCACCTGAGGTTAGGAGTTCAAAACCAGCTTGGCTAACATGGTGAAACCTCATCTCTACTAAAAATACAAAAAATTAGCCAGGTATGGTGGCGGATGCCTGTAGTCTTAACTACTCAAGAGGCTGAGGCAGGAGAACTGCTTGAACCTAGGAGGTGGAGGTTGCAGTGAGCCAAGACTGCACCACTGCACTCCAGCCTGGGTGACACAGCGAGACTCCATCTCAAAAATAATAATAATAATAATAATAATCACATCCATCACCTGAGGCATTTATCCTTTGTGTTACAAACAACCCAATCACACTTTGTTATTTTTAAATGTAGAATACATTGTTGACTATCATCACACTGTTGAGCTGTCAAGTGCTAGATCTTCTTCATTCAATCTAACTATGTTTTTGTACCCACTGACCAGACTCACTTCCTCCCACCACCCACTACCCTCCCCAGCCTCTGGTGACCATCACTCTACTCTCTATCTCCATGAATTTAATTGTTCTAATTGTTTTAGCTCCCATAAATGAGAGCATGCAAAGTTCGTCTTTCTGTGTCTGGCTTATTTTACTTAACATAATGATCTCAAGTTCCATCCATGTTGTTGCAAATAATAGGATCTCATTCCTTTTTATGTCTGAATACTACTCCATTGTGCATATGTACCATATTTTCTTTATCCATTCATTCGATGATTGACACTCACGTTGCTTTCAAATCTTAGCTATTATGAATAGTGCTGCAATAAACACGGGAGTGCAGAAATCTCTTTGATATACTGATTTCTTTCTTTCTTTTGGGTATATACCAAGCAGTGGGATTGCTGGATTATATGGTAGCTCTATTTCTAAATTGTGAGGAACCTTTAAACTGTTCTCCATAGTGGTTATACTAATTTACATTCCCACCAACAGTGTATGAGGGTTCAATTTTCTCCACATCCTCACCAGCATTCGTTACTGCCTGTCTTTTGGATGAAAGCCATTTTAACTAGGGTGAGATGATATCTCACTGTAGTTTGTTTTTTGTTGGCTTTTGCTTTTGTTTTTCAGACAGGGTCTGCTCTGTTGTCCAGGCTGGAATGCGGTGGCACAATCCCAGCTCACTGCAGCCTCCATCTCCTAGGCTCAAGAGATCCTCCCACCTCAGCCTCCCCAGTAGCTGGGACGACAGGTATGCACCACCATGTTCAGCTAATTTTTTGGTATTTTTTGTAGAGATGGGTTTTCACCATGTTGCCCAGGCTGGTCTCGAATTCCTGAGCTCGAGCAATCTGCCCACCTTGGCCACCCAAAGCGCTGGGATTATAGGCATAAGCCACCGTGCCTGGCCTTATTGTAGTTTTGATTTCCATTCTGCTGATGATCAATGATGTTGAGTACCTTTTCATATACCAGTTTGCCGTTTGTATGTCTTTTTTTAGGAAATATCTACTCAGATCTTTGGCTCATTTTTTAATCAGATTATTACATGTTTTCAACTATTGAGTTGTCTGAGTTCCTTATATATTCTGGTTATTAATTCCTTGTCAGATAGACAGTTTGCAGATATTTTCTCCCATTCTGTGGGTTGTCTCTTCACTTTGTTGTTTCCTTTGCTATGCAGAAGCTTTTTAACTTGACATGATCCCACTTATCCATTTCTGCTTTGATTGCCTGTCTTGTGGGGTATTGCTCATGCAATCTTTGCCCACGCCTATGCCCTGGAGAGTTTTCCCAATGTTTTATGTTAATGGTTTCATAGTCTGAGGTCTTAGATTTCAGTTTTTAATCCATTTTGATTTGGTTTTTGTATATGGCAAGAGATACAGGTCTAGTTTCATTCTTCTGCGTATGGATATCCAGTATTCCCAGCACCATTTATTAAAGAGATTTTCCTTTCCCCAGTGTATGTTCATGTTACCTTTGTCAAAAATGAGTTCACTGTAGATGCGCAGATTTATTTCTGGGTTCTCTACTCTGTTCCATTGGTCTATGTGTCTGTTTTTACGCTGGTACCATGCTGTTTTGATTATTACAGCTCTGTAGTATAATCTGAGGTCAGATAATGTGATTTCTCCAGTTGTGTTCTTTTTACTCAGGATAGCTTTGGCTATTCTGGGGTCTTTTGTGGTTCCATATACATTTTAGGATTTTTTTTTCTATTTCTGTGAAGAATGTCATTGGTATTTTAATAGAAATTGCATTGAATCTGTAGATTGCTTTAGGTAATATGAACATGTTGACAATATTGATTCTTCCAATATATGGACATGAAATATCTTTCCATTTTTTATGTACTCTTCAATTTCTTGCATCAATGTTTTATAGTTTTCATTGCAGACATCTTTTACTTCCTTGGTTAAGTTTATTCCTAGGTATTTTGTTTGGACAAATATTTATTTAATGAGTTACTCCAAAATAGAGCTAGGGGAAAAATAAAATACACTACATTGCACTATAGTTTTTTAATCATCCATTGCTGAAGGACAGAGACAAAAAAGAAGACCTTGAGATTTAGATGATACTAGATTAAATATGAACCATAACCAAGGTTTTTTTTAAGATTAAATAAATTTTCCATCTAGGGAGGGAAAAACATCCCTACATTTTTCATGGATCAGACAGTATCTGCAGTGTTTTATTCCCTTCCAAGGGGCACATTTTAAGAAAAAAAAAAAAAAGGCCAGGTGCAGTGGCTCACGCCTGTAATCCCAGTGCTTTTGGAGGCCGAGGTGGGCAGATCACAGGGTCAGGAGATCGAGACCATCCTGACTAACACGGTGAAACCCCATCTCTACTAAAAATACAAAAAATTAGCCTGGTGTGGTGGTGGGCGCCTGTAGTCCCAGCCACTCGGGAGGCTGAGGCAGGAGAATGGTGTGAATCCCGGAGCCGGAGGTTGCAGTGAGCCGAGATAGCACCACTGCACTCCAGCCTGGGCCACAGAGTGAGACTCCACCTCAAAAAAAAAAAAAAAAAAAAAATCACACTGCAAAACTGGAATGCCTCCAACGGAGAAGGCCAAGAGGGCAAAGGATCTTGAAACCATGGTACACCAGATAAGGAACTGAAATTGGGAGAAATAATTCTCACTGGGGAAGGGAAGCAAGAAAGCTACCCTTGGCTGGGCATGGTGGCTCACACCTGTAATCCTAGCACTTTGGGAGGCCAAGGTGGGCAGAGCCAATGAACTCACAAGTTCAAGACCAGCCTGGGCAACACGGCAAAACCCCGTCTCTACAAAAAATACAAAAAATTACAGGCCATGGTGGTACGCACCTGTAGTCCCAGCTACTCAGGGGGCTGAGGGAGAATGGCTTGAGTCCGGGAGGCAGAGGTTGCAGGGAGGTAGAGGCTGCAGTGAGTCAAGACTAGACTGCACCACTGCACTCCAGTCTGGGTGACAGAGCCAGACCTTGCCGCGGGAAAAAAAAAAAAAAAAAAAAAAAAAAAAAAAACTTCCCTTAAAATATTTGAAGAAACAATATGCTGATGAAAAGTTTAGAAGTTTAGACTTATTCTGTATATCTTTAAAGGGTAAAAGAACTGAGACTTTCCAACAATAAATTCTACCCAAAAATGAATTAATTACAGTGCATGAAAACATGACCAGCCAACAAACTAGTCAAAGAATACTGTTAGTTACAGTTGGTATGTTTCCAACTAGAGACAGGAGAAACTTCTCTCTGCCCATTGTAAGTACTGTCACAGGCACAAGAACTTCCCTTGGGTCTATCCAAGCCAGTATGCCATTTTTTCCATCCATAGATGCTACTCGGATACAAAAAAATTAGTATTCTCCAAACAAAATTTATTCAGAATCACTTCTATTTCCTCTTTCATGGTTTGAAATTAATTTCAAGTATTTTTAGATATGTATTATATTCTAAAGCCAAATATCAAGATGTCTACAATTTGGGTACTTCATGGAATACTACAGTCAAAAAAAAAAAGAACAAGGCCAGGCGCGGTGGCTCATGCCTATAATCCCAGTACTTTGGGAGGCCAAGGCAGGCAGGTCACGAGATCAGGAGTTTGAGACCAGCCTGACCAACATAGTGAAACTCCGTCTCTACTAAAAATGCAAAAAAATTAGCTGGGCGTGGTGGTAGGTGCCTGTAATCTCAGCTACTTGGGAGGCTGAGGCAAGAGAATTGCTTGAAGCTGGGAGGCCAAGGTTGCAGTGAGCCCAGATCACGCCACTGCACTCCAGCCTGGGTGACAGTGTGAGACTCCATCTCAAAAAAACAAAAAAACAAACAAAAACATCGTGTCCTTTGCAGCAACATGGATGCATGCAGATGGAGGCTATTATCCTAAAGGAATTAACAAAGTAAGAAAAACCGAATACCACATGTTCTCACTTACAAATGGGAGCTAAACACTGGGTACACATGGACACAATGAGGGGAACAACAGACACCAGGGCTTACTTGAAGGTAGAGGGTGGGAGGAGTGTAAGGGTCAAAAAGCTACCTATCAGGTACTATGCACACTACCTCAGTGACTAAATCATTTGTACACCAAACCCCAGCAACACGCAATTCGCCCATTTAACAAATCTGCACATGTCCTCCCGAACCTAAAATCAAAGTTGAAAAATTAAAAAGTAAAAAAAAATTTGGGTACTTTTTTGCTAAATTTAGCTATATTTTCCACTCATGAGTATAAATAATACAGAACAATGCCATATCTAAAATTAGAAGACAGCCTCTTAGTTTGGGATCCATAAAAGCTATAGAGGGGGCTAACATTAATTATTTTCCATTTTTAAAAACAAAACAAGGCTGTGCATGGTGGCTTACACCTGTAATCCCAACACTTTGGGAGGCCAAGGCATGTGGATCACCTGAGATCAGGAGTTCAAGATGGGCCTGGCCAACATGGCAAAACCCATCTCTACTAAAAATATAAAAAATTAGCCAGGCATGGTAGCACATGCCTGTAGTCTCAGCTACTCAAGAGGCTGAGGCAGGAGAATTGCTTGAACCCGGGAGGCGGAGGGTGCAGTGAGCTGAGACAGTGCCATTGCACTCCAGCCTGGGTGACAGAGCAAGATTCCATCTCAAAAAAAGAAAAACCAAAAAACATACATTTCCCCTACATTAATACACAAACTAACAAAAAATGAAGGTTTTCTCTTTTTTTTTTTTTTTTTTTTGAGACAGAGTCTTGCTCTGTCACCCAGGCTGGAGTGCCGTGGCACAATCTCAGCTCACTGCAACCTCCACCTCCTGGATTCAAGCAATTCTCCTGCCTCAGCCTCCTGAGTAGCTGGGATTACAGGCACATGCCATCAAGCCTGGCTAATTTTTGTATTTTTAGTAGAGACGGGATTTCACCATGTTGGTCAGGCTGGTCTCAAACTCCTGACCTCGTGATCCACCCGCCTTGGCCTCCCATAGTGCTGGGATTACAGGCGTGAGCCACCACGCCCGGCGAAGGTTTTCTTAATTTTTAACATTTCTATCAACTCAACTTGTGGTTATACTATATCTCATGTAAATCAAAAGCTGTGATTGATGAGTGATAGATACATCACGATTTTTTTTAAATAAGGAAGCAAATAACTGCTTTGAAATGTACCTCAGCTGAGCATGGTAGCTCATGCCTATAATCCCAGCACTTTGGGAGGCTGAGGTAGAAGGACTGCTTGAGGCCAGGAGATCAAGACCAGCCTGGGCAACAAAGCGAGACCCCATCGCTATTAGAAAAGAAAAGAACCTCAACGAAGTGTCATACATGGTACATGGGGTGGGTGTAGAGAGATAATAAAAGGGAGAAAAGGTAAGAAGATGAGGATCACTGAACTAGATACTAAAAGCTATCCTAATTCCACTGATAATGATATTAGTAGCTCACCATTAATACATTATCACATTGAGGTAATTCTGTCAACAACATTTTGAGATAAATTCTGTAATAACCACTCTTTTACAGATGAGGAAACTGAGGCCAGGAGAGATTCAGTATCTTAATAAAAGGCAGCTAGAAACAGCAAAGTCAGGATTCAAACCTATGCCTATGGGCTTAAACTGTAGATCTGCACTGAGTAGTAACTACTGTTGATGGAAGTATCAGAATAAATTAATCAGGTATATCACAAGCCAATCCAAACTTGAAAGCACTGGCATACATGTATAAAAGCTTTTAGACTACAAAATTCTTTACTAATATGGTTTAGTACTTTATCTTTCATTACATAACAATAAGTCAAACTCACTGACTTTTTCTCCACTTCTATGAATTACTAAATTGGCTTCTGTCCTTATCACTATATTAATACTCCTACTCATAAGATCTCCAATAACCCTCCAAGTCCCAAATTCAATTGATTATTTTCATTCTTACTCCTCTTGACCTTATGACAGACTACACCAAACTGACCACCTTCTGTCACTTAAAAGTTTCTGTCTTTCCTTGACACTCAGGACAATCTGACTTTCTGGAGAGGGATCTAGGCCAATAATACAGATTTGGGAGCTACCAGTGTATATATTTGGTAAATGGAGCCACTAGACAGGATAAGATTTCTAAGTAAGAGCAAGTGGAATAGCCAAGGCTTATAGTTAGGTGAAATATTCTTCTTCTCTCTCTTCTTCTTAGTTTCTTTCAGCAACTGACCCCTCTCCTCTGCACAATCCATAAATGCAGGGATCCCTCCAAATGCAATGTAGCACTAAAAAAAAAAAAAAAAAAAAAAAGTCTAGGCCGGACACAGTGGCTCATGCCTGCAATCCCAGAACTTTAGGAAGTCGAGGCAGGCGGATCACGAGGTCAGGAGTTTGAGACCAGCCTGGCCAACATGGTGAAACCCCGTATCTACTAAAAAGTACAAAAATTAGCCAGGCATAGCGGCGTGCATCTGCAATCCCAGCTACTCAGGGGGCTGAGACAGGAGAATCCCTTGAACCCAAGAGGCTGACCTTGCGGTGAGCTGAGATTGCACCACTCACTCCATCCTGGGTGACAGAGTGAGGCTCCTTTTCAAAAATAAAAACAGTCTAATAAATGGATTTGTTCCCAATTCGTATTTTCAAAAATTGTGTGCATTTAGACTTCAAGGAACCTTTTAACATTTTAACTTATAATATTTCACCTAACTATAAGCCTTGGTTATTCCACTTGCTCTTACTTAGAAATCTTACCCTGTCTACTGGCTCCATTTACCAAATATATACACTGGTAGCTCCCAAATCTCTATTATCTGCCTAGATCTTTGATTCATATTTGCAACAGTTCACGCAATACCTCTACCTGGATTCTCCCTCAGGAAACCCAAAACTAAATAACGTATATCCAAAGTTGACCAGACATAGTGGCTCCCAGCACTTTGGGAGACCAAGACAGGCAGATCGCTTGAAGTCAGGAGTTCAAGACCAGCCTGGTAAAACCCCATTTCTACTAAAAATACAAAAATCAGCCAGGCGTGCTGATGGGCACCTGTAATCCCAGCTACTAGGGAAGCTGAGGAAGGAGAATCACTTGAACCTAGAAGGCAGAAGCTGCAGTGAGCCAAAAAAAAAAGTTAACTTCTCTCCCTCTACAATCCTCTCTTCTTCCTCTCCTCACATTGTATGTTAACAAAGCAACCACCTACCCAGTTGTATGCTAAAACTTATTGAAGTCATCCTTTCCCTTAACACAACTCTTCATTGATATCATTAACAAAATTGGGTGATATTATCATTATGCACGTCAGCCAATGAGCTTTATATACTACTTCTAGTCATTTCAATAAGCTTGCAAGGCATGTCTCATACTCATTTTATAGCTAAAGAGGCCAAGCCTAAGTAACTATCCCTCATTTATACAACCATGGCAACAGAGCCCTGGTGCCCTGACTTAAATCCAGTCTGTGTGACACCAAAGCACATCTCTTTCCACCTCAAATACTGCCTTTCTACTGCAGCAGATGTGTCTCAACTCTAGCCCCTCCTCTGTCACCTCCATAGCCACAGCTTTGCTTCAAGGCTTTGCCAAGATTATCATAAAAGCTCGTATCTTTTCTCCACTCCAATCCAGCGTTTAAACTGCTATTGGAATGCTCTTCCTAAAAAGAGAGAGAGAACCCCATTCTGTTCATTCCTTCCTTTGAAAACCCATTATTGGTTCCCCATCACCATGGAGCAAAACTCATACACATCCATTCACAATCAGGCCCCAACCCACCATGGGACCTGGGCCAGATCAACTGACTTCCCTGTTTTCAGAACAGGACCAGTTATAACTCTATGCTTTAGCATTTGCTGGGACTGTCTCTCGTCATATCCCACATCCCCAAAAGCTTCTGACAAGTTCTCACTCATCCATTGTTCAAGACCAAGTTCAACTGTCACTGCCTCTGTAAAGCCCTTCCAGAGTCACTCAGACAGAATTAATGCAGCCCTCCTCGGCATGCCCCATATCACTTTGTTCAGTTCACTCACAGGACAGAATTATCTGCTTAATGTTTGTCTCATCTTTAAGACTGAATTTCTAGATTACTTTGCACATTCATGTTTTTGTACCCAGCCTAACAGTACACCTTACAAGGACTACTGGAATGAATTTTCCAAATTAAACTAATTCTATACCTGAGAAGTTACAAATAAAGTGTGACAACATGCAACTTGGCGCTTTTTTAAAAATGCAATTTGCTAAATTTGTTCCCAACTCGTATTTTCAAAAATCTTTGTACAGTTAGACCTTAAGGAATTGTTAACATTGTAATCCACAATACTTCACTAAACTATAGACTCCGTGACAGTAGGGCCTGTTTGTGACCTACAACACACAACAGACACTCAATGTTTGTGGAATAAATGAAAGCTATCTTTGTTTAGTCTAAAACTAGCATCTTATTGGAACAGCTAGTAACCAAAACTGTATTCATTTAAAAAAAAAAAAAAAAGGCAGGGGTGGGAGGAATCTAGGTACGTCACAAACTTTCTAGCCTAAAAAATAGGTTAGCATAGATGAGTAGTCCCCTATACAGAGCATGTAAACGTTAAGGTATCATATACCAACTCTAAAACTCCATGAGTCTAATAAGCATTCTAGGATATCTCTGATAAATTATTAGTTTTTCCCTTATTATCTTTAAATCATCACACCTTTTCCTTAATAAATTCTACCTTAAGTGATTTTCTTGTTATCATTGAAACAATTGTGAAATATTCCTACCACCACTGAGGCATACCAAATTTAGAACTTAAATTTCAGAGCTAAATATACAAAAAATAATGGCATGTGAAGAGACTATCGTCTTAAATACAATAATCACACAATTCCTTTTTTCACTTAGAATCATAAAATCTTAGGGGAAGGAACATACAAGTTTTGTTTAACTTCCTACCCAAACAACAATCCTTTATACAGAATCCTTGACAGATATTGTGGGAACCACTACATGAATACTCAACTCTCTTATGTTGTACTTACCTTTAAAAAGTAAATCTTACTGAATTTTTAGGCAGATGACTGAACATAGTATGCTTAAGGCTTAAAACGGAGTATTTAGGTAGGAGCTAATAGAGAAAAATATTCGATTTTTCTTTTCAATTTCTCAACCATTGGTAAATAATGCTCAAAATCTCAAGCAACTTCAAAGACAAAAGCACACCAAGATCACTTCCAAACTGGAGTCAATACAATCTTACCAATTCAGTGAACTTCTCTGACTTGTATAATAACAGAATCAATGTAAAAGTTTAAGAGTTGTGTTTGACTCAGCACTGTTATTTGCTAGAAAAAAAAAAATCTCATTCCCCATAGGCCTAGGATAGGTCCAGACAGGTCACCTGCAATCTCTAGCAGGCAATCTTTGCTTACTTAAATTCCCTAAACCAAGACTCATCTCTAAATGTCCAAGGTTCTTCTCGCCTCCATAATTCTCCCTATAGAATAAACATATCTATAATGGGAAGCACGATATTTTTGCCAGGGATGGTACACAATATGTAATCACTTGTTTGAAGACAAAATTAGTGGGAGAGTCTTCAACAAAACAGAAAATAAATAGTTTAATTTAATAAGGAGGATGGCATGGAAACTTTACCTCAAAAGCACTTAATTATTTTGTTTTCTCCAAATCAAAATCCTTTGTTGGATATATATTCCATCTTGGTGTTTCACTGTTGTTGCCCAGGCTGGAGTGCAAGGGCACGATCTCGGCTCACCGCAACCTCTGCCTCCTGGGTTCAAGTGATTCTTGTGCCTCAGCCTCCCGAGTAGCTGGGATTACAGGCATGTGCCACCACACCCGGCTAATTTTGTATTTTTAGTAGAGACGGGGTTTCACCATGTTGGCCAGGCTGGTCTTGAACTCCTGACCTCGTGATCCACCCGCTCTGGCCTCCCAAAGTGTTGGGAAAACAGGTGTGAGCCACCGCACCCGGCCTATATCCCATCTTTATTAAATAAATACCACTTGTAATGACATGAATACTATCTCAAAGGTCAGACTAATTTGAAGCCTTTTAGAACCTAAAATCCACAGGTAAAACACCTTAATTTATGGTCACTCATGTGGAAGGTCAATGTTGCTACTCACATAAGCTATTTCTAAGTTCCCCAAACAGATCCCCATCATTAACTTAGAGAAAAGTCCACTATAATAGCTACAAGATTTCTGTGAAAGACGATCATGTTTTATCTTTGTTTGCGCTTCAAGTGTTAGGATAAACGGACTTTTCCCAGGTGCCTCTCACCATCTCATTCCTTGCCTTTCCTCCAAAACAAGCAAAACTAAAACACTAAAAATTTTAGTCTGGTCCATACTAGTCAATAAAAATCTTTCCTCTTGTAAACACTTTATAGCACGATAAGGGACGTAGTTTGCAAAGATCATCTGTACATCCTGTGTAAAAAATAAAAACGCATGGCACACCAAACCCAGATCCACTTCGGTGAATTCCCTCCAGGGCCCAAATGTGTGCATTATGCAACAGCCAGCACTCCCGATTGTAATCCCTGTCTGTGATGCAATGACAAAATATAAATGGCTTGGGTATAATCTGCTCAGTTCGTAAGTAGTAATTCGCAAGAAGCCAACGAATTAAAAGAATTCCCAAATTCTCAGGAACCTTGAAAATGACAAATTGTGTCACAGTTCTGTGAGAATCACAATGAAAACTTTCCCTTCTGGAAATTTTTTAGAAATATGTCCCTCCGGTCCCAATCCCCCAAAAACCCGTACACACGTTTTAATTTACGTTAGGAACGGCTCTCCCAGCGGGGGAAGGTGACCTGCATCAGGTGGTTATCTTCGAATCCACCCGATACGATACCCACGCCGCTTCCCAGACGCTGAAAAGCCAGTGAGATGCTTCATCCTTTCTCCCCAAGGACAGTCATGGGAGTCAGTGTAATCCAGACCCCCGAGCCATAAACCACCCAGGGTTCAAGGCTTCACCTCCTGAGGCACAGGCCTCTTGAAAAATGGCATAATGGAGAGCTGAGAACACAATTAGGACAAAACTGCAACGACCAGCATTCCAGAGGAGGGAGAATCATACAATATCTGTTCCAAAAGTAGTTACAGGTAAAGGAAGGCGGTCAGAGCATCTCTGGAGGCCACCTGGTCGGGTGAACCGAGTCTAAACGCTGAAGTTCCACACCTCCCCGAGTCCGCGTCTCCCCAAGCCAAAGCAATCAGCTCGCACGCCAAGCATCCAGGTGGGGAGAGGGCGAGGGGAGGGGGCGGCAAGCCGCAGCTGCGAACCGGCCCGCGGCGGAGGCGAGCGAAGACGGGCATTCCCTCACACAAAATGGTGGCGCCGAGGCGGAGGCCGGCGCACCTGGGGGCGCCACACGCCCTACGGGATCCCCGCAGACCGCCGCCAGCTGGACGCGAGCCCCGGGTCCAGGCGGCCCGCACTGGTCTGCGCCAGGCCCAGCCCGCAGGGGCCGCCCACAGCCGGTGGCCCGCGTCGCCGCTCGGTGTCCGCGGGTCTGGTGCTGGCGGGGGCGCGGGGCCCGGCGCGGCCGTCTCGGCCTCACCCAGCGGTCCGCGCCGGGGAGAGGGAGCGCACTCACCTCAGACGCGCCCCGGGAGCCGCTGGAAGAGCCCGGGAAAGGAGGCGGAGCCGCGCGAATGAATGGAGCCGGCGGCTGCTCGCTGGCGACCTCCGGCCGGTCCCAGGCCGCACAGCTCGCGGCTGCCAGGGCGAGTGCGGCTGCCTCCCGCTCGCCCCGGACGCCCGGCTCCTCGTCGCGGGTCGGCCGCGGCCCACCGTGCCCTCCGACGACGTGACGCACTAGCGCCGCAGCGCCTCCAGCCTTCGCTTCCGCTCCGCGCCCGCGCCCACCGCGAATCCCCCCGCCCGCCAGCGCGGAGCGGCCCCTCCTCGGAGCCTGGGACGCCGCCCTGCCTCCCTCCAGCCCCGGCTTTCAGGCGCCGGCCCGGCAGGTGCGGGCTTGGCCAGCCCGGGGGCGTCACGCGGCCCCCGCCTCGCCACCCGCGCCCCCTCTCTCCGCCCCGGCCGCCGTCACCCGGCAGCGCGACGCCCAGCTCAGGGCAATGGCCTGGTATTAAAGAGTGACCTTGGCTTAGATATAAAAATAGATGCGGTTAAGCCGCGGGGGCTGCAACGCTGATTTTGCGTATTCCTTTAATGCCGACCTTCGCAGGATTCTGTTCGCATAGCCCGGTGGAGTTCTCCAGCCCCGCGTAGGCCCTCCTGAAATTTACCCAGAGTGGGCGCGGCCATCCCGGCCTCGGGACAGGGGTGCAGAGGGCACGGGCGAGGACCGCCGGCCTCCGCCCCACCACTTTCATCCTAAACCTACTGCCACTTAGGTGCATGCAAGTTAGAATCGTGGGCTGCTTTCACAGTCTACAGAAGTCCTAGAGCCCGGACTTTCATCTGGAGATGTCAGGGAAATACCACATTCCTGCGCTGACCTTTTCTCTTTCACCGTTTAACCGGTACAGAATAACCCTGACCCAGAAAGACAACAGGGTTCCATCCGGCTTTCCTCCCGTGCCTCTCCCAGCTCTATTCTACCGTCTTATGGCCTCTGGCGCCTTTGCTAATTACACACTCCTACTGAAAATTAGCCCTCCAGCATTTAAAACATGATAAATTGTCTTTAAGGTAATGCGTATTGTAGTCTAAATATATTTAATAACTGTATTGAGAAACAATATTGTATCTAAGTATTAATGTCAAGACTTTCTTTTACTCATCATCCAAGAACCGTAGTATTATGTTCAGCTCATCCAGAAAAGTTGAAAATTGCTTCTTTCATTCCTGGGAAATATTTAGCAATCACAATACCAACTTTCACGAATTTACTAATGATTAGCAAAATTAGCAAGATCAAAAAATACTTCAAAGAATGCTTGTTGATATAGATATATTTGACCCTGATTTTTAAAAAAAGCTTTTCTGCCATATAAGAATCTATTGTTTCATTTGTATAATATTTAATTAGCCAAAATCTTTACTATTACACATCATTTACCATTTTAATGAAACTTAATGAATTAGATTTAATAGAGCAGGAATTTTGGGTAGTTGGGTTCTACCCATAGCCAGTGATGAATGAAATTATATGACTTGTATTTACATTTCTAGAGCTATGTGTAAGTAGGAGTCCCCAGGGTAATCCCAAACAATTGCCATTTGGGGAAGCTTTGGCTACCAGACTATGCCCTACAGATGTTGAAGCCTCAGGCCTTAGTGTAAAGCTAACCAATACAACTTGTTGATAATATTTGAAATGCCTGGGTGTGATTGACTCTTAGCTATTGTTTTAGAAGTATGCGGGTATTTGTGCCTGGGTCAGGGAGGCCTGGCTCCCAGATGTCTGGCTATTCTGGTAGGAGACAGAACTACATTCACCCAGACCTATAAAAGAAAAGGTCCAATTTTTTTTTTTTTTTTTTTTTTTTTTTTTGAGACAGGGTTTCACTCCCACAGCCTAGGCAGGCTGGAATGCAATGGCGCGATCTCGACTCACTGCAACCTCTGCCTCCCAAGCTCAAGCGATTCTCCGGCGTCAGCCTCCGGAAGAGCTGGGACAGAGGTGCACACCAACGCACCTCGCTAATTTTTGTAGAGACGGAGTTTCGCCATGCTGCCCAGGCTGGTCCTGAACTTCTGAGCTCAAGCGATCCGCCCGCCTCGGCCTCCCAAAGTGCTGGGATTACAGGCGTGAGCCACTGCGCCAGGCCTGATTCTCTTTTCCCTACTTGCAAATGACACTATTTTTGAGAGTTTTTGGTTTTTTCTTTTTAAATCACCATTGACTTCCCTCTTTGGCTGAGATAAATTTTGCTTATCTTAGTGGGCAAAGAACAACAACTAAAAACATGAGCCTTTGTCAGATTAGTATATGCTGAAAATTGTTACCACAATATTTTGAAATATGCTTTGAGGCTTTTTTCTGAACCGTTTTTAGAGTAAAAGGATTATTGCTTTGGTTTTTGTTTTTGCAATGCTTGCTTTAATTATTACTTTGTTATTAGCAAAGGAAACATGTTAAGAGTTCGTTCTGATTGTATTTTTCCTCTATGTTTAAAGAGGAGTGGAACCATCTTAAGTAAAAGAAGCTTGCCACAACCCTGGATTTTGGAGGTTACTAATACACATGACCCAGAAAAGAGCTCTTTAGTTGCACTGGGGAAGAGGAATTCTTAATAGCTAAAATCATAACTGATGTTTTTGACAGCTAACAAATTGCCAGGCACTCTACAGACTTCTTTATGGAAATTAATTCACTTAATCCTCTTACCATCCTTGCAGGTATACACTGTTACCCCCAGTTTACCTAAGAGGAGTCTTGAGGCACACAGAGAAACTAAGCAATTTGCCCATGGTCACACAGATAGTAATCCTAGCATGTTGGCTCAAGAGCACACTCCCTTAACCAGAATTCCATACTGCCTTAAATGTGCACAAAATCCTATACCATATGGATAGATTTTGCTTTTGAAGCCCTAAAACATACTAAATGTCCTATACTTTCAAGTTTAAATAATTTCTTAGATCTAGTATTTTCCCAGACAGGAAGGAAGAATTAAAACTAGTTACAAGTTTACAAGTTAGAAAGAAAACTTGTAAAAACTTCCTCTGGTATATACTAAGCAAAATTTTATAATCTGTTAGTTTTTGAAAAACACATTTTTCATTTTTACATCATTTAAGTGTAATTGCTCTCCAAGTCCCGTCCCCCAGTTCCAGGGCATAATTACAAGTTTTCATTCTGTTTATTTAGCGCGTGGAAAAGACACATTTCCTTAGAAAGATTTATCATCATCTTTGACACTCCAATAAGACATAAATATGTTGGGAACAGGCCCCCCCAAAATCTCGCCATCAACTGGCCCCAAAACTGGCCATAAACAAAATCTTTGCACCACTGTGACATGTTCGTGATGGCCGTGACGCCCACGCTGGAAGGTTGTGGGTTTACCAGAATGAGGGCAAGGAACACCTGGCCCACCCAGGGCGGAAAACCGCTTAAAGGCGTTCTTAAACCACAAACGATAGCATGAGCGACCTGTGCCTGGACATGCCCCTGCTACAGATAACTAGCCAGAGCCCATCCCTTTATTTCAGCCCATCCCTTGTTTCCTGTAAGGAATACTTTTAGTTAATCTATAATCTATAGAAACAATGCTTATCACTGGCTTGCTGTCAATAAATATGTGGGTAAATCTCTGTTTGAGGCTCTCAGCTCTGAAGGCTGTAAGACCCCTGATTTACCACTCCACACCTCTGTATTTCTGTGTGTGTCTTTAATTCCTCTAGCGCCCCTGGGCCAGGGTCTCCCCAGCTGAGCTGGTCTCGGCATAAATGGGTAGATTTAGAATCCATCATATGTTTTAAATACATAAAATCACAGGGATTTTTTTTTTTTTGAGACTGAGTCTCACTGTGACGCCCAGGCTAGAGTGCAGTGGTGTGATCTCTGCTCACTGCAATCTCCGCCTCTTAGGTTCAAGCAATTCTCCTGCCTCAGCCTCCTGAGTAGCTGGGATTGCAGGCACGCACCACTATGCCCGGTTAATTTTTTGTATTTTTAGTAGAGATGGTGTTTCACCATGTTGGTCAGGCTGGTCTCGAACTCCTGACCTTGTGATCCACCCGCCTTGGCCTCCCAAAGTGCTGGGATTACAAGCGTGAGCCACAGGAGAACATTTTAATAACTGAGGTAGCCCAGGGATTTCTAGATTGAAACTATTAGCCAGTCAGCTAACTAGTTAGCTAATAATATCAGCCATGGCAATGTAGAAAGACAATCTTACCTGCAGGCACTAAAAGACGAAAAAGGACAGCTATCCTAGAATGCTTGATTTCTTCCTTTGGTATGTAAGAAAACATGTCACAGGAATGCTTTCAGAATTAAAAGCAGTGTTTTGACTGAGTTTTATTGGTCAAACACTACTATAACTGCAGATTTCAAATTCCTGAGTGATACTGTGCCCTGGGGGGAGAAAAGAACCTGAAGAAAAGAGAAATAAGTTTGAGAAGCCCAGTTGCATTTGTCTTGCTGCTTGATTTGCTTTAATATGTGGTAGAAGGACAGAGAATTTGGTAAGTTTAGTTTAGGTTTAAAAGAAATAAAATGTACAGTTTTTCATATTGTTAATGAAAAATCACATACATATTTACATCCATGGTAGGTACTGCAAGTTGCTTAATTAATATCCATTCTCTTCTTTCTTTAGGACAAACCCAATTTTGTTCATGGTGGCAATGTGCCCCACTAAAACTGTTTTCCTCCCTCAGACTCCTCTAGTAGCTGGGATAGCCATATGGTCATTTTGGCCAACGAGTTGTAAGCAGAAGATTATTAGATGTGTCTTCCAAGAAAGCTTTTATTTTCTGATAAAAGAGGGTGGACTCAATCGGCATATACCTTTATCTTTTGTCAAACATTTGTACTTCTTCCTTCTTCCTGTTTGGAAGGAAGACTTAGGTCTGGGAGCAGAGCAGCCATCTTGGAACCATGAGCTGATCATGAGAATGAAATCCATGTATTAACATGCTAGAGCCAAGAGACGGGAACCTGGGACAATGGTGATGTTATATGGCTGCTACACCAATTCCAGGCTGCTCACCTCCAGTCTTCTCTGTTACTTACCAACAATCCTAACTAATTCTCAAAGTTAAACACTGTCACTTTCATATAGCTAGAAAAAAAGAATACTTCTAGAGTATGTTTACTATACCATATATATTTACCATCCTTTGGCCGGCCATGGTGGCTCATGCCTGTAATCCCAGTACTTTGAGAGGCTGAGGCAGGCGGATCATTCGAGGTCAGGAGTTCGAGACCAGCCTGGCCAATATGTTGAAACCCTGTCTCTACTAAAAATACAAAAATTAACTGGGCGTGGTGGCAGGCACCTGTAATCCCAGCTCCTTGGGAGGCTGAGGGAGGAGAATTGCTTGAACCTGGGAGGCGGAGGTTGCAGTGAGCCAAGACTGCACCACTGCACTCCAGCCTGGGCGACAGAGCAAGACTCAGTCTCAAAAAAAAAGAAAAAAAGAAAACAAAATACCACATATTCTCACTTACAAGTGGAAGCTAACCATTAGATACTCATGGACATAAAAATGGCAATAATAGAAACTGGGGACTTGTGGGGGGAGAGAGAGAGGGAGCAAGGGTTGAAAAACTAACTATTGGGTACAATACTCAGTACCTGAGTGACAGAATCATTTGTACCCCATACTTCAGTATCATGCAATTTACCCATGTAATGAACCTGCACATATACCCTCTGAATCTAAAATAAAATTTGAAAAAGAAAAACAAATACACAGAAAAGTATAATTAAATTTTGCATTTTTAGTTAGAACAAGTAGAAGAATCAGGATGTAGAGAGGGATTCTTTTTTTTTTTTTTTTTTTGAGACAGCGTTTCACTCTTGTTGCCCAGGCTGGAATGCAATGGCACTATCTCTGCTCACCGCAACCTCTACCTCTCGGGTTCAAGCGATTCTCGTGCCTCAGCCTCTCAAGTAGCTGAGATTACAGGCATGTACCACCATGCCCGGCTAATTTTGTATTTTTAGTAGAGACGGGGTTTCTCCATGTTGGTCAGTCTGGTCTCGAACTCCTGACCTTAGGTGATCCGCCCGCCTCGGCCTCCCAAAATGCTGGGATTACAGGTGTGAGCCACTGCGCCCGGCCCGTAGAGAGGGATTCTAAAATTAAAATATTTGGTCCGTGTTTTATAGGCAGCAACCTGGCATATATATCAAAAGTAATGAAAATATGGATATATTTCCCATAATACCACTCCTGGAAACTTATCCAAAGAAATACTTAAGAAAAAAAAGTTATGTGCATGTCACTGAATGATGTCACTGAAACATTTTTTTTAAAAAAAAAAAAAGCCAAAATGTACAAATACAAAAATGTCTAGGCTTGGTGTGGTGGCTTACACCTGTAATCCCAGCACTTTGGGAGGCCAAGGCAGGCAGATCACTTGAGGTCAGGAGTTTGACACCATGCTGGCCAACAGGGTGAAACCCCATCTCATACAAAAATTAGCTGGGTGTGGTGGTGGGCACCTGTAATCCCAGATACTCAGGAGGCTGAGGCAGGAGAATCACTTGTGCCTGGTAGGCAGAGGTTGCAGTGAGCCAAGATCACACCACTGCACTCCAGCCTGGTCAACAGAGTAAGACTCTCTCAAAAAAAAAAAAAAAAAGGATATTTAATAATAGGTATATTGCTATTCATCAAAGAAATACAAAATTTTCACCTATATTATTAAAGACAACAGGGGGCATTTTATAAAATTACTAATAGCAACTTGCAAAGCATATTGGAACATCTATACACTGTAACAGTTTGGCAGAAAGTGGAACACCTGTCTGGATGCAATGTATCATGATCATCATTGTCATTGTTGCTGGATTTCATTTATCAAACGTTTATATGCTAGACATTGTACTAAATATCATACTTAAGTTATCTTATTTAATGCCCACAATATCTGCTTGATGTAGATACTATGATCCTCATTTAACACATGAGGAAACTGAAGCTTAGAGAAGTGAAGAAATTAATCCAAGGCTATGGAACAGGAATTGGACTCTTCTTCTGAAATACTCTAGATTTTGGAGACTAGACTCTAGACTTTACTGTTTTTCAATCAGTATATATCTAGCTTCTAGAAAATATTTATATTAACACTCTCTCACCCAATATTTATGCATTTATTAATTCAACACGTCCTTTGAAATGTCTGTTATGCCAGGCACCATACTAGATATACCCTGTGATGTGATCATGTAACAGTGGAACAGGCAGAGCCAACAAGAAGTTGACCTATGAAACCATGGCTTGTAGCAGAGTGTTGGGTACCAAGAAATGAAGCTGCAGAAATAGGCAGGACCTGTTATTCTTAAAAAAATCCTGTTCAACCATGGTAAGGAGTATGGACCCAGGCCCAAAGGTAATGGAAATCCATTTGTATTAGTTTGTTTTCACACTGCTGATAAAGACATACCCAAGACTGGGCATTTTACAAAAGAAAGAGGTTTAATGGACTTACAGTTCCACGTGGCTAGGGAGGGCCTCACAGTCATGGTGGAAGGCAAGGAGGAGCATGTCATGTCTTACATGGATGGCAGCAGGCAAAGAGAGAGCTTGTGCAGAGAAACTCCCCTCTTTAAAACCATCAGATCTTGTGAGACGCATTCACTATCACGAGAACAGCACAGGAAAGACCTGTGCTGTTAATCACTAATTTGATCACTTCTCACCTGGTTTCTCCCACAACATGTGGGAATTGTGGGAGTTACAATTCAAGATGAGATTTGGGTGGGGACACAGCCAAACCATATCACCATTTAAGGAGTTTAAATTTCAGAGTGACAGGACCATATTTGCATTAGTAAAGAGATGACAGTCTGATCTAGAAGTGACAGTGAGGATGAAGAGAAGTAAATAGATTCTGGAGCTCAAAGGTGGAAAGTAGAATCAACAGGGTCTGGCAAAACAAGCAATATAATAGAGAAGGCAAGCAAGACCATCAGGTTCCTGACTTGAGCCACTGGATAAATAATGGTGTTATTTACTCAAATAGCAATCACTGCAGATAAGGATTTGGGGAGTAAAATTATGAGTTCCATTTTGTCTATGTTGAGTTTTTATGTGCTTGTAAGACATCCAAGTGGGGACATCTAAAATAGTGAGATCTTCAGGACTTCAGGGGAAATATGTAGACTTAAGGTATATTGATCAGGAGATATCAGCATAGGCATGGTAATTGAAGCCTTGGAATGAGTGAGCTTGCTCAGAGAGAATGGCGGGGAAAAGCATAGGTCCAGCCAAAATCTTATAGGGACCACAGAAGATCCTGCAGGAGAAACAGCATGGTCAGAGAGACAAGGGAGAGTGTGATAGCACAGAAGCCAAGAGACAGAGGTGAGTCGGCAGTGGAGTTAAATGCTCCCTTCAGAATTCATCCAAAGAAATAACTAAGGATAAGCCCAAAGACTTGCCTACAAGATTATTTCAATACTGTCTGTAATGGGAAAATATTGGTAGTGGGGAAAGGAAGGGGGAATCCAACAGTAAGATAGTTGTTAAATAAATGTTGGTACATCCATACAATGGAATGTTGTGTAATCTTTAAATCGCATTTCTGAAGAATATTTAATGACATGGGAAAATGTTAAGTAGAAAAAGCATCTGTTTAAAAATTATGATCCCACTTTTGCTTTTAAAATTATGCTTAATCATACAGATATATTCACAGAATATTTAGACCATAATGATATGCAATATATAAAAATGTTAACACCAAAAGTTGGAAATGGATTGGAAACAGGCAAGACTGGGTAGTGGAATTATTGGATGGGTGGTTTGTATTTTGTTGATTATATTTTTCTCATTTTCCATGCTGAACATATAGTCCTTTTACACTAAGAAAAATCTTAATAGGTTTTTGGTTAAGAAACTTATAACACATAACACACAATATGCAGTGATTAAATTTTTGTTTTGTTTTGTTTTGTTTTTTTGAGACAGGGTCTTACTCTGTCACCCAGGCTAGAGTGCAGTGGCACAATCACAGCCCACTGCAGCCTTGACCTCCTGGGCTCAAGCTAACCTCCCACCTCAGCCTCCTGAGCAGCTGGGACCACAGGCATGCGCCACCATGCCCGGCTAATTTTTTTTTATTTTTTGTAGAGACAGGGTCTCCCTGTGCTGCCCAGGCTAGTCTCAAACTTCTAGGCTCAAGGGATCCTCCTACCTTGGCCTCCCAAAGTGCTGGAATTACAGGTGTGAGCCACCATGCCCAGCCCAGTGATCAAATATTATACTTGGAGAAACTAGGTACCAACATGGTACAATATGTGTGCTGTAACATTAAGTTATAGCAGGTTATATTACTTTATAGAAAGATGCAGGATAAGGACTTTGTAGAAGAACTGTCAAAGATAAAGCTGGGGCCGGGTGTGGTGGCTCACGCCTGTAATCCCAGAACTTTGGCCGGCCTAGGTGGGTGGATCACTGAGGTCAGGAATTCGAGACCAGCCTAGCCAACATGGTGAAACCCCGTCTCTACTAAAAATACAAAAAGTTAGCTGGGCGTGGTGGCTCACGCCTATAATCCCAGCTACTCAGGAGGCTGAGGCAGGAGAATCACTTGAACCTGGGAGGCAGAGGTTGCAGTAAGCTGAGATCGCACCATTGCATTCCAGCCTGGGCAACAAGAGCAAAACTCTATCTCAAAAAAAAAAAAAAAAAGATAAAGCTGGATACTAGTTGAAGACAGCAAAGACAGATTTTATTCAGTAATTAACTGTGGTAGGGGAAACAGCTAAGTTCAACTGTGAGTTGCACAGAGGTGTCTTGGAAAATGGGGGAGTAGGGAAGAGGAGCGGGCCTGGCCCCTGTAGCGTCACAGAAGTGAAACATTACAAAAAGTGGGGAAGTGAGGTAGGGTCAATATCCATGTAATTAGGCCATCTGATTCTGCCAACTGGCATTTATCCAAGTTAGGCTTCTACCCTCCCTCAGAGTCTGAGAGACAGAGGCCTTATCCTTCTTCATAACATCAAAGGAATGGGTTTTCAGGGCCTTGACAAAGACACTCCTGAGCTGTAGAAGATACACATCCATCTCAAAGGGACAAAGGGAGTTTTTTCAAATAAATGCTCTGAGAAAGGGATGTGAAGGGCCCATGACCGGGTGTTGCTGGAACAAATGGTAAATTCTTTTGGCAGCCTTGAGCTTTGCTAGACTGGAACTCAAGGTGGGCCAGGTCATCCCAGGCACGTGGCCTTAGGATGCTAAAGCAATGTCAGCCTTTGATCAAGTCTCTTAGAGCAGGGGTTTAGATGGAGATGTTTGTGCCAAATATGCAGTTCTCAAGACCAAAGGTATCCGTGATCAAAGGGTGGGGACAGATCCAAGACAGACGGAGCAGGTCCTTTTCCTGCCCAGCTGGGTAAAGGCCTCTGCCCTGTTAATCATGGAATAAATGAGTCCCTGGACTTTAATGTTTGCCCAGTGCCCCCTACAGAATCAGTTCACGGATGAAGGGACATCCTGGGAACACATGACATATTGTCCTTGTTCTGAGGCCTCCACACACAGCAGGGCCTCACACAAGGTCACGCACACACCAGAGAGGGCACAAGAAAAGGTTGAAAACCTGCCCAGGTTCTGCATGCCAAGCCAAGTGCCCTAACTCTAGGCTTCATCACCCGGAGGAAGAGGTGCCATTTTCTAATCTGCCTGCCCATTGGAAGTACCTTTTCTTTTTTTATATATATATATATATATATATATATTTTTTTTATTATTATACTTTAAGTTCTAGGGTACGTGTGCACAATGTGCAGGTTTGTTACATATATATACATGTGCCATGTTGGTGTGCTGCACCCATTAACTTGTCATTCACATTAGGTATATCTCCTAATGCTATCCCTCCCCCCTCTCCCCACCCCACAACAGGCCCCAGTGTGTGATGTTCCCCTCAGAGGAAGTACCTTTTCTAATCAGAACAAAGTGTCCTTCTATGCTAATGTGACCCTAACTGCATTAGGTTTGACACTGGCAGGCAGATTCAAGATAATTTGGGATCATCTTTTATAGGGCCTTATAACAAGACATAATTCATTATAATTGAAAATTAATTTCAGTACATTATTTTGGTTTTTGGTGGAATAGTCTATACTTTGAGGACTTGTTATACACTCAGTTAGTCAAAACATATGTAGTATTTATACCTGTAAGTGTTTGCTAAAGGTAGAGAGCCATTATCATCCCACCTCCCTACCTCCATTCATCCTCCTGCCCCTCCCATTCCCCCACCCCTCTACCACCAGTTTAATTTACTAATTTAGAAAAATATTGCAAAGCAGAAAGCAACGACGTTACTGCTTGGCTTTCTTTATGTCAGTTTAGTTGCCCAATTGAGGAATTTGATTAACAGCTAAATTCTGTACTGTAGATAATGCTGGAACTAAAAATGCTTTCAAAGTAAAAATTTGCATATGGAAGCAATCGATGTTGTAATAAAAAATACATATATAAAGCAAAGACTATTCCAACTTCAAAAAACAAAAATCAATCACACAAACAAAACCTGTGAAACTGAATACTCCAACTTGACAAGGATGACTTAAAAAAAGATCAGGCAAAACATTTGAATTCTTTTATATTGGAAAGGAGCCAAAATGAGAGACAGGAACAAAGATGAACTTTCAGCTCAAACAAAGACACAACCCACTGGGAAAGGCATGTTCTGCCAAGGCTTAGAGAAGGGACTCTCTTTTTCTTCCCCCATATCAAGGCTGACACAATACACAAAGTCTCTCAATTTTTCATCCTGGCCTTGATCTGAAAATGCTACAGCGAAATGGATTAGTGCTGGGGTGGGGATGGAGTGGAACTAGGCCTTCAGTGTGGGGCAGGCTTCCTTGGGCTCTCCAGTTTGCCCTGGTTCTCAAGCTTCAGTATAAAAAATGCAGAGACCTGGGTCTTCTCTCTCACTGCCTGGGCAACACAGGGAGACCCTGTCTCTACAAAAAATAAAAAAAATTAGCCAGGCATGGTGGTGCATGCCTGTGGTCCCAGCTGGTCAGGAGGCCGAGGTGGGAGGTTAGCTTGAGCCCGGGAGGTCAAGGCTGCAGTGGGCTGTGATCGTGCCACTGCACTTCTAGCCTGGGTGACAGAGTAAGACCCTGTCTCAAAAAACAAACAAAACAAACCAAAACAAAAATGTATTCACTGCATATTATATGTTATGTGTCATAAGTTTCTTAACCAAAAACCTATTAAGATTTTTCTTAGTGTAAAAGGACTATAAGTTCAGCATGTAAAATGAGAAAAATTTAATCAACAAAATATAAACCACTCATCCAATAATTCCACTACCCAGTCTTGCCTCTTTCTAATCCATTTCCAACTTTTGGTGTTAACATTTTTATATATTGCATATCATTATTGGTAGTGAGATTCCAATCCAGGAAATCAGGAATGGGACCAAAGAATTTTAAAATAAGCAATACAGGTCTATCTTTATCAAAACTCTTTATAGCTGGTGAGAAACTGAGACAACAAAACGTAGTATGTCTATGGTGTAGAGAGAAAATGTTGATTAAATTGTTCATCAACTCTCATAGTTCGTTTGCAGATTCTTTTGAGTTTTCTATGTACAAGATCATGACACCTCAAATAGAAATTTACTTTCTCCTTTCCAATCTTGATTGCTTTTATTTCTTTTGCTTGCCTAATTGCCCTGGCTAGAACATCCAGTACAATGTTGAATAGAAATGATGAGAGAAAACATCCTTGTTTTGTTCCTGATCTTAGGGGAAAAGCTTTCAGTCTTTAATCATTAAGTATGACGTTGGATGTGGGTTTTTCACAGATGCCCTTTACTGGTTTTTGTCAAATTTTTTTTCTGTGTCAATTAAGATTATCTTGTGATTTTCTTTTACTCTGTTAATTTGGTGCCTTCCATTGATTAACTTTATTTATTTATTTATTTATTTATTTTTTGAGACCAAGTCTCACTCTGTTGCCCAGGCTGGGGTGCAGTGGCACGATCTCTGCCTCCCGGGTTCAAGCTATTCTCATGCCTCAGACTACCTAGTAGCTGGGGCTACAGGCGTGAGGCACCATGCCTGGCTAATTTTTGTATTTTTAGTAGAGGCGGGGTTTCACCATGTTTGCCAGGCTGGTCTCGAACTCCTGACCTGAGGTGATCCACCCTCCTCGGCCTCCCAAAGTGCTGGGATTACAAGTGTGAGCCACCATGCCCAGCCTGATTCACTTTCATATGTTGAACAAACCTTGCATTTGTGGGATAAATTGATTGGTCATGGCATGTCATCCTTTTTATATGATGCTGGCTTTGATTTTCCAGTATTGAGGAATTTTGCACCCGTGTTCATAAGGGATACTGGTCTGTAGTTTTCTTTCCTTGTGATATCTTTGGCTTTGTTATCAGAGCAATATTGACCTCATAGAATAATTTAGGAAGTCTCCCCTGTTCTATTTTTTGACAGCATTTAAGAAGGACTAGTGTTAATTCCTCTTTAAAGGTTTGGCAGAATCCAGCAGTAAAGCCATCTGTGCTTGGGCTTCTTTTGTGGGTAGTTTTGGATTACTAATTCTTTTTACTAGTTATAGTTCTACTCAGATTTTCTTGAGCCCATTTTTACAGTTTGTGTATTTTTAGGAATTTGTCTATTTCATCTCAGTTATCTAATTTGTTGGCATACTAATCATAGTATTCTCTTATATCCTTGTTATTTCTGTAAGATCAACAGTAATGTCTCCTCTTCCACTCCTGATTTGAGAAATTTGAGTCTTCTCTATCTAAAGACTTGTCATATTTTGTTGATCTTTTCAAAGAACGAATTTTTGGCTTAGTTGACCTTCTCTATTGTTTTTCTATTATCTATTTATTTCCATTCTTTTTTTTTTTTTTTTTTTTCGAGACGGAGTCTTGCTCTGTCACCCAGGCTGGAGTGCAGTGGTGCAATCTCAGCTCACTGCAAGCTCCACCTCCCAGGTTCACACCATTCTCCTGCCTCAGCCTCCCGAGCAGCTGGGACTACAGGCGCCCGCCACCACACCCGGCTAATTTTTTGTATTTTTAGTAGAGACGGGGTTTCACCGTGTTAGCCAGGATGGTCTCGATCTCCTGACCTTGTGTTCCGCCCGCCTCGGCCTCCCAAAGTGCTGGGGATTACAGGCTTGAGCCACCGAGCCCGGCCTTATTTCCATTTTTTATTTACTTCCTTCTTCATGCTTTGGATTTAGTTTGCTCTTCTTTTTCTAGTTTCTTAAGGTAAAAGGTTAGGTTACTGATTTGAGATCTTTCTTCTTTTCCAATGAAGATGTTTACCGGTATACATTTCCCTCTGAGCACTAGTTTTGCTGCATCCTCCAAGTTTTGGTATGTTGTGTGCTTGTTTTAATTCACTTCAAAGTATTTTTGAATTGCTGTTGGGATTTCTTCTTTGATCCACTGTTTACTTAGGAGCATGTTGTTTAATTTTTACAAATTTGTTAATTTTTCAAATTTTCTTATTATTTCTAATTTCATTCCATTGACAAAGACATACCTTATATAATTTTCATCTTTTAAAATTCATTGAGACTTGTTTTATGGCCTAAAATATGGTCTATCCTGGAGAGTGTTCCATGCGCCCTTGAGAGCAATGTGTATTGGGCTGCTTTGCAATGGAGTGTCCTATATATGTCTGTCAGGCCTGGTTGATAAACAGTATTGTTCAAGTCATCTATTTCCTCACTAATTTTCTGTCTAGTTGTTTTACTCATTATTGAAAGTGTGGTATTTAAGTTTGACTATCATTGAATTGTCCATTTCTACTTTCAGTTCCGTCAGGTTTTGCTTCATGTATTTTGGGGCTCAGTTTTAGGTAATTATGTGTGTATAATTGTTATATCTTCCTGATGGATTGACCCTTCTATCATAAAAAATGCCCTATATCTAGTAATTTTTTTGCATTAATGTCTACTTTGATCCTACTATAGCTACTGTAGTTCTCTTTTGCTGTGTGCATGGTATCATTTTCCATCTTTTTAATTTCAACTTATTTCTTTGATGAATAACTTTTTATATGCTTATTGACCACTTGAATATCCTCTTTTGTAAAGTGCCTCTTCATGTCTTTGTCCGTTTTTTATTTTCATTTTTGTCTCTATCTTATTGATTTGTAGCAGTTTTTCATACGTTATAGATACAAGGCCTTTGTAGAATGTACTATTGCAAATGTTTTTTCTGCTTTGTAGAGTCTCTTTTCACTTTTTTCTTTTTTTTTATTTAAAGTTAATAATTTTTATTCAAGGAATTCCATGTTGTGATTTCTTCCACTGTCCATCAACTTCACTTTAGATCCTCTAAAGAGCTGGAGTCAAAAGATTTATCTTCAAGTTAGCCCTTTTTAATAAAACTGATGCTTATTTTAATCCAGTTGTCCTGTCAGCCCATAATTCTTTTATTTTGGCTTCTGTTATCTCCTTTTAATATGGATATACTGATGAAGACTTCAAAATTCACCAAGAATCTTTGGGATCTAATTTCTTCAACCAATTTACTTTAAGGTCCTTTTTACTGTAGGTGGTGGATCTGCCTGGTTCTCAATTTGGCACCCTTCTATTAACATGAATAAGTTCAAATCATATTTATTCCTAAGTGATCACACTTAAGAATGGTACAGATGTGTGGAATATGCCAATACCTTTAACTCCAGACATCATCAAGATAAAGCCTTTAAAACAAAAAGCCATCGTATGTATCAAGTCAATATGAAATTGGAATGCAAAATTAATACTGCTGAGGATTTCCCTCATATCCCATGCTGTTTAACTACCTCTTCTACAGTCCTAGAATCAATTTTTTTTATTAAGAGACAGGGTCTGGGCCGGGCGCGGTGGCTCATGCCTGTAATCCCAGCACTTTGGGAGGCTAAGGAGGGCGGATCACGAGGTCAGGAGATCGAGACCATCCTGGCTAACACAGTGAAACCCCGTCTCTACTAAAAAATACAAAAAATTAGCCAGGCGTGGTGGCGGGCGCCTGTAGTCCCAGTTACTCGGGAGGCTGAGGCAGGAGAATGGCGTGAACCCAGGAGGTAGAGCTTGCAGTGAGCCGAGATTGCACCACTGCACTCAGCCTGGGTGACAGAGCGAGACTCCGTCTCAAAAAAAAAAAAAGACAGGGTCTGTCTTAATAAAAAAAAAGCCTGTTACCCAGGCTGGAGTACAGTGGTGCCATCAAAGCTCAGTGCAGCCTCCAACTCCTGTGCTCAATCCTCTTGCCTCAGCCTCCCCTTCCTGAGTAGCTGCAACCACAGACACATGCCCCAGTATTCAGCTAATTTTTAAATTTTTGTGGAGATGAGGTATTTGTTACTTTCTTGCCCAGGCTGGCCTTGAACTGCTGGCTTTAAGCAATACTCCCACCTTGGTGTGGGATTGCAAGCTTGAGCCACTGTGCCTGGCCTGGAACCAACCTTTATGGCTATCAATACTCCCATCAGTTAACTGTCTCAGGTATCATAATATCCCTTCTTATATGTATCAAAACTCACACTGAACAATGAGTTCTGGGTTGCAAAAGAGAATTTATTTTTGCACCTATCCATAAGCCTTTGTATACAAGTTAAACAAAAACATACATGTCACGCACGTCCGTGTAAAGAGACCACCAAACAGGCTTTGTGTGAGCAACAAGGCTGTTTATTTCACCTGGGTGCAGGCGGGCTGAGTCTGAAAAGAGAGTCAGCGAAGGGAGATAGGGGTGGGGCCGTTTTACAGGATTTGGGTAGGTAGTGGAAAATTACAGTCAAAGGGTTGTTCTCTGGCGGGCTGGGGCGGGGGGTCACAAGGTGCTCAGTGGGGGAGCATCTGAGCCAGGAGAAGGAATTTCACAAGGTAATGTCATCAGTTAAGGCAGGAACCGGCCATTTTCACTTCTTTTGTGATTCTTCAGTTACTTCAGCCATCTGGATATACGTGCAGGTCACAAGGGATATGATGGTTTAGCTTGGGCTCAGAGGCCTGACATTCCTGTCTTCTTATATTAATAAGAAAAATAAAACAAAAGTGTTGGGGTGGCGAAAATTTTTGGGGGGTGGTATGGAGAGATAATGGGTGATGTTTCTCAAGGCTGCTTCTAGCGGGATTAGGGGCGGCGTGGGAACCTAGAGTGGGAGAGATTAAGCTGAAGGAAGATTTTGTGGCAAGGGGCGATATTGTGGGGTTGTTAAAAGGAGCATTTGTCGAATAGAATGATTAGTGATGGCCTGGATGTGGTTTTGTATGAATTGAGAAACTAAACAGAAGACACAAGGTCTGAATTAAGAGAAAGAGAAAAACAGGTATTAAAGGACTAAGAATTGGGAGGACATAGGACATCCAATTAGAGAGTGCCCAAGGGGGTTCAGCGTAATTACTTGCTTTGTTGGTGAGTTTTTGGGCTCTATCCTTGACAGAGTTTTTTTATGTTGTCATACACAAGGCCAGACTGATTTAGGTGAAAACAACACTCTTCATTTAAAAATATACAGAATCCCTTTTTTTTTTTTCTTTTTTAGCAGTGAGTAAGTCGAGGCCTTGGTGATTTTGGAGGAAAGAGAAATGCAAAGCCAGCAATTGTTTGTTAAAGAAGGATTAGAAACAGCTAGGAAAGAGTGAGTGAGATTGACAGTGTGGTGGAGACAGCTGGGGAAGGTATTGTATTTTTAGTAGAAATAGGGTTTTACCATGTTGGCCAGGTAGGTCTCAAACTCCTGACCTCAAGTGATCTGCCCACCTCGGCCTCCCAAAGTGCTGGGATTACAGGCATGAGCCACCATGCCCAGCCAAATTTTTGCTTATTTGGGCTTTTTTTTTTTTTTTTTTTTAACATAGCATTATGGCAATGACTGACTAATACATTAGATATTGCCTACTTCTTCTCCAAAGTGGTTGTCCTAACTTTTACTCAAATCAGCACTATGTTAACATTCCCTTTGCTTTACATCCTCCCTTTGTCAGACTTTTAAACTTTTGAATCGGATAGATGTACAGTATCTTCTTAGTGTGGTTTGAATGTGCATTTTCATAATTACAATAAAATTGAGAATATTTTCATATGTTTATTGACCATTTGAGTTTATGTTCCTATTTATTGACTGTTGATTTCTTATATATATTCTTCCGTACATTTGAAAGATTCAAGAACAAGTTTAAGAAAGAAAGAAAAGCAAAATACAGAATGATATAAGGACACACGTGTGTGTGTGTGTGCTCATGTATATTCAATACATATATATCAATATGTGTTTTTATATGAATAGTTTGTTTTTGTTTTTTAGGCAAAGTCTCACTCTGTCACCCAGGTTGGAGTGCAGGTAATTTTTATTTTTTGAGACGGAGTTTCACTCTGTCGCCCAGGCTGGAGTGAAGTGGCATAATCTCGGCTCACTGCAACCTCCACCTCCCTGGTTCAAGCAATTCTCCTGCCTCAGCCTCCTCAGTTGCTGGGATTACAGGCACACATTACCACGCCCAGCTAATTTTTGTATTTTTAGTAGAGATGGGGGTTCACCATGTTGGCCAGGCTGGTCTCGAACTCCTGACCTCAAGTGATCCACCCCCCCTCGGCCTCCCAAAGTGCTGAGATTACAGGCATGAGCCTGTATAGTGTGTGTGTGTATATATATATATATTTTGTTTTTGTTTTGTTTTGTTTTGTTTTTTGAGACGGAGTTTCGCTGTTGTTGCCCAGGCTGGAGTGCAATGGCGTGATCTCGGCTCATTGCAGCCTCCGCCTCCCGGCTTCATGCGATTCTCCTGCCTCAGCCTCCCAAGTAGCTGGTACAGGCATGTGCCACCACGCCCGGTTAATTTTGTATTTTTAGTAGAGATGGGGTTTCTGCATGTTGGTCAGGCTGGTCTCAAACTCCCGGCCTCAGGTGATCTGCCCATCTTGGCCTCCCAAAGTGCTGGGATTACAGGCATGAGCCACCGCGCCTGGCCCATAGTATATATTTTTTTAAATTAAACAATAAAGTTGAAGAATTATTAAAGGACATTTGTAGTAAACTGTAAAAGCAAACTGACAAAACTTGTAATTTGTTAAAAAAAAAAAAGGTGAAAAAGTAAAGTAAGAATAGTGTTCCTGATGTGGGTGTGGGGAGATGCTTAACATTGCTAGAATTTTGGTGGAAATGAGTAGCACCCAGAGAGTCAGCCAGATGGCCAAGTGAGATTGGATCTCAAGTGAACTCCTGCAAAGTCTTTGATCTCCCTGTGGTAAAGGATTAATGGCCCATGAAGCATAAGTCAATGAACTAGATCAGTAAAACTTCAACCCTGCTGCATGCTAATATTACCTGAGAAACTTCTAAAGTAAGGATCTAGGGCAGGGTGCAGTTCCACATGCCTGTAACCCCAGAACTTTGGGAGGCCAAGGCAGAAAGATTGTTTGAGCCAAGGAGTTCGAGACCATCCTTGGCAACACAGTGAGACCCCCGGTATCCACCAGAAAAAAAAAAAAAAAATAGCCAGGTTTGGTGGCACATGCCTGTAGTCCCAGCATTCAGGAGGCTGAGGCAGGAAGATGGCATGACCCCAAGACTTTGAGGCTGCAGTGAGCTATGATCGCACCACTGCACTCCAGCCTGGGTGACAGAGGGATACCCTATCTCAAATAAATAAATAAATAAATATCTTGGCTGGACGCCATGGCTCACTCCTGTAATCCCAGCACTTTGGGAGGCTGAGGCAGGCATATCACCTGAGGTCGGGAGTTCAAGACCAGCCTGGTCAACATGGTGAAAGCCATCTCTACTAAAAAGAAAAGAAAATTGGCCTGGTGCAGTGGCTCATGCCTGTAATCCTAGCATTTTGGGAGGCTGAGGCGGGTGGATCACCTTAGGTCAGGAGTTCGAGTACAGCATGGCCAAGATGGCGAAACCCTGTCTCTATCAAAAATACAAAAATTAGCCAAGTGTGGTGGTGGGCGCCTATAATCCCAGCTACTCAGGAGGTTTAGCAGGAGAATAGCTTGAACCCGGTGTGACAGGGCAGAGGTTGCAGTGAGCGGAGATCGCGCCACTGCACTCCAGCCTGGGCGACAGATTGAGACTCCATCTCAAAAAAAAATTAGCTGAGCGTGGTGGCAGGCGCCTATAATCTCATCTACTCAGGAGGCTAAGTCAGGAGAATCACTTGAACCCCGGAGGCAGAGGTTGCAGTAAGCCAAGACCGCGCCATTGGCCGGGCGCGGTGGCTCACGCCTGTAATCCCAGCACTTTGGGAGGCCGAGGCGGGCGGATCACGAGGTCAGGAGATCAAGACCATCCTGGCTAACATGGTGAAACCCTGTCTCTACTAAAAATACAAAAAATTAGCCGGGCGTGGTGGCGGGCGCCTGTAGTCCCAGCTACTCCGGAGGCTGAGGCAGGAGAATGGTGTGAACCCGGGAGGCAGAGGTTGCAGTGAGCCGAGATGGTACCACTGCACTCCAGCCTGGGCGACAGAGCGAGACTCCGTCTCAAAAAAAAAAAAAAAAAAAGATCGCGCCATTGTACTCCAGCCTGGGCGATAAGAGTGAGACTCCGTTTCAGAAAAAAAGCTTAGGATGTACCTCAGAATAATTGATCCAAAAATCTTTCTTTTTTTTTCTTTTTTTGAGACGGAGTTTCACTCTTGTTGCCCAGGCTGGAATGCAATGGCGCGATCTCGGCTCACTGTAACCTCCACCTCTGAGGTTGAAGCAATTCTCCTGCCTCAGCCTCCCGAGTAGCTGGGGTTACAGGCGTGTGCCACCATGCCCGGCTAATTTTTTTTTTTCCCCAAGATGGAGTCTTGCTCTGTCCCCCAGGCTGGAGTGCAGTGTTGAGATCTCAGCTCACTGCAACCCCTGCCTCCAAGTTCAAGCAATTCTCCTGCCTCAGCCTCCTGAGTAGCTGGGATTACAGACGCCCGCCACCATGCTCAGCTAATTTTTATATTTTTAGTAGAGATGGGGTTTCACCATGTTGGCCAGGCTGGTCTCGAACTCTTGACCTTGTGATCCTCCCGCCTCGACCTCTCAAAGTGCTGGGATTACAGGCGTGAGCCCCCACACTCGGCCCTAATTTTGTATTTTTAGTAGAGACAGGATTTCACCATGTTGGCCAGTCTGGTCTCAAACTCGTGACCTTAGGTGATGCCTCAGCTTTCCAAAGAGCTGGGATTATAGGCGTGAGCCACCACACCCGGAGTGATCCAAAATCTGAATTGAGATTTTGCAGAAGTCGTGCCTCTGGAAACAGTATTTAAAAAAAAAATTGTCCAGGTGATTACTATGAGCAGACAAGGTTGAAATTCCACAATATAGATGCCAATATGTAAGACATCAAACAACACTGTTTGGGAAAATAAGATTTTTTTGGCCTGCAGTTATTATGAGGTTTTAAACTTTAAGTGTAATGAAATTAGGACAAAGTTGTAGATTTCTGTTAGGTGACATCAACAGAGGGTAAAAGGAAATTATAACTTAAAAAATATTTCTATCTCAAAATAAAGTTTCTTTGAATGACTTTCATTCAATGATTATTTATTGAGAATCAATGACATGCAAAGCCTTGTGCTAGAGCTGTGGGATTTTTAAAAAATGGCTGGGAAATGGCTCTTACCCTCAAAGTTGTTTCAGTCTAGTTAAGAGATACAAAGAATTAGAGACAAAACAGGGCAGAAATAAATGCCAAAGTGGAAGAAACGAAGTGTATGGGAACACTGAGGAGATTAACACTGGTGAAGAGGGTGGGAATGGGGAGTCTTCATGGAGAAACCAGGATTTGAACGCAGTTTGAAGAATGAGCAGCATTTCAGAAGGTGGAGAAGCTGGGAAGGGGCAGAGTCCCAGTCTGGGGAACAGTAGGAGCCACTGTTGATACTTGGAGAGGTATCCATCCAATCTATGCATCTCTCTGTCTCTGTGTCTCTCTCTCTGTTCCTCTCTATATATAGTGTGTATGTAAATTATATACATACATATATAATACATGTTACATATCTGTATACATAAAATAAAATCTTGAGATCCTCAACTCACCATGACAAAGGGAAAGTTAAACTTGGGACCTGAGTCACACAAAAACTGCTTTCCTTTAGTTCACAGATAGCTGTAATTTCACATGCTTACTTTGTCTTATGTAAACTGTAGATGTGAGCACAAGTCAAATGTGTAATTGCCTTTTCCCTGACTCCTTTTTTTCACATGTAAAATGTAGATTCACTGGGTGCTTAAAAAAAAAAAGGCCTCACAAGAATATGACCGCTTGCCTCATTACCTACCCTCTGCCGCTTCTTCCCCTTTCCTCCTTCCCTTCCTGCTCACTATTTCCGCTTTAAATATTGAAGTCCTCCGAACCCTCTTTTGAGGGTTTCCTCTTCTTTTCATATCCTTTGCCCATTTTTCTATTGGGTTATTTTTATTTATCGTTTTGCAAGACAAAGCACAGGACACAGATCCTACTGTGACTTGTGTTTCTTCTTCCTGGGTGTGTCCTCAACCTTGACAAAATAAACCTCTAAATCAATTATTTGCCTCAGTCACTTTTTGGTTTACACATATACATATGGGTTATATACATATACATATGTACATGTATATACACATCACATAGGAATAAACTAAGCAATTGTTTGGGTATATAATTACATATATATTTGATATATTTATGGAGGACCTATCTAATGTCTCTAATATACTGTGTCTATTTATTTATACATTCACATATATGTTTGTGTGTTGCGGGGGTGTGGGGTATGTTTACTCTTTTCCCCCGCTTTTTGAGACAGTCTCACACTGTCACCCAGGCTGGAGTGCAGTGGCTCCACTGCAGCTCACTGCAGCCTCAACCTTCCCAAGTTCAGGTGATCCTCCTGCCTCAGCCTCCCAAGTTGCTGGGACTACAGGCATGCACCACAACATCTGGCTAATTTTGCTATTTTTTTCTTCTTCTTCTTTTTTTTTTTTTTTAGAGAGATGGGGTTTTGCCATGTTGCCCAGCCTGGTCTGAAACTCCTGAGCTCAAGTGATCGTCTCCTCCCACCTCAGCCTCCCAAAGTGCGGAAATTACAGGCAAGAGCTGCACCCAGCCATGTTTACTCTCTAATGTGTGTTGTTTTTATTCAAAAACTGCAGTGCTCCCTTGCCTGAAACCTTTTGCAGACTTCCCATCACTTACCGGGTTAAGTGCAAGCTCTTTGCCTGTTGCGCCAAGCCTATGTGGTCAGGGCTCTGTTTGCCTCTGTCTCCAGCCTTCTCTTGAGCCACTCTGGCCACTTTTCAGAGGGATCTACAGTGGGGGAACGAAAGAAAGAATGCTCCTCCTGAGCACCTTCTTCCAAAGTGGAGTCCTTTCAGCAGTTGTTTTCAAGATTAATATGTCAACAAGACTACTGTTACAGGGATAATGAAAAGACCTTAGGGGAAGCAGCATGAAAGCAAGACTGTGACCATGCAGAGAGGGAGCCAAAGGGCAATGCCTTCTTTATGGGCTCCCTCCCACACTACCCAGAGACAGAGCCACCTCCTCCCAGACTGACTTCCCCATGTTTGGACTTAGCTTTGATGCTGCTGTAGTCATACTGAGAACTTTATAAACTGCCCCTAGGTCCTTGAACAAGCCCAGCTGTTTCACATCTCTGTGACTGTACTCATTTTCATCCCTCAAGCTTGAATGCCCTTACCTACCATGGTCTGCTAGGCAAACTCTAATCATCTTTCAAAACTCAGCTCATGCAACATTGTTTTTTTCCATGTGGAGACCACAGTGAGATATTCCCCACCCAGTGATTTAGAAATAAGATTGCCACAAAATAACACCAGCAAACCACATATATCATAAACGCGATTAGCCCTCTGGAGGAGAAAACCAAGCAATTGTGTATAAATATGTAAATAATTTAGAAATTCTCTAATTTCAAAAAGAAAAAAAGGAGAAAGTGGTGTTGGATACTCTCAAGGACAGAATATGGAAAGAACTCCAATGTAATAAACAGAAAACCATTAATTAATTGTATTTGCCTTGATTACAGCAAGATCATGTGAAGAAAAGGGTCTGGTAAACCCAGGAAACACAGAGTTAGGGTGGGGATGGGGGTAGATGGGTACACATCATTAATTTCCACTGCTATATATTAGCCTAGCATATGAAATCAATTATAATTTATCTTCTACTGGTAGAAATTGATGGTTTTCAATAGTTAGCCATAATAAACAATGCTCAATGAGCATTTCATTCATGTCTCCTTGTGCTCATGAGCTCATATTTTCTTTCTTGAGACGGAGTTTCACTCTTGTCACCCAGGCTGGAGTACAATGGCGCGATCTCAGCTCACTGCAACTTCTACCTCCCTGGTTCAAGCGACTGTCCTATCTCAGCCTCCCAAGTAGCTGGGATTACAGGCGCGTCACCACACCCAGCTAAGTTTTGGATTTTTAGTAGGGATGGAGTTTCACCATATTGGCCAGGTTAGTCTCAAACTCCTGACCTCAGGTGATTCGTCTGCCTCGGCCTCCTAAAGTGCTGGGATTCGAGGCGTGAGCCACTGTGCCCAGCCTCATATTTTCTTTTTTTTCTCTTCTTTAAAATCAAGAGAGGGTCTTGCTCTGTCTCTCAGGCTGAAGTACAGTGGGGTGATCATGGCTCACTGCAGCCTTAACCTCCTGGGCTCAAGTGATCTTCCCACCTTGGCCTCCCAAAATGGAGATTATAAGCGTGGGATTGTAAGCGTGAGCCACTGCGTCTGGCCTAGCTCATATTGTCCCAAGGTATGTGTTCAGGAGTGGGATTACTGAATAATAAAGTGTGAACCTATTCATCTTTATTAGATAAGGTCAAATTGTTCTTTAAAGTGGTTGCACCAGTTTATGCGGCCACCAACAGTGTAACAGTGTTCTTGTTACAGAAATGAAAGACACCTGAGGAAAATGTAAGCAGAGAGGCTTTTTGTGGTTGACCTAGAGTGATGCATGAAGTAGGTATTCAGAGTAACATTTTGCATTATAGTGAGAAACAATCTGAATTTTAGTAGTAAATTGTTTTACCAATTGTACATTTATGTAATAAATTAATAAAATGCTGTAAGTTTAAAAAACAAACAAAAACAACAAAAACAACAACAAAAAAATAGCGTTCTTGTTGTTCTGTATTCTTACCAACACTTGGTATTGTCAGACTTAAATGTTTGATAATTGGATGCAATGGAAATGCTATCTCATTATTGTTCTACTTTGCATTTCTTTGGTTAGTACTGAGATTTCACATCTTTTTATATGGCTATGGCCACTTGAATTTCCTCTTATTTTCATATCCTTTGCCCACTTTTGTACTGGATTATTTTTATTCTATTTATTGTTTTGTGGGAATTCCATATGTCTATGTATGTATTGTGAGAGAGAGAGAGAGAGAGTGTGTGTGTGTGTGTGTGTGTGTGTGTGTGTGTGTGTGTTGGGTTTATTCTCCTGGTTCATAGCTTGCTTATTCATTTAAAAAAAAAAACCTCTCTGTTCCTCAATTTTCTCATCTGTAAATGTGTATGTAAATTATATACATTATTAAACAATGTATGTAATGTCCTATAACAGTACCTAGCATATTAGAAAACACAATATAAACATTTGCTTGTATTATTATCAGCATCTTTGGATGAAGTTTTAATTATTTTTAAAGTATCTTTTAATAAATAGAGAAATTAAAATTTTAATGCCTACATTTATAAATATTTTCCTCTATAGCTTATGCTTTTTATATCTAACACTGGCTTTTTATATTTACTCTATGCTTTGCCCATTCTCTTTTTTTTTTTTTTGAGATGAAGTCTCACTCTTTTTTCCCCAGGCTGAAGTGCAATGGCACGATCTTGGCTTACTGCAACCTCCGCCTCCCAGGTTCCAGCGATTCTCCTGCCTCAGCCTCCTGAGTAGCTGGGATTACAGGCACCTGCCACCACACCTGACTAATTTTTGTATTTTTAGTAGAGACGGAGTTTCACCATGTTGGCTAGGCTGGTCTCAAACTCCTGACCTCAGGTGATCCACTCGCCTCAACTTCCCAAAGTGCTGGGATTACAGGCATGAGCCACCGTGCCCGGCCAATGCTTTGCGCATTCACGAAGTGTTTTCACTAATTGAAAACTTTCCCATCAAACACTCTAGAATCTATTATAATTGGGAGAATATGGAGAATACCTAAATCATTTCCTAAGTGTTTTAAAGGATGATGATTGCTTTTCTAGATATCATCATGAATACCAAAGCCATGCTTTTGTTCACTGAGTTTAACTCCCTAAAACAAGGGTTTTTAAAATCATGATGTCTTGTTGAACACATACTGGTGGTTCTTGTATGGTATTCAAATTTTAAATTTCTATTTCTGTATGTGCTTTTTTTCTTAGAGACAGGGTCTTGCTCTATCACCCAGACTGGAGTGCAGTGATGCAGTTATAGCTCACAGCAGCCTCAAACTCTTTGGCTCAAGTGATCTCCCTGCCTTAGCCTTCTGCATAGGTAGGACTACCGGCACACACCATCACACTTGGCTAATTAAAAAAAAAATGTTTTTATAGAGACAGGGTCTTGCTATATTCCCCAGGCTGGTCTTGAACCCTTGGGCTCACGTGATACCCCCTGCCTTGACCTCCTGAGTAGCTGGGCCACCAAGCCCCACCTTTTTGTTTCTGTTATTTTCTTCCCCCATTTTTTCCCAGCATTGCAAATGCCCCCATCTTTTCAAATGCTGATATTTTACTTATATACCAGAATTATTCTTCTTTTACTCTTGTAAATCTTACTAGACTTCAACAAATATATAAATACTTTAACAAAGACCACGTCTGTTCAGTGAGCTGAGTTGATTTGCTGTTCTGTGAAATAAAACCTTACACATCACATTAGCTATGTATTGTAGTCATCTTGCAATGTCACTCTTAGTGATGAAAATCACTTCCAGAACCCTCAGTGGTGGATTATTTCCTTCTGTTCTACTGAAGACATGATAATACTTGTTGGGAAAATTTCATGGCTACAAAAGTGGTAGCAGTCACTATTCAGTGGAATTGTTGGCAGATACAGAGCAACCCTGTTGAAACACAGAGAGATCAAGACGGGCTATAAGCCACAAAACTTCACAGGACAACTTTGATACCTGAAATAAATGCTATGGAAGTTCCAAAGCTCCTTCCTGAAGAGAAGTCCTGCTTTGCCTAGATACCTCAGGGATTTGTCTCCAGAGCTCCAGTAGTTTCTGCTTAGCCATAAATTTTAAGAATTTTAGCTTTCATGATTAGTTGTCTACTTTGCCACCTTCTTGGGATTTACAAAGAAAAATGCTTGCACACCAAACCCTCCTCAGAGAATATATATGGAATTTTCTGTCATTCAATTTATATCAGAAATTTAGCCCAAATAATATATATTCCAGGAAGATTACTGTATTAGTCCATTCTCGCATTGCTATAAAGAAAATCTGAGACTGGGGAATTTATAAACAAAAGAGGTTTAATTGGCTCATGGTTCTGCAGGCTGTGCAAGAAGCTTGCAGCATCTACTTCTGGAGAGGCCTCAGGGAGCTTTTACTCCTGGCAGAAGGCAAAAGAAGAGCAGGTGTCTTACATGGCAGAAGCAGAAGCAAGAGAGTAAAGGGGGAGGTGCTACACACTTGTAAACAACCACATCTCATAAGAACTCACTCACTGTTGCAAGGGCAGTACCAAGGGAATGGTGCTAAGCCATTCATGCAAAATTCCCCCGCATGATCCAATCACCTCCCAATAGGCCCCACCTCCAACATTGGGGATCACCTCTCCCACCAGGCCCCGCCTCAGATATTGGGGATTACAATTTTTTTTTTTTTTGAGATGGAGTCTTGCTCTGTCATCCAGGCTGGAGTGCAGTGGCACAATCCCAGCTCACTGCAACCTCTGCCTCCTGGGTTCAAGCAATTCTCCTGCCTCAGCCTCCCAAGTAGCTGAGATTACAGGTGCATGCCACCAAGCCGGGTTAATTTTTGTATTTTTAGTAGAGATGGGGGTTGGTCAGGCTGGTCTTGAACTCCTGACCTCAGGTGATCCACCCGCCTCATTCTCCCAAAATGCTGGGATTACAGGTGTGAGCCACCACACCCAGCCAATAATTCTTTTTATTTTATTTATTTATTTATTTATTTATTTTTATTTTATTATTATTATACTTTAAGTTTTAGGGTACATGTGCACAATATGCAGGTTAGTTACATATGTATACATGTGCCATGCTGGTGTGCTGCACCCATTAACTCGTCATTTAGCATTAGGTATATCTCCTAAAGCTATCCCTCCCCACTCCCCAAGAATTCTTAGTCATCCTTAATCCTTCTCTTTTTCTCATGCTCTGTGTCTGTCAGGATTTGCTAGGTTATGCTGCAGTAACAAACAGCCCCAACTCTCAATGGCTTAACACAACAGAAGTTTATTTCTCATCCTAACTACTGAGTTAGAGCAGACGCTCTGCTCCACTCTCAAACCAACTCTAGGATCCAGGATGATGGAGCAGCCACAATCTGCAACATTTTTGTTTACCACAAGAGTCAGAAAAGAGTTCCAAAGGGTTTCCTGTTGGCAATTTGATGCTTAGCCTAGAAGTGACACATATTACCTCTGCTAGAGCTGTTAATAACTGGCTCAACCACCCAACCACAGGAGGTCAGAAAGTATAACACTACCAGGTGTCCAATAGAAAAATTAATAAGCAGCATTATTGACTACTACACTCAGGATGGACTCCCCAGAAGTAGACCCTAAGATGAAGATTCATGTGAGAGCAATTTATTCGGAAGTGTTTTGAGGAAAAAACAATAAGGAATCAGGGAAGAGAGACAGGGAAGGAAGGAAGCCAAGCAAGTGTTCAAGAGCAAACAAAATCCCATAGAGGATAAGGTAGGCTCAATCCCACAGAGCAATTCTGGAGACAGTCATACCTCAGAGCGGTCTGGACTGGGGCAAGGAAGCTGGAGACTTTAAACTTCTGTACCAGGAGTCATTTGTAGGGCCCTTGCCAGGGAGATGTAAACCCTAGGCATTTCTGGATCTCCTTGCAGATATTGGCTGTTGGAAGTGAAAACATGGCATGAAATTGGTAAAGGGATCCAAAAGCACAAAAGTGGAGCATTAATACACTTCTGTTACACAAACCCCAATCCTATAAATCACATTATCCTACTAGCTCTATATCCCATACATTTCCTAAATCATCCATTTTTCTCTATTCTCTAATTGTCCCTCCCTCAAGTACCCCTTGAGCCTGTCATCCTTGGTCTTCTGCCCTATTGCAACCAGGATACTGAACTGCACTTTTGATATCTCTAATCTACTCTTCACACTGTAGTCAGATTGTTCTTTCTGATCCAAGTGGCTTTTCCCTGGTGATATCTCAAATTCATCATGCCTGCTTTCTATTCAGTATACAATCCCCATTAAGCAGATGAGAAAACTGAGGCACAGAGAAGTTAAGTAACTTGCCAATAGTCATTCAGTTAGTAACTGGCAGAGCCAGACTGTGAATCTAGTATCCATTAACCCCAAAGCCTTTCCTATTGTATTTCACTGATCCTGGATTGTGATTAATTTGCCCACTTTGTCCTGATTACTACCAGTTCTATAAGCTTCACATACAATTTGTTTAAAACCAAATTTATCATCTTACTTACCTCCCTCACCAAATGCCTCTGCTCCTGAGATTCCAATGTCAATAATGGCCCTGCTATCCTTTGGTGTTATGCTTGACTCTTCCTTCTTCTTTCTCTATTGTTTGAAGTTATTTCCACAGTTATTGTACTTCTGACTCCTAATGCCCATTGCTGCAGGTAGGCCTGGCTTTATATGCCCTAAGCTGTGGTATACAGAGTACCCAACAAGTACCCATATGTGGGAGGTCCTGGAGCTGTGCCCAAAGAGGGCTCATTAGCAGTAGATAGCATTCCAACAATACTCTGCGCCAAGAAATGAGATCAGAATCCAGGGAATGAAGCCAAACTTGGCTAGTCTGTTGCCAAGCTGGAAGTTCTTGGACACGGTTATAAGCAAAGGGAAAGAAGCCAGTAGAGAGGGAGAGATTGACTGATGATGAAACTGAGAGAAGCAGTAATGGATGGGGCAGGGTCCTGGGGGAGGCGATCAAAAGGATCGCCGTATGTCTCCTTGGGAGTGGGCTGGTTCTGATGATTGGGGTCTTGGGGAGAGGGAGTTATATGCATGGCATATACTAGGTGCTCAAAATAGTACTGAGAGGCGTTAATGATATCTGTCCTTGAAGATCGAGACCATCCTGGGCAACATGGTGAAACTCCGTGTCTACTAAAAATACAAAAAATAGCTGGATGTGGTGGTGGGCGCCTGTAATCCCAGCTACTTGGGAGTCAGAGCCAGGAGAATGGCTTGAACCCAGGAGGCGGAGGTTACAGTGAGCCAAGATCATGCTACTGCACTCCAGCCTGGTCACAGAGGAAGACTGTCTCAAAAAAAAAAAAAAAAGAAAAAAAAGAAAAGGAAATATCTGTCCTCTATTCCTGGAGGCAACTATTTTGAACTAACTTAGCTTAAAAAAAAAAACAAAAAAAAACAAAAAAAACCCAAAAAACCCTGACATTAACTTTCATATTTCTAAGTAGTATACTTATATTATTTCTTGACTTATCAACTTGAAACTACTAATTTCCTATTAGGTGGATGGATCACTTTGTCTGTTATATTACTACCCTCTACTTCTCCTCCTCTTTTCCCACAGTTTAAAAAAATCTTGGATAAATCAGTGGTCCGTGTAATATGTAAATATGTAATGTCAATGTAACTATGGTTTGGTGATGATCCTATTCGTTGTATATTTTATCTTGTACAAATTTTTATTTTTTCTGGAATTAATAGTTTAAGACATTATGTATTCCATGTACCTATCTTTAATGTTTCCTGAAGTGGTCCATCTGCTCTGTCAATTTTTGAGGGTTTTTTTCCCCCACCATGCTGAAGCATATTAGGTAATTGATCGTTTCCATATTTTCTTGGAGTCCTCCCTCCCACAGTGCCTTTCCCACTGCTGCAGCCTGGACCAGGTGCTGCAAAGCCCTAGTGCACAAGCTGTCACCCTGAGATCTTCTGTACTACCACACTGTTTCTTTTCTGTTGGGGCTCCTTTTTCTGGATCCAGTGAATTCTTTTCCTTGGTTTGGTCCACCCACATACTTGATTCATGGTTTGGCTGGGTAATTTTAAGGGCAGTACTCCACTATCTTCCACTATCCAGTTGTGTTGAGAAGTCTTATGGCACTCTGCTTCTTGTTATTTTGTTATTTTAGAGGTGAGAGCGCTTTCTTAGAAAATAATGGTAGTCTCGCCGGGCACGGTGGCTCACGCCTGTAATCCCAGCACTTTGGGAGGCCGAGGCGGGTGGATCACGAGGTCAGAAGATCGAGACCATCCTGGCTAACACGGTGAAACCCCGTCTCTACTAAAAACACAAAAAATTAGCCGGGCGTGGTCGCGGGCGCCTGTAGTCCCAGCTACTCCGGAGTCTGAGGCAGGAGAATGGCGTGAACCCGGGAGGCGGAGCTTGCAGTGAGCCGAGATCGCGCCACTACACTCCAGCCTGGGTGACAGAGCGAAACTGTGTCTCAAAAAAAAAAAAAAAAAAAAAGAAAAAGAAAAAAAAAAGAAAAGAAAATAATGGTAGTCTCAGTTGACAGTGTTCAAATTGACTGTATTATGGACCAGTGGAGCTGGGAGGGACCCTCAGTGTCCCCTAGTTTAATACCCCTGTAATACAAAGAAGGTACCTGACATCCAGAGAAATGATGCGCCTTGTGTAAAGTTGTAGTTAGGACGGGACAGAGCCAGGACTCTAAATTCTGTCCTCCGGCCATAATTCCAACACTTTCTCCAATGTTATGTATGTAGTCTAAAATGCTAAAAAAAAAAAAAAAAAAAAAAAAAAAAAAAGCATTTGCGTTTTTGTTTCCTTTTGTTTTACTTTTTATTATGGCAAATTTCAAACATATACAGATACAGAATAGTTTAATGAATTCCCATGTTCTCATCACGCAGATTCAAACATGAATACATGGCCAATTTTGTATCACTTAAACTCCTGCAGACAAGCCCTGCCCCATCCTGCTGTTTTGAATAAAATCCATCATGATATCTCACTGTAAAAAGGCCTGTTCTTTGCGAAAAAATAACCATAATATGATTGGTTGCTCTGCAGAGTTTTACAATTGCCTTTTTATTCCTGATGTCCTGAAATATTCACGATATTAGACACTTAGAAGGGCCTTTCAATGTGGAGAGTCTGCATCCCTCTGGGAAATTTTCTTGTATTTTGCCTTGAAAATATTTCTGTCTTTCCTTTTTTTCTTTTCTCTTTCTATAATTCTTGATCTTCTGGATTGATCCTCTACATTCATCTCCTTTCTGTTCTGTTTTTTATTTTTTATTCTTTGGATACAGAGTCTCGCTCTGTCGCCCAGGCCAAAGTGCAGTGGCATGATCTCAGCTTACTGCAACCTCCGCCTCCCAGGTTCAAGTGATTCTCCTGCCTCAGCTTACCGACTAGCTGGGATTACATATGTGTGCAACCACGCCCGGCTAATTTTTGTATTTTTAGTAGAGACGGGGCTTCACCATGCTGGCCAGGCTGGTCTCGAACTCTTGAACTCCAGTGATCTGCCCATCTCGGCCTCCCAAAGTGCTGGGATTACAGGCATGAGCCACTGCGCCCAGCCCTGTTCTGTTTCTTTATCTCTATTTTTTCCCCATTTACTGGAAGATAAATGGCTTCCCAGCTCTTTGACTAAAATGTTCAATTTCAGCTTCCCTAAGTTTAAATTTCCAAGTGTTCTTTCTTGGCTTTATTTTTTATTTTTTATTTTAGACTGAGTCTCACTCTGTTGCCCAGGCTGGAGTGCAGTGGTGTGATCTCAGGTCACTGCAACCTCTGCCTCCTGCATTCAAGTGATTCTCCTGCCTCAGACTCCCGAGTAGCTGGGACTACAGGCACCCGCCACTATGCCCAGCTAATTTTTGTATTTTCAGTAGAGACAGGGTTTCACCATGATGGCCAGACTGCTCTCGAACTCCTGACCTCAGGTGATCTGCCCGCCTCGGCCTCCTAAAGTGCTGGGATTACAGGCGTGAGGCACCATATCCTTGGTTTATGGATGCAAAAACTTCTGTTATTTTCCCATGGTATTATTTGCTTATAGGTTTTGTTTTCTTTTGTTCTTATTTGCTTCCATCAGGTTAATTTTTCTGCTTGTTTTGTTCTCTCTCTTCGTATTGGGATTTTACCAATTTTTTTTGTTTCTAATATGCAATATGCAGCATCCAGATGCCATTTAAATATCAATATGAATTGTGACCTAAAAAATAGGAAGAAAAAAAAGAAAAGATACTGAATGATCAAGTTCAGAGAGGTGTAATAAGAATAATATACATGTGGGAAGAATCCTATGCAATGCCATTAAAATAACTTTTGAGCCATGCAGAAAGACAATTACAATATCTTAAGAAAGCCACAAAGGTAACATCTAAACAAGGAGCAAATAGCAAGTTATAACCTATGTGAAGTAAAGTTAAAATGAAATAGCAGATTCAAATCAGACAGAAGAAGAGCTAATGTGTGACTTCAATCCAGAGAATGTGTAAGCCCACGACCAGTCCTTTTAAGGTAGAAAGCCCTATTTATAGGCTCATAATGTCTCAGTAGTGACTTATGAAAAAATCAAATTCTGAGTCTCAGCTAAAAAAATCTCTCTGGTTGATGTATAACTTCAGTAGGCTGAGATAAGGACCTCCATGTGCTTAGGTATAATTGTGTTTTTTTGTTTTTCTTAATTAAAAAAATTTATTATTATTATTTGAGTTGGACTCCACTCTGTCACCCATGCTGGAGTGCAGTGGCGTGATCTTGGCTCACTGCAAACTCCGCTTCCCAGATTGAAGCCATTCTCCTGTCTCAGCCTCCTGAGTAGCTGGAACTACCAGCATGTGCCACCATGCCTGGCTAATTTTTGTATTTTTAGTAGAGACAGGGTTTCGCCATATTGGTCAGACTGGTCTTCAACTCCTGACTTCAGGTGATCCACCTATCTCGGCCTCCCAAAGTGCCAGGATTACAGGCATGAGCTACTGTGCCCGGCCAGGTATAATTGTTTTATGGATATCATTTGACTCTGGAAAAATTAGAATTTAGCATTAAAAATAAAGTATACGGCCGGGCATGGTGGCTCATACCTGTAATCCCAGCACTTTGGGAGGCTGAGGTGGGTGGATCACCTGAAGTCAGGAGTTCAAGACCAGTCTGACCAATATGGCGAAACCCTGTCTCTACTAAAAATACAAAAATTAGCCAGGCGTGGTGGCACGTGCTTAGTCCCAGCTACTCAGGAGGCTGAGACAGGAGAATGGCTTGAATCTGGGAAGCGGAGTTTGCAGTGAGCCAAGATCACGCCACTGCACTCCAGTATGGGTGACAGAGTGAGAGTCCATCTCAAATACAAAAATACAAAAATTAGCCAGGTATGGTGGTGCATGCCTGTAATCCCAGCTACTCGGGAGGCTGAGGCAGGAGAATAGCTTGAACCCGGGAGGCAGAGATTGTAGTGAGCCAAGATCCTGCCACTGCACTCCAGCCTGGGACAGAGCTAGACTCCGTCTCAAAAAAAACAAAAAGTATATTACATCTATAATATTAATATTCTTATGTTAAGATTAAAAATACATTATTAGGCTGGGCGCGGTGGCTCACGCCTGTAATCCCAGCACTTTGGGAGGCCAAGACGGGCGGATCACGAGGTCAGGAAATTGAGACCATCCTGGTTAACACAGTGAAACCCTGTCTCTATTAAAAATACAAAAATTAGCCACGGGTGGTGGCGGGCGCCTGTAGTCCCAGCTACTCCGGAGTCTGAGGCAGGAGAATGGCATGAACCTGGGAGGCGGAGCTTGCAGCGAGCCGAGACCACGCCACTGCATTCCAGCCTGGGTGACAGGGCGAAACTCCGTCTCAAAAAAAAAAAAAAAAAAAGGACATCAGTTTTTTATTGTTGTATAACTAATTACCACAAACCCAGTGGCTTAAGTGTATTACTGCATAGTTTCTGTGGATGAGGAGTCTAGGCTGGGTCTTCTGCTCAGGCCCTTGTAAAGCTGTGCTCGAGTTACTGGTTGTATTTTGATCTAGAGGCTCAACTGAGGGAAAATTCACTTCCCAGCTCATTCAGGTTGTTAGCAGAAATCAATTCCTTGCTGTTTTGCAGCTGAGGACCCTGGCTTTTTGCTGGCTGTTGGCTGGAGGCCTGTATCAGGTTCTAGAGGCATCCACAGGTTCCTAGAAGAGTCCGCAGTTCCTTACCACACAGGCTTCTCCAACATGCCTGCTTATTCCATCAGGCCCACAAGGAGCATTTCACTTCTGTCTGCTGAAACAGAGTCTCATATAACATAACATAACATAACATAACATAACATAACATAACATAACATAACATAACAAACGTAACGTAACGTAACATAATCACAGGAGTGACATCCCATCATCTTTTCCATATAATACAACCTGATCAAGGGACTGACATCCCATCACCAGTCCTGCCAACACTCAAGGGCAGGGAGTGTGGCAAAGCATGAATACCAAGAGATAAGGAATCACGGGCACTTACCTTACAGTCTGTCTGCTAAAAAGAATGATCTGTATATGTTTGGTACTTAAAGTCCCTGTAGTGTTTAAGAAAATTTGGCAAATTGGAGTATCTAAGAGACCAGCTTTGTGGTCCCAATTTAGAATGAATGAGTAATTGATTTAGATTTGGAATTTTGAGTTGAGTTGTAAGAGAGTTTTAATAAGTTTAGAAATTATATTGGACCATTTAAAACAACTTAACATCCACCATACTTACATGTTTACTGTCTTACGAATATTAGAATTTCTAAGTACTTGAAAGGGTAGCAGCAGCCAGTCTCCAAAGATGGCCACCATCAATGCATGTTCTTCGTGTATGTGCATTCTGCTCCTGATAACAAGAAGAGGAGTTTCCTTCTCCTCTCTCCTCTGGGCTGACCTTGTAACTGGCCCTGATCAAGAGAATGTGGCAGAAGGGACATTCTGGTCATTAAGCCCAGGCCCTGCAAGGACTGATAGCTTCTACTTTCTGCCTCTTACAATGCTCTTTCTTGGAACCTAGCTGTTATGCCATGATAAAATAAATGATATACCTGATTGCAGAATATATAATGCACTCTTTTTATTTATTTATTTTTTTTTGAGACAGAGTCTTGCTCTGTCACCCAAGCTGGAGTGCAGTGGTGTGATCTTGGGCTCACTGCAACCTCTGCCTCCCGGATTCAAGTGACTCTCCTGCCTCAGCCTCGCCAGTAGCTGGAACTACAGGCCCACGCCAGAATGCCTGGCTAATTTTTGTGCTTTTAGGAGAGACAGGGTTTCACCACGTTGGCCAGACTGGTCTTGAACTCCTAACCTCAAGTAATCTGCCCGCCTCCGCCTCTTAAGTGTTGGGATTACAGGCGTGAGCCACCACACTCGGCCATATAATGAATTCTTAAAACTCAATAACAAGAAGACAAACAACCTGGTTAAAATAAATGGGCAAATTTTTCAACAGACATTACTAAAGAAGACATAGGAATGGATAAAAAGCATATGAAAAGATGCTTGGCCAGTCATGGTGGTACACGTCTGTAATCCCAGCTACTCGGGAGGCTGAGGCAGAATTGCTTGAACCCAGGAGATCCCAGTAAGCTGAGATCGCACCGATGCACTCCAGCCTGGGCAACAGAGTGAGACTTCATCTAAAAAAAATAAAAAAATAAAAAAAAGAAGAAAAGAAAAGGTGCTTAACATCATCAGTTATTAGGGAAATGCAAATTTGCAAATTAAAACCACAATGAGCTGCCTACCATTTCACACCTACTAGAATGGCTTTAGTTGAAAAGACAGACAATAACTAGTGTTCGTGAAGATGTAGAGAAAATGGAACCTTCCTTCATGGCTGAGACAAAGTAAAATGTTGTAGCTACTTTGGATAAAAGTTTGCCAGTTTCTTAAAAAGTTAAACATGTGTACTAAACATGGCTTTTTATTCTGATGTTTTGACATCAGGGGCCTTACAGATCCTGTGTAGACTGCAACTCCCAGGGCTAGCCAACACCTAGAAATAGCAAACAACTCATCTTCCATGTGCAAACCAACGAATCCTAAGCCTATTTCCTAATTACCTCCTCAGTTGAGCTCTCACACATCTTGCCACTATTCCCCTGCCCTAATCACCTCAGGGCTGGGTGCCAGATAATTACAAATATTCTCTATGCCCCAGAGTTCAGTTCAAATTGGCCAATCCTAAACCTGCTTACCTGGCCTCACCTGTTCCTGGGGAAACCAGAATAAAGGCTCTTGCTCCCGCTGTCCCGACTGACCCTGCCGCTCCCCCATGTGGCCTGGCATGGTGGAGCACACACTCTCCTGTCCTGGGAACTGTCTCAGTCTGTCTTTTCAAGAGCAGTCATCTCCTGATCTGTTGGCCTCTCCATACCTGGATAAAAATAAAATCAACATTTTAAAGCAATATGTTTACCATATGATCCAGCAATTTCATTCTTAGGTATTTACCCCAGTGAAATGAAAACATATTTCTATACAAAAATCTATACATGAATGTTCATAGCAGCATTATACGTAATAACTACAAAGTGGAAACCACCCACATATCCATCCAATGATGAATAGAGAAACAATGTGTTCTATCCATACAATGGAATACTTATTCAGAAATGAAAGGACTGAACTATTTATAAATGCTAAAACATAGATGAACCTGAAAATAATTATGAGTGAAAGGAACCAGGCACAAAAGACCACACACTGTATGATCACTTTTATAGAAATGTTCAGAAAAGACAAATCTATGGAGAAAAAAGAGTACATTTGTGATGGCCTTGGAGCTGCAGTGGGAACAGGGGTTGATTGCTAACGAGCATGATGGTTCTCTTTAGGATTATACAAATATTCATAAATATTCTAAAACTGGATTGCAGTGATGAACAGTCTGTAAGTTTGTTAACCATCATTGAATTGTACACTTAAAATAGGTGAGTTTCTTTTTTTTTTAAGATTTTCTTTTTAATTATACTTTAAGTTCTGGGGTACATGTGCAGAATGTGCAGGTTTGTTACATAGCTACATGTGTGCCATGGTGGTTTGCTGCACCCAACAACCTGTAAATTTTTTTTTTTTGAGATGGAGTCTCACTCTGTTGCCCAGGCTGGAGTGCAGTGGCACAACCTCTGCTCAACTGCAACCTCCACCTCTCAGGTTCAAGTGATTCTCCTGCCTCAGCCTCCCGAGTAGATGGGATTACAGGCACACACCACCATACCCAGCTAATTTCTGTATTTTTAGTAAAGACGGGGTTTCACCATATTGGTGAGGCTGGTCTTGAACTCCTGACCTCATGATTCGCCCGCCTTGGCCTCCCAAAGTGCTGGGATTACAGGCATGAGCCACCATGCCCGGCCAACCTGTAATCTACATTAGGCATTTCTCCTAACGCTATCCACCCCCTAGCCTCCCATCCCCCAGCAGGCCCTGGTGTGTGATGCCCACTCCCGTGTCCATGTGTTCTCATTGTTCAACTCCCACTTATGAGTGAAAACCTGCGGTGTTTGGTTTTCTGTTCCTGTTAGTTTGCTGAGAATGATGGTTTCCACCTTCATCCATGGCCCTGCAAAGGACATGAACTCATCCTTTTTTATGGCTGCATAGTATTCCATGGTGTATATGTACCACATTTTCTTTATCCAGTCTATCATTGATAGGCATTTGGGTTGATTCCAAGTCTTTGCTATTGTGAACTGTGCCGCAATAAACATATGTGTGCATGTGTCTTTACAGTAGAATAATTTATAATCCTTTGGGTATATACCCAGTAATGGGATTACTGGGTCAAATGGTATTTCTATTTCTAGATCCTTGAGTAATCACCACACTGTCTTCCACAATGGTTGAACTAATTTATACTCCCACCAACAGTGTAAAAACATTCCTATTTCTCCACATCCTCTCTAGCATCTGTTGTTTCCTGACTTTCTAATGATTGCCATTCTAACTGGAGTGAGATGGTATCTCATTGTGGTTTTGATTTGCATTTCTCTAATGACCAGTGATGATAAGGTATTTTTCATATGTTTGTTGGCTGCATAAATGTCTTCTTTAGAGAAGTGTCTGTTCATATCCTTTGCCCACTTTTTGATGGGGTTGTTTGTTTTCTTCTTGTGAATTTGTTTAAGTTCTTCGTCAATTCTGGATATTAGCCCTTTGTCAGATGGATAGATTGTAAAAATTTTCTCCCATTCTGTAGGTTGCCTGTTCACTCTGATGATAGTTTCTTTTGCTGTGCAGAAGCTCTTAAATTAGATCCTGTTTGTCAATTTTGGCTTTTGTTGCTATTGCTTTTGGTGTTTTAGCCATGAAGTCTTTGCCCACGCCTATGTGCTGAATGGTATTGCCCAGGTTTTCTTCTAGGATTTTCTTTTTTTTTTTTTTGAGACCGAGTTTCGCTCTTGTTGCCCAGGCTGGAGTGTAGCGGCGCGATCTTGGCTCACCGCAACCTCCACGTCCCAGGTTCAAGCGATTCTCCTGGCTCAGCCTCCCACCTCCTGAGTAGCTGGGATTACAGGCATGTGCCACCATGCCCAGCTAATTTTTTTGTATTTTTAGTAGAGACGGGGTTTCTCCATGTTGGTCAGGCTGGTCTCGAACTCCCGACCTCAGGTGATCCGCCCGCCTTGGCCTCCCAAAGTGCTGGGATTACAGGCATGAGCCACCGCACCCGGCCCCTCTTCTAGGGTTTTCATGGTTTTAGGCCTTGTGCTTAAGTCTTTAATCCATCTTGAGTTAATTTTTGTATAAGATGTAAGGAAGGGATCCAGTTTCAGGTTTCTGCATATGGCTAGCCAGTTTTCCCAACACCATTTATTAAATAGGGAATCCTTTCCCTATTGGTTGTTTCTGTCAGGTTTGTCAAAGATCAGATGGTTGTAGATGTGTGATGTTTTCTCTGAGGCCCCTGTTCTATTCCATTGGTCTATATATCTGTTTTGGTACCAGTACCATGCTATTTTTGTTACTGCAGACTTTTTTTTTTTTTTTTTTTTTTGAGACAGAGTCTCGCTCTGTCGCCCAGGCTGGAGTGCAGTGGCGCGATCTTGGCTCACTGCAAACTCCGCCTCCTGGGTTCACGCCATTCTCCTGCCTCAGCCTCCCAAGTAGCTGGGACTACAGGCGCCCGACGCAACGCCCGGCTACTTTTTTTATATTTTTAGTAGAGACAGGGTTTCACCGTGTTAGCCAGGATGGTCTTGATCTCCTGACCTCGTGATCCACCCACCTCAGCCTCCCAAAGTGCTGGGATTACAGGCATGAGCCACTGTGCCTGGCCTTACTGTAGCCTTATAGTATAGTTTGAAGTCAGGTAGCATGATGCCTCCAGCTTTGATCTTTTTGCTTAGGATTTTCTTGGCTATGCAGGCTCTTTTTTGGTTCTATATGAAATTTAAAGTAGTTTTCTCTAATTCTGCGAAGACAGTCAGTGGTAGCTTGATGGGGATAGCATTGAATCTATAAATTACTTTGGGCAGTATGACCATTTTCATGATATTGATTCTTCCTATCCATGAGCATGGAATGTTTTTTCATTTGTTTGTGTCCTCTCTTATTTCCTTGAGCAGTGGTTTGTAATTCTCCTTGAAGAGTTCCTTCACATCTTACAAGGGAAGAGTTACATCCCTTGTAAGTTGTATTCCTAGGTATTTTATTCTCTTTGTAGCAATTGTGAATGGGACTTCACTCATAATTTGGCTCTCTGTTTGTCTGTTATTGGGGTATAGGAATTCTTGTGGTTTTTGCACATTGATTTTGTATCCTGAGACTTTGCTGAAGTTGCTTATCAGCTTAAGGAGATTTTGGGCGGAGATAATGGGATTTTCTAAATATACAATCATGTCATCTGCAAACAGAGACAATTTGACTTCCTCTTTCCTAATTGAATCCCCTTTATTTCTTTCTCTTGCCTGATTGCCTTGGCCAGAACTTCCAACACTATGTTGAATAGGAGTGGTGAGAGAGGGCATCCCTGTCTTGTGCCAATTTTCAAAGGGAATGATTCCAGTTTTTGCCCACTCAGTATGATATTGGCTGTGGGTCCGTCATAAATAGCTCTTATTATTTTGAGATACATTCCATCAATACCTAGTTTATTGAGAGTTTTTAGCATGAAGGGCTGTTGAATTTTGTCGAAGGCCTTTTCTGCATCTATTGAGATAATCATGTGGTTTTTGTCATTGGTTCTGTTTATGTGATGGATTACATTTATTGATTTGTGTATGTTGAACCAGCCTTGCATCCCAAGTATGAAGCCAACTTGATTGTGGTGGATAAGCTTTTTGATGTGTTGCTGGATTTGGTTTGCTAGTTTTTTTTTGAAGATTTTTGCATGAATGTTCGTCAGGGATATTGGCCTGAAATTTTCTTTTTTTGTTATGTCTCTGCCAGGTTTCAGTATCAGGATGATGCTGGCCTCATAAAATGAGTTAAGGAGGATTCCCTCTTTTTGTATTGTTTGGAATAGTTTCAAAAGGAATGGTACCAGCTCCTCTTTGTATCTCTGATAGAATTTGCACTGTGAATCTGTCTTGTCCTGGCCTTTTTTTGGTTGGTAGGCTATTAATTACTGCCTCAATTTCAGAACTTGTTATTAGTGTATTCAGGGATTTGATTTCTTCCTGGTTTAGACTTGGGAGGGTGTATGCATCCAGGAATGCATCTATTTCTTCTAGATTTTCTAGTTTATTTGCATAGAGGTGTTTATAGTATTCTCTGATGGTAGTTTGTATTTCTGTGGGATCAGTGGTGATATCCCCTTTATCATTTTTTATTGCATCTATTTGATTCTTCTCTCTTTTCTTCTTTATTAGTCTGACTGCCAAGACCAGCTCAGTCAGGGAGACCCTAACCCAGCGGCGCTAGAGGAATTAAAGACAGACACAAAGAAATATAGAGGTGTGAAGTGGGAAATCAGGGGTCTCACAGCCTTCAGAGCTGAGAGCCCCCAGAGATTTACCCACATATTTATTAACAGCAAGCCAGTCATTAGCATTGTTTCTATAGATCTTAAATTAACTAAAAGTATCCCTTATGGGAAATGAAGGGATGGGCCGAGTTAAAGGAATACGTTGGGCTAGTTAACTGCAGCAGGAGCATGTCCTTAAAGCACAGCTCACTCATGCTATTGTTTGTGGCTTAAGAATGCCTTTAAGTGGTTTTCCGCTCTGGGTGGGCGAAGTGTTCCTTGCCCTCATTCCAGTAAACCCACAATCTTACAGCGTGGGCGTTATGGCCATCATGAACATGTTACAGTGCTGCAGAGATCTTGTTTATGGCCAGTTTTGGGGCCAGTTTATGGCCAGATTTTGGGGGGCTTGTTCCCAACGTCTGACTAGTAAGCTATCTATTTTGTTGATCTTTTTGAAAAACCAGCTCCTGGATTCATTGATTTTTTGAAGGATTTTTCATGTCTCTATCTCCTTCAGTTCTGCTATGATCTTAGTTATTTCTTGCCTTCTGCTAGCTTTTGAATGTGTTTGCTCTTGCTTCTCTAGTTCTTTTAACTGTGATGTTAGGGTATCAATTTTAGATCTTTCCTGTTTCTCTTGTGGGCATTTAGTGCTATAAATTTCCTTCTACACACTGCTTCAAATGTGTCCCAGAGATTCTGGTAAATGTGTCCCAGAGATTCTGGTACGTTGTGTCTTTGTTCTCATTGATTTCAAGAACATCTTTATTTCTGCTTTAATTTCATTAGTTACCCAGTAGTCATTCAGGAGCAGGTTGTTCAATTTCCATGTAGTTGTGTGGTTTTGATTGAGTTTCCTAATCCTGAGTTCTAATTTGATTGCACTGTGGTCTGAAAGACTGTTTGTTATGATTTCCATTCTTTTGCATTTGCTGAGGAGTGTTTTACTTCCAGTTATGTGGTTAATTTTAGAATAAGTGTGATGTGGTGCTGAGAAGAATGTATATTCTGTTGATATGGGGTGGAGAGTTCTGTAGATGTCTATTAGGTCTGCTTGGTCCAGAGCTGAGTTCAAGTCCTGGATATCTTTGTTAATTTTCTGTCTCACTGATCTGTCTAATATTGACAGTGGGGTGTTAAAATCTCCCACTATTACTGTGTGGGAGTCCAAGTCTCTTTGTATGTCTCTAAGAACTTGCTTTATGAATCTGGGTGCTCCTGTATTGGGTGCATATATATTTAGGTTAGTTAGCTCTTCTTGTTGCATTGATCGCTTTAGCATTATGTAATGCCCTTCTTTGTCTCTTTTGATCTTTGTTGGTTTAAAGTCTGTTTTATCAGAGACTAGGATTGTAACCCCTGCTTTTTTTGCTTTCCATTTGCTTGGTAAATATTCCTCCATCCCTTTATTTTGAGCCATGTGTGTCTTTGCATGTGAGATGGGTCTCCTGAATACAGCACACCGATGGGTCTTGACTCTTTATCCAATTTGCCAGTCTGTGTCTTTTAATTGGGGCATTTAGCCCATTTACATTTAAGGTTAATATTGTTATGTGTGAATTTGATCCTGCCATTATGATGCTAACTGGTTATTTTGCCTGTTAGTTGATGCAGTTTCTTCATAGCATTGATGATCTTTACAATTTGGTATGTTTTTGCAGTGGCTGGTACCAGTTGTTCCTTTCCATGTTTAGTGCTTCCTTCAGGAGCTCTTGTAAGGCAGGCCTGGTGGTGACAAAATCCCTCAGCATTTGCTTGTCTGTAAAGGATTTTATTTCTCCTTTGCTTATGAAGGTTAGTTTGGCTGGATATGAAATTCTGGGTTGAAAATTCTTTCTTTAAGAATGTTGAATATTGGCCCCCACTCTCTTCTGGCTTTCTAGGGTTTCTGTTGACAGATCCACTGTTAGTCTGATGGGCTTTCCTTTGTGGGTAACATGACCTTTCTCTGTGGCTGCCCTTAACATTTTTTCCTTCATTTCAACCTTGGTGAATCTGATGATTATTTGTCTTGGGGTTGCTCTTCTTGAGGAGTATCTTTGTGGTGTTTTCTGTATTTCCTGAATTTGAATGTTGGCCTGCCTTGCTAGGTTGGGGAAGTTCTTCTGGATAATATCCTGAAGCGTGTTTCCATTCTCCTCATCACTTTCAGGTACACCAATCAAATGTAGATTTGGTCTTTTCACATAGTCCCATATTTCTTGGAGGCTTTGTGTGTTTCTTTTCACTCTATCTTCTCTAATCTTGTCTTCTTGCTTTATTTCATTGAGTTGATCTTCAATCTCTGATATCCTTTCTTCCACTTGATCGATTTGGCTATTGATACTTGTGTATGCTTCACGAAGTTCTCGTGCTGTGTTTTTCAGCTCTATCAGGTCATTTATGTTCTTCTCTAAACTGATTATTCTAGTTAGCAATTCCTCTAACCTTTTTTCAAGGTTCTTAGCTTCCTTGCATTGGGTTAGAACATGCTCCTTTAGCTTGGAGGAGTTTGTTATTACCCACCTTCTGAAGCCTACTTCTGTCAATTCGTCAAACTCATTCTCCATCCAGTTTTGTTCCCTTGCTAGCAAGGAGTTGTGATTCTTTGGAGGAGAAGAGGTGTTCTGGTTTTTGGAATTTTCAGCCTTTTTGTGCTGGTTTCTCCCCATCTTCGTGGATTTATCTACCTTTGGTCTTTGATGTTGGTGACCTTTGGATGGGGTCTCTGAGTGGATGTCCTTTTTGTTGATGTTGATACTATTCTTTTTGTTAGTTTTCCTTCTAACAGTCAGGCCCCTCTGCTTCAGGTCTGCTGGAGTTTGCTGGAGGTCCTCTTCAGACCCTATTTGCCTGGGTATCACCATCAGAGGCTGCAGAACAGCAAAGTTTGCTGCCTGCTCTTTCTTCTGGGAGCTTCATCCCAGAGGGGCACCTGCCAGATGCCAGCCAGAGCTCTCCTGTATGAGGTGTCCGTAGGCCCCTACTGGGAGGTGACTCCCAGTCAGGATACATGGGGGTCAGGGACCAACTTGAGGAGGAAGTCTGTCCCTTATCAGAGCTCAAACGCTGTGCTGGGAGATCCGCTGCTCTCTTCAGAGCTGTCAGGCAGGGATGTTTAAGTTTGCTGAAGCTGTGCCCACAGCTGCTCCTTCCCCCAGGTGCTCTGTCCCAGGGAGATGGGAGTTTTATCTATAAGCCCCTGACTGGGGCTGCTGCCTTTTTTTCAGAGATGCCCTGCCCAGAGAGGAGGAATCTAGAGAGGCAGCCTGGCTGCAGCGGCCTTGCTGAGCTGTGGTGGGCTCCACCCAGTTCAAACTTCCCAGTGGCTTTGTTTACACTGTGAGGGTAAAGCTACCCACTCAAGTCTCAGCAATGGTGGATGCCCCTCCCCCAACCAAGCTCAAGTGTCCCAGGTTGACCTCAGACTGCTGTGCTAGCAGCAAGAATTTCAAGCCAGTGGATCTTAGCTTGCTGGGCTCCACTGGGGTGAAACCCGCCACACCAGACCACTTGGCTCTCTGGCTTCTGCCCCCTTTCCAGGGGAGTGAATGGTTCTGTCTCACTGGCATTCCAGGTTGCACTGGGGTATGAAAAAAAAAACTCCTGTAGCTAGCTTGGTGTCTGCCCAAATGGCCACCCAGTTTTGTGCTTGAAACCCAGGGCCCTGGTGGTGTAGGCACCGGAGGGAATCTCCTGCTCTGCCAGTTGCGATGACCATGGGAAAAGCGCATTATCTGGGCCAGAGTGCACCATTCCTCCCAGTACAGTCTCTCACGGCTTCCCTTGGCTGGGGGAGGGAAATCCCCCGACCCCTTGTACTTCCCAGGTGAGGTGATGCCCCACCCTGCTTCAGCTCGCCCTCTGTGGGCTGCACCCACTGTCCAACCAGTCCCAGTGAGATGAACTGTGTACCTCAGTTGGAAATGCAGAAATCACCTGCCTTCTGTGTCGATCTCACTGGGAGATGCAGACTGGAGCTGTTCCTATTCAGTCATCTTGCTAGCAAATCAAAACAAGTGAGTTTTATGGTATGTAAATTATACCCCCAGCAAAGCTGTTTAAAAAAATAAATAAGTCCAGAACGAAGAAGTTAGTGCCTTGCTGCTGCCCAGGGAGTAAATACAATGCTTTAGCAGAAATGTCAGGGCACTGTTCAATTTTCCTACATCTATCAGATCATGTCAGATAGAAGTTCTGAGGGACGCCCAAGAAACCATCCTGATTAGACTACACAAAGTCTGTGCAGACACAGTGAATTCTCCTTACCTTGGGGCCATCCAGCCTTAATGCTTTGTTGTACGTATGTGTAGAGGAAGACGTGTGCTTCAGTGGCAAATTATAGCATGCTTTTCTACATGGCAGATTCTAATTCCTTGGGAGTTATTGTACAACACTGTATCTTATAGGTAGCAGATACAAATGCAAAATGGTTTTTGTCTATAGACATGCAAATTCTGTCCTGTCCAGCAGAAGTGCAACTGACTTCTTTCCCCCACTGTGGAGGAAGTGAGTGTTGCCTGCATTTGCACATTCATTGCAATATTCCGGCTAAATAAATGTGTCTGCTCTTTGGCTTTTCCTTTTTTTAAGTTTATTTTTTATTTATTTTATTTTTTAAGACAGAGTCTCACTCTGTTGCCCAGGCTGGAGTGTAGTGGTGCGATCTCGGCTTACTGCAACCTCTGCCTCCCGGGTTCAAGCGATTCTCCCTCCTCAGCCTCCCGAGTAGCTAGCTGGGACTACAGCCATCCGTCACCATGCCTGGCTAATTTTCGCATTTTTAGTAGAGATGGGGGTTTCACCATTTTGGCCAGGCTGGTCTCGAACTCCTGACCTTGTGATCTGCCCACCTCAGCCTCCTAAAGTGCTGGGATTACAGGTGTGAGCCACTGCGCCTGGCCTTTTTATTTTTTATTAGAAGAGATAGGGTCTCACTATGTTGCCCAGGCTGGACTCAAACTGCTGGCCTCAAGTGATTCTCCTACTGCTGCATCCTAAAGTGCTGGCACTACAGGTGTGAGCCACAGCACCCAGCCTGACTTCTCCTTTGAAACGATTTTAATTTTAGTATATGTGCTGCCAAAGCGAGCACATGAACCAGTTTTAATACTAGACTGATTCCTGAATTCTGAGTTAAGCAAAATCTTTAACATGTTCATTTTTTTTCTGAATAAGAATAATGATTTTATCTTTTTATGTAAATTACTTTTAACACATTGGTTTTTAATTTTTTTTTAAAGAGCAGTTTTAGGTTCACAACAAAATTGAGCAAAAAAGACAGAGAGCCCCTATAAGGCCCTGCAACCCCTCTTCAGCTATCCCCACTACTGACATCTGGCACCAGAGTTTTATAATTTGTTATAATTTATTAGAATTGATGTGTTTACACTGACACATCATTATTATCCAAAGTCCACTTAATGTTTTTAAATATCAATAAGTTTTTTGTCATCTTCATAAAATCTCAAGGTAACCTTTCTAGGAATCATTCTATCTATCTATGGTCTAGATTAAATCCCCTAAACAAGCGAATTCAGCCTGCCCTTTCAGAATTCTGCCTTGACAGTTTATTTCTGCCTGGGTGTGCTGCATGTTATAATAGAATGGCAATCTCCATCCACAGAGAAGCCAGTGGGAATCCTTAGAGAGCGAGAGGGTAATGTTCCTCTTTCAACTCTCTGTATCAAGCATGCATATATTCTTGTGCTTTATTTCATAAAAGAATTAAAATGAATTGAACTGAATCTCATTTCACAATTCACTTGGTTGCTTGCACCAGAAGCCTGTAATCATTTTAGACTCTCTCTTTCCTTCTCTTATTTTTTGGTATTCAACAAATCTCCATCAGGGACTTACTGCCCATGTACCTAACCTGGGCAGTAAGGTCTGCACTACCAGACCCTGGAGATAAAATAATGCGTGCAGTCCCATTCATGTGGAGCTCATGATAGATAGATAGGGGATACAACAATCACATAATCACACAAAGATATCATGAAAACATACTGTGAAAGATACCCATAGGTCCGGTTTGGTGGTTCATGCCTGTAATCCTAACATATTGGGAGGACAAGGCAGGTGGATTGCTTGAGCCCAGGAGTTTGAGATCAGCCTAGGCATCAAGGCAAAACCCCTCTACAAAAAATACAAAAATTAGCCAGGCATGGTGGTGTGTGCCTATAGTCCCAGCTACTTGGGAGGCTGAGGTGGGAGGATTGCTTGAGCCCAGGAGGTTGAGGTTGCCTTGAGCTGTGATTGTGCCATTGTACTCCAGCCTGGGCAACAAAGTGAGACCCTGACTCAAAAAAAAAAAAAAAAAAAGAAAAAGAAAAAAAAGAAACCCATGACTTAAAGCAGGGTCCCTGATTTAGGGGAGTAGGGTGGGGGGTCAGGGAAGGCTTCTCTAAAGAAATGACATTTGGGCTGGAACCTGAAGAATGAATGAAGGTGGCCAAGGGGTGTGTGTGTGTGTGTGTGTGTGTGTGTGTGTGTGTGTGTGTGGTGTATGCACAGAATGGGTGTGGCAGTTAAGTAGATCTGACCAGAGGGCAGCTAGGGGAAATTCTGTGAGGAGGGAAAGAGCATTCTGGTTGCTACAAGGTCACCATGGCTAGAGTTGGGGCAGAGAATAGAGAAGTGAGGCTGGTGAACTAGACAGAGGTCAGTCACTGGAGGTCTACGTTTTTTTTGTGTGTGTGTGTGTTTTTTTTTTTTTTTGAGATGGAGTCTTGCTCTGTCTCCCACGCTGGAGTGCAATGGCGCAATCTCAGTTCACTGCAACCTCCACCTCCCAGGTTCAAGCGATTCTCCTGCCTCAGCCTCATGAGTAGCTGGGACTACAGGCATGTGCCACCACACCTGGCTAATTTTTGTATTTTTTAGTACAGACAGGGTTTTGCCATGTTGGGCAGGCTGGTCTTGAACTCCTGACCACAAGTGATCCACCTGCCTTGGCCTCCCAAAGTGCTGGGATTACAGGCATGAGCCACACTTTGGTCTATTTTAAGAGCAAAAGGAGGCCATTAAAATATTTGCATACTTTATAAAATACTCCAAATTTGAAAAGATCATTTTATGGAGTATGGTTGGGTGATTGTGGCAGTGGAGTTTGAAAGAAATGGAGGGACACAGGAGATATTCAGAGAATAAAATAGAAAGGAGTAGGTGATGGGCTAAATGTGGGAGGAAATACTGGAGAGGGGTGAGTGAAGGTGAGTCCTAGATTAGCAGCTTGAACCACCAGCTGGGATCTCTCACTGAAGCTGGAAACACCAGAGGAGGCTATATTCCCTCATTCCCTGTTTTAGTCTCAGCAAATCCCTCTAGCTTATCTCATTGGGTTTGATTCCTTGCTTGAAGGCAGTGAGTGGTCACTCTCCTGTCCCTAGAAAATGACCAGCATACTCCCAAGACAAATGAAGATTTTTCAAAATAAAAGCCAGGAGAGGGGGCTGTCTTGTGCAACATCTCTTTCAGGTCCAACTACACAAATGCCCCTGAACAAAGACACATTTAAAACTGGCCAGCTTCTTGAAATGGGGAATGGAAAATGCTGAGAGAAAGAAAAAACATTGAGTTGGAAAAAATAAGTAAGAGGAAAGTGGAATTTGTAGTTCAGGAACTTAGAAGGCGAGAAAAGTCATCTCTTGATGATAATTCCCAATAGGTCACATCCAATTAATCACCAAATTCTATTGATTCTGCTTTCTTAATAATTTTTGAGTTTCTTAATAATTTGTGAATTGACCCTGTCACCCCTAGTTTCACTGCATGAAGTTATACAGATAAGACAGGAAGTTTCCTGACTTCTAGCTGTGAAGACTTCATTTCACCATCTTTATCCAGAGTGGGTGACCACATTCTCACAGCTTCTTTACCTGAATTTCTGTAAAACCAGTGATATCAGGATGGTGTTTGGCTGTAGGTAGCAGAAAAACCCAAACATAGTAGCTTAACCAAAGAGAAATGAACAGTACAGAGCAAGAGGCAGCAGCTTGAAGAAGTTATCAAGGATCCAGGTACACCCCCAAAGCTGCATTCCAGGTAGGAAGATGAAGTGAGAAGGGAAGATGGTTTCTGATCAGGAAAGTAGAACATTTCTAGAAATTCCCAGTAGACTTGCACTTTTGCCAGAACTGTTGTCACAGCTACCTTAACAGCAAGGGAACATAGGGAATATAAATACTAAGCAGTGGATTTTTTTTCCAGTGGTTGTTTTGTTTTTTACTATAAGGAAGATGGGGAGAATGAATAAGCGCTAGGTCAATGATAGTATCTACACACAAGGCCCTTCAGGATTTGGCCCCTGACTCTTTCTAAAACTATCCCCCTTCTCTCTCCTTCAGGCCCCATTGCTCCAGGCATACCTGCAAGTCTCTAAATTTACCATGCTGTCACAAGTCCATACAGCTCTGCACACGTTTGTTTGTTTGTTTTTTCCTGGATTGCTGTTTTTCTTTCCTTCCAAACTAGATCCTAGTTTTCTTTCAGACTTCAACAGCAGTGTAATTTCTTCTCACAAGTCTTTCTGGTCTCCTCTTCTCTTTTCCTATAGTTTCTCCAGTTTATCTCTCTCTTAGGTGGCACTTCTCATGCCACACTCTGATAATTGGTTTGCTGGGTCATGAGCTGCTCAAGAGTAGAGACCGTATTTCACTCAATGCTACTCACAACAGTGTGAGTCATTAGGAAATGTTTGCTGAACAAATAAATCCAGCCCTATGTTCACTTTCCTTAGCGGCTGCTGTGATTGGAATGTGTCCCTCAAAGTCCATGTGTTGAGAACATAATCTCTAATGCAACAGTGTTGGGAGGTGGGCCTTCCTAAGGGGTGATTAGATCTTGAGGCCTTCTGGCCTCATGGATGGATTAATGTTGCCATCTCAGGAGTGGGTGAGTCATGATGAGAGTGGGTTTGTTATATAAGCGAGTTCAGCTGTCTTGTTTGCTTGCTCTCTCTAGCACATGCTCTCTTGCCCTTCCACTTCCTGCCAATGAGATGACCAGTATGAAGGCCCTCACCAAACGCAGCCCCTGGATCTTGGACTTCCCAGCCCTTAGAATCATGAACCAAATAAAGTTCTACTGTTTATAAATTATGCAGTTTGTGGTATTCTGTTATAGCAAAAATGGACTAAGACAGTGACCTAGTCACATCCATCTTCCTCACCTTTACTTTCACTCACTGCAAATTAGACATGAAGTTACACAGACGAGACAGGAACGTTTTTGACTCCGCACTATAGCTTGGTGCATTGGTTTTCTAGAGCTGCCATAACAAAGTACCACAGACTGGGTAGCTTAAACAACAGAAATTCATTTTCTCATAGTTCTGGAGACTGGAAGTCCAATGTCAAAGTGTCAGCAGGGTTGGTTTCTTCTGTCTCTCTCCTTGGCTTGCAGATGACTGCCTTCTTGCTGTGTTCTCATGTGGCCTTTCCTCTGTATGCACACATGTCTTGTGTGTCTCCTTGTGTGTCCAGATGTCCTCTTCTTATAAAGACACATGCACTTTGGATTAGGGCCCACCCATAGGACCTCATCCTAATTTAATCAACTTGTTTAATTTAATCATCATATCTTCAGTACAGTCCTATCCTGAGACACTGTGGGTTAGGATTCCAGCATGATTTTCTGGGGGGAGGGGCACAATTCAGTCCATAAAACTTAGTCTTCTCCATGTGCTGATTCCCACAAAGGACCCAGTGAGTGGCAGGCTCCATCGGGAAACTCATTCCAAGTCCTGGCCTTGCCCTAAAGTAGGGGAATTTGGAATTATTGCTCCTTTCTAGAGTAGATCAGTGTAAAGAGGGGCCCATGATATGTACTGAACAACCCCAACCCTTGTGGGAAGCCCCAGAGGACAGCCAGGACACTGGAGAAGGAGACATGGCAAATGCTTCACCATTATCTTTTAAGGATCTTTGGAGTAGCTGAGAGCATCAACCTCCTTTTCTACAGAATATTTTCCAAACCGAGAGGAAAGTAAAATTTTCTTGATTCTCCCTTCCTTTCCTAACCTCGTCTATCTGGCACTGGTGGAAATTGCAAAAGATAATAAGGTAAACAAAACACAAAGAGGCAGAAACATAGTTTGCACCATGGACTCTTGCATAAGTGAAAAGCGGGCAAAGAGTGTGCCTTGTTCATTTGCAGAGACTTTGCAGCCTGTTACGAACTGAATGTTTGTGTCCCCCTATCCCCAAATTCATATATTGAAGCCCTAACCTTCAGGATTTAGAGTAACAAAGTAATTTAGGTTAAATGAGGTCTTAAGGGAGGGCTCTGATTCAATAGGATTAGTGTCTTTATAAAAAGAGACACTAAGAAGAGTTTTTTCTCAGGCTCTCTCCATTCACATACCCAGGAAAGGCCGTATGAGGACACAGTGAGAAGGTGGCAGGAAGAGACCCATCACCAGAAACCAAATTGACCAGAACCTTGATCTTGGACTTCTAGCCGCAGAATGATGAGAAAATAACTTGCTACTGTTTTAGCCACCCAGCCTATGATTTTTGTTATTGGCAACCTAAGTAAAATAAGACACAGCTTTGGGATATGCTTTCTACATAGTGAGTAGTCAATGAATGTCAAATGTGTAGATATATAATGATTTGTTTATAAAAAAGAGTTCTGTTAAAAATAACTATCTGAAGATTGTGACTATGGGTGATTTTCATTTGGTTACTTACTTTTCCATATAATCTGAACTCTTTACAGTATAGGTATATTACACTGTAAAGTTTTTTAGAAAGAAATTTTAAAAGCCTTATCTCATACATAGCTAGATGGCTTAATACTCACGACACAGTAGGATGTAGTCATGGGTCACAGAGACAATGTTCTGGATCTTAGAGCAGCAGACACATCCCTTGTGGGCTGCGCATGATGTCTCCTAACAAGGCAAAGCCGTCTGTTAGGGTGAATTTTCTGAAAGTCTGCTTATATATGCTAGGATGGATGTCACAGGTGTGAGCTCTGTAAGGCTGGGGACAGTGTCTGGTTTTGCTCATCATTATATTCTCAGTACCTAGGACAGTGGCACATAGCAGCTAATTTTTTCTGTTAAAAGAAAATAAAAACCATCATTCAATGATTAACTACGCAGAGTAATAAATATTCGATGAACAATCAAATGAATGACTGAAGGGCATCCCAGACATGAAGTGATTATTTCTTTTGAAATTTCAGAGTGAATATATCTGACAAGAATCAAGTTACAGGAGGTCGAGGTGGGGAAATGAAGGAGGGCCCGGGTGGCATGCAGAGGAATAAACCACTGCTTGAACCCCACTTTCTGAATTGCCGAGCTACTGTCCCTTGTTCTCTTCAGTACACTGTTGCCAATTGTTGGGAGCCCCTAAAATTCGGAATTAATGAACCTATCTGGTTATGGAGATCCTGGCTTGTTGGGAATTAAGTTCAAGAAGGCTTAAGATTTCAATATAATTTGTGTGCTAGGGACCTCTTGTGGTAACTCTGTGTACTTTATCTTTCAGCACCTAGAAATAGACACGCATGCGTGCGCGCACATCCCCCCCCCCCCCACTTCAAAGTGAAAGAATTATTATTATTTGGAAATATTTTTAAAATGTTATTTTTAACATGTTAAATGTTAAAAATGTAAAAATACAAATATTCAATAAATGTCTAAAATTTTTCAATATCTCTTGTAAAGAGATTTAGGCGGGGCATGATGGCTGTAATCCCAGTACTTAGGGATGCCAAAGCAGGAAGATCAAGACCAGGAATTTAACACCAGCCTGGGCAACAAAGTGAGACCCTGTCTATACAAACAAACAAATGAACAAAACACAAAACAAAACTGGTGTGGTGGTGGTGGCACGCATCTGTGGTCTCAGCTACTTTGGAGGATGAGGCAGGAGGATTGCTCAAGCCCAGGAGTTTGAGGCTGCAGTGAGCTATGATCATTCCACTGTACTCCAGCCTGGGCAAAGGGGCAAGACCTCATCTCTCTCTAAAAGAAAAATAAATTTAAATTAAAGGATGTGTTTGTCTTAAAGAATTTTAAAAAGGACTAGTCCCAGTGTCAAGATGAAGAAAACAGGCATTCCTGTATGTTTGGTAGGAGTGTATATGGACACAACAATGAGTACAACCACTTATTGGGGAAAAAATTAGGCCTTACAATTTCTTTAAAATGTTCATATTTCCTGACCCAGTAATTCCACTTCTAGGAAATTTTCCAGTAGGAAAGATAGAAAATACAGATAGGTTTCGCATATTAGGATTTTCATCAAGTTATACAGTAGAAAAAACAAGCCAAAAAAAGAAGATAGTTCAGTAAATTATATATTCATATAAAGTGATATTACTTACTTAAAATTGTGGTTTCAATTAATATTTATTGACATGGAAGAATACTTTTTTTGAGATGGAGATTCACTCTTGTCACCATGGCTGGAGTGCAACAGAGCCATCTTGGCTCACTGCAACCTCCGCCTCTCGGGTTCAAGTGATTCTCCTGCCTCAGCCTCCTGAATAGCTGGAATTACAGGCGCCTGCCACCATGTCTGGCTAATTTTTTGTATTTTTAGTAGAGATGGGGTTTCACTATGTTGGCCAGGCTGGTCTCGAACTCCTGACCTTGTGATCTGCCCGCTTGGCCTCTCAAAGTGCTGGAATTACAGGAGTGAGCCACTGCACCCGGCCAACATGGCAGAATACTTATATGTGAAGGGAGTAAAGCAGAACATAGATCAATTACAACTGTAATTTATATATATACATGACAGATGGAAGAAAGGAAAGAAAGAGAAGGAAGCAAGGTTGGAAGGAAGAGAGGGAAGGAAGGAGGAAAGACATGAAAGAAGAAAGAAAGATGAAGCTGGAATGCTAACAGGTATTATTTTTGTGGGGAAGTGTATTGAGCCATTTTCTATTTCCTTCCTTAAACTTCTCTGCATTTACCAAAATTTAGACAATAAATATTCCATCAAAAAAATTAAACAAGTAATATATAGTCTTATTATAAAACATTAGTTTGGATTTTACATTTTTAAACTTAGAGCCATACTATTTATAGATATTGTTCTAAAACTAGCTTTTCTCATTGTATCTTTTGGAGATAGTTCTATCTCAGGCTTTACAGTTCAGACTCACTCAAATAAATATATATTTTTTTATTCTGAGAAACTTTTAGTTGTTTTTGTTTTGTTTTAAGACAGGGTCTCACTCTGTCACCCAGGCTGGAATGCAGTGGAAGAATCTGGGCTCACTGCAACCTCCAGCCTCCTGGGCTCAAGCAAACCTCCCGCCTCAGCCTCCCGAGTAGCTGGGACTACAGGCGCCCGCCACCACACCTGGCTAATTTTTTTGTATTTAATGTATTTTCTGTGGAAAACTGGAAGTTGGAGTACCTTTCAAAAAATTAGGTTTTTTTTTTTTTTTTTTTTGAGACAGAGTCTCACTCTGTTGCCTAGGCTGGAGTGCAATGGCGTGATCTCTGCTTACTGCAACCTCTGCCTCCTGGTTTCAAGTGATTCACCTGCCTCAGCCTCCTGAGTAGCTTAGCAGAGGCTTACCACCATGCCCAGCTAATTTTTGTATTTTTAGTAGAGCTGGAGTTTCACCATGTTGGTCAGGCTGGTCTTGAACTCCTGACCTCAGGTGATCCGCCCAGCTCAGCCTCCCAAAGTTCTGGGATTACAGGTGTGAGCCACTGCGCCTGGCCAAAATTAATTAGTTTTTTTTTTAAGTGAAAACTACACACACACACACACACACACACACACACACACACACACACACACACGGTAAAAGATGAAAGCAGTCCAAAAACCACTGTTCCTCTTACCTCAGATCCCTAGGTCTCCTTTCTCTCTCTCCAGAAGAAACTGTTAGCAGTTACAGATGTACTCCACTAGCATATTATTTGCGTAAAAATAGTGAGTCCAAATCCGTCTCTGACCCCCTTTACTAAAACACAAGTGGGAATGTACTATATACATACTCTCCAATGCCATGGGATTTTAACAAAATATAACAATATATCTAGTAGACTTTAAAAAAAAACACATAATGGGACTTCAGAAGAATTAAAAAAATAAGTTGGGAATATTTACATTACTGGCAATATGATAAATATGTTGAAAACTATTTCCGCTATAAAAATATAAATGCTACATAAAATACAATTTTTAAAAACACATGTGGCTGAGTTAGTAAAAAGTGAGGGACCAGCTCTATGGGAGGCCGAGGCAGGCGGATCACGAGGTCAGGAGATCGAGACCATCCTGGCTAACACGGTGAAACCCCGTCTCTACTAAAAATACAAAAAATTAGCCGGGTGCGGTGGCGGGTGCCTGTAGTCCCAGCTACTCAGGAGGCTGAGGCAGGAGAATGGCGTGAACCCGGGAGGCGGAGCTTGCAGTGAGCAGAGATCGCGCCACTGCACTCCAGTCTGGGCGAGAGAGTGAGACTCCGTCTCAAAAAAAAAAAAAGTGAGGGAAATGAAACAAGGGTAGGAGCCCAGAGAACTGTGGAGTGAGGGCTGAAGATGTCAGCTCTCCCGAGGGCATCAGCTCCTCCCTGAGCCATCTTGAGTTCCTGCTGTCTTGTTAAAATTGTGGTAAATTGGCCAGGCCCGATGGTTCACGCCTGTAATCCCAGAGCTTTGGGAAGCCGAGGCAGGAGGATCAGGAGGTCAGGAGTTTGAGACCAGCCTGACCAACATGGTGAAACCTCGTTTCTACTAAAAATACAAAAATTAACCGGGCGTGATGGCATGCACCTGTAATCCCAGCTACTCGGGAGGCTGAGGCAGGAGAATCGCTTGAATCCGGGAGGCGGAGGTTGCCGCGAGTGGAGATCACGCTACCGCACTCCAGCCTGGGTGACAGAGCGAGACTCCATCTAAAAATAAATAAATAAATAAATAATATAAAAAAATAAAAAAAATTGTGGTAAATTATACAGAACATGAGGCTTACCATTTTAACCATTTTTAAGTGTCCAATTCAGTGGCATTAAGTACATTCACCATGTCGTGTAACTATCACCACTATTTCTGAAACTTTATTTCCTGAAACAGAAACTCTGTCACCATTAAGCAATAATCCCCGTCTCCCTGTCCCCAGCCCGCCCCTGGAAACTACTATTTTCTTTTTCTATGAATTCAGTTGTTCTAGATACCTTGTAGAAGTGGAATCATACAATCCTTGCCATTTTGTCTGGCTTACTATACTTAACATAATGTTTTCTTTTCTTTTTTTTTTCGAGACGGAGTCTCGCTCTGTCACCCAGGCTGGAGTGCAGTGGCGCGATCTCGGCTCATTGCAAGCTCCGCCTCCCGGGTTCTTGCCATTCTCCTGCCTCAGCCTCCCAAGTAGCTGGGACTACAGGCGCCCGCCACCACGCCAGGCTAAATTTTTTTGTATTTTTAGTAGAGACGGGGTTTCACCGTGGTCTCGATCTCCTGACCTCGTGATCCGCCCGCCTCGGCCTCCCAAAGTGCTGGGATTACAGGCGTGAGCCACCGCGCCCGGCTTAACATCATGTTTTCAAGGTTCATCCATGTCGTAGTGTGTATCACAAGGTCAATTTTGATATGGCTAAACAATATTTTATTGTATGAATATACCACATGTTGCTTATCTGTTCATCTGTCTACGGATACTTTTGTTATTACTTAATTTTAGAGATGAGCCTTGCTCTGTCGCCCAGGCTGGAGTGCAGATCATAGTACACTGCAACCTTAAACTCCTGGGCTCAAGTGATCCCCCGTCTCAGCCTCCCAAGTGGCTGGCACTATAGGCATGAGCCACTGTGCCTGGCTCAGTAATTACTTTAATAGATTAAACATGCCAATTAAAAGACACAGATTGGCTGAATGGATTTTTTTTAAAGGGTGGATAAAGATACTCCATGGGAATTGTCAAGTTTTTGTTGTAAAGTCTATTTAGTCTGATGTAATTATGGTTACCCTACTCTCTTTAGGTTCCTGTTTGCATGAAATATCATTTTTTACCCTTTCACTTTTAGCCTATGGGTGCCCCTTAGGTCCAAAACGATTCTGTTGTAGACAGCACACAGTTAGATCTTGTACAAAATAACTTGGAGAATGCATCTATAGGTTATAATTAAAGTCTTATAATAGCTGGGTGCAGTGGCTCACGCCTGTAATCCCAGCACTTTGGGAGGCTGAGCGGGGGTGGATCACCTGAGGTCAGGAGTTTGAGACCAGCCTGGCCAACATGGTGAAACCCCATCTCTACTAAAATTACAATAAAATTAGCTGGGCGTGGTGGTGGGCCCCTGTAATCCCAGCTACTTGGGAGGCTGAGGCAGGAGAATCACTTGAACACAGGAGGGGGAGGTTGCAGTGAGCCAAGATTGTGCCATTGCACTCCAGCCTGGGCGACAAGAGCGAGACTCCATCTCAAAAAAACAAACAAACCAACAAAAAAACTCCTACAGTGAAAACTTTACTACAATAAGGGTGCTTGCTTGGACAAGGATGTTCAAACACATATACACAAGAACGCTCAAAATGTATCAGCTTCAATTCTTTCAGAGTGAGCCAAAATAATTTAGGGGAAAAATTATTTTGACTAAAAATTACATAATGAAATAATGACTAATAATGACAGAAGCATTACAATCTAAGCACCATGAGGACCATGCTAGATTTTTTTTTTTTTTTTTTTTGAGGCAGGCTCTCACTTTCTTGCCCAGGCTGGAGTGCAGTGGTGTGATCATGGCTCACTGCAAATTTGAACTTGTGGGCACAGGCAATTCTCCTATCTCAGCCTCCCAAGTAGCTAGGATTACAGGAGTGTGCCACTATGCTCAGCTAATTTTGTAATTTTTGTACAGGTGAGGTCTTTCCGTTAGCCAGGCTAGTCTCCAACTCCTGGCCTTAGCAATCCTCCCACCTCGGCCTCCCAAAGTGCTGCTGGCATTCTAGGCATGAGCCACCACTCCCAGCCAAAAAATCCTTCTAATCAGAAGTTCATTTTGAGGTATTTACGTTGATGGTAGTGTTTTGTTGTCACTGAGCACAACTTTGTCCCCAACCCTTTTTAACAGACACAAAGTAGACATCAAGTGGCTAAGGTGGTATACTGAATTTCTACTCTTCTAAGATTTTTAAAAATAATCAAATATTTGTAAGACAGCTAGCAACCTCATGAGCAAAAAAAAAAAAAAAAAAAAAAAGATCTGAAAGCTTTGTAGGATAAATTCAGAATTCTTTTTTTCACCTCTAGATGGTGCAAACTAAAAGTAATTTCTGTTTGTCAGGGTTTAGCTATGATAGATGAGTCCTAATACCTTTAGGTTTACTTTTCCTGTGTAACTATATAAAAGGCATTCCTGGCCTTATTTATCACAGTTTGCTTAGTTTATTTCTGAATACACTTACTTATGACCTATAGAAGTCTTAATAAATATGGAAGATCAATTTTACTAAATGCTCCTAATTGTCACTTTTTTTTTTTTTTTTTTTTTTTTGAGATGGAGTCTGGCTCTCGCCCAGGCTGGAGGGCAGTAGTGCAATCTCGGCTCACTGCAACCTGTGCAGTAGAGACAGGGTTTCACCATGTTGGTCAGACTGATCGTAAGCTCCTAACCTCGTGATCCGCCTGCCTCGGCCTCTCAAAGTGCTGGGATTATAGGATTACCACCACGCCTGGCTCAGTCTCAGGCATTTCTAACAATGCAAGAACGGCCTAACACAGCCAGTACCTCTCATCCATGGAGTTGTCGCTGCTTTCCTGAGGGCAATGTTTGTCCTTCGGTGGCAACTTAATAACTGCTGACTGACCTTGAACTCTCTCTCAGAGCATATGGAATGCCATCAGTTTATCTTCTACACAATTCAAAGTATTACTTCTAAATGTGAAGAAGTAATGGGCCATATTTTCCACTTTGAGCATATGTTGTAAAATGATGAGATAGCTCAGAGTTTGAAATCTTAACCAACTAATGCCTACTATAAGCATTTCCCTAGGAAATTTATATCTGTATAACACTGGTCTGTAGGACAAAAATTAAGGAGCAATTGATGTGATTTTGACAAGAAGCTGTTCCACAAATTCTATTTTTTAGTCGTTAGCCAACTGAAATAAGGTCTTAAAAGCAATATTCTGGGGACAAGCCCTAAAGACCCTCCAAGTACATTGGGATCATATTGTCTGGGCCAAACAAGACAATAATATCTATGCCATCCCAACTGAGTAAGTTTATATATGTGAACCACAGACCTGACTGAAGACAATTCCAAGAGGTTGAGCATTTTACAAAATATTTTATCTCTCTGGAATCTGAAGGTTTCAACATTTAAAAATTTTCATGTTAGATACTCATATATGCCAGTAAATTTGCATTTGTATATGATTTGAACTATGAGGTTTTGAACAGATTATTTCAACAAAGCAATGTACTAGTTCTGAAATTATTCTTATTTTAAATATCATTTGCATTTCTGTAAATGGAAAATTATATAAAAAATTCTAGCTCTTTTGACTGTCATTAGTATTTGACTAACACTGACTCCCCAAAGCCCTAAAAGAAAATAGCAGGAGTTGAAATTTCAGTTGCATTGGAGAAAATATGTACTTTGTTCCCTTAGAAATAAAGGAGAGCATGTTAGATGACCAGCCATGAAGAAGCTTGTCTCAATATGTTTTCTTTTGAAGCTCTAAGATAAAATAAGAGCTGTGCATATTACTGGGTATGAAAACCATCATGAACAAAAATCCAACACTGAGTGTTGCCGAAATGATACCAGTGTTGGTACAGAATTATATGGACAGGATAGGGGGCATTCATTATCCCAGATACTTCACTTTCCATGCTCAGCAGTGTGAACATGTAAGTAAATTGTAACTTATTACTTGCGGGTCAATTGATTTCCCACTGGCACATCTCTGGATTCATTTCTATTGGGTCTCCTCTTAGACAGTTTTTACAGAGCCTCAAAATGCGTATAGCCTGGAGGAGGCCATCAGTGTCTTAATTCACAACCTGGTGTGTGTGTGTGTGTGTGTGTGTGTGTGTGTGTGTGTGTGTGTGTGTGTAGAGAGAGAGAGAGAAAAAAAAGGAGGAAGAGAGAGAGAGAGACAGAGAAAGGGACGGAGAGGAAATTGTTCTCTTTCTCCTACTCCCTCAGAAGAGGGGGCATGGAGCTGTGGGAAAGGTGGGGCCCTCCAGGAGGCTAGAACCCTGCACCACCTGAAAGAGTCAGGAGGGCCCAAGTGTCTCGTCTCCTGAGGGTGTGTGTGTGTACACTACCATCGTGTGTCCAGGAGGAGATTCCTGTCCTAGAAGGGATTTCTCCTCCAACATTCCTTCTCCCTTGGGTAACCAAGTGAGGTGCTGAAACCCATCCTCTTAATTAACAGAGGTGCTCTGGGAGGCCTGAAGTCTCTTCAGACTGCTGGCTCAAACAGACCTGAGAGTGGCTGCATTTGTTTTTATGAAGCCCTACATGTGATCAGAGCTGCTCTGGGCAGCCCCAGACTATAGGCCTGAATAGAAAAATATCCTCTCTCTGATCCAGGATCCACTAGCAAAATGAGCAAGGGTTTTGTTTTTTCCTCTGGTGAAGGGAGGAACTCATCAAGTAGTTAATATGCACTACTTGACTTGATGCAGGGAAATACAGAAAACCATGAAATTTACATTTATATGACTTTATGAGAAAAGGCAGATAAACACTGCACTCGCATCCACTGAAATGGTTTGCGCACTGGAAAGTCTAACTCGTGGAAATTACCTCTCCGACTGTCATTCCTAACATTGTGAGGCTTGAGAATTCATAAACAAAATATGATGGCATCTTCCTGAACCACAGTACCCAAGTTGCTTTGCCGTGCATACAAATTCTGGAGGAATTAGATGAAATAGAGTGTAGCTTTTGCTAAAGAAGCTAGAGCATGCTTCTATATGAAGCAACAAAACTTTTCCAAGTTTTGAAAGATAGACTTGTGACATCCCAGATTGGTTGTTATTATTGGTTCTATAGCAATTGTCTTCCTTCTTTGGTAGAAACATGTGGAAGATGAGATAATGTATTTAAGCCATTTGTTGATGTTTTCCAGTCTAATCACCCTTGTTTGCTTGACAGCATTGTTGGTATGTTGGTGATATGGTAAAATATAAACTCCATCTGCAGTTATCAAAGCTTTAGTACCTCATCCTCCCATCTGAGCTAATGGATGACGTTCTAACTAACCAACAGTGGCACTTTGTGGCTGGCTCAAACTCAGATCGTTTTCCAAAGATGATGTTAGGAACATTTGTTTAGCATGTAGCATACAATCAGGAGCTATTTTTCTTTACTATATTTTTCTCTTGTTTGTTTTCTTTCCTTTCTGGATATTCTGTTTTGTCTTTGCCTATTTCTCTGGTTCACAAAGGGTCCCTTCAGTTATAATGTTAGGAGGCCTTCAGAGTTTTGGCTTCTTTTTCTCCTTCTTCCCCTTCTCCTCCTCTTCCTTTTCTTTCTTTCCTTCCCTTCCTCCTTTCCTTCTTCCTTTTTCCTTCCTTCCTTCCTTTCCTTCCTCCCTCCCTCCCTTTCTCCCTCCATTCCTTTTTCTTTTTCTTTCTCTTCTCTTCTCTCCTCTCCTCTCCTCTTCTCTTCCTCTTCCTCTTCTCTTCTTTCTTGATAGGGTCTAGCTCTGTCTCCCAGGTTAGAGTGCTGTGGTGCAATCATGGCTTATCACAGCCTTGACCTCCTGGGCTCATACGATCCTCCCACCTCAGCCTCCCCAGTAGCTGGGACTACAGGTGCATGCTACCACAACAGGCTAATTTTTTTTTTTTTTTTTTTTTTTTTTTTTTTTAGATTTGGGATTTTGCCATGTAGGACAGGCTGATCTCAAACTCCTGGGCTCAAGCAATCCTCCTGTCTTGGTCTCCCAAAGTGCTGGGATTACAGACATGAGCCATCTCACTGAGCCCAGCATCTTTCTTGATGCCAGGTTCATTGTCATTGCTGTTTGTTTTTTGTTTGTTTCAGGGTTTAGACCTTCAACATTATATGGACATTTGCTATCAGTTTTCTTGAAGATGATGGGTTAACTGCCCAAACAACTGACACACAAAAACCCAAATCACAAGAATCAGTATAATTTATTATTATTATTTCTACTCTTTGAGTTTTCATCTTTAGGATTTAAGGTACTATGGTCCTACAGGAGTCTGAGCTTATTCTAAATTCCTCACTTTCAGTCTGGGTGCGGTGGCTCACGCCTATAATCCCAGCACTTTGGGAGGCCAAGGCGGGAAGGTCGCTAGAGGTCAGGAGTTCAAGACCAGCCTGGCCAACATGGCAAAACCCCATCTCTCTACTAAAAATGCAAAAATTAGCTGGGCATGATGGCACATGCCTGTAGTCTCAGCTACTCGAGAGGCCGAGGCACAAGAATCACTTACGGTGGAGGTTGCAGTGAGTAGAGATCACACCACGGCACTCCAGCCTGGGTGACAGAGTGAGACTCTGTCTCAAAAAAAAAAAAAAATCCTCACTTTCTTCATTAAAAATATAAAGCATGTAAAGATTAAAGTTAAATTGGATCAGGAAGTGGATCCCGTGGAGTGAAGATCAGACCACGGTGGATTGACTTCTAAAGACTCTTGGTACACGAGGAAGAAACCTGGAAGAGGAAGAGGAAAGCAAAGGGGTCAGGGATGGCTCTTCCTCAGGGTCTATTGACATTCAGGGATGTGGCCATAGAATTATCTCAGGAGAAGTGGAAATGCCTGAACCCTGCCCAGAGGACTTTATACAGAGACGTGATGTTGGAGAATTATAGGAACCTGATCTCCCCGGATATCTCTTCCAAATGCATGATGAAGAAGTTGTGATCAACAGGGCAAGGCAATACAGAAGTGTTCCACATAGGCACATTGTAAAGACTTGCAAGTCATCACATTGGAGATTTTTGCTTCCAGGAAATTGAGAAAGATATTCATGACTTTGTGTTTCAGTGGCAAGAAGATGAAAGAAATGGCCAGGAAGCACCCATGACAGAAATAAAAAAGTTGATGGGTAGTACAGACCAATATGATCAAAGGTATGCTGGAAACAAGCCTATTAAAGATCAGCTTGGATCAAGCTTTCATTCTCATCTGACTGAAATGCACACATTTCAGCCTGAAAGGAAAATTGGTAATCAAGTTGAGAAGTCTATCAACGATGCTTTCTCAGTTTCAGCATCCCAAAGAATTTCTTGTAGGCCCCAAACCCATATTTCTAATAAGTATGGGAATAATTCCCCCCATTCTTCATTACTCACACAAAAACAGGAAGTACACATGAGAGAAAAATCTTTCCAATGTAATGAGACTGGCAAAGCCTTTAATTGTAGCTCACTCTTTTTTTTTTTGAGACAGAGTCTCGCTCTGTCACCCAGGCTGGAGTGCAATGGTGTGATCTCGGCTCACTGCAAGCTCCACCTCCCGAGTTCACGCCATTCTCCTGCCTCAGCCTCCTGAGTAGCTGGGACTACAGGTGTCCGCCACTACGCCCAGCTAATTTTTTGTATTTTTAGTAGAGACGGGGTTTCACCGTGTTAGCCAGGATGGTCTTGATCTCCTGACCTCGTGATCTGCCCGCCTCGGCCTCCCAAAGTGCTGGGATTATAGGCGTGAGCCACCGTGCCTGGCATCCCAGCACTTTCAGAGGCCGAGGCAGGTGGGTCACATGAGCCCAAGTATTCAAGACCAGCCTGGGCAACATGGTGAAACCCCTTTCTCTACAAAGAATACAAAAATTAGCTGGGCATGGTGGCACATGACTGTAGGGCCAGCTGTTATGGAGTCTGCAGTGGGAGGATGGCTTGAGCCTGGGAGGTCGAGGCTGCAGTGAGCTGTGATCATGCCACTGCACTCCAGTATGGGTGATGGAGCAAGATACTGTCTCAAAAAAAGAATACTTATGGTAAAGTTTGGGTAGAGGAATAAAGAAATCATTGATGTTTTATGAAAAGGTTATGGAGACGATGCCCAAAAGAAATCAACAGTTTGTAAATGAAGAACTCATTTTGATTTGGGACAAGACAGTGTTGAAAGTGATGCACGGAGCGGCAGGCAGACCATCCCCATCAGTTTCACACACACACAAAATAATCTTGTTCATACCACAGTGAAGAGGACTGACAGCTAATAGCAGAAACAATAATCAGGAGTTTGAGAACAGGCTGGTTAACATGGTGAAATCTCGTCTTTACCAAAAATACAAAAATTAGCTGGGTTTGGTTGCGGGCACCTGTAATCCCAGCTCTACGGAAGTCTGAGGCCAGAGAATTGCTTGAACCCAGGAGGCGCAGGTTGCAGTGAACCGAGATGGCACCATTGCACTCTAGCCTGGGCAACAAGGCAAAACTTTGTCTCAAAAGAAAAAAAAAAGTGTCAAGCCCCTTCTCTTTTTTTCTCCGCCATCGTGGTGTGTACTTGACTGTGCTTCTCACCAGATCTTCTCACAAGACTTTCAGAATTAAGCGATTCATGGCCAAGAAACAAAAGCAAAACCGTTCCATTCCCCAGTGGATTCAGATGAAAACTGGTAATAAAATCAGGTACAACTCCAAAAGGAGACATTGGAGAAGAACTAAGCTGGGTCTATTAGTAATTGCACATGAGATGGCACACATATTTATGTTGTCTGAGCGTCACAATCACATTACCATATCAAGCTGAAAATGTCACCATTATCTGGAGAGTTGGACATGTTTTATTTGGCATACATTTTTTCTCTCTGAATCTGTTATGAATGCATTGGTTGCCTGGGTTCAGTAATAAATATGTGAGACTTTTCATTAAAAAAATTAAAGTTAAATTTCCATGCCATTAATGGAGAAAAGGAGCATTTTAACAAAAACGGTTTCTCCCCACCCCATTTCCATTTGATGCCAATCAAAACATATCACTGGCCATTCAGTAAAAATAATTTAATAAGCCCAAGAACAAAAGCAGCGTGCTTGTACACAGACATATAAATTAAAGAAAATGAAAGAATAAAGAAAACTAAACTCTACTTGTTAGCGTATCCTGGAACGAAATTGTAGTTTTCTAACTGAGAATGTGTCTTTGTCTGTAGAACACAGTTCTGGGTTCAAGTAGCAGGTACTTTTTTTTTTTTTTTTTGAGATGGAGTTTCGTTCTTGTTGCCCAGGCTGGAGTGCAATGGCACGATCTCAGCTCACCGCAATCTCTACCTCCTGGGTTCAAGTGATTCTCCTGCCTCAGCCTCCCAAGCAGGTGGGATTACAGGCATGCGCCACCATGCCTGGCTAGCAAGTACTCTTTTTTAAATAGATGCCTCCTTTTTTGCTGCCCAACACATCAATTGTATCTTCTCCCTCCACTTTCAGCTGTGCAGGTATCTACTTCATTGATTTGCTGCTTGTCAAATGCAGATCTGATCTGCCTGACAAACCCCATCCCTCACAATAGGCTCTGGCATTTGAAGGCTTGGCTGGGACTAGGATCTGTTTCCAAAGTGGCTCACACATATGACTGGCAAGCTAGTGCTGGTTGTTAGCAGGAGGCTGCAATTCCTTACTACAAGGACATTTCCGTAGGGTTTCTTGAGAGTATCATGACATGGCAGCTGGCTTCCCCCCACTGTGAGTGATCCTGGACTCAGGTTTTGATAGAGAGAAAGGAATTCCTGCTACCATAACTTTCCTAGCCTATCCCATCACCTCCACACATTCTTGCCCTTGGGAGGAAGGGGAGTTTCCGGTTGGTAAATTTAGTGGAAGGAATTAAGTGTGGTCAGTTAGCTTCCTTGGGCTTATTTTGGAGCAGGTTAATCCTCAAGAGGCAGACATTCTACTCTCATCTATTTTTTTTTGCCAGACGAAAGGGCCCACTCTTTAGGGGAGTCTTTGACTTGTCCATCTATGCCAGGAACTGAGTGGGCTGGGTTGAAGGTAAGCCCGTGTGGCTGTAGATCTAAAGTCACGACCTCCCGTCGGCATTGCCAGTGACATTTTGAGCTCCACCAATATGATTCGATATCAGTTAGTTCTCAACAGTGGAAGAGCAGATGGGACCTCTTCCAACCTGAAAATTTGATGGAAGGGAATAAAATTAGATTAATTCAGCAAATAATTTGAAGAATGAAATTGTTTCCCACTGGGTAAATCTGAACATCTTCAAGGCTGAGGATATTACTGTGTTCAATTCTTTTCCTTACAGCCTAAGAAGGTACCATCAAGACTTCTTCCAGAGGAGTGTTTGGATAGGGAGAGCACAGGAAATCGGGGGTGGAAGTGTAGAGAGAGAGAGTCATTTTTGTTTATCATCCTTGCCCTTAAGTTTTCTCACGTGCTTTGGTCAAATGTCTAGTGGTGGTACTAATGTGAGAAATATCAACCAGTTAAAATTTTCATGGCAGACTTTTGACTCCAATCTCTACTTCCTGTTGTAACAACAGATCCTCAACAATGACGACGACTACTACTATAATAATAGTACTTACTATTTTTGAGCACCTACCATAAGCCCAACAGCATCCTTTGAACTTTACATACATTGTTTCTGATATAAATATCAGATACCTAAGAGGTAGATATTATTTTCATTTTACAGGTGAGGACAATAAGGCCCAGAGAGATTAAGAAACATGCTGCAGGTCACACAGAGATTGGAACGCCTTTCTGTCTGACTCCAAAGCTGGTGCTCTTTTCATTCTGTCACATCTCAACTTTTCAGGGTGGAGAGGGCAGTTAAAGAAGAGGGTGTTCTTGCTTTTTGAGGCTCCTTGACTTCTCCTAGGAGGGTTTTCCAGATAACCCAGAAACTCAGGGGACATTAAGGCAGAGGATTCAATTCAGAGACCATCTTACCCTTCCAACAGTCCCATCTCTTGCCCCACTTGCTTCCCAGCCGTGAAACTGTTATCACATCTAACTCGGAACTGTGCTAAGAGGCCATCTGTTCAGCCAGGAGGTGCCATTATCTTTTATGGTCCTTTAAAATGGCCGTTGCCTGAGTAATTGAAACTGCATTTGACAATGGAAGATGAGATTCTGTGTCTCTGAGGGACCATATCTACATTGCTATTTTGTCTTCCCATGGCAAAAGGAACTTGAAAGAACTCGAATGTTGAGAGGGAAGAACAGCAATTACCTTAATAGGTGTGGTAGTCAGAATGATGGCTTTCCACAGCTATCCATGTCTTTTTCCCTGGGACCTGGGAATGTGGTTCCTTACATGGCAAAAGGGACTTTGCAGATGTGATTAAATTAAGAGATTTGCATTGGAGGAGATTATTTTGGATTATCTGGTGGGCCCAATATTATCACAAGGGTCCTTAGGAGGGAAGGAAGGAGGCAGGAGAGTCAGAGAAGATGTGACTACAGCCGCAGAGGATTGCTGACTGGGGGTCATAAGCCAAGGAATGCAGGAAGCCTCTAGAAGCTGGAAAAGGCAAGGAAACAGATGTCCCCTAGACCCCTAGAAGTAACACAGCCGTGCTGACACGTTTTAGTCCAGTGAGACCCAGTCAGATTTCTGACTTCTAGAACTGTATGTTAATTTGTATTGCTTTAAGGCACTACATTTGTGGTCACTTGTTACAACGGCAGCAGGAAATGAATACACTAAGATACTCTCTACTCTTCCTCACTTAATTATTTATACAACTGGCCATTAAAAATCCTGGCCAGAACCTTTGTGTCTACTAGGGACCTCGCCATCTAGTCTTTTCTCGCAAAGCAAGAGGCATCGGCATATCACGTCTGGCGTACCATGTTGTTATTGCCTCTTTTCATAATGGCCTTTTGGAGCAAAGAGCTTACACAATACTGTTTCATACTGATAAGTAAAGAAACTTTGACAGATCAATACCATTTCTGTGGAGTCAAACACTAGGGGGCTCTGCATAGCCTGTTACTTACTCTGAGATGTAATAAATACAAATCAGCAATAGTACAATTAGTAGATGGCATATGTCCATTTGTGGCTTGTGCTTCTGGAAAACAAGGCATGGCTATCACCACTAGGCAGCTCCCTGGGTTTCCTGAGTCAGCTATTACCAACGGAACTGCTTCAGTGCTACGGGAAATGAGGTGAAAAAAGTCAATGACTACCAGTCAAGCTCCAAAGGAAATGGCACAGCTAATGTAAGTTCCTCTGAAGCTGACCCGGTATCTGCTGGTTGACAGTTAATGACCCTGGTTGGGACCCCATTAGAGAGTGGGGTAAAGAGCATCTTTGTTTTCAGCTGAACACTTTAGAAACTGCCTTGTGGATTAAAGGCGTCCACTGACTAAATGCCAGCCAGCAGGATAATGATTTAACTAACCCTCCTGCTGAAGCTGGTGGAAACCCAGAGCAGTCATTTCCTGGTAGAAACTCTTACCACAAAACAAATTCAACTGATTTCTGCCTGCTCCTCTCATCCTCTGTGGAGATCAGAAAGAGCAAAACAGTTTGAGCTGGTTAAACCAAAGATGCCTTCCGGAGGGCTTCAATTTGCCAACACCGCAGGAAGCCAGGATGAGCCGGGGTCCAATAAACCCCATGCGGCTTTGGCGCAGAGTGTCAGGTCACTTCCAGATTCTTACACTCCTCTGTGCTCTGGGCTATCTCCTCTATGCACTCTCAGGGGAAAGTTCCCCTCATTAATTAAATGCTGCATTACCCCTTAATGAGTGTTATGCACTGGTCACATTACTGCTAAAGCAGAAATAAGGCATTACTGCCTTAAGCATTGGAAATCATCCCAGTAACTGGCTAACGCTAAGCTTGTCAAGATACCAGAATCTAACATCGAATTAGTCAACCAAATTACCAGAAGGAGATAAAGTGACAGTTTGGCATTTCCATTTTACTGACAGGGTTAGAAATCTATGTCCCTTACAACGTATTCCCTGAGCACCTCTGACGTGCTGGCACACTTAGAAAAAGCTAACTAATCCTATGTTAATGTGTACAGTCAGGACCCGAGACCTAAATCTAGGTAGTGTCTCAGATCATTCACTATTTGGGATTATTTGCATTTCTATTATTTTGTCGCTAGGAAGATGGCAAGATGAACTTAGACAAAATTTAATTCTTGGGTGGGCACTCTGCCAGATGTATCATTTAATCTACAGACTAACTTGGTGTCAGTTTGGGTCTTCCAATAAGCAAATGCTGAGATAGACTCACAGTTATCGGGGAATAACACTAGTGTCTCTATTTCATTTACTTCGGCTCTGATCTTTGTGATTTCTTTTCTACTGGCAAATTTGGGTTTGGTTTGTTCTTGTTTTTCTGGTTCCTTGAGATGCAACATGAAGTTGTTAATTTTTGATCTATTTTTTTTTTGATGCAGGCATTTAATGCTATAAAATTCCCTCTTAGCATTGTTTTTGCTGTACCCCAGAGGTTTTGGTATGTTGTGTTTCTGTTTTAATTCATTTCAAAAAAGTTTTAAATTTACACCTTAATTTATTCATTGACCCAGTGATCGTTCAGGAACATGTTGTTTAATTTCCATGTATTTGAATAGTTTCAAAAATTCCTCTTGTTGTTGATTTCTAGTTTTATTCTGCTGTAGTTTGAGAAGATACTTGATATGATTTTGATTTTTAAAAATTTGTTGAGACTTGTTTTGTGGTCTAAAATATGGTCTGTCTTGGAGAATGTTCCGTGTGCTGATAAGAACATATATTCTACAGTTGGTGTGCAGATTAGTCTATAACATTCTAAGTCTATTTGGTCAAAAGAACAATTAAGTCCTTTTTTTTTTGTTATTTTTCAGTCTCGATGACCTGTCTAGTGCTATGACTGTGGTATTGAAGTCCCCCACTACTGTATTGCTGTCTATCTCTTTCTATGGGTCTGCTAATATTTGTTTTATGACCCTGGGTGCTTTGGTGTTGGGTGCATATATATTTAGGATTGTTATATCCTCTTGCTGAATTCATTCCTTTATCATTATATAATGACCTTCTTTGTGTGTTTTTATTAAATTGTTTTTGATTTAAAGTGTGTGTGTGTGTGTGTGTGTGTGTGTGTGTGTTGTTTTGTTTTGTTTTGAGATAGAGTCTTGCTCCGTCACCCAGGCTGGAGTGTAGTGGTGCAATCTTGGCTCACTGCAACCTCCGCCTTCTAGGTTTAAGTGATTCTCCTGCCTCAGCTTCCCGAGGAGCTGGGATTACAGGTGCCTGCCACCATGCCCAGCTAATTTTTATATGTTTAATAGAGACAGGTTTTCACCAGGCTGGCCAGGCTGGTCTTGAACTCCTGACCTCAAGTGATCCACTTGCCTCGGCCTCCCAAAGTGCTGGGATTACAAGTGTAAGCCACCACACCTGGCCCTAAAGTCTGTTTTTTTTGTTTTTGCTTTTTTTTTTTTTTTTTTTAAACGGAGTCTCGCTCTGTCGCCCAGGCTAGAGTGCAGTGGTGTGATCTCAGCTCACTGCAAGTTCCACCTCCTGGGTTCACACCATTCTTCTGCCTCAGCCTCCCGAGTAGCTGGGACTACAGGCGCCCGCCACCATGCCTGGCTAATTTTTTTTGTACTTTTATTAGAGACGGGGTTTTACTGTGTTAGCCAGGATGGTCTCGATCTCCTGACCTCGTGATCCACCTGCCTCAGCCTCCCAAAGTGCTGGGATTACAGGAGTGAGCCATCGCGCCCAGCTAAAGTCTGTTTTATGTGATGTAAGTATAGCTATTCCTGCTTGCTTTTGGTGTTTTTTGTTTTTTGTTTTTTTTTTTTGACTGAGTCTCGCTCTGTCACCCAGGCTGGAGTGCTCACTGCAACCTCTGTCTCCCAGGTTCAAGCAATTCTCCTGCCTTAGCCTCCTGAGTAGCAGGGATTACAGGCGCATGCCACCACTCCCAGCTAATTTTTGTAATTTAGTAGAGACGGAGTTTCACCATGTTGGTCAGGCTGGTCTCGAACTTCTGACCTCTTGATCCGCCTGCCTCAGCCTCCCAAAGTGCTGGCATTACAGGCGTGAGCCACTGTGCCCAGCCTCTGCTTAGATTTTAAAAAAATCTAAGAGGAAATTTTTCCTAACTCATTCTATGAGGCCAGTACCACTCAAATACCAGAACTAGACAAGGTCATAAGAGAAAAAAAACAAAAAAACTAAAGACCAATATCTCTGGTAAATATAGATGCAAAAATCCCCAACAAAATACTAGCAAACCAAATCCAACAGCACATCAAAAAGATAATATACCATGATCAAGTGGTTTTACACTAGGGAGGCAAGGTTGTTTCAACATATGCACATCAATAAATGTGACTCATCACATAAAGAGAAGGACAAAAACCACACATGATCATCTCAATAGATGCAGAAAAAGCATTTACTGAAATTCCTTCATGATAAAAGCCTTCAAACTAAGCATAGAAGGAACATACCTCAAAATAATAAAGGCTGTGTATGACAGTCCCACAGCCAACATCATACTGAATGGGAAAAAGTTGAATGTGTTCCATCTAAGAGCTGGAACAAGAAAATAATGCCTACTTTCACCATTCCTATATTCAACATACTACTCAAAGCCAGAGAAATTGGGCAAGAGAAAAAAATAAAAGTCATACAAGTTAGAAAAGAGGAAGTCAAATTATTCCTGTTCATTGATGATATGATCTTATTTCTAGAAAACCCCAAAGACTCCACCAAAAAACTCTTAGATTTTATGAATAAATTCAGTAAAGTTTTATGATAAAAAATCAACCTGCAAAAATCAGTAGCATTTCTATATACCAGTAATGATCAAGCTGATAACCAAATCAAGAAGGCAATGCCTTTTACAATAGCTAAAACAAAACAAAACAAACAAAACAAACAACAACAGCAAAAAAAAACCACCCTAGGAATGTATTTAACCAAGGAGGTGAAATACCTCTACAAAAAAACCCAAAAAACACTGAGGAAAGAAATTTTAGATGACACAAACAAATGGAAAAACCTCCCATGTTCATGGATTGGAAGAATTAATATCATTAAAATGAGTATACTGCCCAAAGCAATCTATAGATTCAATGTAATTCCAATCAAAATACTGTCATTCTTCATAAAATTAAAAAAATCCTGATTCATAATGAATAATAAAAAAAAAGAGCCCAAATAGCAAGAGCAATCCTAAGTAAAAAGAACAAAGCTGGAGGCTCACTTTACCTGACCTCAAGTTATATTGCAAGGCTACAGTAACCAAACCAGCATGGTACTGGTATAAAAATAGACACACAGATCAATGGAACAAAATAGAACTAAGAAATAAAGCCGTATATCTAAAGCCAAGTGATCTTTGACAAAGTTTGACGAAAGAATACCCTTGGGAAAGGGCAACCTTTTCAAAAAATGGTGTTGGGAAAACTGGATAGCCATATACAGAAGAATGAAATGAGATCCCTGTCTCTCACTATATAAAAAAGTCAATTCCAAATGGCTCAAAGGCTCATGTAAGACCTAAAACTATAAAAATACTAGAAGAAAACCTAGGGAAAATTCTTCTGGGCATTGATCTAGGCAAAGAATTCATGACTAAGATTTCAAAAGCACAAGCAACAAAACCAAAAATAGACAAATGGGACTTAAACAAAAAACTTGTGCACAGCAAAAGAAATAATCAACAGAATGAACATACAACCTGCAGAATGAGATAAAATATTTTCAAACTATGCATCCAACAAAGGACAAATGTCCAGAATTTACAAGGTACTCAACTCAACAACGACAACAAAACAAATAGCCTTATTAAAAAGTGGACAAAGGACATGAAAAGACATTTTTCAAAAGAAGATATACAAATGGTTAATAACATATGAAAAAATGCTCAATATCACTCATATAATTAGAGACATGCAAATTAAAACCACAATGAGATACCATGTTGCACCAGTCAGAATGTCTATTAATAAAGACAAAAACAACATATGTTGGTGAGGATGGGGAGAAAAGGGAACACTTACACACTGTTGGTAGAAATGCAAATTATTACAACCTCTATGAAAAACAATATGGAAAATTCTCAAAGAACTAAAAATAGAACTATTCAATCCAGCAATCCCACTACTGGGTATCTACACAAAAGAAAAGAAATCATTCTATCAAAAAGATACCTGCACTCATATGTTTATTGCAGCACTACTCACAATACCAAAGATATAGAAGCAACCTAAGTGTCCATCGACAGATGATTGGATAAAGAAAATGTGGTATCTATACCCAGTGGAATACTATTCAGCTATTTAAAAAGAATGAAATAATATATTTTGTTGTAATATGGATGGAACTGAAGACCATTTTCTTAAGTGAAACAAGTCAGACAAAGACAAATGTTGCATGTTCTCACAAGTGGGAGCTAAATAATGTGTACACATGGACATAAAGTATGAAATGATAGACACTGGAGACTTGGAAGAGTGGAGGGCTGGGAGCGGGGTGGATGATGAGGAATTAGTTAATGGGTATGATGTACATTAATGGGCATGATGTACACTAAAAGCCCAGACTTCACCACTATGCAATATATTCATGTAGCAAAATTACACTTGTACCCGTTACATTTATACAAATAAAAAAATTAAATTAAAAATGATGCAGTAATCCAGGCAAGAAATGATGAAGACTTGGATTGGGCAGGGCATGGCGGTGGGGATAATCATATTTAGGACGTATATTTTGAAGGTAGAATTGATGGTATTTGCTGGTAGACCCAATCCAAGGTGTGGGAGAAGAAAAACATCAGAATGACACCAAGGTGGTTGGCCTATGCAGTGAGAGGTATGGTGTTGCCACTAGCTAAGAAAGAGAAGACTGCAGGAGCAGCTGGTTCAGAGGGCTATTAGAAGCTCATGCAGCTGTGGTAAATTTGAGATATGTAGGCAATAGACACAAAGGTCTGGAGTTCAAAGTAGAGTTCTGGGCTGGAAATATAAATGTTAAGAACCATTCACTTATAGCTGAAAAATTAAATTTAAAGCAGTGAGTGCAGCTGACATTACCAAGGGAGGGAGTGGACATAGATAAGAGAGGACCAAGGTCTGAACCCTGGACTCTCCAACCTTTAGACACCAAAAGAGATAAGAAGAAATTAGCAAAAGAGATTGAGAAGAAGAATAGGAAGAAAAACAGCTAAAAGAAGCAATTATTTCAAGTGATCAACTGTGTTAAATGCTGGTGATGGGGTATGTAAAGTGAAAACTGTGAAATAACCATTGGATTAAGAATGTAGAGAGATCGTTGGAGACCTTGAAAAAAGTAGCTTCAGTGAGATAGTGGGGGCGAAACCTGACTGAAGTGGGTTCTAAAGAATTTGGAAACAGTGTATATATTATTATTATTCTTTTTTTATCACTCTTAGAATTGAAATATATATATATATTCTAAGGAACTCGCTTGTAAGGAGGAGAAAATTAGGGCAATGTTTGGAGGGAGAAGTGAGATCAAGAGAGGGTTTTAGAATATGGGAAATATGACAGCCTGTTTTTATATTGGTGAAAATTGTTCAGTCAAGAGGAAAAAATTGATAATACAGGAGAGAGAAGGGAGAATTTCTAGTGTGAGGTCTTGAGTAAGAGGGGTGAGAAGGGATCTAGTGCATGTGTGGAAAGGCTGAAAAGGTGTGAAGATTCAAGATGTGGAATGATATGGAGGAATTAGGAAATGAACAGAAAAGAACCCTTCAGAATTTGCCAGTCACTATAACCCTTTTCTTGATTATTTTGGGCACATGTACTTGCCTCATACAAGCCAACTTTGATTGTCAGGCCTCCTCCAAAGTAATAATTTAGTTGGGAGGTGGGCCATGTAGCATTAGTAATTTGTGCACAGTGAGGGCAGCCATATGACCCAAGCATGGTATTCTTTTTTTTTTTTTGGAGATGGAGTTTCACTCTTGTTGCCCAGGCTGGAGTGCAATGGCACCATCTCAGCTCACTGCAACCTCCACCTCCTGGGTTCAAGCGATTCTCCTGCCTCAGCCTCCTGAGTAGCTGGGATTACAGGTATGTACCACCACGCTGGGCTAATTTTTGTATTTTTAGTAGAGATGGGGTTTCTCCATGTTGGTCAGGCTGGTCTTGAACTCTCGACCTCAGGTGATCCACCCGCCTTGGCCTCCCAAAGTGCTGGGATTACAGGCGTGAGCCACCGTGCCCAGCCAAGCATGGTATACTTCTTCAGAACTTCTATAGCTGCCATATCACACTCTTGGCTCCTAAGTGTGTGGTCAACTCAGATCTCAAGATCACCTTCACATACGTTTAACTCTGAGAGAATAGAAATGGAACAGTTAAACATGCAGGAAAAGGGAGACAGCCCTGAAAGCTTCAGAATTAGACAAGAATACAGAGGTGAGGCACAGGAAACAGCACGATGGTGCTGAGCGCCCAGCCACAGAAAGGAGTCGCACTGGAGGGAGCTTTGGGGTAGGGGTTCTAATAAGTGGAGAGATCTGCTTATTAAAAAGATTCTGTTGGGGGAGATATTCATTCACATTCTGCTTCTATTACTAAATTTCATTCAACATTTCAATAAATTCAGCGGTTGGCAAAGGTGAAGCATAAGACAATTTTCACTGACTGGCTCTCTGCAGGCTCCATTAACTGCCTTCTACACCAGGATGTGAGTATGGAGAGCTTCAAATGCTTACAAGGTAACAATAGAGTGCTCAGCATTACAAGGGAGTGAGTGAAGGAAGACTTGGCACACAATGAAATGTACCACTCTGTGCCTTTACCTATTCCTTTCTTAGGTCCACATACTTCCTCCCTTAGGAAATCTTCAAGGCAGGGTCACAAATTATATAAAGAGGATATATTTGAAGGTTGAAAAATTAACTTGATCTAGTAATAATCCACAGGTTGTAGTCCATGCCTTTATTTATTTATTTATTTAGAGACAGAGTCTCGCTCTGTCACACAGGCTAGAGGGCAGTGGCGCGATCTCGGCTCACTGCAAACTCCACCTCCCAGGTTGAAGCAATTCTCATGCCTCAGCCTCCTGAGCAGCTGGGATTACAGGCATGTGCCACCTTGCCCGGCTAATTTTTTTATTTTTAGGAGAGATGGGGTTTCAACATTTTGGCCAGGCTGGTCTCGAACTCCTGGCCTCAAGGGATCCGCCCGCCTCGGCCTCCCAAAGTGCTGGGATTACAGGCATGAGCCACCGCACCCGGCTGATGCCTTTATTTTGACAGAATAATAAAGAAATGTACATACAATAACCAACTGTTATCTAAAAATTGAAATGGGTAACAGTTAAGTAGAACACAAAGTCCATATAGATTATACTTAATAAAAAATTTTACTGCCAATATACAACTAAAAATCAGCCAATTAGTCTAGATACGACAAAGAATAAACACAAACTCAATGTATGCCTTTGAGGCTTGACAGCTTTGCTGAATTATGAATCCCTCAGGGAAGACAGACATAATTTGTTACCTAAATATAAGAACTACGAGCAACAGTTTCCTATCACTTGTTGGCCATTTGATGAATTGATTCTTGATGATTGACACTAACAAACTGATTACATATGTGTGTATACACACCTTAAGGGAATGGAAAGATAGCCGTGAGAGAAGAAAAGGATGGTAAAAGAAAAAAAAAAAACACAACAGTGATGTCTTTCAAAGGCAGATAACTGAGTTCTATCTGTAAACTTCCTTTGCTTGTGAATTCATTTGTAAACACTAATCCATATCTAGTTCACTCAATTTGAGAATATTTAATAAGAAAAACTTCATTAATTAAACACACTTGTTTTATTTTTTGGAAAAGGAAAAGATAAATGTAATTATAAACCCACAGTAACAAACCATAGAAAAAGTTAAGTATCTTTCCCAAAGAATGAGAATAACTTAGGAGAAGAAACTAAAACATTAGTAGGACTCTGAGAAAGTATTTCCCAGCATTTTACAAGCTCTAGCAGCCTCTGTAGGGTTGAAAAGGTACTACCCATCACCAGGGTCATGGCAGATACTCCTACAAAAAAAGGCAGGTGAGCAAGAGAGACGCACAGCACATTTGTTAACAAAGTTTTATGTGACATGGGAGCTTTTTGAAATGAAGACCCAAAGATCCAAGGAAAACTGTGTAGTTTTATGGTTTTCTTTCACGGAGAATGGACAAGCATGTAGAAATGTGATTGGACAAACGATTGAATGAGAACGAACTGAGAGGGAACCCACTAAGACCTGTTTGTGCAGATTCTTCCTGGCCAATCTGTAACATTTCTTCCTTTGGGGGTCGAGGGCAAAACACCTGTCATTTCGCAGCCTTTAGGGGAGAAGGGAGAAGGTCAGACAGTAATATTTCTTGCTTTGAGGGAGAGGAGTTCTACTTTCTATGGCTTACTTCAGGAGAGAAATGAGGGAAAGTGAAGGAAGATGGGAGAAGGTCAGAGGGAATTTTTTGCTCTTCTAGGGATGGAAAAATTCCACTTCCACCCTCTTAGGGTCTTGGCTGGGTCTGAGAATTAAATTAACATAATATAGATTAACAGGTGAAAAACATACAAATTTATTTAATACAAGTTTTACATGGCAGGGGAGCCCTCATGCATAAATGAAGACCCAAAGAAGCAGTTAGAGTGAGTTACTTATATACTGAATTGGACAAGGAATTACAAGTTGTGAAGAAGCAACTAACTTGTGTGGAGAGGCTTTAAAAGATAAGAGTGATTCTATCAAAGTCTACAGTATTCTCTTGGTTTTAACTTTTCATCCCTGAAGATAAGGATGCTGTCTTTCCTCCTAGTACAGGGAGAGTGTCTTCCACACTGGAATTTCATCTTCTGCTCTTAAGAAACAGCATGAAGGTCAAAGTGATCTTCTGGCATCTGCTGTTTTTCAGGTGTTTTTAGCTTAAACAGTTAACATGCCAGAATATCATATTTGAACACCTTAACTTCTGAGGCCCTTCCATCCTCCTTCAGTCCAAAGTACCCACTATGCCAAAGTACCAAATTTTGGGGTATCACGCTCTGAGCTCTAATACCTCTTAATTAAATATAGTGATGGTCATTTTAAAACATACTATTTTTATACAAAAATATGTAGGTATTAGAAAATATACACTTTAAAAAATTACTTGCAATTCCACTTTCCAGAAAGGATAGAATTTGCATTTTGGTGATTATATTTTCAGAATGTTTTCTATATGGGGCTTTGAGGCAGAGAAAAGAAATGAAGTGGCAGAGAGGATATCAAATATTGTGATATTTTGAGAAATCCTTTGAGGAATTTTTACAGATATATATATATAAATATTTGACAATTCCAAATTATTTCAGAGTAATTGATAAATCCAAAAATTTGCACAAGAAAGAGTAAGACCTAGAAGATGATGAAAACATCACAGAGAAGGAGTGGGGGTAGATACCAGTCATGAGAGGTGATCTATTTGTAAGTCACAAAACTAATACTGTTGTCTTGACTGGTATTGAAAATTCAACAAAAGAGGAGGAGGAGGTGGAGACATAAAATGAGAACTATCAGAGTGTAATTTTGAAACTTGTTTCAAGTGTGTGGGCAGGCAGTGGTCGGGGAGGGCGCTCTGGTATATCAGTGCACTCCATACTTGAGTTGAGGTTAAAAAATGCATGCATATCACAATAGCAGATTGAAACCTTATACACTGAGCCCTTGGAGAGCAGAACAAAGAGGAAGTGGAGAAAGGATTCCACCACCAGGTGATAATACTCACCGGTCCAAAGGGAAATAAGAGAGGGAAAAATCATTGCATTCAATCAAAACCTTATGCTCTGATGCCAAACTTACACTGCCCAGCTAATGGAAGTGGTTTGACCCATTGACCTGCAGGGTACAACATTAATACTTTAAAGACTCATCACATGTCCTCTTGAGAAAAGAGTGCACTCCTTCCAGGATGCTTCTGACACTTCACTCCCCGTTCCAGTAGCAGCTGAAAGATTATGCCTCTTTTGACTGGGTTTCCTTGTAACCCTGACTAAAAACTACCTTAGGCTTGAGGGGTTGGATGGACTATCTCCCTGGGTCAAGCCGGGAGTCAGAGGTTCTTAGTGAATTCAACTGAGATTAAATTTTGCTATGTAATTAAATCACAGCAAAAACTACAATGATATGGAGGAGAGAAGACAGCCTGTGGTTTGGAACATAACTCAGTCTGCTATTAAAATGCATAGGGTGTCTATAGCTAACAACAGTGTACTGTATATTTCTAAATAGCTAGAAGAGAAGAGTTGAAATGTTCCCAATACAAAGAAATAATAAATGTTTGAGGTGATGGATACCCTAATACCCTGATTTGATCATTACACATCATATGCATGTTCAAAATATTACATATGCCCCATAAATATCTACAAATATTATTTATCAATAAAAAATGTATGCATAAAATGAGCAGGGCATGAGTATAATGTACTGTTCTGGATGACTTGAAGAAATACTGCCATTGAACACAAAAACACATTTGCTAGAGTGCAAAGGTCAGGGTGAGAATGAGTCATTGAGTCCTGGAGACCTCAGGGCCATTAGCTGTAGTCAAATATCAGCCCTGCCAATCATTACTAATTGATGACCTAGGATTCTGCTCAGAGTCCCCTACTAAATGCTAGCCATGTGTCAGCCATCATGCTACCCAAGAGAGTCGTTTGGTGGACGTATTGAGAGATCTGCGTGCCTGAGCCAATGTGAGAACAAGATGGCAAAGTTCACACACGTAAGTGTAAAATTCATCACTGCACTGTAGGTGAACTCAGGTTTGGTCTTTTAAAGTCATTCATCAAAAAAGAAAAGGCAAATGCAAAGGTATTGTCTTCATAATTTTTCCTCATCACTTGAGAGCACAGACTGGGAAAATGAGGCTCCAAGAATGCCCAAATATGTTGTTAGTGCTACATGGAATTTCAAAGAATAGGGTATGGATCCACTTGGAGAGATCAGACATGATTTAAACATCTAAAGAACAAGTCATGGCAATATAGACCTTATATTCAGGGCTTTTCACCTATATCTTCTTTCTATTAACTAGTAGTGTGCTACAGGGGAGCCCAGGGCAGCTGCCTTTTAAGCCGCAAATCTATCTGTTCTCCTTAACTTCTCTCTGGGTAGGGGCACAGAGTCTCAGTCCTCACCACACCTCCAATTCCAAGGAGTAATCTGGAATTGCAGAAGCATTCAGTTATTTCTTTCCCTTGCATCAAAAACATTCAGGTGAATCTGAGTCTAGAGAGAGGAGCACATCCTAAGTGTAAATGGCTCCTTTCAAACCTTTTAGAGTCTTTCTTTTCCTTCTTCCCTCTCTCTCCTACGTTTACCCATCCTGAGGTCCTTCCTCAGGAGCACTCTCCGAAAAGGGCCTAAGATTTGCTGCTGTGTTCCAATTCTGGTCAAATCTCTATTTGGTACTTTAATGGGTTAGAGAATTTGAAAGATCAGGGGAAATCCTAAACTGGACAGAACCTAGATGTTTACAAGAGCCTCTCCCTTGGTCTTAGAGTGAAAATGACATTTATTTGATTGAGTCCCTGTGGTGTTGCAAAGCTTTGCATGTAGGGGATGTAAACTTTTTCTGTTTCACTGATGATTTTAGTCGTATAATAATAAAATCCCCACTCCCTCCAAGACAACCTTTCTCCTCTCCTGCTTCTTGATGAAAGTCTATTCTTGGATTAATGTCAGCTGTTTATCCAAAGCTGGGCTGACAAGCTTCAAAGACATTTTAGTAATAACCCCATTGCTGTTTCTACCACTTACTTATCACTGTGATATGAGAACACAGAACTAGGAATTTTGGGTGCTCCTAGCCCCCAACAAGGTGAAATCTGGTTCCCGAGAGAGGAGAGTAGGCTGTCAGCTAAATTGCACACAGAGCATCTTGCCTGCAAGAGCTTCTGAATGCTCTGAAAACTCTCTGGTCTTATGATGCCTCTACTCTGCAAAAGGATCATTGCTGAGGTCAAATGACTCTCTCTGTCATCACTCAGTAACTGAACAGCTACACCAGATATAGAATCCTGCCTAGTACTCCTGTCTCTCAGGCAGGACCGTAAAACACTGCAAACAGGAGGAAGCAGGAAGAAGTCACCCATGAAGTCCTTGCCCCTGATAAAAAACAAAACTCATCCGGCCTCTGAAGTCATAATAGTTCTTGCAGCTTGGAGTGTGCCGCCATCCTCCCCAAACACATCTCGACTCTGAAAGTGACCCTATGAAGGCTATGACTGCTAAGCAGCAGGCAGAACAGGTGGGTGCATTTGCTATGTTGAACAGCAGCATTCCGGGAGGATAATGTAAATTCTACTTAAGCCAAACTGCTACTGGGGGCTGGGCTCAAGTCATGCCCTCAGGTTGCAGAAAGGGGATGATGGATGCTGGCCTTGCAGTTCTCTGCGCTTGCTGGATGATACATGGAGCAGTGGTGTTGGCCTCTGAGGGTGGCTGCCCAGTCGTTGGCTGGAGCAGGGGTACAAAGCAGCACAGCACAGTGTTGGCTAAGGTTCCGCAGTAAGACTACCTGAGTTCCAGTCCCATTAGGCTTGCTACCATTTAGCTATGAGAATTTACTTCACTTCTTTCTGTCTCCATTTCTTTATCTGTAAAATGCAGATGATAATAGCACTTACCTCATAGGGTCCATCGTTAGGATTAAGTGAGCTAATGTGAGTAAAGTACTCAGTACCTGGCGTATAGTAAGAACTAAACTTCACTATAATATATCACTCCATGGGCTAATAGGTCACTTTTAAAAATTACAGTTTTAGGCCGGGTGCAGTGGGTCACACCTGTAATCCTAGCACTCTGGGAGGCCGAGGCGGGTGGATCACCTGAGGTCAGGAGTTCAAAACCAGCCTGGCCAAAATGGTGAAACCCCATCTCTACTAAAAATACAAAAAAATTAGCTGGACATGGTGGCATGTGCCTGCAGTCCCAGCTACTCAAGAGGCTGAGGCAGGAGAATTGCTTGAACCCGGGAGGCGGAGGTTGCAGTGAGCCGAGATCACGCCACTGCACTCCAGCCTGGGTGACAGAGCGAGACTCCATCTCAAAAAAAGAGAAAAAAAAACAAACGTGGTTATAAATAGCCATGTGCTGGTAAATGTTTAACAACCAGCTCTTTAGGAAAAAAGCTCTGACTTGTAATGTTTACTGATTTTCATGGTTTAAATATTTCCACCATGATTAATTACAAGCCACCAACGTGACAGCATTGGATGCAGAGCCGGGAGGAAGTGCTCACAGTCAGCTCCCAAGAGCCAGCATACCACAGTTATGAAGCCCAGCTGGTAAAATGAAAGATGTGAAAAAATAAGAATAAAATTTGAAATATAAAATTATCACCAACTATGTAAAAAAAAATTGTGTGCACAGAAAAAAAAGAAAGGAAATTTACTGGATACTGACTGTAGTTGTATTAGAAGAGTGGTAGGAATGTAATTAACTCTTTAATAGATATATTTTTGTTTTCCTTAAAGTGCTTATGTTAATTTTATAGTGGAAAAATGAGCAGAGTTAACTACATACGTACACACACACACACTTTATATTATGGAAAATTTCAAACATATGGACTAATAGTATAATTTAAGTACTCATTAGTGGCTCCAAAAATTATCAATGTTTTGCCAATCTTCTTTCATTTCAATTAAATAAAATTTCTTTCATTGTATTTATCTCAGAGACCATGTCATTTCACCTGAAATAGCCCAATATATATTTTAAAAACATAACTACCACATCATCATCAACATTTAACAAAAATCCTAATAATTCCTCAATATCATCTGACACCTAGTCCATATTCAAGTTTCCCCAATGGAGAAAGATGGCTTTTACAGTTTGTTTCCTTGAACGAGGGTTCAAACATGGCACTGTGTTATTACTTTAAATCTTTTTTTATTCCATAATGGTTATCCTCTCTTTCTCTTTCATGCCAGCAATTTCTTGAAGAAGCTGATCATTTGTCCTGTGGAATGTCCCATGTTCCAATTTTGGCTAATTGCTTCCTTATGGTTGCTTGTTTCTCTAGTCCCCACATTTCCTGTGGCCGCTGGTTGGACTAAGAGAGTGATCCAGGCAAGAGTTTTCACGGGTGGTGCCAGATACTTCCTCCTGTGTCATATTCTGACACATTTAATGCCCGGCTGTGCCACTTTTAGTGACGCTAAGATTGCATCTAAGTGTAATACATTTAGGAACAAAATTAAATAGGGGGAAATACTTGGAACAACAGAAATGCCAGACACAGAAGAAACTGATTTCAGCAAAACATGAGACAGGGTTTTCTCTGAATTCCTTTGGCCCTCCTGAGGGCTTCACATCCCCATCCTTGGTCACTACAAAGCCTTGGAATGCCTCTACCTGGACCTGTACCTCCAATCATCCTTCGCACTGCAGCCACCAAAGTTCTAAAGTGCAAATCAGACCACTTCACCATCCTGGTTTAACTTTTCCAGTGGCTTTCTGTGGTCTGCTGGAAAAATGTAAATTTCTTTAGTTCATCACTTAAGCACCCTCATGATCTAGCCCGTGCCTACCTTCCCTACCTTCTCACCCATAATTCTCTTTCTCTCTTCCTATATATCATGCTTCTCACCAATGCTCCAACCACACTCAGCTCCATGTAGTTCTATTTTTATTTTATGTTTCATAGAGGCAGGGGTCTCACTATGTTGCCCAGGCTGGTCTCAAACTCCTTGACTCAAACAGTCCTCCCACTGGGGCCTCCCAAACTGCTGGGATTGCAGGTGTGAGCCACCTTACCCAGCCCATGTAGCTCTCTTGATATGATGCTCCTTCACAACTCTGGGTCTTGGATTGGTTATCCTCCTGCCTAAAATGTCTTTCCTTTCGTCTGCTTGGCAGTTTTCCACCCATCTTTCAAGACTGCTGAGCCAGCCATTTTTGACCTCCCTAGTCTAGTGTGAATGCCTGTCCTCTGTTTCTTCATGGGTCCTCATGAGTACCTCAACTTATTCCATCATTCCATCCCAGTGGGCTTTACTGGGCTTGGCACACTGCAGGTGCCCAGTGATCATCTGTTGAATGAAAGAATTTAAAATGAAGCACTGTAGAAAGGATGAAAAAAGTGCTGGGTGAATTTGCCATTGGCTGAACAAGCACACCCAAAAGATTGCTAAGTGCTGAGTATGCTGAGTGACCACATCTGTACCAGAGCACCCTCACTGTCTTTATTTCTGCTCTGCTCAACATTTTCATCCCTTTAGGAGCTTGAGTTTGCTTGAATTGCAAACATAAGCAAAACCTACCTTGAGCTATTTCCTTTAGGTGCCTATATTAAAGAAAAACACAATGTAAGCTCAACCAATCAGAAGCAGCCAATGAACTTATATAACTAAACTTTCCAACAAGATAGACCGAATAAAGCAACTGCATAACTGTAACCAATAAAATATCTTTTTTGCTTTACTTCTGTGCTTGTCCTCTAAAAGCCTCCCCATTGTGTTCTCTTGGTGGATCTCCCCAACCACCTCTGGTTTGGAACTGCCTGACTTGCAAACTGTAGCTTGCTCAAATGAACTCTTTAAAATTTCACTGTGCTTCAGTTTATTTGTTAACAATAGTATCCACCACAAACTTTGTTTTGAGGATTAAATGAATTAATATACATAAAGTGCTTAGAACACTGCCTAGAACATAGTTCTATTCAAAAGCTTGTTATTAATATTCTGCATAGGTCTTCACCTCTCTACTTGTTAGCTGGCTCTGCATACTTTGTGTTTAAGTTTTGTTTTATCCACAGCACATCTGGCATAAAGCTTTAGAGGATGAATGAATCTTATAGAAGCACTTGGGAGATTGTTCAGGGTGGTAGTAAAGAGGATGAACTTTGGAGCCTGGCTGCCCAGGTTCCCACCCTGGCTGCCCCTCTGACCACTGAGTAACCTTCACCACACAGATGGAAGCCTTCTGTAGCTGTTTCCTTGTCTGTAAAATGACAGTAGTCCTGGGTCTGTTGTGACATTTACATGAGATCATTCATGTAAAGCTCCCAGCATAAAGGCTGGCAAATGGGAATGGCTCACTAAATGTGATTTCCTATTAGTAAGTATTTTCCTTCCTTGGGAATTTGCATTTTAACATGAACTAAGGAGGGGGCCTATTTGAAGGCAAGCCAGCATTTTGGACCTATCCCAATAATCAGTAATCTTATTTTTTTTCATTCTATCTTGACTATCACATCAATCCTGTTTATACTTGCACAAATAAAGTGGTTGGAATCCTGCCTGTTCACCAGAATGAATGACATGAATGACTTCTATTTCTGTCATTGGCTGTATTCAGCATAGCCCCTCTCGTTAACTCAAAGTAAAAAAAAAAAAAAAAAAAAAAAAAAAGCAACCAAATCATTCAGGTTCAAGGGGATGGGAACAATCCAGGGACTCAGAACAAACGTGATTCTTCAGCAGCCCACTAATCAGCCAAGGCGGGTGAGACTTCCCAAAGGGCTGTGACTTCACAGCCAGGGGCCTCAGGCTAAAACTGTCCCTAATGGAAATCAAATAAAAATTCAGGGATTGCTTCAACAACCCAGCACTGGACTTCAGCTGAACTGACCATTCCTCAGGGAGGGCACCTTCATAGGCAGCAAGAACCACTTAGCAAAGAAGATAGGTGAAGTGGCCTGGATCCCGGCATCCTGAGAGCTCCAGGGAAATGGCCGGTGGAAGGAACTGAGTAGGGATCTCTCCCAAAGGCTTCTGTATCCTAGCTATGCCGTATTTTTCCCTTGAAAGTTTATCTGGGAGCTGTCATAAACATATTGTCCCTGCTTTTTAACCCAAGATCAAATGTCCACTTCATGTGATTACTTGTTAAAAATGCATCACTCTTAAATCTCACTCTTCACCAACTCCCATAGAATTACTGGTACTAAAAAACTCGTATGATAAGCTTTCAGATATTCTAACATGTTTCTTGCTTCAAGGTTAAGTTTCATGTACCTACCTGATTTATCGTGATCAAGGTGGTGGGGAGTTTTTGAGGATTTGGAGTCTTTCCTCTAATAATATCAGCTAACACTTACTGAGCATTTACTGTATATAAATATGTTCCTGCACGATCTCATGTAATTGAAGAGGAAGTGGGGTCAGGTACCATCCCTGACCCAATATTTTTTTTTTTTTTTTTTTTTTTTTTTTGAGACGGAGTCTTGCTCTGTCACCCAGGCTGGAGTGCAGTGGCGCGATCTCGGCTAACTGCAAGCTCCACCTCCCGGGTTCATGCCATTCTCCTGCCTCAGCCTCCCAAGTAGCTGGGACTACAGGTGCCCACCACCACGCCCAGCTAATTTTTTTGTATTTTTAGTAGAGACGGGGTTTCACTGTGTTAACCAGGATGGTCTCGATCTCCTAACCTCGTGACCCGCCTGCCTTGTCCTCCCAAAGTGCTGGGATTACAGGCGTGAGCCACCGCGCCCAGCCCCCAACCCTATTTTCATATGGAAAACTGAGGAGGCAGAGTTAAAATAACTTGCCCAAGCTTGTTTGAAACATTTCACACCAGGAGGGTCTGACCTGAGGGCTGAGCTTTTAAGCTGTGATGTGGACCATTCCTTTCCTTTCACCAGTCCCATGTTAATATGCATGCATGCGTAGGACTGAGCCAAAAACAGAACTACAAGGGTATGGAACTCATGGTGATCACGCCCTTCCCTAGCTCTGGGAAAAAGCCTGAGGCACAACATCCCTCACCCTCACTATCATTTATTCTTGCAATCATTCATTCAACAAATATTTGTAATTGAGGACATTCCATGTGCCACATCCTCACCAAGGACACAGTGGCCATCAAAACCAGATGGGACTGCTCTTACTGGGCCTACGATTCCCATGAGACACCAACACGAGGGTGGAATTTACGCTCACATAAACTTACAGCTGCAACAAGAGCTGTGAGGCACAGGAACAAGATACTGTGAGAATATGTAAAGGGGAAATCGCCTGATTAGGTCAGGGAAGTCTGTGAGTCTGTGACAGAAAAGGGGACATCTATAGAAACAGGAGAGGGGAACGTGTAATGGGGGATAAGAAGAGCATGGGGGGAGGCCCTGTGACGGGAAAGGAGCATGGCACATCCTGGGAATGAAAGTAGACAAGGGCTGGAGGAGGCCCAGCCATGCTTAGGACTCATTCTTTATGGTGAAGGTAGTGGGAAGCCTTTGAACCACCAACTTTGGACTGCATTCCTGAGCAGTTGCTCAAGGCCAAACAGTGCCCCAGCAGCCACCTTCTGTGTCTGTCTGCCATCTATGGAGTTATCAAGGAGGCAGATCTTCATAGCATCAGCATCCTTGAACTGTGACTTTAGTCGTGGTGATGGCCAGCTTGGGATCAGAGAGAACCAGGCCCTGGCAGCTTCCTGCTCTGTCCTGAAAGTTGACTTCCTTTGGTCTGTTGAATCATGGCATTTCCAGGAAGATCAAATATCACAAGAGAGAGATAGTAATTACACAATGTATTTGGGACAAAGATCACTCATACTTCTTTGCAAATAAGTCAGCTAATAATATTAAGAGTAATTTGGCTGGGTGCAATCGTTCATGTCTGTAATTCCAGCACTTTGAGAGGCCAAGGCTGGCAGATAGCTTGAGCCAAGGAGTTCAAGATTAGCCTGAGCAACAGAGCAAGACCCCCATTTCTACAAAAAAATTGTAAAAAATTAGCCAGGTGTGGCACGTGCCTGTAGTCCCAGCTGCTTGGGGAGGTTGAGGCAGGAGGATCACTTGAGCTGAGGAGGTTGGGGCTGCAGTAAGCCAAGATCACACCACTGCACTCCAGCCTGGGTGACAGAGCTAGACCCTGTTTCCAAAAAAGAAAAAGAAAAAAAAATGAATAATTTCAGTGTACTGAATTAACAGAATTCCACAGATTGTACCCTGCTATCTCTGCCTTTTCTGCCTTATCTCACTGTAAATTATTTGCTTGAGAAATGTGTTTATGCATAGTTTTCTGGAACAAAGCTGCCCGATGGCATTCCACAAGCATAGAAAAAATAATGATTATGGTGACTCACTTCTTGCTCGTTACTTAAATATTATTCACTAAACTTTGCTAACAAGAAAGAGTTACTATAAAATCGCTTCTCTGCCTCACTGGATATAATTTTCTCTTCAGTTTCAGATGCCATCTCCAGTGCTATTTAAGAGAGGTTTGCATGTGGATGTGAGAGAGATTACTTGCTTATTTATCTATTGCTTATTTACGCTTTTGTTTCAATATTTCTAGTGACCCCAACTGAGTGATTCGGATGTGAGCATGCACAGTCCCTTTACACCATGCACCTTACAATGATGGAGAGTTGAACTCATCAACATAATTTTCAAAAGACTGACACTTTTTTTTTCAGTCATAAATGCTTATATTTTGAAGATGGAGATATTATCTAGAGGCTTCTAGATAAACCATTTAACTCTAAAGAAGAGAAAACAGAATAACCCTTCACTGAGGGAATTCCATTTATTGATTAAAAAGCTGATTGGAATTTGCATTTGCACAGGTAGGGGGAAATCCCAATTTGTAGTCTGTGTCAAGTGGGGCCAGCCCCAGGTGAAATTGGCCATCTCAGCCCATGAAAGCAAGAGAAAATGTCAGCTGGGGAGATCCTCAAGAGAAAGTGTGGGGGATGGTGAATTTTATGTGTTAACTTGACTGAGCCATGGGATGCCCAGATATTTAGTCAAACAGTATTCTGAGTGTTTCTGTGAGGGTGTTTTTGAATGTGTTTAACATTTAAATCAATAGATAGTGTAAATGTGATTGTCCCCCAAATGTGATTGAGAATCATTTAATCCACTGAAGGCCTAAATAGAACAAAAGGCTGACTCTTCCCCATTAAGAGGGAGTTCTTCCTACTTGACTGCCTTTGAGCTGGGGCATCATTTTTTTCCTTGCCTTTGGACTTGAACCATGAGCTCTTCCTGGGTCTTGAGCTTGCTGGCCTTCAGCCTGGAACTATACCATCAGGTCTCCTGGGTCTCCAGCTTGCTGACTGCAGATCTTGGAACTTGTCAGCCTCCATAATCACATAAGCGTATCCCTTATAATTCTCGCTTTCCATACCAACACACACACACACACACACACACACACACACACACGATATATACATCATTTTCTCCATTTCAGTATCAGCTGATGGGAGAGGAGACAAGAGGAATGGAGGTGTTCCACTTGGAAAGGCCAGGCTCTTGGTTAGGTGGGAGGTTGGAGGTCATCTGATCCAACCTCCTGCCTGAGGCAGAAGGGCTCTCTATATCATGCTGTACATGTTCAAGCATGCGGTTCTTTGGCTTTGGCCTGAATACCTCAGAACGGCACTGCTGTGCGATGTTATCAAGGGCTCTGGAATCTGATGGCTTGTGTTTCACCTGGCCTAAACTTCCTACCAACCATGGCCTTGGGCACATCCTTACTTGACTCATTTCTAAAATGGGATAATAATACCGCTCATCTCAGGGCTTGCTAGGATGATGCCTGGAGAATACAGAAGAACATAGTCTAGTGGCCAGTATCTATTACAATAAATGTTAGCTATTATTAGTCCTGCCATTTCTAATCTAACCTTAATTTGGGATGTAAATGCCCAGATTCAGTAATTCCATGTTAGCTTTTCTTTTAAACTTGAGGGCAGCTGCAGATTTGATAACCATAGCTTCTATGTATTCTAAGGCCTTGCTATTCAAAATGTAGTCTGCAGAGCAGCAGCATAGATAGCACCCGGGACCTGTTAGAAATGCAGAGCTCTGGCTGGGCCCGGTGGCTCACGCCTTTAATCCCAGCCCTTTGGGAGGCCGAGGCAGGTGGATCACTTGAGGTCAGGCGTTCGAGATCAGCCTGACCAACATGGTAAAACCCCTACTCTACTAAAAATACAAAAATTAGTCAGGTGTGTTGACACATGCTTGTAAACCCAGCTACTTGGGCGGCTGAGGCAGGGGAATCACTTGAACTTGGGAGGCAGAGGTTGCAGTGAGCAGAGAATGCGCCACTGCACTGCAGCCTGGGTAACAGAGTGAGAGTTCGTATCAAAAAAAAGAAAAGAAATGCAGAGCTCAGGCTTCAGCCAATGATAAGTATTAATGTTTAATCTAAGGCTCCAAACAAAGGTGACAAGGAACACTGGGCTAGTGATAGAGTTCTATGATAACACCCTGGAGACTCCTCTCAGTTTAAAACACTGATTAACATTTAACTTTAGCCAACATAATAAAAAACAGATTTCTGGGAGGATTCTAAATATTAGAAAGGGTAGGATGAGGAAAGGGCAAGATCCCAGGCAGCAGTTGGAGCTCCTAGACTCTTCCATGTCACTGGCATTAGATGCCTCAACTCTGCCCATCTTCTGTGTATTCTATTCAAATTCTGATTAGCCCAATCTGGGTCAATGTCTTCTACTCTTGGACACCTGGCCCTGGCCAGGCTTGAATGCACAGCCAGGATGATGCTGAGTCAGAAGCCAGCCCAGTGTGTGTCCACTACAAAGACCATGTTTCAGAAAGATGCATAAGTACAGGTTTTTTGCTCAAACAGCCTTCGTAGATGTCCACTACTTGACTACGGTGGATCCTAAACAAAGTTAATACAATGTTGGGCACCTCAAACTTGCTTCAAGGAAAAAATGGAGAAGGGAGCCTGACTTAGAAAGGAGCAAGTTATTTTTGGAGGAGAACAGTATATTTACCCTATGAAATCATTGAAAACAACTGCTAGCGTATTTGGGGTGTGCACTTAGCAGAGGCTTCATTTGGAAAGTTTAATAATACAGAGATCCTTTGTTTGAGGGGGTGTTAGCTTCCTTTAAAAATACAATCTTTAGAGGAACAGGTAGCTCCTGGATCTGGAAAATAAAGCCTGAATTTCCCAGAGGGCCATAGGTGCATAGTTGAGAACTGAGTTTAGAATTTGAACTATGGTCATCTGAGGGAAAAGATAAGATTATCTCGTCACCTTTATCGAACCTATTGTTTAATCTTTGACAAATATATGCATGTTGATAAAATCCCAACCACCCGGAACTCAGGTCAGGAAAAAGAGACATGTTTTTGCTCCAAGTCAGCCACTCCATTAATAGGAATATCATAGCCACATCTTTGAAAGTAATGACACCACTGTTCTCTGGAGTGTGTTCAGGTGGGTGTGCTGCATTCTAAGGAGGGCATTGAAAACTGTAGGGATTCCAGGTAAAGAGCATCAGGGGAATGAAGAAAAGTTCTGGAAACCATGTTACACAAAGAACCATATGATATAGAACCAGAAACCAGGTGGCCATGTGGAATCGACTGCAGACATTCTCTTCTGCTCCTGAGGGCCAAACTAAGGCCATCAAGTGGAAATTATGGAGAGTAGGATTTTGGATGAATATAAACATCACTTAAAAATCTCTGACGTAGAATTTGTTATGGATAACATGGTTTGTGATTGGGGAAAATGCCTTGATAACTCTAATTTGTGTTGGAGAGATTGCTGGAGCAGGAATGTTGTCAGACTTTATAAGATTAGAGGAGGTCAGGGAAATTCCTATCAAGAGGCAAGGAGGGGAATTTGTTGTGTTCCTGAGAGGGAAGAGTGAACAGAAAAGTAAGAGAGGGGAGAGGGAAGCTAGGAGAAGGGTCAGAGAGGATGGAAAGGGTTTGGAAAAACAGAAACATCTCTTCATTCTTCATTCATTCATTTATCAATGTATATTTTTGAGTACTCAGACCTCTGTGCTAGGTGCCATTGTAGCCACTGGGGATAGGACAGTGAATAAAGTAGATGAAGTGCCTACTCTCAGGGTGGGGCGCACATTCTGGTGTAGAGACAGACAATACACTAACACAAATAAGTATACAACATGTCAACTCACAGTAGTGTTGTGAGGAAAAACAGAGCTGAGGAAAGCAATTGAGTGGCAGGTTGGTCAGGGAAGGTCTTTCTGAAATGATGTTTAGGCGGGAAACTGGATGAGGTGAGGGCTTAAGCCTGGGAAGTATCTGTGGGGAAAGCTTTTGGGAAAAATATATTTAGTCTGGGTGACTTGAGCAGAACTTTAACATGCTATGAAATTGTTAGGATTTGAACCAATCTTATCTAGATCTTGCAGGGGAAAGGGATTCCCACCTATATCTGATCAATAAAACTTGGAGTCTTCGCTCCAGAATGTTCTTTGGTTGGTCGGTTATTTCAGAGATAGGGTCTCCCTCTGTTACCCAGGCTGGAGCATTGGCTTGATCATAGCTCACTACATCCTGGGCCCAAGCAGTCTTCCTGCCTCAGCCTCCAGAGTAGCTGGGACTACAGGTGCATGCCACCATGCCCAGCTACTTCTTAAAATGTTTTGTAGAGATGGGGTCTTTCTATGTTGCCCAGACTGGTCTCAAACTCCTGGCCTCAAGAAATCCTATGTCCTCAACCTCCCAGAGTGCTGGGATTACAGGTGTGAGCCACGCCCCCACCTGGCCTCTCTCTAGAAGGTTCTCATGGGTGTATTGAACATCTATCAGCCAGAGGAGGGTTACTGTATTGGGTGGGAGGTTGAATTAAGTGGTTCTTATGCCTGGCTTAGTATCAGAATCACCTGGAAATTGCTTTAAAATTATAGGTTTCTAGGCCTCACTCCAGAAATTCTGCATCAGAATCTCTGGAAAATGGGGATCAGGAATCTGTACTTTAAAACAAGTTTCTCCAGTGCTTCTGATGCAATTAGAATACAGACTAGCATTTGGAAACCACCAAATTAGTTGACTTTTAAGGTTTCCTTCAGCTCAGAGAGTTTTTGATGGCATGAAATGCAGCTTCTCCATGAAGTCAATTCTATCTTTCCGATTGGAGTTTTAAAAACTTCTTTATAGCAGGGTGTGGTGGCTCACGCCTGTTATCCCAGCACTTTGAGAGGCAGAGGCAGGTGGATCACCCGAGGTCAGCAGTTCAAGACCAGTTTGGCCAGCATGGTGAAACCCTGTCTTTACTAAAAATACAAAAATTACCCAGCCATGGTGGTGCATGCCTGTAGTCCCAGCTACTTGGGAGGCTGAGGCAAAAACCCGGGAGGTGGAAGTTGCAGTGAGCTGAGATTGCACCACTGCACTCCAGTCTTGGCGACAGAGCAAGACTCTATCTCAAAACAACAAATAAATAAAAAATAAGAAAAAAAAATCCACTTCTTTTTAGGTGTTAAAAGGAACACAAGCTTGCTGTTAAAAAAATTCAAATGATAAAAAAATATAGGCTGCACATCCTAGAAATAACCATTATTAGTGTTTGGTGCATATTATTCTCGATTTTGCCATATATGTAGATTCCATACACACACACACACACACACACACACACACACACATATACATAATAACATTTTGTTGTTGTTTTTGAGACAGGGTCTTACTCTGTCACTCAGCTTGAGTGCAGTGGTATAATCGGCTTACTGCAGCCTTGAGCTCCTGGGTTCAAGTGATCCTCCCACCTCAGCTTCCCAAGTAGCTGGGACTACAGCTGGGACTACATGATCAAGCGATCCTCCTGCTTCAGCCTCTCAAAGTGCTGGAATTATAGGTGTGAGCTACCATACCTGGCCCATAATAAAATTTTTAATCCTTTGGTTTACAAAAATATGATCATAATTTACTGCAATTTGCTTTATACGCTTGTTAATACATCTTAAATATACTCCTAAATCAATACATATAGAGCGACTTGATTTTTCGTGTGTTTTTTTTTTTTGAGATGGAGTTTCGCTCTTGTTGCCCAGGCTGGAGTGCAATGGCACGATCTCAGCTCACCTGCAAACTCTGCCTCCTGGGTTCAAGCAATTCTCCTGCCTCCGCCTCCCGAGTAGCTGGGATTACAGGCATGTGCCACCATGCCAGGCTAATTTTGTATTTTTAGTAGAGATGGGGTTTCTCCATATTGGTCAGGCTGGTCTTGAACTCCTGACCTCAGGTGATCTGCCCGCCTCGGCTTCCCAAAGTGCTGGGATTACAGGCCAGCCACCACGCTCAGCCTGTGACTTGATTCTTATAATGACTGCCTAGTGTTTCATTGTATGTCTATATCATAATATAATGGACATTTAAGTTGTTCCTATTTTTCTGCTATTACAGCCACTACAGCAATTAACATCATTGCAGCATATTTTCTTGGTATTCATTGTAAGTGAGTATTCGGCATAAATTCCTAGATTTGGAATTTTTCAAATATTCCTGTAAGGTGCTACCGGTTTATATTCAGACCAACCATTTTATAGGAAGGTTCCTGTTTCCTCACCCTCTTACTCTTCACTGATATTATCTTTTAAATTTAAGATAATCAGTTACATAAAAATATCTTATTGTTTCAATTAGAATTTCTTTGGTTCTTGCTGAGAATGAGATCATTATGTTTATTGCACATTTGTTTTTCTTCTATAAATTATCTGTGTCCTTTGCCATCTTTCTATTAGATGGAAATTTCTTATTGATTTGTGTAGGCTTTTTATTTATATGGCTATTAATCCTCTATGTAGTTTCTCTAGAGTGTTGTTTATCTTTTTATTTTATTAAAATGTAAGGGTGGATAATACATTTTATAAGATTCAAAAATCAAACCTACACAGAAAGGTAAACACAGAGGAGTTGCATTTCCACCTCTGTCCCTCCACCTGTCCCTCCCAATCCCTTACATGGAATCATTTTCCTGTGCTTCATTGTGTAGATATAAGCAAAAATGCCTGTATAGTGTTTCTCTCCTTTATTTTTAAAACATAAAATGTAGCACATGATAAAAAATCTGGAAGAAACCTAAGTGTCCATCAAGAGACGAATGGATAAAGAAAATGTGGTACACATACACAATGGAGTACTGCCATAAAAAAGAATGAGATTCTGTCATTTGCAACAGCATGGATGGAACTGGAGGTCATTATGTTAAGTGAAATTAGCTAGGCACAGAAAGACAAACACCGCATGTTCTCACTTATTTGTAGGTGCTAAAATTTAAAATAATTGAGCACATGAAGATAGAGAGTAGAATGATGTTTACCAGAGGCTGGGAAGAATAGTGGGATGGTGGGGACTGGGGATGGTTAAAGGGGACAAATATATAATTAGATAGAATAAATAAAATCTAGTATTTGATAGCATCACAGGGTGACCACAAACAACAATAATTTATTATAAATTTAAAAATAGATAAAAGAGTATAATTGGATTGTTTATAACACAAAGAAAGGATAAATGCTTGAGGAGATGGAGACCCCATTTACCCTGATGTGATTATTATGCATTGTATGGCTGTATTAAAATATCTCATGTACCACATAAATATATACACCTACTATGTACCCACAAAAATGAAAAAATTTTAAGAAACCCTGCAAATCTAACCAAAAAAGAGGGACAGGCAAAAGATCTAGAATGTTTCAGGAACTCCTCTAAGAAAGTGCTTCTTGACCCACCCTCAACCCAATTATTCACTCCTGTAATACCCTGTATATTCACCTATCCAATAAGTGGAGTTACACTTACCATGTCCAATAGAAATTTTCTGGTTTTGGTACTCATATCATCATCACTTTCTTGTATTTATATCTATTTTTTCATATATGTATATACAATTGATGTATAAAGGTGTTTATCTCGGAGTGGGCAAGATTTCAGGTGATTTCTACCTTATCAGGTACTTTTCATATTTAAATGTTTACAGATTAAGAATACAAAATCTACAAACAAAAAAAATTCTTTCACAAAAGAGAAATAAATGTTCTGATATTATTTTTTTCACTTAATATTGACTTAATATAAACTACTGATATCCAGGTAACTGCTCCATATCAGTCCATAGGGATCTTCTTCATTCTGTTTTCAGCTGCGTGGTACTCTGTTGGTGGATGTACCATACTCTATGCTGGGCACTTGGGTGTTTACAATTATTTTATCATTACAAACAAAACAAATCAGTTTTTGCTTATTTCATTTTGTATCTCTGCAGTGTAGTGTATTTGTAGAATAGATTCCTGAGAAGTGAAATTGCTGGTCAAAAAGTTGTCACCTTTCTTTTTACTTTGTGATGATGACTTTCATTATAAAGAAGTTTTCATTTTTTGTGTTAATTTTTTCTACTTATTGTTTTTGGATTTTGTAGTGCCTTCTTTGGGAAGAAAGGTCTGCTTGGACTATAAATTATAAAGGCATCCTTTACCGTTTTCTCCCAAAGCATGCGCGCACACACAATCTTCACTGTGTATGGATTTCCTATTGTCTGTGATGTAAGAGTCTAATTATCTTCTCCCATAAGGATATCCCATAATACTTTACGCCTTATTTGAGGAACTTATCACCTTCTTCCTCTTTCTGCCTGGAAAGATAAATCTGTGTCAAATATTACCTCTCCTACTAGACAGTGAACTCCTGGAGAGCAGATATTATGCCTTATTCATCTTCACATACCTGATAGTCCCTACCACAATCCTGACTCATGACAGATGTTAAATACTTCCTTCTAAATTTAATAGAAAGTGTAGAATGCCGGCCAGCTTTCCAATTTTCAGGATAGAAAATGAACTTATATTGTTATTAGAGATGAAATCTGTGTTGGGATAAACTTCTAGAACTCCAGTAATATGAGACATTGGTGTGACGATAAGAAAGGAATTCTTCCAGGTCTCTTCCAGTCTATGAAAATTCTTTGTGAAACAAGTTAGAAATGTGCAAAGGCAGGATTTATAATACTGGCAGTGGACCAAAACACAAGTATACGGAGGGGAATGTGTTTCTATCCCTTTACAAATTCACCTTATAGAATCACATCCAGACATTTGTTATTTGTGCCCCTCTACATTTTATCTGAGAAAGTTTATTTATTTATTACACAAATATTAGACTGGACTGTATGAAATGGCTCATACTTAATTCTTATCCACCAAAGCTTCAGTTTCATTAGGTTCCATCCAATATGTACTGAACCCTGTGTTTTAAGTAGTGTGTAAATGTAGCGAGTGGCAGGAGGTATTTTAGTGAAAACATAAACATGGTCCCCGTCCTAACAGAACTGAAAATTTACTGAGCAAGACAGACACTAAACAAGAAAGAACACAAAATAGTATAATAATCAGGAATTTCTGGATTAGCATGTTTTTCTGACACTTACATGAATCAATAAAAATATGTTGAAGGTACTACATATAGTTTAAATGAAAATGTGCTCTTTATGTTTTGCTTTACTCTTAAGTCTATATATCTTCTAAGTATTTTGTTAATCTTATAAGCATTCAGTCAAATTGTTTTAAGTATATATATTAAGTCAGTTCTACTGAGGCATAACTTATATGCACAAAAAATTCATTCCCTTTAGGTGCACAGTTCAATGCATTTTGACAAATGGGTATAGTGTATAACCACATCAAGATATAGAACATTTCCATCATCCCCAAAAATTTTCTCATGCCATTTGTATTTGATTGTTGAACTGATTTTAACTGAACTGTTTGTTGGCAGGCTGGGCTCCTCCAGACCTCTGCCTCTTATTTTACCAAGAGCCTTGTCTTCCACGACTGAGGACAAAAGGTCTGGCATATAGTAAGGAAGTTGCTGGGATCTTCACTGGATCTTCACCGTGGCTAGGAGATCTAGAGTTTATCTGAAGAAACAGGTTGTTCAGTTCAGCTGGGATCAACCAGCCTGCCTGGAGAACCTACAATGTACCAAACATCTCTGGGGACATTTGTTCTCAACTAGAAAACTCAGACCACCTGTGTACATTCATCCTTTTAACTTACACCCACTCTCTTCAGTTGTGCATTTTTCTTATCTTAGCTTTTCCGAATGCTTGAGCTTCCTCTGAAACCCTGAACTTTTTAGATCTGAAATTCATGGTCTCTGGATGTCTGTGGAGGATGCTGCAAGCTTGCCCTTTGTTTGAAGGGTCTGAAATTGGAGAAAAGGGAAGATGACTCTAGCATATAAAAACCTCAGCAGAAAGAGATTCAGGGATGTTTGCACTGATTCATGGGGAGAATTATAGTAAGGGACAAATCTTATGATTCAGTTGTGGATTCAGCAACTCTGCAGAGATAATGCTGAAACATCAGTTATAGCTTTATTTTCTTGCTAAGTATAATTGGATGAAGAATAAATATTGTCATGCAGCCTAGTCCATGCTACCAACCTTCCAGAGAAACACCAGCCACTTTGGTTTTCAGGGTTTACAGCCACAAAGCAGACTACTTATTTTGAGAAATGATGTACACAAGTAAACCAAAGTAGCAAGAATGTCTAAACCAAATCTTACTAATATGTGCAGTATTAGATAATCAATGAATCAAGAAGTAGTCCCCAAACTTGATTCTTAGAATTACCCTCAGAGCTTGCTGAAAATACAGATTCTCTGGAGATTCCAATTATCTGGCAAGGGGCCTGGGAAATTGCATTTTTGCTAAACTGCCCTGTTGGTTCTGATGCTGCCTATCTAGAGTCTACCCTTTGAGGGCATTGAATTTAAAATGAGAGGCCTGAATTTCCAGGGTTCCAGGGGGGGTTCTATTTCCTAGCTGTGTAGGCTTGGCTTAGATATGTCATTGCTCTGGGCCTCAGTGGCCTCATTTGGGAAATGGATCGTGAGGTTTTTGAGGACAGAAGCATGGGTAAGAGGCATGGTTTGAGAGATTAATGTGGTAGGTCTATATGGATGGGCTAAGCCTGAGACATGGGAGAAGGAGGCTAATTAGAAGGTAGTTGCCACAGTGCAGGCAGAGCTGTGAGGACGGGGAGGAAAGGCAAGGAGGGGCCAGAGGTGAGAGGCCACACAGAGTGGGAGTCATAGGATTTGGTGACTGGATATGGAGGGTGAGGAACAAGAAGGGGAAAATGGGGCTTCACACTTGGGTGACTAGGTGAATGAAGGCTTCATTTAAAGAAATCAGAAAATCCAGAAGTTTAGACGGATAAAACACTTGATTGTCCCTGTAGAGGTTCCTCCCTGATGGCACTGTGCTGCATTCTGGGATGTCCCCTCCTCTCTGATTTAAGAGGATAATATAAATGTGGATGACAGAGGCAGACAGCAGCTCTGGGGCCACTGACTCCTCCCATTACCTTAGGCAAATCATCTCACCTCCAGGAACTTAGTTTCCTCATTAGGAACTAAAGTGGATGGACTAGAAAACAGGGATTCTTGTGGGATCTCTGGATGACCTTCAAGAATTTCATGAATTCCCTGAAACCATATGCAAGATTTTCATGAGTAGGCCTATCTAGAATTTTCTATGGAGAGGGCCCAGAGCTGACATCAAATTCTTAAAGGAGTTAGTAACCCGAGAGGAGTTGATAATGATTGCAATAGATAACTTCTTTAAAAAAAAAATCTTATTATGGGTGTAACCAAGTACCCCATTTTCCTAAAAATTATCTTTTACCTTTTCTCTTTTTCCCTGTGTGTTCACCTTTTACTTAACTCTTTAGGAATGCAACTATAACCTTTACCTTCTCTCCACCAGGCACTCCCTGCACTGCCAGCTTATCTAACTATATGTTTGCTTAGAAATTCTAAGAACCGAATGTTGAACCGAACCAGGTACCCTTCAGGATTCTTCCCCACCAGAAGATAGCCTCGAGGCAACAGCTAATTTACAATATAAATTCTGTTCCAAGGGGACTCTCCCCAACCAGATTTCCAGGGGACTGTGGTCAGTCTGCTACCTAGCTCTGCCTGCGATGGCGCCAGCCAGACTACCTGTTAGATAAGACATCCAACAAGTCACTTCCTTGTCTCCTCCCCTCTGTGCCATCCATGCCAGGTTCTCCTTTAAAGCCTCTGCTTTCTGGCCTGAAAGTGGAAGCATACCCTTAAGGCAGGAGGAGCCTGTAACTCTTCCCCTCAGCTAAGCTCTGTAATAAAGGCAATTTCTAGCAGACCTCAATCTTATTAATTGAACTCTGTAAGCAGTGATCAGCTGGACCTGTGTTTGGTTACAGGGGGAATTTCGACTATACAAAAGAAGAGGATAAATGAGAGCTATTCAGTTATTACCCAACTCCAATACTTGAAATGATCTCTTAAGTGCTTTTTAAAGTATATTTCATTGTATTCATTTATATGTTGGATTTTTTTTTCATGTATCACCCCTAAGTGGGTTTTACTCTTATAAAGATAGGTGTTCAAAGAAGGAAATGGTAATATTCACAGGCCTCTATTTAAGGTACTCACTAGATGCTATCTCTTCTCTCTGTTAACCAGGTTGATGAATGTCCTTGCCTCTCTCTACAACACGTGAGCTGTTCTTTTCCCACTTCTTTAATGGTATACTTACCAGGAGTCAGTTATGTCTGTTTCCAAACCTGTTTGTGCCTATTGTACCAAGTCTTAACATTATGTAATTTCATTAAATATGTACCTAATGTATTGAGAAAGAAGTTGGAGGTATGCAAACTTTTTAAAAAAATCAACTTTATTCTTTCTCAGATGTGCTGCATTGGATTTTCCATCCTGCCATTGGGTGATCTCTCCAGCAGATCCCATAGCATTTCCATTCAATTTCAGATCTTAATAAATGGCCCCACTTTTAGTTGTTAAAAGGTGCCATCCAGTTTCATATCAAAGCTTCACCTTCTCCTCCAGGTTGGGCCCGACTCAGGCTCAGAATCTCACTGGGGGCCTGGTTGGCTCTTTGTTATCCCTTCATCCTACTCCTAATGCCTCCTCCCCCAGACACTGCTGTGTCCAGATATTCAGGGATGAAAGTGGGCAGCAAAAGAGAAAAGGAACATATGTGACCAGTGACTTTGTAATGTGACACCAGTGCCCCTGAGTGGCACATGCCCTGAAGTTTGCTCTTTCTCTCGTGGGGCACTTTTGTGGGTCCTTCAGAATCCACCCACCATCACTAACACTACATGGATCTTCCCCTTCACCATTCCTCCATGCAGGAAATGCCCCCTCCGTTTGGCTGTTATAATTCTCCTCTCCCCTCAGTGCTTTTTTTTTTTTTTTTTTTCTTTTGAGATGGAGTCTCACTCTTGTCGCCCAGGCTGGAGTACAACGGTGTGATCTCAGCTCACCGCAACCTCCACCTCCCAAGTTCAAGAGATTCTTCTGCCTCAGCCTCCCAAGTTGCTGGGATTATAGGCATGTGCCACCATGCCCCGCTAATTTTGTATTTTTAGTAGAGACGAGGTTTCAAAATGTTGGTCAGGCTGGTCTCGAACTCCTGACCTCATATGATCCACCGGCCTTGGCCTCCCAAAGTGCTGGGATTACAGGTATGAGCCACGACGTCTGGCCATCCCCTGAGCTCTTAACTTTTGATGAGTACATTGCCCTGGCAGGCAGATCTCTTGAACAGAGCCCTTTCTAAATGATCAAGCCCAGCTGTCTTCAGTGTCCACACTGGCCCGTGGGAAATACACATCCTTGCCCAACATTGCTGGAAGTACAATGGTGTTCTTACTGTACTACTCTCTCCTCCTCTGCAGCCAGAGGAAGCTTCTTACCTTTAAACCTTTCTAGGTACAATCCAGCTTCTAGTCCTGGTGACCTTCAACTCTAAGGATACACATTATGCTCTTCTGGCAATTCATGTAAAGATCTCCCTGACCCCAACTTCAAAGAAATTCCTTTTATCAGTCTTTTTCACTGCTCTTCCCTAATCTCTTATGTGGCCTGGGAGTTGGTGGCAAGCTAAATAATGTTGGAAATTTTTGGTCATATTCCTTAGCAAGTTCTATAAGGATAATCTGGGTCCTCTCTTCAGAATGTGTGGGTGCTTAATAAACTTTGTGCTTAGTTTGTGGGCATCAGTCAGAATTGAGATAATGGAGGCGGGGCGCCATGACTCACGCCTGTAATCCCAGCACTTTGGGAGGCCAAGGTGGGTGGATCACCTGAGGTCAAGAGTTCGAGACAAACCTGGCCAACATGGTGAAACCCCATCTCTACTAAAAATACAAAAATTAGCTGGGCGTGGTGGTGGGGACCTGTAATCCCAACTACTTGGGAGGCTGAGGCAGGAGAATTGCTTAAACCCGGGAGGTGGTGGTTGCAGTGAGCCAAGATCACGTCACTGCACTCCAGCCTGGATGACAAAGTGAGAATCTGTCTCAAAAAAAAAAAAAATTGAGATAATGGAAATGTTCCATTTTAACATCCACCTTAGAAATATCACTTAATTGGGAAAAATGTGAGTGTGAAAGGGAGCTGTTTTTATGGAAGCTAAGTTAGTTGTTTAAAAAAGACAAAAATTCAACAACAATAAAAAGACCTCATATCAAAATAATTAAGATCCCATAGAATTAGGTGTAGAAGAATCAACTATAGATTTGGGGGATTGTAGAAACACTTTAAATACTCCTTAGAGTGTTTAAGATTCTCTAAGTTCCTGCTTCTCTTTAAGGAAGCTAAATTGATGTCTGCTTAGAGAATGCAAGGCTCCAAATAGCAGCCTCATACGCAAAGAAAGTGATGAATGAACGTACTCTGATATGTTAGAAGTTAAAAGGAATATTTAAGGTAAATATCATTAATTTTTTTTTTGTGATTCCCTGCTTTAACTGACTTTTAAAATTATCAAACCACCACCAGTTTTAACAGAGCTAGCTAAGAAGTTTGCAGAGAATGCGGTTTTTCCTTCACTATCCATCCTTCTCTTCTTCCATGTTAACAGAGTTCCAATTTTTAGCTGGACTCTAGTCCCCCAGAATAAAAGTATTGCTTGGTCCCTTGCAACTCGGCATAACCACGTGACTAAATCCCGGTCAATATATATATCTTGAAATATCTTTTGGCAGCTTCTGGGAATGCTCTTTAAGCAACAGCTACTACAATGTGCACTTTGCTCATTTCTTCTTTGCCTGTCTTATGCCACCTGGAATGCAGATATGACAGCTGGAGCTCTAACTACCATTTTTTTTTTTTTTTTTTTTTGCCATAAGGAAAAGGACTATACCTAGAAGATGGTGAAACTCTGGGTTGGAAGGAATTTGAGTCTTTGAGGGCTTCATGGAATCAAACTGCCAGAACAATATGGGAATAAATATTTGCCTTCTTTAAACTGCTTTTATTTTAGATCTTTGTGATTCAGCCAACCTAATCAAAACCGATCTAGAGGCTTGGACCTTAGTTATTTTTTCTGAACTGAAATGCAACCTGCCCTACATATTCTATTAAGAAACTTATAAACAACTAATGTCTGTGTAGACTTTATCATAATCCTCAGGAGCTTTATATAGACAGGACACCTGAATTAGAAAGAGAAGCGTCCTCAGCCCTTTTAGACTCAAAGATTCTACAGTGCACTATTTTACTTGAAGAATATTCTTTTAATAAAAAATTAACAGAAAGTCAATGCCTTGCCCTGAGACAATTCTAATAAAGTCAATGAGTTGACTTAGTGTTTATGGTAACTATTTCTATGTTCTGCCATTTCATCAGGCCATATTGATTTATTTTCCCTTGTCTAACTTGAGAGCTGGCAACACATTTTCAGAGCCAGGACCAGCATGTTAACACATAGTTCCTTGACAACAGAAGTGCCACATTCCTTTAGTTCTGAGATTCTCTCAATTGAAGATACATTATTGGTTTCATAACAACTTTTTGAGAAAAAAGAAAACTATATTAAATGAACCTTTTTGTCTTAGTAAATGTCAATAGTATATGCACACAAACACACAAATTCAAATTTTTTATTTTGTACTGTAAACAAGGTTTGAGTTTAAATCTATTCATATTCAGTCTAAAGATTCCTTTGAATCACTTTTTGTTCCACAGCACACCGGCTCCCTGATTCGCTTAACCAGTTCTTGTGCTTCTGGGGTCTTTTGCACCTGTGCTACCAGTACTATGAATGGTTAATATACTTCTAAGGGAGGAGACCACCCCTTATATTGTCTTATGCCCAATTTCTGCCTCCAAAGAAAGAAAAAGTAAAAACTAAAAGGTAGAAATGAAATCCACAAGCAGACAGCCCGGCGCCACACCCTGGGCCTGGTAGTTAAAGATCAACCCCTGACCTAATTGGTTATGTTATCTATAGATTACAGACATTGTGTAGAAAAGCACTGTGAAAATCCCTATCCTGTTTTTTTCCGATCTAATTACCAGTGCATGCAGCCCCCCATCACGAACCCCCTGCTTGCTCAATCGATCATAACCCTCTCACGCGCACCCCCTTAGAGTTGTGAGCCCTTAAAAGGGACAGGAGTTGCTCACTCGGGGAGCTCTGCTCTTGAGACAGGAGTCTGGCTGATGCCTCCGGCCAAATAAACCCCTTCCTTCTTTAACTTGGTGTCTGAGGAGTTTTGTCTGCGGCTCGTACTGCTACACTTCTATTTAATTGTATTCCAGTAAAATTCTTTTTATCCCTGTCCCTATTTTTAGAGACAATAAAATCTTTTGGAGAAAATAAAATTGGGCTCTACAGGCCTGACTCTTGTTTTGAAAGCTGACTGATGAAATTCTGGCACATGGCTTTAAAAATGCAAGATATCATAATGAACAAAAAGAGGCTCATAAAAAGATGAAGGTGTCTCTTTCCCCTGAAGCTTCAGTGGGAGAGGATCATTTATGTCACAGATCAGTTAACAGAATCAGTATTGATAAGGAATTAGAATGTAAAACCTTGCAAGAACATTTATTCTTGTTGTCCTGTGCAACATGAAGACTTGTATGAAGGTGTATAATTGTAATGAGACCTTGAAGGCATGATTTGAATTGTAATGGGATCTTGAAGGCATGATTTGAATAAGGAATCCTGCAAGAGTCTAAAGACTCTTTAGAAACCTGCAAGTCTGATTGGCTGTTGTTATGGTTTGAATGTCTGTGTCCCTTGAAAATTCATATATTGAAACCTAACCACAAAATGATGGTACTAAGTGTGCGGCCTTTGGCAGGTAATTACGTCATGGGGGCTCTCCCCTCATGAATGACATTAGTGTCCTTATGAAAGGGCTGGAGGGAGTTTGACCCTTTTTGCTCCTTCTGCCATATGAAGACACAGCAGCAGGGTGGCACCCATGAAGCACAGAGCAGCCCTCACTAGACACTGAATCTGCTGGTGTCTTGATCTTGGACTTCCCAGCCCCTAGAACTGTGAGAAATAAATTTCTATAATTTATAAGTTACCCAGTTTAAGGTATTTGTTATAGCAGCAGGAACAGACTGAGACAGTTGTCTTCATAATTCGCTACCTTGGTACTAATGTATTGACATCTGTATCCTTACCTGTATACCTGTATGATTGGTGTCAAGTCAGAAAAGCATTATTAGCACTTTTCTATCACATGCATGATAGAAATACCAAATGCTATGACTCATTTTAACAATGAGATTGAGAGTCTTACTTCTTTTACATTTATATCATAACTTCAAGGCACATTTTAAAAAATCAGGTTTCTGTATATCCTGGTAAGGTTTTTTTTCTTCTTTAACATATGTTCTGAGACTGAATCTGATTTCAGAAGTGCAGATATTTTCAGAAATGTAGATTTTTAAATAAATCTTAAGGAAAACTTGGCATTTAAACAAATGTAATTGTTGGCATTTTAATTCTGTGTGTCAGTGGATATTCAATTGTCAGAGTTATGCTTCTGTAATCTTGAGGCCATTCTTAACAGCGTATAAGGCTGAGAATAAATTACACTGTGCATCCCCTTCTCCCTATCCCCTAATATTTTGTTCTGGGGAAATCTGTTTAAAATATTTATCAAGAGCAACTTAAAAGGTAAATTAAAATGCAGAGTTACAAAGAGACAATAACCAGCATTCTAAATGGTGTGTGTGGAAGATACAGGAACCCTTGATGCTTCCTGGCCATCAGTCAGGTGACCCAGGGCATAAGGAATATTCTGTTAACTTTATGTAGACACCTTGGGTCTTTCAGAAAACCATCTGCCTTCTTCTATAGCTTGTTGGCTTCTCAAATCCTTGCAAAACACTGGGCATCTGATTTCCTAAGCAGTTTGGGACCCCAAAAGATTCTTTCATTTTGCTCTGCCTGAGGGCAGTGTTTCCACCTTTACGGTTCAGCTATCTCTGTATTATTTACTTAATATTTTTATAAGGCCTTGCTCTGTTTCCTTAAATGTATTTACTTTAAAAGGACACTTTATATTATGATCTTAAATGGAAAAACTGGTGTCAGACAAAATTCCAACAAATTTAGTTATAGATTGAATTTGGCTTTTGTTTGTAATTCATGAATGGGGTGGCTTTCATTCTAAAATAGAATCAGAGTCCCCCATTCCCACCGCCACCCCCACTCTGGGCAATGGCAGAATGGTGGGTTTTGCAAGGTGGGGACAAGAAAACAGAACAAGAAAAAAAGGTGATTGGTCAATTTCAGGTTACTTTTTTGATAAGGGTTAAACAGAGGGGACTTCATTATTATGCCAACTCAGGTAGACTGGAATCTCTCCTGTTTTCAGCAAATATAGGGCTGTGGGGACGTATCTGTTTCCTTAAAGTTTCAGTTTGATTACGTGGCATTTAGCATGAGTGACTTCATTTTGGTTTGGACTGGTCTGTTGCGGCCTAGTGCTAGAGCTCAGCCTAAAAAATGGCCTCCCATAATTTTTGTTTACACTAGTATCACACTATAAATGGAAGGCAACTTCAGGCCAGAGATGGGCTCACATCAGAAAAATCCAGAATTCAATCATGTGCCCCGATTTAAAACCACCAATGTCTTTTGAAAGCCTTTCTGGGCTGACAAAGTTCTGTGTGATTGGTCTCTGATACCACTCTCTCTAGAGCTTCACCCCCTACAGTGCAGGCCTATTGACCTTCTTCTAGGCCCTAGACTTGCCAAGCTCACTCTTCCTCTGTATTTGGTGTGACCAGCTTTTTCTTGTCATTCCAATCTCTGCTTAAATGTCGCCTCCTGGAGTGGTTGCTGTTGGTGTCCTGCCCAGAAGCTTAGGTACCTTTACTAGCTCTATTTGACCACTCCCTTTCCCCCTAAATCCTCCATGTCACCAACAGCATATTTTACATACAGCATTTTGTTCAAAAAATATTTGTTGAATAGAGGGGAAAACATAGATAAATGGCTGGATTGACACATTTGAAGAATTATAATAAATTGATTTGAATAATTAATTGATAAGACAGAAAACTTATTAATTATTATCTACTAACCACAATAGTTTTCAGAATAATCAGCTAAGGGAATAAAACAAAGACAGGATGATTTAGAGAGGAATTCTCAAGATTGGGCATCATAACCAGAGGTGTCCCGAGTTAGCAGAGAGCGGGAGGAACGCTCTGCACATCTGGGGACTGCCATTGGGACCACTAAAGACAAATGTACTTGCTGTTAGTTTCCATTAGACAGACTCATAAAATACTACAGTTTGGTGTGCAACACAGACTGAGCCTTGAGATGACACAAAGCACAATGCCTGCATCGGGTTACCATATTTGGCAGATTGGAAAATGACTGTCAATGCCACCTGAAGGGTCAATGTGACTGTTTTAGATGATAAAACTCTCACAATCTCTGTCCCTTATAGAGTATGATTTCTGATTCCCTAGACTGATCAGAAACTTCTAGTGTCAAAGGGATGTGAATCATTTGACTGCATGTCTTCCTGTCTGCCCTCCTCTCAGCTCATTTGAGGTAAATGCTTAGCAGACACGTTCCCACTGATAAAACTGCATGCATATTTACTCTTCACTTTCTTGTTCTTTCAGACACAAATGCACAGTCTTAATCATAATAGGAGACACATTTGTAGTCCAAGAGTTGCAGCAATAATCTTACTGATTTTGCTTTTCTGCTTGCTTTTTCTGAGAAGACACGTTACTGTGATGCAAGGTGTGAAAGCTGCTGATGTTTACAGGAAACAGATTGGAACAAGATATCAGCACAGACTGAGGTACCACGTTGTAGGGAGCCTGCCACTGCTTCCCAGGCCTCCCTGCCACCAGTAGCCCATTGGTGGCCTGCCCATTTGGGGTTTTGGCTGGTACCAAATGTGCAATTGCTCACTGTATCACACTTACAGCACTTATAAAGAAACTCTGACACTGTAAGTGCCAAGGTAGGGAAGGGGAGGGAGGTGGGATTGGAGGATTTTGCTCACTTCTACATAGCCTTCATTAGCATCCCCTAAAGCTGCCTGAAATAAACATTCAATCTAAATAAAGACTTATTTCTTGATATGTAAATGCAGCTTAAAAATAAGTCCCTTTCACACCTCTTTTAGCCACAAGATTGCCCCGAACCCCTTCTGGAAAGACATTCTGAACTCAGGGAGAACTTGGTACAGAATTCTTCTTTAAGACAAGACTTGTGAATTAAAGTAGTATGTTCAATATCACTATATTTACCAATATCTGTTCCTTCTCCTATCCTAGGCATATGGAAGACTGTACTTCTCAGTTTCTTTGCAGTTGGATAGGGCCATGTAACTAGTTATCATGGCCAGTGTAATGATACACATCATTTCCAGGTGAGACAGTGTGATTCGCCCAACTCTTTCTTCCCCAACTTAGGCAACCATGGAGAAGATTGTATGCTGAGATGGAAGACCCAAAAGATTGAAGCAGCCTGGATAACTCGGGTACCACACAGAGGACAACTGCCCTAGAGAGTTGCCTTGACCCGCAAAAGACATTGCCTGAGATGAAAATAAACTTTTATTGTGTTAAACCTTTGAGATCTGGGGCTTGTTTGTTACTGCAGCATAACTTAGCCCATTCTTACTAACATAAGAAATGCCCAATGGAGTGCCTGTCAATTCTTCTCGGATCTCATCCTACCTCTCTTCCAGCCAGATACTATCTTACAAGCTAGTCCTCTCTCCTCTAATACTCTTCCACAGCCAACCCATCTTTAGACTCTCTAATCACCTAAACCTTAAGATTTTTCTTCCTCAAGAATCTTTCTCAAGCCACATTTGCCTTAGCAGTTCATTCTTCTGAGAATTTATTCAATTGTTTCATGAAACAAATAAAGTCTCATGGAGAATTAGTCTCAGTATCCAGGGAAGAGAGAATATTTGATTTTCTTCACATAATGTATTTTTACATGACTAAATTAAAAAGTAGGTCGTTTGTCTTTACTAGGTGAAGATAAGAACTACTTTCCCCTTTTCCTGACACTTCTAAAGTTAATCTTAGGACTTAAAATGCTGGTGTAAAAATAATTGCTTTTTCCTCTACTGTAAAGTTAACACCTAAGTGCCTAGAGACTCTGCCAGTGACCCAAACTTAAACTCCAACCATTTGCACAGAATGATCTTTCCCTGGCCAAAGAAAATGCCTCCTTGGGTCTAGAAGTTAGGCTTGCAGTTTTTGAACTGCTCCATCAATCTACGTGAAACTTCACACTTCTCGGCCATAACTGCTAGGGAGAATGCTAGAAACAACTGGATCTTTATTTTCTCCGATCACCTCTGAGTGAACGAGGCAGAATAAATAAAGCAATGGACCCTTAGATGTACTTTACTGAGTTGACCTTTAAAGTTAGTGGAGTAGAATTCACTTGGATTCTATGTCCACTTGCTCTTTTAACTTTAGTTAAAAGCAAATAACAGAAAATTTAAATACAGAGGCTGAAACGATTAGTAGTTTAATTGATGATTTCTTTTTGGTCTGATATTTTAGAGATTCAAAGATCTCCCCAAAGGTGAGAAGTAACTTCTAGAGGGTGTTAGAATGTTATCCCCAGCCTTCAGGACACAGAAACCCTTATCAAATATAGAAAGGTTGGAAAGCAGCCAATTGTCAGAAAAGCCTGGGTGGACTGTATCCAAGGCAAAAAGACCCAACTGGAGAGATAAGCTGGCCTTACTTTGTGAAGATGACCCGGTTGGTTGCCTCAGTTACAGAGCTCCAGTATCCTCTATCCCCCACCCCCTCCTTCTCTAGTTCTTTTGGGATGGCAATATGTCAGCGCTAAATCACACTTAAACATAAACCAATCATGACAACACTGTTTCCTGTTTTCCCAGACTTCCTTGCAGATAAGGATGGCCAGGTAACCTCATTGTGGCCAATGAGCTATTTAAGTAAGTTTGTTGGGTAACTTTTTGGAAAAGATTTTGCATTTATAATGACATGGACAAGCATGATTAGCATTAAATCTGCATTAAATGTAAATATAATGCTTAGTGATAGAACAGCCATTTTGGGATTATTAGGCCCTAAGCATGAGGGAAAGTTTCAAGAGAAGGATTAAGATGCTAGCCCACTCAGGGACTTCTTTTTCTGGCCAAAGTGAGACTAGATTTACCCTTCTGCTTGAAGTGAACATAAAAGATGACAGAATATATGAAATGACAGATTTTTTAAGACATTGGGACATCAGACAAGAAGAATAGAGATACAAAAGGGCTGGGGTGTGGGGGTGGGGAAGGTGAGCGCTATGATTGCCCTGGATTACCGCCTTGAAAGAGTTTTCAGGCTATGGAGGAGGCGGAATCCAGGCAGAGGCCAGCAGACTAAGTTGAGACGATAGAGCCAAGCCACCAAGAACAACGCCGATAAATCTTGCAGGCCAGAGTACCACAGAAGAGATTGCTGTGCACAGCCAGCAATCCAGAGATCTGCAGAGGGCCCTCCTTGAGCTTCAGCCAAGTACTGATCACCACATGCATGTGAGGAAACCACCTAAGACCAGGAAGGAAACCACCCAAACAGATTATGGGATGTTGCCTGACCACAATGGAATTAAAATAAAAATTAATAACAGAAAGATCTCTGAAAAATCTCCAAATATTTGGAAACTAACTATGATCAAAGAAATCAAAAGGAAAATTACAGAGTGGTTTGAACTTAAAAAAAAAGTAAGAAGGAAAAAACATAATACATTTTATGAAATGCCACTTAAACAGTGCTTAAGGGGAAAACCATAGCACTAAACATCTATATTAGCAAAGAAGAAAAATCTTAAAATCAATGGTCTCAAATCAATGGTCTTAACATCCATCTTAAAACAAAACAAAACAACAACAAAAAAGGCTGGGCGTGGTGGCTCACGCCTGTAATCCCAGCACTTTCGGAGGCCAAGATGGGTGGATTGCTTGAGGCCAGGAGTTCGAGACAAGCCTGGCCAACTTGGCAAAACTGCATCTCTAGTAAAAACACAAAAATTAGCCAGGCATGGTGCACGCCACCCTGTAATCCCAGCTACTCTGGAGGCTGAGGCAGGAGAGTTGCTTGAACCCAGGGGGTGGAGGTTGCAGTGAGCCGAGACCATGCCACTGCACTCCAGCCTGGGAGACAGAGCAAGACTCTGTCTCAAAAACAAAACAAAACAAAACACAGAAAAAAAGCCAATAAAACCCAAAGTCAGCAAACGAAAGGAAATAATAAAGATCAGATTAGTGAAAGAAACCAAAATATTTTACCCCAAAATAGACTTCAACATATTTTGAAATGGCTGGTCTGAGGGCCTGCAAGCAGAAGTAGCCCTGTGGAGCTATCTTTTGTTGGGGGTGATTTGCATTTGTAGAGGAAGTAAATGACAGATGCAAACAGGCTTTCTCTGAAGGCCCCTTGTCCAGATCTAGGAAATATTAATGAGAGTCTGAAACCTTTAAAAGTCTGATGGGAACATTTCCCACTGGCTACCATCTCTTCTTTGTGAGGGCTGCTATCTCTGAGGTTTCATCTGCCTAGCAAGACTGCCCTTGCTAGCCAGGGCTTTCCTCTTCTCTCTCCTGTAACCTGTCTGGCCACCATAACCTGTTTTGCCATGCTTTAAGCCCCTATTCTTTTTGTAATCTCAAGATGGTATAGAAGTGCCAACCATCTGGCCATCTGAGTTCTTATATTTGTATGACTACTGTATACGTTAATAAATCTGTATGGTTTTTCTCCCATTAATGTGCCTTTTGTCAGTTGATTTTCAGTGAACCTTCAGAGGATGAAGGGGAAACTAAAACAAGGGGGAGTTTTCCCTTGGCCCCTACAGTAGAAGTCAATAAAGTAGAAAACAGAAGAAAAATAGAGAAGATCAATGAAACAAAAAAACAGCTTTTTGGAAGATCAATATAATTGAAAAAACTTATCAGGAAAAAAAAAAAAAACATGCTGGGCGTAGTGGCTCATGCCTGTAGCCCAGCACTTTGGGAGGCTGAGGTGAGCAGACTGCTTGAGCCCAGGAGTTCCAGACCAGCCTAGGCAACATGGCAAAACCCCATCTCTACAAAAAATACAAAAAATTAGCCAGGCATGGTGGCATGTGCCTGTAGTCCCAGCTGTTCAGGAGGCTGAGAGGTGGGAGGATCTCTTGAGCCCAGGAGGTCAAGGTTGCAGTGAGTTGTGATCATGCCACTGCACTCCATCCTGGGTGACAGAGTGAGACCCTGTCTCAAAAACAAAAAAACAAACAAACAAAAAAAGAAGAGGCCGGGCGCAGTGGCTCACGCCTGTAATCCCAGCACTTTGGAAGGCCAAGGTGGGAAGATCATCTGAGATCAGGAGTTTGACACCAGCCTGGCCAACATAGTGAAACCCCATCTCTACTAAAAATATAAAAATTAGCTGGGTGTGGTGGTGTGTACCTGTAATCCCAGCTACTCAGGAGGCTAAGGCAGGAGAATCACTTGAACCTGCGAGACGGAGCTTGCAGTGAGCCGAGATCGCACCATTGCACTCCAGCCTGGGTGACAGAGCAAGACTCCATCTCAAAAAAAAAGAAAGAAGGAAGAAGGAAGGAAGGAAGGCAAGAAGGCAGGAAGGAGATATAAATTGCCAATGTCAGAAATTATACAGGTGATATCATTTCTACGTGATTCTACATGTAGATTCTACAAATTTTAAAAGGATATGGATTCTACAAATATTAAAAGGATAATGGAATATTATGAATAATTGTATGCCAATAAAATTGATAGCTGAGATGAAATGGAAAAAAATACCTTGAATTATACAAATTGCCAAAGTTTACTCAGAAAGACACAGACAACCTGAATAGCCTTATATTGATTGACGAAATTGAATTTGTCATTAAATGTGTTCCAATAAATAAAACTCAAGGTCCAGATGGCTTCACTCATAAAATCTACCAAACATTTAAGGAAGAAATAATACTAATACTATAGAATCTCTTCCTAAGAAATTGAAAATGAGGAAAATACTTCCCAGCTCATTCTACAAGGCCACTATTACTCATACGAAAATTAAACCAAAATATTATAAGAAACCTATAGCCTAATGTCCCATATTAATATAGATGCAAAAATTCTGAACAGATAATAGGAATACAAAGTTGGTTTAACATTGAAAAATCTATCAATGTATTTCTCCACATAAAGTAAAAACCAACTCCATATGATCATCTCAATAGATGCAGAAAAAGCACTCAACAAATTCAGCATTAATCCTGATCCTAACTCTTAGCAAACTGGAAATAGGAAGACTCTTCCATAACCTGATAAAAGGCGTTTACTAAAATGTAGTTTACAACATACCTTATGATGAAAGACTGAATGCTTTCCTTCTAAGTTCAGGAACAAGACAAGGATGACTGCTCAACACTTCTACTCAATATTGTCCTTGAGGTGCTAGTTAGGGCAATCAGGGAAGAAAAAGAAATACGAAGCATCCAGATTGGCAAGAAAGAAAGATAATTGTCTATTCATAGACAGCATAAACTGCAGAAAATCCAGTGGAATCTCCAAAAAAAGCTATTATAATGAATAAGTTAGTTTGGCAATGTTGTAGGATGTTTGTACAACATTAAAAAATCAATTGTATTCCTATTCACTAGCACAGAACTATCAGGTATTGACATTAAAAAATACAAATTACAATAGCATAAAATACCTGAAATACCTAAGTATAAATCTAACAAAAAAACTTTAATGTCTGTATATTGTAAACATTATTGCAAGAAAATTTAAAAACATAAATGAACAGGTAAAATGTTTTCATGAATCTAAAAACTTAATATTGTTACAATGTCATTCCTCCCCAGTCTATAGATTTGATACAATCCAAACCAAAATCCCAAGAGGCTTTTTTTTTTGTGGAAATTGACAAGTTAATTTAAAAATTCATATTGTAACGCGAAGGACCAAGAATAGCTAGCCATCTTTAGGAAAAAAATAATGTAGGACTTACATTACTGGATTTCAAGACTTATGATAAAGCTACAATAACCAAGACAGGATAATACTGACAAAGCTAGACAAATAAATAGAACAGAGAGACCAGAAATAAACTCACACATATATTGACAACTGATCTTTCATAAAATTGCAAAAGCAAGTCAGTGGAGGAAGATAGTTTTCTAAACAAACTAGATGCTAGAATGATAGATTGAATATCCATGTAGAAAAAAAAAAGTGAAGTCTGGTCCATACCTCACACCATCTACGAAATTTAATTCAAAATGGATCATAGATATAAATGTAAAATCTAAAACTACAAAATTCTAGAACATATAGAAAACATTTGTAACTCTGGGTCACAAAGATTTCTTAGATATATCTCTAAAAGCATGATGCATAAAAGAAATAATTGATACACTGAATTTTATCGAAATTAAAAACTGTGTTTTTGAAAGACACAGTCAAGAGAATGAATAGATAAGCCTCATACTGGGAGATAATATTTGCAAGTCATACATCTGGTAAAAATAATATATAACTCTGAAAACCTGATAACAGGAAAACAAACAACTCAATAAAGAAGTGGGGAAAATTTTGGACAGTCATCTTACCAAGAAAATGTATTGAAAATAAGCACATAAAGAGAATCTCAACAGCATTAAGGAAATGCAAATTAAAAGCACAATGCGCTGGGCACAGTGGCTTATGCCTTGTAATCCCAGCACTTTGGGAGGCAGAGGTGGGCGGATCACATGAGGTTGGCAGTTCAAGGCCAGCCTGGTCAACATGGTGAAACCCCGTCTCTACTAAAAATACAAAACGTAGCCAGGAATGATGGTGTATGCCTGTAGTCCCAGCTACTTGGGAGGCTGAGGCAGGAGAATCTCTTGAACCCAGCAGTCGGAGGTTGCAGTGAGCAGAGATCACACCACTGCACTCCAGCATGGGCGACAGAGCAAGACTCTGTCTCAAAACAACCCAAAACCAAAACCAAAACAACAACAACAACAAAAACAAAAACAAAAATCCATGATGAGATACACTATACAACTTTTAGAATGGCTAAAAGCTTTCTTTTTTAACCACCATACCAAGTGCTGGCAAGGAGGTACAAGAACTGGAACTCTCATACACTGCTGGTAGGGAAGTAACGTGGTAGAACCACACTGAAAACATTTGGGGTTTTATTAAAACAAATTCAATATTTATTTACCATACGACCCAGCCATCCTACTCCTAGATATTTACCCAAGAGGAAAGAAAATGTAGTTCATACATACCATTTTTTTGTCGTTGTTTATTTGGAGACAGAGTCTCGCTTTGTCACCCAGGCTGGAATGACTGGCAGGATCTCGGCTCACTGCAACCTCCACCTCCCAGGTTCAAGCTGTTCTCCTGCCTCAGCCTCCTGAGTAGCTAGGACTACAGTTGCCTGCAACCATGCCCAGCTAATAATTGTATTTTTTAGCAGAGATGGGGTTTCGTCATGTTGGCCAGGTTGGTCTCAAACTCCTGATCTCAAGTGATCCACCCAGCTTGGCCTCCCAAAGAGCTGAGATTATAGGCATGAACCACTGTGCACGGCCATACATAGACTTTTACACAAATGTTCTTAGTAGCTTTATTTGTAATAATCAAAAACTGGAAACAACCTAAATGCCCTTCAATAAGTGGGCAACATTTATGGATAAACAAAACATAATATATCCATAAATGAAATACTCTTTAGTAATAAAAAGAAAGAAACTATAGATACACACTACAACATGGATCAATCTAAAAATAATTATGCTGAGTGAAAGAAGCCAGACAGAAAAGAGTACATACTACTCTATAGAAAATTCTAGAAAATTCGAATCAGGCTACAGTGACAGAAAGCAGGTCCATGGTCACCTGAGGAGTACAGGAAGAGACAGGAGGGAGAGATTATAAAGGGGAACCAAGAAACTTTTGGGGGTGATAGACATGTTCACTATCTTGATGGTTGGGTTGGTTTCATGGGCATATACAAATGTCAAATTATCAAATTGCACCCTTTATGTGGCATTTATTCCATATCAAGTATACCTCTTTAAAGCTATTTTTAAAAGAAGGAAAAAAAAAAAGATTGCTATCCCTGACATTGTTGAGCCACTTAACCAATGGACTGCCTATCTCTAAATCTTTTGATTATGAAAAAAAAAAAAAAAAATGAAGCCATAGTAAGTCAGTTTTCCTGTTACTTGCAGCTGGAAGCATAACTTACCACTGCAACTACACAACACCTTGGCTTATATAATAAAAGTCACAGAATATTCAAGCTTGAAGAGATCTTGGGGATCAGCCATTCAAAGCCTATCCTGCCTGCCCCACTCCACTGCCATCCCCCCCAACTTTTCTTTACAGATAAGGAAACAGAAATTCAGAAGCTTGGAGGGACTTGCCCAGACTGACACAGCAGATCTATTAGGAGCTGCAGGATGAGAGCCGCAGTGTCCCGGTGTCCTGACTCCAAAAGCTGGGCTCTTTCCAGTGCACCATATCGCAGTCTGCCTTTTCAATTTTTAATTTCTAAATTTTATTTCCTTAAAACAGCAAAGAGAAAAAAATACAGGGTGGAATTTAATGCTCACAAGTAGAATTACCTAGAGGAATCATTGTATGTTTTATAAATGAGGCAACAGAGCTTTGGGGTGCAGATGAGAAAGGGATATTTTCTCTTAGTCACAAAGCCAACATTAAACACAGGCCTCTTGAGACACTACTTGCCCTAATGATTCTCAAATATATGACTTATTTCTAGTAGTCAACACCTGCCTTCGTGAAATAAACACTCCTCTATGTGTGTGTGCCTGGAATAGCAATCCTGATGTTTCTAAGGGTATTCACATTTTAAAAGTGAAGTGTAAAAATTCAGTCATTTTGTGTTGGTTGACATTTTTTAAATGGCATGTCTTTTTTTATAACTGAAAACTAAATTTGGTTTAGGTTAGGCTTACACATGAAGAGCTGAAAGGTTGTTTTATTCCTTAAATGTTCCCATCTTTGAGCAGAGGCCAAACAATGAAAATTCTAGCTGGGATAGAATAAGAACGTTATTATCACCAAGTCATGGGTAACTGAAATTTTCCTGGTTCCACATGCTATTAATATCCTACGTGTCAAACAAAAGTTAGGAACTGCTAAAGAAAAGATTATTCAATCCTTCTTATTAAAGCACAGTAAGGAAGACTTTATTGAGGCCCTCGCTATAGGTACAGTGACAACTGCAATGAGGTTTTGGAGTGGGGGAGGAAGATTGAGTTCAACTGTGAATACTGCATGAGCAAGTGGAAATTTATAGCCAAGGAGGAGGGTGGGGACCAGTGGATGGAAAACTACTAAGAGGGAACATCAGGGGTAAGGGGGATTCTGACTAGACAGGCCTAACAGGATTCTTGCTGAAGACAGGCCAGGGTGATCAGACCTCACCTGGGGGATGGTGGAGGACGAGGAACCTCATTAGATATCAACGGGGATCAGATATCAAGGGTGGATGTTTGGGGGGGATTCTTGTGAAACTGACTTAGCTGGGCTCTTTGCTAAAACTGGATTTCCCAAGGAAGTGCGCTGATAGGTTCTAAAAGGTTTAGGAGCCTAAAATTTGGCCAAGCAAAGAATCTTTGTCAGAACACAGCATCGACCTAAAGAAAGAAACTGAGGAAAATTAATATAGGTAGAGAGTTTATTTGGGCCAACGGTGGGGACTGCCAACTGAGAAACTCTTCCAAGTTGCTTTGGGGAGTGCTCCAGAGAACAAAGGGCAGGCATGAGTTTTTAAAGAAAAAAGGACAAATCAGGAGAGGAGGTGATTACAAACGTTGTTTTTCAGAATTTTCATTGGTTCCCAGAAATAACATTCATCAGTATTGGCTATATACGTTGTTAAACTATGGGGTATGAGTTATGGCGTTCAGAGTGTGGCATTGCTAGGTGGCAACACTCAGTTTAGAGTCCATACAGCAGGCAGTTTCAAGAGATGATTATTCAGCTCAAGGTGGGGAAGTGCGGCAAGACTGATGCCTCATTCCTATGCTTTGCTGGGCCTGGTAATTTTAAAGGGACTGCATCACTCAGGTGTTTCTTGTCTTTCTCAGTCTCTCACCTGTGTGGTTATTTTACTTTGCTTTCCTAGAGCACAGCACCAATACACATACCTTATACAACCTTACACACATACCTTGCTATCCTTCCTTTATAAGAAAGGTGACTCCAAATCTGAGCTCACAGGGGATGTTGGAAAGTCAAAGTGACTTGGGGAAAAGTTATTGAAATGACTACATTTTTGACAAATATGAACAAACGATAAGGAAAGATGAAAGGAATTGAAATCACTCAGCCTCAGACAAGTTAAGAAGATATTCAGTCTCCACCTGATATTATTTTCAAGGCTTCCTGACCAAATTCTGCTGAAATTGTTCACGACATTAATTACATGGTAAGAAAGACGCTGATATTTGCCTCTCTGAAATCCATTCCAGCTTCTTCTTCACCAAGCAGAAACACAGTTTTGTTTAGGAGTGGCACAACCTGACAAAAATCCTCTCCCTGGCCAAACTCTAGCCAGGCCCCTCTGAGCCCTCTTCTTGGTTAGGCCTCAACCTTGGCCTATAAGAATGACAGACTCTTGGCACAAATGATTTCCACCCTTTACCCTCCGTATATATGCATATATATATATTTGAGACAGGGTCTCACTCTGTCATCTAGGCTGGAACACAGATGCTCAATCTTGGCTCACTGCAACCTCTGCTTCCCAGGCTCAAGTGATCCTCCAGCCTCAGCCTCCCGAGAAGCTGGGAATACAGGCATAAGCCACCAACACCCAGATAATTTTTATATTTTTTTGAGAGACAGGGTTTCGCCATGTTGCCTGGTTGGTCTCAAACTCCTGAGCTCAAAGCAATCTGTCCACCTCAGCCTCCCAAAGTGCTGGGATTACAGGTGTGAGCCACTGCACCTGGATAACCCTCCATATATATATATATGGTTTTTTTGTTTTTTTTTTTTAGACAGAGTTTCGCTCTGCCGCCCAGGCTGGAGAGCAGTGGTGCAATTTCGGCTCAATGCAAGCTCCGCCTCCTGGGTTCATGCCATTCTCCCGCCTCAGACTTCCAAGTAGCTGGGACTACAGGCGCCCACCACCATGCCCGGCTAATTTTGTTTTTGTATTTTTAGTAGAGACAGGGTTTCACTGTGTTAGCGGGATAGTCTGGCTCCTGGATCACGATGGTCTTGTGATTTGCCCGCCTTGGCCTCTCAAAGTGCTGGGATTACAGGCATGAGCCACTGCGCCCGGCCCATGTATTTTTAAAAAATCTTTGACTGCAAGGATTTTACTATGTATTTTTATGTTTAATTCATAGTAGGTGCATATACTTATGCACTTACTATGGTACATAGTAGGTATGTATATTATGGGGTACATGAGATATTTTGATACAGGCATACAATGCGTAATAATCCCATTATGGAGAATGGAGCATACCCTCCATATTAAGAGACTTGACCAGACACTAGGGTCGTTTCCAGTGTCGTTAAAGTGCCCCTTTAAAGTACCTGCCTGAGAAAAGCAAAGGCTTCGAGGAGAATTCACTATTTGTTTTTAGCCAACCCCTGAGGATAAGCCCCACCACTTTCAGAGCATTTACTATAAAGGGCTTACAATTGAGGATCCTCTTGCTGCCCCTTTGAGATATCTAGGTATCACCTACAACTCAGGGGTATCTTACTCAAGCATGTGAAGGTAATTCCTTTACAATGATAATCATCAGGAAGGAAGGGGCCTCTGTCTCCCAGCCTATGTGGAATCCTAACTTCAATAAATGCCAGCTGGCAGATGCAGCTGCCTCATGGGCATTTACACTGACCAACCCTTGTAATTTTTCACCCTAACTCTACTGAGCCCCACTCAACCCCTCCCTGCTGCCTCACTCTCCCTTTATTTTTTATCGAGACAGGGTCTCGTTTTGTTGCCCACAGCCATGTGCCACCACACCTGGCTATTTTTTTTTTTTTTTTTTTTTTGTGACAAGGTCTCAACTCCTCCTGCCTCCACCTCCCAAAGTGCTGGGATTACAGGTGTGAGCCACAGCACCAGGACCATTCTCCCTTTAAAATACCCACTCACTTCTGTGCAAATCAGAGTTGAGTTCAGTTCACACTGGACCCTCTTCCCTACTACAATTGTGTATTATGGGCTAAAAGCCGTCCTTACCACTTTAGTGTCCAGCTGTATTTACCTTGGATGGTGCTGAGTAAAATTATTCCCCCACCCCATTCCCTGCAGCAAAGGGTGGCCAGGGGACACTCACCTGACCACTGAGACATACGCTGAGTTTCTGGGAAGACATTTTTCTCTTGCCCTCCTGCACTCCTCCCTCACACCTTCTTTTCTGATGGCACAGGGACAGGAAGCCTGGAGACGCAGCAGCCACCTGGAAATATGAGGTCACAAGCATGAGGAAGACACAGCAGGTAGCAGACTGCCTCCTGAAATTCTACTAAGATGTTTCTCAGGCATTTCAGTCACGACATGCCCAAAAAGGAACTCTAGGTCTTTCCATTTCTACCTTTGGAATTTCCAATTTTGATAAATATCATTGCCACCCATGTGTTGCTATTGTCAGAAGCTTGGCGGATGTCATTGACCGACCCTTCTCCTCGCAGACTCCTTGCATTCATTTTTTAAAAAATTGTGGCACAATACATAAACAATTTACCATTTCAACCATCTAATTTTTTTTTTTTTTTGAGACAGAGTCTTGCTCTGTCGCTCAGGCTGGAGTGCAGTGGCACAATCTCAGCTCACTGCAGCCTCTGCCTCCCAGGTTCAAGCCATTCTCCTGCCTCAGCCTCCCAATCTCTTTAATTTTTATTTTGTTTTTTTTTTTTTTTTGTAGAGATGGGATTACAGGCATGAGCTGCCACACTTGGCCATTTTAACCATTTTAAAGTATACAGTTCAGTGGGGTTTGACACATTCACAATGTTGTGCAAACATCACCATAATCTAGTTCTAGAATCTTTTCATCACCCCAAAAGAAAGTCCCATATTCATTAAGCAGCACTTCCTATTCCTCCCTTCCTCCAGCTCCAGGCACTAATTTGCTTTGTGTTTCTGTGGATTTGCCTATTCTGGATATTTCATAAAAATGAAACCATATAATATGTGGCGTCTGTGTCTGACTTCTTTCATTCAGGATAATGTTTGCAAGGTTCATCCATGTTGTAGCATGTATCAGTACTATTCCTTTTTGTGGCCAAATAATATTCCATTGTATGGATATACCACATTTTGCTTATGCATTCATCAGTTGAGGGACATTTGGGTTGTTTCTATCTTTTAGCTATTGTGAATAATGCTGCTATGAGCATTTGTGTTTAAGTTTTTGTTTGACCATCTCCTTTAAATTTTCAGGGTTACATACTTGAGAGGAATTGCTGGATCATATGGTAATCTGTGTTTAACTTACTGAAGAACAATAAACAATTTTCCACAGCAGCTACCTGATTTTACATTTCCACCAGCAAAATATGAGGGTTCCAATTTTTCTGCATCCTCACTACACTTATTATTTTCTGGTATTGTTTTTAATTATAGTCACCCTAGTGGGCATGAAGTGGTATCTCACTGTGGTTCTAAGTTATATTTCCCTACTGACTCATGATGTTGAGCATCTTATCATGTGCTTTGTTGGCCATCGTATACATTTCTTCTTTGGAGAAAAGTCTATTCAAGTCCTTTGTCCATTTTTATTTATTTATTTATTTTTTGAGACACAGCCTTGCTCTGTCACCCAGGCTGGAGTGTAGTGCTGTGATCATAGCTCACTGCAGCCTCAACCTCCTGGGCTCGAGCGATCCTCCTGCCTCAGTCTCCCAAGTAGGTAGGGCTACAAGTGAATGCCACCATGCCCAGCTAATTTTTAAATTTTTTGTAGAGACAGTGTCTAACTCTGTTGCCTAGGCCTGTCTTGAACTCCTGGCCTCAATAATCCTCCTGCCTCAGCCTCCCAAAATGCTGGGATTGCAGGTATGAGCCACCACACCCAGCTGCACATTTTATTTATTTTTTTTTAAATGGCATCTCACTCTGTCACCCAGGCTGGAGTGCAGTGGCATGATCTTGGCTCACTGCAACCTCCACCTCCTGGGTTCAAGCAATTCTCCTGCCTCAGCCTCCCAAGTAGCTGTGATTACAGGCGTGTGCCACCATGCCTGGCTAATTTTTGTATTTTTAGTAGAGATGGGGTTTTACCATGTTGGCCAGGCTGGTCTTGAACTCCTGACCTCAAGTGATCCAACCACCTCAGCCTCCCAAGGCTGAGGATTACAGGTGTGAGCCACTGCATCCAGACTCCACCTGCACATTTAAAATGGAATTGTTTGGGTTTTAGTTGTAAGCATCCTTTATATATTCTGGATACTAGACCCTTATCAGATGTGTGATTTGGTGAATATTTTCTCCATTCTGTGAATTGTCTTTTCAGTCTCTTGGTAGTATCCTTTGATGCTACAGGGGCCAAAGGAAAACTTCCCCTTTGCCCTCTGAAGTTCTGCTGAAAAATCACCTGAAAAAAGGCAGATTAATAGGGGAAAATGATATGCAAACTTACTAGCCTGTGTGGGAAAAAAACCATAGAATGATTGCTCAACCCCACAATGGGGCACAGATAGTTACATTCCCTTCTTAGTGGGGGAAGGGAGACAAAGCATTGTGGATAATTTTAGCAGGGATAGTAAATGATTTTTAGGGGAATTCAGGGGGCTTGAAGAACAAAGTCTGTTTGAAGGACAAAGTCTGTTGAACCCACAGAGCCGACGATGGTTCTTGACAAAAGTCTGTCCAGGTGTGTTAACAGATTTCAGTCTTTCTGCAATATGAGTTCAGTTAATGAAAACCCAAGGAAGGGACCAGAGGTAATTGCTTTCTTTTTTTTTTTTTTTTTTTAAAAAAAAAAAAAGTAGTTAGCATTTAATGAACCTCCCTCCATGTGGCTTCAAGCCACCAGGACGCAGATCCCCTGCGACTCCCTTCATCTTCTCCTCAGCTCTTCTGCTGAAGAATTTGGCCTTCATGATGACAGGTTGCTTTGGGAGCTTTCCCTTTCCCAGAACTTTGTAGTAGCCCAATAGCGCCACATCAATGATGGGAGCAGCCCCAGTCTTGTTTTCAGCAGCATTTGCCCATGTCTGCTCGCTGACCAAAGTCCACAGTTTGTCAAGGTTGACAGTTGGGCAGAAGCTCTGGTTCCTCTTTAAGTGGTAATGCGTCCTACCAACTTTCCCAAAGTAGCCTGGGTGGTATTTGTTGAAGCTGGTCCTGTGGTGATGTGTGCCACCAGCATTACCGTGGCCTCCAGGGTGCTTCTGGTGCTTCCCTTATAGGGTCATGGCTGTGGATCACGTGGCCCTGAAGTTTCCGGGTCTTCCTCAGTCTGGATGGCACGTTGGTGGCCCGGACGAAAGGGCAATTGCTTTCTTCTTTGGTGAGTCCAGACTTTAGGCAGATTTGAGAACTTAGAGAACTTCATCCTGAGCTTAGGGAGAGATAAAAGATTGAGAGGTAAGAGGCAGGGGGAGGGTCAGAGAGACCTTGAGGCTTCTTGCTCAGTTCAGCATGTCAAAGCGCCATACTTTGGGGTATCGGTTTCTGAACCCCAACAATGTATAAAAGTTTTTCACTTTGTTGAAGTCCAATTCATCCACTTTTTCTTCTGATGCTTGTGCTCTATGTGTCTTACATCCATTCTTGAGTGTTTTATTCCATGCACAGAGCATAAGGATATTTCAAATACCTCAATCTGATCATGACTCCCTTGCTTAACACCTTCAATAGTTTCCCATTGTATTTAAGATAAAGTTCAAAATCCTCTCTATGGACTACAAGGCTATGCATGATTTGGTCCCTGTCCTTCTTTTGGCCTCATTTTTCCATATTTTTCCTCGCCTTCTTTGCCATCGGTTTCTCAAGTATAACAGGCTCTCTTAAATCCCAAGACCTCACTTGCCATGGTTCCTGCCTGGAATGGTCATCCTCCCCTCTTCTGTACTTTGCTAATTCTAATTCATTCGTCATTTTAAGTGTCACTTCCACGGGAAAGCCTTCCTTAACCCTCTGCTCCAAACTTATTCCCAGCTTGCGAAAGGTAGAATTTTGCAAGCCGATTGTTAAACACCGCCATTATTATAAATTAAGTGGTATACATTTACAATTAAGTTATAATAAAAACAAATGCGAGAAACACTTAAAACTTTTCATGTTCTAATTATTTTATTATATTCTACATTTGTGCTCCTGAGGTCACAATAGAAATAGAACGGAATGTGTGGTGGAAATAGAACAGAGTGGCCTGCTACTGTGTGTGCATCTTGTGCTAGCTAACCCTGCTGTGGTGGCAGGAGAGCTTGACATCAGCCATGGTGGGAGTATTTGAGCAAAGACTACAAATCAGGCTGGTTTAGTGAGGCTTTCTGGAAAGCAGGGGTTAACATTCACACTGCCAGTCAGATTTCCCATTACATGCTGACATGGCATCTTGAACTTGTCTACTGTGGTCCTTTCCGTGGATGGAATCTTTCAATTTATTATTTGAAATAGTATATTTAATGTCTGTGTTTCTTACAAGAACGTGAACTCTGGGAGGGAATGGGGTGCACACTGTTCCCTATTGATATCTGTATCCCCAGCACCTAGCACAGTTCTTGGCACTGGATAAATACTTAATTATTTGTTGACAGAAGGTCAATAAGGCCCAAGAAGCAAAGTCCAATGTTTTAAATATAGATGGGTCGATGGCAGGCATTCATCTTGGAAAGTATAAAGTTTTCCATTTCACTCATTGGCTATCTTGAGGGTTTAAATATTGATGATCATTTGATTATATTCAAAGCTTACCAGGTTTAAACATTTCTTTGATGCCTTTTTAATTAGATGATAGCTAGTGATGGCCAAAGGCAACTTGACCTTAGCTATGTATTAGTTTCTCATGGCTGCCATAATAAAGTAAGCCACCCAAACTGGATAGTTGAAGACAACAGGGACACTTTCTGTCACAGCTCTGGAGGCTAAAAGTCTCGAAAATCAAGGTGTTCACACAGCCATGCTCCCTCCGAGACTCTGGATAGACTCCTCCCCTGCCTCTTCCTAGCTTCTGGTGGTGGCGAGCAGTCCTTGGTATTCCTTGGCTTGCAGCCACATCACTCCAGTCTCCACTTCCATCTTCACAGAGTCTCCTCTTGTATTTTCTCAACATCTTCTTATAAAGACACCAGTCATATTGGATTAAAGGTCCACACTACTCCAGCAGGACCTCATCATAATTAATTACATCTAATTAGCCTATTTCCAAATAAGGTCACAGGCTGAGGTACTGGGGGTTAGGATTTCAAGATTGCTTTTTTGGGGGACATAATTCAACATAACACCCTGCAAGTGGCCTGTTTCATACAGTGCATGCCTGGTGTATTACAACCAACTGGACCAGGCAGGTTCCAGCTCATCTATACAGCTTCATGTGATTTGTCTATAAGGCTGTTTATTTCCTCTAGCTCCAGACTTTGCCTTGGTTATGAGTGGGGAGTATCTCAGAACCCCCAGATGACCTCAAGCCCAAATATAATAATTATATTTGTTTTGTTTGAAATAAAACAACCCACAAACCATAACTGACAGGGATTGGAACCTGGCATAAAAGCACAAAGACATACTTTTAGCCCCAGGCTGGGTTACCTGAGAAGAGGGAGCAATATTCGGGCCAATTCTATATAAGCATTGAAATGCCGGAAGTGATCACTGCCCTCAGGTACTTCCAGTGAAAGAGGTGGTGAAGGTAGAGCGAGGTCCAGCCCTTCTGAGTCATTTCTCCATAAAAGCAGATTATGTCTCTACATCCTTCTGGGGACATTTATTTTCAGTAAGAATTCGTATAGACAGTGTTTGTCAAGCTAGAAAGATCCAGAGAAGTTAGCCAAATCACCCCTTTATTCTACAAAACCCAGAAGGCCAGAGAGGGGGCCTGTCTTGCCCAGGGTCATCAGGTTAGAGAGTGACAATGCCCAGGCTAGAATCCAGGTGGTCTCCATCCGGGGTAGGTGCTTAATCCACTGCTTTGCTGTAGCTTTGCGGTGTGAAGACCATGGCTGCAATGGCCAGCATCTTTTCCCTTGCTTCAAATGTAAGGTTAAAAACCCAAGGGAAGAGTATGGAGAGTAAACCAGTACAGACACGCTTCTGATATCCAGGAAACGACATGTCTACTATGACTTCCTAATGAGAAGACAGAAAGTTACATATTCTTTTTTTTTCTGGTCAATACAACACAGTAGGATTGCTACCACTAGAAGCATTATGGGAGAACAAAACACACGAGTATTAATGAGGCAGGTTTAACTCTTACTAACAAAATACTACCATCTTTGCAATCAGTTCTAAAAGTACTAGATTTGGAGTTCTGCAATCCAATTTCATTTTATTTAGGACTTAAGATTGTGAAATAGGAGCAGGAAAACCATTATCATCTGCTGTGATCATACTCTTATATCCCAGAGACCAACACAGCTCTCATTCTGCATTCCTGCGAAGGTAACTGAGTTAAAAGTGATTACCATTGTTAAAGTAAATTTGGCCTGAGAAAAGCCACCATACTGGCATACTTGAGTCCTTACATAATAACTGCAACCAAACTTAGTATGTAAATAAACTGAAAACCCAGCTTAGGAGTATGCTTTTCTAACAGATAGCTGAGTCTCAGCCAATCACAGCAGCCATGCTTCAGTCAGTAGCAGGCAGCCACCTGCTCATGTTCAAATAAGGCAAGCACTGGACTGTAACCCGTCCAGTTGTTTCTGTACCTCGCTTCCATTTTCTGTACATTGCATTTCTGTTTCTGTTCATAAGTATTATTCGACCAGAGTATTAAACTCCATGGGAGCCCCAGTTTCTCTGTACCTGTTTTGGTGCTGAGAACTGCCTGATTCATTTTTTGCCCAATTAAACTCTACTAAATGTAATTTGTCAAATGTTTCTCTTTTAACATCATTATTAAGTACTCTGATTTTTTAAAAAGGCTCTGGAAAATTTCTGGTTAAATGTGGTAGATTAGACACTTACTTTTATCTCCACTGTCTCATGAAATCCCACTAAAGTGATAGTAAAGGGGGAAAGAAGGCAAACCACAAGTTCTAAGGGATTGGAAATGGAGACGACTGAGAAAAAAAATCAACCGAAAAAAATATTGGGAGCTGGAAAGAGAAGAACGTGCATTGACTGGTTTATCAAACCAAGGGAAACAGAACCCCAAGCCTGCAGTAGAAGAAGGCAGCAAGAAGGTAACTCACTCTGCCGAACATGGCAGAACCTGGGACTCGGAAAGCAGGGGTGCAGAGAAGGGCTGCAAACAAGGCAGCTTAAATAAATGGGAGCAGCAAGGCTCCCAGATTCCCTTCTTGACCTACACCGCAGATGATGCCCTTTCTCCAATCCTGGCAGGAGACTGGAGGTTTATTCTGTGGAGAAACCAAATCAGAGAAGACTTGGGAATCCAAGCCAGGCCTGAGACACCCTATTGAAATTAGGTGAAAGTCTACATACCAAATGAAGAGATTTCATTCTTCTTCTCCTACTGCACCCTCGCAACACCAGCAGCCAGGCATATAAAAATCCATGCAGGAGATGAGGGGATTTGACTCTGGAGCCTCTGACTAGCCCAAGTTAGATCCTGACAAGTGGGTAGTTGGGTGAGGGGTGGTCTTCCACTGTGAAGAGATTGGGCCTTGCCTGATCTCTCAACGGTGGTTCTCAAACTCAGCTGCACATTAGAATCACCTGGAAAGCTTTAACATGTGCTAATGCCTGGAGATTCTGACTTAATTAGTCAAAAGTACACAGCCCCAGCGTCAGGAGTTTTAAATGTTCCCCAGGTGATTCTAATGTACAAGTAAGCCTGAGAAACTCTACTTTAATAAAACCTATCCCTCAACAGCTTCTTGTAAGTGCCTCTTTCCTGATCTTTACAAAGAACCAACTTTTAGTTTGATTGATTTTCCCTATTCTTTGTCCATTTTCTATTCCATTGATTTCTGATCTTATTTCCTTTTTTCTGCTTACTTTGGGTTTAATTTGCCCTTCTTTTTCTAGTTTCTTAAGGTGGAAACTTAGAACACTAATTTTTGACCCTTTTTGTTTTCTAAAAGCAGCACTTAATGCTAAAAATTATCTTAAATCACTGCTATAGCTGCATCCCACAAATGCTGTTACGTGGGGCTTTCACTCTTGTTCTGTTCAAAGTATTTCCTAATTTCTCTTGTGATTTTCTTCCTTGGCTTATGGGTTATTTAGAAGTATGATTGTTTAATTTCCAAGTATTTGGGGTTTTTCCAGATATCTTTCTGTTACTGGTTTTAAGTTTAATTGTGTTGTGGTCAGATAATATGCTTTGTATAATTTTGATCTTTTTTATGTATTAAGACTTGTTTTATGGCTCAGAATATGTTCTACCTTGGTGAATGTTTTATGTTCACTTAAAAAGAATGTGTATTCTGTTGCTGGGTGGAATGTTCTATAGTTGTTAATTAGTCAAATCAGTTGAGAGTGTTATACAAATTGCCTATATCCTGACTTATTTTTTTGAATCTTATTATTGTCATAAATTTTACTTTACAGGTATTTTAAACCCTGCAATACATCTTTTTAAAATTTAAATAATTATATTCAAAATAAAATTTAAAATAAGAAAAAATGTCTTCTATAATTACCTACATATTTATAATTTTCAGCATTCTTCATTCCTCCTCAGCCTCCCAAAGTTCTGGGATTACAGACATGAGCCACCACGCTTGGCCAGCATTCTTCATCATTAAGTGTAAATCCAAATTTCCATTTGGTATCAATTTGCTTCCTCTTGAAGACCTTCCTTTAACATTGTTTTGTATTGTAGGCCTGCTGGCAATGAATTCTTTCTGCTTTTGGTTGTTTGAAAAAGCTATACAAGCAGCCAACAAACATATGAAAACATGATCATCATCACTAATCATCAGAGAAATGAAAATCAAAACCACAATGAGATACCATCTCACACCAGTCAGAATGGCCATTATTAAAAAATCAGAAAATAACAGATGCTGGCAAGGCTGTGGAGAAAAGGGAACACTCACACACTGTTGGTGGGAATGTAAATTAGTGCAGCCACCGCGGAAAGCAGTTTGGAGATTTCTCAAAGGACTCAGAACTACCATTTGACCCAGCAATCTCATTACTGAGTATATGCCCAAAGGAAAAGAAATCATTCTACAAAAAAAACACATGCATGCTATTCACAATAGCAAAGACATGGAACCAACCTAGGTGCCCATCAACAGTAGAATGGATAAAGAAAACGAGGTGCATAAACACCAGGGAATACTACACAGTCACAAAAAAGAACAAAACTATGTCCTTTGCAGCAACATGGATGCAGCTGGAGGCGATTAACCTAAGTGAATTAACACAGGGACAGAAAACCAAATATTGCATGTTCTCACTTATAACTGGGAGCTTAACATTGAGTACACATGGACATAAAAATGGAAACAATAGATGCTGGGGACTACTAGAGCGAGGAGGGAGAGGGATGTGGACTGAAGAACTACCTGTTGGGTACTATGGCTACTATCTGGGTTATTTTGAAGGTATCACTTCAGTTTCTTATGAATTGTATAGTTTCTACTGAGGTCTACTTAGTTTTGTTTGTTTGTTTGTTTTCCTGAGACAGAGTCTTACTTTGTCACCCAGGCTGGAGTGCAGTGGCGTGATCTTGGCTCACTGCAACCTCTGCCTCCCGGGTTCAAGCAATTGTCTGGCCTCAGCCTCCTTAGTAGCTGGGATTACAGGTGTGTGCCACCACAACCGGCTAATTTTTTTTTTTTTTTTTTTTGTATTTTTAGTAGAGACAGGGTTTCACCATGTTGACCAGGCTGGTCTTGAACTGGCTGCTCTTGAACTCCTGACCTCGTGATCTAACCACCTTGGCCTCCCAAAGTACTGGGATTACAGGTGTGAGTCACCGTGCCCAACCGAGGTCTACTTTAATTTTTGTCTTCAGTTTCTAAATGTAAATTTCCCGCATCTGGCTGCTTTTGTGATTTTCTCTTTATTATTGATTTTTGGCCATTTGTGATTTTCTTAATGTTTCTTCTACTTGCAATTGAGATTTTTGGATCTGTGTATTCATAGTTTGAATCAAATTGGGGACTTTAAAAAAAGCCATTCTTTTCTCAAATATTTTTCTGTACTCCACACACCCCGCCCTGCCATTACATGTATGTTAGAAAGCTTGCTATTTTCACACAGTTTACTGGGGCTCTATTCAATGTTTTCTGTCTTTTTGTCTCTCTGTGTTTCATTTTAGGTAGTTTCTATTGCTATATCATCAAGTTTACAGATCTTTTCTTCTGCAGTATCTAATCAGTGAATCTTATCCAGTACACTTTTCATTTCAGATACGGAACAAAATATATATGACTTGATTTTCTTAGAGCAGTTTTAGGTTTACAGCAATATTAAAAGGAAGGTACAGAGACTTTTCATATACTCCCGACCCCACACTTGCACAGCCTCTCCTATTATCAACATTCCCCACACAATGGTACATTTGTTGCAACTGATGAACCAATATTGGCATATCATAATCACCCAAAGTTCATAGTTTATCTTGGGTTCACTCTTGGAGTTGCATATTCTGTGGATTTGGACAAATGTATGATGTGTTCCACCATTATAGTATCATACAGTGTACAGTCATCTCTTGGTATACGTGGGGGATTGATTCCAGGACTGCCTGCATATAGCCAAATCCACACTTACTCCCATCCCACAGTCAGCCCTGCAGAACCCACATATATGAAAAGTTGGCAGTCCATATACTCAGGCTTTGCTTCCCTCAAATACTGTATTTTCAATCTATGCACGTTGTTGAAAAGAATATCCACGTATGTCAATCCCTCATTGTTAAAGGGCCAACTATAGTTTCACTTCCCTAAAAATCCTCTGTGCTCCACCTATTTGTCCCTTCCTCCCCACTAGCCCCTGGAAACCACTGATCTTTTTCACGTCTCCATAGTTTTGCCTTTTCCAAAATGTCATTTAGTTGGGAACACACAGTACGTAGCCTTTTCAGGTTGGCTTCTTTCACTTAGTAATATACATCTAAGATTCTTCCATGTCTTTTCATGGCTTGATAGCTCATTTCTTTTTAGCACTGAATAATACTCCATTGTCTGGATATACCACAGTTGATTCATTCACATGCTGCAGGACATCTTGGTTGCTTCCAGGTTTCAGCATTTGTGAATAAAGCTGCTATAAACATCCATGTGAAATTTTCACATGGATATACATTTTCAGCTTCTTTGGGTAGATACCAAGGAATACAATGCTGGATCATATGGTAAGAGTATTTTTAATTTTGTAGGAAACTGCCAAACTGTCTTCTACCATGGCTGTACCATGTTGCACTCCCACCAGCATTGTAGCAACGAGTAAGAGTTCCTGTTGCTCCACATCCTTGCCAGTGTATGGTGTTATCAGTGTTCTGGATTTTGGCCATTCTAATAGATATTTAGTGGTATCTCATTGTTTTAATTTGCATTTCCCCTTTGACAGATGATGTGGAGCATCTTTTTATATGCTTATTTTCCATCTACATATCTTCTTTGATGAGGTGTATGTTAAGGTCGTTGGCCCATTCTTAAAATTGGGTTGTTTGTTTTCATATTATTGAGTTATTTGTGTATTTTGGATGAGTACATTATCAGAGGTGTCTTTTGGAAAATTTTGTCCCAGTCTGTGCTTTGTTTTCTCCTTCTCTTGACATTTTCTTTCATAGAGCAGAAGTTATTAATTTTAATGAAATCCAGCTTATCAATTATTTCTTTCATGGATCATGCCATTGATGTTGCATCTAAGAAGTCACTGCCATACCCAAGGTTATCTCGATTTTCTCCTGTAAGTTTATATAGTTTTGTGTTTTATATTTAGATCTAGGATCGTTTTTAGTTAATTTTGTAAAGAATGTAAGGTTGATGTCTAGATTAATGTTTTTGCATGTGGATGTCCAGCTGTTTCCGCACCATTTGTTGAAGAGACTGTCTTTGCTCTATTCTGTTGCCTTTTCTCATTTGCCAGAGATCAGTACACTATATTTATGTGAGTCTATTTCTGAGCTCTCTATTCTGTTCCATTTGATCTACTTGTCTATCCTTCTGCCAACACCATACTAACTTTATTATAACTTCGTAGTAAGGTTCGAAGTCAGGTAGTGTCAGTCCTTCACCTTTGTTCATCTCTTTCAATATTGTGTTGGCTATTCTGGGTCTTTTGCATCTCTGTATAAACCTTAAAATGAGTTTGTTGATATCTGCAAAATAACTTGCTAGAATTTTGATTGGGATTGCATTGAACATACAGATTAAGTTGGGAAGAACTGACATCTTGACAATATTGGGTCTTCCGGTACATTAATATGGGATATCTTTTATTTAGTTGGGAAGAACTGACATCTTGACAATATTGGGTCTTCCGGTACATTAATATGGGATATCTTTTATTTAGTTCGTCTGTAAGGAATTATTATAATTTCTTCCTTAAATATTTGGTAGACATCATCAGTGAATCCATCTGAGCATAGTACTTTCCATTTTAGAAGGTTATTAATTATTGATTCAATTTCTTTAATAGATAGAGGCCTATTTATATTATCTATTTCTTATTGTGTGAGATTTGGCAGATTGTGTCTTTCAAGGAATTATTTCATTTCATCTAGGTTATCAAGTTTGTGGGCTTAGAGTTGTTCATTGTATTCCTTCATTATCCGTTTGTTTGTTCGAGACAGAGTCTCACTCTGTTGCCCAGGCTGGAGTGCAATGGCATGATCTCAGCTCACTGCAACCTCCACCTCCCAGGTTCAAGCGATCCTTATGCCACAGCCTCCTGAGTAGCTGGGATTACAGGCATGTGCTACCACGCCAGGCTAATTTTTGTATTTTTAGTAGAAACAAGGTTTCACCATGTTGGCCAGGCTGGTCTCAATCTCCTGACCTCAGGTGATCCACCCACCTTGGCCTCCCAAAGTGTTGGGATTACAGGCATGAGACACTGTGCCCAGCCTAACAAATTTAAAATAACAGAATTTACACTAATGCCTGATTTCAGATCACAATGGAATTAAACTCAAAATCAGTAACAGAAAATTAACTGGAAAATCCCAAAATACATGGAAATTAAACAACACACTTCTAAATAACACGTGTCAAAGAAAGCTCAAGAAAAATATTAAAATTTGTGAACTAAATGAAAATGAAGACACAACTTATCAGAATTTATGTGCTACAGAAAAAACAGTGCTTTGAGGGAAATGTATAGCATTGAATGCATATATTAGAAAAGAAGAAAGATCTAAAATCAGCAATTTAAGTTTCCACCTTAGGAAACTAGAAAAATTAGAGTAAATTAAATCCAAAGAAATAATAAGAATTAGAACAGAAATCAATGAAATTGAAAATAGAAAATCAATAGAGTAGATCAATTACAATAAAAGCTGGTTCTTTGTAAAGATCAATAAATTTGATAAGCCTCTAGCCAAGCTGACTAAGAAAAAGAGAGGACATGTATTACTAACATCAGAAATGAAAGAGGGAAGGGACATCACTATAGATCCCATGGACATTAAAAGGATAACGAAGGGCTGGGTGCAGTGGCTCATGCCTGTAATCCCAGCACTCCCATATATCTGTATATCTATATAACTATATGTCCTATTAATTCTGTCCCTCTAAGAGAACCCTGACTAATACAGTGACAGAGTGAGACTCCATCTCAAAAAAAATTATGAGAGTATGTTTTATGGAACAGAACATAGCCTGTCTTGGTGAATGTTCTATGTAAGCTTGAGAAGAAAGTATATCCTGCTATTGTTGGATGAAATAGTCAATTACATCTAGTTGATTGATGGCATTATAGATATCTAACAGAGTTCAACTATCTCTCCACTGATGTTTTTTTCCTTCTGGATCTGTCCATTGCTGATAGAAGGGTGCTGAAGTCTCCAACTATGATAGTAGGTCCATCAGTTTCTCCTTGCAGTTCTCAGTTTTTGCCTCATGTAGCTTGATGCTCTGTGTTAGGTTACGTGTCAAGGATTGTTATGTCTTCTTGGGGAACTAACCCCTTTATTATTTTGCCCTTCTTTATCCCCAGTAATTTTTCTTACTTTGAAGTCTGTTTTGTCTGAAATTAATATAGCTACTCTTCCTTTCTTTTGATTATTGTTAACATCATATACTATTTTCCATCCACTTAAATTTAGTGTGTATGTGTCCTTATATTTAAAGCAGGTTTCTTATAGATATCACAGAGTTGGGTCTTGTTTTTTTGACCAACTTTGACAATCTCTGTCTTTTAATTGGTGTATTTAGACCACTGGTTTTCAAAGTAATTGTTGAAATATTTGAATTAATATCTACCATATTTGTTACTATTTTCTATTTGTTGCCCTTGTTCTTTTTTTTCTGTTTTTGCCTTCTACTCTTTTTCTGCCTTTTGTGATTCTATTGTATTTTATTTATTTTCTTTCTTGCTTCTTGCAGAGCAGGGCTAACTGATAGGCATGACCCATAGTGCCCACAGTCAGTTCTTTTGTGATTTTATTTTATTATTTATTTATTTTTGAGACAGCCTCTCACTCTGTTGCCCAGGCTGGAGTGCAGTGGTGTGATCTCAGCTCACTGCAGTCTCTGCCTCCAGGGTTCAAGTGATTCTCCTGTCTCAGCCTCCTGAGTAGCTGGGATTACGGGTGCATGCCAACATTTCTGGCTGTTGTTTGTATTTTTAGCAGAGGTGAGGTTTTGCCATGTTGACCAGGCTGGACTTGAACTCCTGACCTCAAGTGATCTACCCACCTTGGCCTCCCAAAGCGCTGGGATTATAGGCGTGAGGCACTGTGCCTGGTCCTCTATGTGATTTTAACTGGACATTTATATTATTCCATTTTCTCTCCCTTTTTTTGGCATTTAGTTACACTTCTTTATTTGCTTTTTCTAGTAGTTACCCTGGAGTTTGCAAAATGCTTTTACAATGAATCCAAGTGTGCTTTCAAATAACAGCACACAGGTAGCACGAGTACCTTTTAATAACAAAATGTAGAATGAGCATCCCAAATCCAAAAATCCGAAACCGGAAATGCCCCGAAATCTAAAACTTTTTGAACATTGACATGGCACTGAAAGGAAATGCTCACTGGGGCACTTTGGACTTTGGATTTTCATATGCTGAACCAGTAAGTATAAGGCAAACATTTCAAAATCTGAAAAACATCTGAAATCCAAAACACTTCTGTTCTCAAGCATTTTGGATAATGGATACTCAAACTGTAATCCCATTTCTTCCCTCCTGTCCCTTGTATCTTTGCTGTCATTCATTTTACTTACATATAAGCAAGTATACACATAAGATACATACATAAGAATCACAGTGGAATACATTGTTGCTATTATATTTTGAACAAACTGTTACCTGTTAGAAAGATGTAATTTAGTTTTTCTCAGTTCCTCTCCCCAATTAGATGGAACAGGATGGCTACAGTGGGCCAGGATGGAGTCTTTCCCTTCTCCAAGGTCAGTTAGGCTCTGGAAAAACCCCAGCATATAAGGATCTGGATAAATAGTTTCTCCTGAGGGCAGGCATTGTTAAGAAGAAAATGCCTTGGCGTATTTCAAAATAGTTCCTTTTCCTCTCCCCTTGCCAGAATCATTAGGGATTTTTTCTCCAGTACGTACTGCCGGAACATGGTCAAGCTCCTGGAGGTAAAACTCACAAAAGTGTGGCTACTTCCCTATGACTGGGTCCTTTTGGAGTTTTTAACGTTCAGACTTGTCCATGCTGAGCCTCTGGAAATTCATCGATTATAATTCAGGTTTTCCCTCCTAAAACTGGTTCCCACAGCAGTTTCTGCTCCTGAGTCTCTGCCCAGTAAGCTGTGACTCCTTCTAGAGGCCTCCGTGTCTTTCCAGACTTGACGACAGTGGTTTGCCCTGTGTCCTCCCCTCTCCTACAGATCCAAGAAGAGCTGGTTTTTTAGCCTGTTCAGCTTTGTACTTGCTAGGACAGAGTGGCAACTTCCAAGCTCTGTACATGTGGAATAGAAACTGGAAGTCTCCATTTCAGATACTTTTAATCTCTGAAAATCTCCATTTGATTTCTTGTACCTTCCATTTCACTTCTTATCATGTCCATGTCCTTGGGCATAGAAAACACATTTATAACAGCTACTTCCATGTTCTTACATCACCATTATCAGTTCTTTTCTGTTTTTAATTATGGATTTTTCATCTAGTCATAGGCCTCATGGTCCTGCTTCTTCACATGGCTCATGACTTTTGACTGAATGCCAAACATGGTGAATTTCATATTGTCAAGTGCTGAGCTTTGAATGCCTTTAAAGAGTATTGAATTTTTCCTGGCAGGCAGTTTAAGTTACTTCTAGATTAGTTTTATCCTTTTGAGGCTTTTTATCTCTTTTAAGGTAGTTCTAGAGTCTATTACCCTAAAGCAATTTAGCTCTACTTTTAAGTCATAGCCCTCCTGGGGTCTTTGGTATTCAATAAAACTTCTCTACTCCAACTGGTGGGAACCTGAATGGTTTTCAGCCCTATGTGATATCTGAGATTTATTTGTCTCAAAGCTCCTTGCAACTGTTTTCTCCTTGGAGGTTGTTCTTGTCCAGCCTAGTGGAACTTCACCATATACACAAACAGATTGGTCTTCAACCTAAATCTCAAGGGAGTCCCCATGTAGATTTCTAGAGCTCAGTGAAATTCCTGTCTTTTAGGTACTCTGCCCTGAAAATTTTAGCCACTTTGACCTCTCCAAACTACAGTCTCTGTTTAGATTTCCCCTCTGTATAGTCTCTTTTGTATTGCTATAAAAGAATACCTGAGAGAGTAATTTATAAAGAAAGAGATGTATTTGGCTTAGAGTTCTGCAGACTGTGTAAGAAGCATGGCGCCAACATCTACTCAGCTTCTGGTGAGTCCTCAGGAAGCTTTTATTCTTGGCAGAAGACAAAGTGGGGGCAAATGTGCCACATGGTGAGAGAGAGAGCAAGAATGAGGGGAGAAGTTTCCAGGTTCCTTTAACCCGCTAGTTCTCAATGTGAACTAATAGACTGAGAACTCACTCATCACCAAAGGGATGGTACCAAGTCATTCATGAAGGATCCTCCACCAATGACCCAAACAACTCCTGCTAGGCCCCACCTCCAATACTGGGGATCACATTTAAACATGGGATTTGGAGGGCACAAGTATCCAAACCACATTACCCTCTGTGAACCTCAGTATAGGCATTATCTCCAGGCAGAGGCCTACGTAATGGAAAGCTCACCTCACTTGCTCCCCTTTTCTCCATGATCACAGCCCTATGCTTCCCACTGGCCTATATCCAAAAAGAGTTTCTTCTCTTTTTTCTTTCAGTTTTCTAATTGTTTATGGTGAGACGGTACTTCTGTGTCATCTTACTTTCTCATCACTGGGGGAACAAGTACCTGTCTCATTCCTTCCAGCAACGGAGTACCAGATTGTGGGAGCCTCCAAAAGGAAACACAGAGACTAAAACAAAGGTAGAAAAGGAACCAAACAAAACAGATAATATGGGGAATAGAAGAAAACATTTTAAAATTTATAATTAAAATCCTCAGAGACCTAGGAGAAAACACTGCATACCTGAAAGAAGAACAGGATGTCATAATTTTCTTTTTATCTGCAGAGGATAAGAATGTTTTTAAAATTTAAAATGTTAGCAGAATTTAAATCTCAATGGAAGGTATCAAATGTACAATTAAAGAAAATTTTCAGACAGTTGAACAAAAGGACAAACAGAGAAAATATAAAAGAGACAAAACTATTACAGGATTCGTTAACAGCCCAAATTTTCAATTAAAAGGTTCTCTAGGAAAAGAGAATAGAAAAAAAATGAAGGGCAGTAACTGTGTAAAAAGGAAAAAAAATTCTCAAACTGAGGCTCAGGGGCATCTAGATTTAAAAGGACCACTGACTGCCCAGCTCAATGAATTTTAAAAAGATCTACACCAAGGTATACCATGATAAAAGTCCAGGACATCTGAGAGAAAAAGACTTCAGGCCAGGCGTGGTGGCTCACGCCTGTAATCCCAGCACTTTGGGAGTCCCAGGTGGGCGGATCATGAGGTCAGGAGTTCGAGACCACGGTGAAACCCTGTCTCTACTTAAAATACAAAAAAATTAGTCAGGCGCAGTGGCGGGCGCCTATAGTACCAGCTACTCGGGAGGCTGAGGCCGGAGAATGGCATGAACCCGGGAGGCGGAGCTTGCAGTGAGCCAAGATTGTGCCACTGCACTCCAGCCTGGGTGACAGAGAAAGACTTTGTCTCAAAAAAAAAAAAAGAGGACTTCAAAAGCATACAAGGGATTGGAAATCAGAATGGCATAGCAACACAAGACACTAGAGGCCCAATGCCCACAACCTCTAAGAGGACAATTTTCATCTGTAATTTTATACCCAGACAAACTATCAACCAAATATGAGGATATAATGAAGACAATTTCAAACACGCAGAGTAACAAAAATTTTACCTTCTCTTCCTTCTTTCTCATGAAGCAACAGGAGAATGTGCTCCATCAATCAGGCTGAAACACCCAGAGGAAGACACAGGATCCAGAAAATCAGAAACCTCTAGCAGGAGATTGTGGGAAGACCCAAAATAATGCAGAAGGGAAGCTCTGGGGTTACAGCTGTGCAGCAAGCCCAGGAACAGTCAGTGTAGAATGAGTACAAGGGGATGATTTCAAAAATAAAATAAATAAACTGTATTTTATTGTGTTGTAAGGAGTTTTGTTTAGCATGTTATTTAGAATTATGAAGGCAGATATAAAAAACAGTGAAAAGGGCTGAAAATAGTTCCTTCTGGGTAGTGAGAACTGGAGATCAGGAAGGCCATGGGGAGGTGAGCATATTTTTTGCTTCAGCTGTGTGCTTTTTGAGTTTTAAACCTTTATTAATGTATTATTTTGGTCATTTTTTTTCTTTTTTAAGACAAGGTCTGGCTCTACCACCCAGGCTGAAATGCAGTGGCGTGATCTTGGCTCACTGCAACCTCCACCTCCTGGGCTCAAGCCATCCTCCCACCTCAGCCTCCCAAGTAGCTGGGACTACAAGCATATACCACCATGCCTGGCTAAGTTTTGTATTTTTGCAGAGATGGAGTGTCACTATGTTGTTCAGGCTGGTCTTGAACTCATGAGCTCAAGCGATCTGCCCTCCTTGGCCTCCCAAAGTGCTGGGATTACAGGTGTGAACTACCATGCCTGGGCAATAAATTGTTTTAAATTAAAACGTAAGAGCTAGAAATCTTTATTTTAAATAAATGGTTTTTTTTGTGTTCCTTAAAAACAAAACAAAAATCACAAGTTTAATACTAATCCTTTGAAACACTGTACACTAAACAAAGCCACCTTACTCATGCAGCAAGTTGGTCTAAGTTCTCTTCTGTTTGCCAGATGATTCTCAATAACTTCTGCAAACAGATTCCTCTTCAACAGTTTATATGCAAGAGGTAAAAGCTGGCCAGCAACTTTACAAAAATAATGTGAGCCATAGCAAAAGAGGTCCATTTTCTCAACTCAAGCCCCGTGCCATAGTCAGATTCATTAGCAAATGGCACAAGAGTCATCATTTCCTGAATAGGAGCAAAAGCTTTTAGTCTCTCCTCTTCACTTACAGCCTCAATTATTGTCTTGCAAATTCTCTTGAGGTCAGCGGTAAAAGGCCTAGAAATCCAAGTTTGCATATACCAAAGACATTCCTTGCACAAATTCTTTCCTGATCTCCCAAAGGATGCAAGTATAACTGTTATGTGAGGTCAGACCTCATGGGGCTTTGACTCCATGGGCACAGGTTTAGGGCCTGGTCTTTTAGCCCTGCAGATCTGCCCCATTGACAGCCTAATGTCAAGAGATGCTGGACTGCTGAAAACTGTAGTACCTTATGCGAATTTATGAGACTGTACTGGAAAGCCAATTTAGTCATTTACAGTGAGAAATATAACTGTCAAGAATGATTGGAAATTCTTGTAAGTCTGCACATTCTTTCCTTAATAGGGAAGCATAGTTGAGAAAATCTAATTACATTCAGGAGTTTGCTTAATAAAAAAGGAATGAAATTGAAGAAGAGCATCATAGAGTCCTCAGAAATATTTTAAGCAGACCATGGTAGCCTGATTAGTCAACTTCTTCCTTTAATAGCTATCAAAGATCAGCAACCTTTTTCTGTAAAGTATTGGATATTCTATATTTTCAGATTTTGCAAGCCATCTCTGTCGAAACTACTTAACTCTGCGGTTGCAGAGAGGCATGGGTGATATGTAAACGAGTCGGCGTGGCTGCATTCTTACGGCACTCCCCCTGGATATCATGCAGACTACAGCTCCGTGGGGGTGACCAGATCTCTCCCCTGCACAGTCTGAAGATGACACATTCTTACTGTCAGACTCACTTTCTTCATTTCAGTAACCTTTTATAATGCCTTTAAGCTCTGAGACAAGAGAAAAATTGATCTGATTTTAGTTCTGAGTATCTGGGTTAGATAAAGGAAAATATCTTAAAGTCCATAGTTAACTGGCTTCCAAATCATACTGTATGGAAAGTTATTTGGGAGATTTTTTTTTTTTAAGACAGAGTCTCACTCTGTCACCCAGGCTGGAGTGCAGTGGTGCGATCTCGGCTCACTGCAACCTCTGCCTCCCGGGTTCAAGTGATTCTTCTGCCTCAGCCTCCCGAGTAGCTGGGATTACAGGTGCACGCTGCCATGCCCAACTAATTTTCTGTATTTTAGTAGAGATGGGGTTTCAACATGTTGCCCAGGAGGTCGCGGACTCCTGAGCTCAGGCAATCCGCCCAGCTCGGTCTCCCAAAGTGCTGGGATTACAGGCGTGAGCCATCGCGCCTGCCTGGGAGATTTTTTTCTTAGAGGCAATGGGCATGCAAATGATGAATATAAGTTCTTGTGTCTTGTTAGAGAGTAGATATTCTTCCTTCCTTCATCCTTCTTCCCTCCTTCATTTCATTTCTTTCTTCCCTAATGGTCTCCTTCTTAAGCCTCCGAATTTCCGGTCATCATTGTTAAAGTCTTATTTGTCTTTACTCTAAATGTTTTACAGACTTTTTGAGATACATTATTACAAGCATCTGGTATAGCCAGCTTTCCTTTGAAAAGTGGTTACAGCGTTTGTGATCACTGGGAGAGAAAGGCTGCCAGTGTCAACTACACACTTGTGTTGGGCTGGGAGGTACAACTGGGGAGCTGCCTAGCAGAGATAAATAATACAGGCTCCATCTGTAGGGAATGCATCCTGTCCACCCTGAAGATTTCTGTGCCAACAGTTACCAAAATGCTTCCCAGACCCTGCTTCAACCCCATTAGAGGGCAAGATGCTGTTTCTATATGATAAAGTGAAATATTTTCCTTTCCCCCTAGTGTCACAGAGCCCAAAATCCAAGACAAAGCAGATTTTTAGAGGAATGCCATATGGTCAGATAATTCAGGAATGGCAATTGCTCCTTTTTCTAATCCCCAGGAGTCCCCAGTATTGATTCCATAAACCTGCTTGCTTGGGATTTTATCCTGGGATTTCCCAGGATATATTTTTAAACTGCTTACTCCCTTTTACAAATTCGTGTCATATTGATCCAGAGGACTGGCTTCTTACAGATACCCAGCCCCAGTGAGAGTCACAAATCTGAAGGGGATTGAGACCACTCATGTGTTCATTGATGGACCAGGTGCTCTGAACAAATGAAGTGTATTCATTGAAAAATATATATTTTGGCCGGGCACGGTGGCTCACACCTGTAATCCCAGCACTTTAGGAGGCCGAGGTGAGTGGATCATGAGGTCAAAAGATGAAGACCATCCTGGCCAACATGGTGAAACCCCATCTCTACTAAAAATACAAAAATTAGTTGGCTGTGGTGGCACGAGCCTGTAGTTCCAGCTACTTGGGAGGCTGAGGCAGGAGAATCGCATGAACCCTGAAGGCGGAGTTTGCAGTGAGCCGAGATCACTCCACTGCAATCCAGCCTGGTGGCAGAGCGAGACTCCATCTCAAAAAAAAAAAAAAAAAAAAAAAAAAAAAATATATATATATATATATATATATATATATATATTTTATACCTGCTACATGCCAGGCATTGTTCTAAGTGGTAGGAACCCTGCTGTTAATGAAACAGCATGTTTTGCTTTAATGAAGCTTATGTTATGTGAGGTGGGAAATGAGGATGACACAAAACAAATAAATATATAATGAGTCAAGTAGTGATACAAGCTATGAAGAAAAATACAGCAGGACAAAGCAGGTAGAGACCATTAGAAGTAGGAGGGGTTTCTAGTTAGTTAGCAGGGTGCTTGGGGAAGGCTTCTCAAATATGGTGATACTTGAGCAGAGACTTCAATGTAGTGAGAGAGGAAGCCATGTGGGTACAGCGTGGATACGGAGGGAAGAGAGGCCTGGGCAGAGGAAACGGCGACCACAAAGCCCCTAAGGGCTGATCTGTCTCAATTGTACCCGCAGGATTTTAATTTATGGTGGCTGAGTGACAACCTGGAGAGGTTAATGCCATTGAAAGAAGAATTTATTACTTATAGTTTCGGAGAGGATGGGGCAGGCCAGGCCACACTGGGCCACCTGGGGAAGCAATAGGTGTGGTCAGGAGGTAGGAGCAAGGGGAAAGCATAGTTTAGAGCCTTTATTGGTGTTTTTGCAAGTAAGGCAAGGCAAGGCAGGGGAGACTGCTTAGGAATGTCTAGTTTAAGTAATGTCACTGAGCTTTGGGCTATAGGGGTTGTCTTTAGTTGTCTGGTACCTGGCTCTGGGTGATTTAAAGCAGGGAAAATCCTGGTGTGGTTTGTACAAGTTAGATAAGAAGGTGGTTCAGAGTATGAGATCTGGATCACAGGGAAAATGGAAATAACTTTGGCTATTAGTCTGATACTGTTAGACAAATACGGAATCTAAGAAAGCACAGTTAGAATGTGATCATGTAGGGCCTTCCAGATCTTGTTAAAATTCCTACTGTGTGCAAGCTGGATATGCCTGGGAGGGCAGGAATACTTTGTTCAACACCAACCACAGTGAGAAGAGTAACAGCCATGCAGGGGAGTGCCAACTGCTGGTGCTCAGCTTTTGTTAAAATTCCTACCTGCTTCCTGCTTCTGTTATGCTCTATCCCTGTGGTAATTTGTACAAGTAATTATAAGTTTTATTTGACTAATTTTGGCCTCCTTTAACATGCTTTGCCTTTTAATTTATATCCTATATATGTTATTGTTCCAACAAAAATAATAGTGGGACTTGTATCAGTGAACTTTCTAGAAAAAGATGTCTGTTGATCAAGATATCAGGAAGAACTTATTCGTTTTGTTTTGTCATTAATCTTTCATTTCATGGAAGAATGTTTCATGAGATTGTTGCTTACTCATGCACAAGGACAATTTGAGGTTCTTTCTGTATACTTACAGATGCTTTCTTAAAAATTGAAGAGGCTATCTCATAGCCTAGCTATCTTTGTATTCACTTCTTTTCACTACAATTGAAAACTACAGCAATTACTTAATACAGGGAACTGGAACAGCAAGAACTAGTGTTTGAATCATAGAAAATGAAAATGTTGCTTCCCACTTGTTGCATTCTAGCTTATTTAGTCTGAAAGCTAAAATGGCAAAATAAACAATGTTTTCCAGGAGCTGTCTCAGTTCAGATGACAAGGAAATGTCAGTTGTAGATTCAGTCACAGAAAGACCAGAATTTCATTCATTCAGCAAATATTTACTGGGCATTTGCTGTGTACCTGGCACACATAGGACATTGTGCTGAATAAAACAAACTTTGTCCTTGCCCTCATGAAACAGAAGTCTAGTGAGGGTGACTGACATTTTAAAAAACAAAACAAAACACCTAAGTGCATATATAATTACAAATTGTGATTAGTGTCATAAAAGAAAAGCAAAGAGAGGGAAATATAATTTAGACCATAGAGGAGATAGCTAAGGAGATGTCTTTGAAGACACGTTTTTTGAACTGAGCTTAAAAGATGAATAGGAATTTCCAGTTACCTATTGTTGCATAATAAACTGTCCCAAACTTAGTGGCATAAAACAATACCATTTTATTATGCTAAAACATTCTTTAGGTCAGAAATTCAATGAGGCATGGTGGAAATAGCATATCTCTGCTCTATAATGTTTAGAGTCTTAGCCAGGAAGACTTGAATGTCTAGGGGTAATGCAAACAGCTGGGGGCTGGAATCAACTCCAGGCTTCCTCACTCATATTTCAGGTGCTATAGTGGGCTAAATAGTGACTCCAAAATAATATTTTCAACTCCTTTTTTTTGAGATGGAGTTATGCTCTTGTTGCCCAGGCTGGAGTGCAATGGGGCGATCTTGGCTCACTGCAACCTCCGCCTCCCGGGTTCAAGCAATTCTCCTGCCTCAGCCTCCCGAGTAGCTGGGACTACAGGCATGTGCCAACACACCCAGCTAATTTTGTATTTTTAGTAGAGACAGGGTTTCTCCATGTTGGTCAGGCTGGTCTCGAACTCCTGACCTCAGGTGATCTGCCCGCCTCAGCCTCCCAAAGTGCTGGGATTATAGGCATGAGCCACTGTGCCCTGCTGTTCAACTCCTAATCTCTGGTACCTGTCAATGTGAAATACTTATTTGGAAAAAGGGTCTCTGTAGATGTAATCAAATTAAGATTCTCAAGATCATCTTGTATTGATGGTAGGCCCTAAATCCAATAACTGGTGTCCTTAAGAGAAAATAGAGGGATATTTGAGTAGAGGAGAAACATGGAGGAGAAGGCAATATGGAGACAGAGGTGGAGGTGGAGATTGAAGTAATATGTCTATAAGCCAAGTGTGGGGGAGGAAACACCTCTTCTACTCTCTTAGGTTCAGTAGCTGAGGCCTGCAAATCAAACTTGGAGAAGACTAGTTAACATGAGAAAAAAAACACAGAGTTTACTTATGTGCACAACATGCATGCATGAAGAAGAACTGAGTGATAAATAACTCAAAAGGGGTGGATAGAATTTCAGGCTTATATACCATTACCATCTAAACGAACAGCAATGGGTTTATTGAGAAGTGACAAGACAGGAAAAGGGATTTGGGCTTCTAGGGTCAGTAATTTGTGGTAAGATAAATATATGGAGGAAACTTATGGAAGATAAAGTTTGTTTGTGCAGACAGAAATCTGTCTGATGTTCTGTCTCCGGTGATAACGGTTGTTCTCCTCCTGATATGGCCGCGGTGCGGGACCAGGAGGGGTGGGGTGGGGGGCGGGACAGTGGGTTGTAACACCTTCAGAAAGGGAAATTTGTACCCTGCCTTTAGGAAGAAACAGGGAGAATAGAGAGCTCCTTTTGCATCTGTTGTGTCTCAATTGCCTTCAGCTCAAAATTATCCTCATGCCTAAGTGGCATGTTTTGGGTGGCATATTCTGATTCCCTGCATAAGGAAGGTTAAAGATTGCCAGCTACCACCAGAAGCTAGGAGGGCATGGCACCTGCTATCCCCTCCCAACACTTTGAATACACACTTCTGGCCTCCAGAACTGCAAGAGAATATTTTAAACCACCAGGTTTGTGGTAGTTTCTATGGTAGGCCTAGGCTGGGATACAGCAACTACATGTGATCTCCTGTGTGGCTTCAGCTGCACGCAGTGGGGTGGCTGGGTTCTGAGATGCAGCTTCCTGGGGGCAAGTGCCCCAAGAGTATGACCTTCAAGAGCCCAAGGCAGAAGCTGCAAGGCTTTGTCTTACCTAGCCTTGGAAGTCACATAATGTCACTACCACCATTCAGTCACAAGCCCACCCAGATTCAAGGAGAAGGGATAGAGACCCCATCTCTCAACTGGAGGCATGTCAAAGAATTTATGTTCATGGTCCATAGCCACCTCAAGGAGTTAGCCATTTGGGGAAAGCAGTAGAGTAGAGCCACATTAATTAATCTAAATTAATTAAAATAAAATAAAAAATCAATGCCTCAGTCACACTAGCCACATTTCAAGTACTCAGTAGTTACATGTCTGTGCTGCCATATTGGACAGCACAGACGTAGAACACTTCCATCATGGCAGGCAGTTCTACTGAACAGTGCTGCCCTAGACAGAGAGAACAGCATGGACAAAGGCTCTGAGTTAGAAAATAACTTGGCTCGTAAGAGAAACAGAAAAAATTGGCTTTAGCATCATCCTGGTACCAAAACCTGGCAGAGATACAACAACAAAAAACTTTAGGCCAATATTCTTGATAAACATTGATGCAAAATCCTCAACAAAATACTGGCAAACCAAATCCAGCAGCACATCAAAAATCTTATCCACCATGATCAAGTAGGCTTCAACCCCAGGATGCAAGGCTGGTTCAACATATGCAAATCAATAAATGTGGTTCATCACATAAACAGAACTAAAGATAAAAACTGCATGATTATCTCAATAGCTGCAGAAAAGGCCTTTGTTAAATTCAACATCCCTTCATGTTAAAAACTTTCAATGGCCGGGTGCGGTGGCTCATGCCTGTAATCCCAGAACTTTGGGAGGCTGAGGCGGGCGGATCACCTGAGGTCAGGAGTTTGAGACCAGCCTGGCCAACATGGTGAAACCCTGTCTTTACTAAAAATACAAAAATTAGCCAGGCATGGTGGCAGGCACCTGTAATCCCAGCTACTCGGGAGGCTGAGGCAGGAGAATTTCTTGAACCCCGGAGGTGGAGGTTGCAGTGAGCTGAGATCATGCCATTGCACTCCAGCCTGGGCGACAAGAGCAAGACTTCGTCTCAAAAAAAATTTGTTTTTTCAATAAACTACGTATTGAAGGAACATGCCTCAGAATAATAGGTGCCATATATAACAAACCCACAGCCAATATCATACTGAATGGGCAAAAGCTAGAAGCATTCCCCTTGAAAACCAGCACAAGACAAGGTTGCCCTCTCTCATCACTCCTATTCAACATAATATTGGAAGTTCTGGCCAGGGCACTCAGGCAAACAGAAATAAATAAAGCATATTCAAATAGGAAGAGAGGAAGTCAAACTATCTTTGTTTGCAGACGACATGATCCTATATCTAGAAAACCCCATTATGTCAGCCCAAAAGTTTCTTAAGCTGGTAAGCAACATCAGCAAAGTCTCAGTTTAGAAAATCAATGTGCAAAAATCGCTAGCATTCCTACACACCAACAACAGGCAAACCAAGAGCCAAATCACAAATGAACTCCCATTCACAACTGCCACAAAAAGAATAAAATATCTAGGAATATAGATAACAAAGGAAGTGAAGGACTTCTTTGAGGAGAACCACAAACCACTGCTCAAAGAAATCAGACATGACACAAACAGATGGAAAAACATTCCACAGTCATGGATAGGAAGAATCAATATCATTAAAATGGCCATACTGCCCAAAGCAATTTAGAGATTCAATGCTATTCCCATTAAACTACCATTGCCATTCTTCAAAGAATTAGGAAAAACTATTTTAAAATTCAAATGGAACCAAAAAAGAGCCCAAATAGCCAAGGCAATCCTCAGCAAAAAGAACAAAGCTGGAGGCATCCTTCTACCTGACTTCAAACTATACTACAAGGCTGCAGTAACCAAAACAGCATGGTACTGGTACAAAAACAGACATATAGACCAATGGAAAACAATAGAGAACCCAGAAATAAGACTGCACACCTACAAGCATCTGATCTTTGACAAACTTGACAAACACAAGCAATGGGGAAAGGATTCCCTATTTAATAAATAATGCTGGGAGAACTGGCTGGCCATATGCAGAAAATTGAAACTGGACCCCTTCCTTATACTATATAAAAAAATCAACTCAAGATGGATTAAAGACTTAAATGTAAAACCCTAAACCATAAAAACCCTAGAAGGAAACCTAGGCAATACTATTCAGGACATAGGCACAGTCAAAAATGTCATGACGGAGACATCAAAAGCCATTGCAACAAAAGCAAAAATTGACAGATGGGATCTAATTAAACTAAAGAGCTTCTGCACAGCAAAAGAAACCATCAACAGTGTAAACACACAGCCTACAGAATGGGAGAAAATTTTCGCAATCTATTCATCTGACAAAGGTCTAATATCCAATATCTGTAAGGAACTTAAACAAATTTGCAAGAAAAAAACAACCCCATTAAAAAGTGGACAAAGGACAGGAACAGACACTTCTCAAAAGAAGACAAATATGCAGCCAACAAACATATGAAAAAGAGCTCAACATCACTGATCATTAGAGAAATGCAAATCAAAACCACAATGAGATACCATCTCACACCAGTCAGAATGGTGATTATTAAAAAGCCAAAAAACAACAGCTGCTGGTAAGGTTGTGGAGTAAAAGGAATGCTTTTCACTGTTGGTGGGAGTGTAAATTAGTTCAACCATTGTGGAAGCCAGTGTGGGGATTCCTCAAAGATCACAGAGGCAGAAATACCATTCAATCCAGTATTCCCATTACTGGGTATATATCCAAAGAAATATAAATCATTCTATTATAAAGACACATGCATGTGTATGTTCATTGCAGCACTATTCACAATAGCAAATACATGGAATCAACCTAAATGCCCATCAGTGATAGACTGGATAGAGAAAATGTGGTACATATATCACGGACTACTATGCAGTCATAAAAAGGAATGAGATTATGTCCTTTGCAGGGACATGGGTGGAGCTAGAGGTCATTACCCTTAGCAAACTAATGCAGGAACAGAAAACCAAATACCGCATGTTCTCACTTATAAGTGGGAACTAAATGATGAGAACACACGGAGGTGGGGAGGGAACAATACACACTGGGGCCTATTGGAGGGTGGGGGGTGGGTGGGTGGGTGGGAAGAGGGAGAGGGATCAGGAAGAAAAGCTAATGGATGCTGGGCTTAATACCTGCGTGATGGGAAGATCTGTGCAGTAAACCACCATGGCATACATTTACTCATGTAACAAACCTGCACATCCTGCATATTATGTACCCCTGAACTTAAAATAAAAGTTGGAAATTAAAAAATAAATAAAATTTCAATGTGGAATCTGAAATTATATCAAAATAAAATTTTTGTATTTTGTTAAATTACAAAAAATAAAAAAGCTGGCTTTAAGGGCATGTTCTGTGGCTGTATTTTGCTGCTGTATGCCCAGTGCCTAGCATATAAGGCCCTCACAAGATACTTGTGGAATGAAAGAATGCATGCAAATGGCTCAAGTATACCAAGTGTATCAAGCTGTGTCTCTTTAGAGTTACATATATACAGGCTGGTATAGTGACTTTATAATAATCAGAAACCCAGGGTTTTGGTTGAGGTTTCTACCTCATTATCCAAGATATTTGCTTTTCAGCCAGCAGAAAGAAAAAGGAGAAGAGCTGCCACCCTTTGTATCCAGGATGATCTCTTCTTGAAATCCTTGATTTAATTATATCTGCATGACCCTTTCCCCAACTAAGGTTATATCCACAGTTACCGGGGGTTAGCACTGGGACATCCCTTATTTTAAGAACATGTCTCAGAAAGTTGCACAAAAAACTTCTACTACATCCCATTGGCCAATGATTCTTACATGATGACACCTGCCTTGCAAGAGAGGCTGGGATATGTACTCTTTATGCTGAGACGCACACGCTCAGCTTAAAAGGAGGGTTCTATTATTATGAAAGAAGGAGAGATGAGACATGAGGAGCAGTAACAATTAATCTCTGACATAGTTGTTTGCACATATGCATTTCCCACTAGACTAGAGTTCCTGGAGGAGAGGGAGCCAGTCTTACTCATCCTCAATCCTCAGCACCTAGCGTGATGCCTAGCATCTAATAACTCATCATCACTGATTGTGTGCTGAACTGCATGCTTGCTCAGATTTACAGTTGTTTTTGAATCCCAACATCTTTTTCAGATTTATTTCCTGGAAGCCACAGCTTTTTTCCCCTCCATTGGAAGCATGAAGAAATTTTTCTCCAGTCTTCACCCTGAGAATTTGGTGGGGCCCCTCAAGATAAAACAAAAGCTGGGGTGTGTCCCTAGAACTGGGGCATCTGGAATTTTTAACTCAACACTGCCCACAGTGAGCATTCAGAAATTTTCAATTTCAGTTTCGGTGTTCCTACCTGTGTGCTCCAGATGTGGGCTTCTACTCTTGGTAAGTTGGGATCCTCTTTATTTGCCTGTGTCTCCAATTTTCAGAGTGAGGTTTGTCCTGTGACTTCAATTTTCTGATGGATCTAAGAAAAGTATTGGTTTTCAGTTGGTTCAGCTTTTTTTCTTGTTGAGAAGATGCTTTAGGAAGGGGGTGGATTTGTAGGGACAATAGAGAAAAGGGAGAGCAAAGGTGAGGGACAGCGAAGGGAGGCAGGGCATGCAGAAGAACAAAGACCCTCCGGAGCCAGGACCTCCACTTTCCCGTGACCATGCCGCACCTTCCGCCCGCCAGGAATCTCTCTGCTGGCCACCCAATTCCTGCTGCCACTACAGCCTCCAATGTGGTGGTTTTCACTGATTATTCATTAGAATCCCCTGGGAGCTCCTATGAATCCCTGCACCTAAGCTTATCCTAATAAAAAGCATCATAGAGGGTTTTAATGTGTAGCAGGTGCTGAGAACCAGTGATCTAGATTCTTGCATGTTAAAGAGGGGTGGGTCTATGGACCAGCAGCACTGACACCACCAGGGAGCTTGTTAGAAATGCAGCAACTCAGGCCCAATCCCAGAAATACCAAATCAGAACTTTCATTTTAAAAGACCCACAAGTAAGATTTCTATGCCCGTTAAAGTTTGTGAAGTGCTGCCAAGATGATCCTCCTATCTCTCCAATTATTGTTGTTCTCTTGAAGCAGACATCTCCCTGGGAACTGCTACGTGAGCCAGGTGATGACCACATGATAAAAGCAGAGAAACTTACAACTCAGCATAGATGTTGTGCCTGCTGTGAGTCACCGGGGGTAACATGTTTATTTTTTATTTTTATTGATTTATTTTTTTGAGATGGAGTCTCACTCTGTTGCCCAGGCTAGAGTGCAGTGGCATGATCTCGGCTCACTGCAACTTCCGCCTCGTGGGTTCAAGCGATTCTCCTGCCTCAGCCTCCTGAGTAGCTGTGATTACAGGCTTGTGCCACCACGCCCAGCTAATTTTTGTATTTTTAGTAGAGACGGGGTTTCACCATTTTGGTCAGGCTGGTCTCAAACTCCTGACCTCGTGACCTGCCACCTTGGCTGGTCTTGAACTTCTGACCTCGTGATCCCCCCCAAAGTGCTGGGATTACAGGTGTGAGCCACCAGTAACATGTTTTAAGTGGAGTGAATTAGATCTTCTGACAGGGGAAGGGGATTGAACTCTTCAGTCTGAAATACCAGTACTGGTTTAATTAGTCTGGATTGACCAGAGCAAAAAATGCTATAAATGAACATCCACCAGAGTTGAGGTTAGTTTGCAGGCTAGGGTTCAGTTTAAAAAACTTGAGTGGAAAAGCAGATAAAGCAAGAGGCAAAAGGAATGAACATTAGGAGTAAGGAAGTGAGGGGAGGAAGACCAGAGGCCAAGCCAGGTCAGGGGAAGAGAAGCACCACAGGGAGGGCTGGGGATGCAGAGGGAGGATGACGAGAGAGAGGAAGTGCAGAGGGTGGTCCTACATACTGACTCCCCTGAGTCACAGGGATGCAATTCCTCAATCCTGGCTTACTTTTATAAGCTCCTTTCCTACAAGATCTCAGTACTTTGTTGCTATAGACTGAATGTTTGTGTCTTCCCTCCCCCAAATTCGTATGTTGAAATCCTAACCCCCAATGTGCTCATAAGAGGAGATAGAGCCTTTGAGAGGCAATTAGGTCATAAGGGTAGAGCTCCCATAAATGGGATTAGTGCCCTTATAAGAAGAGACACAGAAGCTTGCTCTCAATCTCTGCTCTCAGACATACGAGGATATAATGAGAAGACAGCCACCTGCAAACCAGGGAGAGAGCCCTAACCACACACCAGATCTGCCAGCACCTTGTTCTTAGACTTCCCAGCTTCCACAAGCGTGAGAAATAAATGTTTAAGTCATCTAGCCTGTGGTGCATTTGTTACAGCACCTTGAGCTGACCGAGACATTTGTGGAATAAAATATTAATAGGCATTTGTCTGGCATATTAATGCTCACCAGGACCAGCGCAAAAAGCACAGGTTGGGTATAGCAACGAAGAGCTTGGACTTGGGAGCCACACAACTTAAAATCCCAATCTCAGCTCTGACAGTTATTAGCTGGTGACCTCAGCCATATCTGTTGGCCTCCCTGGGGCCCTTTCTCATTTCCTGGCATGATACTGGCAATTACTTCATAAAAGCAAATGCAGAAAACCTGTGAAGCAAAATCACAATGCCTGGAATCTGTAAGATTTTATATATATAACATATTAATGCAATATATGTATATTTAGTAATATACACAAGGAGCTGAGACAATTCTTCTAAATGTTGTTGATTGAAGATTGTCCACCATTCCATATTAGTTGCCTAGGTTCCTTTTAAGTGACAGTGCTAAATGAGAGTAAGATCACTTACAAAGTTATTTTCACTAAATTAATGTGTAGACCTTGTTTGGATCCTGATTTAAACAAATGGTGAATACAAAGACACATATGATACAGTTGGAAAATTTTGAAAATGGTTTCACTGTTAGACATTAAGGAATTATTCTTAATTTTGTTAGGTGTGATAATGGCTTAGTGGTTATGTCAGGAAAAAAGAGTTTTTGGCAGTTAGGAGACTCATAAGGTACATGGATGTGCTTTGGTCAAGGAATAGGCCGAGGTGGACATCCAGGCCAGAGTGACTCAGCGAGTTTAGGGCACAGGTGCATACTCCACTTGTTATATAACCTGTTTGTGTAAGTTCATACTTGGCTCTGAGCCCCTATTGTCTGTAGAAGGTATAACTGCCCTGCAGATGCTGTGCACGGGGCTCAGTTTGGCATGGCACGGCACGGCATGGCACGGCACAGCTTGCGTGCTGCTGCCCAGAGAGAGAGTAATGCTGGGGACCCCTGTAAGGGAGAGCCAGTTGCTTCGAAGGCAGACAGAGGGGGAGCCAGGAACTGGCTTGTGCCCAGAGGGAAAGAGTTAGGCTGCTGACCCTGTGGCTGGCCTTGCAGGCCAGGGAGTGCAGCTGCAAGCATGGGAGTGGCAGGAGCCACAGAGCCAGAGCAGACAGGTGGACAGTGTAAGAGAGCTGCTGATGAGAGAGCTGCTGAATAAAATTACATTTCACCTACTTACAGCCCCCCGAGTGTTCTTTCAGCTATTCGCCCATCCACCCACTTGCCTCAGACCTCAGCTGAGGCTGGAATCTAACCCCAAGCAGGACATTTGGCATAGTCGTGGCCGTGGACCTGACACTGTTGAAATATTAGGTCAGAACACAGAATATTGCCAATAGTTGACCACTTCTGACCTACAAAAACAGCAGTTTCATATGGTTCAATCTATTATTAACAAGTAAAATAATTTGATATCTAGAATTATTTTAAAATATTTCTGTGGGAAAATGGGGTGAAGGGGTGGATAGATGAAATAGGATTGTCAAAATATTGACAATAGTGGGTCTGAGTGATGAGGATGTTGGGATTCATCATGCTCTTCTCTCTCTCTGTTTGTGTTTGCTTGAAACTTTCCATAAGTTTTGTTTGGTATTCCACTGTGTATTATGACTACAAGGTAGTTTTTATGACCATAAGTGAACTTTAATTTAATTTTGTGTAAACACACAAAAAGGAGAGATTGAATTGGGCTGTGTAAATGAACCTAAGGGCAGGTGGAGCTGGTGTCACCAATGATTGATTGACTGCCTTGAACATCTCGAGGACCCCCTCTGTCATTGTCTTTCTCTTCCCTGTTCCTTTTGGAACATTAATTCGCTGATACAAACTTGTCCAAGTAGTGGGGTGTGGACACAGAGAGAGCTGTGCTGGGCTAGCAAGCCCACATCCTTATGTTTTGTGATTAAAAAAGAAAAAGGAACAAGAGGTTCTTATTCTCTGGCAGGAATTTAACAAGTCCCAAGAGCCCTGATTAGCCCCGTTTAGATCAGGCGCCCACTCCTTAGACCAATTAGTGTGGCCTTGGCTGTGAGAGGCTGTAATTGGCCCAGCTTGGGTCACGTGACCACCTCAGTAGCCAGGAGGGCTCTTTGTGCTCTGAAGATTCTGGGATGGAAGAAGGGCTGAGTAGACAGAAACACTAGCCACCCTTATAAGGTTTCTGGTTCTTTGCACTAGCTATTAGATTACAAGCAGTCTGATCACAGATCATGTCTTTTTCCTTACCAGTTAATTATTTGTTTCCCCAGTTTTTATTTCAAAGTTTAAAGACCTGGTTGCAAGGCTTGTTGCAAAACAGAATCAGCATTCCCCCTTTCCTTTCCTTGGAGGTGACTAGTAACTCTCTGAAGTGGTTCTTTTGGTTTTGCTTCCACAAATTGGAGTGACATCTTTCTATTCCTCTATTTGGTTTTTCAGTTACAGGCATTGTCTACCTAGTCCGATCATTGAGATGATTTTGATGTCTTTCACACCCACCCACACTCCTACCCAACATATTCATCCTTTCTATCCCCTCATGTTGCCTGTAAATTATATCAGTAGCATTGATTAGGTCAATATTTAACATTTACACGATCCTGAGTATGTAAACTCTATCTCTAGCCAAGCTACACCTGCACCACTTTGTATTCTCCTTAGAGTTCATAATTTTTTTCCCATGGAAATTTTTTCTTAGCTGGGTAGAGGCCATCTCACTAGCATACATCTTTGTTTTATAGAATTACACATACGTCTGAACTCGAGATTTCACCCCCATGATTTCAGGTTACTCACACCCTCCAAAATTCATTTGTTTTTCATTGTATTTTATAAAATAGTTACAAGTATGGCAGCCATGCGGTTGAAAACAATTTTAGGAGGACCTATAGTTACAGAAATGCATCAAATTTGGTCATTATTTTAAAAATATAGATAGCTACCTCTTCAACAATGTAGAGAAAGCATATAAAACAGCATATAAAATATTTCTGAACTTTTAACTATAGTGTCTTAGGATCAAGAGGTATGTATGCTTATTGCAAAATTTGGTGGTTTCTAAATATTAAAATCAGCCTAATGCTTGCAATGTTGAAATAATGTTCAGGAAAGATATCCTAACAGTGGTTCTCAAAGCATAGTTTAGAACAGCATCAATCTCACTTAGGAACTTGTTAGAAATGCAAATCTCCCTCCCCTTTAATGAGAAAGAGGGAAAGGCGGGGAGCAATCTGTGTTTTAGAAGGCCTCCAGATGATTCTGATGCAGACTGGAGTTTGAAAACCAGTGTCCTAGACAAACATTGTGTAAGTTAGGGATCATGTCCAGCTGTTAGTAATAGAGACTTGAGATGACAGTGGCTTAAAGCACATACCAAGTTTTTCCTTACATAAAAGGAGACTGCAGGTAGGTAGTCTTGGATGATTCAGATGTCATATTTTCACTCTGTCCCTGCCATATAACTCCCATCCTCATGGTTTTAAAATGGTTGCTGAAATTTCAGCTATAACAAACATTCTAGGCACAGGAAAAAGCAAGAGAGATGGGGAGAAGGCAAGCTAGGTAAATTACCTTCCAAGCGCACTCTCAGATGTCCCACCCAGTGACTTAGGCTTTAAACTCATTTGCCCACCACCCCATAGTTGAAAGGGAAGCTGGGAATTAACAGCTGGTCACATTGTTGCTCAGAATATAACCAGGGATGCCAGAAAGAATGGATATTAGAAGGAACTAGCAACTTCTAGATCCTTCCTGGAATGGAGTCAGTCATCAAAGTTAAGCCTTTAAGAACATTATTCTGAAATAGCTCTTTACTACCCATGCATTAAAACACCATCTTTTATCTGCTAGAGGAAAAACTACTTCCTTGTTTTAGGCAAAAGTCTTGGCTTACTTTGAGAATCTGAAGAGCCATTTATCAGAATAAATGAATACAATTTCACATAAGTAGAGGCTGTAGTTGTATACATCAACCAAGCATCCTGCACAGTTTCTGAGAAGTTGATTTATAACAAACATACATGAAAAACAATCAATTAAAAACTCCATTCTCTTCAGGATTATAATTTCTCTCATGGAAATGCATCATAAGGAAGTAATTCAAGGAGAAGCTGTACGAACAACACTGTTCATAGCACTGTTATTTATGACAGCAAAAAAAAAAAGTAGTTTACAATTCAAATGTCCTACAGTAAAGTAGAGGCTGAGTGAATTGTGGTATGACCATTACATAGCCATAAAGACCATGTAGCAACATGGCAGAGTGATTGTAAAAATATTGGCAGTGCGGGCAAATGTCAAAACACGTGTATGTAGATAAGAGCATTCAGAGAACTATAATGCTTTTGTCAGGATGTTAGAATTATGAATATACGTGGTTTCTGTTTAATTTCCTTTATTGTTCTATGAGAAACAACAAAGAACAAAACAAGAAACAAGAAGAACAAAAAAATAAATTTACCCAGGTTCCTGGCCATGATTTTCCCTGAGATTCTTTTCTGGCTGTTTGTCTTATGCATGATTCAACCGAGGGTGCTCCAGGAGGGCGTGCTTTGCTGCTCTGTGGGAAGGTTGTATGTAAGGCCCGATGAAGAGTCTTCCTGTGGCTTTGGTGTGTCCACGTGGGTTAACACCCTGATCATCTGTCTCTGAAGCCGTTTGTTTTGCATCACCAGATTTTTTTTCCAGTACTGAGAACAAATTTACAATCATCTATTCATTCTCTCTTGCCACAGTTTCCTCATAATCAGTTTCATGTAACTAGAAGCCAATTGTCCCAATTTAGGTGTAGATTTGTAGGTGCCAATGGGAACAAAAAAATATGAAACTTATGTAGGAATCAAATCAGTCTTTAATATGATGCTGTGTATAGACCTGCCTCACCACCACTGGCACCAAAAAATAGTCCCCTGTTCCTGAAATTACTGTGAATTTGCACAGTTGTCCAGCTTGGTAAGAGCTAGAATTAACCTTAGGTTGAGTATAGTGTTTATTTTTTTAGGTTGAAGATTCCCCAAATGCCCCAAATTCCTTGAGATGGATTGAGATTTGTGAGTGAAATATGCAAACCCCTGGCATATCTACATACTGGGTAGGCTGGTGACTGTTATGGGTTTAGAAATGGTGAAAGAAAAATGGCCAGGGAGCTTCTCAGCGGGTGGGGGTTGATGATAACAAATACTCAGCTCAGTAGAGCTGGGAGAACAGAGCAGAAGCTCATCAGGAATCCTCCACCAGCAAGGCCTGGGGACACTGGGGGTGTCTGCGTGCTCACAACCAAGGCAGGAGTCCTTCAAAGAAAGGGAAGAATCTTGGCTGGGTGCCTTGGCTTATGCCTGTAATCCCAGCACTTTGGGAGGATCACGAGGTCAGGAGTTTGAGACCAGCCTGGCCAACATAGTGAAACCCTGTCTCTACTAAAAATACAAAAAATTAGTTGGGCATGGTGGCGGGCACCTGTAATCCCAGTTACTTGGGAGGCTGAGGCAGGAGAATTGCTTGATCCCGGGAGGCGGAGGTTGCAGTGAGCCGAGATCGCACCACTGCACTCTAGTCTGGGTGACAGTGCGAGACTCCATCTCAAAAAAAAAAAAAAAAAAAAAAAAGGTAGAAAGGGAAGAATATTGATTTTCCAGGAAGTGAGGGACCTGAGATAAAAAGTTCAACCTACCCTATTGAAAACTACTTCCATAAAGTAATCAAGCAAACAAGAGTATTTATCTTATTAATCTTACAGGAGAAACCAACCTGAAGTAGGAGGAAGACAGGTAAATCCTGGAAGACTCTTTGAGACTTTACCAAATTAAATGGCTTAAGTTCATGTGCCTATATTGTGTATAATACACATGCTGAATTTCTTTTACACTGAAGTGAAATAAACTCTGCTCTTTAAATAAGGGGCAAGTGCCATAAACTGAAAGAATCTTTGTGGGGAATCAGCAAAACCAGAGAAAGGAAAGCTCATAAAGTCCAAGGGTTTGGGTTTTTGGAGCACATTTTATTTTACAATACCAGAGAATCAACATCTAGTAGTAGCATAATACAAAATGAAACACCAATCTATTTAAAACTCATGTAATGGGAACTGTATTTCAAAAATGATAAGAAAACAAAATAGGAGATTTAGAGACCAGTCGATATAAATGTATAAAAAGCCCCCAAAACTCTCATTTCATCATCAGTGCAAACAAAAATCATTTATAATAACATACATATGAATACATTCACTTACACTCACAAAGTGGATTATCATTTTTATTTTCCATGAAATATGTCAAAATATATGCAAGTATATCTTCACATTCTGATGGGCAAGATAAATCTTCAAATTAAAATATGTACATTTCACTTAAATTAACCAAAATATTAAAAATAGCAGCAACACTGGTCTTTAAACACGTCTAATATCCCAAGAGATTGTTCACACAATATAGACTATTTTGGTAGCTCTTTCATTATTAATATTATTTAATATCCACATACAGTTTAGAAACTCTAAGGTTCTGGTCTGATCTCTGAATAACTTAAAGTCTAGATTCAATAAATACAAAGAATAATTATAAAACACAGACTGCAGGACATTATCAAGACCAGGGAGGAAATCATACCCAAAGGTTTTAGGGAAGAATCAGATATGAAGGCGTACAGGAAATCTGTAGGATTTCCAAGGCAAAAAGGTGTGATCTGACAAGCTCCCTGATATGTTAACAGACTGAGTCCAGAGAAATGTGTGAATGTCTCGAAGGCACTTTCTCCGCTTCATCCTTCCATGTTCCCTTTGAATACGGCATTTAAGTGATGAACAACTTTGGAAATTTCCCAATAAACAGGGGATAGAATCATTTCTCACCAGGAGGCAAGACAGTGGATCAGGAGGTTATTTGTTTTTCAGCATTTACGTTTATTCTGATGAGCAAAGGCATAAAAACCAAGATTTCAACAGGATTTCGTGTATTTCATCCTAGATGGTGGGAAAAGTATTTGTAGCCCCATTCTCAATGTGTCACTGTACCAACCTGTAACCCTATTGGCTTAGAAAGAAACCCCAAATGGGGTTACAGGAGTTTCCTCAGATCTGGATTTGGTTACAGAAGTTGCCCCTGTGACTGGGGACTCTCTTTATATTTCAATAGTTTTTCAGAAAAGGTAAATGTTTAAGCCTTTCGATGGGGTTGGACCTTTGCCTATACTACTACAGGTATCACTCTCTGACATTGAAATGTCAATAGTTTGTACCTATTTTCAAACCACTTCATATACTATTTCAATCGATTCTCACAAAAAAAAAAAAAAAAAAAAAAAAACACTTGTGTGGAAGCAAGGATAGGCATCCAAGTGCTCATTTCAAAGATCTGGAAAACTGAGGTTCATAGAGACCAAAGTGACTTACCTGTCCACAGTCGCACACGAGTGAACTGGTATGGATCTTTTGCAGAACTTGGCTCTATACAATGTTTACTTATTTTGAAGAATGGGGCTTGGTAATAGTTATTTCCAAAGAATGAAGTAATTTGAAGGGGGTAAATAAAAAGGGAGAAAAATGAGTTCAAGAGAAGAAAGGGAGCGAGAAGTGGTGTCAGTTGGCAGTTAGTATTATGAACTTTAAAATGAGCAAAGTGCATTTCACATTTAGAACACAGACATTTAAAAAATATGTAATACTTAAATCTTCCAAATTGTCCTATTTTGGGCTAGATTTACTACATCTTTAAATATAATATCTGAGGCTACATTTTTATTTACTGAGGCTGCCATTGAGACATATCATGACCAAGAAATTTTTACATGAGTTCTACAATTTCCCAAGAGACTGGTGAAAATGTTATTGCCTATTCTCAGAACCCCATTCCTACCCCATTTTACTTCCAGAACAATTCCATTATATATATAATATATATTCATTATATGTTATATAATATATATTTATATATATATAATTATATGTATATATAATATATATTCATATACAATATATGTATATATAATATATATATTTATATATTATATATGTAATGGAATTGTTCTATATATAATATATAACATAAATATATATTACATATATATAAAATATATATTATATATATATATTTTTGACTCATTGGGTGGTTTTCTCAAGTGTGGGTTTTAGAAAATATCCTTAATGAATATTCTTGCTGTGTCCTTAGGAAAATTAGCTTTTTTCTCTCTGGAACTAAGCTGAGAAAAAGACTGCAAGAAACTTAGAGCTTTTATCACTTTAAATCTGGATTCCAGTTGGACAGTTGCCAGAGAAGAAAAAATTTTAAATGACTATACAAATTAATTTAGAAAGCTGTCATATTTCACACAACCTTTTGAAGAAAGTTTAGTGACTCTTAGCTTGATAGTTCCATACAACAGAATTATAATGATTCCACAGAAAGTATTCCATTGTAAAGAAACTTATCTAGAATGATAACTTATGAATTGAGGACTTAGGCTTAATGTTCTGGTGTGTGACACTTGGAGCTATTGGTCAGTTCTTATTTTTAATCAGTAAATGCATTTTAAAGAAACAGTTGAACTAAAAAGGAGGCCATTCATGATACTGTTTTGTAACATGATAAAAATGTTGTATAAATCCCTTCGCTCCTCTTTAGGTACTACCTGTCCCAACCCACATCCTCACCCCCTTCCTTAACTTTCATACATTATAAATGCCCCCCAACAGTCTCCTCAACCCTGAATTGACCAAGTAATGCACCAAAAGGCAGATTATGCTTTGGCAAGCAGGAAATTGGACTATTCTTTGAGATTTTTCTGAGGTAGTGAGTCTTTCCTCCTCTGCTCTGATGGTTAAGAAATGTCTTGAAAGCTGAGTTAAGAGACAAGTGGAGTGTTGGTCACAGTACTTAAACACTACTCTGAAATGGGTGGTTTATATGATCAGACGATTACCACAAACTTCAAAAGCTTCTTCAGTAGAATCCTGACTGTTATGTGGAGAACTTAAAGATACCGAGGTTGCTATGATGAGGATAAGCCGCAGTCTCTAAAAAAGTGCCTGTCATATAGTTAGGTGCTCAATAATGTTTGATGACTGACTGAATGTTTAAGATCTCTGATTTGGCTCAGTGAGATTACAAGCAAAAACAAATATTAAAAAAACCTAGCCAACTGCAGGCTAATAACATCAAAGGCTAGATCACTTTCCCTTGTGTATGGAATTTTGGACACCTTTTAAAATATGGGAGGACTGAGTTTAAACAGTATTGGGCATAGTATGGTATTCAATTCCACACTGACTCCATTTATCAGGCACCCTCTTATTTCCATCCTGATTTTACTATCATGATGTGGTAGTGAGATTTCTATCCATAAATAACTTTTCTGAGGGCAAAGTGATCCAGTCTCTCTGCTGTTCTTCAAGCTTTTCTGCCAAGCATTTAATCAAGATAGGGTCCACCTTAGAATCAAATTTATTAGCAAACCAATGTCCATCTTTGATAAGCCACCTTAATTCTGCAGCTCCATAAATACACACGCTTCGAAGGTGAGATCCAGTACAACTGGGATAGAAAAAGCCTTCATAGTAATTCCACTTGACAAGGCGAGTCTTACTCTGCAGATCAGACACATCCTGGGCTGATCTGGAAATCTCCCCAGGTATTCCTGGAACCCGAATCAAGGTAGCCCAAAAGTGCTCATCAGGAGAGTATGTGTCTTTAGACCAGGCAAAAAAGTCTTGAACGATGGAGTTGTTGAAAATATATTTAACAAATGCTTGACTTAAAACAAAATAAGCACTGCCAACAAATATCTGAATGTTATGGGGGGGTGCTTCCTTGGAGATGTTTGTCCTTATTGGTAGCTTCACATATTCATAAGGCACCCGTCTAAGTTCATGATGGTAAGTGAATCTTTCCAATTTACTGTTTGGGGGTTTCACCGTCTCCAACATATTTGCTCCATTGAGTTTTTTCAACTCTGACACCAATTCAAAATTTGACTTCAGGGGAAAATCTTGCCCACACAAGTTGATAACATATTTCCACTGGATTGAAGACTTCAGAAGGTCCGACAAGCAATTTAAATCAGCCTGGAGTCTGGAAATGTGGGCATATTCCACAGCCTCTAATTTGGAAGCAATGAAAATATTGGAGAAGCACTTAGCTAAATTGTTCATGGCAACTTTGAAGGTATCAGGTGCCTTACGATCATAATGGATGCAGTAAATATTGTGCTGGTTGTATATAGCATGGATAAGCCTTTCAACCATAATTGCATCTTTGTGGACAACCAAAGAATAGGCTATTGGGAAGCTTTTCTCCTCCTTTGAGACAAGCTTTTGAGCATAACCTCTTAGAGTCTGATAAATGTCACAATCACTGGTCATTGCCACAACATCATCATCCTCCAAGTCAATGATGTCCCTTCTTCTTATTTCCAGACTCTTTCCAATTTCCAAAGGCTCCTGTTCATAGATACCCGAACAGTTAACTTCATACCTGACTTCATCCTTAACATGAGTGTATCTGTTTCTTACAAAAGGCGAGGTACTTAGGGAGTACTCAACCAAGTAAATGTCTTTTTGCGGAAAGAGTCGTCTCACATTTAGAAGCTTTAACAAAGAGAGCAGCCATAGGGTTAAAAACAGGATGAAAACTTTCTGCTGTAGGGTATGTTTAAAATAACATTTGAATATCTTCATTCTGTAAGAGGAGAAAGAAATAATCCAGTTGGAATATTAACAGAAAATCAGGTCAGTTTATCCAAAATCTACTGGGCGCCTACCACATACTAGGCAAATGCTGCCCCAAAGATGAATGAAACAAGGTTTTTACCCTTGAAAGAATCCAGAAATAAGGAAATGGAATTATGAAGAATGGTGGTATTTTGGGGTATTCTGTGTTAACTATACCTAATTTTGAGAGATGTTGGTTTCCAAACAGAAGGGAAGGTAATGTAAACTCCTAAAATATAAATATAGTGTGTCTTATATTGTCTGCATTTCTGCTTAGCATATTTGAGGAGGGATTGCTCTGGTTTGGGCAGAGGTCTAGAGAACTGGATGTCATCAACAGGGCCTCAGAGATGCAAAGGACTCACCTAAGGCCAAAGGGAACATTCGTCTTGATTCTACCTCCAGATCCCTATTAGATCCAGGTCTGAAGTCAAACAAGGAAAGCCCAGGGAACCCCACGTTCAGAAAGAAGGGTGGTGGGCAGACACCCAAAGGAGCTATGCTAAGTATTAGAGACTGTAAAATGTATAGATAACAAAATTGGGTAAGCCTGCATATTTTCCTTATTTTTTATTTTGTTAACACCCATTTTCACACAGGGATTAGCAATTTAGCCCTTAAAATAAAAAGGGCCTGATTTTTCACTGAGAGTAGTAGGTGGGGTGTAAAAACTACGTTGGGGGGCAATTTGGCAATACTTGTCAGTTTTAAATGTACCCACCCTGAAGATCCCGTGTGTGTGCAAAGTCAAGCACAAAGAGGTTCCCTACAGTGTTTTGTATTCAGGCAAGACAGAAAATCTCTCAAACATCCTTGAACAGTGCATTGATTAAATTACATCCATGCTATAATATGTGAAAAGGCCTGAGACCACTCTGCATGTACATGCCAATGGGGAACAATCTCTAAGATATACTGTGAAATAAAAATAAGCAAAATGCAGAAGCATGTCTAGTATGCTTACATGTCTATACATACAAAGAACATACATTAGCAAACTTTTTCTCTCTTTTTTTTTTTTTGAGACAAGGTCTTGCTGTGTTACCCAGGCCAGAGTGCAGTGGTACAATCATGGCTCAATGCAGCCTTGAACTCCTGGGCTCAAGCGATCCTCCTGCCTCAGACTCCTGAGTAGCTAGAACCACAGGTGTGTGCCACCATGCCCGGCTAATTTTTTCTTTAGTAGGGACGGAGTCTCACTGTGCTGCCCAGGCTGGTCGTGAACACCTGGTCTCAAGTGATCCTCCTACTTCAGCCTCCCAAAGTGCTGGGATTACAGGCATGAGCCACCACCCTCAGCCTAAACTTTTTCTTAAAGGACCAGATAGTAAATATTTTTGGCTCTGTGGGCCATATTGTCTCAGTCACAACTACTCAATTCCGCCCGTTATGGTAGGAAAGCAGCCAGAGATTATATTTCAATGAGTGGGTGTGGCTGAGTTCCAATAATACTTTATTTACAAAAACAGGCAGCTGGCTGGATTCAGCCCACAGCTGTAGTGTTTCCAAAAGGATATTGTATACACACAACACTGGTAACGGGAATTGCTTTGCAGGGTAGAGTGGGAAAGGACTGAGGAATGGGGCCTAGGTAGGAGGAGGATTTACTTATCACTGAATATCTTTTAGTATCATTTGCATTTAAAAATGATTATATTACTTTTTCAGATGAAAACAGGCTGACTAGGAGGAGGGTACAGATGTACTTATAGGGAGCAGCAAGAAGGGCGGCCCAGGAAGTACTAGCCCAAGGCTCCAGGACAGGAAAGCTGGCAGAGCTCCTAGGGCTGCTTCAGGAGGCTCAGATACTGAGACCTGGTGGGGTCTGAGCACCCCTGTGCAATTTCCTAACATATCTCAATAAACCTTAAATGGAAGACAATCATTGTATCCAATTTCATTCAAGAGAATTGCCAAGAACTTGGAACCCAGTTTAATTTTGTAGATTTCATCTATACAGACCCATTGACAAAACTCTCCCCTGGGAATGAGATCCCACCTTCCTCATTCACCTCCGCTTAAATCCCTCTGTTTAAAGAACCACACCTTCACCACCATCAACTGTACTGCAGAATCCCACCTCTCCAGCCACATCTCGTCTCTCCTCTGTGGACTGCCCCAGGCTCCTATCCTCTGCTCACTTCTCTTCTCCTGCATACTTGCCCCCATCTCCAGATTCCACCTTCCACACTGATGCCTTTCCATATTCCAACACCTTTCCCTCCAGCCTTCACCTCTTGCCCAAGCCTCAGAGGTGGACCTGCAGTTGCTGGATGGACATTGCTTCCTGATATCCCACAGGCACTCAGCCTCCACGAGTCCAAAACTGAACTCGACATCATCACCTCGCCTGCGTCTTCTGTCTCAACTTATGGCAAGACCATCCACTCATGGCCCATGTTTGAAACTAGAGTTACCCAACTTGTCCATTTCACTCATACCCATGTCAACCTATCACCTCATAAATGTGCCTCAAATCCATCCTTTCTTCTCCATCCCCGCTGCCAAGTCCAGACAGCATCTTTGCTGCATCAGCACCCAGGTTAAGAGACTCCTGGTCAGGCTCATAGCCCAGGGTCTGTTGACTGGTCTCAGCTTTTTGCTCCTCCAAAGCACACTGAACAGGGTCCCATCACTCAGGCTCAAGGCCAGGGTTCTTGCCAGTTGTTCTAAAGCTGTGGAAAACTGTCCCCACTCCCTTGCCTGACACACAAGGCAACTCACTGCAACTCCAGAAGCCTGGGCACATGTGTAGAATTGGGTGTTGTGGTACAGTAGAAGACTAATCAATCCCAAATAGGGGTGTGTGTGTGTGTGTGTGTGTGTGTGTGTGTGTGTGTGTGTGTGTGTGTGATTAATTCATGGTTATTAGGTATAAATAGTATGTAGCTTACAGAAATGGCTAGAATTGGAAGGGGTCTAACTCAAAGTAAATTTTGGCTATTTCTTTTCTCACTGTATTAGTCCATGGAGTCTCTAATTAATGTTAGCACTTCCCCCTGACACCACAGTGGTAAAAAGAAAAGACCTCACATTCTAAAGAGATTTACCAAGTCTCCCAGAGTTGTCATGTCATTTAACTATCATCTTCACACTTAAATAAAAAAGACAAAGGCCAGCTCCCTGCCTTGTCACTCATTTCCAGGGCCTCTTCTGCATCCAGGCATCCTTGCCCTTCCTGAGAAGGCCTGGGGCACACACATACTGACTCTAGCCTGGGATGGGAGAGTCTGAGCTGGGCAGGAGGTCATGGTTGCCTGCCCAGACATAGAAGCTCACAGGACATCCAGGGAAGGAAGAGGTGGGAGGCACCCAGTGAGAAGTCCTTTGGAAACTGGCTCAGGGGCCCACATCTGAGAGCCAGGAATGAGAGTGAATTTCAAAGAAAGAAGGGTAGGAAAATGGGACAGCCCAGGCACCTCGCTTTCTGATATACCTTCGCCCAAGGCATCTTTAAGGGGGAGAGTTTGTTTGTCTTGGGGTCAGCCTTTGATATCCTTTGAAAGGAGCAGCCCTCTCCAATATTACCCTGTCCCAAATCAAAATAAAACCCCTTCACCTGCTTACCACGGCCAGAAATCCCTTTATTTATTTATTTATTTATTTTTTTTTTTTTACTTTAAGTTCTGGGATACATGTGCAGAACAAGCAGGTTTCTTACATAGGTATACACGTGCCATGGTGGTTTGCTGCACCTATCAACCCGTCATCTAGGTTTTAAGCCCCGAATGCATTAGGTATTTGTCCTAATGCTCTCCCTCCCCTTGCTCCTCACCCCCCGATAGGCCCCAGTGTGTGATGTTCCCCTCCCTGTGTCCATGTGTTCTCACTGTTCAACTCCCACTTATGAGTGAGAACATGAGGTATTTGGCTTTCTGTTCCTGTGTTAGTTTGCTGAGAATGATGGCTTCCCACTTCATCCATGTTCCTGCAAAGGACATGAACTCATTCTTTTTTATGGCCGCACAGAAATACCTTTAACTGAAAAGCATTCCTTTCCCCAAAGAGGTGCGTAGGTGCAAAGCCACTTGGTATGGAGTTTCTGTCAAATCCTAAAAGGGGATGTTGGCCTCTTCCCAGCTGCGGTGGGCACTAATAGTGAGGGGAATGCTGGCAGGAGGTTGGAGAGGACCACCGGTCCCCAACCTTGGTTCAGCTGGCTTTGGCTTCCTCTGAAAAGAACATCTGCATAACACCCTTGGGACCCTCCCATTGGGCTCTGCAGGGGGTACACCCCCAGAGCAGCACAGCCCCAGGGGACACAAGTTGCAGGGGGTGGAGGTGGGCTGGTAGAGGCCCCGGGCCTGGAGGAATGGGAACCAGCTCCTTAGGTCTGACCAGAGTCAGCTGGGCTAAGGCTGGCTGTCATGTTGGCCACATGGTTCCTAAGAGACCAGGCTAGCAATGTCACCTTCTGCAAGCACTGCACCCAGCACTTTCCCTCTTAAAGGCTTATGGGCAGGAAGCAGGCAAGTGTTTTGCTGCCAGGAAGTGGTCTTACAATTACATTACAAATAATGCCCCACCCACGGGAGAAGCGGTATTTCCCCTTCTACCTGCCCGGGTAGACAAGGAGGTCTGACCTGTTGTGGAGTTTATTGCCACATAGGCACAAGTTCCTAGTGATGACAGAACTGAAAAAGCTGTTGCAAGGTTTGGTGGCTATAACTCAGGTGAAATATGGTCTATAATAATTCAGTAAAAACCTACTCCTCACTAAAGTCCCAATAGGGATGTTGAATGAGGCATTTCCCTCAAACCATGTTCTTCTCCCAACCCATCCAGGCATTGTTGGAGCCTTCAAGGAAGCAGCAAGAACACAGAGGTGCACCCCAGCTAAGCGGACACGACCGCATTCAGGGACACCCCAGCTAAGCGGACACGACCGCATTCAGGGACACCCCAGCTAAGCGGACACGACCGCATTCAGGGACACCCCAGCTAAGCGGACACGACCGCATTCAGGGACACCCCAGCTAAGCGGACACGACCGCATTCAGGGACACCCCAGCTAAGCGGACACGACCGCATTCAGGGACACCCCAGCTAAGCGGACACGACTGCATTCAGGGACACCTCAGCTAAGTGGACACGACCGCATTCAGGGACACCCCAGCTAGGTAGGCACGACTGCATTCAGGGCTAAATGGCTACAACCATTAGCAGCTCTTCAACTAACTCTTCTTACCTTGGCAATTTAAAAACCCAGGACTTTCAAAGAAGTACAGATGCTTCCTTTCCCAGGGAAGAAAGGGGAATGGTAAGTCAAGAATGAGAGGAAGACTGAGGAAAAAAGGACAGAGTAAGGCTGAGTTTAGGGACCAAGAATGCCTGAGCTTTTTTCAGGAACAGGTTGTGGGGCACTGGGGAGAGAGGAAGAAAGGAGCTGCGCTTCAGGATGCCACAGACCTTGGGCCTGAGTCCCTGGACGAACTCTTAGTAGCTCTAAGACTTTGATCAAACTATTTAAGCTCTCTGAAGGCCAGTTTTCTTGTTAAAAATGGGGCTGGACTACTCTAGGAAAATGTGGCCAGATTGCTTTTTAAAGCAGCTCTATGATCCTGTTCCTCCTCACCGGGTGTGACCTCCCAACCGGGGTCTCCAGCTACCCCAACGCTGGCGCTTTCTGACTGACAGAGGTTTCAAACCTCCCTGGGATGCAGCTCCCAGAGGGATGGGCAGGCCGCCATCTTTGCTGTTTTGCAACTTGACTGTTGATACCTGCAGGTACTGGAAAATCTGAGATGATTAGGGACTTCATGGCTTCTTTAAAGATCCTGCCCAGACCTGTGGCTTATTGTCCTGTTTTTCAATCTACCTCCTATTTCTCCACAAAGTCTTAACAAATTCAGTATTTTAGAATTAGTGCACGAAGGCCTCCATGTAATGCTCTTTATTAATTTTATGTATATTCATCCCTCAGTATATGCAGAGGATTCATTCCAGGGCCCCCGTCCATAACAAAATCTATGCACACTCAAGTCCCACAGTCAGTCCTGAGGAACCAGGTATGGGAAAAGTTGGCCCTCCATACATGTAGGATTTGCATTCTGCAAATACTACATTTTCAACTTGTATTTACTTGAAAAAAAAAAAACCTGTGTATAATTGGACCCCCTGAAGTTCAAACCTGTGTTGTTCAAGGGCCATACTGTAGTTATTAATAATGTAGAATCACTCAATCAAGAGTTGTCACTAGGTGCACTATTCTAAGTACTCTAGATGTAATTCAATCCCCTCAAGAGATCGATGAGGTAGGTACTACTGTTATCCCTCTATTATAAGAAAGGAAACTGAGGCACTGTAAGACAACTAAATAAATGCCCAAGGTTACAGTTCTAGAAAGTGCTTTAAATGGAACCTGAACTCAGAGAGTCTTGCTCCAGACTTGCACTTTTAACCCTTTATGCAATAGTGTCTCTCAGAATATAAAGAAAAAATTCTCCATATTTCCCGCAACAGTTTTAGCACTTGACTAAATTTTCTCATTACTATGTCTTCTCTAAATGTCCTAGAACAGGAACAGGAATGGATCCCAAACATGGTCGAGGAGATCTTCCACCCTGTTTAAGAGATGATTTCCATGGAGAATGAGCCTGGAGGAATGCTGGGTGAGGAATCACATTCTGTCTCTGCAGTCAGAGGCTGAGACTGATCAATGAGCTAATGAAGAGGTTAGTCAGTCTTCCAGCCCGTAGAATCAATTCAAGGAAAAGAGAGCAAGCTCATCCTGAGGGACTCTGCCATTGGTTACTCCTGTCCCGTATCCTGTCACCAATGACTATCGATTCATTTGTTCTTATAGTTATCTGTGACACCATTTAAGCACAGAGAATTGCTAATTGTTTTAGAAAACTTTCTGGGTTAAATTTCTCTTCATGTGGAGAATATTCCCTCTTCAGGCCACCTTAAAGTTCTTAAACTTTGTATTATTACATATCAGTTTGAGAAATAGGATATGAAGAGCTTATTGATTTAGAAATGTCAGGGCTTTTGCTTCTGTCTAAAGCCTTACTAAGAAGAATCACCAGTTAAGAAGATCAATATAAAGACGAACTCACTAAAAAGCATCCTGATCTAGTTGAATAAGCTAACATCCTGCTACTGCAGCTCCTTGATTTCAATGAAGTCACTGATTCTCCCTTGGTGACTCGCTCACTGCCAAGCCCAGGGGATGTTCTGGAGTGAGACCATTAGGTGGGAGGATGACTCAGTCAGATGCAGTTCCTCCACACTCCCACAGCACTCCAGGAGTCATGCAGAGGAGTGGAAAGACAGGTTTCTTGCCTAGATGACCTTACATTCTTATTGTTCTGGAGAAAAGATTGCAAAAGCAAATAATAATCAGATTGTGAGCAGGTAAACATACCAACTATGCAAAACACAAGGAGACGTATGACTCGGTCAGAAATCCAATACAAATTGAGGACAAGCATTTCTCAAATAATAATAAGATATGGTCTCTAAAAGGAAAAGATTTTCTATTCTCTTTTTATAAAGTAAACACTTTCAGGCCGGGCACAGTGGCTCACATCTGTAATCCCAACACTTTGGGAGGCTGAGGCAGACTGGCCTGAGTGCAGATCACCTGAGATCAGGAGTTTGAGACCAGCCTGGTCAACATGGTGAAACTCCGTCTCTACTGAAAATACAGAAAATTAGCCGGGCATGGTGGCACACACCTGTAATCCCAGCTACTTGGGAGGCCGAGGCAGGAGAATTGCTTGAACTTGGGAGATGGAGGTTGCAGTGAGCTGAGATCATGCCAGTGCACTCCAGCCTGGGCAAGGCAAGATTCAGTCTCAAAAAAACAAAAACAAAACAAAAAACAAAAAAAACAAAAAACAGAAAAACAAAAAAACCCAAACCACTTTCATTAAAAAAAAAAAAAAAAAATCAGAAAAGTCCAAAAACGAAAATAAAGCTCACCAGGGGCCCATCACCTGGCAATAACATCTTGTAGACAGTATATCCTTCCAGACTGGTTTTAAGAAACACATTTTTTTTTTGGCTTTGCTTTATAACAGTCTCACTATATAGGCATTGTCTTACCTGTTTCTTTCATTTCACAGTATATTATGAACAAGTCCTAACCTAAACTGGGTCTGTAAATTATTACAGTGTAAACAAATCCTAACAGAGGTAAACATACTTTTCTACAGGAAAAAAACCATTCAAATAATAGAATTCATGTATCTAGGTCTTCTCCACCAATCCTTAATTAATAAACCCACAGTTCCTGAAGAAGCCCAGAAGTGCAATATTAAAACGGAAAATAACTTTACAGGTGGTTGAGCCCATATTTCTTCTCTAAATGTGTCTAGCCATCATTTAACCCCATCTCATTCCTGGGGTACTGGGAACACCTTCCCCCTTTACATATGTGTCTTGGTTCATTCCTGCTGCTATAATGAAATATCTTAGACTGAATAATTTAGAAACGATAGGCTTTTATGTCTTGCAGTTCTAGAAGCTGGGAAGTCCAAGATCAAGGCACAGATTTGGTGTCGGTGAGGGCTGCCCTCTGCTTCCAAGATGGTGCCTTGCTGCTGTGTTCTCACATGGCAAAGGGCAGACGGGCAAAGGGGGGGAGAGGTGAATGAGCTCCCCCAAAACATCTTTTATAAGGGCACTAGTCCTATGCCTTAGGGCTCTACCCTCATGATTTAATCACTGTCTAAAGGCCCCACTTCTTAATACTCTCACACTGGTGATTAAATTTCAACACATGAATTTTGGGGAACACATTCAGACCATAGCAGTATGTGTCTATCCAACTGCTCCCTATCAAGGGATTGGACAGAGGAGGGATGCCCAACTGCCCCTATTCAGGTCCCTTACGGTGGCATTTGGTCCAGACTGGCTCTACTCCCCACTCCATGGAGCCTGCTCTGGCTAAAGTCAACAAAAGCCTTCATGTTGCCAGAGTCAGCGACACATACCTGTCCCTTCCTAATGATCGATGCTAAGAGATAGCACTATTTCCATGATCTTATTCACTGTTTTTTTTTGTTTTGTTTTGTTTTGTTTTTCAGACAGGGTCTCACTCTGTCACCCACGCTGGAGTGCAATGGCACAATCTCGGCTCACTGCAACCTCTGTCTCCCAGGTTCAAGCGATTCTCCTCTCCTGCCTCAGCCTCCCTAGTAGCTGGGATTATAGGCACCCACCACCACGCCTGGCTAATTTTTTTGGTATTTTTAGTCGAGACGGGGGTTTCACTATGTTGGCCAGGTTGGTCTCGAACTCTTGACCTCAGGTGATCCACTTGCCTCGGCCTCCCAAAGTGTTGGGATTACAGGCGTGAGCCACTGCACCCGGCCTCTTATTGTTCTTACCTTATACTCCATTCAATTATTCTATACTCCATTCAGTAAATCTATGAGATAGGTACGATTATCATTATCCTCATCTTTCAGATTAAGAAATCAAGTCAGAAGATAAATAACTTACCTTAGTTCATATAGCTAGTATATTGGAGGAGCAAGGATTTTCAACCATGGTCCAATTTTCAACTATGGTCCAATTTCAGAGCCTATACTACTAACCACAATTCGAGACTGCCTTTCCAATCTCCTGGCAGTAGTAGAGCCTGTTCTACAACCAAAATGTATTTCAAATCCACCCACCTCTTTCCACTCCATGGGAACCTCTCTAACCCAAGCTAGCATCAACTCTTGCCTAGATACAAAATAACCTTACCTGGCTTCCCTTGCTTTCCTCTAATCCATTCTCTGTACTGTAGCCAAAATGATTTTTTAAACATACAAATCAGATCACTTCCCCTCCCTAATCCCACTCCCTACATCTAAAACCCTTCATTGGGATTTCATGTCATGTAGAATACAATAAGAAATCCTTTTCATGTCCATAAAGGCCCAGGCAGTTCCCATGGCTGCCTTACTCTACGAGTTCATCTTATTCTACTCTGTCTTTCTCATAAAACTCTAAGCAACACCAGCCTTCTAAAAGTTCCTAGAACATCCTAGTCTCTTCCTTGCCTCAGGATCTTTGCAACTCCTGTTTCCATGTCTAGACTACTTTTCCTGGATCCTAGCATGACCAGCTGCTCCAGGAAAAGAAATAGCTTTTCCTCAGGTCCTCTCTGATAACTTTTTTTTTTTTTTTTTGAGAGTCTCGCACTGTCGCTTAGGCTGGAGTGCAGTGGCGCCAACTCAGCTCACTGCAACCTCCGCCTCCCAGATTAACCCTTCTTAAATCTCTCTCCTATCACACTCCTTGTTTTCTTCTGAGCACTTGCTACAAGGAGTAGTTACTTTACTTGTTTAGTACCTGTCCTGAGACAGAAACATAAGGTCTTTGAAGGCCTCACTCACTACTTTACCCCCAGTATTAAAGACATCCATACCTGGTACGGGGTAGTTGCTCAATGGGACAGAGTCAGAAGACCTAAGTTCTAGTCTGGGCTCTGCCACAAAAAATTCTTCAAGTGACTCTAGCATATCACTTAATCTTGGCAAATCTTTCTTTCCCATGTGTTAAATGGGATAATGTTTTTTCTATCCCACAGTGCAACTGTGAAAGTCTTATGATGTAATGTATGTGAAAGTCATGGGGAAAAAGACAACTTTGGTATGCAAATGTCAGGTATGAGGACCTCCACAAGAGGAATGGTTTCTTGGGAAAACTGAGAAAGAGTCAATGTGTTATAAGTTGGTTTTATTTTTCTAAAACAGTACATTCATTATTCCCTTCATTCTGACATTCTAATCATTATTGGTTTTTCACTACTTGACAGCATTCTTTTTTGTTAATATCTGGAGTATAAATTGTCCCTAAAGTTTCAGAATTATGTAGACAAACACCTGTCTTGGATTTTGAGAGACAGGAAGAAATGTAGTTAATCTTTAGAGTTTTTTCCCCAGTATGCTCGATATTTTTCAAAAGATTAATAACCAAAAAAGTTATTTAAAAGACAGCCAAGAGCACGTGCAATCAGTTTCATGCAGTTATGATTGGCTAAACGCGGTCTGTAAGTATGTGTTGCAAAAGCTATAAGCTTTTCCTGTAAGTTCATTATCTTTTATGGGCAATTCTCCAGGTATTGCAAAAATGCAATGACTTGTTCTTGCATCCCTGTTTGGTGAAGCCATCCCTAAGGACCACGGAACCCACAAAGCAGTACTGAAGATTCTGCAGCAATGTGAATACACAAACACACCCTCACCCAGGGCCTTTGCCAGTCCTCTGTCATTCAGATCACACATCAGTGAGACTGGCTCAGCTCAGTGAATTGAGATGCCCTCAACTAAAGGAGCTCTGTTTGATGTTCCTGTGGAATGTATGACAATTGACAGCTTTCTCTCTAGGCCTGCAATTATGAACGTCATCATCTTCCCTGAATAAAGGACTACTTTACCTGCAAGATTTGGAGAATAGAGACCTAAAGGAAAACACTGAGCATGAAAATAATTCTATCAACCACCTCTATAGATTATAATTCTTCTAGCTAGAAACTTTACTGGAGCCTCTCACATTTGGGCAGAAATAAAGGACCTGTAAGATTACATGGGAAATGAGTAACCCACATCAGGATGTACATACCCACGCATAGACCTCTCAAGGTCATTGGAAATCTGGGCTGTAGCAATGTAACAACAACAACAACAACAAAAAGAAGCGCAGAATTCAGCCCATGGTCACACCAATTGGGAAACAGTAGACTTGATTCTGGGCTTTATTTCATCTGGTCCACAGGGCAAATATCAAAAGCTGACTGTGTGTGTATCTAGCTGGGCAAAGATACATGGCTAAAGTCTTTAGCAGGAAGTGTAAAGGGCCACATACAATGAAACTGAATGAAAAGTTTTTGTTTTGTAATAGATTGTGACCCTCAAAAGGGAGTAAAACATTAACAGTTTTTCTCTAAAGAAAATTCTAAAAAATATCAGAAGATGGTGAATTTCAAAAATACTTATGCCTTCAAATTTCAGTTTGATGAAAAAGCTCACATGAAACGTTTGCTTCTTTTTAGATATAAAGGATTATGAAAAAGGGGTGAATGAATGCATTACATCTTTGCCTCTCAAGCTTTATCAAAGAGGTTTCATTCCTTCTTGGGATCCCCGTCTTCTCTGCCCTTCTCACTTAGCTTGACACAACATAAAGCCAAACTACATTTTATGTTTCATGTTCTAAGTTAAAAATATGGGTTGAGAATATTTTGGCTTCTTTTTCTATAAAGTAGAAAAACTGAATTGAAAAACATGTCTATTTTTGAAAATGTGTATCTATTGCACTAGAAAGAAAATAACTTTCTCCACCTAATATCTACATGGTATGCTTTTTTTTCCCCCTCAGAAATTTTTGGAAGCATTTATTTTGGTATTATATGGCTAACTCCATATTTTTCAACTGGCCAAAATTAATTCCTCAAAGATTCCATGGCTAGCTGAAGAGGTATGGGTAACTGATTTCTAAATGTGCATTTAAAGTAGAATCTCCATGTCCATCGCAGAGGCAGCACAGGGATAAACAGACATGAATCAAGGGTATTGATGTCAGAAATGGCTTGAGGCCAGACCACACTCTTCATGAATGGATTAGACACCCTGAGTTTAAAATCATCACCCTGAAAACCCTGAGTTTTAAGTCATGAGAAGAGCTTGCTTGTTTGTTTTCTGGGTTCTTCCAATGTGGTGGGGAGCTCAGCTGGAGACTTCAACATGCTTCTGCACTTCCACTGAAAAACAGGATTGGCAGCTCTTGGCATGACTTCACCATTTAGCTAAGATCTGTGTGTTTCTTGGCTTAAAATGTACATATTGCTCTCAGATCTTGTGTGCATATTAGACACAATAAAATTAAGACTCAGGAATTCAAAAATTAAGTTAAAAGGATGGAAGAAATAAAAATCTGCAGTGCTTGGGAAAATTCCGCCACAATAGGAATTTCAAAAGCAGAGATTTCAACCTACCAAAAGTCAAATCTAGAAATGATTCCAGAAAGCTCTCCAACAGCCATCTCCTACAAGGATCCCTTCTAGCCGTAGTTTTAATTAAGTTAACAGGTCTTTCTCAATACGTAGGTTTTATTTCAGGTTAATAAAAAGTAAAAAGATTGTTTAGTTTACTAAGTGTCTAAGCCAACTTATATGTCAACTGTATACAAAGCAAAAGCAAAAACCAGACTCTTCAGATTTTCCAACAGATTATGATGTTAAAACAGTATGGTCTGGTGCCAGCATAAAAAGAGATCTGTGGGATAAAATCCAGAAACAGATCCATAGGTAAGGGTTTTACATATGGCTCTGGTAGAGAGCCAGTTGCCTTCCAACATCCATCCTCTCTTCTTTACTAAGAGAACCCTATATTGTTGGTGGTAGAAACATGTCTCTTGAAAAGACTTTCCTCTAACTTCTATTGTAGAGGAATAAAATATAATGTGGGATTTTGGGAAAGTTTTCCTATAGGAGCCTGATTCAGGTAGGAGGTACGCCATTTTGTTCTTTCTTTTCTTCTTCTTCCACTTTTCTGCCTGGAACTCCAATATGATGGCTAGAATTGTTGCACCCACCTTGAGACCATGAGGAACAGACCAAGAGAATATCAGAGACCTCAGCCCCCGTATCCTCAAGCCACTGAACCACCACTAGCAAACACCCACTTTGAATTCCTGTTACATGAGAAAAGTAAGCCCTTATATGTTTAAGCAACGTGCACTTTGAAAGATGACCGTAGGAAAAGGAAATGCTTAACCAACATATACATACGCATGTCCAGGAGCCAAATTAAATTTAAACCAGATTAAAGTGGCTACTTATACAACAGTACATTCCTATATATAGCCAAGTGCAAAATAATGTGTCTTAAATGATGCTGAACTTCTCATCCATCTATATTTAGAGGCAGATGGAGGCTTTAGGTAAATATCTGAAGGAAAGCAGATGCCAAGATTTACCAAATTAACTCTGATGTTGGCAAGAACTGTGCAGTCTGCTCGCCACGCCTCAGTTAAGCACTCTTCAGCTGATGGCAAACTTCCTCTGTGTATGGTTTCTAGTCACAGGCAGGGTACAGGTCACATAATCCCTGAAGGTCACCTCGCAGGTGGGCTGTCTTCTTGAGAGCTTGTTATGTAACAGGGGACTTTGGAACCAGCTTTTCAACAAATAGCTATCAGTACCATGTAGATATCAACCCAACAAGTACCATGTTGAATAGTTCTGAGCCACCGCCTGAATGTGCCCCTTTTCCCTCCCCTTGCTGCCTGACCCCATTCCTCTTCTTTCTGCCCCACACTGGACCCCCTCCATGTTACCTTCCTGCTTTACTTCTGTGTACATCATACAGGTTTAGAATTTAAAGCCAATGGTTCTGAACTGAAGTCCTGAGTCTGCTGCTAATAATGTCATTAATCTAGTAGCCTTCTGCCTCCTCATCTGTGAAAGAGGAACAAGGGCACTGACTCAAACGGTTACTGCGATGACTAAATGAGCTAATGCACTGGGCACATTTTGGCAGGAAAACCAGCCTGGCACAGGGCTGGATGATGGTAAGGGATCAAAAGCATTTGAAGCAGCCCAGTGTCATTGACCAGTGGCCATTCTGTAAACAAGGACTGGGCTTCAGCTTCAGCGTGCTGCATGCACTCCCGCACCCAGACACCATCTCCAAAGGCAACAGCCACGGATTTCTGCGGGGTAGACTGGTACAGAAACCACATCAAAGGCCTCCACGCTTCTCATGGTGAAGGAAGAATCAGACAAGGGCCCACTTGTACTATTTTTACAATTTTTCTTCAGGTTTGACATTTTTTCAAAATAAAAAATTGATTTTTTAAAAAAAGAATCATAGGGATAATGGGGAGAGGGCAGAATGAAAGAGCTCTAAGTCTCTGCCCCATATTAGGATTCAGGCAACACAGTTTTAGTAGCACAGTTTTGAATATTTTTTAGGTCTAGTGTCATTGCTGTCTTCTTGCTATAACCTATACTTTCCAAGTATTACCTGGTTCACTTCTTTGTTATAAAAATAACTTTTCTTGTTTCTTATTTATGAATTAGTTGATGAACATATTCTTTTTTTCTATTATGGTGGTGAAATATACATAACATTTACCACTTTAATCAATTTTAAGTGTACAGTTCAGTGGCATTAATTACATTCATATTGTAGTGCAACCATCACCACAATCCATCCACAGAACACGGTCATTTTCCAACTGAAACTCTATACAAATTAAACACTAACCCCACAATATCCTGCTTCTGGGCCCTGCCAACCACCATTCTACTTTCTGTTTCTACAAATTTGTTTACTCTAGGCCTCTATATCATAGGAATCATACAATATTTGTCCAATATTTGACTGGCCTATTTTACTTAACATGTCTTCGAGGTTCATCCATGTTGTAGTGTGTGTCAAAATTTCTTCCCTTTTTAAGACTAAATAATATTCCATTGTATGTATACATTACATTTTGGTCATCCATTCATCTGTCAGTAGATATTTGCTTTGCTTCCACCCTTTCAGCTATTGCGAATAATTCTGCTATGAACAAGGGTGTACAAACACCTGTTTGAATTCCTGCCTTCACTCGTTCAAGAATATCCCCTATATAAACCTTATATTCTTAGATATCCAGTTTCTATCCTGGTTGCCCATCCATCCCACAAACATTTACTGTGTGCCTACCATGTGCTAGGGAGGCACTGTGTTAGATTCTGGAGAGATACAACTAGAAACTCTACTGCCTGGAGGAATGCAGAGAGAAATAAACAGTGAGGTCCTAAGTGACTGATAACACAATTCAAGAAATCCCAGTTATTTTGTCACATTTGAATTTCTTTTCTATAGAAATTTTCCAGAAAAGACAGGTCACTAGCTAGCATTTGGAAATGTTTTTTTTTTACATTCAGGGATTTTCTTGCCATGATGTTGAATGGATGTTCAATTCAATGAATGATGTTCAATTCAATGTTCAACATCAGTTGAAATGATGTTCTTCCTTTCTGAGGATCTCTTCTCCAGTTCTGCATCCCATCTTTCAGCTCTACAATCATTCCATTAATGTTTTTTTCACATTGTAACTCTGCAACCTAATTAGTGTCTACCTTGTGTATCATTCCATTTCTTTCTCCTGACACATCTGCCATTATGTCTCTCTGAATTTGCCAACCTCAGAAGAGGGCAGGAGGGTTGCTGGAAAGGCTAAAGGAAGAAGGAACCTGGTAGAAGGTGATGGCTGGGCAGAGTGAGCTCCTCCTTGTTCCACTGAGGTAGAATGTGGGGGTGTAGAGAAAGGACACAGCACAAATATTGCAAATATGCTGCAGTGACACAGAGAGCAGGAGAAGGAAGAAAAAAAGGAGCCTTGGCAACCACAGGAACTCCGCTAGGTGTTGTTCCTTCTGGTCCTGGGCCGAACTGTCCCCCCTCTGCTTCAATCTGAAGGAGCTGCTCTCTCGTGGACTGTCCAGATCTTGTAGATGACCATGAGAAATGTCAGGGCTTGCAGACTCTTTGGAAACAGGTCTAACCTACCCAAGAGCAGACAGGCTGACTGGACAAGCCCGGGCACAGCCAAGAAGCAATTCTCCAAAGGGTCATCCTTGCCAGTTTTCTCCTTAACTAGATTAGAAACCAGAAAACCCAGAAAACCAACAAGAGAAGACGGGGTTGCACAGGGGAGGGAAATGAAAAGCAATAAAAGAGCTAGAAGCACAGAGGATTCCTGGGGAAGGAGTTAAAAATAGGCCACTCCAAAATACGCCACTCTGATATTGACTTTTGAGTTAACGGCACTTGCAAAATAGCAGGTACAAGACCATTCTGCCCTTCGTGCCGTTTCTTAGATGCAGGAGATGAAATCCTTAAGTGAAATGAGAAAGTTGACGGACAGTCTACTTAACAGTCTTATCAAGGACAGAAAGCTGTGGCTGAGAAAAATTTGTACAAACTTTGTTACACAACCCTTATCTTCCTAGCTGCTTCTCCCAGTTAACTACCCTAGCCCAGGCCTCTTTTTGCCTTGCTACATTTTTATAATTTCCTACTTTCTCCAATCCACTATATAAGTGTTCAATTCTCACTGCATCTCTGGGGCTTCATTTCCTTATGAGGGCTCCCCTGTCACATAAAACTTATATTAAATAAATTTGTGTGCTTGTCTCCTGTTGATATTTCTTAAGTCAATTTAATTCTCAGGCCCAACTGAAAAACTGTAGGAGTGCAGAGGTAAATTTTTGCCTTCCCTACAACAGAGATTTACTTGAGACTACAAAGAACTTTATTATCACCAGGTGTTTTTTCCATTTTATTTATTTATTATTGATTTGCTTACTATGGCAAGGGAGCACATGGCATCAAAAGAGGTTTGGAAGCATTTTGGAGCATCTTGGAGGAGGAGAGTGGCTGGATTTTATTGAGATGTTGAGGTTTGGTTTAAGGCTGGAATTTCACTGTGGGTGGGGTTTTGGGGGAGGCTTGACTTGGATTAGTTAAGGATAATGATACAACAGTTTAGGACTCCAGGTACTTTTTCATGCTCTAGAAACCACAGCTAAAAGCATTCCTACCACAAAGTTGTTCTGCCTTTTGCCTTTAAAAACAATTTTCTGCAATTATATTACCTAATTGTACTCCTCTAAGAATCATGTATGAGCAACATTTTAGGGTTTTTTTTTTAAATTAAATAACCTGAATCTCTTGGTTAAATCTAGACTTTAGCACAAAACTCTTAGGTTTTAGAGCTTGGGGGAGGTAGGTAAAGCAGAGAGAAATTACAAGGCACAATTTTTTGCTTCCTATTATTCTGAAGCTTCTGAATTCATCTTAATCTGACTATAAATAAACTGAAACTTACCTTTGTGTCACCTCCAAAGAAAACCCCAGGCTGATGGTATAAACAGCGTAGGGAAAGGAACATCACCGTCAGTTACTGAGGAGGTGCTACAGATGGCTGTACTGGGACAGTGACCGAGGATGTAGTTCTAGAACATGGGCCCTATAAAGAGAAACCATGTGCAGGAGGACTTTAGAATAACAGTAATTTAAATGCAAACAATGATTGCACTGATGACAACTATTCCTCTGATGTTAACCCAGAAGGACTGCAAAAGATGCCAAGTTTTTGAGCCTCATTAACTGTGAGGAAGGCCTCTAACAAAGATGCTCACGTTATTATTAACCCCTCAACCAGGATATCAGCACCCAAATTGGCAAAGGACACAAAGCTGAGACTCAGCTTATATGGAAAATAACAGAAATAGGAACCAAGCAGATTACCTGGATCTAGTAAGATAAATTTTAACAGAGAGAAGTACAAAACTAACACGTGCAAAAAATTAACTGTATTCGTTAATTGAGAACCCTGGTTCATGGAGAATTGTGGTTCGTGGAGAAACGTGGTTTGACAAGAGCATCTCTAGAGGACAGTTCAGTGTTTTGGCTGACCATACATTTGGCACGAGTCACAGTTTAGTTCGAGACTGTCAAAAGAAAGCAAAATGCAGCAAAACAAAAACAAAACCAAAACCATCGTGCTCCTGGACAGCATGCGAACCACAAAGCTGCAGAATGCGAAAGCTGAATGCAGGCTGCAAATCCTTGTTTCTATGAATAGTACCACCCAAAAAGGAAAGCATTTCCACAGTTTAGACCTTGGGACTAAGGAAGGGACCAACCCACTCTGCTCTGTACTGAGCAGACACCCTGAGAAATGAGTTCATGTCTGGCTACATCCCTCTGCTGGGTAGTAACTGATAGAAGTTAAGCAGCCCAGTGAGAAGCTAGTGACCACAAGACGGACCTGGAAAGGTTAAAGCTGAAGAAGTAATGACTCAATAGAGGAGTGAAAGCTGGCTCTAAATATTTAAAGAACTTATTAAAACACAAATTGCTGAGCCTCACGGGTTCCCAGGCGATGCTGATGTAACTGGTCCTGAGGCCACACTTTGAGAACCGCTGCTCTAAGTAACAAAATTGTAGTTTGTTTTTGTAATACTCTGTAGTTCTAAGATTCCACTAAGACCCGATGGCCTGTTTCTCAGTAAATCCACATTGGGAAGAATTTACTGGTTTTGAAGCCTCACACATTTGTGATTAAGATTGTTCTTTTTAACATTTCATATCGCTTAGCAGAAATTCAATCTTTCCTTTCTGCCCCTTAGTGTTTCTTATTAGTTCAGCTTCATAAAGCAGACTTCTGTTTCTGCTTCATTTTCTGGCATCTTATATGGTAGACATTTTTCCTCTGGTCTTCTTCCACTTTGCCTGTATTTTTCTGTTACGTTCAGCAGATCAAACTTCATAACATATTAAGTTGTGAGCTACCTTTATCAAATGATATCTGGCTCCCCACATCTAAAATAGTAAATACTGATCCAATCCTGTCTCCAAATGCCCACACTGAGCCCACCATCCCCAGAGATCTATTAGGATGGAAACGGCTGCATTCAATTCCTGATTAATTTTCTTTTCTCTTATATACTTGAAGCTTCAGTCTTTAGATCCCACTAGGAAAATTACAAGCATATGGGAATGCATATAAATGACATGCAAAGTAATGCAAATTAATACAAAACATACATCTCTAAATTGCTTGAGAAAAGTCTGTAAGCCTCAATGTTGATGTTATCTGCTTTGCTTCACTACACTCTGGCAAGCAGTGACTGGATCCCTTTATTACAGTTAATTTTATACAGCATCGAGCACCTGACACTTGTTGACACATTAAGTAGAAGGTGCCTTGCCTTGTGAGTCAGGCAAATCGGATCCTGGCCTTAACTTTGCCATTCCTTGGCTGTATGGGCTTGGACAGGTTCTCAACATTCTCTACGTTTCAGATTCTACAACCAGAAATGATAGAAATGGCATCATGATAATAAAACCACCAGCACTAAGGTTTACTGAGCACTTTATGTGCTTGCATAATGCACACAGGCAATCCTTACAACAGCCCACAAGGAGGTGCTGTAGAGCACGTACCCCTTAGGTGTGGTGCCGTTTCAGAGACCAGGAAACTGAGACAGGAATGTCAGGAAGCTTGGGCCTGGTCCTAAGCTAGGCAGTGACAAGAGTCAGACCCAGGAGCTCAGCAGTCTCACTGCGAGGCCTTGCTCTTAGCCATGCTGCATCTCTGTTGCGTGATTATCATCCATGTTTCTCCTAAACATTACATTTGTATGATCTGTGAAGTAAATCACTCGCAGTCACACGTGCTTTAAAACACTGTTTCTGTAAGATGTTGACAGTTTACATTACATGAGCTTGATATCAAAATACCATCGCAATCCAAGGGGGAGGGGATCCAGACATCCTGTGTGTTCAGCTTCTCCTTCCAACTCGCTCCATCGCATTCACATATGTCTAAGGCTCCCTCATCTTAAAGTACCTAGCCCTCCGTCCCACCTCTCACTCTGGGAGCAGCTTCCAGTCCTCAGACACCACCGCCTCGCCCCACCCCATCCACCCCAGGATTCAGACCACACCCCTCGTACAGAGGACCACCATCTGTGGAGAGTCAGCCAGCGAGTGCACTATGTGGCCACTAGGGAAGCCATTCCACTTAGGAGCCTCGAAAGCTGCCCAGACCCAATAAAACCAAACTTGTCTTTCCTCCTCCAATGTTCCCTGTTTCCGTAAATACCAGCACCCAAGCTTAGAGGGAGTCACGCTGCACTCTCACACCCTACACAAAACTCATCTGCTCTCACACCCTACACAAAACTCAGCCCCAGGTCTCTCCAGAGCCGGCCTTGAATCCGCCCAACGTGTCATCCCTACTGGCACTACCTCAGTCTCAACTGCCAGGCCTCCTGCACCCTCTGACCCAGCCCTGTCTACTTAGGGGCTCCTCAAGTCCATTCTCCACGGGGCAGCTGGAGTTTTGTTTTGCTTTTAATCCATATCTCATCTGCGTACTATCAGGTGTGAAACTGTCCTGAGGATCCACTCGCCACAATGCCCCTTGGCATCACCTGGCAGTGGTATCTGCTGGCCTCCCCGGTGCCATTCTCCATCCTCCCCTCAGGTCATACTGAACCTGTCTTTTCTTCCACCTCTCAGGCTCTCCTCTCCTCTGGTCTCAGCACACACCATTCCCGGGGATGGGAATACTCCCCTTTCTCACCTCTCCCCTCCCCCATGGCTGCTTAGTTTACACAGCTCCCACTCATCCTTGAGCCCACCTTCAGTCTCCCCAGCAAGGCCTCCTGCCTCAGCACAGATGCAGTGAGCTGCAGCACATCTGCGCCTCACAGCAGCCAATGCGCTGTTCACATTGGGACAGTTCACAGCCTGGTTCACAGCCAGTGCTCAACACAGGTGGCCTGAAGAACTCACTTTTCAGCCTTGCTTTGCTCATTTTTACTGTCTCACTGCTTTCTTCCCGCCTTGTAGCCTAAGAAGGAAATCCCCTGAAGCTGACTCCGTTTTACCTCTCCTATGTGGTGCTGTGATAAGCCCCAGGTCACCAGGTCATGCTCCCAGCACCCGTGGGTCAAGGATGAGGCAGAAACAGCACCGTCAGGTACAGGGCCCTCTACCTGCTCTCTCTCCCTCTCCCTTCCTAGAAAACAACCATAGGTCATTCAAAGTCAGTTTGGGAAGCACCTGTATTTATGGCCTGCTTATCTTGAAGGCACTTGGCCAGGTGCCATAAAGTGCTAACTCTGACTGCCCGACTATGCCATTCACCCCACCTACCTCTGTGCAGGAGATGTGACATTTAGCAAATCAGTATAAACTTTTTCCCCCAAAGAAAAGAGTATAAACCTTCTCATCCCACCACCACCCCGCAGCAGGAAACTCCTTTCAGTCTCCCCATAGAAAATTCAGCGGCCACACAGTTCCTTGGCTATTGTTTCTCTCCTGATACCAGAAAGAGATAAATCAACAACACATCTTAACTGGTCATTTCTCACACAAAATTGGATCCTTAGAAAGTGCAACATAGGATATGCTCTCTATAATGATTCACTTTTTCACTTTTAAAGATTTTACTTCCTTAAGAGACTATCAACAAAAGCTGTCAGAATGAACTGTTAGTTTCTAGAATGTTTTAGGCTTATTGATGCTTTAATAGGGACATGTTTTATGAATGCAAGATCAAAAAGGGCGACTTCTGTCTACTCACATGAGACAATTAAACGCATTATATTAGCCCCAACTCTGTTAATCTTCTGGTTTGTTGTTCTTCCATTTTTAAAGACAAAAAAAAAAAAAAAAAGAAAAAGAAAAAAATGAATTTAAAAAGTGCCCCAAGGCCAATATCGCCTCTCTGCCTGCCCAACGAGGGGACAATACACTGTTTCCCAGACTACGTGACTCGGAAAACTTCCCCGTCAGGGAAAGCTGAGTCTTTAAATTTACAAAACACCCACTCGCCCCGTTTACCTAGCACCGTTTCCTACGTGAAGACTGCAAATGGACTCGAGCGTCCCGTTTCTCGGCTCGGATCCCAGAAGCTCCCGACCCGCTGTGGTAGGCACCGCCACCTCGCAGGCAGACGATCCCGGCCCGCTCTGCGGCACAAAAAACTTGACCTTAAAAAGCCCAGAAACTGGTCTCTGGGAAGGGCGCGGCCTGGGAGGCGCGGCCCGCAGCTTCCGCCCCCAAAGAACAACTCGGAGGCCCCCTCCAGCCCCGGTTGCCCTGGCGCAGAAGCCGCGGTAGCAGTCCTTTCAGGCGCCCCGCGTCCCTGTCCCGAAGCCCAGGGGCGGGGGCTCGGGCAGCATCGCTTGTCCCCTCTGGTCCAGGGCTGCGGAGAAGCGGCAAGCGGCTCCGAAAGGCAAGCGTCACGAAGCCGGGCTCAGTAGCTCCCCCGGGCCCCCTGCGCCTCGCAGCGGCGCGGGCCAGGCTGGGCGGCGCTGGGCTCTGAAGGGCCAGGACGGCGGGATGCCCCTGCTCCCGGCAAGGGCGCGCCCACGAGCCGCTTCTTGGCACTTGGGGAGAGTCCCGGGAAAGCCCGGCGCCGGCGCGCTCGCGACTCCAGCCTGGCGGCTCCACTCCGCCCGCGAGCCCAGGAAGCCGGCTCCGCGGCCCGCGCCCGTTATCCAGGACACGCTCCGCGCCCGCCGCCCGCTGCCCTTTCCCCCCGCTGGCCTCGGGGAACTTCCCCGCGTCTGGCCGCAGGCGGCGGCTGCCGCGGGGAGCCCCGAAGTTGCGGCGTCTGCTAGGCGCGCGCCGGGTCGCCCACCCGGCCCGTGACGCTGTGTCCGTCCGCCGCGCGCTCTGGTGGCCCCGGGGCTCCTGCAGGCGCGGAGAGAGGCCGGGGTTCAGCCCGGTTCCCCGCGCGGCTCCGAGAGGGCGCCCCCGCCTGCCGCCTGGAGATGGACGCGGCGCCGAAGTTTTCCCCGGCGGGAAAACGAAAGTCGTGAGGAGCAGAGGGTCGGGGCGTCCCGGCGGAGACGAGGCTGAGACCGGGTTAACATCTCCAGCCCCGGGCGACCCTCGCTCCCCCGCGTGGCCAAGTCGACTTACGAGAGGGAGCGGGCCAGCCCCGAACGCGGGGTCCGTGCGGCTGCGGAGGCCGCCCCGGCGGGGGCCGAGGGTTGCGCTCTGGGTTCCCAGGCTCTCCGCGGCGGCTCGCTCTCGCCGCGCTCCTCCGTCGCCCTGCTGGGGAGCCGCTCTCGCCCGGCCCGGGGTGGGAGAGCGCTGAGCGGCCCCCGTGACGTGCGGAGAAAGTAGGAGCGCCTCCGCGCTCCCGCAGAGGGAGCTCCCTGCCCTGCGCTCCCAGTCCCCGGGCCGCGCTTCGGACAAAGTTCTCAGGCGCGCGCGGTGATCTCGGCTCTCCGCCGCTGCCCGGAGCGTCATCCACGTTCGGTTCCCTCCCACATTAGACAAGAAATCTGAGGTCAGGAGAGCTAAGTAACTTGCCCAAAGTCGCTCACAAGGCAGTGACGAAGCAAACTCACATCCGCGGCTCCTTTTTTCTCCTTGAACGCCGGGCTCTGCGGAGGCTCAGGCCCTGCAGGAATCGCCCAACCAGACAGAAGGCAGCTCGCTCTCATGGGTGAGACGAGGAGTGTCCCACGCAGCCGCGAGAAATATTATCAGCAGCGTGGGAAGGTGGAGCTTTTTGCCGAATAACTAGAGTGCAAAGTTGTTTTTCAAACAGTGCCTACATGCCAAATCGGCTTGCTTTTTATCCTCAAGCGAGAGTGAGGGTGGCGGCTGTGCGGACGCCAATCGGGATCACCGAATAAGTGCAGTGGAAAGAAAGCACACAGCCACTTAACCAATTGGCCGACATCAAGGACTTGGCCTTCCGAGCGGGTTCTTGTGAATATGCTAACTTTGTAAAGCGGGCGCACCACGCTGTGCTTGCTATTCACGCACTTCCAGGAGTCTCCCGCGAGGCTCCACGTCCTTTCGGGGCCGGGGGCTCCCAGGGCTTGCCTTTCAGGGCAGGGAGTGGCACCAGACAAGTCAATCCCAGTCGGTTTGTTCCTTTATCCCTTGCGTCAATCAGTGTTGACTGAGGGCCTGCAATGTGCATGGCTGTTGGGTGGGGAGCTGGGTAGGACCTAGGACCTAGGACCCAGTGAATCTCAAAGAGGGAGGGTCACATGGGTCCCCATATGCTTCACTCCCAGAATCTGGAATCTGCCCAAAGCAGTAGAGAGACTTTAAGTCTACCCCAGCCCCCACGCCTTTTTAAAAACTCCCTGTGTTCGGAGAGCAAGTGTTTTAATATTCGTTTTACAGACGTACTTTCAAGCAAATGGCCAGCTTTGCCTTCATTTTCTCCCCATGGGACCGCCTCTTTCTGGAATAATAATTTACACTTCCTGGGTCTCCCTCATTTGCACATGATGATGGCGATAGTCATGATGGTAAAAACAATTAAGGCTTCTATTATCCACCCTGGGCACTGTTCTAAGCAATTTATGCGGATTAACTCTTTCAATCCTCACAACTTTATGAGGGAGGTGCTATTTTAATTCTGATTTTACCGATGATGAGAGGGAGGCAGGTGAGGTGACATAACTTGCCAGTAAGTGGGTGGTCTGAATGGTGTCCATGCTCTTAACCACTGAGGTCTCCAAGACTGGAATTTAAAGGGACCACTAGCCATCATTAACCACAGCTTACACATCTCAAACAAGCCATGCTAGGAAATACATGCACTTCCTCCTAAAGAGGTCAATTTTATTATTTTGCGTGTATCATGTCATAAAGTGGATATCCATTCACTCACTTGCTCCTCTATTTCCAACTTCCAAATCAACTATTTTGTCCTAAAGCAAACTATTTCTTAAAAACCTATTCATCATAAAGTTTCCAATTTTTGTTTTGGATTGTTTTATTCTCAGACCATACCCAGCTGTTTCCCTCTCCTTTCTACTCACTGCCTTAAGTTACGCTTTTTTTTTTTTTTTTTTTTTTTTTTTTTTGTGAGACGGAGTCTTGCTCTGTCTCCCAGGCTGGAGTAAGGTGGTGCAATCTCGGCTCACTGCAACCTCCGCTCCTGGGTTCAAGCGATTCTCCTGCCTGAACCTCCTGAGTAGCTGGGACCACAGGCGCACACCAGCACGCCCAGCTCATTTTTGTATTTTTGGTGGAGACGGGTTTCACCATATTGGCCAGCCTGGTCTCAAACTCCTGACCTGGTGATCTGCCTGCCTCGCTTCCCAAAGAGCTGGGATTACAGATGTGAGCCACTGCGCTTGGCCAGGTTACTCTCTTTCATCCCTTAAAAACTTGTTGTAACCGGCCCTGCAGGTCTTCTGAAAGTGGGTTGCCCAAAGATGGTAGTGGCCCCAGAATGGTCTCTGCCACATTGTAAGCATGCTCATTGTGCTCAGCATTCCTGTGTTATTCTCCTAGGACTGCCTAACAAATACCACTGACTGCACAACTTAAAACAACAGAAATGTATTTCCTCATAGCTCTGGAGGCTGGAAGCCTGAAATCAATGTGTTAGCAAGGCTGGGATCCCACTGTGCCCCCTCCTAGCTTCTGGTGATTGCTGATAATTCCTGGCATTCCTTGGCTTGCAGATGCATCATTCCAGTCTCTGGCCTTTTCCTGTGTGTCCTCTGCAAACACATTTCCCTCTTCTTTAAGGATATTGGTCATTGGACATAGGGCCCACCCTAATCTAGTATGACCTCATTTTAACTTGATTACTTGGCAAAAACCCTATTTCCAAATAAGGTCACTTTCACAGGTTCCAGGTGGACATGAATTTTCAGAGAATGCTGTTTAACCTGGTGCAGTCTCCAAAAGTCATTGTTAATAAAAACATATTGCCTGAGCTAAGGATGCAAAGAGGTGTAAGTCACAGCCCCTGCCCTCCAAGAAACTCTAGTTACAGAAGTAGTCCTTGCACTGAGAACATAAAGACAGGCGTCACTAAGAGCCAACTAACTGAAGCCAAATGAAAATCTAGGGACCAAATGGCAGCTGTACACAAGGAATTCAGCCAAAGGGGCACATTCACTGAGGATACGGCTGCAAGACTTCACTCAAAGGTGAGGGTGATTCAAACACATCTGTGAGGGAAAAATTGAAAAAGCAAAGAGAAATAAGGAGAGCTTCTCAGAAACACAGCTCCAAGGGGAAGAGCATGCTGGCAGAATTTTGCTTCTTGAGTTTCATGCAGAAATGAAAGACTGAAGGGATGCAAATACCTACCATCCTGAGTATAAGAACATGGTGAATTACTCTTACTGTACTAATAGCATGCTGTAATGCTATAACAATTAGCATGCTTTAAAGTGCTCTCTTCACTGGGCACAGTGGCTCATGCCTGTAATCCCAGCACTTTGGGAGGCTGAGGCGGGAGGATCCCTTGAGGTCAGGAGTTTGAGACCAGGCTGGCCAACATGGCAAAACCCAGTCTCTAGTAAAAATACAATAATTAGCCGACGTGGGGTCGGGCACCTGTAATCCCAGCTACTTGGGAAGCTGAGGCAGGAGAATCGCTTGAACCTGGGAGACGGATGTTGCAGTGAGCTGAGATCACTTCACTGCACTCCAGCCTGGGTGACAGAGTGAGACTCCTTCTAAAAAAAAAGAAAAGAAAAAAAGTGCTCTCTTCTTTCAGTAATTTTATTTGATCTTTATGACAATCCTGGGTGTCATCAGAGAAAGGGACATCATATTTTATAACCAAGGATCCCAAGGTTCAAACAGTCAAGTAACTCGCAAAGGTCAAACAGCAAATCATTTATAGAGTTGATATGAAGCATATTTGCATGGATATTCCTCAGTTAGGAATGTCCCCATGATGTTGGCTCGTGGGCCAGCCTTCCAGTATTTATTGCATTGTTTTTGGTCCAAAGAAAGCATTTAAAGAAAAAGAGAATCCTGCAAGAAATGGAAAGTTTTTCTAACAGCTACGTGAATCTCAAACTGGAATTGTGAAAAACCTTCCCCAGACATCTGAACTGGTTTCACTAAACCTTCAGAGGATTTGCAAGTGTATTGAAGTCTCCTTTAGGCCTTCAGAGACTTAATAGGATCTAGTGGGCTTCTGCAGAACTTCGCTGATTATCTTAAAGAAATAGGGGTTGAATGAAACTTTGAGGGCACTCAGAACACTGAGAAGTTGAGGGGAAGCTGAGTAAAAAACAAGAAATTACATTACAGGATGGTATGCCAGCAGAAATTGACAATTAAAACTCAGTATCTGATCTCACCAATGTGTAAAGTTATACACAGACGACCAGATCATGGCATGTTTTGAAAATTTTCTGATAAGAATCTGCAACTATGACTAGCAACGGAAAGCAAGCAGGAAGTCTAGTGTTGGGCTGAGTATCTGATGATTTAATGTGTTTCCCTGGATTTTCCTTTGCTTGGCAAGCAGGTAACTTGCTGAATCTTCTGCTGGCTATCTTTAAAAATATATTTAAGCTTGAAATGCTTTTGATTCTAGTGTGATTCACTGAGTCTTGGTTGTGCATAGTGCTACACTGGTTGCTATGGGAGAGTACAAAAATATAAAAGACAGCTCCTGACCAAAAGAAAATCTCATCTAATTCAGGACACATGAGACATATAGAATAAAAATTATATAAGTGTGGTTGCAATGGAATTTGTAAGCAGTTATTACTCAGTTCACTGTTCAGATGTGACTTCTTGAAAACAGGCCCTCCTTGGCTACTCTTTTTAGAACAACGGCCTGTCCCACCTCCACATCACCTGTTGGCCTTTTTCCTGCTCTGTGGTCTTTATGACACTTATTACTATCTGAAATTAAATTGTTGCTTGTTTACTCTGCTCCTAGACATACTATCTCTGAGGGCATGAGCTTTATCTTATTCTCTGCTGTATTCCTAGCACCTAAAGAAATGTTGGGAACATATTAGGTGCTCATTAAATGGTTGTTAAATAAATGAATAAAATACATATTAACCAACTGAGAATGGACTAAGATAGCTTGGATTAATGCTCCTCACATTTGCCTGATAAGACTCATCTAGGCATTTGGAAAAAAATTTGCTGCAGGTTCTGATTCAGTAAGCCTAGAGTGGGGCTCAGGAATCTATAGTTTTAAGACATATCCCAGGTGATTCTTTTAATAGGACTGTCTGGGAAACGTGCATTACTACAGTAATAGAGGGTTGGTGGGAAAGAAAAGTGAATTGATAACAGCAGGTTGCAGAGGTCAGTGGCTGTTCATTGTAGTTATCTGGAGGAGATTTTAAAAATACTGATACCCACTCCAGACCAATGAAATTAGAATCTCTTAGGTGGGGGCAAACTTGGGCAGGGTATTAAAGCCCAAGGCAGAGCCCTCATGATGTAATCACCTCTTAAGGGTTCCGCCTCTCAACACTGTTGCATTGAGGATTAAGTTTCCAACACATGAACTTTGGAGAACACATTCAAACCCTAGTCCCTGGGACTACTGATGCTCAGACTCATTCTCAAAGATTCTGCTGTATTCGATATAAGGGAGTTGTTTTTCTTTGTGTGTGTGTGTGTGTTTGTGGGTGGCAGAGAGGAGAGAGAGAGAGAGAGGCCGCAGTGTTGCTAATTAGAGGTTTAGAAAGAAAGAGGAGAGCCTGGCCCATATAATCTTCATAATAACAACAGCTATCATTTATTGAGCAGTCACTATGTATCAGCCACTGTGATGCCTGCTTTGCACAGAGTACCTCATTTAATCCCCCACAAAAACTGTAGGAGGGAGGCACATTGGCAGCCCCATTTACAGACATAGGATGAGACTGGGGAGGATTACAAGGTTCTATGACTAGGGATTGGTAGAGCTGGGATGTCAGCCTAGAACTTATACTCATATCCTCTGCCAAAAACAGGTCTGAAGAGAATGTCAACAAGGAGAAATTCTCTGTGGTAGAGGTCACGTCCAGTCATTTTAAGCTATTTGCTGTGCTGTGTTGTGCTATAATTCTTTCCTCTTTGCCAGCAAGCCTTAAGCAAAGCTTGTTCCACATCAGCTGGCATGGATGGTGCTGTGGGGAAAAAGGAACCAGGTGGGGTGAGGTTAGCATAAGGCAGAAGGATGGAGGAGGTGGCGACAGCACTAGAGACTGACAGCAATGCCCAGGGACCAACCTGACCGGCAGGCTGATGGAGAGTTTCATAGAAAAGCAGCCATAGTGGGAGAATGTAACTTCTTGGGGAAAATGTAGAGAAATGGGGTAGAGGTACTAAAAGTGGGGTGTTAGTGGACTGCGAGGCTCAAGTCATCCCACAGTGCTTCTAAAGGAAAAGACGGTCCACAATTCCAGAGGGCTAGGGCCTCTCTGGGCTTGCATTACTACATATAAAGTCATTTGTGTCACAGAGCTGGGCTCTTCTAAATTTTACTGTCTATTTTTTTTTATTTATCCTGGATTTTGGGTGGGGGCTAAGACACATTTTCTTAAACCTTTTCATTTCCATCATCAGCATTTCTTTTGGGGCCATTTTTACACAAAGAAAAATAGTTTTGACTTTGCTCTATTTAATCATTTCATGACAGTTACTGTGTAGGCAATAAGGAACAGAGAACAAAAAAGCTATGCTGAGATAAAGATGTAAGGTGACTGGTGAGGCTCACCCACCAGCTAGGCAACTTGCCTTACCACTTCCTTGCCTCCAGCTTTGAAGGATAACATAGAACCTCATATCTCAGCCAAACTGCCATACGTCACGGAACTTTAAGATGTCTTGAGAACAGCCAAAAACATAAATGTTAACTGCTTTTAACTTTTAGAATACCAGTATTGACATTACAGCTTCAAATGTTTGCATCTACCATTTCTACTTTAAAGCTTAAAAAGCATCGTAGCCCAAAAGAAAAAAATAGGAACTTAAAAATATGTCCAGGAATTGAGAAGTTAACCACAAATCCTGACCTAGGGGCTAAAGTCTGAGGCAAGTTGATTTGACATGGCCTCAAATTCTGTTCCTCTTATTTAGATGGCTAAAAAAAATTAGGGACATAAGAACATTAAAATGAAGTTTAAGGAGAAATGAATCACATTTCTTGGCTTTTACATGTTAAGAAAGATGTGTCCCTCGTTTCCTTAAAATAGGCTTCAACAAAATGAGATGAGAAAAAAATTGGAGAGGGACTCCAAAGAAACACATGCAGAGCTGATGTGCTCGTGGCCTTCAATAGCACAGAAAATCCAAAGGGACTTAAAATCCAGGCCCACTGGGCACATACATTCACTTAAAAGCAACAAGCTAGTTCCCAGTGCACATTGAATTTGAGAAATATCTCGAATGGAATAAGATTTGAATAAAGCTTTTTTTTTTCTTTTTTTCCTGGAATGCGCTAGATTGGAAAAGAGAGAGACTCAAGAGCAGGTACTAATGTGTTTATATTAGAACTTATCAGTGAGGCTTCTGCATTCCATTTTCTCTCAGTGAGTTTATGTTTATCTTTTTAGAGACAGGGTCTCACTCTCTCACCCATGCTGGAGCACAGTGTTGCAATCATAGTTCACTGTAACCTCGAATTCCTGGGCTCAAGCGATCCTTCTGCTTTAGCCTCCCAAAGGGTTGAAATTACAGACGTGAGCCACCCAGGCTTGGCCCTCAATGAGTATTTCTGTCTGCCCTGTCTGCCTTTCATTCATTCGAAGGGAGCAAAAGTTGACTTCCCCAGCATGTATAAGTGGAAGGAATCAATAGGGCCACCATTACTCAGAATGATTCTGACACTGTTTTAATAATTTAACGTATATTTTCAGGTAAATACTTTTGGTTGAGCAAGAGACATACACAGTGCCTAACAGCATGAGCTCTGATGCCAGATTACCAGGTTCGAATCCCTGCTCCACCATTTGGTAGTTGCTATGTGGTCACATTACTTCATCCTGCACCTGCTACCTCATGTGCAAAATGGGGATAATAATAATCTCCCACCTTTTAAGTTGTGGTGAGGATTAAATGAGTTAATACATCAAAGGTGCTTATAACAATGACTGGTATATATAAGTGCTCAATAAATATTAGCTCTTACCCCAATCTCCTCCATCCTCCCTCCCCCATTTTGTTTCTGCTTGCTTATTTGTTTTTTAGCTGGCAGAGTCTGGAATTTGTGCAGCGGACTGCTCACCTGCACATGTGCATGTACTTCTCTCAACCAATTAAGGTAACACCACTTCCCTGGCTAGAGAGGAATGGTAGGTGGTACAGTTCTGGCCGATGAGACACAAGTTTCCTGGGGTTAGAGTGTGTTCAGGGAAGGTTTCTTTCCAAAATAAATGTCTTGGAAAAAATGTCTAATTCCTTATCCTAATGATGCTATTTCTACATGTATAACAACCTGTAACAGCACAGCCATCTTGGCACTGTGAAGGGACCAAGAAGAATTGTGAAAACAATAATGACATTGTTGAGTTGAAGACTTAATCAACCCTGAAGTTCCTGCCTCTGGATCTGTTAAATGAAATGATAAATTTTCCTTATTGCTTATGCCATTTTGAGTAGGGTTTTCTGTTGTTGTATCTGAAAACACTAACTGGTTGATATTTCTCGATCACCTACTATGTTCAAGATATTTTATAGGGAATACAAAGTGTAAAACCCTGAACCTGTTCTCAATAAGTTTTTCAGATACATGAGGTAGATAAACCATAAACAGAAAACTAGTAATGTCAGTGATATGGTTTGGATCTGTGTCCCCACCCAAATCTCATGTTCAATTGTAATCCCCAGTGTTGGAGGTGGGGTCTGGTGGTAGGTGACTGAATCATAGGGGTGGTTTATAATGGTTTAGTACCATCCCCCTAATGCTGTTCTCATGATAGAGTTCTCATGAGATCTGGTTGTTTAAAAGTGTGTGGCACTTCCCCCCACTTCCTCCTGCTCCCACCACGTAAGACATGCCTGCTTACCCTTTGCCTTCTGCCATGATTATAAGTTTCCCAAGGCCTCCCCAGAAGCCAAGCAGATGGCCAGAATCATGCTTCCTGTACAGCCTGCGGAAACGTGAGCCAATTAAACCTCTTTTCTTTATAAATTACCAAGTCTCGGTTATTTATTTATTGCAATGTGAGAAAAGTCTAATATAGCCATGCAGTAAATGTTAAGTGCTTGGATTGGGATGGTCTGAGAAAGCAACACAGGTGGTCATATCTGAGGAGAGGCCTCAAAGAATAAGAAAAACACAGATGGGCAAAGAGAGGAGGGAACATTCTAAGTAGGGGAAATAGTGTAAACAAATGTAGGGGAGAGTTAGGGATTAGTTTGCTAGGGTTGCCATAACAAAATACCACAAAATGGGTAGCTTAAAACAAGTTTATTTCTCAGAGTTCTGGAGGTGTGAAATCCAAGGTCAAAATGTCCACATGGTTGATTTCATTCTGAGGCCTCTCTCCCTGGTTTGTAGATGGCTGCCTTTTTGTTGTGTCCTTACATGATCTTTTATCTGTGTGCATGTATCCTGGTGTTCCTTTGTGTGTCCCAATTTTTTCTTCTTATACGGATATCAGTCAGATTGGATTAGAGCCCCCCCCAATGACCTTATTGTAATTTATCTTATCTTTAAAATACAGTCATAGTCTGAGGTACTAGGGGTTAGGACTTCAAAATATGAATTTTTGGGGTACAAAATTCAGCCCATAACAGAAATGAAAAGGGAGTTTAAGGTCAAAGGTTAGAGAGCATTGGGAGGTAAAGTTGAAAGGTTATGTTAGGGCCAGATAGTTAGGTAATCTTGAATACTGGGCCTAGATTTTACTTTTGCAGCAGCAGGGAAGCAACATAGATCTTTAAGAAGAATAATTTGGCAGCAGTGTGTCACAGGTGTATAATAAGGGAAAGAGTGGGAGTATGAAAAATGGGTTAGGATTGCTGCTGCATATAGTCCAGACAGGCACTGATAAGAACTGAACTCAGGAGAGGAAGTTGAAGGGATTGAATGAAAGAGAAACTGAGAAGGAAAAGACAAGATGTATGTTTTAGTCTATTTTCTGTTGCTATAACTGAATACCTGAGACTGGGCTATTTATAAAGAAAATAAATTTGGTTTTCTTGTTCTGGAGGCTGGGAAATCCGTGGTCTCAGGGCCACATCTGATGAGAGGCTTCTTGCTGGTGGGGACTCTCTGGAGCCCCGAGGCAGTGCAGGGCATCATCACAAGGCAGGGGAGTTGACCAGAGAGAGCCAACCTGGCTTTTTATACAGGCCCACTTTTGTGATAACTAACCCACTCCCATTATAACCCATTAATCCATTAACTCATGAAAAAATTAATTAATTTATTGTTTATGAGGCCTGGCCCTCATGACCCAGTCACTTTTTTTTTTTTTTTTTTTGGAGAGGGAGCTTCGCTCTGTCGTCCAGGCTGGAGTGCAGTGGCACGATCTCGGCTCACTGTAAGCCCCGCCTCCCAGGTTCACACCATTCTCTTGCTTCAGCCTCCTTAGTAGCTGGGACTACAGGCACCCACCACCACGCCTGGCTAATTTTTTGCATTTTTAGTAGAGACGAGGTTTCACTTTGTTAGCTAGGATGGTCTCAATCTCCTGACCTCGTGATCGGCCCGCCTCAGCGACCCAGTCATTTCTTAAAGGCTCCATCTCCCACCACTGCTACATTGGGGATTAAGTTTCAGCATGAGTTTCAGAGGGAACCACGAAGCCATAGCAATGTATGTTTAGAATCTTCCAACAGCCAAGCCAGTGGAAGCTGTGCCATAATAATTCAGCTTGTAAAAAAAAGAAGTATTATCATTTAGAGTTGTGAGGCCTGGAACATAGGGGTTCCGGCTTTCTAACACTGAGGACTACCTGTTTGAAAAGGAATAGGCTTCCTTTTTGGGTATGGAGTATTCCAGAGATGTTCAAAAAATCAGTTTTATAAAAAGGATAAAAATACCACGTATGAGATTGATTAGATATTTTTCATCTATGGTTTAGGGTCAGAAGCCTAAGCTTTCATTTAGAATCCAGAGTAGGTAAAACATGTAGCTAACATCCTAAATTGCCCAGTCTTCTCACAGAGATAATCTAGGGTAAGGTAGTTCTCTCCAACTCTGGTTGGAGTAGACCCTTTTGTTGTTTAGTTTGGGCAATGCTCAGCATGCCTGAAGGGCAATGGATGTTATTTCAGTCACCAGTTGGTATATAAAATAGAGTAAAAGGGCTTGGGAAATTAAGAATTTAATCACCAAAATGAAAACTTAGAATTGCAAGATCTTTTGTATTAAAAACTTAGCATATATGACTTTCATAGATTGTAATCACTAGACAAAATGCCTGTTTTAAAAATTATTATCTTAAATTTTTTTTAATTACAAAAGACATGTGTGCCTAATTTCTTCTTAAAGTCGAAAGTAAACTATAAAAGTACCCTTTCATCCTCCTCAGTCTAGCTTCCTTAGGGATAGGCACTATAAACATTTGTATCTGTAGCATTCTAGAACTTTTACTGAACATACCCCCACCTCCACCCCACACGCATAGAAACACACATTTTTGGAGCTATTTATTAAAAAGTATATATTATATATTTATATATAGTATGCATATATAATATACCTTATCTACATATATACCAGTATATGTGTATATATTATGCATGCAAAGGTATATAATTTTTCTTTAATAAGCCAGTACTTGCATTAAACATTGTCCAAAAATTTACATTTTATTTATATATATAATTTAATTAGTACATATATTCTCAAATGGCTCATATTTTAATTATCTTAAATAATAAAGCAAAATACAGAATAAAGTCTCATACAGATTATTTAAGAATTAGAAAAACAGGCACTCCAAGGAAATTATAGTGAAACAATATAATTTTCTGTTGGTTCTCAAATATAACAATATGTAGGGTTATTCTATCCTGAACATTTGCATTGGACTCTTGAAGGAAGAAAAATAAAATGATTTAATATGTCCTTACACTTTTATTAATAGACAAATATTTCCAGGTACATGTAGTCAAAAGTAGGTCTTTTTCCTTGGTTCTCCAGCCCCGTAATTTATTTCTCCAGAGGCCACTGTTAAGCAGTTTCTTATATATTCTAAAGATGTATCTTAATGTTCTATACGTTTAAAATAAGAAAATATTCAAAAAGCAACACCATATCACCACCCACCAAAATCACTGGACTTGCATGAGAGCAGGCACACCTCATTTTATTGCACTTTGCAGATATTATCTTTTTTTTTTTTTTTTTTTTTACAAATTGAAGGTTTGTGGCAACCCTGCATTGAGCAAGTCTATCAGCACCAGTTTTTCCAACAGCACGTGCTCACTTCGTGTCTGTGTCACATGTGGGTAATTCTCAAAATATTTCTAACTTTTTTGTTATTATTATATCTGATATGATAATCTGTGAGCAATGATCTTCGATGTTATTATTATAGTTGTTTTGTTCCGACAATATTGAAGTTAGGCCAGTTAGTAACCCTATAATGGCCTAAGTATTCAAGTGAAAGAAAGAGTTGCACACCTCTCACTTTAAATCAAAAGCTAGAAATGATTAAGCTTAGTGAAGAAGGCATATTGAAAGCTGGGATATGCCTAAAGCTAGGTCTCTTGCATCAAACTGTTAGGTAAGTTGTGAATGCAAAGGAAGAGTTCTTGAAGGAAATTAAAAGTGTTACTTCAGTGAACACACAAATGATAAGAAAGCAAAGCAGCCTTATTGCTGAGATAAAGTTTGAGTTGTCTGGATAGAAGATCAAACTGGCCACAACATTCCTTTAAGCCAAAACCTAATCCAGAGCAAGGCCCTAACTCCAATTCATGAAGGCTGAGAGAGGTGAGGAAGCTGCAGAAGAAAAGTTTGAAGCTGGCAGAGGCTGGTTCATGAAATTTAAAGAAAGAAGCTGTCTCTACAATACAAATGCAAGGTGAAGCAGCACGTGCTGATGTAGATGTTGCAGTAAATCATCGAGAAGACCTGGCTAGATTATTGATGAAGGTGGCTGTACTAAACAGATTTTCATTATAGATTAATCAGCCTTCTGTTGGAAGAAGATGCCATGTAGGACTGTTAGAGCTAAAGAGAAGAAGTCAATGCCTGGTTTCAAAGCTTCAAAAGACAGGTTGACTCTTGTTAGGGACTAATGCAACTGGTGACTTTATGTTGAAACCAATTCTCATGTACCATTCTGAAAATCTAGAGCCCTGTGCAAAATCTACTCTGCCTGTACCCTAGAATTGGAACAATAAAGCTTAGATGACAGCACATTTGTTTGTTTACAGCATGATTTACTGAATATTTAAAGCCCACTGTTGAGATGTACAGCTCAGAATAAAAGATTTCTTTCAAAATATTACTGGAGTACTTTTGACTTTCAAGTCTTATTATTTAAGAAATATATTTTGTAAGGCTACAGCTGCCATAGATAGTGATTCCTTTGATCTGGGCAAAATAAATTGAAAACCTTCTGGAAAGAATTCACCATTCTAGATGCCATTAAGAACATCTGTGATTCATGGGAGATCAAAATATCAACCTTAACAGGAGTTTGGAAGAAGTTGATTCCAATCCTCATGGATGACTTTGAGGGGTTTAAGACTTTAGTACAGGAAGCAACTGCAAATGTGGTGGAAATAGCAAGACAACTAGAATTAGAAGTGGAGCCTGAAGATGTGACTGAATTGTTGAAATCTCATGATCAAACTTGAATGGAAAAGGAGTTGCTTCTTACGAATGAGCAAAGAAAGTGGTTTCTTGAGACAAAATCTACTCCTGGTGTGGTGATGTGAACACTGCTAAAATGACAACAAAGGATTTAGAATATTCTATAAACTTAGATGATAAAGCAGCAGCAGGGTGTAAGAGGATTGACTCCGATTTTCAAAGAAGTTTTACTGTGGGTAAAATGCTATTGAAAAGCAATGCATGCTACACATAAATCTTTCATGAGAGAAAGAGACTATTGATGTGGCAAATTTCATTGTTGTCTTATTTTAAGAAATTGCCACAGCTACCTCAACCTTCAGCAACCACCACCATGATTGGGCAGCAGCCATCAACATCAAGGCAAGACCCTCTACCACCAAAAAGATTACAACCTGCGGAAGGCTCAGATGCTCATATTTTTTAGTAATATTCTTAAATTAAGGTACATACATTGATTAAGATATGCCTTTACACACTTAATAGACTACAGTATAGTGTAAACATAACTTTTATAGAAACTGGGGGAAAAAAAATCACGTGACTCCCTTTAGTTGACATTCGCTTTACTGCAGTAGTCTGGAAGTAAACCTGCAGTATCTCTGAGGTATGCCTGTTATGTTTATTGCAATTTTGACTTCTATACTCAAAAGAAATAGAAGGGATAAATAAGGCCATGGAGCCAAAAGCTTATTTGGGAACCTGGGGTAATGAAGGACAAGGAAAGAGTAACTTGGCTATCAAAGGATTAAGAGAGACCCTTGAGAAAACTGAAAAATCTCTTAAATATATCTCTTTTTTTTAAAAAAAGTCTTCGTGATAATGTAGCAAAAGTCAAAGGTGAAGGATGTTCTATTTTAAATGATCAGACTCCAAATCAACACTTGATTCATTCTTTGTTCCAAGACTTACCACAGCTACAATCCTATCTACACTAAATTTTATGAAACTTAAACCTCCTTCATAATTTTACATTTTGATTTTGAGAAAAACTTCAAAGGAAATGTGAAAGGTATTAGGACTTTAAGTTCTTAAGGGATTTGTTTAACCTGGGCCTTTTTAGGACCAATTATCCATGGATTACACTTACTTGTATCCTCATTTCCTTAGGGATCAATTGTTTTTTATACAAAGGTAGAGGTGTTGATTGAAAAGTTAGTTTTAAGTTTATATTAGTAAAAAGAAAGCCAGAGAGCCAATCAATATGGTCTAGTTCAAATGTGCCTTTATTTCAATGGCAAAAAAGCATTAATCTTATATAATTGTTGAACAGTTACATACATCTTAAGAACAGTAAACATACATCCTAAATAGCAACTCATAAAGTGTATGTTAAAATAGGCCCACCAGATTATACAAGATGAAATATAAATGTTTGTTGGTAATTTGAACAAATATCCAATAAAATATTAAGAAACCAAGGTTTTAGGGTGTTAGTTCCTCACATTCCACACAAAACTTCCAATGCTGATCCATTATGTGGCATGGGAGAAATTCTTGATCACTGATTAATAGTATTTCATTTATTTGTAGATAACGTGGGCTGCTTTGCATTGACTCTCTGGAAGTTCCTGTTTAAAGAAGTATCAACAAATTAAAAACTGCCCTCTGAAATTTAAGATGTAAATTTTGCTATTACAAATCCTAGAATCCAATCAAGTCTATTTGAGAGCACACATAACAGGTTTTCTGATCAGGACCTTTTCCCTCAACCTATTTTCTGTACTCAAGACAAAGCTATGAACCAGCATTGGTTGATCTTGGGAAAGAGGGGCCTGTTTGAAGTCTAAAACATCAGCAGAAAAAGGATGGTGGAAGCTTCTGAAGGTAGTGGTACAAGCTCCTCTCTGCCTCAATTTCCAATAAACGGAGAATAAAACAGTTGTATTAACTGAGATTTTGCATGTGAAATTCTTAGCATACCGCCGGGCATATAGCAAACAATAAATACTAGACGCTATTATTATTTAGTACTAAAAAGAGTATTAGGCTGCATGATTTCTAGTCCTGCCTCTGCCACAAACTTGGTGTGTGATCTCAAGCAAGTCATATGGCTTTTCCAGACTTCCATCTCTGAGATGTGAGAGGAGTGATGATAAAGAGGGTTCCTTTTGGCTCTGCCAGTCTATGGGGCTAATGGTCCTAAAACTGGTTTCTTCAAGCTCCCTGACAGTCTGAGAGATTTTTTTTTTTCTTCTCTGAGATTGGCTATATGAGCTGTACATCATTCAGCAAGTTGAATCTTATTCCACAGATAGCAACAATATGAGTGTCACCTCTGTATGGCCAACCCTTTCTTCATGCTTGGCCCACATGCTTCTGGTAGAGTTGTTTTCAACCTCCTGATTTGCTTAGATCTACACCAATGAGTGAACAGGTATAGATTCAGGGGTCAGAACATATCCCATTCAGAGAGAAGTGACATGTAATGAGTTTTTTGTTTTTGTTTTTGTTTTTTGGTTTTTTTTTTGAGATGGAGTCTCACTCTGTTGCACAGGCTGGAGTGCAATAGCATGACCTTGGCTCAGTGCAACCTCTGCCTCCGAGGTTCAAGTGATTCTCCTGCCTCAGCCTCCCAAGTAGCTGGGATTATAGGTGCCTACCACCACACCCAGCTAATTTTTGTATCTTTAGTAGAGATGGGGTTTCGCCATGTTGGTCAGGCTGGTCTCCAACTCCTGACCTCAGGTGATCCACCCGCCTCAGCCTCCCAAAGTGCAATGAGATTTTTATTGGGTATTTTGGCAAAGAGTCACATACAGAGTCTTCTTTTTTAGACTTGAACCTGGAAGCATGTAGCCCTGGGATGATGAGAAGAAAGGCTATTAGGATGGCGCCAAAATGAGGAAATGGAGCTGAGAAATGGAAAGCAAGAGAAACTGGTGCTCTGTCATGCTCTTTGAACCCTGAATGAAACCTGAAGATCTGTTCCTGGTCTTTCATGTAAATGAGTCAATAAAATTCCTTTTTGAGGGGTTGAGGCCGGTCTGATGTGGGTTTTAAATCATCACTTATAATCCAAAGAATTTAAACTTTTTTACACATGGTCCATATGTAAACATAGTAACTCCTTTATTAGGAGCTTTGTTTTATAGACTTCCGGAAACAAGGTATCTCATAAAAGTTAAGGAATATTTTTTTCTTAGGAAAAACCCATAGAAATAAATCTTTACATATTAATTTAAATTCTTTTCATCAAAATTAGCCTAGTTTCATCATTTAAACACTATTATTTAACACTGGTCTTTTCCTCTATAAGATACTATCCCCCACTTTAGTTATGATTTGAAAAACTTAATGCATCTACCATAATTTGTTTATAATTCATAATTTATTCCTCACTTTTCACTATTCAGGCATGTGCCAATACTTCTATAGGATTGATACTCAGAAGCAGAATTACTGAGTTGAGGGGTCTGTAAACATTTTACATTTTAAGAGGTTCTGCCAGAGTGCCCTCCCAAGTGCATCCTTTTATACTACCACCAACAGTATTATGAGACTATGTGTGACAGTACCTGTTCTTTTCTTCCACATCTTTGCCAATACTGAATATTATCAGTCTTTTTAAGTTTTGCCATTCTGATGGTAGAAAAATTTGTCTACTATTTTCACGGGCATCTTCCTGATTAGTATTTAGCATAAGCATCTTTCATATACTTAGCATCCATTAAAGTTCCTAGGACTAGGAAAGTGTCTATTAAAAATTTTGTCTGGGGCTGGGCATAGTGGATCATGCCTGTAATCCCAGTACTTTGGGAGGCCAAGATGGGTGGGTCACCTGAGGTCAGGAGTTCAAGGCCAACCTGGGCAACATAGTGAGATCTTGTCCCTATAAAACAAAATTTGTCTGCATTGATTTGGTCAAATATTAATCAGAGCATGGAGCTAATTAGGTCAGGAATTTAATATCTGTATGTATCAAAATTCTGTTCCAAAACTGTATTCCTTAGTTCACTTGTCACCTTCAGTGGAGCGTAAATGTTTCCTTAAATCTAGTGTTCCAAGTAAAACACAGTTAAAAGCTCATGTTTTGGTAACAGCTCTGAAGTATCTATACACTTAAATATTTAATTCAGCCACTGCTTTAGAGAATCACTGCTTATAGTTCTTATTCTATGAAGACTAAAATGAAGTTTTGAGGTAACTCATTTTTGTAACTTTTCAAAATATTAAATATTTTAATAATATTTAATATTTTAATAATATTTAATATTTAATAATATTTAATATTTAAAAACATATATCATTATTTAGCAACACATTGAAATGACTGCTGGAAGTAGCTGCAATACTTCTTATTACCACTTTCCACAATGTTATATGAAACTGCCAGCAAAATCAACAAGATCATAATGCCTAATTCAAGCACAGTTTAACTGACATCTGAGAAAAGCTGTTTTGTTTTTTTTTTTTTTTGAGGTGGAGTCTCGGTCTTGTCACCCAGCCTGGAGTACAATAGTGCAATCTCAACTCACTGCGACCTCTGCCTCCCAGGTTCAAGCAATGCTCTTGCCTCAGCCTTCTAAGTAGCTGGGATTACAGGCACCCACCACCACGCCCGGCTAATTTTTTTGTAGTTTTAGTGGAGATGGGGTTTCACCATGTTGGCCAGGCTGGTCTTGAACTCCTGACCTCAGGTGATCTGCCCACCTCGGCCTCCCAAAGTGCTCGGATTACAGGTATGAGCCACCGCGCCCGGCCGAAAAACTGTTCTTAATAAAGCATAGCAGAAATGATTAGGGATAGGGCAGGAATCTTTTGACACCATGGCACTGGCAGTTCCTAGACGTGGTGCCAAAGGTGCAGAGCAGGGAGGCCTCTAGCTAAGAGGGTACACACAAAGCCCCATCACTTTACACTTGTGCTCTCTTATAGTCTTTACTCCTTCATAGCCAGCATGACTCCAACCACATTATCCTGTTGTGAATCCACTGTGTGAATTTTCAATGTAAAGTTTCCTACAATGTGCCAGATTACCCAATACAATTTACTTTGTCTAAATTGACATTAACTATTATTTTATAGCTTCCTAAAAAGGACTTTTGGCAGAGGCTATTAGTTACCTCTATTTTTGCCTTTTTGTTTTTCTCCTCATTAACAATCATAGGCAATGTGTCACACAGAAAAACTATATTTTTCAGACTTCTTTGCAGCTAGGTGTGGCATATGACTAAACTCTGGCTAAAGAGATATAAATCAAAGTGTTGTGTTTGACTTCAGGGGAGGCTCCTTAAGGGGACAGACAGCTAGGAAGCCCTTTTTTTTTTGCCTCCCTACTTTCCTTATTCCTAATGCCTAGAATGCAGATGTGATGGCTAGAGATTCATAGCTATTTTGGACCATGAGTTTACTTCAAGATGTAAACCAGTACAAAGGAAGATGGAGTAGAAAGACTTGGTGACTCTGTGTTGCTGCTGTGCCTCATCTGGAATGCTACGGATCCAGACTTCTAATGAACGACTAAATCTTTGTGTGTTGAAACCACTGCTATTTGGGGTTTTCTGTTGCATGCAGCCAAACCTAATCTTACATAATACAGAACTTTTGAACTCTAAGAAGTAGATGGGATATTTCTGCAAAGACCACTAAGTCTACCTTGGGGCTTTCTCTTTGGAGGCACAGAGAGATCACGAATATTTAAGCACGTAGAGGATCATGATATGAAAAAATACAAGCTCCACAAAATATGCCAATTTTGGTATCATTTTTACTACAATAACGATATTACAAAACTTCCAATACATGAGGGCAGATGAATAGATGGCTGAAAAGATGAATACACACAGAAATATCCATACGTTAAGGTATTGGTATTAGGATGTTGGAGTGTAAGACCTGATATATAAATGCAGCCATCTTTATAACTACGATAATTCCTATTGTTCCACAGTGATTGTTTTAGGAACTTTTCATCTCATTTGATCCTCTTGAGATGATGCAGCCACATGTTAACTTGGGAAAAGTTGGGAAAAATCAGAGCAAGGTGGACTTGTGGGCATAAACCCTAGCATTTCTCTCCAAAAGGGAAGTCTTGCTACAAAAGTTACAGGCCTAGCCAAGTGCAGTGGCTCAAGCCTATAATCCAAGCTACTTGGGAGGCTGAGATGGGAGGATCACTTGAGCCCAGGAGTTTGAGGCTGCAGTGAGCTATGATCCTGCCACTGCACTCCAGCTTGGGTGAGAAAGTAAGACTCCATCTCTTAAAAAAAAAAAAAAGTCACAGGCCTAAATAAAAGTGCTTGTTTTAAAGGGAGGACCAGACACACTTCAAATAAGGTGAGCTTCATCTTATTTTAAATAAGAAATCATCACTATGTTGTTTACACAGAGAAGATCACCATCCAAAGTACAGAATAGTAGGCAGTGGCTCCAGAGGCAGCAACATGCCCATCTTCTCAATTAATACACTGAAAATAAAGTGGCTTGAGCTTGGGAGGCTTGAGATGATATAACAAAATTGTTTGGAAAACAGTGCTTTCTTATGGACATTTGTTAGCTTAGTAATTTCTGGAAGTGGAGTTTTCAATTTAAAAATGCTAATGTTAAACCTTTTTTTCCTTTTGCCTTACCATTCCCATCACTGATCTTTGTCAAATGAGAAAATACCACATAATGTGAAAGCTTTCTGTAAAACTGTAAAGTGTTAGTCAATAATACTTTGTATTCTAAACTAGCTTTGCTTGGAGATAAACCTGGTCTCTCTCTCCCTTAAAAACTGCAATGAATTAACAGAATAGGGCCATTTTAGGCCCACCTCCTCTTTTTAAAAAATTTTTTTTAAAGCAGGGCTGACTTTATTACTAAAGTCAATAGGGTATCATGGTTTTGATTTATATCTTTCTCAACAGGTTAGCCATGAATGGCTAGTACAGCCATAAGACTTATATAGTTTATATTCCAGCTTGTTTTAGTATTCTACAGGCATGGCAGTCAAAATCCCATCCCCAACTCCACTCAAGTTCACTGTCAGCATACATATACTTCTCAATTTCCTATAATCATAGGACTTTAGGAAATTACAAGTGGCTGGCTCCTCAGTAGCAGAAGGCGGCACTTCCAGGGTAAACCCATGGAAATGAAGCTCTGAGAACATGCATGTCAGATCACAAAGCATAGTGTTAAGGCCACCAATAGTTTCTTACAGAACAGTTTCCTTTCCATAGTGATAAGAATGGAAGAAAAAGAAAGATCATCCTTACAACACACTTGTTCTCATCATCTTAATCTTTTCTGCTCCTTCTCCTCTACTGCACTAGGTCTCCCTAAACTCCTTCCACCATAGCATTCCCTACCCATTTCATTCCAGCCAGTGCTGTCCCATACTATGTACTTTAGCAGGAACCTGCACTTTTGGCTAACCACTACTGCCAACTTCAAATTTTCTTTGTTGAGATCCACAAGAAAATACCCTATATATGTGAGTGGAAAACCAACAAAACAAAAAACACACACATAGAGAAATCTGAGCCGACTAGGATAATCCCCAACTGAGCCAAATAGGCTAATCCCCATTTAAGTAAATGTAAGAATACAGTACCTGGTTGACAAAATAATCTGTACACCAAACATCTGGGTTATTAGTTTACATATGTAACAAACATGCACATGTACCCCTGAACCTAAAATAAAAGATTTTTTTTTAAAGTAAAGGTAAAGATACAGCAAACTGATTTCAAATTTTTGTTCTGTTTGAATTTTTAATAACATTTCCAGGTTATTTTATTATATAAGAGCATTAAAATTATTTGAATCATTTCAGGAAAATAACATTCAGCAAAGTTAGAGCTAAAGAACCTCCCTAGCTTCTTCCTTTTTAAAACTTGAACAAACCTTTGCTCCATGTCTATATATTTCTACACAAAAGCACAAATACCAGTATGTAATAATATTTTTAAAAATTGTTTGCTTTTTCTTTTCTTAAAAATCACAACATATATGCAGTTTATTACACCTACCTTAAATAAGTAAAATGTATTATGAGTTCTATTATCAGTCTTCTGAGAAATAAATAATAACCTGTAACTACTGCAGCCAAAGACACAGTTCTAGAATGGAGATGTTCTTCTGTAAGCCCCAGTCTGTGCTCACTCCTCAGTTTATCCTGGGATGTTTCCTTCTGGTTTCAAGGATTCTATTACTGAGATTTTAGGGTTTCACTTTTGTACATGCTCCAGGTATGGCCTATGGGTATGGTTTTCCCCACCCTCTCCTTGTTCCACCTCTCCTTCCTGCCCAGGTAACCAATGATAACAATCCAGAGTTTATCTTATCCTTCTAAAATTTATTTATCTGCTTTTATAATATTGCACAATTGCCTAGCACTTTTTGATACTTTAATACAAAGCATGCGAGACAAGAAAGGGAAATAACCTAAGAAGTTAGGAAACTGAGACTTAAATTTTATCTTCTTGATTTAATAATTCAATTATAATACTCAATATACTCACTGTTACTTATTAGGAACTTAATAGGTTGTATAAAATACAGGAAGTTTAAATATAAAAGAAAAGTGAGCAAAATTTCACCACCAATCCAACCATACCCTTACTTTAGCCCTTAAAACTACTCCCACCAAGCTTTGGGCCAGTGAAGAGAGATGGGAACAGATAAAGACACCTAAAAAGACTGAAAGCTTTCCAACACTAGTTTTGCTTCCACTTTAGCTCTGACAGTAATGTTGAGGGGAGGAGGGTGACAGAGGAAATGAAGTATCAAGATTTAGATGTTGCATGTAAAATGTTCAATATCATTTATAGGATGTTTTACTCTGGATCCATTAGTAATTATTACTGTCCCATGGAAAGATATTTCACCAAACAGGCCCAAGAGTAGTTGATACACGAGGTTCACTTTTAAGTCTAAAATTTTTGAACTCAGTCTTCCCGGACTTGTTCTTACATATTAAGCACTCTATATCTCATTAGGGTTATGGAATGAAACATTGCTTACTCTGAATATATATATATATTTATTCTAATGAGATATTTTTACTCATGACACTTTGACACCAAATGTGCGGACTTTTTTCCTCACACTAACCGCTGGTCCAACCAATCAACTGTCCTACAATTCAATTTAATTCTGACACTAATTAACTGTAGTTAACCTCAGATTCCACAGGTTTAAGGGTTCAGTCTCACACAACTGCCCTCACTTCAGACACCAGTTGCAGATATCAGTTACTGGGTTGCCCACAATTCTATCTAACTTGTCTACAAATTAGAGGGTTTCCATAGTGCCTCTACCCCACCCCAAGTTTCAATAATTGGATAGAATGACTCACAGAACTCAGGAAAGCACTTTACTTCCGGTTACTGGTTTATTATAGAAGATACAACTCAGGAACAGCCAAATGGAAGAGATGCATAGGACAAGGAGCATCCATGCGATCTCTGGGCATGCCACTCTCCCAGCACCCTGATGTGTTCACCAACCCAGAAGTTCTCTGAGCCCCGTCATTTAGTGGTTTTTAATGGAGGTTTCATTAAGTAGGCATGATTGATTAAATCATTGGTAACTGGTGATTAACTAAATCTTTAGCCCCTCTCTCCTCCTGAGAGGTTGAAGTGTGGAGCTGAAAGTTCCAAGCTTCTAATCAAGGCTTGGTCTTTCTGATGACCAGCCCTCATCCTGATGCTATCTAGGGGACAGCCAAGAGTCGTCTCATTAGAACAAAAGATGCCTATATCACTCTTATCACTTGGAAAATTCCAAGAGTTTTAGAAGCACTGTGGCAGGAATTAGCGACAAAGACCACATATCTTTCTATCATATCACAATTCTGGATCAGAAATATAATTCTAATCAAAAACAAAATGATTAACAATTATCTCAATAGGTAGTAAAAATACATATGCTCTAGTTATATTGGGAAAATATTCTATTATTGTTATTTTAATATAAAGTTCAATGCCTTTTTTAAAAATAAAAGGATCCTAAAAGCTAAATATGGTGATGGAGTATTACATAATTTGCTATTTAAAACCAAATTAATAATTTTTTGTTGTTTTTACCCAGGCTGAAATGCAATGGCGTGACCATAGCTCACTGTAACCTCAAACTCCTGGGCTCAAGCGATTCTCCTGCCTCAGCCTCCCAAGTAGCTAGGACCACAGACATGCCCCACCATGCCCAGCCAATTTTTCCATTTTTAAAATAGAGACCGGGTCTCACTTTGTTGTCCAGGCTGGTCTCAAACCCCTGGCCCCAAGCAGTCCTCCTGCCTTGGCCTCCCAAAGTGCTCGGAACACAGGCATGAGTCACTGCACCTGGCCTAAATTAATAATGTGATATAGATTTACATTAATAAGATTAAAAGCCACCTGAAAAACTACTAAAATCAAGAAATAAACCTGAAGTATAATTATTTAGAAGTTTAAAACTATTTAAGCCCTCACTCTTTGGGGGGGGAATTAAAATCTTATAGGTGGTTTATTAACCTGAATTGGGTCTGAGGTACTTGATTTTTATATATAAAGTGTTCAGGTTTTTTTGTGTATTTGGTTGTACAAAAACGAACCCTGAAATTCTACTAAAAAGAAGTTCTTGGCCGGGCGCGGTGGCTCATGCCTGTAATCCCAGCACTTTGGGAGGCCGAGGTGGGCAGATCATGAGGTCAGGAGATCGAGACCATCCTGGCTAACACAGTGAAACCCCGTCTCTACTAAAAATACGAAAAATTAGCTGGGCGTGGTGGCAGGTGCCTGTAGTCCCAGCTACTCGGGAGGCTGAGGCAGGAGAGTGGCATGAACCCGGGAGGCGGGAGGCGGAGGTTGCAGTGAGCCGAGATAGCGCCACTGCACTCTGGCCTGGGCGAAAGAGCGAGACTCCGTCTCAAAAAAAAAAAAAAAAAAAAAAAAATAGAAGTTCTTAAGTGGTCTAATGTATACAAAATAACATAGCAGAGGGCCTGCCACATGGCAGACAATCAACAAATATTTAATTTTCTTCTCTTTCCTTTCCTGTAGGTAGATATATTATCTACCTTATGAGTTAGGTTAAAAGAGTGTTAATCATGATACCAGAGTGAAAAAAATTAAGATTAAAAAAATGAAAAAGAATCGAGAGTGGTAAATAAGAGCTGAAATAAACACCCTATGCACTGTTATCAGGTACCCATCTTTGGGTGTTCGAGGTTTAAAAAGCGCTTAACCACATAAAACAGAAGCACCTGTGGATGTTTGTGTTCTATTATGTATACTTCTACAGAGAAATGACAAAGCATGATAATAGAACTGAAATGAAGAAAACTCCATCATTAAAGTCATTTATTTACAACAGATTATCAGTAGGACCGTTTTATCTAACGGACCATTTTATTAGGAACAAAAAAATAGCCTATTTTTTTCTGGAAAAGCATGTGCTATTTTCAAATGAACAAATGATGTTAGGTCCCCATGAAAGAAAATATATTTAGTAAATTATTATAATGATGGCTTGGGAAATAAAAGACTTCAGGTGATACTTTTATTTTTTTGCTTAGATGAATACACTTAGCTTAATGTGTTTTGAGTATCTTGGTACTATGGTGACAGGAAACATAAATATATAAAATTGGTTTTCCTGGTAAATAATGAAACGTGATCTATCTTAACAGAATTAAAAAAGAAATAACTTTGTGAAAAATATGTCAATACATCCATACCTAGTGATAACAAATAATGTAGAAATTTGGAAATGCTTATTTTTTTCCCTTCCAGTTTATACTGAAATATCAGTGAGGATTCCCTCAATAACACAGAAGAGGAACAATAGCCAAATAGGCAAAAAGGCGAGAGGCTTGGGAGGAAGTTTTGAAATTTCAAGGGAAAATGCCCCATAGACTCACTCCATTTTAAAACTTAAAAGGACTTGTAGAGATCATGGATGGTTCACAGTTTTCATCAATATTTCATCAACAGAATTTCATTTTTAAAGGTTTGTGTTTTTATGTTTCAAGTCTTTAATTAGAAAGAACACATACCTTCAAATGTGTTAATATACCACATTTTAACACTCTGGAGTCCATCAATGCATTGACTTGAGTTACCAATTTAATTAGTTTTTGTATACAATTCAGAATAAAGCTTTTCCATCATCTCTGATTCACTGAAGAAAGTTGTAAGATGGCAAGATTAAAAATTTTTATCATTTGTCTTCATGATTCAGGATTTTCTTGATACCATGTATCCGAAATGATATGTAAACAGATTGGATATTGAGGCTTCTGCTATTTGTTCTATTGAATGTGAACAGATATCCTCTAATTCAATAAGTTTAGGAAATACTGATTAACAAATTTAAATAGAATTCTTTATGATTTCTCATAAAGAGGGAGAGGGAGAATTCGCTTTTAAATTTCTGGCTGAGAAAATGTGAAAGCCACCACTCTTTTTTTTTTTTTTGAGACAGAGTTTTGCTCTTTGCTCTTGTTGACCAGGCTGGAGTGCAGTGCAGTGGCATGATCTCAGCTTACTGCAACCTCCGCCTCTCGGATTCAAGCAATTCTCCTGCCTCAACCTGCTGGGTAGCTGGGATTACAGGCATCTGCCACCATGCCTGGCTAATTTTTTGTATTTTTAGTAGAGATGGGGTTTCATCATGTTGGCCAGGCTGGTCTTCAGCTCCTGACCACAGGTGATCCACCCACCTTGGCCTCCCAAAGTGCTGGGATTACAAGCATGAGCAACTGCGCCCGGCCAAGGCCATCCCTCTTATATCCCACAATTAGAAGCAGTAAATTCAGGTCTGGGCATGGTGGTGCATGCCTGTAATCCCAGAACTTTGTGAGGCTGAGGTGGGCAGATCACTTGAACTCAGGAGTTCGAGACCAGCCTGGGCAACATGGTGAAACTCCCTCTCTACAAAAAAAAATTAGCTGGGCATGGTGGCATATGCCTGCACTCCCAGCTACTTAGGAGGCTGAGGCAGGAGGATCACTTGAGCCTGGGAGATCGAGGCTGCAATGAGCCGAGATCGTGCCACCACACTCCAGCCTGTGTGACAGAGCGAGATTCTGTCTAAAAAAAAAAAAGAAACAGTAAGTTCAGATAAAGGAGATAGTATTAACTAACCAAAATCCCATTTACCATTTGTTAAATTCTTCACCACAAATTCCATTATAGCCTATAAGATCTAGGTATGTCCACCTCTTAAGACAATCAAAGTAAATCCAGTTTTAAAACAGCAATCTTTTAAATCACGTTCATGCTTTCATTTACTTATTCATTCATTTATTTATTCAATGAGCATTTATTGGAAAGCTATGGTGTGCCAGGCATTGAAGAATATAAGAAGTAAGAGTTCATAAAAGTTCTCTGAAATCAAAGATCTTCTTAGTCTATCAGGAAATAAAGATGATGTAACCAGCAATTATTTATAATATGGAGTGATATGCATAATATTTGACAATCTATTTGATCTATTTGCACAATATGTAGAATCTAAACACTTATAAAAGTAAATGGAATTGAATATTTTCTTTTTTTTTTACCTTGTCCAAATTTTGTTTTCTCAAACATTGATTTGTTTGGTTCCTGTACTGGGTCATCTAAACAAGCAACTTCTGAAAGTGAAACAAAACGTTAGTAATAATTTTGCTGAATTAGGGGACTGCTCTGGTCAAATCAGGATGATGGTCACCCTACCGATGGGAAATACAAATAGCTCTTCCTTGACATTTTAGGAGAGATGATTTAAAAAATAAAATAATAAACTAAAAATGGCTCTTCCTACTTCCCCTTATTTCCCCAAAAACAGTATTCTAAAAAGTATGGTCATCAAAAAGCATAAGAGAACAGATTATGTTTGTGACCTGAGGTAGGCTGATGAAAGCCACACAAAATTATTTTTTTTTTTTAGACTTTCTGGTCTCTACAGTGTCAGAGCCATGATTTCCATGATGATATTTCGATATGCAGAAGAGGGAGAAAGATTCTCTCCTGAGAGTTTTTCTTGTAATAGGGTTAGAGAGTTTTGCATTGTCCTAACTTGCCAGGTCTCTGGGTTTCTGTCAGGTACCACAAAACCAGCTACAGAAGAATTCTAATTAAGGAGATTCAGACAAAATTCCAACAGCAGCCTACAGAATGCCAGCAGGGCTCTGCCTATAGATTCTTAGGTCCAGACCAAGGTAGCAAGAAGCTGGTTGGCACACTGCTACCTCCATGGTTCTTAAATTAACATTAAAATTTCCTTTTCTTTTTTTTTTTAAGACAGAGCTTCGCTCTTGTCACCCAGGCTGGAGTCCAATGGCGCAGTAACATAAAAATTTTCTGAAATATCTAATGGAAAGAAAAATCAGGATTTGTGAAAATAAATAAATAACAGGAAACTGTTTATATTACAGGCAACAGAAATAGCAGTTCAGAACCCATTTCTGACTTCATGCTCACTTAAAAGGGAGATTGTGTGCCCTCTGAGGAAGGAGATACCTATCTAGGGTTGGAAATGCCTGCCTAGAACTAGAAAATCTGAGGAACAGATGACCTTCATGATAGAAGGAAATACTTACTGCTCTGCTTCAACTCTTAGGTTAGAAACCAGAAGAAGAAAGCATTTGTTTGGTTTTCCTTCAAGTGTGTGTTTGGGGTGGGTGGTGGGGAGGAGGCAGAGAGAGAGAGAGACAGAGAGAGAGAGAGAGACAGAGAGAGAGAGAGAGAGAAAGGGATGGAGCAACGGGGGCGGAGAGAGAGAGAGAGGATAGAGTACTTTAGCAATTCCAATTCCACCCTCAGGAATCAAAGTAAAGGGGTGAATATCAAGGACTGTCAAATTATTATTTGCACAAGAAATCAAATACTATTAGTCATCCAAAGTCTATAGTCAGGCTGGCTGTGTAAGAGTCACTTTAAAAAATTCAGGTTACTGGGCCTTACCCCATGATTTGATTAGGTAGATTAGATAGGTAGTCAGCTTAGGAACCAAAGGCCATGAACTACTACAAGAACTCTTTTCAATTTCTTAAGCCCTTTAACTTCCCCACAGTTATTAATGTTACCTGTTTTAATGTTACCAGTTATTAATATTACCAGTTATTAATGTTATCTGTTTCCCAAAAATGATGAAAAACACTTTTGAGGCTATCTTCAGAAAACTGTGGAGAATGCACCCTATTAATGGAGCCAGTTTTTATGACAGAGGAGGATCCTGAGAAATTAGGGTGCAAAAGTTAGGAAAGGAATGTAGTTTGAATTATTGGGGCTTGTTATAGGAAAGGAACAGTCCCAGGGAGGCCCTGGGTAGGGACTTGGTGATAGAAACCCTGTTTAATTCTTGGCCCTGGTTATCACAGTATCATCATTTTTTGTTTTGTACCTCCTCTCTTCTGTATTGTCCCCAAATGGTCAAAGACAGGGACACTAGGAAAAAAAAGAGGGGATGCTGTAGCATAGGAGGGTAATATAACTGTAGTTATGGCTGTTATTCAGAAATGTGTGCTGCCTTTTTCCAGATCATTTCAAAATCTGCTGCTCACTGGTGAAGACTACATTCTCTTTAGTTTACTCAGGCTAAAGGCTATTCCATCTGATAAAGGGTATTAGTTTACTCTAATAAGCAAAGATTTATTTTAATGCTTATTTTTAGAAAATAAACAAAACCAAATCATGTCTTCAGAAAGAAAAACAACACTCATTTTTTCCTTTTATATGATACTTAAAAATCTATCCAAAGTAAGTACAGCATAGATTCAGAGAAAGGAATTGTGAGGGATGGGGTAATTTCTTAAATTCTGCTAGAATTAACTAAGGTTAAAAATTGAGTGCTATAAAACAAACAGAAAATAACAAGTATTGCAGAGATGCAGAAAAACTGGAACCCTTGTACATTCCTGCTGGGAATGCAAAATGATTCAGTTGCTATGGAAAACAGATTCGCTGTGCTTCCTACATAGAATTACTATGTAATAAATATTGAGTATCCTTAGTCCAAAATGCTTGGGACCAGAAGTATTTTGGATTTTAGATTTTTTCAAATTTTGGAATATTTGCATATACATGAGATATCTTGGGGATTGGCCCAAGTCTAAACATGAAATTCATTTATGTTTCATATACACCTAAACACAAATCCTGAAGGTAATTTGATCCAATCTTTTTAATAATTTTGTACATGAAACAAAGTTTTGACTGTGACTTGTCACGTGAGGTCAGGTGTGGAATTTTCCACTTGTACTAGCATGTCAGCACTGAAAAAATTTCAGATTCTGAGATTTCAGATTTCGGATTTTTGAATTAAGGATGTTCAACCTGTATAATAATTCCACTCCTAGGCACACACCTAAAAGAATTGAAACCAGGTGCTCAAACAAATATACATATGTCTATTCATAGCAGCACTATCTCTAATAGCTAAAAAGGGGAAAGCAGGCCAGGCCAGGCATGGTGGCTCACACCTGTAATCCCAGCACTTTGGGAGGCTGAGGCGGGCAGATCACCTGAGGTCAGGAATTTGAGACCAGCCTGGCTAACATGGTGAAACCCCGTCTCCACTAAAACTACAAAAAATTAGCCGGGCCTGGTAGTGTGCACCTGTAATCCCAGCTACTCGGGAGGCTGAGGCAGAAGAATCACTTGAACCCAGGAGGCAGAGGTTGCAGTGAGCTGAGATTGTGCCATTGCACTCCAGCTTGGGCAACAAGGGCAAAACTCTCGTCTCAAAAAAAAAAAAAGTTGGGGGGGAAGCACCCTAATGCCCATCAAAGGATGAGTGGACAAATTATGGTAAATCCATATAATGGAATATTATTCAGTCACAAAAAGGAATGAAGTATGGATACATGCTATGATGTAGATGATCCTCAAAAACATTATACTAAGTGAAAGAAGTCAGACAAAAAGGGTCACATATATTGATTTCATTTATATGATATATTCAGAATAAGTAAATCCATACAGACAGATAGCAGACTGGTGGTTTCCAGAAATCGGGAGGAGCAGAGAATGGGAAACAACAGCTGAGTGGGTACAGGGTTTCTTTTTGGGGTGATCAAAGTGTTTTAGAATTATATAGAGGTGGGTGGTTGCACGACATTGTGAATTTACTAAATGCCACTGAATTGTTCACCTTGAAATAGTTAATTATAATGATTGTTAATTTCACATCAATGAGAAAAAAGACAAAATAAAATGAGTGCTTTTCCAGTAGGTTTTGGTGTTTTATCCCACAACGAAGAAATGAGTGTTGTTCTGTACATACCTGGAAGACAAGGTTGATATTGCTGAGGTACTGAGTTTGGTTCTGGAAGTATGGGTGCATCCTCAGAAACATACCTTAAAAGCTCCTTCCCAAGATACGTTACCTGCACATAATTAAGCACAAAATTTATAAATCATACATTCTGTAAGAAGGAAATACACCTATGTCCTGAACATTGTAATTTTTATAAGGTTTTGATTGTTGTATGTTGTGGATTAGCAAGCTTCAGTCCATGGCCAAATCCCACCTGCAACCTTCTTTTCTGTAAATAATGTTTTATTGGAAAACAGTGATGCTCATTCATTTACTTAACATCTATGGCTGCTTTCATGCTATAACATAATTGACACAGACCACACGTCCATGAAGCCCAAAATATTTACTATGTGACCTTTTACAGAAAAAAATGTGTTGACCCTTGTTGTGTGATATTAATTCACTCACCTATTCACTTATTCAACAACTATTAATCCAGCATCTGCTACTTTATAACTTTAAAAATTTAATGTTACATTAATAAAATTAAGCTATAAAAGTAATGGTACTTTTCAAGAAATCACATATTTAACTGATTAAATTAATAACATTTCAGGTCTAGACATCCATTTTTTTTGGTTGTTTGTGAACTTAGCTATATCATTATCAGTGCAAATGGTCAGAGCTTAGAAATATCTACACACAAAAAGGCAGGGATGAGGCAGAACTGGTAAATTCTGCCAGAAATGTTCTGGGCCCAAGGGTCTTTGGGTTCTTTACTCTTAGCTTGAGGACAATCTATTAACATACCTCCAGAGGTTAGTTCACTGTGGGCAAAGCATCAAGATTCAACTTGAACATCCCTTCCTCCAGGATGCCTCCCTATAACCTCTAGTTTCAAGGAATGATCCTCCTCTAGGTTCCCAAAGCTTCTTTACTCATATTTCTGTCATGGTACTTACCTCATATAAATGAAATTATGTTTTAATACATCTGTTTCTATTAAACCATAAGCTCCTTGAGGACAGGTCTATATCATATTCATTCAAATACCCTCAGCAGTTCACAGAGTGCCTGACGATACTGGATAAAAGACTCTGAAGTCCCGGCTCCTTTTCTTTTCTTTTAATTTTTTTTTTTTGAGAGAGTCTTACTCTGTCACCCAGGCTGGAGCAGCACACTGGCATGATCTTGGCTCACTGCAACCTCCACCTCCTGAGTTCAAGCAATTCTCATGCCTCAGCCTCCCATGCCTCAGCCTCCCATGCCTTAGCCTCCCTAGTAGCTGGAATTACAAGTGTGCGCCACCACGCCTGGCTAATTTTTGTATTTTTAGTAGATACAGGGTTTTGCCATGTTGGCCAGGGTGGTCTCGAACTCCTGACCTCAAATGATCCACCTGCCTTGGCCTCCCAAAGTGCTGGGATTACAGGTGTGAGCCACCGTGCCTGGCTGTGAAGTCCCAACTCTTAAGCAAGATTCTCAAATTCCCTAAGCCTCAATTTGTGTTTGTAAAAAAAGTGCCTCCAGCTTATTAAATTGTTATGAGGATTAAAAGAGATAATGCATGAAAAGCATCTGGCATACTGTCTAGCACATTCCGAGTACTCAATAAATGTTAAATTGAACAGAGTGAGAAAGGTCTAGGGGATCTTAAAGGTACAGATACCCTTTGGACTCAATCCTATGACCAAACAAAGCCTGGCAATGAAAATGGAACAGACCTGGCCTACTCAATGTGTCAATCCCTTCTCACTTGCCATAGAAAGTAGAGGAGAGGCCCCTGAATGCCATTTGTCAGTTCTCCAAACAACCAGTTATTGGAAACAATAGATTTTGTATGTGTTATGCCCTGACAATGTCCAACACATCTCATAAATCCATCAAAGTGCAGGCTCAGTATGTTCTCACCTATATCTCAGACTTTAAAAATATTTTTATTAGTTAGTGCTGGGCAATATAAGGTGACTTACATATTCCACTGCAGGTAATTCAGACAAAGAACAGAGTTTTAAGAATATCCACTGAGTTAAAAATCTATTTTCCATTAGGTAGGAGTGATTTATTGAACAGGTTAATGAATAGACCTCAGAATGAACAGACACTAGATCACTTCTAGAAAATGTGCATTTCATATTAATGTCATGAAAAACCTCCAGTTGGCTAAAGCATAAGGGCAGTCATTACATTTGTGTATGACTCAAACTCTGAATCCTGAACTAAATTTCTCTGGATTCAAATCTAGCTCATATGCCTACTCTGACAGAGGCATGGTAGGAAGAGCTGGAGGCTAAGTTCTCAGGCTTTTGGACAACATAGCCTCCAGTGATCTCAGCAACTTCACTGTCCAAAACCCATTTTGATGAAGGGCAGCTGATAGGATGCCAGATGAGAACATGTAAGAGAGATGGAGCTTAGTGTAAGGCATGTTCGGTGAGGATATCTGTAGGTTGTTGTGTTCTTGCTTTGCTAAAAGGTAGAACTGGAGGGGTGTTTTGTCCTAAGGCCACTGATGCTTTCCCTGAAGCTCTTACAACACTCCATTATTCCTTAGAAATTAGTCTATGCTGATTCTCCAATATCATACTAGGGAAAAAGTAGGGAGTGTAGAATGTGTGTGTGTACGCGCACGTGTGCACGCATGTGCATACACACACACATGCATGTTTGAGGAAAATAGATGACTCAGCCAGCCAGTATTCTGGAAATGTAGTTAATGAGCCAAGTGAAATTATTAATTAACTTTATTTTGGTAAGGTCTTTGGAAGAAATAAAGTGCAGTATTGTCATTATTAATTGCCATAATAAATATTTCTGTACATCTTATGTAATAATATGCATCAAAAAAGAATGAAACATAACCCACCTTTGCATATACTTCCCTTCTGGGACTCCATTTTATTTGAAAGTATCATCCCATTTTTCATATATCTTCAGAAAAACCATTTGTTGGTATTGACTAATAGAAATCTGTTCGTGGATGGCCAGGCATGGTGACTCATACCTGTAACCCCAGCACTTTGGGAGGCCGATGTGGGGGGATCCCCTGAGGTCAGGAGTTTGAGCCTGGTCAACATGGTGAAACCCCGTCTCTACTAAAAATACAAAAATTAGCCAGGCATGGTGGTGCATGCCTGTAGTCCCAGCTACTTGTGAGGCTGAGGCAAGAGAATCACTTGAACCTATGAGGCAGACGCTGCAGCGAGCTGAGATCAGGCCACTGCACTCCGGCCTGGGCAAGACAGCGAGACTCTGGCTCAAAAAGAAAAAAAAAAAGAAAGAAAAGAAATCTGTTCATGGATGATCAAATAACTACTTTTATTCCATTGCAAGTTTTAAGAAGTCAATCTTACAAAGTTTCACTGCTCCAAGAGGAGTAGAAGGAAGAAAGAATAATTGCTTTTTATCTCAGGGTGGAAAAAGCAAAGAAACCAATAAAAAACTGTAGGTTTTCTTTTAAATTCATTGTAACACAAAATACATTGTGGCTAAGAAAATAAAAATATTTCTCAAATAAAATATTTCTTTAGGAATTCATAATATAAGACAGAAAGTAGTTTCAAAGTGCAAAAACTGCCTTGGAAGAGCTGTTTCTATGGAAATGATGATGCAGGTAAAGCTCACCTTCATGGTACCAACCTCCCCATTCCAGACTCTTTTTTCATACTCCCAACACTCTATGTAGCTAGACGCAAGAGAAAGCCCTTCACATTATTTCTATTTTCAGGATCCAAAACTCCTGGATATTTGTATTTTAAAAGAGATCACATATCTAACCATCTCCTTCCTCTTCTTTCTGTTCTAAAATGTAGCTGAGTAGAAGCTAGGTTCATAGGAGGTTTAGGACACATTGAGAGTGTGAGTAATTGACAGAATAAGGCTGTCTGTCGAGATGAACAATTTCCATCAGTTTCTATGCTCCCACCCCAACCTTTCCATATCTTGATATTCCTAATCATGATGGTGAGAGGAGTTGTTCTTGAAAAGTATGTGTGGGGGGTGAGGGGAACCACAGAAAAAAGTGATCACTAAATCCAAAGGAATGGAAAGGGTGGAAATAAGGATGGAAATTCAGGGAGGCATCCGGATGGGAAGTATGTTTGCAGAAGAGATCTGTCTAGTGTTCCTTGAAGCACTGCCTAAAATAGCAGCCTACTTTTCATCTGCAGTAATTCACTGTTGAGTATTTACAAAAATAAACCATCATTTCCATTCTTATGATTCTTATGATTTTCATCCTGCAACTGTATCACAGAAAGGCATTTTTCCTGTGGAAGTGGGCAATAGTTGCTGCACATGACTAAGGCTTTGCATACATTCATAAAGGTGGCTAGATTGTACTGTGTGCTCTTTTGAGTTCAGAGCAACCTGTTTCTAATGAAAGGAACGTGTGCCTCTCTTGTGCCTTCATAAATACAGAAAAGAATGTACAGGGAATCAGAAGATCAGGTTCTAGTCCTGGTTCTGGCTGGCCTTGAGGCTAAATCAGGTCACTTAACTTCCCAAACCTTTGTTTTCATATCCATGAACAGAAATAATAGTTGATCTTCCTGCCTGATAAAGTTGTTGCGTAAAACTGCTTTATAAATCAAACAGTGCTATTCAAGCTCCACAATCGCTACGTTGGAAGGGTCTTTAGATATCACCTAGCACTACTTATTTTATACATAAGAAAGCTGAAGTTCAGAAAGGTGAAATGGCTTGACCTAGATTAATCATTCTTACTGAGGCTGCACATTAGAATTGCCTGGAATGCTTTTTCAAATATTGCCACTTGATCCCCACCTAGATATTAGATCAGAAGTTATGGGCTTGGAGTCTACTAGGCACTAGTGGTTTCTAAAGGCCCTCAAGTGATTCCAATGTGATCGAAAACCATTGCCCAGATAATATAACTTATAAAGAGTGGAACCAGGAACTAGCTTGGTCTGCTGCCTCCCACCCACAAATCACTCGGCCACACCAGAATGTTGTCCAACAGCTGGGAGGCTGCAGGAGAGAAGTCAGTGATGCCCTCTCTGAGTAAGCATCAGGATTTCCTTGGCAAAGCTGTTCAGCAACTGCTTGGGTTGGGAGTTTGAGTCATCTCTGCACCTACTGGCTCTGTCACTCTGTCAGATACAGGGCAATACCTTGTTTTCTGGCATTCCTTGCCTGACCACCAACCACTCCTGGTCCCATACCACCCCCACCACTCTCAGAACTAGTCAGTAGAAATGTTCACATTTACCCATGTAGCAAAAAGCTCCTTTCCTCAAGAAGTGACTGAATTCAGGAGTTACTCCAAGACAAGAAGAGGCAGAGGTTTCTGTGGTAAACTTTAAAAGACTTTAAAAGAGCCTTTTAAATATTGTAAAGAAAATCACTAGGGTAATGTTTCTCAGCTTGGGGTATTTACTAGAAGTACATCAGTGCCCATAGTAATTTTTAAAACTCCGTTTTCATTTTTTTGATAATCTAAAGAAAATAAGCCTGTTTAGATAATCTGTAGGAATATTTTATATCTGATAATTGCCCTACTTTTAGTGCCCACATTTGCATGTGGCTTCACTATCACATAGGTGCTAAACAGTGTAACTCTAATTGACATGGCTATGAGAAAATGCTAGAGTCAATGAGATATGTAAATGAGGCATTAGTACAGAGTAAGGGCCAAATGATGTTACAGCCAGCTATTCAAAGGCAGGAAATAACAGTAGTTCTAATGGAGAAACAGAGTGGGCAAATGGAGTCATTACCAGGCACACTGCAGCACAGGCATGTTGAGCTCAAAAGAACCTAAGCTACAGCATTCAGTATGCTATCTGTCCTGTGAGCTAAGATTCAGTTTCAGCAAAACAGTATAATCTATCATAAGTGTAAGAAACCTTGTAACAAAAAGGGATTTTCATGGGCAAGATGCTAATTACTAACATTTAGATATGAATTAAGAATCCATGGAAAGGATAGGGTAAAGGGGCTAAGACGAACTGAAAGCAGATGGCCTGGTGACTCCAGGAGTGGGAAACCAAAACAAACTTTGGGAAAAAGTCAGACAGACCATATAGCAGATAGAATCCAGAATGTGCTGATGTAAGTGAAGGAACTGAAACAGTGCTAGATACACTTGCCAACGAGGTCTAGGAGACCAGAATGCAGGGTTGGGGCACAGAATCTGGGACACAGAATATAGACTTTAGGGGCACAAAGGGGACTGGGAGGGAGAGTGGGCAGACCTGGGTTAAACAAAAAAGAGGAGAGAAAGCTATGCTTCCTATTACTGGTACACTGAGGTTTACTGTAATAGTAGAGGTTGAGTGTATCTTCTAGTCTTCGAAACAGTCATGGCAGATGTCTGAAGATTCAGACTTTCCTGAAGAATAATTTTAAGACTGTCCCTGAAGTCTGCAGGTGGATGAACACTAGACCTCAAGAACATCAGTCATTACTGGGCTTATAACTCAGAAGCCAGAACTGACAGGGAGGCTACTAAGTCTAGGAGGTCTAAATGAAAGTAATTCATTTTGAAGGGCTAGCAATTCATGGATAAGGACATGTTCAAACATAAAAATACATGATAATATCTGAGGGCCTTAGGCCTCTTGCCCATTTCTTTTGTATTTAGGAGATTTTGCTTTACTTCATTAGAATAATAACATATTAACTAAGTTACCAATACACCAGTGGTTCCAAATTTTCCATACAAAGACCTGAAATCCCTTGGGAGATCAAATGGGAAGATTAAAGGCATTAAAAGTTCTGAGACTAGATAAGGAGTAAGAAACGGAAGGTGCAGTCAGCTATGCAACCATGCCCATGGGGAATTCTGGCAAATAGGACTTGTGGGAGAAAGTGATGTGTTCATTCTGTGACATGCATGTAGCATGATATGCATACAGCATATACAGAATGAACACATGAATACAAAACTAGCTTGGAGATCTTTCAGATTTCCTTAAAAAATACTTTCATCACAAAAATATGTACTTTTCCATTTGAATATGAAGTTAAAGATAAACTTAAGAATGACCCACCTTACTCCAAGCATAATTCCAGGTCACATAACTGTTGCCTCCCAGAAGATCCTTGAGCCAGGTGACTGGGTTTTTATAAATCTGACCACTTTCTACCTTAAGTTTACCATTCAATAAAATACTGGCTTTGTGGGTAGTCTCCTGAAGTGAAAAATAAAACAGAAATTAAGGTCAAAAATAGCTGAAATATGTGAATTTTTGCTTCTGGCCATGACAAAGTAACAGGGACCACATATACCCTAACACCTGATGTATTTTTGTATATAAATTTAATGTATCTAGAAATGGTCATAAGGGCATGCAGCAAATGATGAACCATCTAGTCAACAAAATCTACAAAAATCAGATTAAAAAGGTGAGAGTCTATGGTATTTGAACCAAGACTGCATCCTCCCTCCCCACTCCCAGCTCTGTGAAGTGGAGACTCCACTCTAGATTGCTGTAGTCAAGACTACAGGGCTCCCTGTTACAGGGCTGTCTTCCTGGGAGGGGCATAACTTCAGCATTTCTCATCCTGCCCCCAGCTACTGTTGCTAAGGCTAAGTTGCCAGCAGCTATAACCAAAGGGTAGAGGCTCCCTTCTCCTGCCCAGCTCTGAGTGGTGAGACAGAGGCTCCACCTTTGGCACGGCACCACGGAGAATGCTGGGATCCCAATCACCCTTGCCTTGGCTTGTAAGGTGGTGGTTTCACATTGGGAGAGGCAAACGGAAAACACATGAAGCTACTGCCTCCCCTCCACCGAATGCTCAGCTCCTAAAGCAAGAGTATCACTTGAAAAATCACCTTTGGCCCCACCCTCAGCTCCAGGGCCATGGCTCAGGGATTCTGCCTGAGAAGAGAAGCAAGGCTTAGAACAGATAGCTCCTAATCTCCTCCCGAAGGAACTAACTTCATTTGCAACAGAGCATGAAGAAGTTCAAGCTCAAGGGCACTATCAGAAATAGTAGAAGTTGTGGTAAAAGGCAATTGTGAGTAGACTGGTAGATTCATTTGAGATGTAGGCTAAGCTGTAGGCAGGCGAGTTTGTAAGAGACAACTGGGAAAAGAGCTGGCAGGAGCCTTCCTAGGTTCATAATAAACTTCAAACACTGACCTTGGGAACTATCCCTTCAAAGGAGCCCACCTTTGCTTGGATTAGTCTGTAGAGCAATTTGTCCCCCTAGGACATTGTTGAAAACAATAAAACAGTCAATGGGCAGTAAGTGGAGCTTAAGAGCCATGGGTGGTCAGGGAGGTCAGGGAAAGAGGTGGCCAAGGCTTTAGTCCCTGAGGCTCAACATTGGAAGTTTAGCACTGAAGTGGGGACTTCACTAAAACAATCTAGCCAGTAATTAAACAAACAAGCAAATAGCAATAAGAAGTCCAAGAGAAGGTGGGGTAGAGTTGCTACAATGCATTGTCTAAAATGTCCAGTTCCAACAAAAAGTTATGAGACATACAAAGAAACAGCAAAGTATGACACACACACTGGGAAAAAAAACAGACAAGAGAAACTGCCTGTGAGAGTGACCAGACACTGGATTTAACAAAGACTTCAAAATAACCATTATAAATATGTTCAAGGAACTAAAGAAAACCATAATTAAAGACATTAAGTAAGGAATGATGACAAGGTCACATCAAATACAGAATATCAATAAAAAAGAAAAATTTATTTAAAAAGAACCAAATAGAAGTTATGGAGTTGGAAAATAAAATAACTGAAATAAAACATTTACCAAAGAGGCTCAACAGATTTAAACTGGCAAGAGAAAGAATTAGTAAACTTGAAGATATTGATACAGAGTATGCAAGACAAAGAAAAGAGAATAAAAATGAAAATGTCTCAGAGAAATATGGAACACCATTAAGCATACCAATATATGCATAATGAAGGAGAGGAAAAAGAAGCAGAAAAAATATTTGAAGAAATATATGCCTAAAAACTTCCCAAACTGGCCGGGCACGGTGGCTCACACCTGCAATTCCAGCACTTAGGGAGGCTGAGACAGGCAGGTCACCTAAGGTCGGGAGTTTGAGACCAGCCTGGCCAACGTGGTGAAACCCCTGTCACTACTAAAAATACAAAAATTAGCTGAGCATGGTGGCAAGCTCCTGTAATTCCAGCTACTTGGGAGGCTGAGGCAGGAGAATCGCTTGAACCTGGGAGGTGGAGGTTTCAGTGAACTGAGATTGCACCACTGCACTCCAGCCTGGGCAACAAGACCAAAACTGTGTCACAACAACAACAACAACAACAAAAAAAACTTACCAAACTTACTGAAAAGCATTAATCTACACATTCAGGAGGCTCAATGACTCAAGTAGGATAAATGCAGAGATCCACAGACACATAGTAAAAATATCAAAAGTCATAAGACAAGGAGAAAATATTAAAAGCAGCAGGAGAAAAATAACTCATCATTTACAAGGGAAACTCAAGAAGATTAACAGCTGTGTTATTATCAAACAATGGAGGCCAGAGGCAGTGGAATGACATATTCAAAGTGTACAAAGAAAAAACTATTAACTAAGAATCCTATATCTAGGAAAACGATCTTTTAAAAATGAAGGCAAAATAAAGACATTCCCAGATAAACAAAAACTGAGAGACTGAGAAAATTGGTTGCTAAGAGATCTGCCTTACAAGAAATAATAAAGGAATTCTTCAGGTTGAAAGCCAATGACCCTATAGGCTAATATGAATCCACATGAAAAAACATACAGTACCAGTAAAGGTAATTATGTATTATAAAAGACAGTATAAATGCATATTTCTTCTCTTTTTGTCTCAACAGATTTTGAAAAGCAATTATAAAAAACAATAGATACAGAAGTTAGTGCTGGGCCTATAACTTATAGAAATGTAATATATTTGCCAACAGTAGCACAAAAGAGGTAGGTGGGAGCAAAGCTTTATTGGGCTAAGGAAATGACTCCACATGGTAACTCAAATCTACAAAAATAAATGTAACAATCCAGAAAGGATAAATAAGAAGGTAGGTATAACAAAAGCTATAAATATGTATTGCTTTCCTTTCTTCCATCAGCTTCTTTAAAAGTCACAAAATTTTACAAAGCAATAATTATATCAACGTATTGTTGGGTTTATAAATTTATAAACATAATATGTATAACAATAATATCATAAAAAGGAAAAGGAATAATGCTCTACAGAAGTAACATTTCTATATTTTACTGGAATTAAGTTAGTATGAATCTGAAGCTGATTCTGATAAGTGAAAATGTATGTTGAGTCCTAGAGCAGCTACTGCAAGCACAACTCAAAAAATATGATGAAAAGTCATTAAAGAAATTAGAATTCTACATTGGAAAATATTCACCGATTGCAAAAGAAAGCAATAAAGGAAGTATAGAGGAACAAAAAGATATGAGGTATATTGAAACAAAAAATAAAATAGAAGACATAAATCCAACAATATTAATAACAATATGAAATGTCAATGGGTTAGTCAACCTAGTCAAAAGGCAGAGATTATCAGACTGGACTAAAAAAAATAAGACCCAACTATATAATGCATATAGGAGACAGATTTTAGATTCAAAGAGACAAGTAAATTTAAAGTAAGAGGACAGAAAAAGTATATCATATAAACCGCAACCACAAGAAAGCTGGAATGGCTATACAATATCAAACAAACTAGATCTTAAAAGAGAAATTGTTACAAGAGATGATGGGGGACATTTTATAATGCTAAGAGGCTTGATGCATCAGGAAGATATAACAATTATAAACATATATGCACTTAAAACACAAAACAGCATGAAAATACATGAAATAAAAATTAACAGAAATGAAGGGAGAAATAGTTCAACAGTAAAATACTTCAATATCCCACTTTCAATAACGTATGGTAGTCCCCTTATCTGTAATTTCATTTTCCATGGTCAACAGTGGTTGGAAAATATTAAATAAAAAATTCTTGGCCGGGCATGGTGGCTCATGCCTGTAATCCCAGCACTTTGGGAGGCTGAGGCAGGTGGATCACAAGGTCAAGAGATCAAGACCATCCTGGCTAACACAGTGAAACCCTGTCTCTACTAAAAATACAAAAAAAAAAATTATCCAGGTGTGGTGGCGGATGCCTGTAGTCCCAGCTACTCAGGAGGCTGAGGCAGGAGAATGGCATGAACCCGGCAGGCAGAGCTTGCAGTGAGTGGAGATCAGACTACTGCACTCCAGTCTGGGCCACAGAGCGAGACTCCGTCTCAAAAAAAAAAAAGTCCTGAAATAAACAATTCACAAGTTTTAAATTGCACAATGTTCTGAGGAGTGTGATGAAATCTCACACTGTCCCACTCTATCCTGCCCAGGATGTGAATCATCCTTTTGTCAAGAGTAATCACACTGCATATGCTACCTGCCCATCAGTCACTTGGTAGAAATCTAGGTTATCAGATTGCAAGGCTTGGGTTTGAGTAATCTTTATTTAATAACATCCCAAAGCAAAAGAGTAGTGATGCTGGCATACTGTTATAATCATTTCTTTTATTATTATTGTTAATCTGTGCCTAATTTATAAATTAAACTTTATCATGGGTATGTATATATAGAAAAAAAACAGTATATACAGGGTTCGGGACTATCTGTGGTTTCAGGCTTCCCCTAGGGTTCTTGGAACATAGCTCCTGCATATAAGGGGGCACTACTATATAGATCAAACAGGCAGAAGATCAGTGAGGAAAAAGAAGACTTTAACAAGGCACTATAAACCAATTAGACTTAACAGGCGTCTATAGAAAACTTCACCTAACAACAGGAAAATACATATTCTTCTCAATTGCACAGGGAACATTCTTCAGGATATGAGCTAAGCCATAAAATAAGCCTAAAAATTTTTAAAGAACTGAAATAATTTACATTCCCACCAACAGTGTAAAAGCATTCCTATTTCTCTGCAACCTCGCCAGCATCTGTTATTTCTTGACTTTAATAATCGTCATTCTGACTGAAATGAGATGGTATCTCATTGTGGTTTTGACTTGCATTTCTCTAATGATCAGTGATGTTGAGCTTTTTTTGGTGTGTTTGTTGGCCACATGAATGTCTTCTTTTGAGAAGTGTCCATGTCCTTTGCTCACTTTTTAATGGGATCATTTGTTTTTTTTCTTGAGGATTTGTTTAAGTTCCTTGTAGATTCTGGATTAGACCTTTGTCAGGTGGATAGATTGCAAAATTTTTCTCCCGTTCTGTAGGTTGCCTGTTCGCTCTAATGATAGTTTCTTTTGCTGTGCAGAAGCTCTTTAGTTTAATTAGATCCCATTTGTCAATTTTTGCTTTTGTTGCAATTGCTTGTGGCGATTTCATCATGAAATCTTTACCTGTGCCTATGCCCCAAGTGGTATTGCCTAGATTTTCTTCTAGGGTTTTTATATTTAAGTCTTTAATCCACCTTTAAAAAAATTTTTTTTTTATTATACTTTAAGTTCTAGGGTACCTGTGCACAACGTGCAGTTTCGTTACATATGTATACATGTGCCATGTTGGTGTGCTGCACCCATTAACTCGTCATTTACATTAGGTATATCTCCTAATGCTATCCCTTCCCCCACCCCCACCCCATGACAGGCCCCAGTGTGATTTTCCCCACTCTGTGTTCAAGTGTTCTCACTGTTCAATTCCCACCTATGAGTGAGAACATGCAGCGTTCGGTTTTCTGTCCTTGCGATAATTTGCTGAGAATGATGGTATACAGCTTCATCCATGTCCCTACAAAGGACATGAACTCATCTTTTTTATGGCTGCATAGTATTCCATGGTATATATGTGCCATATTTTCTTAATCCAGTCTATCATTGATGGACATTTGGGTTAGTTCCAAGTCTTTGCTATTGTGAATAGTGCCACAATAAACATACATATGCATGTGTCTTTATAGCAGCATGATTTATAATCCTTTGGGCATATACCCAGTAATGGGATGGCTGGGTCAAATGGTATTTCTAGTTCTAGATCCTTGAGGAATCACCACACTGTCTTCCACGATGGTTGAACTAGTTTACAGTGCCACCAACAGTGTAAAGGTGTTCCTGTTTCTCCACATCCTCTCCAGCACCTGTTGTTTCCTGACTTTTTAATGATTGCCATTCTAACTGGTGTGAGATGGTATCTCATTGTAGTTTTGATTTTCATTTCTCTGATGGCCAGTGATGATGAGCATTTTTTCATGTGTTTTTTTGGCTGCATAAATGTCTTCCTTTGAGAAGTGTCTGTTCATATCCTTCACCCACTTTTTCATGGGGTTGATTTTTTCTTGTAAATTTGTTTAAGTTCTTTGTAGAGTCTGGGTATTAGCCCTTTGTCAGATGGGTAGATTGTAAAAATGTTCTCCCATTCTGTAGGTTGCCTCTTCACTCTGATGGCAGTTTCTTTTCCTGTGCAGAAGCTCATTAGTTTAATTAGATCCCATTTGTCAGTTTTGGCTTCTGTTGCCATTGCTTTTGGTGTTTTAGTCATGAAGTCCTTGCCCATGCCTATGTCCTGAATGGTATTGCCTAGGTTTTCTTCTAGGGTTTTTATGGTTTTAGGTCTAACATTTAAGTCTTTAATCCATCTTGAATTAATTTTTGTATAAGGTGTAAGGAAGGGATCCAGTTTCAGTTTTCTATATATGGCTAGCCAGTTTTCCCAGAACCATTTATTAAATAGGGAATCGTTTCCCCATTTCTTGTTTTTGTCAGGTTTGTCAAAGATCAGATCGTTGTAGATGTGTGGTATTATTTCTGAGGGCTCTGTTGTGTTCCATTGGTCGTCTATATCTCTGTTTTTTTTTTTCTTTTGAGACGCAGTCTCACTGTGTCGCCCAGGCTGGAGTGCAGTGGCGCAATCTCGGCTCACTGCAAGCTCTGCCTCCCGAGTAGCTGGGACTACAGGCGCCCACCACCATGCCCGGCTAATTTTTTTGTATTTTTAGTAGAGATGGGGTTTCACTGTGTTAGCCAGGATGGTCTCGATCTCTTGACCTCCACCCATCTCGGCCTCCCAAAGTGCTGGGATTACAGGCGTGAGCCACCGTGCCCGGCCTATATCTCTGTTTTGGTACCAGTACCATGCTGTTTTGGTTACTGTAGCCTTGTAGTATACTTTGAACTCAGGTAGCGTGATGCCTCCAGCTTTGTTCTTTTGGCTTAGGATTGTCTTGGTGATGCAGGCTCTTTTTTGGTTCCATATGAACTTTCAAGTAGTTTTTTCCAATTCTGTGAAGAAAGTCATTGGTAGCTTGATGGGGATGGCATTGAATCTATAAATTACCTTGGGCAGTATGGCCATTTTCACGATATTGATTCTTCCTATCCATGAGCATGGAATGTTCTTCCATTTGTTTGTGTCCTCTTTTATTTCGTTGAGCAGTGGTTTGTAGTTCTCCTTGAAGATGTCCTTCACATCCCTTGTAAGTTGGATTTCTAGGTATTTTATTCTCTTGGAAGCAATTGTGAATGGGAGTTCACTCATGATTTGGCTCTCTGTTTGTCTGTTGTTGGTGTATAGAAATGCTTGTGATTTTTGCCCATTGATTTTGTATCCTGAGACTTTGCTGAAGTTGCTTATCAGCTTAAGGAAATTTTGGGCTGAGATGATGGGTTTTCTAAATATACAATCATGTCATCTGCAAACAGGGACAATTTGACTTCCTCTTTTCCTAATTCAATACCCTTTATTTCTTTCTCCTGCCTGATTGCCCTGGCCAGAACTTCCAAAAGTATGTTGAATAGGAGTGGTGAGAGAGGGCATCCCTGTCTTGTGCCAGTTTTCAAAGGGAATGCTTCCAGTTTTTGCCCATTCAGTATGATATTGGCTGTGGGTTTGTCATAAATAGCTCTTATTATTTTGAGATACATCCCATCGATACCTAGTTTATTGGGAGTTTTTAGCATGAAGTATTGTTGACTTTTGTCACAGGCCTTTTCTGCATCTATTGAGATAATCATGGGGTTTTTGTCTTTGGTTCTGTTTATATGATGGATTACATTTATTGATTTGCGTATGTTGAACCAGCCTTGCATCCCAGGGATGAAGCCCACTTGATCATGGTGGATAAGCTTTTTGATGTGCTGCTGGATTCAGTTTGCCAGTATTTTATTGAGGATTTTTGCATCGATGTTCATCAGGGATATTGGTCTAAAATTCTCTTTTTTTGTTGTTTCTCTGCCAGGCTTTGGTATCAGGATGATGCTGGCCTCATCAAATGAGTTAGGGAGGATTCTCTCTTTTTCTATTGATTGGAATAGTTTCAGAAGGAATGATACCAGCTCCTCTTTGTACCTCTGATAGAACTCAGCTGTGAATCCATCTGGTCCTGGACTTTTTTTGGTTGGTAGGCTATTAATTATTGCTTCATTTTCAGAGCCTGTTATTGGTCTATTCAGGGATTCAACTTCTTCCTGGTTTAGTCTTGGGAGGGTGTATGTGTCCAGGAATTTATCCATTTCTTCTAGATTTTCTTGTTTATTTGCGTATAGGTGTTTATAGTATTCTCTGATGGTAGTTTGTATATCTGTGGGATTGGTGGTGATATAACCTTGATCATTTTTTATTGCGTCTATTTGACTCTTCTTTTTTATCAGTCTTGCTAGCGGTCTATCAATTTTGTTGATCTTTTCAAAAAACCAGCTCCTGAATTCATTGATTTTTTGAATGGTTTTTTGTGTCTCTATTTCCCTCAGTTCTGCTCTTATCTTAGTTATTTCTTGACTTCTGCTAGCTTTTGAATTTGTTTGCTCTTGCTTCTTTAGTTCATTTAATTGTGATGTTAGGGTGTCAATTTTAGGTCTTTCCTGCTTTCTCTTGTGGGCATTTAGTGCTATAAATTTCCCTCTACACACTGCTTTAAATGTGTCCCAGAGTTTCTGGTATGTAGTGTCTCTGTTCTCATTGGTTTCCAAGAACTTCTTTATTTCTGCCTTCATTTTGTTATGTACCCAGTAGTCATTCAGGAGCAGGTTGTTCAGTTTCCATGTATTTGAGCGGTTTTGAGTGAGTTTCTTAATCCTGAGTTCTAGTTTGATTGCACTGTGGTCTGAGAGACAGTTTGTTATAAATTCCATTCTTTTACATTTGCTGAGGAGTGCTTTACTTCCAACTATGTGGTCAATTTTGGAATAAGTGCAACGTGGTGCTGAGAAGAATGTATATTCTGTTGATTTGGGGTGGAGAGTTCTGTAGATGCCTATTAGGTCTGCTTGGTGCAGAGCTGAGTTCAATTCCTGCATATCCTTGTTAACTTTCTGTCTCGTTGATCTGTCTAATGTTGACAGTGGGGTGTTAAAGTCTCCCATTATTATTGTGTGGGGGTCTAAGTCTCTTTGTAGGTCTCTAAGGACTTGCTTTATGAATCTGGGTGCTCCTGTATTGGGTGCATATATATTTCGGATAGTTAGCTCTTCTTGTTGAATTGATCCCTTTACCATTACGTAATGGCCTTCTTTGTCTCTTTTGATCTTTGTTGGTTTAAAGTCTGTTTTATCAGAGATTAGGACTGCAACCTCTGCTTTTTTCTGTCTTCCATTTACTTGGTAGATCTTCCTCCATCCCTTTATTTTGAGCCTATGTGTGTCTCTGCACATCAGATGGGTCTCCTGAATACAGCACACTGATGGGTCTTGACTCTTTATCCAATTTGCCACTCTGTGTCTTTTAATTGGAGCATTTAGTCCATTTACATTTAAGGTTAATATTGTTATGTATGAATTTGATCCTGTTATTATGATGTTAGCTGGTTATTTTGCTCGTTAGTTGATGCAGTTTTTTCCTAGCATCGACGGTCTTTACAGTTTGGCATGTTTTTTGCAGTGGCTGGTACCAGCTGTTCCTTTCCATGTTTAGTGCTTCCTTCAGGAGCTCTTGTAAGGCAGGCCTGGTGGTGACAAAATCTCTCAGCATTTGCTTGTCTGTGAAGGATTTTATTTCTCCTTCACTTAGGAAGCTTAGTTTCGCTGGATATGAAATTCTGGGTTGAAAATTCTTTTCTTTAAGAATGTTGAATATTGGCCCCTACTCTCTTCTGGCTTGTAGAGTTTCTGCCAAGAGATCTGCTGTTAGTCTGATGGGCTTCCCTTTGTGGGTAACTTGACCTTTCTCTGTGGCTGCCCTTAACATTTTTTCCTTCATTTCAACTTTGGTGAATCTGACAATGATGTGTCTTGGAGTTGCTCTTCTTGAGGAGTATCTTTATGGTGTTCTCTGTATTTCTTAAATTTGAACGTTGGTCTGCCTTGGTAGGTTGGGGAAGTTCTCCTGGATAATATCCTGAAGAGTGTTTTCCAACTTGGTTCCATTCTCCCTCCCGTCACTTTCAGATACACCAATTAGATGCAGATTTGGTCTTTTCATATAGTCCCATAGTTCTTGGAGGCTTTGTCGTTTCTTTTTACTCTTTTTTCTCTAAACTTCTCCTCTCGCTTCATTTCATTCATTTGATCTTCAATCACTGATATCTTTTTTCCAGTTGATCAAATGGGCTACTGAAGCTTGTGCATGCGTCACGTAGTTCTCGTGCCATGGTTTTCAGCTCCATCAGGTTATTTAAGGTCTTCTCCACACTGTTTATTCTAGTTAGCCATTTGTCTAATCTTCTTTCAAGGTTTATAGCTTCTTTGCGATGGGTTCGAACATCCTCCTTTAGCTCGGAGAAGTCTGTTATTACCGATTGTCTGAAGCCTTCTCTCAACTTGTCAAAGTCATTTTCCATCCAGCTTTGTTCCGTTGCTGTTGAGGAGCTGCATTCCTTTGGAGGAGAAGAGGTGCTCTGATTTTTAGAATTTTCAGCTTTTCTGCTCTGGTTTCTCCCCATCTTTGTGGTTTTATCTACCTTTGGTCTTTGATGATGGTGACATACAGATGGGGGTTTGGTGTGGATGTCCTTTCTGTTTGTTAGTTTTCCTTCTAACAGTCAGGACCCTCAGCTGCAGGTCTGTTGGGAGTTTGCTGCAGGTCCACTCCAGATCCTGTTTGCCTGGGTATCACCAGCAGAGGCTGCAGAGCAGCCAATACTGCAGAACAGCAAATGTTCCTGCCTGATCCTTCCTCTGGAAGCTTCGTCTCAGAGGGGCGCCCAGCAGTATGAGGTGTCAGTTGGCCCTAATGGGAGATGCCTCCCAGTTAGGCTACTCAGGGGTCAGGGACCCACTTGAGGAGGCAGTCTGTCCATTCTCAGATCTCAAGCTCCATGCTGGAAGAACCACTACTCTCTTCAAAGCTGTCAGACAGGGACGTTTAAGTCTGCAGAAGTTTCTGCTGCTGTTTGTTCAGCTATGCCCTGCCCCCAGAGGTGGAGTCTACAGAGGCATGAAGGCCTCCTTGAGCTGTGGTGGCCTCCACCCAGTTCGAGCTTCCCGTCCACTTTGTTTACCTTCTCAAGCCTCAGCAATGGCGGACGCCACTCCCTCAGCCTTACTGCTGCCTTGCAGTTTGATCTCAGACTGCTGTGTTAGCAGTGAGTGAGGCTCTGTGGGCATGGGACCCTCCAAGCCAGGTGCAGGATATAATCTCCTGGTGTGCCGTTTGCTAAGACCACTGGAAAAGCACAGCATTAGGGTGGGAGTGTCCCGATTTTCCAGGTACCTTCTGCCATGGCTTCCCTTGGCTAGGAAAGGGAATTCCCGGACCCCTTGCACTTTCCTGGTGAGGTGATGCCCCACCCTGTTTCGGCTCACACTCTGTGGGCTGCACGCACTGTCCGATAAGCCCCAGTGAGATGAACCCTGTACCTCAGTTGGAAATGCAGAAATCACCCATCTTCTGAGTCGCTCACTCTGGGAGCTGTAGACTGGAGCTGTTCCTATTCGGCCATCTTGGAACCTCCAATCCTTTAATCCATCTTGAGTTAATTTTTGTATAAGGTGTAAGGAAGGGGTCCAGTTTCAATTTTCTGCATATGGCTAGCCAGTTCTCTCAGCACCATTTATTAAATAGGGAATCATTTCCCCATTGCTTGTTTTTGTCAGGTTTAAAGAAGGCATTCATATGGCCAACAAAGATATGAAAAAAAGCTCAACATCACTGATCATTAGACAAATGCAAATCAAAACCACAATGAGATACCCTCTCACACCACTCAGAACAGCGATTATTAAAAAGTCAAGAAACAACTGATGCTGGCGAGGTTGCAGATAAATAGGAATGCTTTTACACTGTTGGTGGGAATGTAAATTAGTTCAACCATTGTGAAAGACAGTGTAGCGATTCCTCAAAGATCTAGAACCAGAAATACCATTTGCCCCAGCAATCCAATTACTGGGCATATACCCAAAGGAATATAAATTATTCTGTTACAAAGATACATGCACATGTATGTTCACTGCAGCACTATTCACAATAGCAAAGACATGGAATCAACCCAAATGCCCATTGATGATAGACCAGATAAAGAAAATGTGGTGCATATACACCATGGAATACTATGCAGCCATAAAAAGGAACGAGATCATGTCCTCTGCAGAGACATGAATGGAGCTGGAAGCCATTATCTTCAGCAAACTAACGCAAGAACATAAGACCAAACGCTGCATGTTCTCACTTATAAGTGGGAGCTGAACAATGAGAACACGTGAACACAGGGAGGGGAACAGCACATACTGGGGCCTGTTGGGGAGTGCAGTTGGGGGAGGGAGAGCATTAGGAAAAATAGCTAATGCATGCTGGGCTTAATACCTACGTTATGGGTTGACAGGTGCAGCAAACCACCATGCCACTCATTTACCTATGTAACAAACTTGCACATCCTGCACATGTATCCTGGAACTTAAAAATTAAAATTAAAAAAAGGAAAATAAAAATAAATGTATCAGGGCAATTCCAGAAATATGAATTCACTTGCTAAGAATACAATGGTTGTGTCCCTCCATTCAGGAAGCTCAGCAAAACCCCATTTCCCTAATCAGAGCTAAATGTCTATATTATGTGACAGCAACATTTACTCACTTATTTATAAAATTTGCATGATTTTAGAGAAAAAAATATAGAATACCTGTGTTTTGAATTCCAGAATGTTATTTCCTGGGTTAATTCTTCCTAGTAATATCAAATCTTTTATCTGAATACATTTCTTTTTAGGAGCTGTACTGTAGTTTAAAGCCTTTTTTATTGTATCTTGTTGCCCAGATCCAGAGGAAGAGGAGATCTGACTGTCATCTGCACATGGAACAACAGAAACTGATTTTTTAAGATATGGTTTCATCTGATGCACTGTATCACTGCCTAAGACAGCAATCCCTTGATGTGCCAGAGATTCTGATGCCCCTGTAGGTGATTGCTGGGAACTTGTTTTTCTGTTTCCTCTTTTGGGATCATAATTGGAAAGGTCCTGATCACAAATAATATTTGATGGATGGGCAGCATTTTCGGCAAGGACACTTGCAGTTTCTGAAATATTTAATTTGCCGATTACTGGGGAAGAAACATAGAATTCATGGTCTTTGTCTGTAGCTTCTGTAAGATCATTCTCTTTCTGTGAATATTCTGTTTGACCAATAAAAGCAACAGGTTGGGATGGTAATTTATTCTTCTCTGTGCCATCTGAATGTCTGGATTTTGGAAAACCATCCAAGGTACAATCACTGCCATTTTGTTTAGAATTCATATCATTTCCAGAAAATTCTCCCCTTCTCACTGCCTCTGAATTTAGACAAATGTTGGTATTTTGGCTGTAGTTCCAAGTTTCCAGAGACAATTGTGTTTCCTGCATGCTTCCAGAAACAGGAGAAAGTGAACCTGATTGGGGATGCTCTAAATTTTCCAGACTAGTGAGCTCTTGGCTGTCTTTTTCACTAGAGATTTCTGATCTGGGTGGGAGCTTCCTTAAACTAAGACAAGGCAATGATGTAACATTCCTACAGTTTTGAATTTTCAGGCTTATTTTTTTCTGTTTTTTTGCCACAACTAAAAGGCTCTTCTGTCTTGCAGCCAAGTTGGCCAATTGTTCTCTCAGGGCTCCATGCTTAAATGACTCTATGGATACCCTATAGGAAGAAACAGAAAGAGAAAAAATGCAATAACAGCAGAAAACTTTTCAAAGCGGTCACTTAGAGGTTAAAGATACTTTGTCTCCAAATTTTAATCACTTTAAAATACACAAAACTATGCCTGTGCAATTTACTGCCTTTGATTTTTTTAATCTGACCACCTGCAGCCTGTTGACGCAAAATATTTCCTTTGAGAGGAAGCTGATTCCTTTATTTAAGTAAATGTGCCCTTTTTTTAAGGAGGTGACAGTAAGGTTATCAAGATTTTATATTCATACAATTATTATCAATTGGGAGTCAACTCTAAAAGACAAACAAAACTTGGATCATCTATCTAAACATCTATTTAGTCGTTGGTTGGAAGGTAGCAATTGGTGGCTAAGGAGAGCCATCGTTCTTTAAATTTGGGGCTTGCTTACCTGTTTATTAGTAAGTACAATTTGAAAGTTCTATTCAGGTTCTCTTAGCTTTGGAAGAACAAGATTGTTTTGTGAATAATCATACTTCAGCTGGACCTGAGAAAAGTTAGTTCCCCAAGTAATTACTGTAGTTGTATTTTGAACCTGTATGAAGACACTTCCAAGTCCAGAGGGACTACCGAGGAAAGCATCATTCTGTGTGTCTTCCCCAAACTGAATTTCTCAAGACCTTGAGGACTAAGAAAGAGGAAATGGCTTTTCACATCTTCATACTTTTGTCTTTTGATTATGCCCACCAATCCCACCCTGACCTTCAGATTATTGGACACTTTGTTTTCAGTGGTTCTCAAACTTTTTGGTCTTGGGAACTACTTGTACTCTTCAAAATTACTGAGGAACCCAAACAGCTTTTGTGTATATGAATATCTATCAGTATTTACTGTTTTAGAAATTAAAACTGAGAAACTTTTTAAACAAAAGAATACACAACACATTCTATCAGGCTTTATCATATATCATGTGGCATCTGAAAAATTCCACTGTACATTCACGAGAGAATGAGAGCAAGAGAGCAATAACATCTTACTATTATTATTAAAAAATAGTTTTGACTTCACAGATCCTGTGAAATGGTCTCAGGAACCCCACCATGGGTCCCTGGACCACAGTTTAAGAGCTGCTGTTTTAAGGAAAAGCAATAATATAGATATATCTTGCCTCTCCTATCAAGGTTTAGAGCTGATACTAAATTCCCAGCAGACTGGATGTTAAAAGAAGTAGTATACATAAGTGAAAAAGTCAGCAAGAAGAAGGATTCATATTAGCAAACAACTGGTAGCATAAAATGCAAAAGAAATACATAATATCAAACTTAAAACTATGTGAAACAAGGAGTTCAGACACAAAACTTAAGATTATCCACACCAAGATGTGAAGTCTCATAGCAATATTAATAAGAATTTACGTATTGAAACTCCAATTGATCAGGAACTTTTGAAAATTCCAGGTATAGTACATGGTTAACCACAGGACACTAAAGGAAATTCAAGCAAGCCTCTCCAAAGTCCCCTAAAATTACCCATATGTAGGTTATATAAGCTCACTGCTTTATATTGACAGGAAAACAAGAAGGAAACAGAAGGGAACTTGTGTTAGCTATTCACTGGAGAAGAAGGCAAAATGGGGATTAAAAATAAAAATAGAAAATTGATTTTTTAAAATAAGTTCAGAAAAAAATTGAATATGTAATAGACATTAAATGATTATAGGAGAAGAATATATAAGGACATGTTTAGAAAACTGAATGTGAATAAAGAATAGGGAGTGTAAGTAGCTAAGCCTATTAAAAACTAATAAAAAATAATGCCCAAACAAGAAAAAAACATGTAACATTTTTTTCACAAAAAAATATGAGAAGAGGTATATAACCAATATAATCAGGATAAAACTCTTTAAGGACCTTGAGATTTTAGAAATACAATAAAACACAAAATTAATCAACTGATTGATCAACTGCTTAGAAGGACGTTTGTGACAGCAAAAAAGAAACTTTTTTAGTGTAGAAAATTTGAGTGTGCTAAAGAAATAAATTTGCCTGTGGGATTCACAACCAGAAAGGCTTTCATAAAATTCTCCACTGTAGACAACTTTTTAAGATACCGAAATGTTCTTTTTTGACTATCCCAAGTAATAGTGTAGAAAAATACCTTTCTGGGAAGTATAATTTTCCATGGTAGTAACGGATTAGACAACCTCATAAAGTCATTATTTGGCCCCAAGCAGTGTTTGTATTCTTAAGAAATTCTAGACAACTATTGCAGCTAAAAATGGATAAATTCTAGAAACTCAAAAGCACTCTTTTTTTTTCTTTTTCTACTCACCTGTATTTTTTAGCCAGATCATCCCTTTCTGCTTTCTGCTTGGCAAGCACATTATCCATAATCTTTTTTATCTTTAACATCTTTTCAATGTATTGTTCTAGAAACATGACAATAAAAAGTTAGCTAACTGAGGGAGAGTGAATGTCAAATTTGGTCATACGAGAATTAGCCCTATTGTTAATTTTAAAAAGCGTTATTCCCTATGATCTTCCCCAATATTAATAGCCCAGATATCTCAATTAAGGCTTATTTAACAATGTCAATCTATGGAAATGCCCTGAAGTGTATAGATAAGAATGCTGTAAAACAGTAGGCCAGCCTGAGTTCTAATCCTGCTGCCCCACTAAGTTCTGTGAGCCTGGACATGTAACTTATATGGTTAGCTTTCTTACCTGTGAAATGAAGGTAGTAAAGGAAGATATTTTGTTTGTTAAAATTATTTCATTTTTTTAAAATACAAAAGGAATACATTAACATTGTAAAATTTTTTCAAGCCATATAAATATTTACATAGATGAAAAGTAAGAGTATCCCTACTCACCCCACTGCTTCTTCTCTAATTTATTCAACAAGGGTGGTTACTGTTAATACTTTAGGGGTATGTATGTTTGTAAAATTTGTGTTATATATTTATTATTTTAAATACTTACACTATATATAATTATACATTATATGCACTTAAAAAATAGAATTTTTTAATTCTAAAAATAGAATCATGCTATCAGTTCTTGTTCTTTGCATTTATAACATTTACATTGTACTATATGATACCTAAGGTCACCTATAGATCTTACAAACCACCATTACAATAATTACTTAAATTTTCCCGACTTTCTTCCTTTGCTTTCCAAGTAAAGGCATAATGACCTTTCTCCCAACACAGATCCACATGATTACCCATAAATGTGGGTTATGTACAAATCCAGATTCCCAAGTAGGAAACTGAAAGGGTTAAATGCATATATTTTAATTCTTTTAAGCTACTTGTTGTTTCTTTCACTTTCGGCTTTCTTTCTTAAAATTTTTCCTAATTTTTTGGACCAATGCACATTTTTCTGGTTAAAGTAACTTGAGAAAATCTGTGGTAGAAAATGACATGAAGTTCAGAGGTAGAATTTGTTTTAGAAATTCCCTCAGCAAATCAGACACATGATTTGGTAAGTATTGAGTCAGTGTCCTCAGAGCAGTTTCTATTGCCCTAATACTGTGGCTGAGGATTAGTTTCACGACATGATGCATATGCTAACAAAGGGGGAAAATGTGTACAATCAATAAGAATTTAGACATAATTTTGTTCAGCAGATTTGACACTGTTTATTAAAAGACATTTTAAATTATCTATGTGCCCTGTCATCCCAGCTTTTCCAACTGAATTTTAAACCATAGGTAAAAATAACATACTATAGTAACTTAAAATATTCTGTATGTTTCTCTAAGAAACAACAGAAATAAATTTTATATATAATTTGGTATCACACACTTCTTTATCAAAGATGATATTAATCAATGGTATATTAAAGAGAATCTAGAATTGTCCTAATATGTGTAAGATTTTAATACTTCATTAGACATTACAAAACAATGAGGATGAGAGAAATTATTCAACAAATAGGGATGAGTAATAGGGTAGTAATACGGAGTAAACCTATTCTATCCTTATCTTAAATACAGAAAAAAATTTCAGATGAATTATGCATTAAAATACTTAGGGAAAAATATACAAAATGTTAACAATGGCAATTTTCTGCCTCAGTTCAGTTGAAGCAGTTCAGTTGACAACTGATAGAAAAGTGAGTGCAAGGTCTCTTTAAGAAAAATTTTCAAAGAAATGTACAAAATGGGACTCATTACTCAGATCCCTCAGCCAGATCAAAGCTATCACAAGTGTCAGATGTGGAGGAGGGTGAGTCTGAAAAAAGATTTCTTTAGAGAGCAGTTGTTTACCTGAGTGGGAATCTGCATATTCAGCAGCAAGAGTAAGGGGTAAAGGGTCTTCTCTTCTTTACCTCAAGCCTAATAGGGTAAGTTCCTCAAAAGATTATTTAGAGAACCTAGCTGAACTCTAAGTTGACATGACAATGAATTGGTATCTGGCTTCCTTCTTGAACACCTAGAGACCTTGAAAAATGAGGAGCTACCACAGCAGGGCCAAAAGAAAGTTGCTGCTGAGCTGAGAAGTAATTGTCTTCCCTTCTAACAATGGGCCTGAGGTGCAAAGGTCCTGAGGACTTGTTGTGAAGCCTGCCCTGTGACCCTGCCTATGAGGGCTTCCATCTGAGAGTGAGAG